>NC_000018.10:57037528-58287528 GCF_000001405.40 Homo sapiens | reverse complement strand
TTGTCTAATTCCACGTTGCCCAGAGCTGTGGTGCCGAGGTGAACTCATGATCCTGAGGGAGGCTGGTCTCTAAGGCACCCATCATAATTCTACTCTGTGATCTCCATGGGCAGGGAGCCTATACTAGAAGACAAACGGTATGCTCCCTCTATCTTTCTTCTTGTGGATGTATCTTACATATACTTTTTAAACTACAATTATTGAACAACATGCTGTCCTCTATTCGTCTGTAAAGCAAGTATGCAGTTGTCTGACTTATTTGGCAGTAGGTAAACAGAAATGAATGAGCCTGGAATTTCGTGCTGGGTTGAGAGCTGCCTTTTTGATCATATGGACCTTTTAGCTCCTTAGCAGGATAAAGTTCAATGAGGACAAAGTTAAAGTTGAACAATGTCAAATTCTAACAGCCCAGAAAAAAACAAAAAAAAAAAAAAGAAAAAGAAGTGCTTTAAAACAGCTCTCCTAGTTTCTCAAGTATTATCAGCACTCTAAGCACACTAAATTCCTTTTGTATAAATGTTACCCTGCAGTTGTTCATTCTGGGCAAATAAAAAGTTATATAATTATGGTCAAAGAACAGTCAAATGTCCCCATATATCCTTGGCCTTCTGGGAAAATCTCTACTGGCAACCATAGATGACTCTCAAATCATGAAAATTTCCAAATGCAGTTTATGCACATAAGGAGCGCCTCCCGGGTCAGGATAATGTCATCTTCATCACTGTGGTCCCAACATCTAGCATAGCACTTACTGGTGTTTAATATTCAATTAAATTCAATTATCCACACCAACCTATCTCAATTAGCACTACTGTGTGCTATGGATCAGCTACCAGTTTGACATTTCAAGCTGCTGGGATTATCATGAACATGATGAAGCCCTCAGTCAGCTGAGACAGACTTACTCTTACACATTCTGAAACAGTTTTTTTACTGGTAAGGGCCATTTTATCAACATGATAAAGAGTGCAGACTAGATAAGTATAATATAATTTATTGTCTTCACAGGATGCCTTCATATTGAACACACCCATTAATACAGACGCTTATGACTAAATTAAATGCAGGGGAGCTACCAAAATTGAAAAGAACATGGCAGTTTCAATAAAGTATTTTAAAAACACTTTATATAAGACTCATCCTTCAGAATAGGACAACAAATTTTTTCCAATGTCCAGTTAGCATCTTAAATTGGCACCTTTATTGATACAATGATGACCTCACTGAAACCTTGAGGACTGGGGTGGCATCTACTTATATTCTATAGAACATAGTACTGCACTTCTACAGGCAAATATTCAAACATCAAATGTTTGCAGTGCTCATTCGACGTTTACATTAACACAAATAATTCATAGTTGGCTATGTTCAGGTTTTAATAAATGACATTTATATTCTTTACCACCCTAGACTTAAATATACCCATGGTGAGTGTCTGTCTATAAACACTGACACTGGGTAAGAACGTGCATCTACTTGCAAAATGCTCTAATATTCTGAAATGCATCTAAATAAGAACTTAAGGTATGACAATTGTGTATAGCTACTTAGAAAAGAGGTTAAATTCTTTTCATAGGTGAGCAAACTGTACCTTAGAACATAATGTTCTATTCATTGCGTAAGCAAGATAACAGCTTGCTGAACATGTTGTTTAAATAAGATTTGTAGGGTAAAGAGTTGAAGAATGAGGAAAACAACTGGCTATAAAGTTCATCTAATATTTACTTTAATTTCAATATTCTGCTTCCATAAAATAGGTTGATCAAAAGCATTTGAATGTTAGAAAGAGCCAGCTTTCAAAAAAGAACAGGTTTCAATAAAACCGCCTTTGCAAAAATTATACAGTGAGCTGATCTAACCCAGCCTCCTCTTGCTTTTAGGTTTCAAGCTGCCTTGATTATTCCTGGGCTTAGGCTGGGCTAGCTTTGGTGAATATTTAGTTTATAGTTTAAACGATAATAAGCCTAACCTGAAACTCAACCACCTTTGTATAGCTAATGAAAGGGCATCAGGCTAGGGGTAGGAGAGGAATCTGAATTCTGTATGGTAGCACATGCCTGTAATCCAAGCTACTGGGGAGGCTAAGGCAGGAAAATTGCTTGAACCTGGGAGGTGGAGGTTGCAGTGAGCCGAGATCACACCACTGCACTCCAGCCTGGGTGACAGAGCAAGACCCTATCTCAAACACACACACACACACACCCACACACACATCATCTCATTGTGGAGTTAGCTTCTTGGAGACTTTTAGAATGGGTCCTTTTATAGGGGCCATAAACCACATGACCACTCACTAGTCCTTAGGCTTCCAGCACCAGATGTGGGTTCTGCGCACACACACAATCAGGGCTTTACAAGCAGTAGCAGGGGAAGTACTTCATTTGGGAAAAAAAGCATGTAACTTGGCAACTATTTAGCACCTCTTCTTCTCTGGCAGTGATCAGTTAGGAAATCCTTTGCTGGAAGCATCTACTCAGAATTTTAAAAATCATGCAGTTCTTGCTGCTGAAATTTATGAGCACGTAGATGAGAGAGAGTATGTATCATGGATGAGGACGGGGAGAGCAGGAGCAGGAGTGCCCCATGAGAGCCACAAACAGGAAAGTTACAGGAGCTGGCCCATGTGCACCACTGCCTTGTCCCAACCACACAGCAGTCCCAGCCACACGCTTTCCACATAGCCCTGTGGGGTTAATGACATCACTCCTGATAGTGCCCACGGCACCATTCTCTATGGCCATGGTGTAAAAATGGGTTTATAATCAAACAAAATATCCAGATATATGGTTCAATATGCTTCAATTTGCAAACATCACTTATCTAAAAAGTTTTTCAAAGAAGTAAGATTAAATATTTGATATACAAAATTTACTGAAAAGAACAAGATTATATAAAATCAGCTTGCCCATAAGACTGGGTGTACCCACATGCAACGAAGACACTACCAGAAGTTACTTCTATTCGTATAACTCTCCCTCTGCCACCACCATCAAAAGCAACTCCAGCCCCACAAAGCTTTTTGTCTCACAAAAACTGTATCTTGATAACCACCTGTGACAGTATAATAAAGACAGATTATTCATTTTGCTAGCATAGTCCCTTATTTCTCTTCTTGCTAATACTGAGTTCCCACTAACACATTTTACTCTTCACTTCCAAAAGCTACTTTGAGGAAAAAAAAATCAACAACAGTACTCAATTTCACTGCAATCAGCATTAGACATCATGTTGGCCAGGATTTCACCAAACTTTCCCGAGAGGGTCCTTGTTTCAATTTCCCAAGTGGTTCTCCTTGCTAGGTCCAAAGAAGATGATAAAAATATATATTGATTAGCATATTAGTTTGCTAAAACTGCTGTAACAAAGTACCACAAACTTGAGTAGCTTAAACAATGGAAATTGATGGTTTAAAAGTTCTGGAGGCTGGAAGTCCAAGATCAAGATATGGGCAGGGTGGTTCCTTCTGAAGGCTGAGGGAGATTCCATGGTCTCCCCTGCTTTCTGGAGGCTTGCTAGCAATCTTTGGAGTTCCCTGCCTTGTAGAAGCATCACCTGATCTCTGCCTTCATCTTTCCATGGCATTCTCCCAGTGTGCATGTCTGTTTCTGAGCCTAAATTTTCCCTTTTTTATAAGGCTACCAGTCAGATTAGGGTCCACATTCATGGCCTCATCTTAACTTGACTCCATCTGCAAGAGGGTCTGCAAAGACCCTATTTTCAAATAAGACCCTATTTTCAAAGAGGTACTGATAGGATTTCATATCTTTTTGGGGGGACACAATTCAACCTGTAGCAATGAGCAATAATGAAGTGACGAGGTAAGTTACCTTTTCAAAAGGGATTCCTCACAAGACAAGGGTATGTTGTGTAGCACCAGCAGCTGGCTTCAAGACTTACTGCCTGACATTTTTTAAGAGTAAGGATTTTTTAATTGCCCCAAAGCCTCAGGATCATTTAGGTGGACTAAGGGATAGTATTGTAGTCTTTAGGGCTATTCTCAAATATTGCATATCTCTCTCCTCCTCTGGGCAATGGTAAAAATGTACTTCCCAATCTGAAATGGCATGGCCACGTGACTTGCTTTGGCCAGTAAAATATGAGCGGCAGTGATGTGTGCCACTTTCGAACACAGGCTTTAAAAGGGCAGTGTATGGGCTGGGCATGGTGGCTCACGCCTGTAATCCCAGCACTTTGGGAGGCCGAGGCGGGTGGATCACCTGAGGTCAGGAGTTTGAGACCAGCCTGACCAACATGGTGAAACCCCGTCTCTACTAAAAATACAGAAATTAGCCAGGTGTGGTGGCGTGCACCTGTAATCCCAGCTACTCAGGAGGCTAAGGCAGGAGAATCGCTTGAACCCGGGAAGTGGAGGTTGCAGTGAGCTGAGATCGCACCACTGCGCTCCAGCCTGGGCGACAGAGCGAGACACAGTCTCTAAATAAATAAATAAATAAATAAATAAATAAATAAATAAATAAGGCAGTGTGCAATTTATCACGTTCCTTTCACCTATGGCAGTGATGGTGAAGGCACAATGGGATTAGCCGTCATCATCCTGGGGACTCTTGGTGACGACAGATAATTCTGCTCTCCTGCTGACACAGATTGTGTATTGTGAGCAAGAAAATCCCCCTTTGTGGGTTAATTCACTGAGATGTGGTTTGTTACGCAGCATGATCAACATGATCTAGCCTATCCTTGACTGATACAGACGGGAATTTCCCAAATTGAATGTGTTCTCTATATTTCCTTAGGTTTTTCTTTTTTCTATATTATTAGGGAAGGGAAGTCCATTTCATGAGCTCATATACAGTAGCAAAACTAAATGTAGAATGTTATACCCATCCATACCGCTAATTTACCCTGCCTACTAAAAACACTCAAACTCAATTTGGGCAACAAAATGTCAAGAGAAGCTATGTAGATCAAGGCCCAGTCAGGCCAATTCACTGACATAAGCCAAAATTCATTCGTTCATTTACCCAACCATTCAGTGGATGTCTACTTTTTATTTTTAGATCAACTGGATTGATCCAAAAAGTACTGACTTATCTTTTATTTAATTTCAGTCACTGATATTACAAACATGTTTTGCAATCAATTACTGCATTCATTTAAATTGCTCGCAGTATAAATTTCAGTGGTGTCTTAAAATCAGATAGATAAGTAGATATGAGGATGAGGAGTAATTCGATCCCTCCCTTTCTAGAAAGAGCTCCTTCTTGGTCCTCCTCTGAGGTGACAGGACTGCATTTACCAGCTAATGACAGCATTTTAACCAAATTAGAAAATGCTACTGGTTACCATAAACACAACGAACAAATGGAAATAAGCCAGCACAAACTATGCACCACTCACGCGGATATTTTGTGAAACTCAGAGAGACCTTTGCCAACCTGACTTTTAAAAATAGCTGTATAAATAACTAGATACAACCTTACCTTTTAATTTAAAATATGTTTATTAAACATTTTATAGTTATTTTGTTTGCTTTTTTTTTTTGTGAGACGGAGTCTCACTCTGTCGCCCAGGCTGGAGTGCAGTGGCGCGATCTCGGCTCACTGCAAGCTCCGCCTCCCGGGTTCATGCCATTCTCCTGCCTCAGCCTCCCGAGTAGCTGGGACTACAGGTGACTGCCACCACGCCCGGCCAATTTTTTGTATTTTTAGTAGAGATGGGCTTCCACAATGTTAGCCAGGACGGTCTCGATCTCCTGACCTCGTGATCCGCCCGTCTCGGCTTCCCAAAGTGCTGGGATCACAGGTGTGAGCCACCGCGCCCAGCCAACATTTTATAGTTTTAAAACTGTTCTGATCAACCAATTGTAACGCATTAAGAAAAAAAAAGGCAGTTTTTTTTTCTTTTTTCTTTTTCCTCCAAAACAGCTGCCATAAGGTTAGGGAAGTTGTTATTGACTCATTTGTAATACCGTGCTCTTGTTAATATTGTTTGGTAAGCATGGAGAGCTAGGACAATGAATAATTACCTAATAATTAAGAGACTTTATAACATAAAGAAGGGGACCATGTGGTAGCAGTTGACAGAAAATATGGTGAGAACTGTGCCACAGGGTGGGCAGAAAGACAGAATGATAACAAAAGGCCACCCACTTCAACAGGTTTTTACATCTTGTACTACACAGTTATGCTAACTAAGGTATTCTGTTGGAAGTCTTCCATTTCCATCACAGCTATCCTTTCCAGTTTAAAAAAAAAAAAAAGGAGAGAGACTTGAAAATATAGGCTGGGCACAGCAGCTTACAGCAGCTTACACTTGTAATCCCAGCAGTTTGGGAGGCCAGGGCAGGATGATTGCTTGAGCTCAGGAGTTCAAGATCTGCTTGGGCAACATAGTGAGACACCTTCTCTACAAAAAAATAAAAGATTAGCTGGGTATGGTGGTGCATGCCTGTAGTCCAAGCTACTCAGGAGGCTGAGGCGGGAGGATCGCTTGAGCCCAGGAGTTCAAGGCTGCAGTGAGCCATGATTGCATGCCACTGCACTCCAGCCTGGGCAACAGAGTGAGATTTGTCTCAGGAAACAAAAAAAGAAAAGAAAAGAAGAAAAGGAAATACTGCAGAGTTTGAGAAATGTCACATTAGTGGAAAGTAATTAATTATGAAATAAGTCATTTTGTTGATTAATCTTTTACCAAATTACATCAGTCATTTTTAAATGACCCTCAAATAGGTCACAATGAATGAATTTCTTGGTTATGGGACTATATGCCATACTGACTTTCTTAATTTTTCTACAGTGAACATAGTAATGATGGTTGGAGACAGCAAAAAATAATGTATTTAACATAATTTTAAAATAATATTTCTCAGATTCAGCCCTCACTCCGAATTCCCCACAATACTGCTTCCCTGCCCCTCATCTTCTCTCTGTGGCTGTGCTTTCCTAGTGGAAGCACACAGGTAGCTTCCTCGACAGGCTCCATGAATCCACTGCACAACCGACAAGTCTACAGAACCTACCAATATGCACAGACTTGTGCTCGCTCTGCCTCCTAAATCCCTGCCACATCTGGTCTTCGCACCCAGCCTCGCCCGGTCTGCTCCTTGGCTTTCCTTTCTTTTTATTCAAAGTCCAGCTCACATGTGCCTCCCTCAACCCCTGCCCAGAAAGCTCTCCTGACCAGGCCAGCCCCTGGTGCTCTCTTCCCTACACAGATGGACAGTGGCACGGAACACACAGATAGTGGCATGGGCTGGACAGTGGCATGGGGCCAGACAGTGGAATGGGCTGGACAGTGGAATGCGCTGGACAGTGACATGGGCCACACACCCAGAGGCAATGAGAAAGGCCAGAGGCATCATCTACCTTTAAAAGCGATGCAGCCACGTGCAGTGGCTGCTCAGGAGGCCGAGGCAGAAGGATCACTTGAGCCCAGGAGTTTGAGACCAGCCCGGGAAACACAGTGAGACCCCATCTCAAAAACAAAATAAATACCTCCTCCCCCCGCAAAAAAATACACACAGCACCTACTAGCACACTGTGGCTTATAAACTAGATGGTTTGCTGAGTGTGCTTCAGGGATGGAAGGGGTTGGAACCCTGACAACACCACTTAGCCTGGCTTAGAGCAGGAACCACAAAAATCAGAGAGCTTTTTCTCTGCTCAACATCCGTGTATGTTACAACTAAGTGTATAATGCTTATTTGTGAATGTACTTTAGAAACTTGTGTCTAATGTACATTCAGAATGGACTAAATAGAGGCCACAATATTTACTATCTGGCCTTTTACAGAAAGTTTGCTCACTCCTGATTTAGAGCATAAAACACATTCTTGTCAAATCATGCAGTGCCAATTACATCACAGAGCATGTGCAACAAAAAGTTGATCAATGCAAAGTCCCAGCTCTCAGACGGCTTACAAACAGATCCCAGATCTCACACCAACAAAAAATCCTACTGACACCACTGCATAGGGAAGAACATCCACATACCTGCTTCAACACACTTCCCCAGTGGCACTTCTTTTCCTCTCAATCGTGTACCGAATTTCTAACATGGGCCTATTCTCCCGAGATTTTCTCATTTCCAAGCCTTCTTGCTGGAAATGCCCTCCTTTGCAAGTATAAATCCTATGCCTTTTTCAGGACCCTTGGTCGCACCTTTCATCCTGTGCAGCCTTTCAGCATCCTCAATCCTGAGAATCCATAGCTTTTATCCATTTGTGTCTTCTTCTTCGTTTGAACTTCTACTACTACTTAGTTCAGTCCATTCTGTCATGTGCATTATCTTTTTGGTACCTGCCTCTCTCACTAGACTGGAAGCTCTGTGGGGGCAGGGGCTGTATCACTTTGGACTCTCTCATCTTAACTAACACATTAAAAAAGTATAATCGGCCAGGCATGGTGGATCATGCCTGTAATCCCAGCACTTTGGGAGGCCAAGGTGGGCGGATCACTTGAGGCCAGGCGTTTGAGACCAGCCTGGCCAACACAGCAAAACCCCATCTCTACTATAATAAAAAAAAAAAAATTAGCTGGATGTGGTGGCACATGCCTATAATCCCGGCTACTTGGGAGGCTGAGGCAGGAGAATCACTTGAACCTGGGAGGCAGAGGTGGCAGTGAGCTGAGACTGCACCACTGCACTCCAGCCTGGGTGACAGAGTGAGACTCTATCCCAAAAAAAATAAATAAATAAAAATAAAAGTATAATCAGTCAAATATATAACTGTGTGAACAATTTTATTCTGAAAATCTCCATCTTCAAAAAATTTTCAACCTAGTTTGAGATAGATATGACAGAGAAGACAGACATGCAAACATAAATGGCACAATGATGGAGGTAGGAACAGGGCAGAGTGAGGGGGCTGAAGGCCTGTACATGAGGGACTGATAGAAAGGGGAGGGAAGGCTCCTGCACACAGGGGCCACAGGGAATAAAGGCAGGGACGGGCCCAGTGTCATGGAGTGTTTGTGGGTGTGGGGACACGCTGGGAAATGCAAGTCGATTCACCTGATTGGTAATGGAGGACCGTATGGGGTTTTGGCAGAACAGGAGAGGATAAGATCTGTAAAATCCATACTTTTGAGCTATAATGTGGGACGTGGATTAGAAGGGGTCCGTCTGGAGGTGGTTAAGTGTCTAACCAGGTAGGAAACTCCTCTGAATAAGAGGCTGGCCACAGCAGTGGCAGTGAAGAGGCAGGAGGGGCAGGGCCTGGACGCCAGACAGATGTGGAAGATGAAAAAGAGACAAGGGGCTTCCAGGGTTTCTGATCTTCAGATAGCGCTGGCCATGCTGAAGGGTCAGACCCCAACTCCAGAACAGACCACATCATACACTGTTGATTGCGAAAGGCATGCATTTCCAGTGGAGAGAAAGCCTATCTGAATTTCTTATGCCTATCTGAAGTTTAATTCTATCAAAGAACTACATGGGATTATGGACTTGCTTCAATTTTTTTTTTTAATTGTAAAAAAGAAGGAATCTTGGATATTTCTCAAACAATGACACGGAAGGCGAAAACAAGCCAGGAGAAAATATTTCTGAGGAGTTTTTAATGAGGCATCATTCAATATCTTTTAGACAAAGTTTTCTCAAAGAGGACCATGGACACCCTGTGTTGGAATCCCTTGGGTATGTATAAAACACTGATAAGCAATTTCTGACCATAGCCTAGCCAGTCCAACCTGTTATGATATTACAACAATGGAGAAGTAGTTAAAAATAAGCTATCAGAACATGCCAATACATTTCTAACTTTTTAAAAAAACAGCATAAACAGAATCTCAAAATGTAAAACATACAGGCTATTTTATTTTAATATGATACATTTTATATCTTTAAATGTACAGTATCTTCACAGGTGGTAAACGTTAAAAATAATAAAAATAAATTTCAGGTCAATGTCTGCAGAACCCCAGAAACAGTCTTTGGAGCAAAGTCTAAAACCACAGGTTTTAATTACCCCATTTACACCCACTGAGAAGCAAGCCAGAGGGTGAGAAGGTGACCCATGAACTAGCAGGCAACTGTCACCTAGCTGCCGAGGAGCCTAGGGGAGACTGCCACAATTACAAGTCAAGATCTACCACATGCACAAGATGCCTGGTAGACATTTCTTTTCACTGCTACCAGGCTCTAAACAACCTGCCAAGCACTCATCTGGGACTATACCACCCTCCCTCCTGCCCCCAGGAAGAGAGCTCCTGACATGCAAGCCAGAGCCTGCCTTTCTCTGCTGCCTCGGGGATTATCCTAGGATTACTATCCTCTATTTTATTTGTTGCTTATGTTTTCAGCAGAGCATTTTTTTTTTTCTCTTCTCCATTGTGCCCCTCACCTGGCAGGACCCATGGGGTACAAAGATCAAATCAAAGTTCTGAGGCACAGCTGGCTCAGAGAAGCCAAGATACACAGGATTCCCCGTCCACAGCCAAGTCCCTTTTCTCCTCTTCCTCGGCCCTTCTTCCTGAGACCTACCATGCAGTCCCCCTTCTGACATGGTTGTATGCCTGGCACTGAAAAGCCAAGCGTAGCACAGCCAACCCGGAGCCTGGCACTAAAAAATAAATACTCCCCAAGGGAAAAACAAAGTCTCTCCACACAGAAATGTTTGATCAACAGCAGGACACGGTCCACTCCACCAAAATGCCTTAGCACAATTATATCAAGGCTCGTAACCAGGGACATAGGCATTCCAGCAACTACAGACCCTGCAATATGCCAAGTGCAGATGGAAGGCTTTGCTCATGGCATCATGCGGCTTTCCTTAACTGTTTCCAGCTTAAAATCCTCCTTAAGTAGTTTGGGAATGGGTGGGAGCTATTAACTTCGCCTAGTAAGCATTTTATTAATAATAATAATAATAATATTATTATTATTATTATAGCTGACCACAATTGTAAAACACATTAGCATTTACAAAGATCTTAAAGTTACCCTCATTAATTCCTTACATAAACTCTACTGCAAGTATTGTCATTTTACAAATAGGGAAACAGATTCAGAAAAGTTAAGTCACCAGGTTTCATAGAACTTGTCAGAAAATGAACACTAGGGCTGGGCACGGTGGCTCACGCCTGTAATTCCAGCACTTTGAAAGGCCGAGGTGGGCAGATTACCCGAGGTCAGGAGTTCAAGACCAGCCTGGCCAACATGGCGAAAACTCATCTCTACCAAAAATACAAAAATTAGCTAGGTGTGGTGGCATGTGCCTGTATTCCCAGCTACTCAGGAGGCTGAGGCAGGAGAATCACTTGAACCTGGGAGGCAGAGCTTGCAGTGAGCTGAGATAGCTCCAGCCTGGGCAACAGAGTGAGACTCCGTCTCAGAAAACCACCCCCCTCCCCACCCAAAAAAAAAAAAAAAAAACGAAAAAGAAAATGCACATTAAATCGAGTACTTTATGTATTTACTATACTCCGTTAGGTTGTTTTAAAAACTGCAAATGAGACCTAAACATGAAACCAGTAGTAATATTTTTTTGCTATTAACTTGAATGAGAATTTAATAAAATGTTTGGTTTAAAAAGTGTCAGAAGAGGCCAAAGACTTAAAACTATCCAGTTGTTCCTGCTGGCACTAGTCCACACAGCACCAAAAAGATGACTGACAAGCTTAGAGGCCTGCAGAGCCGCTTAGGAAATGGGACCTGACTGCTCCCTACCTTCAATGCTCCCCCTACCTTCAATGCTCCCCCTACTTTCAATGCCCATAGGGGATTCTCATGTGCAGCCAGGGTGCAGACTTCCTGCTTGTTAAGTTTTCCTGCCCTCAGCCATTCCATCCTTCTCCAATTGAAATGCCTCCGACCCACAAATCTCCGTTGGGTAACAGGTGAGGGGTGCTAAGGGTGCCATGCTCAGCCATGAAGCCTGGGCATCAGCAGCACCCATGATGTGCAGGTGAGTCAGGGCATGGCAGGGGGCAGGCTGGTGCAGCGGCCAGACCACTACTCCCTGGAAGAAGGCCTCGTATCAGACTCTCTGGGGACTTCACACATTCTCATCTTTCAGGACATATAACCTGGCCTGTGTTATCTCTCCAAATGACCCAAGAAATGGGAGATTATTTGCTTGACAAGTTTTCTTTTTTGGTCTAGTAAGATGTGTGTGGGTGGTTAATTATGACAGGGAAAAAAATCCATTCAAGTACAGTTGACCCTTGAACAAGATGGGTTTGAGCTGCATGAGCTCACTTATTATACAAGGATTTTCTACCTCTGTCACCTGTGACAGCAAGACCAACCCCTCCTCTTCCTCCTCAGCTTACTCAATGTGAGGACAGTGAGGATGTAGACTTTACAATGATCCATTTCCACTTAATAAATAGCAAATATATTTTCTCTTATGATTTTTAACGTTTTCTCTAGTTTAATTATGAGAACACAGTATTTAATTTTTATAACATAAAATATATATGCTAATCAACTGTTTAAGTTATCAGTAAGGCTTCTGTCAACAGTAGGCTATTACTAGTTAAATTGTGGGGGAGTCAAAAGATTTTCAACTATGTGTTAAGATGCTGACACCCCAACCTCCACTTTGTTCAAGGGTTAACTGTATGTAGGTATGATTTACAACTGATACTGCTTATTGTGATGTTGAATACAATAGCAGATTTCGTTTTATAGCAAACTTAGTTAAATCAGATGCTACAGAAATCAAATTATTATAGAAACTCAACCCATTTATTGAGCACCTACTACATAAAAAACGTATTACCAAGTGCTAAGGTGATAGAGCCTCACAGGGCACAGTATCTGATGTGAAATTCACTAGGATTTGACAAGGAAGACAATTAAGACTACCAACCTCCTATTGAACTATTCTTTATTATTGGGAATAAGTCCTTCATCATCTGCCTATTAAATCAGATTCAAAAGAACTGGATCTTGGTGCAGGCCTAGGCTAAGAACTCTTCTCTTTCTGCAACTTTTAAGAATATGGTGAATTTCCTTAAACTACAAATCTTCTGTTCTTCAAGGTGAATAATTCTACTCCTGACAACAAAATACCCACTCTTTCAACTCCCTTGGGGGCACTGCAGCTGTTTATCAGCTGTCTAAGCCAAGTGCATCCCTGAACTGTTTGGTCTACACAACCTGTGCATGGCTGCCCTCCTCCAGCTTCCGGGAAAACAACTGGGCCAAGCACTCCTTCATCCCACACTCCAGGGAGCTCACGTACAGGCGGAGGCAAAGTTCGAACCTCCCAGGACTAAATGTTAAGTACACTCTCTCTTTTGGTTATACGTCACTAACAAACTAGTCTACAACTTCAGAGCCCAACACGACAGCCACTTACTAACTCTCAGGAGTGTGGAGACGGACTGGGCCCATCAGTGGCCTCTTATGTGACTATAGTTGGATGGTGATGGGCTGGAGCATCCAAGATGGCTTCACTCACCTGCCTGACACTTGGAGATGGGCTAGAAAGCTGGAACTTCTCTCTACGTGGCTCACTTCAGGGCCTTTAGGTGGCAGCTGGATCCCTAAAGCAAGCTTTTCCAAAAGGCAGGAAGTGGAAGCTGCCGGTCCTTTGAAAGGCTACGTGTAGAAAGGGCCCGGCATCACTTCAGGGCAACCCCAAGGCCAGCCTGGACTCCAGGGGAGGGGAAATAAACTCTCTGTGTGGATGGGAGAGGGATAAAAAGGATCCATGGCCGTCTTTGCTCTGTCGCATCATTTTCCCATTTTTAATTAAAGAAGAACACACAGATACAATCTCTACCTATGGTTTTAAAGATGGACTTAAAATCCGCGCCGAAGGTTCTGCAGTCTACCATTTTGGTCTGAAGCAAAACACCTTGTAGGTTAGAGCTCACTGAATGGATAAGTGCATTTGCCCAACTTGTTACATGGTCACGTTGCCTTAATCTACAACACCAAATTGTCAACAATGACACGGTGTCTGCATAATGAACACAGTTATTTATGTTCAACAAATGAACAACAAAAGCCAAATGAAAAGGCCTTAAACTCCTGGACCAAATGATTCAAAAGTGAAGAAGGATTCTAAAGACATAAAAAGAAGTCTGCAAGCCCTCACACACACTCCTGACTCTACCGTGTCTATATCTCAGGAAAGGCAAGATATCTGGCACAGAATTTGGAAAACAAAAGTGGCCTCCTATCATTTGTAAGAGTAACAACGAGAGAGAGAGAGATCCTCTGTAAATACCAAAGGAGATGTTACATACTAGTCTTTGTTTTTCCTGTGAAAATGTGGATGTGTCATAATTTTACAAATTGCTGACTTTTCCCAGGCTTCAGAGCAGCTGAGCTCATTTGAGTTTTGCATCTACTGAGGGTATCTCCATGCTATTTATATATCAGATGCATGACTGTGTTCTACAGCGTGAACAATCCAGGGGCCCCTGTTTTCCCCTAAGCTCATCCTGGACCACTGTCTCCTCCACTCACTTGGATGATCCCTTTCTGATCCTCCAGCATCTCTGACTCTCTTCCCAGCGCAGGACCTTTGGGCGAACGGCTGCTTCCGCTGCAGTTCCACTGGCCATGCCCACAGGGGTCCTTCCCAGGCCTCAGCTTACAGGCCACTCCTGAGTTGGGGGTTTCCTTACCTCTCTTCAAGTAGGCCTCCCCATGATTTCCTGTCTCAGCTTCCTGTTTGCCTCCTTTGGCACATTCATGAAAATATGTAGGTATTTGACTTATGAGTGTCTCTACCATTCATGAAAAAGAGCCATGGTCTGCAGTCTCCACAAGGGCAGGGGCCACATCTGTCTTATGTACTACTTGCATCTCTAGAACTCGGCACAGTACCTGGACAGCAGAAGGAATTCAGAAGTGTCCCTTAGCCTTACTGACTTTTATGTTTATAAAGGCGGCAACAGCAAGTGAATCACCAAACTTTCTGGACTTAATTTATTCTTTTTTGGAGGAAGGTCGGGATTAATTTTTTTTTTTTTTCTTTGAGACAGGGTCTCGCTCTGTCACCCAGGCTGGAGTATAGTGGTGTAATCACAGCTCACAGCAGCCTCAGTTTCCCCAAGCTCAGGTGATCCTCCTACCTCCTACCTCCCGAATAGCTGGGACTACAGGCACATACCGGCCAATTTGTGCATTTTTTTGGAGAGACAAGGTTTTGCCATGTTGCCCAGACTGGTCTTGAATTCCTGAGCTTAAACGATCTATCTGCCTCGGCCTCTCAAAGCGCTGGGATTACAGGTGTGAGTCACTACGCCTGGCCTTTGGATTAAATAATATTAATTTCCTTCCATCAATATCACTGAACAGCTATTACTTAATCACCCAGGTTTACAAATAAATATTCATTTGTATTTACTACTTAGGAAATTCATTATCAGTAAGGATTTGTTTTCTAGTCTCTACTATTATCTTATGAATTTAATATTGTAAAATCCTAACATAAAATAGGTCTGGAAAGACAAACTTTCCATGATCTTATATAATAACACTTTCACTATCTTAAAAGTATAAGGAAAGTCTAACGTGGAAAAATTCAGAAGTAATAAGGTTTTTCTATTTTTCATAAATTTTGAATATATCTTCAATAACCAAGGATGAGGTGCAATCCATAACACTGCAGTCCTAGGCTTGAAGTTGTAATTTGCTGACAATCTCATTTCAGCCACATCCAAAATTAGCAACTAATTCTTTACACATACTTTATTAATAGACTCCTGAAATTCAGAGATTAGATTAGAGAGAAGCACATTCATTATTAAGTTGGGAAAACATACAAAACGAAAAATAAAAGGAGCACTTTAATATAATGATCAAACAAACATGATAACCAGCTAAGGAAAAACTACTCACTTGATTTTTAGACTTTTCTTCTACTCAGTAGTAAAATATACGACTGGTACATACAACAGCAAAACTGCTGATAAAATTCTTAACCCACAATCAACCATACACCTTGGTTTATAATTTGGTTTTCGTTAATTTATAATCTAAGCTTCTTGGAAAAGGTTACTTGCTGAGTTACTTAAAATAATCCTTAATTTCTTTTCTAGCTAATCTCACTCTAAAAGGGTAACTTTTAAATTATAACAACTGTTTGGGTTTAATAAAAACCAGAAAGAACTTTTTGAGAAATACATTCAGAGGAAAGGTAGCCATTACCAAAAAGTGATCTTGGTTTGGCCTTTAAAAAAGAAGAGAATAAACCACGAAAACCTTCAAAGTCCTTCTAACTTAAAGTAATAAAAATAAAAGTTGCTGACACCTGGTAGTCAAGTGAATCATAAAATCTTTTTTAAGGATACATTTTATTGATTTTTTTTTCAGGGTTCTTCCATAACAGCACAGTAGGAAATTCATTAACCCTAAAGGGATAAAGGCATAATCCCAATGAAGATAAAAATCAAGATGAACTAAAAATGTGTTTGCTGATACTAATTCAGTGGATAGGGTTGCTACATATCCAATTCCTAAACATCTGTGAGGAATTAAGATTTTCTCTTTCAGGGAAAAAAACAATAATAATAAGAGCTAATATTTATTAAGCATTAATATGTGCCGAGCACTAGGCTAAACAGCTAGTATATATTATTCCACTGAATTCTTACATCCAAATCTTACAAAAATCTATCTGATTCCAGAGACGTTCCAGGAGGACGAGAGTAAAATCAGCAGAGATATGAGGGAGAAAGACCAAAGACAGATCATATACATTATTAAAAAGGTAACTACCCTAAGTCCTCACTCTCAACCTATTTATTCTTCCTTTATAAACAATGCTAGTGAGCTTGACTAAACACCTAAACTTCAAGCAGATGAGAGGCAGCAAATTAGAAGAGGGAATCGGCCTCTATCCTTGGAGCCACAAGTAGTAGTAACTGATAAGCAATAGAAATCAGAAAGAAACAATAAGCAGCAAACATCTCAAGATCATGGCGGTCTAAGAACTTTAATGCAGAAACAAAGCAGGCTATATACCTTACTAGGCCCAGACAGCACTGTTGATAAATGTTTATTTATGTAAAGAATGACTAGGTCATAAAATAACCTGTGGCTAGGAGAGTAACAGCGTGTCAAAAAATTGTTCAGATATGTTCAGAACGCTCTACTTAAGAGAGAATGAAAGACAGCAATACAACAGTGTGAATTATTGGCCAGACTATGGGCAGTTCATTTGCAGAAGACCCCAGATGGCCAAGACTGAGCTACAGTTTGCACTCTCCTGTGCTGGGGGAGCTGGTGGTTTGGGCTTCAGGCCACCTGATGTCCAGGCTCCGCTACCACACTTCTGTGCGCCCTAAAAAATGAGTTGACCCAGGTTACCTTTTCAGTCTTTTTCCTCTTTACTACTTCGCTTTAAATACCGTGAGAGAAACCACCTATTACCCACTTCTCTGAAATTCATGAAAATTTGACAACTGGCCAACACTTTCAAGACGTGGAGTTATCAAAAGCCACAAAAATGCACTCAGTTAATATTTACAGCAGGGAGATACTTTAGTTACCTGGAGAAAAGTGGTATTGGCACACAAGACATAACAGGATAGACCGGTCTTGCCATGGCTAGAATTGGAATTCCACTTTTACTTACTTCTTGCAGTAGGAAACTGAGAGAAAATTAATCCTTTCATTTCAGTTATTTTAGGAGAGAAGCTCTTTTATATATGCTTTGCAAATATTCAACTGGACTGCTCTTAATGCATAGGTATTTTACAACCTTGCTTGAATGCAAGTTTATTTTGTGGACCTCTGAGCCATAAAAGGACATCTCCCACCTCTAGAAAGAGGAACCATGTGAACACAATATAGATTTGGGGTGATGAAGGAAAAGTGGGTGAGAAAAAAAAATGCATTAAATCAGTATTTACACCAAAGGTTATCAAGGAAACCCAGATTTAGGCTGTCAGTAGCATTAACTTCTTAAATCAGTTTTTCTCAACCCTGACTGAAAATCAGAATCCCTGAAGTACCACCTGGGTACTATGCCCTCCTCTCCCAAGCAATACATCTACTTCTGGCCAGGGGTCCCCTTTAATGTGCTAAATAATCAAAATCAGTGAAATTCTTTTTATCCAGTCTGCATTATTCTTGGTAGATTCTATTCCATTAAGAGTTAAACCTGTTCACTGACAGAAATATCAATAAACTAGGATAAAGTTAAAAATCTGCTGACCACAGACTTGTGTTGAGCACAAGGGTAATACCTAATCCTTTTTGCTGCGGTGAGCCATTTAAACACCACTCTGAATGCAGGGTGGGAAATAAAAATGAGCCATTCAGTAGCCTTGCAAAGATGTGCAAGAACCTAGAATGCTTTTCTGAGAGTTTTAAGCCATGATTTACCCAATCTTTGATATCTGTTCTATAGATAAATACTGCTCGATCCCATCTCCCCAGCTAACACACTCTACCTCCCACTTTTCCTCCCTTTCCTCCCTCTCTTCCCCCACTTTGGGCAAGTCTTCCTGCATCTGTTTTGCTTGGCAACACACATCAGCATTCCAACAGATGTCACCTGGCCACTGACAGAAGATTGGAACATATGAGGCAAAGTAAGAAACTTGTTCAAAAGGAAAAAATGATCCCCAGTGAGGTTTCTGCCAGGGAGGATCACCAGACTTTCAGGCCTGAGGCTTGGGAAGGGAGGAGGCTCTGAGTCACTGAAGGCCATACCTTGTCATCACCCTTGCATGGGTATCAGATTGAAAGAATGCTCCCAAGAGCACTGTCTCCCATAGAACGCTCCCCTCCTCCCCAAGGACTTCCTCTCCTCCCTCAAACACAGAACCTCTGCAGAAACCTTAACTGGTCAGCTTAAAGAAGCCTGAGGATAAACTGGCTGTGACCACTTACGATGACCAAAGGACTTCATTACAAAGCATGATGTCTATTTCTTTCTTTATTTAAATCCACGTTCTAAAGAAAATTTTCAGTAGCTGAGACAAAGGAGTGTCTATTTCATCAGCAGCAACTTAAAAACTCTCCGCTACCCATCTCTATTCTTGCCTTTTCCATGAACTAAGATTGTGTCTATCTGCTCATCTGTCAAGCCCTCAGCCCATCAAGGAAACACATGATAAACTAGGGGTGAAGGGAATAAAAATATTTCACCCCAAAATATACCTCTTTGATACACTGTGAATGGCTGTTCAGAGGGCAGGTCTGTGGGGGGAGATTTGCACCTGGGGAGGAAACTGCACTGATGGGAGGCCATCTTTCTCTAAGGCCCTCCCTTGTCCAGATCTAGGGAAGATTGACTGAGAGTCTGACATCTTTAAAGGTCTGAAAGAAACATCTGCCTTCTCTGTGAGGGCTGCTACCTAGGAGGTTTCATCTACACGACAGGGCCACCTCTGCTAGCCAGGCCTCCTCTTCTCTCCCTCCAAGAATCTTTCTTGCCACCATAACCTGATTGACCACCATACCCTGTTTTTGGTCGGGCTCTGAGCCCCATTCTTCCTATAACCTCAGGATGGTATAGAAGCTTCTGAACCCCATTGGGGGGTTGGGGTAATCAATCTGCATGCACGTTAATAAAGTTGTATGGCATTTCTCCTATTAATTGGGCTTTTGACAGTTGATTTTTCAGGGGACCATCAGAAGGCGCAGAGCAATTTTCCCTTGGCCCCCACAGTAGGGGCAAAAAACGACGACCTCCAAAACTGAGGGAAACATGCAGAAACCTTGCTCCTGGAAAACGCTTCTGAAGGGCCTGCCTCTCTATGGGGGTGAAGCTTGCAGGATAAATGAGCTATTTTAAAAGCTATGTATCAGCTTTGCTTTAATGCCCACACATTATTCATCAATGGACAATACGCCTTATAATAAATGCAATCTGCAAATCAGAAGCAGACTCGCTGGTGCAAAAGTGCAAAAATATATCCACCCACGCCCTGGCATGACACAGGCAGCAGAAAGCATCTTGAAATAACACTTCCTTAAGGAGAAGAAAAACCTCCCATTTTCTAGGCATTGCAACATGAAAATGACAGGCTAAGTACTAAGGGGGAGACTAACTCCCGAGACAATCCATGATCTTTCCTGGTATTCGGAGAAATCAAAGGGTGTGGAGGGAAACAGCACAGGCCAGGGACCAGGATCTGCCACATACTAAGGCGACATGCACTTCTGCAAAGGCCTCTCAGCTCCCGCCTTGCCCTCCATCCAGTACAGTAGCCAGTGTGGTCCATGGAGACAGAAACAAAGTTCCTTGGGAACTGTTACATTTTCATGAGAGATTCTAGTATAACATAACAGGTCTTCATTTCAAGTATAATAGGGTTTTAGAGTACATGATCTTAAAATATGAAATATGAACAATTTTCTGTAAACTGTAAATTAAGATCCAAGTTAAGGGGCAACCGGAACTCAGAGGACTAATACCTAACCATTAGAATTGAGACATTTTAAAAGTAACTATGTTAACTTCAGGAGCATATTCTTGTAACCCTAGAGTTTTTCATGAGCGAAAAATAATAAAATTGCCAATTGATCAATTCTCTATCTGGACTGAATGAATGAAATTTCCAAATTTTAAAATTCTGGGTGACAAATATACGGAAGGAAAGATTAAAAGCATCCATTTTCCAAAAAGTCTAATGCCTTAGACCCAGATATAACTGCAGTCACCAGATTATTTTAATAGTAGCCAGTAATCTTAAAACATTTCTATCTGTTCTTCATAACTATATAGAAAGCAAGTCCACTTTAAAAGCAGAGAATAATGATCTCTTAATAAGGTGTCTGCTTAGATTTGTAACTTTATCTGGATTAACTCCAACACTTCAAAACACAAGACTCTTAGTACCTATAATTGGTCTTATCATTTAAAAATACTTAAGTGTTTAAAAATCACTCCAAAGTCACATCCATGAATACTGCCACCAGCAATCTGCGTATATTATTTTCAACCACAAGTTCTCCAATTTGATATATTGTATTTTCTATTGGCACAACACAACAGCATAATGAAGAACCTGGGAGCTGGACATTTCTGTCTTTCTTGTTAATCCGTTTGTGTGATTCACCTACAAGACCTACTTTGCAATGGAGTGAAAGAGCTGGAGTGGGGGAACCTCAGTATTTCTCCAGTATTTACTAGAACTTTCTACAGAGATACAAACCCACTGGCCAAAATATGCACATAATTAGACACTGAAAAGATATACATATGAGAACTTACATGAATCACTAAGAAAAACATCTGGTGTTTCCCTCATTTTAGTTATTTTTTTCATGGTTCAGAAATTTAATACTTTTATATGGCTGAATCTATCCAACTTCTGTGATTTCCTTTTCTGCTTCTAAGGTTAGAAATGTATCATCCTTCACAGATCTGATACTCAATTTTCACTGCTTTTTCTATGATGTGAAACATTTTATATGAAATTATCTATCCTGAATTTAATTTGGCACTTGGTTTAGGTTGCAGATCCGATCAACATTATAATTTTTTCAAATGGTTATATGCACATATAATTGAATACGATTTGTTCAAATGGTGGAAATATGGTTTATATTTCCCTTTTTGTTGCTAAATCTAAATACATATGATATTTAAATACATGTACCATATGTAGTTAACATGTCTCATATCATACAGATTAGCATTTTTCTTACATAAATGTCATATCCAACAAAAAGAAATGCAGAGACGTATTTAAAATATTCATTTCTTTAGTTTTTCTTCAGGATAAATTCTCCCCTGTATATATAAACAGTTTCTTTATAAACTCCATAAATAAAGCCTACTTAGTTGGATACAGTGTCTCATGCCTGTAAACCCAGCACTTTGGGAGGCCAAGGCAGGAGGACTGCTTGAGGCCAGGGGTTTGAGACCAGCCTGGGCAACATAGTAAGACCCCCATCTCTACAAAAACTAAAAAATTAGCTGCGTGTGTTGACATGTACCTGTGGTCCAGCTACTTGGGAGTCTGAGGTGGGAGGATCACTTGAGCCTGGGAGGTGGAGGTGGCAGTGAGCCATCTTAACGCCACCGTACTCCAGCCTGGGCAACAGAGCAAGACCCTGTCTCCCTCCCTCAATTCCCCAAAAGAAAGCTTCATCCTCTCTGTTCCAGTTATGATCCTACACTATGATGTTATAATGAAAGTGACAATAATCCATTGCATTCCTGGGTCTCTGCTACCACCATTAAATGGCAGAAACTGTGCCTTGGTATTTCCTTGTCCTCAGCATGGCCTGGCAGGTGTTCAGAGAGCAGCTTTGTGGAAGGCAGGCCAGCAAGGAAGGAATTCATCCAACTCCACATTTGATGGAAAAGAGAGGAATTGTTTGTGATGACAGCCACACCCAAGAAATCTTCAGCAACGTTTCACATGAAAAATAATTTGCTGAAACCTGCTAATAATGAACAAGGCAATTTGGAGCCAATATGACCACCACATCCCTGGGAGGCACATCTACCTTCAGTCTTTCAATGAGGCCCCTCCCACTGGCCCACTGAGACAAATCTGGTCACTTTTCAGCATCTAGTTCCAGTCTTGCCCCTCCATGACACAGTTCCTGTCCCTCCCAGCCTGTGCATAAGCAATCTGTCACCCAATGCCTTGCTTAGTGCCTGCTATCAGGAGTAAGGCTTCTTCTGCTAGGCAGGCCTCACCTCAGCTGTCCCATCTGTTTGTGAAACTGAAAGCTCTATAAACCAAGCTCCCTAAGTATTTATATGTCCAACGTCAAGAAGGATAGGGCTTCACGTGCAGTGATTATTCAAAAATAATTATTTCATACTCAAGAGAGAAAAAGAATATTCTCTATTACTGCAAAAGTAAAGCTCTCAGGGTTGGTAAATGGGTACGAAAATACGGTCAGATGAAGGAGTAAGTTCTAGTGTTCAACAGCACAGTAGTCCATGTCCTCAGCACGACAGTTAATAAGAAGTTACTATACATTTCAAAACAGCCAGAAGACAAGATTTGGGATGTTCTTAACACACAGATGCCACAAATGTCTGCAGTGACAGATATTTCAAATATTTCAGTATGTAATGATTTGATCATTACACACTGTATGCATGTTAACAAGATATCACATGTACCCCCATAAACAGGTACAAGATATCACATGTACCCCCATAAACAGGTACAACTATTATGTATCAATTTTTAAAAAGGAAAGTTCTCACTTTCCTCATCTTTAAAATTAAAGGAACTGGCCAGCATAATTTCCAAGGCAACTCACAGCTCTGCAAATCTGTGAATCTAACATTTAAAAATGACCCCTGCATACATTAGCTGGAGAAAAATGCCATACTGCAGAATGCAGGAGCTTCTCTTGCTAATATAATTTCAACCGAGGGTGCAAGCAGGCCGGAGGCACACTGTGTCCTTAGCATTGCTGTGTCCTTAGCCTTGGCATTTGGGCACCTAATAATGCGTGCTAATGTGTATAACATCGTTTCTGGATTTTATAAAAGCAGATAATTACCGTAGTAAGAAGTTAGCAAAAAAGATAATTACTGTAGTAAGAGGTTAATTCAACTTAAATATTCAAACTAAATTAAAATATTTAAAGTTTTATTACAACTTAATATCTCTTTTATTCAAGTGGAAAAGCATAATCAGTAAGGTCCTATGGAACAGATACTATGCTTAAGGCATTTTAACTCATGAGGAAGACCATATAAAAGAAGCCCAGAGGTATGCTGATAGTTTCCAGTGTTCAACTGTGACTAATTCCTTACAAAGTTTAAGAGTCCATGTTAGTTCTGCAATGTAACTCCTAGCCAGAAGACCTCCTGGATTTGAAGAAGTGCTGGATTGTTTGGTTGGAGCTTAATATACATTATTACATTTCAGTATTGCTGGTTCCACCCCACCTTTTCTATTCAACTCAATTTTTAAAATCTGGACCAAAACAGTTGTTTTCCTTCATGAGGTAACTACCTAGCCATGCATTTGAAAAGAACATGAGAGAGAGAAAAAAAAAAAAAAAAAAGCCTAAGAAGTAGGATTTATTATCACGCTTGAAAATGTCAAGGAAATGGATGAGTTATGACATGTGTGAGTCATTAAATGTATTTTAAAAGTCTACCAGCTCTCGAATGACCAATAGAAGAAAGAGAAACTAAATCTATCAGAAACGATTTGAATTTCAAAGTATTTAACATGCTTAATAACAACCCCAGCCCATCTAACCCCCAAGAAAGAAGTAAGCAAGATAATGAGTGATGATGTGGGTTGCAAGTAGGCTCCTCAAAGTTATTATACAGGGAAGTAAAAGTCACTTGACTCACTGTGATCTACAAAAATTAAGTCACAAAAGAAGGCTGTGTAAACTCTAGGAACCTGTGAAAAGCTGATCTGCCTGGGGGAAATTCCAGTCTCTTGCTACCTGGAGGAATTTACTCTGCTCTGCTTACTGGATACGTGGCATAATGCTTAACATTAAAACAAACACTGAATGGTTTCCAGAAATAGGGAGGTTGTGCAGGCACTTAAGGGAACCAATACAAAGTTTCCGAATACTAAAGTGTAGCAACGAGTCAAATCAGAGATAGGAGGGCCCCCTTCCAGCTCAATTATGATCCGTCCTTTTATTTGATTTCATGACCTGTCCCTTCACAGAGATTTAATCACTGTACTCAAAAGTGTCAGAACAGTCCACAGTTCTAAAATTGTCAGGGCATAAAAAACAGGCTTCTTGAAATACAATTGATTCCATCCTCCATCCTGAAAGAAACTAAGCTTCCTGTCAAAACATGGTGATGCCTAGAGACCAGGAAAGTGCCCGTTTAGGACATGGCATGAAACCAGCCAGGACATCAGGGGCTAACTTTCAGGCCCACTCACATCAGGCCACCTGTCTCACTGAGTTACTCATTTATTCTCCTCTGTATCCTAGTTGGCCCAAGGAAGCCACAGCAGAATAATCAAGAGATTCCAAAGGAGAACTCCAGTGAGAACATTATGCATTCAACATGCTCACTGAGAGAAGATTATTTCTTTTCCTTTTTTTTTTTTTTTTCCTGAGACAGAGTTTCACTCTGTCGCCCAGGCTGGAGTGCAGTGGCACGATCTCAGCTCACTGCAACCTCCGCCTCCCGGGTTCAAGAGATCCTCCCACCTCAGCCTCTCAAGAAGCTGGGACTACAGACAGAGGCCACCACGCCTGGCTAGCTTTTGTATTTTTTGTAGAGATGAGGCTTCGCCATGTTGCTCAGGCTGGTCTCGAAGTCCTGGGCTCAAGGGATCTACCTGCCTCAGCCTCTGGAAGTGCTGGGATTACAGACATGAGCCTCCGTGCCCAGCCAGCATTTCTTAAAAACATTTTATCACAAATAGAGACAGAAGTCCAGGGCCTGGCACTGGAATGTGGTGAACGAAGATTATTTCTAAAAATCTTTCAATAATCTCCACCTGCCCAGAAATGTATAGACATTCTGCAATACCTGCTTTTGCTAATATTTAACACATTCCGTCCTTTGGCCTTCTTAATTTTTTATTCAGAGTGGGGCATACGCAGCAGGTGAAGGCTGTTTTGGTGCTCTCCTTTGTGCAGGACATGGAATATCATGCTGCTTGGTATGAACTAAGAGAACTAGAAGGTTGCAGACAGGATGATAACCTGTCCGAATAATCACCAGCCAACTCTGAGGTGGGTTTCCAAAGTTTCCTTTGACATTTACAGAGGAAATGTAGACATTCTGGTACCTTTGTGTAGAATCAGCAATTTCAACACCACCTATGAATTTCCTGCTTTTTCCCATTCTTGCAAATGGCTTAATATAATTAAGAGTTAAAAAGGTAAAAACGTATTTAGGATAGCTAACCTGTATCGCCCACAGTAATATGCAGGTAATTATTTTTATTAAAAAATGTGCTAGATCATTGACAGTTGCACAAGTAGCATTACCATTTAGATTCGCCTCAACTATACAGAAATATTCATCAACTATCCAGAAACCATTCAACTATCCAACATTTATTACATTTTAAGGTAGTTTTTACATAAAGTAAATTTATTCTGGTACTGTGAACTTTTATGAAAAGATAGCAAGTTTCTTATCAGTATGTATTATAAAATTAGAGATTTATTTCAATGACTAGGAATTCTGCCACCAGGCTTAGCCAAGAGAAGCAGCTGCACCATTTATGAAAACTCTCTAAAAGACAGTATCTTAAAATAAGACATATTCCCAAATATCTCCCTCATTTTAAAGTCATACAATGTGGAAATTTTGTAGATATAACACTATATTGTTTCTCAAAAGCCTCAGTCTATACCAAAGTAACAGTAGACTCAACCACTGGAAATATTACAGCAAAATGACATGGTAAAAAATATGCTAGAAATGCAAGCCAAAATGTTATAAGGCTTCAAAATCAACACAGTAAATATACTTACGAGTCCTTTTCTATAATGCATAGTTCAGGAAGCAATTCTTTTCCAAGACTGTATTTGGTGTTAGGGACAAATACTTAGGAAAGATGAGATGACAACAGAAAGAGCATCAAAGCTATTTATTAAACATTTCCAGGTATGCCATAAATGCATGTTGTCCTTGTGTTAAATGCCATACTGATCAAAAAATGGTTGTTCACAATTAACCTAATTAACCTGCTAGGGGAAAGACTTGTATATTACAGATACCTGGTTCACGAATCAGGTACTTCCATGGACACTTTCATTTAAACCTAACTATGAACCTACGAGCTGGACATTTTTATCCTCAAATTTACTGATGAGGAATAGGCTTAGAGAGGGAGTCTAAGTACTCCAGGACCAAAAGCTAGTGAACTGCAGAGGACGGCTCTTTGGATCCCCAAAGAAGCCTTCTCTCACCTTCAGGCCAGTGCTGCAAGACACCAAATGAAGTTACCACCTCTAAACTTTTCAAAAAAACTGTCACATCACAGGAAGCATTAAACTGCTTTTTGGCTTAACATATACTTTTTAATTGTGCAAATATACACACACACATAAATACACATTCCCATTATAGGTGCACAAAGTGGTATCATAGTATACACTATGATATACACATAATGTTATTACACCTAACAACGGTATCACATCCTTTCATCTGAAACAGTGAAATAACACCATTTCACATGGGAGGGTCAAGTGAGATAATGCCTCCACAATGGGACAGCCATACATATTAAGTGAAATAAACAAAGCATTCTTCAAATTGTGAAGTGCTACAGAAACATGAGCTATGCTGCAAGCCATGTACAGTTTCTGTTTACAAACATATCGGTGTCAACCTTGTGCACTGCCTATCCAACTTTTCAAAACATCCCTGAAAACAGGTGACATTTGAAGATATATATTGGTTTATTCTAAGACCACATTAAGAGAGAGCATTACTATACATGAGAGAAGAAAGAAAGTTGATTGAATCCAGTCAGAAACCAGGTCAATGAAAAGAATGCTACTTGTTTTTCTTCTCCATTACAATATTAAGTTTTATTTTTATTTTTTTGAGACAAAGTCTCGTTCTGCTGCCCAGGCTGTAGAGCAGTGGTAGAAACAGTAATCTCAAACTACTGGGCTCAAGCAATCCTCCCACCTTCGCCTCCTGTGTTGTTATGTTTTAAAATAAAGGGGTGGTTAATACATTGGATACTCGAGTTATTTTTAGGGTAAAAAACAGACATCGACTAATATTAATGTCAAAAAATGGCCGTATATTAAAAACATCTTCTGTAAAAGAGACTCAAAGTTTCCCCAAATGAAAAGAATTTGGATATTCCTTTGTTGTTCAATAAAAGTAATTTTTAATCACAAGAGATTACTACACTACTCCTGTGAAGTACATGTCCACTGAGAGGACACAGAGGAAAGTCCAGAGAGCTTGAGCTGAAAGAACGCTCTCTTCTCCAATAGCATATGCAGTAGGTGTTAGAATTACTGCTTTTGTCCGGGTGGGCCCTCCTCCCTCCGTTTACATTACAAACTGTGTCAGCAAGACACTGAGATAGTCCCTGAAACTTTCCAAGTAACGGGTGTAATGTTATATACACAGTAGACCTTGAGTACTTCATAACACCAATGAGATTAGAAAACTGGCTCCTCAAGCTTGTAAAATGCAGAGTTTCACAGTTATTATGCACAAAATGGCATACAAAGGGGGCACAAATGCTGGTAAATGGTGGTCCAACTTCCTCAGAATAACTCTAATGCAGTTAAGAGGCTCAGAACCCAATAACCCAAAAGCTAATTTATAAGAAAATAACTAAATTACTCACTAAATGACTACTAATGACTGCCACAGACTGAATTGGTAAATTCTAACAATTCTGAAAATTTTTAACTGATTATAATTGATGACTATACGAATGAATTCTTGTCTACTGACAGTGATAAACCAGGTGGAAAACTTATCATCACAAGGGTTTCCCCTGTATTTTTTCTAATAATTTAGTTGGTTAACATTTTTTGGAGTCATGTTACATTTTAGATTTAGTCATGGCAGGATGTTTGGGAGGCACAGATAAAAGTACTCAACAACTTAATCTTGTAATAAGGTCTAAAGTATAGCTTATGAAATATGAGCACGTTGTCAAATGAATCCCGAGCGGTATTCCCAAATCTAGGAAGACTTTCCGTATCATTCCACCACCAAACTGCAACAGATTCTAGCTAATTTTTCATGTAAACTTAATAATGTAATGTCCTTTAGACCAAAGCAGTGGATATTTGAAACGCCAAAAAAGCTTGGTAGCAGCCAGACTGTAGACGCCCAAGTGAATGTTTTCCTTCAAGATAAGTAAGGCGGTGGCAGCTGCTGCCTAAACTTAACACCCCTGTCCATATGAAATGCATACAAAGTTGCTGAATGGAGCAGGCGGTTTTGTTATGTGACCACTTTTGGTTTTGTTTTTTAAAGAAAAATCGTTTTGCTTAAAAGAAAACCAGCTTACTAACCACGTACTAATTTATGTATGTGTACAAAAATACATACATATGAAAATGCAAACTACTGTTCACTAGTTGGAACTTACTCTCCAAGAAAAGCTCTTTATTCCAGAATTTATATTCTCCAAATGTGTAGAAACTTGTTTTTCACTACATAGGCCTTGCAAGTTAGAATAGCCCTTTTAAGCAAGGTACACATAAGTTTTAGTTTATTCGATTTGTTTTCTAATTACATTTGAAAGTTCAAACCAAATGAGTTTGAACTTTTTTGAGTTTAATTGTATGAATCCCTTTGTCTTCCACATCAGAACTGCAAAGTGATTTCAGTTTTTGGTAATATAATTGAATAGTTATCAAACTTTAGGAAATATATTTTTGTCAATCTTCATGCGGTAAGTGGTCCAAGTTCAGCATGGAATTGTGTTGCCGAACAAAGCCTACAACTGTCATGATGGTAATTTGTTGGGGGTGGGCGTTAAAGGCTACTATAATATCAAAACACTGTCAAAATTTGTACCATTGTGTAATACATGGTATAGGTTCAGACCAAGACAAAGCACTTAGCCATTTCCCAATAGAAGAGTTTGAGATAATGAAAGAAAGGAGATACATGGAAGGAAAGAGAAGAAGAAAAATAAATTTTCATTAAGCATCTGATTGTATCTTCAAAATGATGAAAACCAATGATGGAGGAGTGATAAAGTTTACTTGAAAGACGAAACTTATTTCTGAACACAAAGCAATAAAAGACAATACAATTCTAGAGTAATACTCAGACGCTCACTTTTCAAAATCACAATTCATAAGTGAAATCCAAAGAAAAGTCCCCTAGACATTTACTAATCATATCCTCAAACTGGCAGTCACATGAAATTCAGGAGAAAAAATATCCAATTCAAAATATAAGGAGCTTGTTCTTTAGGAGAAAGCACTCACTGGCTAGTGATTACTAGTAAAAGAAACCAAACTGATTAAACTTTTCATTCCACTCTAAACCACGAAAGCTGCAGAGTCATCATATGCCTGGTCGATGGAGCGTGCAGCTGTCTCTCTGTACTCCATTTCACTGAAAGGGAGCGATCAGGAACAGAGAAACAGGAAGGCCAGAATCTGTTCTAAGGCGTCTATTTCTCCACAGCTGGAGACAGGGTACTTACTATTCTATATACAGCATCCTCGGCTTGGACACTCAAGTGTGCAGTGTTAAATTGCACGCCACGCCATCTGACCATTAACGAGTCCCCATCAGTTTCCCCTAGCCTTGGGCCATAACCCAATGTGCTTTAAAAACGCATCTGTTAGTATCTTAGCAGTGTCACTTGTGGGATAGTAATGTCACTATCCCACAAGCGACACTACTCTCGTTCAGTATTACTTAATGGGACAAAAAACAAAGCAAATTATATAACAACGACTGACCTGACCTCCTGCAGCAAACAGGCCATGACAGATAATCAAATTCCACTAAACTTTACGTTCACCTATTTTAACTATTAAGAGACGAAACTGAGGTCCTTTGCAATATCCTCCCCTTTCCGAGAACTGATTATTTTTAAAGTATTGTCACAGGCTATACTTGCAAGCAGCTTTTTAAATGCAATTCCAACATCAGCACGTTGGGGCACTGACTTGTTTTTTGGCAGATTAAAGTAACAAATTTTATTCGAAATTCTTCTATTCAGAAAAATAAAAGCAGGGGGAAGGTATTCTGCTTGGATTTCCCAAACAGACAAAGTTCTTTGACTTTGAGGACCTACAGAAGACATTTGCAGAAATGGTGTTTTGCGCACCAAACACTGGACCACAAATCATCGTGCCAGAACTCGGCCAAACATTCAGATCCACTGGCCTGAAGCAGGGAAACTCCCGGAACAGAGGGTGAGGTTTTATTTTGGTTACGCCGCAGAGTAAGCATCGAAGTTGAAATCAGTAAACACATGTAAACACGCTGTGAACTTACCGTGGTGTCAGCTCCCGTGGAAACAGGGCTTTTGGCGCTTTTCTCCTCGGGATTCTGGGGAGCTTCTTCCGGCCCCCGGGTTACAAGAATTCTAAAATGCTGCTGCCCCGCGTTCTGATCCTGCCTGATCTTAAATGTGCACCCCTGGCCCTGCGGAGTCCTCTCCGCGGAGTTCGTCCTGCGGATTTCAGGAGCCATCCTGCCAGCTCGAGGCGATGCCTCCAGGGCTCCCCGATCTTCCGTGGGGCTCCCTCGCTCGCTTCGGGGCTGCGTGGGGTACGAGGTGCTCCTCTCCAGCCGAATGCGAGGATACCTCACCAACCTGTCCCCCTTTGTGCCCGTGAAGCCAAAGTTGAGGTCGCTGCCTGGCCCCGAAGCGCCTTGTTGGGGCTGCTGCAACTGGAAGACAAAACACCGCTTCCCAGAGCTTCCAGAAGCATCTGGAACGTGCTGCAGGGACCAGCGCCTGGGCTCTGCCGCGGCCGGGCCGCCCTGGCCATCGGGGCCCAGGGGCAGCAGCCTCACCTGGCGCACGTCGGCGCTGGAGGCGCGGTGCTGGATGCGCAGGCCCGGGGCAGCCTCCTCCGCGCAGTCCACGGGGCCGGAGCACCGCACGCGGCGGCCGCACGTGCCGTTGACCTGGAGCCCTGGGTCCCGGGCTGCCCTCGGAGGGGAGCTCCCGGGGGTGTCCCTCGGCGAGGGCTCCCGGGAGCCACTCTGGGGCGAGGCCCTCGTGGTGGCAGTGGCGGAGGCCTGGTCCCTGGGGTCGGGCGTTGCGCATGGAGGCCCATCGTCGGCGCCCTCGGGCGGCCCGCACCCGTCCGTGGCCCCGTCCGTGGCCTTGCGCTGCAGGGAGATCTGCACGGAGGAGCTGCACGTGGGGCGGGCGTCGATGCTGGTCAAGAGCTGCGGGATGAACATGGACGAGCTCCGCTTAAGCGCACCCACGCCTCCCTGCAGGCCTCCGCCGCCGTCCTCCCCTCCGTTCTGGGCGAAGGGGTGCGGGCTGCTTCTCCGCGGTAGGGTGTGGAATGCCATGAAGAAGTCGTCTTCTCTCTCCTGGTCTAGGATGTCTGATTCGGGGGCTGTGTTGCTGCGACCAGAGCCAAAATGAAACCGAAGCCGATGGGCCATGGTGACCAGGGGGGCCAGGAGGGCTAGGGCAAGCGGCAACAACAGGCCCGACACTGCCAGAAGTCACAAACCAAAGACACAAATTCCAAGAAAAAGTGTCCCATCTGCCAAACTGTTAGCACTGCGGCACCGGGAGCGACAGATAGCAGAAATAACCCAAGTGGCAAGCGGCATTCCAGGCATGATTGGATAAGAGCAAAAAGCTCTCATCCACACTGTGACAGAGGGTAGGGTGGCCAGAACCACATGACCGCGCTCTCCCCCTCCAATGCCAGCTTCTGGACTTAGAGGAGTTTTCCCCTACTCGCTCTTTTTTTTTTTTTTTAAACAGCAAGAGCCTGAAACAGCACCTTCCCAGCTGCTGCTTTTCCATCAGAAAGGAGTGGCCCCAGCAGGGCGCTCTCACAGCTGACTAAGGCAGCAAACACACTGCAAGCCACGCTGCTATAAATCTAAACCACATCACATTCGCAGGGCACTTCTTTCCCAACGGAGCACAGCACTGAGACTCTGTCTAACCAGTGCAGGGACCTGGCATGTTTAACAGCACACACGGTATTTTCCCACCTTCCGCCACACGGAATAATGACAAGTAAAATATGGCTTGGCCACCGGGTAAACCCCTTCCCAAGCATCGGATACCATGTTTCTGTTATTTATGACATCACTACACTACCAGGATGGAATGCAAACTAATAAAACAGTACTATAAATACGATTACACACCCTACAGAGTTAGTGTCCGTTTAATGCTAAATAATTAGAGCAGGATCTACAAGTAACAAAATAGCTAAGTGGAGGGGAGGGGGCCCGACTTGCTACACAACCAGTTAGCCAAGCAGAGCCCTCCTGCTATCACAGCATTTTTCATTTAAAAGGTGTATACGTGTGTGTAGCTCACATATGACTGGCAGACACCAAAGTGTCTCCTTTTCAAAGAGAAAATGAACCCAGCTGGAGAAAACATTGTCTTCCATATGTCAGGTAGGAAAGAAAACATCAACCAAAAAACAAACAAACAACAAAAAACAAAAGGAAAATTGAAGAAGGGAGTGCATGTGGGCTTTTTTTTTTTTTTTTGGTAATAATTTAACTTAAATACCACACAGAAGAAATGCTACCTAGAGCTGACTGTTTTCCAGTAAGAAGTCAGCAATATTACCACAGTTGGGACACAAATATGGAATCTTACTATGTTTGCAAAGGACCAAAAAGGACCTAAGAAATAAAAGGAAAAGTGCACACTCAAAAAACTGTCATCAGATTTGTAGTTAGCTTGGAAATATTCTGTATTTTAAACTTACTATTTTCTATGATCCAGAAACATCAATTATTTAACAAAGAGGTTTATTTAGAGGAGGTAAAAAAAATAGGAGGGGAAAATACCAAGCTGTAAGAGTAACAAAAAGTTTATTTTAAAATCTGCAAAGCATGACTTTGTCAACAGCTCTAGCATCCAGAGTGTGGTGGATTAACCCTGTGTTTACATACATCCAAATCTGTTTTCTAAAAGTATGTGTTTTAAATGCCAAAAATGACCTCTATGAGAGAAATGGAAGCTAGTCTGTGTAATGCTAGAACTTCCAAGTACTACCATAGCCACATATTGTCTCCGCTGGGTTAATAGCCAACAAAGAAAAAAAAAAAAACAGCAACACCAGCATTCTTTGCATAGTAACCACACTGCAGATGGCCTGGGGCAAAACTAGGCATCAATATTATAAAACACAATTTTTCAGATATAGCTTGTATTCATACAAGATTTCTTAAAAGTTTTGTATTCAAAGTCCTTTTTGGTTTGGAAGTATGATTTCAGACCCAGGGCAAGATCACCTCAACTACAGTCATTATTTCAGATACGGAAATGGGAAACAATTTTTTAACAGTGAATTTCTCTTAATAGAAGAGAATAATGAACTAAAACACATCAAACAAGAGGCCATTTTTCCTCAAATTTGACCCTTTCCTCATGTTAAACAAGAGATATTATACTCAATAATTGGAGAATAAGGATTAGTCTACAGACACACCCATGTCTCCAGGAACGTACTGTTATACTACTCAATACTGCTTAACTCACTTGGTCCTCACTGGATGAGAGATGGAGAGACAAGAACTGCACCCTCAGCAGAATCTCTCATCCAATTTCACAAGAAAGTACTTTGATGCATACAACAAAAGTGGTTTAGTTACACTGTACGACTGTTCATCACCCAACATCCCATACTTTAATGGAAAAGATACTAGGATGGTAGGCCAAAATCTGTTAGTTTTCTCTTTTGGAGAATAATACTAATCATATGAGATTCAATACATTCCCAAACTATCACTGGGCTGGGACTTAGGAGGCCAGCAGGTCAGACCCTGGCACCTCCACTGACTGATGTGTTTATGTAAAGGCTCTAGACCTGGTTCTTCTCATCGACAACAACAGGAGTTAAATGAGTTATTGTATAAGGCTCCTCCAATTCAAATATTCTATTAACGTCCAGCTATTAAAAATCTGGAGTTTCAATTGAATACTGCAGAAAGGATTCTTAAGAACACCTTTTAACCAGTCAACATACCATACAAGTTTCAGAGAGGGTAAATTTGAGAATGACTGCACTGAATTATAGTGTCACTTCTGAAGGTACCTTAAGGACTTAACATGATAGTGTTCATTTTCATAGTTGGAACACCTGGTTCACAGCTACTTGATGTACACGTTTTAGATAGTTAAGAAAGCAAAATGTGCTTCAAAAATTCCATTTCTAAAATGAAATCTGGCCAGGCATGGTGGCTCATGCCTGTAGTCCTAGCTATCCTGGAGTCCTGCTTGAGCCCAAGGGTTTGAGGTTACAGTGAGCTACGACTGCACCACTGCACTCCAACCTGGGTGACAGAGGGAGACCCTCTCTCTAAAAAAAATTAAAAACAATAAAATGAAATCATAATTATTTCAGTTATGTATGTGTCGATCTTCATAAACATATTATATATACATCAATCTATATATAAAATGTTAGTTTGTATCTGTTATATGCCTCAGGCATATCTTTGTTTCTTTAAAGGTACTTTCTAAGGTTCTCTCTTAAGAAGGCAACCACTTTTAAAATACGGCTTGACTTTACCTGCTAAATGTAGATTCACTTTTTGCTATACGTTGTTAATTAGATTGTTATTTTCCCTGAGAGAATTACCATAGATTTGCTACTGAATGCATCCCAGTACTATGGTCTGGCTTTCATTTAAAAACCGAGCAAAGTTTGTTTACATTCCTGATGGCCTCTTTAGAGATCTGCCTACCGTTCTGTATTCCCAACATTAGAGCATGAGCATATGGGCTGGTACTATCACCAGTGGCTTTCGTTAACATTAACTGCAATAAAAATACACACACATACAAATACATTTTTTATCCTAGCAACATAAAACTATTTGTTAGGATTTTGAACATCAAACTCGTAGTGGGACAAAAACAGTCTTCTTTTTGGGCACATATACTGTCCTAAGTACAACATAAACACAGAGTTTTAAAGACGCTGCTCTGAAAATCCAGTTAATAAAAAAATGAAGCAAAATTCAAATACAGGCATCCACTTACCAGTCTATTTTCGTCAAATACTTCAAATAGGAGTCTGTGATTAGATGGGTTTACCTATAAGGAACATAAATAGTATTTTTTAAACGAGCAGGAATCATTTGAACAGCGACGTAAGGAACAGAAAGAATAACATACTGCTTTACAATGCGCCCAACTCAATTGTATAATATGAACAATTATCCTGCTGTTCTGGGAATTCTATGTGTACTAAATCAAATTTCCTATTACTGATTTCTATATTATTCTGCCCCAAATTTAGGCATAGCAAAAGAAGAGAAGGCTCTTAGCTGTTTTTCTAAAATAAGAAAGGATAGTTGTAAATAGCTTTGACGGGTTCCTAACCTCTGTACAAGGCATTCTCATGACTGTAGATCAAAAAATGTCTATGCCTGAGGATATTTCTTAGTCCTGATAGCAGTAATAGTAATGATAAAAATAATGAAGAAGATTGTAATAGCTTAAGAATGTATCTGTGTGTGTGTGTGTGTAGAGAGAGACACACACACACACATACACACAAACACACAGACAGACAGACAGAGACAGACGGTCTTGTTCTGTTGCCCAGGCTGGACTGCAGTGGCATGATCATGGCTCACTGCAGCCTCAACCTCCCAGGCTCAATTGATCCTCCTGCCTCACTCTCCTGAGTAGCTTGGACTACCATGCCTGGCTAATTTTTGTATTTTTTTGTAGAGATGAGGTTTCACCATGTTCCCCAGGCTGGTTTTGAACTCCTGGGCTCAAGCTATCTGCATGCCTTGGCCTCTCAAAGTGCTGGGATTACAGGCATGAGCCACTGTGCCCAGCCTGTGCACTTACTTTTTAGGCACTGTCTTGTTATTAAATATCAACAACCCATGATCTCCTTTAATCTTCACAGCAATCCTATGATGTATAACTATCACGCAATTTTATAAATGAGGAGCCGAGACCCTGAGGTTCAGTGAAGTAACTTGCCCAAGAGCCCACAGCTAATGTGTAGGGCAACCAGGACCTGCACTAGGTCTATGCTGCCTGTCTCCAGAGCCTAGACTGTGAACCATGAGAGAGACCTGGAACTGTGAGGCAATGACAGAGCTACTGGGCTTTCCATATCTTTTTGCTTCCTTTTCCTTACCAAAACCTCACCAAAATGGCCCATATCATCTTCCAAACTCAGGTATCATTTACTAAGCACCAACCACATGTGTGACATAGAGCTACATGTTCTCATTTACATCATCGCATGCAAATCCTTGAAACAACCCTTGCAGGTAAGGATTCTCTCTCCTATGTGAGAGATAAGGATCCCAGGGAGATTGAGAGTCCTCAGGTGGCCTTTCCAGGGTCACAAAGGCTCTAAATGGTAAAGCAGAGAGGTGACCTAGGCCCTGGCTGCTTCATGGTGGGGAATGCATGAAATAACACTTGACCATACAAGCACAGAGAGCTCAGCTTGTGCTTCTGGTCCGTGGTCTGCCTGCAGCCTAGCGACAGAACAAGCAGATGGGGTTTGCTATCTGTTTAGAAGCTCTATGAAGGGTCACACTGCTTACCAATGCAACCACAGGCTACAGGCAGGAGCTGGCACATAATAGGCACTCAATAAAGATTTGTAAAATGAATAAATATAAAGACCTTAAGAACCTGTAATCCCAGAACTTTGGGAGGCCAAGGCGGGCAGATCACGAGGTCAGGAGAGTGAGACCAGCCTGGCCAACATGGTGAAACCTCATCTCTACTAAAAATACAAAAATTAGCCAGGCGTGGTGGTACGGGCCTATAGTCCCAGCTACTCAGGAGGTTGAGGCAGGAGAATCACTTGAACCTGGGAGGCAGAGGTTGCAGTGAGCTAAGATTGTGCCACTGCACTCCAGCCTGGTGACAGAGTGAGACTCCATCTCAAAAAACAAAACAAAACAAAACAAACAAACAAAAAAAACCTTCAGAAAAACTAACAAAAATAGAACTTAAATGTGCCTACTGCCAAGATTAGCTGAAAAAAGTATGGGATGTACTAACATTTATGTAACTGTGCCAGTGTTCCACTGAAAGGAGTCTAAACACTTTGGAGGTTCACAAGTGGAAAGCTATATTTCAGAGTTAACTAAAGGCCAACAGCATCTATCAGCTCCTATTAGCTTTTCAGTCCTCCACAGGGTAATTTCAAATACATCTGGTGGAGGCTGTACATAGGATTTCACCAAGTATGAAAGTATCAGTGCCATATTTCAGCTCTGAGCATAATGGAAAGCAGATGCTGTATGTAGTAGCCCAAGTTTGGAGCACAAAAAATACTATTGCGATTGAGAGGAAGAAATCAGGACCAATTATAATGGGCCTCATGGCAATACTGGCCTTTGGAAATCTGCACTAATCAGAAGACCTGGATTATTTCTGGAGGTAAGCAGTTTTTAATATCACAGCTATACAATTAAGATACCTTCGTTTTGAAGAGAAAGTCCTTTCTTTCAATTAAATAGCTAAGCAGTCTAATAGTTCCAAAATGTCAGTAGTAAAACACAGCAACAACCACAAATGCTCAATAAGCAGAAATCTCTGCTAATTCACATATTTCAGTCATTTCGACATATAGCTATTCTAAATATTAAATATAAAAGGTTGAGGAAATCTTACCTAATTCTGTTGTATTTAGATTCCAGAAGTAATTTTATATTATACACATATATATGCACTCAAGTGTTTCAGTTACCAAAATTTTCCTCCCTAACTAGAATATAACTGGTAATTTTTATGTTTCTTTTTAATCATGTTGCCTCTACTGTTTTACTCTCTCTAAAATATTTCATAACCCGTCTCATAGAATTAAACCATTCTCATAAATGATATTTTATCTTATTTCTTAAAGAAAGGTTTGAATTCAAAAGATGAAACATGGTGTTTGGATAATTTTCTTTTGACTTCTCCAAAACACTCCCCAATGAAACAAGTCCGGATTCTGTGACCACTACTTCTAGTCTTTCAAAATTTGGGACACATTAGGAGGCTACCTATTTTTCATCCTAAAAGGAATTTCTCATTAAAAATTTAAGAGCTTTTCCTCAAGATGAATTGACTGTGATAATCGACCTAGACGTATCAATAACAATTATTACCAAACAATGAAAAACTTACCCTGAAATAAAATTCTTCATTCCATTTTGGGTTCAGTGTCTGGAAGAGAAATTATCTTGTAGTATCTTTTAGTCTTTCAAACATTAGCAGTTACTAGTACAATACAGTCTACATATTTGCTTAAACATTTTTTTGATTAAAAAAAGCTAAGAGAAGCATTTAGTCGATTATTTGAGACTAGCGTACAAACCAAACTGGAGGGGGAGGGAATGTATTTATGAAACAGATGCTTCATAGGTATGAAACCTTAAACTGCTTCTATCACCAGAAGGAAAAACATCAAAGGCCTGGAAAGAGTCATCGTGAAAATATAAAAAATTTCTTCAAGAAATTAGCATTGATATGATTATTCTACCAAGAAGGAAATGAACTTTGTTGACTTCCCTCTCCCTGCTACAAATCTGTTTTGCAGAGTAACGAAGCAGGTGGGGGAAAGTTGAATGTGTTCATTGTTTATATAAATATTGAAATCTTAACATTTTATAGAGAGCTATACTGAGGATCAGATTTTATAACAAGAAAAAAAAAGACCAAATGTAAGCCAAAAGTGAATTATTTTTTTCTCCAAAAATAACCAGGTTAAAAAATACTTGTCTACTTATCCTTCAGTCTTCCTCTCCATTCATCCATCTGTTCATCTTTCTATCAGTCTACTTAAATGTACATCTCACAAGGAGATGGCAAGGATACCTTTGTCCTCAGCATGGAAGAAAGGACTGCCAGATATCCCCCAAAACTAAGAGGAAGCATGTTCTAGGAAGGAAGACTGTACATGTGTGTTCATGCATCTGCACATGCATAAGCCTCTTAAAGACAGCTCTTAAAAATTGTATGTAAAAAAAAACCATCACTTCACCAACAGCGATAGATATTTTTAGTCAAAATGATATTTATCAATCTATTTCCTTTAATAGATCAGTTCAGGGAGATGAAAAAAATCAACAGAGTGCAACATAAAAATAGGAAACACAGAGCTCACACAACACTGAACCGGCGTTTTCAAAAATTCAGCACTTTCCCCACCCACAACTCCACAGTGAATTCAATCCTAAATAATGGGGTTCATACTTTTCTCCCATGTGAATGAAGCCAAGGATGGTAATGAACGAGGGGAGGGGAGTGGAGCAGCAGGCCTGGCCTGCCTCTGGCTGCAGTCCCGGAGGGCAGCTTCACGGAAATGCACATGGGAAATGACAGGCGAGGAAAGCAACAAGACAGGAGAGCACAAAACGAACGAAGAACCAGTCACAACACGGCAAGGAGAGGAGGATGACGGCAGTTCTCGCACCCGAACGCAGCAGAGGCATACGAACCAGGAGGCGGGCAGCAGGAGAAGGAGGGCAAACCCAGCTACAGAGCTACTCCCTCGACCGTGGAAAGGGAGGGAGAAGGAGGACCTCCCTTTGGAAGGAAATCCATTGCAATAGCCCCAGTCGCCGGCTTTGGTCCTGGCTCCACATCCAGCAGGCAACCAAGTTTCCCAGCTGCCTTCCTGGTGAGCCTTCTAGACAGCCCCCACTCGCCTAGAAACTGAACCAGCAACAACGCCTAACACAGGGAACAATGGCCTCCGTCCCTCGCAGGCATCCTCCCTGCTAATCAAAAGACTGGCTCCTGTTTGCAAAACAGATTTTTAATGCCAGTCCCAATGCCAAGTGGAGGACACGCTGCAGTTACGGTTCCTTACACAAAAGGACCTGGCTGCATCCTGGGTGCCTGCATGGCAGCAAGACAGTTACAATTTTTTAAAGCACTCATGCTGTCCAGAAAATGTTCAGCAAAGTGTTAGACTATCTAAGCACCCGCCTCTAAAGGAGGTAAGGAAAAAAATCATAGTAACCCATAAATGATACTAAAGCACAGATGAAAGGGGTTTGTTTTGTTTTTTGGGTTTTTTTTGAGACAGGTTCTCATTCTGTCACCCAGGCTGGAGTGCAGTGGCATCATTATGGCTCACTGCAACCTCAATCTCCCGGGCTCAATTGATCTGCCAGCCTCGGCCTCCAAAGTGCTAGAATTACAGCCATGAGCCACCACATGCAGCCAAGTATTTTTAATAGAGAACATGCATCTTCAATAAAGCCTCCAAACATAGGGTAAAAAATATTTACATATATATATATTACATATGTCTATAAATACATGGAGATAGGCAAATTAAGACATACTTATTGGCTAGGCACAGTGGCTCACATCTGTATTCCCAGCACTTTGGGAGGCTAAGGCGGGTGGATCACCTGAGGTCAGCAGTTCCAGACCAGCCTGGTCAACATGGCAAAATCCCACGTCTACTAAAAATACAATAATTAGCTGGGCATAGTGGTGCACACTTGTAATCTCAGCTACTCAGGAAGCTGAGGCAGGAGAATCACTTGAACCCAGGAGGCAAAGGTTGCGGTGAGCTGAGATTATGCCACTGCACTCCAGCTTGGGTGGACAGAGTGACACTCCATCTCAAACTAAATAAATAAATAACTAAAAGACATACTTATGGAAACAAATTTTTAATGAAATCATGTACATAAAAATTAGGAAAATAAGATATATACATACATGTATAGCTTTATTATTAATATATTTTCTCTATTTCCATGTAGCTAACCAAGTATTTTGCTTCCTTTAGAAATAGTTGTTTCAAGTTAAACTATTCCTGGTGTGCCTACCAATTCCACAAACAGCTCCATTTCATTAAATGTATTTTAAATTACTTTAAGTTTCTTTGTGAAACATACAAAGACAAAAACAAATCCTTGTTTTTGCTGTATTCTGTGCAAGAAAAAATGTTACAACTTATGACATTTTCAGGATACTGTTTTTGTAGGCATTTAAGTAAAAACCTGAATCACTATCTTGGGTTAGTACTGAAAAGTCTTGGAAAACTTCTAGATTTAATACTGAAAGACACTTAAAATGAAAATACAGTATATAAGACAAAAAGTGGGCTGGGCACGGTGGCTCACACCTGTAATCCCAGCACTTTGGGAGTCCACGACAGGTGGATCACCTGAGGTCAGGAGTTCAAGGCCAGTCTGGCCAACATGGTGAAACCCTGTCTCTACTAAAAATACAAAAAAAAAAAAAAAAAAAAAAATAGCCAGGCATGGTGACAGGTGCCTGTAATCCCTGCTATTCAGGAGGCTGAGGCAGGAGAATCACTTGAACCCAGGAGGCGGAGGGTGCAGTGAGCTGAGAACATGCCATTGCACTCCAGCCTGGGCGACAGAGTGAGACTCCATCTCAAAAAAAAAAAAAAAAAAAAAAAAGAGAAAAAGTGATGCACTTGTATATGGCAGCTCCATTATAATCTCACGGGACTATCACTGTGTAAGTAGTCCATCCTTGACCAAAAAGGTGTTAAGCAGCACATGACTGTGCATAATTGGATTAAATTATGACTTAAATGACATTTGGTTAAAGATCGACACCTACCTTTTTAATTGTTTTTGTCTGGACCAAAGCAAGTTCTCTATTCTCATCCGCTACGTACAATGAAAGTTTCACATACGGATCACTGTAAGAAAATATTTTAGATTTAATAGGATTATACTTTTCATTCAAAAGAGAAAACAGTGGAACCTAAATGAAAATACAAATATCAGTTAAAGTCTCAGCTTGTATTATTTCCACAAACTAAGCAATAACCTTTTTAACATATCTACTAAGTCAATACACTTGGAGTAAAGTTCCTATCAAAACCAGTGCCAATAATGTTTACTTAGAAGCTAAAAATATATATAATTTTAAAGACAGAGTCTGAAAAGATTACAAGAAAGATTAAAACGCACACAGATTTTGTTCAGACTTTACAAAATTTAGCTAGAAAATTTGGTTTAGGTCTTATCCATATTCTTATTTCTAGCGTCTAGGTAATTAGTGGAGGTAAAAGAGCCATTGTTCATGTGACCCAACACCTACCATTTTACAGATTAAAAACCAAATCAAGGCTGGGCGAGGTGGCTCACACCTGTAATCCCAGCACTTTCAGAGGCAGAGGCAGGTGGATCACCTGAGGTCAGGAGTTCAAGACCAGCCTGGCCAACCTGGTGAAACCCTGTCTCTACTAAAAATACAAAAATCAGCTGGGCATGGTGGCAGGTGCCTGTAATCCCAGCTACTCAGGAGGCTGAGGCAGAAGAATCGCTTGAACCTGAGAGACAGAGGTTGCGGTGAGCCAAGATCACACTACTGCACTCCAGCCTGGGCTACAGAGCAAGACTCTGTCTCAACACCCTCCCCCCAAAAAAAAGACAAAAACAAAAACATAAAAAAACAAATCAAAACAAAACCCTAGAAAACTAAAGCCTAGAAAGTCAAGAGAGATTTGCCTAAAGTTATAAATTTGAGTAGTCTAGATTAAAGTTCAGGTTTCTCGACTACAAGTCCCAGAATTCCTTGTACACATCACATTATCTTTAATCATTATTTCCTTGGGAAAGGAACTTTTAGCAAGATGTATATTTCAAAGGATTACTGCGGACTATCTACTAAGAGGTTAAGTCTAGTCACACTTTCAAGTATTGCTAGCCCTGGGGTAGCTCAAATCTAATCAAAATATCACTTTGCAAGAATTTAGGGTATAGAAGAATTTATTTTGCTTCATACTTGAGATCCTGAAAATCATAAAAAGGGCTCTCATGTATTCAATCTCTAAATTCTCACTTATCTAGTTATGTATAGCCAAAAACTGATTGCTATCAGTTCATCAGATTAACTTTATGTAATTTCAGAACTGCCCGTTAGTGGCTATACTATGACTATTAACCCTTATTTTGCAATGTCTAAGATATTTCCAAAGATTACATCAAGTATCTTAAAATGCTGAGACTGTACTGATTTCTATTTGATATTTCAAATAATAAATATGCCATGAAATCCTTTCACAAGGAAGTATGATAAAAGTTTGGTAGTAACAAGGCTATACTCAATATCTAAAAAATCAAAAGTCTGAAAAATATTGTTAGTACACATATGTGTGTTCACGTGTGTATTTATTACCCATAAGATGTATCTGAATGGAAGCTACAAAACATATCCTAAAAAAATTAGCAACATGATTTGTTCAGTTATACTCCATTATGAGTAAATATTTTTTATTTTTTTTTTACATTATGGTTTGGAAGGTATTAGTTAATCTTGCCTCTTTTCTGTAAGCTGTAAACCTTTATTTGGTTAAATAACATCTAAGCGGATGCACCTACTTCTCCTTCTATGGACACCCTCAGCCTTAGAAAAAGATGGATCAAGAGCCGGCACCTAGCCCAGGTCAAAGCTCCCATAAGCACCTTCCTAATGGGTGCCCATGGGCTGGCAGATGAATCAGGCGTCACTTTCCAGGGGAGTGAGGCTCAGGCTTTAGCATATCAGATTCACCTGGGGGAGGGGGTGATTAAAACACAGATAACTGGGCCCCGCTCCCAAATCTGAATTCAATCCGGGGTAGAACCCAAGAATCTGCATTCCTAACACATTCCCAGTGATACCAAGGCTCCTGATCCAGGAACCACACTCAGAGAACTACTGTTCTAGATGGCATTTGAAAAGAGTATTTTCTAGCTACAGAAACTAAATTTTCAATTTCCAGCCACAATCTATTGCTTATAAAAGAGCTCAAGGCCTGATGATCATGTTACCTCCAGATAATGTGCCGTGGAGATGCATGCAGAACACACGTGCACACACACGCACATACAGAATCCACAGTTATAAAGAATACCATAAACTCTGTTGCTCTCATTTTTATGCCCCTCAGCTATCATGATTGCCGGCTATTATATAACTGCAATAAAGAGCTAAGCATTTCCTGTAATAGAACATCCACATTCTTCCACTGGTGGTTCATTTACCTCAGTCTGTATCCCTTGAATAGCTCACAATAATCGACACATGCAGCTGGGGACTGTGGGTGGGATACTTAGGTGTGGGACACCATATCTTCCAGCAGTAATAAAGAAGTCAGGTGGGAATATGTAACATCTTGAGTGCTCATCCAGGTAGGTACTAAGGTATGATCAACTCTATGGAAGATCGATTAGGAAACTCCCTGAAAGAGAGTTCAGCCTGAAGAGAGAACCAAAGGCCAACATCTTGGAGCTGGCTACAGGACAGTAGGATGTAAGCTCGAGGGGAGGAGAGGGTTAGGCGCAGTGGCTCACGCCTGTAGTCCCAACCATTTGGGAGGCTGAGGCAGGCAGATCGCTTGAGCCCGGGGGTTCAAGACCAGCCTGGGCAACATGGCGAAACCCCATCTCTACAAAAAAATACAAAAAAAATGTAGCTGCGTGTGGTGGCATGCACCTGTAGTCACAGCCACCACAGAGGTTGAGGTGGGAGGACTGCTTGAGCCTGGGAGGTGGAGGCTGCAGCGAACCGAGATTGTGCCACTGCACTCCAGGATGGGCGACAGAGTGAGACCCGGACAGAGTGAGACCCTGTCTCATTCATTCATTCATAAATAAGAAGAGGGGGAGAACGGGTGCCCAGATTGCTCTCAGGCTCCTCCTCCCTTTCAGCTGGTACTTAACCACTCTTAACTTCAGCCTGCTCATGAATGAAATGGGAATGACAATTCCTAACTCAGGCAGTTTTTGCAAAGACCAGAGAAAATCATGTATTAATACTAGTACCCAGCACCATTCCAAACATACAATACAAATGCCCCATAAATGACAGCCAAGGTAACTGTTCTTTGCTTCCTCTCTTAGGAGACGTGTGAGGTTCTCTGTTGCTCCTTTTGACTCCCAACTCCTGCTACAATGACTGATTTGACACTGATTACCTCACAGTACACACTGGGTGCTGGCCAACTGCAGCATGCTACGTATTCCACGCCTCCTCATTATTCATACAGTGTGGAGGTCCCACGGGATCTGGGTAGAGATGATCAAACTGGGACTCTTACTCACAATGAAGCTCATCAGAATTCACTCTTGGCATCAAGTTACCGTTCTAGTGGCTGCTGCTGATACAACTCAGGGCTAGCATGAATATGACTCTCTAGGAAGCTCAATGCTACGCAAGAACATGTAGATTAAAAGGCAAATTCTATTTTGCAAACTTTTTGTTTTCTCTGCTTAGTGAAGCTGCTTAGACATCACATTCTACCTTTCAGTCTTTCCAAGGAGATAGTAAACTGGTACTAGGATTCAAGCAACCTTCTATTTCCTGAGTGCCTACTATATGCCAAGAAAAGAGACAGGTTCCAGAAACAAAAGACACTGTCCCTATCCAGTTGAAATGGAACATAGAGAAATGAAAACATGATTGTGACAGAGTGTGCCAAGCACCCAGGAAAAAAGCAGTCAGCAGCAGTGGTCCCTGACTTCCCGTGCAAATCTGGGTACCTGGCCCCACCCCAGACCTGCTAGTCAGAATCACTAGGAGTCTACATTTATTGAGTGTCTCATGTGATTTCTATGCACTGGTCCATCCAGATACCACTGCCAGATGGAGTCTGAAGGCACACATAGAACCGGGAGGCATGAGGTGGAAAGATCACAGGCAGAGCTCCAGTGATAGGCTGGAGCTGGGGTTCAGAACATTAAAAAGTCTGGCATGGCTGCAGTCAGGAGGGCTCAGGGAGAAAAGACAGATGGAGAGGGAGCCCAGGCTCAAACCACAAGGAGTCGGCCATTCCTGCAGAGCTCAAACCCTGGGTCTTCATCAATTAGTACATGACTTTGGGAAACTTACATAGCCTCTCTGTGCCTCAGTTTTACCATCTATGTAATGGGTATAATAGTAGCACTTCCCTTATAAAAAGCCTGTTAGAAGACAAATTATAATAGTGCTTGGCAGGAGTATAGTGAGCACTTAATAAATGTTAGCTGCTGGCTGGGTGTGGAGGCAGGCGCCTGTAATCTCAGCACTTTGGAAGGCCGGGGTGGGCAGATCACTTGAGGTCAGGAATTCCGGACCAGCCTGGACAACATGGTAAAATCTCGTCTCTACTAAAAATACAAAAATTAGCTGGGTGTGGTGGTGTGCATCTGTAGTCCCAGCTACTCGGGGAGCTGAGGCATGAGAATCACTTGAATCCAGGAGGGGGAGGTTGCAGTGAGCCAAGATTGCACCACTGCACCTGGGTGACAGAGAATCTGTCTCTAAATACATACATACATACATAAATGTTAGCTGCCGCCATCATCCTCCTCATCGTGGAGTTGTCTAAATACAGAAAAATCATGATCATATTCATTAGAAGGAGATAAGACAGCAGGCAGTGGGACCCAACGGAAGGCCTCCGCGCCAAAGAATAAGAAAGCTCTGAATGCAGAGGTGGCAAAAATCAGAAAGGACTGACTACTCATCCAAAGGTGGACTCAAAAGAACAGGGTGGCCAACTGAATGTAGCAGGTAGGTGGGTCAGGAGGAGAGGGAATCCATGCCAACTCCAGGTCTCAGGCCTCTTGACAAATTGTGCCATTACACACGGGGCCCTAGAATCTTCTGCTCCATGTTCATAATGATGCATTTGTGTGTAAGTGTGCAAGGGCCTACCAAATAATGATGGCCTGAACTGTCTGTCCTCAGGGATCCTAATGATTTAGTGCCACTCCAACAAGAAGTTCGAGCATTGAGCCTGGCCTCCAAATCCACGTCAAGGTTGGGCAGACACCAAAATGCACCCTGAAGGATCTCAGGTTCCTCAGTATTTTTCACTGAGTAAACAAAATCCAAAAGAAAAACCACTTGGGAGGTTCTAGCTGTTCACTCACAAGTAAGACACCTCACTGTCACATAAAAGATTACATCTGAAAAAAAAATACAAGGGTGACATCACCTTAGAGATATGAGACATGCCAGGAATTGTGCATGAAATCAATGGCTAGGAAACAGACTCCCTGAACTAAAATGAAGTCATAAGGAGTCTGACAGATGCCAAGATACTCAGCAGGAAATCCTCAGGCACCTGCTCTCTCAGGAGAGGTCACCAAGAAATCCTGGTCAAAAATCCACTCGGATTTTGCAAAATTTCCAAGAGAAAAGCTTTTCAATTATTGTCTCTTTCATTCTCAACATAGAATCCAGTGCTGAAAATTCAGTTCTCTCTTCTGGGCCTCTGCTCCAGTTCTAATAGAGAGACTGCAGGCCTGCACTGATCTCAAATGGGTTTAAAGAATTCAGAGATGGAAATCTTATTCAAGGGTCTTGTTCCACCTTCATCACCATGAAGCAAAAGACAGCGCAGACGAGGTCATCTGTCAGGGAGAGTTGAGAATGAGATTTTCTGGGTTTGCTCCATTGCTCAACCCTTCTGGGACACACTCCACAGGGACAGTCGTCCTGACCAATCATTATTGGGGTAATGCTTAATCCTCTCCATTTGATTCACTGAAGTGTTCCATGTTCTTTCACACCTATTATTTGCTCATTTTTATCAGAATAAATAGTCTTTGCTGAGCTCCACATATTTTAAGGGGGCAGGGTCGTAAGGGGAGAGGGGAGGGCAGGAGTTGCCTCCAAGGGGCAAAATGTCAAGGGGGATTACATTCAGTCTGCAGCCAGATTGCAATGACACCCTGCCTTGTCTACCTGCTATAGAGGTGTTCTTCCAAGATACTTGGATAACAGAAGAACAACGAGAAAGGTCTTCATTTTTCAAGTGTGCCTCCAGAGGGGTGTCCCAACCTTAACCAAAGGAAGCAATAACTTTTTGCTGTAAAAGGAAGATGGTCAATATGGCACTGGGACAGCTTGCAAAAAGATTGTGTCTTTGCTCCCTATGGGCAAAGAGCAGAGGGCTCATGGATGCAGCATATTTCACAGCACTATACAGCAAATTTCTTTCGACTACCTGACACACTAAAGATTTAGCTAACCCACAGAAAGTTGCATTGCAAAACCCGTTTTGTTAATGACAACTTGTTTTGTTGAAGGTTTCCTCATTCTTTTCCACTTTTACTGTTACCATCAAGTGTTACATAATAATTTCTATCCTCAATAAAGTAATAACACTTATAAAACATTTATAAACAATATAGAAAAAATCTAGAATGTGTGAGAAGAAAAATATCCATGAATACATGCAATAATATTGAAACTGAAGTTTTTATCTAACAAATTGTCAAAGATTGAAAAAAGGTAATACTTTCTAAAGAGAGGCAGACATTTAATACTCTACTACTGGAAGGAATAATTATTATATCTTTTCTGGGAAACAACATGGCAGAAGTATCAGAAGCATTCAAAGGGTTGATGCCCTTTGATTCATCAAATTTATTTCTAAGGATTAATCCCAAAGAAGTAATCAGAGAGGCAGGTAAATATTTACTGGTAAAAGGTACTCATTACAGCATCATATATAATAAGAAAAAATTAGAAGCAAACTTCCAGTCCAATAATTGGGAAGCAATTAAATAAATTATGGTACAATCATATACTAGAATATTATAAACCCCTAAAATCATGTTAGGCTAAAATGTTAATAGTCATTCTCTCTATATGATGTTTACGAATGGTTTATTTTTCCATTTATGGTTTTTATTAAGTTTCTACTGTAAGCAAGTACTACTTTTATGAGTATAAAAAAGTTATCAAAAAACTAATAACAGTTACATATACACTTCAATGAGGTACTGAACCCTGTAATTTCATGGCCAGCCTACATCTCAATAACAAACCCTAAAGGGCTTCAAATATTTTGTTTGCCCAGAAAATTGACCTAAATAGATGACTACTGAAAAATTTTGAAAACAAAACGTACATATCTTTCAGCCCAAGATTTACTGAAAGGTATGAAGCATAGTTTAAAATATATCACTCATCACCAATACTGGCAATGAGCCACTACTCTTAAATATGTACAATTTTCCAGCAAAAATAAGAGATTAATGGGTTAGATTACAGTCAAATGCATTCTTCACCTAAGCAGCTAAAAAAGACATTAAAACTTTATTGCTTAGGCATAGTCTCTGAAGCTGCCGAAGAACACACTTTTGGATGCTTCCATTATGATGGTTTTGTTGTTTGGAGCAACTAGTGGTTTACCTGCATTCTAAAACCTTCCCAGCCACTCGAGTCTTGAAATCTCTAGCCAGGACCAACTCTGGCCTTGCAGCCCCCCTTGCCATCCATAACTAGTCACTTGAGGGTCCCAACCTTGGGTCACAGAGACCCCTGGGAGACAGGGGGCAACTGTATGTGCATCTATCTCTAACACATATATACACAGCTCTGATGATATCTATATAGCTATTTATATAGGCATCTACATAGAGATCATCAGAGCTGTGTACACATGTGTTGACTAATAAAATATGTGCTAATAAAAATATTTTATTAATATGTGGTGACTAATAAAAATGTTTAAATATTTAAGCTTAAATAGTTTGTTAAAAAATTTTGTTCCCTTATCTTTTGGTAGTAAAAATGTTGTTCAGTGGAAGTCACAAAAAGGAAGATTTCACCTATAAATTACTGAAATATCCCTTCAGTCACCAAAGAAAATGACAATCTGTGACTTGTCTTTATTGCCAGCATATTTTCTTATGCCTTTTCCCCATATATGTGCAACTACCAGAGGTTAAGAAAACAGCTCTTTCTTTTATGTTATTAATAATAGAGCCAAGAGAGATAGCAACTCACAAGGCTATAAGGAAACGGGGAAACAAAAACTGTTCCCTTTTTGGAAACTGTTTCACAATTGATTTTATTCCTCAGATAGTCAAGGAGCATCCACCATACACAAGGGACTGTGGTGGGCACCAAAGTGGGGGGCGGGGAATAGAGGTAAACAGACACAGACCCTGCCCACAAAAAGACTGTCTACCCCTCCTCCAGAGGAACCAAAATCAGACAACAGTGTTTCTAATGCAGATTTTGCCTTTGTGAAAGGTGGCGATATATATATTAAGAGCTCGAAGAAGCTGATAAATGACAATTATTGTTGTTATTATTATTATTATTATTATTATTTGAGATGGAGTTTCGCTATTGGTGTCCAGGTTGGAGTGCAATGGCATGATCTTGGCTCACCGCAGCCTCTGCCTCCCAGGTTCAAGCTATTCTCCTGCCTCAGCCTCCCGAGTAGCTGGGATTACAGTCATGCGCCACCATGCCGGGCTAATATTGTATTTTTAGTAGAGATGGGGTTTCTCCATGTTGGTCGGGCTAGTCTTGAACTCCCTACCTCAGGTGATCCAACCACCTTGGCCTCCCAAAGTGCTGGGATTACAGGCGTGAGCCGCAGCGCCCAGCCAATGACAATTATTTAAGGATGATCTGAAACGTAGGAAAAACTATGAGCAATGGTCATAACTTCCAGGATCATTAAGCAGCTTCTGGGTGCCAGCACCGTGCCTGGTGCCTCAGAGACATCATCGCTCATCCCTACAACAACCTTGGCAAGGAAGATCTTAGAGTCTCCCTTTCATGGATGTGTAAAAGAAAAGGAACGGCTGTGAGGCCAGGAGGCAAAGAAAAAAATTCCAAGACAAGATCACCACAGTCCGTGAATACTTCCTCTCATGAGTGAGTCTGGGAGGACACTGAGTCACCAGAACAGCCCACCTACTTCCCTCATGGTTAGAAGAAGAAACGTTAACCCAACCAGTACTTCATAAATTTTTTTTTCTTTTTTTTTTGAGACAGGGTCTCGCTCTGTCACCCAGGCTGGAGTGCAGTGGCAAGATCATGGCTTACTGCAGCCTCGACCTCCTGGGCTCAAGCGATCCTCCCACCTCAGCCTCCTGAGTAGCTGGGACTACAGACACACACCACCATGCCTGGCTAATTTTTAAAAATTTTTTGTAGAGACGAGGTTACTATGTTGCCCAGGTTGGTCTCAAACTCCTAGCTTCAGGCGATCTTCCTGCCTCTGCCTCCCAAACTGCTGGGATTACAGGCGGGAGCCACTACACTTGGCCAAAGACCTATGTTTATTTTTATTTTAATTTTTATTTATTTTTGAGATGGAGTCTCACTCTCTCGCCCAGGCTGGAGTGCAGTGGCACAATCTCAGTTCACTGCAGCCTCCGCCTCCCAGGTTCAAGCGATTCTCCTGCCTCAGCCTCCCAAGTAGCTGGGACTACAGATGTGAGCCACCACACCCGGCTATAAAGACATACTTTTAATTGTTTAATTATATTTTATCCTTTTTATAATAAACTGGCTCCTTCTATCTCCAGTTTATAAAGCACACAGCCTTAAAAGAAAACACCCACAGAGACACAGATTGTACTGGAAAACAAGTATGGGGACAGACTTCTGAACTAATTATTCCCTTGGAACCCTGAAAGTCAATTCCTTGACCAGTCTCACCCATGTCCTTGCAACTGAAAACAGTTCTGGCCAAGCACAGGAACTATGAACGTGATGTCAAAGTGGAGGCAACACCGAGCTGTGTCTAACTAAAAAAGAGAGCAAGTTCTAACGGCAGGAACTACTCAGGGAATTCATCCTGGATTAACTAACCAGGGAAAAAAAGATGCTTACTTTTAATTAATTCTGGCAGACATTGGTTCCCAGGACTCGGCTTGCACTTCACTTCCACTGTCACCGTATGCTCCTGGGATGCCAGGACTAGAGCTGACATGCAGAGGCACACGGTATCCCTTTTGCATTGCAGAGAGGGACGCTGCTGAGCACCTATGTGTGTCCAGTGCTCAGGACAAAGGTCTAGCCAAGGGAGACACTTTTCAAGTGAGTAAGCAACAATAAAACCTGTTAGCAGTGCCACACCGAGAGTGGGCCTCACAGGGTCAATGTACCGGACAGACAGTAAATTGAATGGTGGAGCTCACTGGTATACAATTATGTGTACTGGTAAACACTTCCTGTGTACTTAAGCATCAACCTCTTTGCCACTGAGTGTTTATATGAGCCAAGCACCGTCCTAAGCCCTTCCCGTACAATCTTTGAACACACCTGGGAACATTCTGGGCTTCTCGGTGGGGGAGTAACAACGGTGCCAGAAGTACCTCGGGAACTTATTCTACACTCAGCTCAGTTCTCACTGCAAAATCTGACTTGATTCTCACAGGCGAAATTGTCGGAGGGAAGGGATTCCTCCCTCACATGGAGTTAACAGGGGATGTGGCAGCTTCTAATGTCTGAACAGGCAGCCCCCCAGGTGACACCCATTCAGTGACACAGCTGCTGCTGATACACATTCCCAGGGGTACCAGGAAAGCCCTGAGGCAAGATCTTGAACTTGGCACTGGCCTAAACACAAACAAAGAATGGAGCTGCTCGTCTTGATCCATTCTCTATCTTATAAGATGGGGAACTATGTTCCCCCAGTATTTCAGAATGTGACCTTCTCTGGAAACAGGGTTTTCACAGAGGTAATCAAGTTCAAATGAGGTCACCAGGCACAGTGGCTCATGCCTGTAATCTCGCCCCTTTGGGAGGCTGAGATAGGAGGATCCCTTGAGCTCAGGAGTTCAAAGCCAGCCTGGGCAACATAGTGAGACCCTATCTCTACGATTTTTTTTTTTAAACTTAGCCAGGCATGGTGGCAAACACCCATGGTCCCAGCTACTCAAGAGGCTGAGGTGAGAGGATTGCTTAGGCCAGGGAGGCTGAGGCTGCAGTGAGCCATGATCATGCCACTGTACTCCAGCCTAGATGACAGAACAAGACCCTGAGGGAGGGAAGGAGGGAGGGAGGGAGAGAAGGAGGGAGGAAGGGGGAAAGGGAGGAAGGGGAAGGAGAAGGGGGGAAGGGAGGGAGGAAGGAAGGGAAAAAAAAGAAAAATATTTTTAAAAGAAAGAAGGAAGGAAGGGAGGGAGGGAGGCAGGAAGGGGGGAAGGAAGGAAAGAAAGAAAGAGAGAGAAAAAGAAGAAAGAAAGAGAGAGAGAAAGAAAGAAAAAAAGAAGGAAAAGAAAAGAAAAGAAAAGAAAGAAAGAAAGAAAGAAAGAAAGAAAGAAAGAAAGAAAGAAAGAAAGAAAGAAAAGGAAAGAAATGAGGTCATTAGGTTGAGCCCTGATCCAATATGACTGGTGTTCTTATGAACAGGGGAAAGGTAGACACAGAAACAAACAGGCACAGGCACAGAGGAAAGACGATGTGAAGATACAACGAGAAGATTGTCATTTACAGGCCAAGGAACAGAGAACGCTGCTGGCAAACATCACAAACTAGAAGAGCCAGAAAGGATATTCCCATAGGGCTCAGAGACAGCAGAATCCTGCTGACTCTTAATTTCAGACTTCTGGACTCCAACACTGATAGAAAATAAATTTCTGTTGTTAGCCACCTAGTTCATAGTGCTTTGCCATGGCAGGCCTAGCAAACTAATACTCCATTAAAGCCAACCTTTTTTGGAAACGCTTGGGAAAAAATGTGTTACAGAATTCTGACTTTTTGTCTCACTTTAGAAAGATAACTGATATGGTTTGGCTGTGTTCCCACCCAACGTCATCTTAAATTGTAGCTCCTATAATTCCCACATGTTGTGGGAGGGACCCAGTGGGAGATAATTGAATCATGGGGACAGTTTTCCCCATTCTTGTGATAGTGAATAAGTCTCAAGAGATCTGATGATTTTATACAGGGTTTCCCCTTTCCCTTGGCTTTCATTTCTCTCTTGTCTGCCGCCATGTAAGATGTGCCTTTTGCCTTCTACCATGATTGTGAGGCCTCCCCGGCCATGTGGAACTGAGTACATTAAACCTCTTTTTCTTTATAAATGACCCAGTCTTGGGTATGTCTTTACCAGCAGCGTGAAAACGGACTAATACAATGACTCAGTGATTATTCCAATTATTATTATTATTATTAGTTTGATTATTCTGATTATTGCATAGCATCCCCAGTAGGGGATGGGGCAGGGCCCATAAGTGAATGTTAATATCTGTGCAGCAAGAGGCACAAAGCATTGAATGAAGTGTTATACAAGATGCCTAGAATACTCTCAAATCTGTTCACATCAGGTTTTGCTCTCAAATCAATTTCCTACAAACCTGTAAAGATGTCTTTGGTTTTCAGGGCTTTTTGGACTTAGAAATGGCAGGTAAAGGATCGTGGATCTGCCCTAAGAACGCTTAAAATATGTGCCCTCCTCATGCCACCCTGCCAACCACGTTCAGCCTGCAGTCCAAAACACACGCCTACCTGTGAAATCCTAGAATTCCTCAGGGAGACCAAAGGGCAAAAGTTTCCCCTCAACTCTCAGAAAAACAACTTGCAAAATAAATGTTTAGAGAGTTTATCTTCAAGTCTATTAAATGTGCAAACAAACCACCAGACACCTGACTTTTCTGTTATTCTGAGTGCTGCACTTCTTGAAATTTTTTAAGCGAGGATAAAACAATTGTGTGATCACAGAAAGAAAAAACTATAATCAACAGAAAAAGAGCCACATTACGGTGATGCCCCCTATATCCCGACACAAGGGTGCCATAGGATATGTATTTTCTCCGGTTACACAGATCAATTACGGCAGGTACCCATGTTTGGAACCCCTGGGCCCATGCACTATCAAGAAGAAAGGGAGTTTATAGAAAGAATGAAGCCCACATCAGCATTAAAAGTCTTGGCTGGCCCACCAGCGTGAACTGTGGAATCCATTACTACACCTCTAAAGCTGGACACACACTGGAGATTTTTGCTTGTGTCTGATTCATCCAAAAAGGACACATTATTATATTTGGATCTCAGGGATCTCAGCCTGGTTAAATCCAATACAAATCTGAGGGCATTTTGATTTTTTAAAATCCTCTCTTAAGTTACTGTGTGTGTTAGACTGGATATTGAAGGACTTCTACAGAGAGTGCAGAGCAAGCTCTGTAATAATTAGTAGAGTGTTGTTCCTACACACCCTGCCCCACCTCGTCAGAGCACATGCTTGAGCATTACAAGTTTTTGCCTCTAGATGACACTGTTTTATGGGTGTATGTTTCTCCCTGTCCCTGTGACCGTGGAGAAAAAAGTGCTAAATAATCATGGGGTAAAGGCACAGGGGACACATCAAGATAATTTACATAGAACAAAATGCACCTCTCCTATAATAGCCATGGAGTCAGACCTCTGTTATATTTAACCAGCAGAACACAGGGTCCTTCCTTTACTTTTGCCCTATGCTTCCGACTTTCTATTAGGTGGGAAATGGAGAATCCAATTTAAACCACTTGTTGGCCAGGCACAGTGGCTCATGCCTGTGATCCCAGCACCTTGGGAGGCCAAGGCAAGTGGATCATCTGAGCTCAGGAGTTCGAGACCAGCCTGGCCAACATGGTGAAGCCCCATCTCTACTAAAAATACAAAAAATTAGCCGGGCATGGTGGCTCATGCCTGTAATCCCAGCTACTTGGGAGGCTGGGGTAGGAGAACTGCTTGAACCTTGGAGGCGGAGGTTGCAGGGAGCCAAGATCAAGCCACAGCACTCCAGCCTGGGCGACCAAGTGAGACTCTGTCTCAAAACAAAAACAAAACCACTTGTCAATAACAGCCACATCTGTTTGGTTTTCCAAACAGGTCAATCTAGTATCTTCACAGTTTTCAGGGTGCTCAGCCCTGGTGTCTATTCACTCATCCTTCATGCTTTCCCCCCATGGCCTTGGAAATCTTTGATTCTTCCAGGCTCCAGGCAGCCAGCACCTCCTTTCCCTCAACTCCCCAGGATGAAGCACCCCCATAATAACCAGCCTCTCCACTCTCTGAATTCCTACAGTCTGAATACTTAGACCACTCCCTTTTCCATGGAATCTTGTGTCTGTTGTTTGTTCCTTTTCTGTTCTTTTTTTTTTTTTTTTTTTTTTTGAGATAGGGTCTCGCTCTGCCACCCAGGCTGCAGTGGCACAATCTCTGCAGCCTGGATCTCCTGGGCTCAAGCAATTCTCCCACCTCAGCCCCTGTGAGTAGCTGGGACTATGGGCATGCTGCCACACATGGCTAATTTTTTTTTAATTTTTGTAGAGACAGGGGTTTTCCCATGTTGCCCAGGCTGGTTGCAAACTCCTGGCCTCAAGGGATCCTCCTGCCTCCACCTCCCACAGTGTTGGAATTACAGGTATGAGTCACCACGTCCAGACTTGTTTGTCCCTTTTCAAGTATGTAAATCTTAATTCGCCTAAACCGGCTGCACGTCACTCAGGGCCACTGTCCATGTCTTACGCTAGTGTGTCTTTTCCATGCAACCTTGTACAAAACGGGCCTTCAATTAACATTTCTTGGTTGCTTGACTTCTTAACACACACTATGATAGGTTACCTTCTTCCCAGGGTTACATGTTTGGAAAATAGTCTTGTCTGAGTTGCCAAAATGTGGTATTCTCAGTGTGTTTACCTCATACCTGACAATGGCACCTCAGAATGTTGACCTTCTTCGGAAACAGGGTCTTCACAGAGGTAATCGAGTTCAAATGAGGTCACCAGGCACAGTGGCTCATGCCTGTAATCTCATACCTGATAATGAATAACTAGATGCAGAATTTATTTTCCACATAAATCTAATTTTCTTGAACTTGCTTCATTTTCCTCTTTTCTATAATGTAGGAAACACAGGGTCATTTCACATAGTGTCTTGAGTTATAAGCTCACATACACTCAAAGAAACAACAAAATGATTAAAAAAAAAAAAAGAAGAAGCTTCACAGTGAACCTCACTTCCGCAACATCACCTGATACCAAAAACTGAAATCATAAGCCACTTTCGATTAACTAAAAGCATGAACATATTAACTGACTTATAGAGTTGATATCCTTGTGTGTTAAAAACAAATATTCAAATCAAAAGAACACAAGAAATACTAATGTTTGAGGACTAACTTTGGGAGGAAATAATAAAACATTTAATTCCAGAAACCTGATGAGGCTGTTAGTAATCACTTATAAACTGAAAGGGGAGTTCACATTTAAATATAGATCTTCAGCTCACTATGCACCATTATAATTTTTGTTTCCAGTTGCTTACATTCTTAGCGTCATTTTTCATGCTTTTTCATGTCTGCTGTTGATATTTTTCCAACCTGAAAAAGCTTTCCTTTTTTGTTTGTTTGTTTTGTTTTTTTGAGACAGAGTCTCACTCTGTCGCCCAGGCTGGAATGCAGTGGCACGATCTCGGCTCACTGCAACCTCCGCCTCCTGGGTTCAAGGGATTCTCTTGCCTCAGCCTCCGAGTAGCTGGGACTACAGGTGCCCGCCACCACGCCCAGCTAATTTTTGTATTTTTAGTAGAGACGGGGTTTCACCATATTGGCCAGGATAGTCTTGATCTCCTGACCTCACGATCCGCCCGCCTCGGCCTCCCAAAGTGTTGGGCTTACAGGCATGAGCCACCGCGCCCAGCCGAAAAAGCTGTCTTTAAATGAAGTTGTATAAGCCTCAATCTAGATATGAATCTTCACATACAAAATAAACTATTAAACAGCTCTCAATAACAAGGATTGAGAAAACATTCATTGTGATTAACCTCAAATTTTTGTGCAGCTGACGTGGAATGAGATAATATTAAAGAGCAATGACAATTATATTAAGTACTGCCACTTGGGGATACAGCGAGCATTAGCACAAACAGAGACATGAGCTCCCCCCCAGCTAGGTTATTAGGGGACAAAATGTGTGATAGATCACCGCAGGCAATGTGAGAGTGCACAGGGACTTTGTTACCGTGCCATCTGCTATGCTGGGGCAGCAGTTTGAAACCTGAGCAACTAATGTCCCGGGAGCATGCCTACCTGCAGCGTGGCTCCTTACAAATGAGCCCAAGTCCTAACCAGACATGTGCCATCTCAATGTAAGAAATGGCATTTGTGTGGAAACAACTATGTATTCTAGCCAAATATCACTAATGAATTGCTAATGACATTGACACTGTATATATTCTGCAGTCCATAATTCTGAAAAAGTTCTAAAAGGTAAATAGGTCCTATAAAAAACACCAAAGGAAAAGGGAAAAAAATCACCCTCTTCCATGGTTAGCAAAGTCGTTTTACCGCAGAGCAGTGTTCTAGCACTTCACGTGCACAGGGATTGCCTGGGATCTGGTTAAAATGTAGTCTGATTGGGTAGTTGTGAGCCGCGCCTCGAGAATCTGCATTTCTAACAAGCTCCCTGGTGATGCCAGTACAGCTGGTGGGAGTAGCAAGACTCTAAAGAAGCTCAAATACCACTCACTTTGCAAAGAATTCCAAGTGTGGAAGAGTGCATGGGCTTTCCCATAAAGAACTGAGACTTTAGGAATATCAAGTTGTATGTGGATACTCCCCAACGCTCATCCTGGGCCTCTTTTCACACTGCAGCTTTCCTTGGAGGGGGCTCACACCCTGCCTCCACACAGACCTCCCTGACTATTAAAGGCCAGGACCTCAGGCTTGAGCACCAGGCAAGCAAATGAGGGCCCCCTCCGGCCATCCCAACCTCACTGATTAAGCACCTTGAGGAGAAAATTCACGGAAAGTCCCAACCTCGCCTTTTCCGTATCTTGTCAATGCAGCCAAATTATTAATCAAATAGCCTATGCCTCACCCACTCTGCACTGGTTCTTTGTAACCTACAACGAACTATTGTGGCATACACGGTCTGCCCAGCTCTGGCCCTATTCCATGTGCCTTATACATGTCACCAAGTGGAGTGACTATGACTTTTAGTTCTCAGAGCACAGCATGCTTTCTCCTCTGCTAGAAATGTCCTGCCCCCCACCTGGCATGCACGTAACGTTAAAACAAGCTCCAGTGCCTCTGGGAAGGCTTCCTGGCCCTCAAGCTCCACTCCTGTTGGCAGAAGCCTATCAGTAGCGCAGTTGTTTACTTATGTGTCCATTTCTGCTATTGGTCTGGAAGCTCCTTGCGAACAGGGCCATGCCTTGGTCACTTGTGTGCATCACATTCCAGTCACACAGTGGGTCTGCAACAAAGGTTGCTTTACAGGGCACTGAGATGGCCCTAGGGTAGGTTAGGCAAATGGGACATGGGGGTAATGGCTGGAGTGGGGTAGGGTAAATCTTGAGATTTATGGTAAGTAGATACTGGAAAATATCTGTCCATCGTGAAGCATACACTTTTCACATGCTGGGCAAGAGCCAGCTCTATTATTTTAAGGTGTAATACTGCTCAAATTTGGGGTAAATTGGATAGAAATAAAATAGCCTTACTTGCTATTATCAGACTCACACTTGGTTATTTTTCTGATGTCACGACCAAAAAAAAGTTCAACAGCAATGGAGCAGAAGCTGAAAGAGAAGGATAATCTGCTCTTAGGGAGTTTGAACAAGAGGCAATTAATAAAGGATTAAGCTAAGTAAAACCACAGCAGAACACGTAACTGCAGCATGTTGAACACTGAAAACCAGAGGGGCAATTAGGTAGGAAAAACCCACAGTGGGTAAAACACTCACTGGGTCAATGAACAACAGTAGGAACTTCGCGAGGCTAATCCCTTGTGGACAGACCTCTTTCTAGAAGAGAAGCAAGGAAAGCAGACTCCAGCCCTTAGACAGAGCATGCAGGGACGTCTGGTAATTCGACTGACCGCACAGTCCTAAGAATCACCCAGCGAATTCCATTTTACTAATGTGTAAAGGTGGGATGAGGTGACCTGCAGACAACTCACCTCCAAATACTGACAGCTCAGAAGAAACCACAGCCTCCACACTGACCAAAATCACGATCAGGAGGTCCTTCAGGACACCCCCAGGAAGACTGCCTGGAGACTCCCTCACACAGACCCTCCTAAGTCTCCGGGGTCTGCTTTTTTCTCCCATTTCTTCATTCAACAAGTTGTCACTGGCACCACTACATGTCTGGCATGGTTGTTTTAGGCACCTGAGATATGCCAGTGAAGAAAACAGACAAAACGCTCTACCTCTGCGGAGCCTACATTTTACCAAGGGGAGACAGGTAGCAAACAATCCAGAATAAATTACTAAAGTTCACAGTGTTAGAAGATGATAAAAACTAAAGAGACAAGAAGCACAGCAAGGAGGACTGATGTGGGGACGTGGAGGCAGATACAGGCTGCAGGGTAGGCAGCTTTCTGATTTTGTGATATCTGTGAGTAGCCACTTGAAGGAAATTAATATCGTTCACTGGAGAGGCAGACTCTAACAAAAATATAACAATTGCATATTTGACAAAGATCAGGTTTTTTTTTTTAACGGATGGCTTGGTTGATTTGATCTAGGGTAACACAGCGGCATCACAGAGGGCATGCGCTCTGGAGTCTGACACACCCTGGTTTGTTTTCTAGCTCTGCCATGTGCAACTAAAAACAACTGGATGTCATCTCTGTCAGCTGTAGCAGTGAGGCCTCATGAGATGAGAGGTTTGTACACCCTCTAGCACAGTGCCCAGCACTTGGTGAGCCGAGGCTATTAGCACTGCTCAGACTTAAGACCACAGTAGGTCCCAAAGCCTTCCCTGTCCCCAGGCACAACACAGGAACTCATGCCCCTGCTCACTTGAGAAGCTCAGAAAAGACAGAAAAGCTTTAAGAAATTTAGGAAGTAATAGAATGGTCTCATGACTGTGTTGCTCTGCATATGCGTTCACATTCGTCCCTCCCCCTCAGTATTTATCCTTTAGTTGCAAAACATCATTTGCCAGGCCTGGTTTGATGGATTACTATAATCAATTTTGACTTGGGGGTCAGGGGAGAAAACATAGAGCTCTGCTATTGGAGGTCACTTAATTTAACACAATTGCATTTGGCAAATGACAAAGCTGGGAGATAAAGGGCACTTTTGCCTTCAATGGTGCAGCCTCAAGTTCAGGCCTTTACTTCTAAGTCTAAACTACTATACCTCTTAGAGGGCAGAATAATTAATTCTCTCTGAGGATATTCCATAGGCGTGGATATTCCTAGTTTCCAATATTGATTAGATGAGAAGAGACTTGAGTATCTTTGATGAGTGGAAATATTTTTTTCCAGGAAATATCCATTCATTCTGCTCCAAGATCAATGGCCACTTACCCTTCTATACATAAGAGTTTATAGCTTTCTATGATAATGATGTTTCTAAAGATTTCTAAAGGTTGGTTTTCTTGTTTTCTTTTAACCACTAACCTAGTGTCAGCCGCAACTTCCATATTAACTGCAAGTAGACACACTGGAAAATGTTAGGAGATACCATGGCAGAAGAAAACAAAACTGTGCTGTTTTATAAAAGATCATCCACCCATGTAATTGTGATGGCCTTACCCTGATTTCTTTATGTCCCTCAACACTACTACTAATTCTATTATCAGTTGACTTGGCTATTATGGGTCTCCTCCACCAGGCTGAAGTTCCCTGCAAGCAGAGAGGTAGGTGGTCACAGATGGCTGTGCAGGCCACTGGCTCCGGACCTAATAATGTGCCCTTGGCCTCTTCTATTTGCACTGGTATCTCGAGCAGTGGTCCCTGATGGGCTTGGTACATATTTGCTGAATAAATGAATTTCACCTTAAGGTTGGGAGGCCACTTAGACTCTAACTGGTGCATTTGCCATTTGGGAGCTTGCAAGCTGTATTTTACCTTGCCCACACTTCTCCCCTTTCTTAAAAAATAAGAAGCAAAGCCAAATATAGATGTGCGCAAGCATAACAAAAAGGAAATTTAATTGTGAAGCGGATAAAACCCAGCATCAGGCAGATGAAGCGGCTGGGGCTGCTCCCTGCCCAAGGCGGGACAGTGGGTTCCCCGCCCACATTGCTGAGCTGAATCTCACTGTTGAGTTTCTGGGGTTTTTTCCCTAACCTGGTTATTGCTAAACTGAGATGCTGGCTTTGTCATCAAAGCTTTCAGTTCTGTGTCATGCTCAAGATCAACTTTTAATGGCAATATCTCTAAAAAGGGATAAATGCATCATCTCTCCAGGGACCTGCAGTTCCACACGGGTGACAGGGCCCTGACTGTGTCTTGTCTTCTCATTCTCTTCCCCCCCAATACCCCTTTCTCTCTGACATTTGTACTCTTCAGCTTTCATAATATTTCAAGCTAAGTGACTTTTTTTTCCAGACACAGAGCATTCCTCTGCCATACACACAGAGAAACCACTCACCTGGAGTGGGTGGCCCCTATCAATAAACAAATAATTTAAAGAAAATAAATTTTTTTAAACCAAAATTAAGGGGCATTTTCCCAATCTGATCACCATCCTCATTCAGACCAATGCTTCAAGACTGTTAAAGTACATATTTAAATATAAATAAACAAATCAAGTGAAAACAAAAGTAACAGGAAAAGAACAATCTGACTTAAGGAAAAAATGTAGCTCAACAAAAACAGACAAGTGAAAGGGAGAAGGAGTGCCCCTCAATGTCTAGCACAAGAGACACTTAGGAAATATTTGGTAACTGACTAAAAGAATAAAGAGAAGACAACTTGTTTTCAAGTAATGAACAGGACAAGTGACTTAAATAGCCTTTTGAATGAGTTAAGCTAAATAGTTATACAAATATAATACCACACAGGACGGTGCCCAAAGAGAACAAATTCCTTTCAGATAGATCACTCACTGATTAACCTCAGGTACAGTTATGGCCCTGAAAACCTCAACAAAACAGGGCAAGAGAGAAAAAGTGGAGTATATCAAAATGCCTTAAAGCCTGCCACGCCATTTCCTCTAATGAAGTTAGAGACTTCCTTCCAGTGTCAAGCCTGTCAACTCAGCATGGCAGATCTCGGCCAAAATAAACTCCTGGACCCAGTTAATTGAGCTAAAAGGAGTCAAACCCCAGCACTGGCAAAGGCTCAAAGATCACACCCCCAGGACTCTCAATGGCTTCTGCCCAAGAATCTATGACCAAATGACCTCTGATAACGTGACAGGGTTTCCAGTCACTGACCTTAGTCAGAGGAGGCTGTTTATAATTGCATGTGATCCTCTTGCCTGCTGCAGGCCAGATGAGTAATCGTGAAGTGAACAAGACAGCTTACATCACTGAAAGCGGTGCGTTTTCCATGTATTCTACGGAACTCCACTGAGTCCACTGGACTCCCGGATCTCTATTTCCACTTAGTCTGAAGGGCAGGGGGCTCTTGGCAGGAAGCGCCCAAGTCCTCCCTGTGGCCCCTGTGGGAGGGAATCTGGGTACCGCCTGCCCACATCCCACTGCCCACCTGTGCTCCTGGGTACTGAGAAAACCTGGCCAGGCACAGAGGAAGCACAAATATTTACTGTAGACGAGGGTGTGTCGAGTGACCCTTGGGGAATTCTGGGCCACTGGGAACGCAGTCAAGATAGACTCAGAAAACAGCAGAGAACATGTGCTTCTGCCATTGCCCTGAAGGCCAACGGCCTCTGAAACCTCCGTGATTCAAGGTGAGCGAGTGGCAGGCTCACTTCAAGCCCACCTGTAGAAAGGAAAGCCCCGTCTATGTTACTAGCACACTACATCATATTTAACTCAAAGCACATAAGAAGGAAAAGATTTCCATCAAGGTGAAAGAAACGATATGAAAATGGCTTCACATGAAAACTGACTTGGTAAAACCCTAAGAAGTACAGGCTGAAAAAATAAACATTGCCTGGAATGAAACATAAAAATCCCAAACAACCCTCCCATCCCAACAGAACCGTCAAGACCACAAAAGCTCCTGTCCCATCACTTGCCTTAATAAGTACATAGAGCCCCCCACCATCACCACATCCACCAAACAAACCACTTTGGAATAAAACTTCTACACTCAAGTAGCAGAATTCATATAATTTCATACCTGCCTTCATTTTATATCTTTTCATTATATTCCACAGTGCCAAGAAAATGTCCCAAATGTGTCGTTTTAAATCAACATTTAGTTGCAATACAGGACTCCAGAAAACCTTCATTTAACTTAAAAAGGCAAATTTTCATAAAAACAATAGGAATGAAAAAGGTTAAGGCATAACATCTGTAACTAATACAGATGTTTACTTCCTCTTAACTAAATAAAAAGCATTTCTTCCTCTCTTCTTGACTTCCATCTTACTAGATTCCCACAAGAATTAAAGTTCACCTTGTATTCCTTACAGACATTAAAAAAGGTTTAAAAAAAAAAAAAAAAGGTCAGCACCCACCACTGTGGCATTCTTTCTCTTCCTGGTCATTGCTAATGAAACTCACTCACCAGCCTGGGGCCAGCACAAACATACTTTAAAATCCCACTTCCCTTATAGAGTTATTTGCTTCCTTTTGTTTCTTTCACTGGCAATATCTCATTCAAACATGTGTAAAGTACTTTTCAATGTGAAATAAGTATTAAAGAATAAACATTAAAGAATAGCTATGAAATAAGTACTAAAGAATAACTCAGATTTGACTGTAGGCTTTGATATTTCATATTGTTGATACATTTTTATTGTCTTTAGAATTCCGGCCATCTTAACACTTAATGACATCAGAAATACTTTACTGAAAGTAACCCGGCTCATTAATACGAAGGTGTGGCCTGCACTCAAATTTATTTCAAGCTTTGCCAACATATGGATACACTATAACCAGTTAACTAACAGTTTATGAATCACCATGAAATGAGACAGTAAAGAAACAAAAATCACATGTTAATCATTCAGCATATTCACATGTATGAGTAGGAAGGGTGGGAAAATGATAGAAAACCTGAGGGAAAAACTCAGTTGAATATGTTCTGGGCTTTGACTTTTGTTTTCTCAAACAAAAAATATAATAAAATTTAGTCTAAATCATGTAAGCCAAATTACTCATACCGAGGAAGAGAAAGATTTCTGTTGCTACCAACCAAAAATTCAGATATAAGCCATGAATTATTCTCCAAGCAAACTATTTTATGACCTAAGATGGTATTTTACTTGAAACAAAGGAGAGCTGGTATCTCCCTCTTCTCCAGGAGGTTTCTAAGTCAGAAATACTGAGACTCGAAACAGAACAGGAAGGAAAACACAATTCTTTCCTCCTCAACCTGTGATTTCTAAAACAGAAAACCTCATTCATAGAACTTCAGCGGTCTCTGTTTTCCATTATTTTCAAAAATAAAAGTATTATTGCTTTGGTTTTTGGAAGAAAAGCTGTACATTTTTCTAAACAGTCAAGAAAGTTAAGAAGCAAAGAACAGGGGACCAGAATTCTGATCCCAATTCTTTTCAAGGCTCATTCTTTGCCTATCATTCTTTTTATGCATAAGGAGGGTAAAATTGACCAATTATAGCTAACTGTGAACACCAAAAAGCATTTAAAATTGAAAATCTTGGTACATGCTAGAACTATGCCGCTGACATAAAAACAGTATTAAACCAACATCAAACTCACACCAAGAACAGATGTTATGCATTCATATAGCAAACATACAGTGGTGTCTTTGTTCTTACCTATACTTTTCCTCAAAGCTGCTGAAAAACAAGGCTGGAAAGTGTTCAGCTGGACTAGCGCTGCTGGAAATCTACCTTGGTGACCCTCCGGCTCCCTGGCCTCGTCTTCCTCCTTCCCAGTTTTAAAGCAGTGCCCGTACACACCTCTGCTGATACCGGGGGAATACCAGCAAGTTTTAACACAACTGAGAAGGAATGCGCCCAGCTCGCTACTTATACTGATGATTCACTTCAATGACAGGTAGAAAGAAATGCTTGTTGGTGGAAAAGGGGGTTGCGTCAAGCTCCACCTCCTACCATAAGGTTAAGTAGCTCCACCCAGCTCAGCAATTAGCTTACATCATCACCCGGGGCCTTATCTCCAGGTTCCCTGCAGTTGTTCCTGCAGCATCTTCAAGTGAAGTTCTCAGTGGGCTTCCACACAGGATGGGCAATAACAGAGGTCATGAGGTTTTGTGGATGACTCTATGTCTGGCGGGGCTGTTTTGCTTATTTAAAGCCAGATCAGAGATTTTGGCATTTCCAACAGTAGAGGTCAGCCCTTCACCCTGCCACAAACTAACTCAGCTTCTACATTCTGAGGTTCTGGCCCTCGAGGCCCCACACTCGGCAGATGGGAACACAACTTCCTGGCCCTCCAAAAGCTTATTGTCTTGAAGAGGGGAAAAAAACAGGAACAAAAATAACTATGATACAAACTACAGCCCCCAAAAGAATCAATAGTCAGATGAGAGACAGCCCCGCCCTGTAAATCTGCAGTCTGTACTGTGCATCCCAGTTTTCAGATCCCAGTTGTGTGCCCTTAGGTGTAAATCAGGGCCTTGAAGGTGCCAGCAGAGCTCTACCCTGGGACCCAGCAGCACCATGTCCTCGTTTGAGGGGTAGTCTGGCAACCTGACCACCCTTACTCTACAGAAATTCCAAGAGCAAGTCAAACATGTGCTCTCTGCCTGCGATGGGCACTATGCTACTTCTCTTTCCTCTTGCTGGAAGAAGTCACACCCTACTCTCCAACCCATGCAGCCCTCCACCCCAGCAGATGCGGCTCTAATAGGAAGTGTCCCCAGTTGTAGCAAACAGCTAACTTTCTATATGCACTCAAATGTGGTGGCATGCTCACTCGCGAAGTGTTCCTGGCATCTCAGCTGAGAAACCCTGTAAACTAGACTTGCAGTTCCCCCCAGCGTTCAAACGCTGGGATTTCCAGAGGTGGGGGGAAGATGAACGGATCACCCCTTGAGGCTGGGAGGACTGCTGAAGGCTTAGAGGAGCAAGTGGGCACCAGGGTTCAGCTAGAAACATTCACCCTCCTGGAGACAGGGGGACAGTGCCAACCATTCTCAGTCTTTTTTTTTTTGAGATAGGGTCTCACTCTGTCACCCAGGCTGGAGTGCAGTGGCACGATCTCACTACAGTCTCTGCCTCTGGGGTTTAAGCAATTCTTGTGCCTCAGCCTCCTGAATAGCTGGGACCACAGGTGTGAGCCACCACGCTCCACTAATTTTTGTATTTTTGGGGTTTTGCCATGTTGCCAAGGCTGGTCTGGAACTCCTGGCCTCAAGTGATCCACCCATCTCGGCCTCCCAAAGTGCTGGGATTACAGGCATGAGCCATCGTGCCCAGCCCGTTTTCAGTCAAATTCTTAAAACAAGAGGAACATCTCAAGTTTTCAGTCTTCAGCAGTTGAGGATACACAAGTTGCTGAATAGACTAAATTTAAGAACAAGATTTCCATCATCTTTGATTATGTCTAAAACTATCAAATTAAGCTACAATGTTTCCAATTTACACACTAGCTGGAAGGTTAAAAAAATAAGAACCACAATACACTATAAGAAAATGTACCTAAACAAGTTGAACAAGTTTTTATTTATTTATTTTTAACGATTTGCCTATTCCCTTAAAGATAAAAAGCATCTACACGTCCTACCAAATGTTACCTGATTGTGATGGGCTTAATTGTATTTGCCCAAAATTCCTAAGTTGAAGTCTTTAATACTTCAGATGGTGACTGTATTTAGAGAGAGGGTATTTAAAGAGGTAATTAAGTTAAAATGAGGTTAGTAGGTGGGTCCCAATCCAATATGACTGTGCCCTTATACGAACAGGAGATTAGGACACGGACACAGGTACACAAATGACCTGGGAAGACCCAGAGGAGCATCTGCAAGTCAAGAAGAGAGGCCGCAGAAGAAGCCAATCCTGCTTCATCGCAGGCTCCGGACATCCAGAGCCCTGAGAAAACAAATTTGTGGTAGTTGAGCCACCCAGTCTGTGCTACTTTGTTACGACCGCCCTGGCAAACAATCACAACACTAATTACACCACTGTTTCCCTCTGAAAATTAATACTAAAAAATTGAGACAATTGACATTTCTAATAACCATTCCCCCATAACCATACACTTCACTTGAGTATGCTCACTTTTGCCTTGTCCCATGAGGTTCTCATGCCTCAAAAAAATGCATAGAAAAGCCTCATTCTGGAAGGGAAAAAAAGGCTACATTTGATCTTTCCAACTCCAATTCTGCCACCTCCATTCTAGGCAAACTGATCAAACAAATGGTGTACATCCACCTCCCTGCCACCTATGTCATTTTCCCTAACCCAGAGAAATCGGCTTCTGCCAAACTTGCATTAAAATGTAACTGGAAAATAGTCAGTGACCATCAGCACCAAATGAAAAAATGTTAAGCCTGGAGGGAATGCTGGAAGTCTTAGTTCAATTCCTTTTGTCTAGAGGAGAAAATTAGGGCCCAATCAAAGCAGCGCCATGATCTAGGGACAGAGGCTACAGAGTGGATTCAACCCTCACACCAGCTCCAACACAATGTTACCACCACTGCCTTCACAATACTATTCACTGAGGGAAGCCTGAAGCTATTCTAACCTCACCAGTGTCCCAAAATGAAAACTGCCACCATGATCACCAGGCTATAGTGAAAAGAGACAAGGATGCACATATCGGGATAATCCATGGAAGATGGCCAGGTTCTGAGACTAAGTCTAAAACCAGCTTTCTTTTACCGGGGCACTACTGACATTTTGTGGCTGGGTAATTCTTGGTTGTGGGGGATTCGATGTGTCTGGATTTGATGAAGAAAAAGCTGCTGGCGTCTTAAGACAGATACTTCAGTTTTATAATCTGGGCAGAATGCAATAAGCAAAAGGAGAGGAGGGACGAGCAGCCTCCCTAGAACTTTCCACAGCCCTCAACGACCAACAAGGTCACTGAAGAGACACCTGGGAAGACCAGGGGTGGGTCTCCCAGAAGTCTGGCAGTAGGAGAGGATGCTTTCATTCTTGCTCATTTCCCTTGGAATTTTTTCTAAACTCAAATTTCAAAATGAAGTTAAAAAGTCATGACATTCCTTTAATTGTATATTGCTTACACTTAAATGTAAGCAATAAGCCATTGTTGGTTGGCACCTAACACTTCCGACAATATTACCCAAAAAATTGCTCAATACTGTTGACTACACTTAAAAGACTGGGCAGTTTTTAGGGTGTGGTTTTATGAAATACCACAAAGGGTCACAATGGATCAGCTTGTTTCAATGCAAAGCAAAGGAAGTATATAAAAACAGTTAATTCAACTGTAGGCAACATAGCCAAAAGGAATAAGAAAAGCATGAAGACTGATTTCATTCAAAACAGGATTTTATTAAGAACATAAAATCTGAATTTCATAGTATTCCAAAGATGGTTCAGTTTTTGTATTTTGTTTGCTTTTGTTTTTAATCTCAGGATTTGTTAGTGAGATCATCTTGATATTTTCCTCTAAAAAGTCATCATGAATTTATCCATACTCTGCAGCCTTCGAAAAGTACGTTTTTAAAAATAACATTACGAGCTTTACTAAAATGCTTACCATAAAATAGTTTAAAAAGCATCATTCTAAAAAATATCATAGTATGATTCCAAATTCATAAACTATTTCCATATACATAAATATAAATATAGCCAAATATAGATGGAAATAAAATTAAATGGTAACCAATTTATATCCCTGTGGCTATTTGGCTCTACAGGTAGATCAATGCTTTATGTTTTATCTTTTCCAATATCTAAATCTGTTACAGTCGGAAAAAAAAGTTATTTAAAAATTGCTAAGATTAGCTGGGTATGGTGGCATGGACCTGTAATACCAGCTACTCGTGGGGCTAAGACAGGAGGATCACTTGAGCCCAAGAGTTATAATGCTGCAGTGAGCTGCAATCACACCATGGCACCACACTCGTGGGTGACAGAGCGAGACCCTAGCCCCATAAAAAATAAAATTAAAAATAAACAAACTGCTAAGAATGTACTATATCACTTATTTTAACACAGTGAGTAACCAAATGAGAAGAATTCAGATGCTGAGGGTAGAGGAGACCCAAGTTTCTCTATTTTGTTCAAAACCAGCTACAGTAGAGGAGAAACTAGGACACTTGGAGGGGGAGGAATAAATTGAACACAACGAAGATAACATGACACAGGCAAAAATCTTTACATAACACAGGCAAGGTTTGGTGATAACAACATAGGCTTGAATTTCCTCACATGGTCTTAAATCCCTCCTAACTCGCGTTAGCTTTTTCTTCCAATGCCTTACAAATGTGTGGTTTACATGCTTCATAAGGTCCTACAATCAACTCACTATAACAAAACATCTGAAAGGCAAATTGTTTCATCAAGAAGGGGGAAAGGTCTCCTGCATCTTTAAATGCCATTCAGTAAACACAATACGATGTACCTCTTCTGCTCAAAGCATTTGAAAAGACCCCAAGATTTGTATCCTCAAAACATTTAGAATCTGGCAGCTACAGACAGTTCCTAATTTATGAAACCTTGTATTCCTAATGTTTAATTTTTAGGGCTGTTACTTAGGATCCTGATCACATTTTCACAGGAAAGAAAGACCTCAACCTTAGTGAAATCTGCCAGTTCCTTAGGCTGTAAAGACCATCTAAATGGAAATGACTCTGGCCCCTCTTTTGAGCTCCATTCTCCTCTACCACCATCTTCACACATCCACTTGGAGATCTAAGGGATGCCTTAGACCTAAAAGGAGCAGTGATTCCACCTCTGCACTGCTCCCCAGCGCATCTGTCCCATCTCAGTGGCCCCCAGCCAGTTCAAGAGGACATTTCCTCAGTTCTGCTCTTCCCTTTCTCTCTTACACATCCAGTCAATCAACAGATCCTAAGGGCTCCATCCCCAAATTTAATCTCCCACCATCTCCTCCTCTCCATTCTGAATGTTACCATTTTGGTGTTTAAACCATCCTCTCTCACTCAGGCCTCTGCAACAGCCTCCTAACTGGCCTCTGGGTCACTCTCACTTGCTACAATAAATCACACCAAGCCACTCCTTTCTTGCAACTCTCCAGGCTGACTTACTACAACCTTAAGCAGGAAATGCAAATTCCCCAGCACCCACACAGCCCTAAAGAACCATGGCTCCTTTACCTTCATCTCCAGCCCTCCCCCATGAACTCTCTCCCTTCCCCAGCCCCACTGACCTGGCTACTTCTCAAACCTCTCAAACTCACTTTCACGTGCCTCTCTACGAACACTCCTCCCCCAAATCTTCAGGGCTGCTCTCTTCTCTGCTGATGATAAATGGCACAGTGAGTCTTTGTGCTGATTGCAACATAAACTAGTACCACACGTTAGGAAAGCAAATTGGTAATCTATACCAAAAGTATTTAAATCCTAATATTCTTTAATTTAGGAATCCCATTTCCAGGGAGGTATCATAGGAACAGAATCTGACTAAAAAAAAAAAAAAATTCTTGTTTTGCACAAAGATATTCCCAGTACCTTTCTCTCTTAAATGAAAAACTGGAAACAAACTTAACAGATATGATAAATAGGATATTGTACATTCAGAAACATATATTACATATTGGAATAAATCACCAAAATAGACTATATCTATGTTATGATGCGAAGTATAAATATACATTCTCTCCTAAAAAACAACTAAAAGGAAAATGCCAAAATATTAAGAGTGACTGATGTTCTTTCTGTTGTTTTTTCTGTTTTTTCCTCTATTTTTTTTCAGACTTAGAAAAATGTATAATTTTCACAATTAGAGTGGGGAAATTCCTTCTTGTTTTTAACAGAAGGAAATTATGCTGTAAGTAGTTGTTAGCTTTCCAAGTCAACAAAGAAAAGACACTTAAAAACACAATGTTAAAATTAAAAGGTGCTATACAAGATATACAATAAATCAAATGAGAAAAAACATATGACAGATGGGGAGTTAAACTGCCCATTTTACAAAGAATTCTTATCAATGAAAAATTAATAGGTCAAAGGAAAAATTGACAGAAGGATGTGAGTTGGCACTGGATAAAAATGGAAATATAAATACACGAAGAGATACTTGGCATCACTGACTGAAGACATAAAATGAGATGTTTTTACCTTCCATAATGTCGAAGATGAAAAGACTGATAAAATGGGTTAATATTGAACTAGGGAAAAACTGGTACTCTCATCAACCACTACAGCCAGTGGAAACTAGTGCAGTACTACAGAAGGCAATTTCCCAACGTCTATGAACATTGTAAATGTTCTTGTCCTTTGAACCAGGAATTCAACTATGGGAACTTAACTACAGAAACCCTCACACATAGATATATCACGAAACACCAGGCTGGGTATGGTGGCTCACGCCTGTAATCCTAGCACTTTGGGAAGCCAAGGCAGACGGATCACTTGAGGTCAGGAGTTCAAGACCAGCCTGGCCAACATGGTGAAACCCTGTCTCTACTAAAAATACAAAAATTAGCCAGGCATGGTGGTGCATGCCTATAGTCCCAGCTACTCGGGAGGCTGAGGAAGGAGAATCACTTGAACCTGGGAGGCAGAGGTTGCAGTGAGCTGAGATGGCATCGCTGCACTCCAGCCTGGGTGACACAGTGAGACTCTGTCTCAACAACAACAACAAAAAAAAAAAAAAAAATGAAAGAAAGAAAGAAACAGAAATACCACAGAGTTTTAAAAACATGACACACCTCAGAAAACATCCTAGATCTATTAATTAGAGAAAAAACCCCAAAGCTCTGTTGCAATCTATCATTTCCAGCATGATCCCGTTTAAAACAACAACAACAACAAAACACACACACACACACACACACACACACACACACACAAACCGAGCAGCTAATGTTTATGGAATCCTTACTATATGACAGCACTGTTCTAAGTCTTTTAAGAGCACCACCTATTTTAATCTTTGCAGTAACCCTAACAGTAACAGATAGGCGCTGTTATTATCCCTGCTCTACAGATGATCCCACTAAGGCTTGGAGAGATCAACAGAAGTTTCCATCCAAGTGGCCCTCTGAGTGTACATTTCTATCTCTCTCTTTCTCTGATTCAGACTAAATATCACAGTCATAAGAATCTTGGGAAAATAAGACACAGTATCATCACATGAACAGATATGGGATGGGCTTGGGTTGAAAGAAAAACAAAACCAGGGGACTGCTGCTGTACAAGTATTCTCCAGATGCCAGAAATTCAAAAGAAACAAATCAAGAGATGGAGTCAAGAGATCCAAGGGGGCTAGAGTGACTAACCCTGGGGCAGCGATCAGGTGATTTATCAGGAAGCTTCATTTCCTCTCTGCTTTTCCCACTGCTACCTTGCACTTCATGTAGGCCAAAGCAGGAATGTGGTCCTAAGACTGAAGTGCAGGCAGCTCAAGAGAGCAAGCAGGGCCATGCAGGAGCCACATCTGAAAGGCCACCTCCTGGCCCATCCCACCGGGCCCTACATATTGCTTCAACCTGGCACATTCCAGTGAAAAAGGGGCAAACGAGAGGCACAAACAGGAAGACCAGTAGACCACCAAAAACTGCCAATGATGCCAAAGGGCAGGCAAACGGGGTCTCAGAATAAACCAAAGAAGAATGTTAAATACTCACAATTAATATGCTCGTAAAATCTAAGAGGATATCAGCACAGCAAAACAAGAACAGACTAGAATTAAAAAAAAAACAACAACAACAAAAACCAAATCAAGACCTAAGAGAAGGAGCCAGCATGTTTAACCTCAAACCACAGCATTGCAGCTTCCTTCATAGGAAAAAAATGGGGATGTGGTTAACACTCATCACTGGTGAGTGACTTGGAAATCCCTGCCACCCCACTCTCCCACCATTCCACATTAACCTCCACCCCACTCCCTGCTTAACATACAGAATGAGCATTTTCATCTTGTTCTCCACACTCACACATTTACACATATGGGCACAGGAGGAATGCGTCTTTTAGAACTGGATATTATACATTTTTCTACACATTGCTTCTCATTCATCAAGTTCTCATAGAAATTCCTCCACAGCCAACTCTCATACAGCTCTAGTTCTCTCATAATATTACATGGTACAAACAGTCCATAAATTGGCCGTTTTTCAACTGATGGGTTTTCATATTTTCAGTATTTTGCCACTATAATGGTACAATAAATATCCTTATACATATGACTTTGCACACATTTTTTATTTCTAAAAGACAAATAACCGAGGACAAAGGTTGCTTAGAAGAAAGGTATGATAGTTTTTTATTTTAATATACATTGCCCATCTGCTTTTCAATTTCCCAACTGCCCATAATTCACATTTCCATCAGTATTATGAGAAATAATACCACTTGCCACTTCTATTACAGCCTTGCTATCAAAAAGTGTTATTTTTCTCTATTTTTACCAATCTGATGGGTTTAAAGTAACGTCTCATTGTTTAATCTGCATTTCCCTAGCAAAAATGAACTATTTTTCATAGGTTTGCCAGCTAGCTGTCTGCATTTGTTATCTGTGTATTCTATATTAACATTCTTTGTCCATTTTTCCTCTGTGGTTTTCTTAACAATTTGTAAGTTTTTTGTTATAGATAGTAACCCCATGTCTGTTTCAAATATCCCTTCTTGATCTATGACTTAATCACGTATCTTTTGCCACAGAAAAGTTTAAAAATATATATTCAGGCTAGGTATGGTGGATCATGCCTGTTAATCCCAGCACTTTGGGAGGCTGAGGTGGGCAGATCACTTGAGAACAGGAGTTCTAGACCAGCCTGAGCAATATGGTGAAACCTCGTCTCCACAAAAAATTGGCTAGGCATGGTAGCTGATATGGTTTAGCTCTGTGTCCCCATGCAAATCTCACCTTGAACTGTAATAATCCCCACGTGTCACGGGAGGGACCCGGTGGGAGGTAACTGAATCACAGATGCAGGTTTTTCCCATGCCGTTCTCATGATAGTGAATTACATCTCATGTGATCTGATGGTTATAAAGGGGAGTTCCCCTGCATACACTCTGTTGCCTGCCACCATGTAAGATGGGACTTTGCTCCTCATTCACCTTCACCCGTGATCGTGAGTCCTCCCCAGCCATGTGAAACTGTGAAACCTCTTTCCTTTCTAAATTGCCCCGTCTCAGGTATGTCTTTATTAGCAGTATGAGAACTAATACAGTGAGTCTTGCCTGTAGTCTCAGCTACATGGGAGGCTGAGGTGGGAGAATCACCTGAGTCTGGGAGGTCAAGGCTGCAGTGAGCCCTGATCGCGCCACTGCACTCCAGCCTGACAGAGTGAGACCGTCTCAAAAAATAAACAAATAAAAATAAAATATATGTTCAAAGTGTGTCTCTTTTTATAGCTTGTGCGTATCAAATTTTGCTTAACCATTCTCCCTCACTCCAAGATTATACAAAATAGGTTCTTATATTTTCTTGTAAAAGTTGAATTGCTTGTTTACATTTAAGTGTTTGAAGATTCCGGGACTTATTACTGATTATGATATTAGATAGAGGTCTGTGCTGTTCCCCCAACCCCCTCTCCAGATAAAGAACTGGTTATGCCAGTACCAACCTCAACAGTACTGAACTATCATCTTGTTATACATTCACTCTCTTAATGAGACACAGTCCTAGATTCTCTAGTCTGTTCCACTGAACTATTTATGTAATTCTGGATCAATACCACATTGCTTTGATCACGAAGACTTCTTATTCTTAGCATGTTGTCATTACTTGTAAGCCAAATCTGCCCTCACCGGTTTTCTTTTCCATATTTGTCTTGGCTCCTCTCAGGTAGTACGTATTTATTCTTCTATAAAGACTTCAGGATTATTTTATTCAATTAAAGAGAAAACCCACCACTTTGGAAATTCTAACCGGAATCACAAGAAATTTACTTATTAATTTTGTAATAAGATACATTCAGGCATTACATGTTTTAATTTCTCTAGATTATATTTCACATTCTTCACTAAGAAGGTTACAGGTATTAGTTCAATGTCTTCCTAGGTTATCTGCTGCTATTGTGAAAGAAATACTTAACTTCCATTTCTAGGTGCTTATCTTCAAAACACAGAAAAGATAATTTCTAGAGACCTATCTTTTATCCAGCTTCCTTGACAATTGTTTCTGTTGATTTTAGATTTTTTACTAGATGCTCTTGCGATTTCTAGACATATGACCATTTCATTGTCTTACTCCACTCACAAGAACCTCTAAGATAATATTAAATACTAATTGTAAAATGTAAGATTCTTCTCTCATTCCTAATTTTAATTGAATGGCTTTAGTGTTTTGTCTTTTAGGAAATATTTGCTGTGGTGTGTGTGTGTTTGTGTACACATATATGGCCTTTATGTTTAAGTAATTTATTTTTATTCCTAGTTCGCTTTCTCAGATTGTACTATATTAGGAATGGCTACTAAACTTTTTCAGATAGGTTTCTAGCCTCTACTGACTTATTCATATATTCCTCTCCTTCAATATGATTGTGTAACAACTGATGATAGTGATGAGTTTCTAACAGTTAATCACCCTGGTGTTACTGGAAAATAACTATTGATTATAGTGCATTCGTGTTTTGATGCACCCAAGAGTCTATTTGTTAATAAATTATTTTAAATTTCTACATTTACTTTCATAAATAATATTGATCTTTATTTTTATTTTTTTAATTCATCAGATTTTTAAATTAAAATTTTGATGGTTTTATAAAATGAACTGGGAACCTTTCCATGTTTTAGTATGTCCTGGAAGAGTAAAAATAACACTCAAATTTTCTATTTTTTCAAGCCAGTGTGACCAACATGGAGAAACCCCGTCTCTACTAAAAATACAAAATTAGCCGGGCATGATGGCACATGCCTGTAATCCCAGCTACTTGGGAGGCTGAGGCAGGAGAAGCACCTGAACCTGGGAGGCGGAGGTTGCAGTGAGCCGAGATCGCACCGTTGCACTCCAGCCTGGGCAACAAGAGCGAAACTCCATCTCCAAAAACAAACAAACAAACAAAACCTCAGCTGGAAATCCATGGATTCCTGGTGCCTTTCTCAATGGTAACTTTTAATCATCTTTCCTATCTCTTCTATAGTAATTGGTCTATTCAACTTTTCCATGCTTCTTGGATCAACTTTGGTAATTTGTATTTTCCTAAGAAGTCAGCCCTATATTTTCAAATGTGTTGCCACAGGGCTGCATGTAATGTTTTCTTATAAAGTCTATTGATATCTCCTGTGTCTCCTTTCTCATTCCTATTATCTATTTCTTTCTTTTTTGTTGTTGTTGATGTTGAGACGAAGTGTCGCTTTTCTTGCCCAGGCTGGAGTGCAATGGAGTGCTCTTGGCTCACCGCAACCTCTGCCTCCCAGGTTTGGGCAATTCTCCTGCCTCACCTCCTGAGTAGCTGAGATTACAGGCATAAGCCACCATGCCCGGCCAAATTTGTATTTTTTTAGTATGGATGGGTTTCTCCATGTTGGTCAGGCTAGTCTCAAACTCCCGACCTCAGGTGATCCGCCCGCCTTGGCCTCCCAAAGTGCTAGAATTACAGGTGTGAGCCATCATGCCCGGCCTCTCATTCCTATTATCTAGTTCTAAGTTAGGATGATTTCTTTCTGTTCCTGAGTTAGGATAATGAGAGTTTACTTTATTGGTCATTTCAAATAACCAGCTATTGGATTTACATAACTTTTAAATCTTATCATCTCCTAATTCCTCCCTCCTAGTTTTTATATTTTTTTGTTTACTTAGTTGATCTTTTTCTAATTTCTTAGGATGCAGACTCAATTCTTTACTTTTTACCTTCATTAAATAATGAACGTAGGTCTTTTCTCCAGGTGATATGCTCTATGATGCTTAGAATTTTTACAAAGACCAAGAAAGAAAAATACCCAAGATGAAAACGTTATGAGTCACAAGGCAAGTAAGTAATGGAACTAACAGGCTAGTTGTTGGCATTCTAAGAAAGGAGGGGGAAGAGTAAACTGTCCCTAGTGGGGGCGGGGGTGGGGTGTGCAGAAAGAGAAGGAGGAGGTAAAGGAGGGGGAGGTGGAGGAGGAGGAGGTGGAAGAGGAGGGGGGCAGTAGGAGGTGGAGGAGGAGGAGGAGGGGGCAGGAGGAGGGAGAGGAGGAGGAGGGGGAGGGGGGGAGGAGGAGGGGGAGGAGGAGGTGGAAGAGGAGGTGGAGGTGGAGGATGAAGGGGGAGGAGGAAGTAGTGGAGGAGGAGGAAGTAGTGGAGGAGGAGGTAAGGGAGGAGGAGGAGGTGGAGGAAGAGGAGGGGGGCAGGATGAGGGGGAGGAATTGCTTCCATTTCCTGAGTGCAGGCCGAGTTTGAACTATAATCTCTTATCTATTATCTTTCTTATCCCATTGTTAGGTTTTCACTCTTCATTTCACATTTTGGGAAACATGTTTGGGTTCATATTCAGGCTTAAAAAACTAACCAACAAACAAAAAAATTCCCACTGGAATGAATCCTGCAGTCAGACTACATTTAGCCTAATTTTAAAACTGCTATTAAATATCTAGAATCAGTGTTCCAAAGTGAAGGCACCCCAGGATCTCGAATCAGCAAAGGTTCACTCCCATGTCACGACAGTGAGCTCACTCATGCATAAATGTGGCCTAATATATCTGAGGAGTATTTTCAGCACAGCTTGATATACAGCTCTGTTAATCAGAAGAGCCAGTCATTCAGAACCCACTCCTTCTCCAGGTTCAGAAATGTACCCTTTTAAAAAGTGACCTTGTCTATGCAATAGCTTCAGACAGCAATTCTCAAAAACCAATGCTGAAGGGGCAAAGTGAATCTGCTTCTCCCAGGGTGAGAGGCTCTGACCTCATTAGAAAACTGTCTAAGGCCAGAAGCAAAGCTGCTACTATTTTCTTAATCCTCCCTACAGGGAATTAAGGATGACTTAAAAGGTCTCAACCTGGCCTGGGGAACTTGAAAATGACACTCGAATAAAATCACATTCATTTATGCTCTACTAATTCAGAATTATTTTTATGATCTGGAAAGAGTTTGGACTCACGTTTCCATTTTTAGACCCTATGACAACAGGCTGAGAAGGAGGCTCAACCTACTTATGGGAACAAATTTTAGATGCTCTGACTCATATGTAAACAACTGAAGTGCTAATAATTTATCTGTTAGTTAGAGCAAATACTTCTATTTGGGTTGCTACCATAAGCCCTTGTAAGAACTAGAACCAAAATGACAATGTTCATATGTCCTATATTTAATTTTGTCACTTTGTTCCTGAATACTTTCCCCCGAGTGAATCCCAGTGAATAAAATGTTACTATTATATTAAACCCCCATTAGAACAGGAACTCTTTGGTAGTAGGAACCATTTAATGTTCCAGTGAGGAAATAATACCACTCTGCTCTTTGTTGTTGTTGTTGTTGTTGTTGAGACAGAGTCTCACTCTGTCACTCAGGCTGGAGTGCAGTGGCATGACCTTGGCTCACTGCAACCTCCGCCCCCTGATTCTCTGCCTCAGCCTCCTGAGCAGGTGGGACTACACAGGTACTCACCACCATGCCAGCTATTTTTGTATTTTTAGTAGAGGCAGGGTTTCACCATGTTGGCCAGGCTGGTCTCAATATACCTCCCTTCTCTTTAAGTTATGTCAACTTTTTGGGGGAAAGGTCCAAAATTCCACCTTCCATGAACAAAAAACCTGACCTGGATCCTGCTTAAGCAACCTCAGATCCTGGTCAAGAGCCAGATGTCAGATGACACTCGTGAGTGAGTGCAGAGGCACGGCCAAGGGTGCAGCTGTACCCCAAACATCACTGGGGGATGGGCATGGTACTGCCGCTACTAAGTCATAGAAATTTTAAAAAGGTGGAACAGGGCCCAGGGACCCTCGGCTATCAAGTCTCTTAGAACCTACTGGCTGGTTCTGCACAGGACCACCAGCCCAAGTACCTTCATATATTCCTGTTGCACTTAGAGGTTAACAACCCTGTAGGCCATCCACTCTCACTCCCATCTATGCATATTACCCTGCCTGCCTTAACCCATTCTTCAGGGAGGAAACTACAGCTCCAGAACTGTAAGTAGGAGAGTTTCAAGGACGCTGCATTGGCTATAAACAAGCGCTGTTTCCAATTTCCCAGAAAAAAAAAAAAATCTCTAAAATAAGGTATTTGGTTGATTTCCCTCTTCCTGATCCCCACACAGCACTCTGGTTTTCATCTGTGAAAAATAAATGGAACAATCTCTGTTTTCCAAAGTTCCGTGATATACAGCTACTTGTCATGGTTAAAATATAAAATGGCGCCGGCTGGAACTTCCAGATATCCTTGTATCTTTTTCAAGCACTTTAAATTTCACTTCCTGGTGAAAATATTCTATCTGATTCCATTCTTGGCAAACAACCGTATGCTAAAGCTTAAAGAGAAAAGAGTGGATGGGAGAACTAATATGCACTTTCACAATGCAAAGGACAACAGGGGAGACACAATTCAAAGGTCTTTTCCTTGTGCACAGGATGGGTGGGAGAACTGAGTGCCTTTGGATCGTCCCTTATTCCATCACACTGTAGCAAGTGGTGTACCCCAACTGCCGATGAAGGTGCCCAGGTGGGGATGCAATTGATTCCTACCTGTATGTTCGTGCTGTAATATTTGCCCAATGAGGTCAAGGAACAGGAGACCACCATGCCTCCCACAAACACCCACACACTTAAATGCCTCCAACCTCAGCCAGCAATTCTGTTACTTCTCACTTCTGCGGATTTCTCTTCTCTTACTTGTGCTCTTTCCAGTTTTTGCCTATTATTTCTCCCACATATCTTAAGTTCTGTTGCCAGATCTCTATGCATACGTTACCATGTCCAGCAAAGATGAATTCTCCTGTACCTTAAGCAGCAGGCTGTCCTCCAAGAGCTTATACCTGAGGAGGGGAGGTTCAGACCCCGTGCAAACACAGATCCATAAACTGGTTACATTTGACTGGAAAACTTGATATAATCTTCAAACCGATGTTGCTGGGCTGAACCAAGCTACTCTCCTGCTGAAAGTTTGGGTTTTTGTTGTTGTTGCTGTTGTTGTTGTTTTGAGATGGAGTCTCGCTATGTCACCCAGGCTGGAGTGCAGTGGTGCGATCTCAGCTCACTGCAACCTCTGTCTCCTGGGTTCAATAGATTCTCCTTCCTCAGCCTCCCAAGTAGCTGGAATTATAGGCATATACCACCATGCCTGGCTAATTTTTGTATTTTTAGTAGAGACAGGGTTTCGCCACGTTGGTCAGGCTGGTCCCGAACTCCTGACCTCAGGTGATCCGCCTGCCTCGGCCTCCCAAAGTGCTGGGATTACAGGGATGAGCCACCGCGCCCCATGCTGAAAGTTTCAGTGCATCCTGTACCCAGCGCAAAGGGGAGCATCTTTCATTCCTCTGCAAATAGCTTTATTGCAATTAAGAGAAATTAAAGGAATTAAGGAAGCCATTGTACAGAAGGTGGTATCTGAACTGGATCTCATCAGCTAAGCAAAGTCCAGACATATGCAGAAGGAGGCACAAGGACACTAGGATTCTGAGGCCAGAAGAACAGCACAGAGGAAAACAAACATCAGAACATATACAGACAACCCAGACAGTCTAGCGTGGCTAGAACCAAGGGGATGTGAAAGGAAATGAGAGGGGACCTGGGTTAGACCAAAACTATATTCTACCAGAATGCCAGGGAAAGGGTTTGGGAGTTTTTTTTTTTTTAAACAATAATGCTATTTCTTAATTACTGGTGGTTTCTACCATTTCTCTGTGAAATCTTCAACTAATGACTAATGAATAGCCCTGAAATTTCAAGATCCGCCTTCCTACATGTTTTCTATTCTTACTAACTTAATCATCTCATTTCCCTCTCCCAACTGACACACTCCACAGTCCCTACCAGCTGCCTGCCTCCCTCCTTCTCTCCCTGCCAACCACACACACACACACACACACATACACACACACCCCTCTAGTCAAAATAGCCCAAGCTACTTATGATTATAAAACAAACTTTCAAATATTTTTACCAAAAACATTTCTTCTATATATAACTTCCATCATTTTTAAAAGGGTAAATATTTTTGCCAGGTGGCTGTATTTACCTTTCTTTAATCTCTTGTTATTCTCTTGGACATTTGTGAACACAACAGATTACTTGGTGTGTTAGCTCATGGCTTTACTGCTCATTCTCCTACCAACCCACAACTGTGCCTGTGCTAGCTAGAAGCTGGTGACCACAAAACTATATTAGTTCATTAGGAGTTAATTAAAAGGACTAAGAACCTCAAAAGCAGGAAACACAAATAGGACATAATAAAGATGATACCTTTGATTCTACATTGCTTACTCTACTTGGTCGATCTTAGAATATCTTATGGTTATGGATAAAATGTATTTGATGGGTTGAACTCTCAACCCAAACATCCCATATGGAGATGCTCACAGACTACTGGATGTCTGGATCTGATCCACATTCTGCTTTATCACTGGTTTGATGCCGAGTTCCTCCCCTGCCATTTTTTGATCTATTTTTTCCCTTTCTTCATCATACTCTGTTGGATTTCAGAGCTGGAGAGTTTCATTTTGTCTCGCAAACCATTTGACCTCTAGTGCTTTTTATAGCACCTTCTTGCTTCTTTTTTAAACATTCACATAGATGACCTTCAGAAAGATCTACAATACATATAAAACCTTTTATGTAATGAGTGTCTAATGTGAAGAACATGATGGACTATCTAAACTTATTTTTATAAGACTAAAGCTCAGAAACATAAGCAATTCCCATGCGTCATGACCTGTCACCAGTTAACATAATGTGAAGGAAAGTGATGAGAGTGATTTTCATTTACTTAGACGCCTGCTCATTCATTTGGTTGGAGCAATCCCAAGAAAACCTTGCCCAGTGGAAATTTCAAGGTTTCTATTAGACTGTAAGCATCTTGAAGTCAACGGACTTACTTTACTCCTTTATGTACTCCACATAACCACCTTGTCACATATACACCAAAAGCAAAATAACTGCTTATTGTGAATAAGTAAATCACCATTAATTATTTTGTAAATATATTTGTGCCTACAAGGTACAGACAGATCTATGATAAAGTCAGCTAGGCATTTTTTTTTTTGAGAAGGAGTCTCACTCTGTTGCCCAGGCTGTAGTGCAGTGGTGCAATCTTGGCTGACTGCAACCTCCGCTTCCCAGGTTCAAGCAATTCTCCTGCTTCAGCCTCCCGAGTAACTGGGATTACAGGTGCACACCACCACGTCTGGGTAATTTTTGTACTTTTAGTAGAGACGGGGGTCTCACCATGTTGGCCAGGCAGGTCTCAAACTCCTGGCCACAAATGATCTGCCCGCCTTGGCCTCACAAAGTGCTGGGATTACAGGCGTCAGCCACCACGCCCGGCCAGCTAGGTTTTTGGAGTCAAAATGGTTGAATTTTTTATTATAAGTCATTCTATGAAACTGGTTATTTTCTGTGGCTAAAAGCAGTGGCTTTTTCACAGCAGTTGGATTGAACTGGGTTCTCTAAAACCAGGGTGATAAGATTAGTATAAATCTTCAGACTGAAAAACTTTCTCTAATTATGCCCTTATAAATTGCAGTACACAGTTGTTATTTTTCAAATGCTACAAGTTTTTAGGGTCTGATTCACTAGTCTTCTCAGACAGTCTGGCAAGACTTAATTTGTCTGAGAGATCAACTACCAAATGGAGAATTTCATTTAATTATATAAAAAGTAAAAAAAAAAAAAATTGCAAAATGTTTTTACCAGTCATGGTTATTTTAACATTTACTAATTTGGGTATAGCTAACATAGTTTAGAAAAAAAAAAAAAGATCATCTGTTTCTTTGTATAAAAAGCTGTCTTTAAAAAGAAAACCCCTATACATTTACCAACATTCCATATTGTTATGCTCAACTCTTTCCTACAGTGTACTAGCTCTCATCACTGAATCTAGACATACTTAGATTATTACCACCACTTCCCAAAAATTTACCTTCCAAAACTGAAATGTAAGAGATTAGAAATACTAAATCTAACAATAAAGACTTTTATTTTATTTTTATTATGACAGTGGTTTCACTACTTGTAGTCACTTTTACTGCCAAGTCAGTTTGTGGATAATTTAAGAAGTAATTTGCAATTAAGTTTTTATTTAAGTATATCTAAGTATGCACTGAGGGCCAGGTGCGGCGGCTTACACCTATCATCCCAGCACTTTGGAAGGCTGAGGTGGTAGGATGGCTTGAAGCCAGGAGTTCTAGACCAGCCTGGGCAACACAGTAAGAATCCGTCTCTACAAAAAATAAAAAAATTAGTTGGTGTGGTGGTGTGTGCCTGTAGTCCCAGCTACTCAGGAGGTTAAGGTGGGAGGATCACTTGGGTCCAGGAGCTCAAGGCTGCAGTGAGCTACAAGTGTGTCTCAGTCCTTCAGCCTGGGTGACGAAGTAAAACCTTGTCTCTTAAAAAAAAAAAGTATGTACTGAGGCCCAATATTATCAGTTATTAACACAGGTAGATGTGCACACATGGACACACCTCACAGCAGCAGTAAAACAAATAAATTGAACTAGTAACTTACATAGTGGTGTGTATACTAGCAAGCACAATAGGCCCTTAACAACAATGATGAGAAAATAAATAAAGCTAGGGCACTTGTCAAACAAAAGGAGTATGAAGTATCAGAGACAAATGGCGAAGGATGAAGGCTGTGTTGAATGTATGCAGCAGGAATGGATGGCTACGCTATCCAAGAAAGACCCTACCACCCAAAGGATCAAGTCTGAACCCCTTCCAGGGGGAGGCTGGTGTGAACAGGACAGGCAGGCTGGAGGAGCGCACCAGGAGGAAGTGCAAATCCACGTGTTGAAAAGGAACTGCATCATCCCTGTTTGCAAACCGCTGTTGCATGCTCCTCTGGAGAAAGCCACCAGTCCAGCGCTTCTCCAACCTGACTGCATGAGTCACCCAGGGAATCCAGTAATTGGTAGATTCTATCTCAGCCCCTCTGGGGCAGGGCCTGACATCTTACATTGCTGATGAGCTCCGGGGATGCTGCTGCCCATGGACCACACTTTGGCAAGCACTGTCCTGGAGGACAGCCTGGCCAATAATAGGCAGAGGGAAAGAGAGTTTAACAGAAAGAATATCACCTGCCAGGCAGGGAACAGGAGACCTGGGCTTCCGGCTCTCCCTTTGTTTCCTGCTCTCAGGTCCTTTAGCTGTAAAACACAAGGGATCTCTTAGGTTCCTTTGTAGCTTTAAAAACTTGAGGCAGGAAGAAAGGTTTATGGCCTGAAGAGCTGCACCTCTTAAATCAGGGATTAAAGATGAGGACAGAGCTTTAGAGAATAAAAGGTTACTGAGGAGCTGCACATCTTCAAGGCAAGAGAGGAAGAATTTACTTATTTTTATTGGAATGCCTCGACAAAAATACCAAATGACATATGCCCAGGGCTATTTTTGCAAAACAATGGACAAGTCTGAGAATAACTCAAGTGTCCATCAATAGGGGACTGACTGAATGAACTTCCGTCAGCGTATAGCACAGAGTTATAAAAAGACAAGGGAATTCTCTGTATACTGACATTGAGTGAGTTCCAGTATACAACGCTAAGTGAAAAAAAGAAAACCAGGGCTCAGAACAGTATGTACCATGTGCTGCTTTATGAGTAAGAGAAAATACAAATATATCCATACTCTTTCCAAAAAGGGCAATGGAGGAGGGATAATCCCAGAACAAATAAAGACAGTTACCTATTAGGGGGCAGGGATGAAAGGTTGCCTTAATACACGAACGTAATAAGAACATAAACATAAACATAAACTGTGTATCAAGTTAGTGGTGAACTCATATAGAGAAACATTATTTCACCTGACTTTGAAACCTGTTTCTATTGTCATCCCTGATGGTATATGCTAAATAAAAAAGGACTGCCAAGAAATATTTAACTGCCTTCAGTAGCAATAAAGATAGTAAACTGTTAACAACGGTTGAGGCTGAGTGATGGGGTTTCATTATGCTGTTGGCTCTCATGTTGTCTTCTCTATTTTAGTATATGTTTGAAGAATAATTTAAAAATAGCTTTCCAAATAATCTTCTGCTTTTTTTTTTTGAGACAGGATCACACTCTGTCACCCAAGCTGGAGTACAGTGGCGTGATCTCGGCTCACTGCAACCTCTGCTTCCTGGGTTCAAGCAATTCTCCTGCCTCAGCTTCCCAAGTAGCTGGGATTACAGGCAGGCACCACCATGCCTGGCTAATTTTTGTATTTTTAGTAGAGATGGGGTTTCACCACGTTGGCCAGGGTGGCCTCGAACTCCTGACCTCAAGTGATCTGCCCGCCTTGGCCTCCCAAAGTGCTGGGATTACAGGCGTGAGCCAATGCACCAGCCTAATCTTCTTTATCTAACATTAACATACACACACTGAGCAAGAATACAAGAGAGTCCAGGTTTGCAACAAAGACAACCTTAGTCCACCAAAAGTGAATATCAATATATATAAGATCTAAGATACAAGTAGGTAAGAAGGTGGGGAAGTGGGGCCACACCTGACTCCTACTGCAAAGTAATAGATTCAGCATCTGTACAGACCTCACTGTATTCAAATACATTTTATATTATCTCATTCTGTTTTCACAACAAAATTGCAGGATGACTCCTCTGCCCACCTGTAGCGAAGGTAAGTGACTCGAATTGATTCCAGCTCAAGTTCTTTCATCTGTAAGTCCAGTGCTTTTCATACTGGCCCCTCTGGTAGCCCCACTAACAGGAGTGTGGGGGCAGGAATGGGGTTCACGAACCTAAAGCCAACAATCTCCAGTAGTACTTTAAAAATTCATGCTAATTTTTAACTTTGTTCCATAACATATCCACGTTATCTTAATACGAAAATAGTGTATTTCATGACTTACCGTCAATTAAAATAGGCCTGCATATGTATTTTGTGGCTTTACAGACCCAGAAGCCACAATTACTTATTCTGATTATCAGAGGCATTAAATGGCACCAGCCTCCCTGAGGCAGTGATAGCTGTCACCCAGCAAAAAAATGGGACAAGTCCCATTGTCCAGCTAGCACATTGCTGGTAGCACTTCCAGTTGACAGTATTTCAACTGGCACCTACATTTTCTGTTAATGTAACTTTTTAAACCTGTAAATTCTGTCTAGTCTTTTAAATACATCACCCAGAAATGAGTTAGTGAATGCAATGGAAAATAAATTAAAATCACATAATATGGTTTGAAATGGTTCAAAATTATCTGGGCACATTTTTAAAAGAGCCATTTCATGGCTACCCTGAGCAGAGAGCCGAGATAACAAAGAACATACCTTTGCAGCAGCCTATTTCAAAGAAAAAGAAAACAGTAAGATTGACTACTATATCTGTTAACAAAATGGCAGCAATTTTGTTTGTGCTTTTTTAATAAACTTTTTTGTTTCAGACTTAGAGAATTATTATAAAGATAAGATAGAGTCCCCACGTACCCTGAAGCCAGTTTCCCCTATTATTAAGATCTACATTGGTTCAGGACATGTCTCACAATTAATGCATCAAGGTTGATTTATTATTAACAAAATTCCACACTTTATTTCCATTTCCTCAGTTTTTCCCTAATGTTCTTTTTCCTGTTGCAAGATGCAATTTTCTTTCCATTTAAATTCAACCAGAGGAAAGCTATTAAGCTAATAACAAATTCAGGCCTAAGAGACTAGAATGTTTCTCAAGGCATCCTTAGCTAAAGAAAAATGCAGATGTTGGATGAAATACCAGAGTCAGCTCTTCAACAAACCAACCTTCATCTATATAGCATCAGAATCACCACTTCAGAGAACTTAAATGAACTTAAACTTAAACATGGTCTCAAACTGCTGGGCTCAAGCAATCCTCATGCCCCAGCCTCCTAAAGTGCCGGGATTACAAGCGTGAGCCACCGTGCCTGGTCTTCCACAGCATTTCGTATACGGTCAACCAGTACCGACGCTTTAGGCTGTGTGTCAGGTGCCATCCTGTGCAATGTAGAAAGTGGAGCAGCACCCAGGCCTCTACACACTAGATGCTTGCCAGCTTCACACCCCACTCCCTTGAATATGACAATGAAAAATGTCCCCAGATAGTGTCAAATGTCCCTTGTGGGAGAGAAGGCAAAACTGCCACTGGTTGAGAACCACCGGCTTTAAGCAATTCATCATATGGATAAATATATCAAAATTTCTATCGCAATGTAAGAAGATGTCAACGTGGATTAAACAACTATTTTTATTAGTTGTTTAATTAGATTTAACAATTTTTATTAGACTATATAAATGAGTATTTGTCTTAGAAAATATAATCAATATGAAAACCAAAGAAGGCCGGACGTGGTGGCTCATGCCTGTAATCCCAGCACTTTGGGAGACCGAGGCAGGCGGATCACCTGAGGTCAGGAGTTCGAGACCAGCCTGGCCAACATGGCAAAACCCCGTCTCTACTAAAAATACAAACATTAGCTAGCACCTGTAATCCCAGCTACTTGGGAGGCTGAGGCAGGAGAATTGCTTGAACCTGGGAGGTAGAGGTTGCTGTGAGCGGAGATTGCGCCACTGCACTCCAGACCTGGGTGACAGAGTGAAACTCCATCTCAAACAAACAAACAAAAAAACAAAGAAGCCAAAAAATAGTTGTTCCTGTCAACTATTATGAATTAGTGCTTTGTAAAATAATAAATGTAATGTATAGGTTTAATAACTCCCTAGAAACAAGGAATTCAAATTAGAAATCATTCTTAACCCTTTCCATCCTAGGATTCTAAGGTAAACATCAGATTCTATAACTAGCAGCCAAACCAATAAGCATGAGACAGAACTTGGTCTGGGAAAGAGGCCAAGACAGATAACCCATGACCACTGTGTGTCCCCCAGCTCCCCGACACTCCACCTTAGAGGACCATGGAAACACTGCCCAGGGATCCTTTTGCCACCAGCAATTAAAATAGGCCCCATTCCCTAAAACAAAATTCGGGCCAGGGAGTAGAAAAGATCCAGTTGGGAAGGACATACCTGATAAACGCTTTAGGCTGATGTCCCCAGCTTCTTACATGTCACTCTGCTTAATTTGGGATTGGAGGTAGCAAGGAATAAGCCAATAATCCCCAGTTCTCAAGGGAAATCTGATAGGCTGCAGGACGGTGCCATCCAATTTTTCAAAAAGTGGTTTTAAAAGTTGTTTCTTAAAATAAATTTTAAAAAAGGGCCACCTCTCATTTCTGCAGCTCTGAAAGCTTTTCTTTCATCTTTGTAAAGTTCTCGACATAAACATGTAGAAATACCACCATCACATATCTAGGTCAGAAGAAAGGGCTAACTTTACCTATCCTACAGTTACTAGGCCATCCAGACAGCTCTTTCCTTTATGTAGGGGTGCCAAGGGGTGTCTGAGCAGAAAGGTGAAGAAGGCAGGTTGGTGCCAAAGAGACCCAGGCTATTATCACTTGCAGGTGAGAACCTTTGATCAGCCGCTGCCACCCCCACCCCCACCCACTGGAGAGTGTGTGGGGCAGCGCCTTCCCTCAAGCAGGCTCAGGGGAGAGGCTCACCAGAAAGTCCTCGGATTTTAGGAACCCTCAAGCCCTCCACCCAACAGGCTGCTCTGTGGTTGCTCTCTTCTGCTGAACAGCTTTGGTTCCACCTCATCGGTCTCAGCCCAAATTCCATCCAAGGCAAAGAGAGCACATAAAGAGAAAACTGGCCATGCCCAGTTCCTACAGGTGGGCAGGTGGCTGGCAGGGAAGGGATCACATGGGAGGACCACGGAGCTCGGCCTGTGCATACTAACCCAGCTCAATGTTAATCAAGGCAAAGGATCATTTACATTAAAGATCATTAACCAGGTACTTGGGTCCCTTGGCAAGAGGTGAGAGTTCGCAAGTTGAAAAATGCATCTGGATCAAGGGGCAGCCGCTTGTTGCCAAACACAGGTGTGGGTAGTTTCAGGAGAAGGGCACGTCAATGGCAAGGAAGGAGCAGAAGCAAACGGGGGTGTCTCAGGAGGGGGCCCCGTTTCCTTCTTGTAAAGCTGCTCCCACCCACAGCCACACTCCATTCAGTCAGGTTTATGTGCTGTTCTTCCTTGTCCCTTATGAGGTAGAACCATCACCTTGCGTGCAAAGCAGCTTACAGGTAAGGAATTATAAACAGGTTAAGGTTTATGGCGTTTGTCTTGCCAATTTTCCATCTCTCAACAGAAACATCTCCTTTTAAGGTGACGGCCCAGGCTCTATCATGGCAAGTCCCACCCAAAAAGGAAGGCACTTCCCTCTCTATTCACTAAACCACTTTGCTGTTCCTCCCACATCCAGGGACCCAATGCCACACAATTCTCAAGCACAACGAGAAGTCGCCATCAAGCAAACAGGGTCAGAAGTTCAATTTCACACATTACCGACCGCCACGGTTTTGAAGATTTCTGGCAAATGTTCTTTCTGACATGCTTCAAGTTGCTGCACATGCTCGGTGCCCTCCTCCTCACCATCTCCTCTTCCCCCTCATAAAAATCATCAGGAGCTCCCGTCTCAGCCTTTGTCTAAGGCAGCCTGAGACTTTCTCATTGTTTATACAGAATTATCCAAAAAGAGCAGGCACTGCCCTGGTTTTCTATTCCAGCATTAACCTAATTCAATTTTCCTCAAGTTATATGTTTACCGGAGAGTATTACCTGTGGCTGATGTTAAAAAAAAAAAAAAAAAAAAAAAAAAAGAGAGAGAGAGAACAGAAAAGTAGAGCCCCAATATCCCTGCTAGTAAGATTAGGTCAAAGAAAAAGACAGATTAATTTCTACATCTTTTTTAATGGCACATAACATGGGTAGTCTTTAACTTAGAGTAAAGGAAAACATAAGTGCCAGTTTTATTTTCTCTTAAAGGGAATAACAGTTTGTATGTTTGAGGGCTGAAGAATGCAGTAAAAGACAATGAGTAATGATTATGCACCTCATTTACAATTTTTTAAAGTTCCTAACTGCACGTTTATCCATATAAGAGCAAAATCATTTAATCTGGGTGAATACATGTAAAAACTCAAGTTAGGGGTCATGTGACTCATCCCCAGGTATTTCCTGTAAAGGTTATAAAACAAATGAGAAAGTGTGTGTATCCCAGGAGGTGAATGTAAAACAATAGAGAAGTATGTTGTCCCATCACGAGCTGGCTGATTGCATTAGCTATGCTCTAAATTGAACTTATTTCACAGTGAAGCCTACAAAGAATCAAATTTTAAATAAAAGATCTGTCCTCGCTTCACCTGAGGTTTTGAACTCAGAAATTTGAAAATTTCTGAACTCTGCATGACAGATTCCTTTACAGTGTCTATTTTTGACATTTCAGGAACACAGTGATGACAAATGCAGTAATTTATTCATAAAAGGGGGGAGAGGCACCAGAGCAATATCTGTGTAATTTTTGACTGCACCACCCTGAAGAAAAGAGGTTAGAAACAAGATGATACAGGTTAAATACATAAATAATTAAAATGTTTTCACTGTGCCGCCTTTTGATTTTGAAGCATGCAAAAAATGTCTAATGGACATTTTAAAAAGAAAGCAAGCAAGTTCAAATAATCCCCCTAATCCTGCACATTTGGGTTAAAGCTAATGGATTCACGGTAAGAGAACCTTCTCCTGATGCTGTGGGCACTAATCGAGTAATAAAGGGAACGGAACCTTCGGTGGCACTTACCAGATTCCAGGCAGGAAGAGCTCGTCTGAAGTGGGGAGCGGAGAGAGAGGCAGGTCTAGATGCAGATGGTCTGTTTCCCCTAACAACAGCAACGGCGGCGAGGAGAAATCCTGGTCTCCGCCAGCTCCCGGCCAGGTAACCAACAGCCTGGAGTGGGAGGTGCCGTGCTGGGGAGGCACCGCGTGGACAGGGCTCTGCAGCCGCTCCCGCCCAGGTAGGGCCCTGCGCAGCCACCCACCCGGGCACCCTCGCGCGGCTTAAGCCTGTCTGGGTTGGAAGCTGCTGCCGCGGATGCCTGCCTCTCTCGAATCGGGAGCAAATTCAAATGTGGGGAACACGGAAGTGCCTCATCAGAGGCAGCAGAGCCAATGACTATAGGAGGAACTTCGTGTATTCAAGAGACACAAAAAAGCAATTCAAACCACAGCCCCACAATGCTGCCCTTGCAACAAAACAACACCAGGGAAGTTATGATAACAGCCAACTTGCCATGAGACGTGTGTATACCTGGCTTGGCCCAGGTGACCCTGGAGCCTCAGGGATCCCTCTCAGGTGTATGGAATGCCCCTTTTGGAATATCAGTGGCATCTTTTCCTAAATGTCCATAGCAATGTTAAAAAGAAATACATTCAAGGCAATAAGGAAACTCCTCTAGATACTTCTGTTTAAATTACTGTCCCACTGTCCTCACATACAGGGCATGAGCCTGTATTTTCATCAGCCAAAACTAGCTTTGGATCCCATCTCCACTAGCTTCGTGACATCCAGCAAGCTTCTTGTCCTATGCCACCTTTGGCATTCTTGTTTGTAGAAACAGCCTTGAAACCTCTTTCACGTGCTGCTTTTGGACCACCGGTCCTGCAATCAATGTGCTTTTTTTACATTTTCTTGTCTTTCACAGTTCCCCGTGGCTCTAAAAGTATTATCCGAAATCAACCAGTCACCCCTTTCACCTTCTCTCAGTTTAAAAATGGATCCAGTGCATACCCAATAGCAAAATATTTTCCTCTTTACTCTCATTTTTTTTTTAACTAATGTCTCCAACAGATTAGGGAGGCCAATTTTAAAATCATTTTTGCATACAACGGTCAAACAAACAGATCCCATGACCCCACAGCCCAAACCCTGCCAGGGACAACAAGTTGCAGCCCAAGGCAGAGGGGGTTTCTTCTGTTTAAAGTTCTGTGTAAATTCCCACTTCAAGGCCAAGAACAGGCCCCTTTTAAGAGCCAAGAGTGTTGAGGAAAATAAAGGCTTTATTGAGCCAAAAGGTCTTTTTCTTGAATGCTCCCTTTTAAAAGGCAATTATTTCTTACAATGGGAATTTACAGCTTACTTATATTAGCACTCTTCGATAAGATAAGAACGACCAGGGCATGGGTGACCGGCCCAACACTTATCAAGTGAATGTCCATGGGAGGGGGAGATGCAGAGTCCCACCTGGGCCAAGAGGCCGCATCACCATCTGCTGGTGGCTCCTGCTTTTACAGTCATGAGCCCTACACCATCTCCCATCTCCTCTGTAGCAGGCAGCCCATTAGAATTCCTGCTTTATTACATTAACATTCTCACAGCTTAGTTTGGCTGCTCAAGGACAACCCTTGTTCTTTCCCACCAGATCTTCTTTCCAACCTTCATTCTTTCCCACAGACTCGTAATCAGGCCACTAACGACAGCGGGGAGCGTAAAAGTTCTCTTCCCTACCCACCTCGCGTGATGCGGTGACACAGAATGAAATTCACAACACACATGGAGAAAAGGAAAACAACCAATCCTTCCCCAGAACGGAACAGCTAAGAGCCAACGCTACTGAAAACCATGGGGCAGGCATCTCCACCGAGTGCAGGGAAGAGGCCAGGAGAAGACCCAGGAAATAAATTTAAAAAGGGACAGCCTTTGAGCTGGTCCCTGACCGGTGAGCAAGACTTAGCTGTTCAGGAAAGCTGTGTGGCTGGAGCAGAGAATATACTGGAAATCAGAGAGGTCAAAAACAATGAGCAGGAGATATCGGAAGAAATGTTCCTAACCACTTCACTCTTCCAAAGCCTTCACCCATCTCTGGTGAATATATCTAGGTCCAGCAGGGTCTCAGAAGCAGATGCCAACCTGAGGGGAATATTTACCAGATGACGTGAAGGCCGTGGAAAAAGAAGAAATTGGAAAATTCATTATTTAAGTGGTGTGTGTAAGTTGGATACTCTCTAAAACGATACCAGTAATTTCTAAAAAAGATCAGGGGGAAGAGAATAAATCTGGGTTTTACAGGCAGCTGTGATGAGGGCTGGGTGACCAGCTGTGCCACAGCTGGCAAATGTGTCTACACGTAGTAGTGGCATCTGTTTGCAGTATGACAGGAGAGGGTGCCTCTTTTAGGTACAAAGGAAGATAGGAATTATCACAGAACTTCATACCACATAAAAGGTCCTGTCTCTTACTTCCATTACCCCAGTATATTATTTGCAAGTCTGTGAAATTAAGTATATGATTGGTATTTAGTTTAATTTTATACCAGAATAATTTGATCAAGAGGTAAATTTCAGTACCTTCTGTCTTCCAATCAGATGTACATTCTCATATATAAAGTATTCCAAAGAAATAGCTCCTAAATAAAATGACTCAAATCAAGAAATAGTCTCGCATCTGACCTCATCCACACCCTATACACTGGTCTTACTCTCCTCTTAGCCACTTCACTGTAAAAACCTTTGCAACTGCCACAGGTGCATGCCCCAAACCATACATGCTGTTGTGCTGTGTTGGAACATGATCACATCAAACTAGGATATCAATTGTTTAAAATGATCAGAAGTGAAGAAAGCAGGCAGAAAGACAAGTCTATACATTAAAGGATCCTTTTCTTTCTTTCTTTCTTTTTTTCACATCTGGAAATCTATGGCCTATGTTCAAGTGCCAGGCTCAGCTCAAATTAGCAAGTGATGATAAATTCCTGGAGGCCTAGAACTCCGTGTTCTTCATCTCCCAGTACAGTGCCTTTCGACATAAATAGATGGTTGCTGAACTCCCCTCAAAGAGACAGGTACCTGTGGGCTGCATCACCACCAGCGAACCCAGCAGACAGCACAGATGCCTGCATTCAGCTAGGTAGGAAACTAACCATGTAAGCAGTGAAAAGCATGTCAAGACAGCTAGGAAAAACCATTAAAGTGAGTGGTAAACTGTTGAAAGGCTAACGTGAATCACTAAACTAGAGAAGCTAGGAGTCAGGAGACCTGAGAACTAACCCTGATGATGCCCTTAAATACCTTCTTTGCTTAAGACAATTTAATATCTTAACCTTTGAGAAAATAGGAAGCCTATCACAAGACAGGCAAAAGGAACTTCCCTGCCACTGTCTCCCCTTGTTACCAAATTAACGATGGCACCTTACACACAGTCAATAGTGCCTCAGAACCAAGAAATCATTTCTGATCTTGAACAATGCATTTAATGTCTGTATGTTAAGATGACAGCTCCTTGTCACACAGTTTAATGGTCCAGGCTCACATATTTAGGAAACCAGGATTGAAAAGCCAACTCAAATGCTATCATCATTAAGTTTTTTTAAATTATTATTATTTTCTGTAGCTCAGGCTGGAGTGCAATGGTGCAATCTCAGCTCACTGCAACCTCCAACTCTTGTATTCAAGCTATTCTCCCACCTCAGCCTCCCGAGCAGCTGGGACTACAGGTGCATGCCACCACACCAGGCTAATTTTTGTATTTTTTGTAGAGATGGAGTTTCACCGTGTTACCCAGACTGGTCTCAAACTCCTGAACTCAAGTAATCCAGCTGCCTCAGCCTCCCAAAGTGTTGGGATTACAAGTGTGACATTAAGCAAGTTTTTATCAAGCTTGTACCATGTACCTTGTCAGCAATGGGGTTTCCCAGATTGAATCCCAATCCCAGCATTGGAGTTTCCCAGATTGCTTCCCCTTGAAGCACTGGGGTTTCCCAGATCAGGGCTCGCCTCTCACTGCCCACCAGGTATAACTTTTCTGAAATCACCAATTATATGCCTGTTATCTGTGCATGCAATTTAGAACTTTGGCTACACACTGAGGGTGGCAGGAGTATATATGCTGGTTATACACCAAGTTCTAGCTTAACGTGATTGTTTTGTAAGAAGACTATCTCACCAATAAAATTTTAAGTTGTACATACCAAGGCCAATGTTTTTCTTAGCAATTTACCTATTATAGCAGAGCTAACCTTCAGATCACCTCAGTCCAGGGAACTTACCTGCAAAACCCAAATAAATAGAAACAAACCTCTGGATTCTGAAATAGGGGCCATCAAAAGCCAGGCCCTTGATCTCAGAGCTTCATTAACCGACTGTAACACAATTCTGAACAAGCTTCATTACTGAGCTTCCCATTACAGAGATTAGGCTTCTAATCAGCAATAAAGCATGTCAAATAGCATTACTGTCTCTCCTATAGGAACCAGACACACCAAACACACCAGAAAATGTGGTGACAGGGGGGTTATTCATTGATACAAATGGCAATTAAAAATCTCAGCCCTTATAATTATCAACAGTCCACTTAAAAATCAGTTTGTTGTAAGTTCTTTTTATCACTAGTTTTTGTTTTTTCTTTCTTAAAATATTATACTTTTAGAGACAGAGTCTCACTCTGCCACCCAGGCTGAATGAAGGGCAGTGGTGTATTCATGACTCACTGCAGCCTTGACCTCCTGGGCTCAAGCAATCCTCCCACCTCAGCTTCCTGAGTAGCTGGGGCTACAGGCACACACCACCACGTCTGGCTAACCTTTTAAAAATCTGTAGGTATGGGGTCTCACTACGTCACTCGCTATGTTCAGGATGGTCTCGAACCCCTGGCCTCCTAAAGTGCTGGGATTTTAGGTGTAAGCCACCATACCCAGCCTTTTTATCACTGTTACATCTTCTATTTGATGGCAGAAAAAGACAGATTTAAATAATGGAGGTAAAAGGTAAGCTAAGAAGTATAAATCATAGGTTCTCACTCAAAGAGGTAACTTTAATATCTAAATCTAAAATAAACCCTTCCAGTAGTAAATGCAATACAGATTCTTCACAAGAAAAGTGTATGTACATCTCCTGTATACAGACACACTTACACATATACATACTTAGTTAGAAGAAAAGAAAATAAACACTCATGAGCCTGCTTCTCTGAGGTAATGCTACTAATACATTAGGGCATTAATACCCTTCAGACCTTCATCTATATTTCTGTATTATGTGTTTCCTAAGATGAGATCAAATTATACAAACCAATCTACAATTTACTTTTCATTCTATGTTATAAAATGTTTCCATAACATTAAATACTTATCTGTAACATCATTTCTAATGGCTTTATACTATTCCATTATAAAGATATACCATTATTAAGCTAATTTAGGGTGCTTCAACTTTTTCATTATAAGCAATGCTTCATCTTAATAACTAATTCTTTAGGTATATGACACACACACACTCTCTTTGGATAGATAAGGATAAAATATAACTTCATACTTCCTTAGGAGAGTTTCTTTGCATGAAGTGTGTTTGCTAGATAACAGGCATGCACACTCTTCCTTCTATGTATTTGATACTTTGAACAATATGTTAATTGAAGAAAATTTAGAAATTCAGAAAAAGCAAATATAACTTATACTCCTACCACCCTAACATAATGTTAATAGTTTGCATACCCTCTCCAGTCTTTTCTAATTATATCTTTTTTCCCTAAAAACGATTTGGAATACTTGGTTTGGTTTGACTGGAGTTTTGATTCTTTTTTAGAGAATTCCACATAAGAGATTCCATTTACCTACTTCAATAACATGGATCGTAAAACTCTTATTCAATAAAGATATGAAATAGAAGATACTTGACTTCTGCTGGATGACCCAATGTGGAAAGAGGAAGGGATGAAGTAAGGAGAGAAAGGTGGGGATGGAGGAAAAGGAGAAGGGATCGAGGTGTGCCCACCGCTGTGGGTCACGGGCTTCACTATGAGCTATCACTACCTCTGAAGTCACTCAGTGACCATTAGTTACAACAGACGAGTTCATGTGAAGAAAAAAGCCAAAACCACTGGCCAGAGAGGAAATCACCCTGGGCTGACCAGGATGTGTGCAAGGCCCCACTTCAACACACCTGAATTCTGATTTACACGTTCGTTATTGGAATTGAGGGCTGCTAACTCCTTAAGCTGGCTGCCAGCAGATGCACTTGTTCTGAACTTGGACAGCCCCCTAGAGAGCCCAAAACTCACAACAGTCTAGCTGTACAGGTTAAATACGCCCAAGGAAAATCGAGGGTTTTAAAACATAGCCATTTATACTCTAGGCTCATTGTTTGTAAGTTATTTTCTTCCTCCAGGTGTATTATTTCAACTCCTGGGGTGTAAAGGTCACTGCCTGTGGTTTGGGTTTTGGAAGAGACGTACCCCAGAGCACACCAGGGCTATGGAGTTCAAGTGGGGAATGCACCAGCTGGGGCTGAACTTTTAAAGACAAAAGATCCTGTTGCTGCCTTTCAAACAGCAGGCTTAGCAGACAGAGAGAAAGGCAGCGACAACCTGACGTGGGCTTTATAAAGTCTAAAAATAGGTACTTGCAGCAGAATGGTTTCTTTAGAGAACAATTTTAAAGATTCCCAGGAGGTGTCAGCTGTTCACCAGATATTGGATGAGGATAAAGGCTTTTGGAGCTGTCAGGGGATCACAAAGCCCACGGTGAGGGCCCCCGAGACAGGTGAAGAAAAGGTCTTGGTTCAAAATCCTGCTCATGACAAAGTGGCCCGGGAGAGAAGATCTCTGATTCAGGACAGCAGCACTCAACAGGAGCTAAGAATCCACTCCTGGCTTCTACCTTGCCACACAGACTAACTGGAAGACTATTAGGCCATGCAATCATTTTCTCTAGAAAGACAATGAATTAACCCACTTTCAAGACTAACAACTACAGATTACTTGTGAAGAGACAGTCTTCTCCATAATGCAGGCATTAATATGCATCTGCTTAGCTTCCATTATTCAAAAACAATGTTGGAGGCAGGTAGGTTAGTGCAAAGCCCTGGCCACCAATGTGCTGTTATATGGAAAGTCAAGGGCAGAAGCTGTGGGACCAGAGCAACACAGGGCTTGAGAGTGTACTGGGGCCAGATTCAAATTGGACGTGCCCCACGGCACACTGGAATACAGGCCAGGACAGAATTAGGAGCCCCAAGGCTAGTCCTGCCTCCCCATGTCACTTCAGGTCCTTGAGGGAACAAGCAGCCTCCCAGACTCTGTTTCCCAGTCTGCAGAGGTGGACCCACTCGGTGGTTCCTGACCCTGGCCACCCACATCTCACTCCAGGCCAAGGAAGTCACTTGCTTTGGACTGAGTCTTGGCAACAATATGTTTTTGGAGCTCCCAGGTGACGCTAATGCTGGGACAGGCTTGAGCACCACTGGTGCTAGGGTCCCTTTGAGCCCTATGTTCTGTATGCACATTTTCACTCATCTCCGTTTTCTCCCAGTAGGCCAGTGAAGAGGTGTCTGATGAAAGGAGAAATGAGGTGCTGGAGGACCGTCCTGTGGGGTGGCCTGGGCATCAGGCACAGGTCCTGGTCTCAGCTGGACTATCGCTGAACAGAGGCGTTGGCCGCACATCCCCTTGGAAGGACTCTTTGCTTCCACATTCGGAACACTGTCCTGCTTTTGTTCAAACTCCTTTCTTTTAGCCCTCAAAATACATCTCACATCCCTACCATGAAGTTTTCCCTGGATCAAATGGAGGCAAAGTAGCGAAAAATGCAAACAAGAGATAACAGAGACTCAAGCACATTCCCAGCTCTTTAGAAAGTTAGAACTGAAGCTTCCTGAGCTAGCAGCACATTCATATTCTCTCTCCCTTGAACTCAGACCAAAGAGAAATGAAATGCACATGGGGGTGGGGGGCGGTGGTGAGGATTTTCTGATGTTTAATGTGATTTCCATATTTGCTTTCAGAATACAAGTTCCGTCTGCTTCTTTTTTTATGAGAAAAGGAAATCGTGCATTTAATCGTCTTTGAATATTACTAATTTTATATTTCAAGTATCTGGTAATTTGATTTTCATAATTAATCTTAACACGTATTCAGAACACAAAAAAACTCAATACCATGTGAAGAGAAGGGAAACAAAAAAAGTCCTATTTTCATCTACTACAGAAAATATTAAGTCAAAGGTTTATATGTAGTGAAGCATACTGGATTTAAATCCTAATCATGTATTTTTTAGATTTAAATTTTTTCTTTATTGCTCTTCTGATTTATAAGAACCTAAGAAAAGGGTTTCCCTTCTTACTCCTTCTTCCCCGGTCCCTGCCCTCTGCTGATTTTCCTTCCAAAGGCTGCCCTTCTTACCCATCCCCTGCCCTCCAGTACCCCACCTGCCTGGTTCAGTGATTCAGTGAGCAATAAGTGCAGAAAGCCAATGCCCAGAAGATTAACACAAACTTGTCAGGTTGTCACAAAGTTTTTCTGGGTTCTCCAGGCCCCTCTAGAGCCAGCTCATTTGAAGCAGACAACTGCTGGCCAACAAAGACTGGAAGCCACGGAGACAAAGGAAACCCATTTTTCTGAAGACCCTCCGTGGGGTCTTGAAAAGCCTGTGCACTAGGCTTCATGCTCGGCCCTTCCTACTGAGTGGCCTTCTCCACTGCCTGCTGCTTAAAGGCTTTCCAAGCACCTATTAATTTCAAAGATCACTTTCCTGCGTGAAGACATGCCTGAGAGCATGAACAAGAGTTCTCAGACTGAAAGCAGAAAACCAAGATTCTTAATTAAATGATCAAGTGAGAACCCGATCATTTACTGGTGGTGTAGACCAGTGGCTCCCAGCTCTGGCTTTCATTCCAATCACCTGAGGAGCTGGAAATGCCAGGGCTGCAGACCAGCTGAATCAGAAGGCCTGGAGGCAGGGCCTCAGCATACCAGGTGACTGGCGTGCAGTGAGCATGAGAAGAGAGTCTATGCAAGCATACCGGAATGCAGCTCCAACTCCGGCACTTAAGTCTGCTGTGACTTCAGCAAGATGCCTAACCTTTCTCATCCTCCATTTTTCTCATCTGGAAAATGCCAATAATAATCCTTACCTCCTAAGAGTGATTGATGACTATGATTTAATTATGCCATATAAAGCTACAGTGTCTCAAAATACAGTAGGTCTCAGCCTCTGCTGCCTCATGTATAAAATGCCAATCAGAATAGAGAGAATGATCTGCTGGGAGTGTGAAAAGGAAATGAAGACAGAAGGGAGTGTGACTCACACATTATAAAAAAAATATGAATTCACGATGGGCTAGAGGCCAATTTACAGAACATCCCATTCTCCTGCTCACATCAGGGGTAACTCAACACAGCCCAATAAAATACAGGCCGTAAGCTCTGCAGGAGCCACCATCTCTCTCTGCAAATGCCAGCCTAGGGCTGACATCCAATGGAGAAAATCAGGCTGAGAATAAAACCTGCAGAGGGCAGAGGGAGTGGGGGAGAGAAGGAGAAGGGATGCTGATATCTCAACACAGGTTCAAACTGTTGTTTAATGGACGCTTTTCTGTTGTTTCTAATCTGCGACTCCGTCAACTAGGGAATGTATGTTCTTGTGCATCCTTCTCTGTTCCCGTGTGCATACGTATCCTTCTCTGTGTGCGTGTGCATATGTATCCTTCTCTGTGCGCGTGTGCATACGTATCCTTCTCTGTATGCGTGTGCATATGTATCTGTTGCATCCTTCTCTGTACGTGTGCATATGTATCTGCTGCATGAACTGGCAGAACTGGGAGTGCTGGGTCTAAGAGTACAGGCATTCATCATTTTATTTTACTTTTTAATTTTAATTTTAATTTTTTTTTTTTGAGACAGAGTTTTGCTCTTTTTGCCCAGCCTGGAGTGCAATGGCGCGATCTTGGCTCACTGCAACCTCTGCCTCCTGGGTTCAAGCGGTTCTCCTGCCTCAGCCTCCCGAGTAGCTGGGATTACAGGCATGCACCACCACACCCGGCTAATTTTGTATTTTTAGTAGAGATGGGGTTTCACTATGTTGGCCAGGCTGGTCTCGAACTCCTGACCTCAGGTGATCCACCCGCCTAGGCCTCCCAAAGTGTTGGGATTACAGGCGTGAGCCACAGCACCCAACCAGGCATTTGTCATTTTTATACATATTTCCAAATAGCTAGAGGTTGTACCCACTTAATTGCCCTCCAATGATAGTTTAAGGGTAGCTGTGATAGAAACTGGTAGTATGTTCCTGCTTGTCTGTTTTTACACTTTATATAATATACATATATTTTAGGACATATTCATCAGTGTGGTCATTCATAGCTTCTCCAGTTTGGGGTTGATGAAATGAAACTGCTTTAAGCCTCTTTTTTAAAGACGTGTGGACACCGGGAGTTTTAAAGTGTTTCATACGGAACAGGTACCATTCCCTTTGAAATCTGTTTCTACTAATGGTGCTAATTCCAAGCTCCCTACCAAAAGCTTACAGGGAAGTGAGCTACAGTCTGGGGTAATCCAGCTCCCACGGTCCGATCACAATTAAGACCTCCCTGTCATTCCTGTGGCACTAAATGCTAACCAGGAACCTGTGCCCACTGTTCAGCTGCACATTTGCACCATACTGCTGCTACAAGTACAGTGCCTTGAGAGCAAGGACCATGACTAACGCCGTGCACGCCTGGTGCTGATGAAACTGTAAACAAATGGCCTAATTCACCCTCCCTCGCAGGGTTAGGTCCTGTTTGGGAAAAAGGGTGAGCAGCACTTAGGAGAACACTTTCTTTTCTTTTCTTTTTTTTTTTTGAGATGGAGTCTCGCTCTGTCGCCCAGGCTGGAGTGCAGTGGTGCCATCTCGGCTCCCTGCAAGCTCCACCTCCTGCGTTCACGCCATTCTCCTGCTTCAGCCTCCCAAGTAGCTGGGACTACAGGCGCCCGCCGCCATGCCCAGCTAATTTTTTGTATTTTTAGTAGAGACGGGGTTTCACCGTGTTAGCCAGGATGGTCTCGATCTCCTGACCACGTGATCCGCCTACCTCAGCCTCCCAAAGTGCTGGGATTACAAGCGTGAGCCACCACGCCCAGACAGGAGAACACTTTCTTAAACCCAAAAACCAAGACTTCATGAACAAACATTTCTGGACTACACTGTGTTAATCCTTTACAGAAACTTTATGAACTGATCGGTTTCTCTGGAAAACTTCTCCAAGCCACCACTCCAGGGATGGCTTAGGAGGTAGGATAATAATCCCTACCTCCTAAGATGACGGATGCTAGTGCCCGGCATGATTGACTCCAGGTGCCCAGCAAGGCCTCTCGGTAATCTCAGCAGCACCTCCAGTGAGGCTCATCAAAACCATCTCTGCTCCATTTCAAAACCACACCAAGCAGGCTGCTGGTGGAAACCAAGAGCAGGAGAGGAGGGTAGAGAATCCCATGACTTCAGAACGTTTCTCCTACAAGACGTGACCCCACAACATGGCAATTCCTAAAAGAATGGTGACACTAAAGCCAGACACCCCTACCAGGACACCCTCATTCCCTCCTACCAACAGATTACATCCTTAAGGCCACAAAACACAAGCCCACTTCCTTTAAGTAATGGGGCGCGATCTCGGGTCACTGCAACCTCCACCTCCCAGGTTCTCGCCATTCTCCTGCCTCAGCCTCCTGAGTAGCTGGGACTACAGGCACCCGCCACCACGCCTGGCTAATTTTCTCTATTTTTAGTAGAGACGGGGTTTCACCATGTTAGCCAGGATGGCCTTGATCTCCTGACCTCATGATCCGCCCGCCTTGGCCTCCCAAAGTGCTGGGATTACAGGCGTGAGCCACCATGCCTGGCCTTAGAAGTCTTAACAGCGGAAGTTAAAATAAACAAAATAGGCTGTAAATAGGAAAGAGGGTAGAAGTTAAACAAAAATAATTCAAAATTAATCATGTTTCCACCTGCAATGTTCAGGATAACAAAAAGTCTTTTTTGCAAACTTACGGTGAACCAAGTAAAAACTTGGGTAACTGAAATCCGATGAAGCGATCTGAAATGACACCCACAAGTGCACGAAAAAGCTATTTACAGGCCCATGCGTGCAGCATGGAGCTTCGAAGTGAATACTCAATCAACTCGGTAAGATGCAACATGAAAAGCTATCTCCAAGGAGGGGGGTGCTGCAGGTGAGCAGCTGGCTCAGAGCCCAGGTGAAGAGTGTTTGTTCTACCTAGCCAGAGGGCAGGTTGAAAGAGGACATGGCCTATTAATGTGCAGCTCAAGAAACACTTTAAGAACCGGCACAAATGCCACTCTCTGGGCAAATGTTTGTAGCAAGGACAGCTGGCAGGGTACAGGTAACCGTCTACTCCTGTGTTGTGCCAAACCCGTATTAACTTCAACAGGGACAGCACCAAGTTGAAGAAGCCAAAGAAGAGACCCAGAGCTAACAAACAAGGCACAGGGTTTATTTGGAGGAACTTATTTATAGGGTGGCCCAGTGGCTCTGGGCTGGACAGCAGAACTTCAACTGCTTGTAAAAAGCATGCAGCTTATACAGCACCTTCACTTAGCACCCTCCTCCCAGCAACCTCCATGTGGCAACCCTCATTTCTTCAGTGACTGCTGTCCGGTGTGTCTGCCATAAGGGCCATTCTCAGGGTGTGCTGAAGTTACTGCTGTCAGACACTTCTCCCATACAACCTGAAGCATTATTCTTATGGGAAGATGTGGTCCCAGTGACAACCCAGGTTACCAGGAAGAAGCCTCCTCAGGCCAGGTCTCCTATGACAGGGGACCCAGCAGTGAGGGAGGAGAGGGAGTATCTTTCAAGGTACCTTCCTCTGCAGTTGGCCAAACACTTAAAATAAAGGAATGCAGAATTTAAGCTCTGAGCAGTCAGGACCTCCCTGCATAGTGCATAGAACACTACAGGGGCAGAAATATCTGAGAAACCAAGGCACAGGCCAGGCGCAGTGGCTCACGCCTGTAATCCCAGCACTTTGGGAGGCCAAGGTGGGTAGATCACTTGAGGACAGGAGTTTGAGACCACTCTGGGCAACATGGTGAAACTCCATCTCTACTAAAAATACAAAAATTAGCTGGGTGTGGTGGCAGGTGCCTGTAGTCCCAGCTACCTGGGAGGCTGAGGTTGCAGTGAACTGAGGTTGCGCCTCTGCACTCCAGCCTGGGAGACAGAGGAAGATTCCATCTCAAAAAAAAAAAAAAAAAAAAAAGGTATCAATGCTCAGGTCACCACAGAGAGCTGCAGGAACTGTCCTAACAGCCCAGAGAATAAATCTTAATGTCTGCAACTGCAAAGAAAATAAACTTTATTTTAACATCATCTCAACTGACACTTTTTTCTCCCTAAATGCCTCCCTCATTTTCTGTCCCACTGAAGACATGCATGGTTTTTGTTGGTATTTGTAACATTAAGAGATGTTAAAGGAAAGGAAGGACTTTATTACAAAATGAGCAGATGCATTCACCCCCCGCCCCGCATTTTCCTCTGTGGGTGTTTTCAGCACCCCCTACTCTGTTTTCAGTTCTTTGCTATGCATATCCACTTAGGCAATCTGCCCAGGTTTCTTGCACCAAGACTTAATGGACTCTTTCCCCTGCCCCTGGTAGAATTTTTATCAAAAACAAAACTCAAGCATCCAGAGAGAAAATCACCCAACCTTGCATTTTAAAAAATTTAAATTAAAAATTGTTGCTGCCATGGTTGAGGGTCACAATCATCAGTCTGAAAAACAATGTCATCTACAAAGTTAGCTATAGGGAAGGGATAACAATACAAAAAAAAAATGTGTTAAAGACCTCTCTAGCCTCTTCTGAGTCTCTTTCACATCACAGATTGTTCCATTAACTTTTTGAAATACTAAAAACTCCTACAATCTCAGAACCCTATGAAAGGGGAAATTTCTTTTTATTCCAAAGCCAAATACAAATACTTTTGAGATGAACCTTAGCTGTTACCATAAACAGCATGGATATAGGCAACTATTTATATAACAATATTTTTCTATATGAGGAATTCCTTTCTTAGGCCACGACAGGAGGATCGCTTGAGGCCTTCAGGAGTTCAAGACCAGCCTGGGCAATATAGCGAGATCCCTGTATCTACAGAAAAATTGAAAAAAAAAATTAGCTGGGCATGGTTGCATGCACCATGGTCTAGCTATTTGGGAGTCTAACGTGGGAAGGTTGCCTGAGCCCAAGAGTTCAAGGCTGTAGTGAGCTACAGCCGCACCACTGCACTCCAGTCTTGGTGACACAGAGAGGCTCTGCTAATTAATTAATCCGTAGATAGACAAATTCCTTTCTTAAAGAAACCTGGAAGAGTGTTGAAGCTCTGATTCATAAACATTTAAAACTAAAAATGAATCCTAAACATTTTATCTCTGGGACCATATGAAATGAATACAGTACTCTTCATTTGAAGAATTTAATTTTTTCCCACTATTGGTTAATTATTCCTTTTTAGTGACTGGCATTTTATTTGGATAATTCTACAAGTTTAAGAAATTCTCTAACAGAAAAGAAAGAAATAAAGGGGAAATAAAGTTTAAGACTATGTATTATCTACTTTAAAACTAGCTATGTAAAAAGTAGAAATTACTTAAATAAAATCATTCTCTCCTCTGCATAAGTGTCACTATTCGAGAATGGCTTAAATACCTGCTGAAACACACAAAATGTGAATTAACGATGTCCTCTGAAAAAGAACTCCAATCGACTATTCGATTTGTGTTATCATTTTATTTGGCTAGAACAAAAATGCACCTGACAATATGGCCACCAGAGGGTGCTGTAACCCCCCCAATACACCTCGATAGACCAGAGAAGGAATAGACAGTTAAGAGGTCTTCAGGTGACAGAGGCTGTACACCTGCCTTCTAATGAACTTACATGGGCAGAGCCCCTCTGCAGGAGGCTTTCCTTAAACATAAAGGCATCAGTGCTAACTTTAATGTAGGGAGGACAGAAAAGCAATGTGATGGGCACTCACAGAGGACTTTTATATTATTAAAATTCAGAACCTGCATGTTTTAAAGAATGTCCTAAACCTACAGAATAAAATAAATGAGAAAATTAATGAAATGCAAGGGTAATGAAAATATGGACCTGAATAAGTCACCTGGAGAACAAGCACGAAAGGAGGAGAGATTCAGCCAAGGGGTGGGGAGGCAGAGCCAAGGAGGGGCAGAAGAACGGGCGCTGGAGTCGGCCAAGCACAGAAAGGGGGTAGGGAGCTGTCCTCAGCTCAACGCCCCTGGGCCGATGTGGGACTAGAGCAGGATGTGCAGGACTCGGTGCTGGCCCTTGCGGCGCTGAAGGCCTATCAGGGAGAATCTTAGCGCCATGTGCTAAGTGCCACCACAGAGACCTGCACAGGGCCAGGCACAGAGCCAAGGACTGTGCACCCGGGTCACACAGACAGATCAGCAGCACTGGCCTGAGAAAGGAGAGAGCAAGGCACTTGTGCAAAGAGGGAGAAGGGGGTGGTTCTGGGCACCGGCAAGGCACAGAGGAGGAAGAGCGCACCGCGGCTCGGAGAGGGATGCGTTGCAGGGCGTCACAAAGACCTCTGTGCCCCCGTTCACCCAGGGCAATGCACAGTCACCGAAGTGTTTGCCCAGGCAGGAACATGGTCTGTCTGTGTCTTAGAGATAGAATTCTATACCTAGGTGGAGGAATAGAGAGAATAGGGCAGATATGGACGCTGCTTGAGGAGTCCTCTACACCAACGGTCCCCAACTTTTTTGGCACCAGGGACTGGTTTTGTGGAAGACAATTTTTCTCCAGGCTGGTTTGGGGGTTGGAGGAGTGGGGTGGATGGTTTGGAGATGATTCAAGGGCATTACATTTATGGTGCACTTTATTTCTATTATTATTACATTGTAATAGATGATGAAATAATTATACAACTCTTCATAATATAGAATCAGTAGGAGCCCCGAGCTTGTTTTCCTGCAACTAGATGGTCCCATCTAGGGGTGATGGGGGACAGTGACGGATCATCAGGCGTTAGATTCTCATAAGGAGTGTGCAACCTAGATCCCTCACATGCAAAGTTCCACAATAGGGTTCATGGTCCTATGAGAATCTAATGCTGGTGGCTGATCCGAGAGGCAGCGGAGCTCAGGCAGCAATGCGAATGATGGGGAGCAGCTGTAAATAGAGGAAGTTTTGCCCGCCTACCCATGGCTCACCTCCTGCTGTGCGGCCCACTTCCTAACACGCCACAGGAGTTGGAGACCCCTGCTCTACACAAACACTGAAAGCCAGACACAGCAGCCGGAAGGATGAGAGAGTAAAGGACGACTCTTTGGTCCCTAGCTTGGATGACTGTACAGATGGCGAGGCCATCACGGAGACAGATGATTCCAGAGAAAGAACAGTTTCTGATATTTTGACATTCCAGGCCAAGAAACTATGTAAGGACAAACAAAAGATCCTGAATTATACGGCCCCACTAGTGGGTGAAGTCTCACTTCAAGAACATGATGGCTTGACTACATATGCAATAATAAGAGAAGATGAAATCACACTCCAGAGAGCCAGTACACCACCGTGGAAGAAAGATATTTGAAAATTTCTCTTTTGTTTTCCAGATTTGCTAAATAATGTTTAAAATCACCTAACCAAGTTAAAATCCCTGTTCTCAATGAACTCGCACGTGATTCAAGTCAGTGTCAGAGAGAGTGTTTTAATATACAACCAATACTATCATTTTCCTACTAGGAAAAAAAACAAAACTGCGATAAAGCTGTAAGACTAGCCTAGTTTGATTTTTCTACCAGCCACTCCCAAACTTGAAACGCAGTATTTCTTCCACATGTTTCTCTACTTTCCTACCATGAACGCCTAGTTTTAAGCATCTAAAAGTCACAGAAGCTTAAAACAATGATCAATCAGTTCTTCAATAGGAGACACACAATAACATGCCTATAACAATGACGGATAAAAATGCGAACAACCCTTGAAGTGTATTTACTACACATTCCTATGCCAGAAGGAACGTTAGCACACATTCATTAAGAATCCAGGCATATTTTCTATCCCTTGTGTTGATATTATACAGTAGGAATGCCAATCCTTTTAATAATTTACGGAGGAGTTACACATTGCAGATTCCTTATTAAACATTACTTACACTAAGGTCATAAGTCCAACGAATATTCCGTAGCGAAAGTGGGCAATATTTTAATTGCAATACACTCATCTAAATTATGTCTGCATCTGTTTGTATGCATTTAATTCATCATTATTTTTCATGCATTTATTAACACAAAGCAGTGAGAGCGTTTTCTCTAAGGCAAAAACATTTCACAATTGCATTCATTTTTAGACCTTAAAATTTACAGTGGATATCCAAAAGCTTCATACGCTGTATTTTAAGCATGTTACCCTTGAATGGAAAAGAAAATAAATAAAAAGCTACTGCACTATCTAGGAACCCCATTCCCTGGCCCAGAAAGTCAATGCTAGCAGAATTAGTCTGTCATTGACCGACCAGCAGCAATATGAAAGAGTTTAATCTGGAAACCATGACAAAATAACACTGACACTCCCAGTTCTAAATATATATGTTGTAGAAAATCAATGGCTTATAACATCAGAGGTTGGCAGACTGCAGCCCGTGGACCATCAGCTCACACACATGCCCCTTTGTTTATGTATTGCCCAAGGCTGCTTTAGTGCTATGTCAGAGACCATCAGTCCTGCAAAGCCTCAACTACTTAGTATCTGGCTTTTTACAGGAAAATAAATAAAAAAGCTTGTTAGGCCCTGATTTAGATAACTACCTATAGCATGTAGGAAAGGTTTTATTTACCATTTAAGAATTTGCCAGTTCACTTAACTTATAAATAACCTTTAAAATCTTAGCTTCCAGGCTTCTCCCCCAAATAGAATTATTCAATAATTTTATAAAGTCGATGACAATGTTTCTTAGCAAATGAAGTAATACAACATTGGCAATACATATCTGAGAAAGACAACATTCTGGAGTTCCAAAGATGTTTCCCAAATGGATTCAAGATTGTGCGTTTTTAAAAGCATGACTTTTGGGTAGAAGGGACATTGTTACCTTCAATAACACAGATGCATAGGAGGCCCCAAGATCACCAGCCTCACGGCCTCCCCAAAGCTGCACCCACTGAGGATGGGGTGGAGAGCCAGTCCTGTCTACAATGGGGAGAACCATTAAAAAGGTTCAGAGAAACGAGTCCCTTCCTCCTGGGGTGGGGACGCCGGCAGCCACGCTCCAGCATCCTAATGCACACCTCTCCCTACACAGCACCTTCTGGCTGTGTTCCTGAAGGCTTGGTTGGTAGTTCAATTTTTGTTAAATAAATATTTTCCTCATTGTCTTACACATTCAGAACTGCTTTCATTTCTGACTCATCTCAAGTTGGCAACCTTCCCTTCCTCATACTTGAGCTTCTTACACTCTTTCTACCCTTCCTCCCCGCAAGAAAAGGAAAACAGAGGAAGACAGTGAGACAAACAGAATGCACTAAGACAAAGACTCCAGATTCAGGGCACGGGCGTGGGGGCACAGGCAAAGACAGCGGAAGATAAAGGAGAGGAAGGAATGAGGAGGGGCCGGCGGCTCAGGGAGAGGTGCAGGAAGGGGCCAGGGGCTCAGGACACAATGTCAGGCAGGGGATCCAAACTTCACCAGCCCTAGGACTGGCCTCATACTTTTGGCCCTATTGGTGCCTTTGTATCTATGTCAAAATGCGACCCCAGCACTCCTCAGCAGCTTTTTAATTTAATTTTCTAGGCTGCACTCTGACCAGATTAACAAAATTTGTCAAACATCTATGTGTCAGACACCTTCCGCTTCCTAAAAAACACATCAGATTCTCTGCCCTACAGACTCAGTGACCCCAGCATCATTCTAGACTGAAGAAAACGAGGGCAAGAAGTCTTGTAGTTTTCCTTCCACTCTGTCAAAACATTTGGTAAAGCAGAGGTGTCTTTGGTAACAGCAAATATCCATGCATCAGGAGTCAGGGCAACGTGAACAAGGTTCCACAGTAGGGACTCTCACTAATCTCACAACATCAGGGAATGGTACAGAAAAGTGACCTGTCTGGCTGGACACAGTGGTTTGCACCTGTAATTCCAGCACTTTGAGAGGCCAAGGCGGGAGGGTCACTTGAGGTCAGGAGTTTGAGACCCACCTGGGCAACACAGCAAGACAACACCTCTATAAAAATTTTTAAAAATTAGCTGGGCATGGTAGTGTGCCTGTACTCCCAGCTACTGGGGAGGCTGAGGCAGGAGGACTGCTTGAGCTCAGGAGTTTGAGGTTACAGTGAGCTATGATTGCACCCCTGCACTCTAACCTGTGCAACAGAGCAAGACTCCTGTCTCTTTTTAAAAAGGGTGAGGAAGAAAGAGATGAGGGGGGAAATGAAGCAAGGAAGGAAGGAGGAGGAGGAGAGAGAGAGGACGACAGAGTGAATGAGGGAGGCAGGAGAGAGGGACAGGGACAGAGAGGAAGAGGGAGGGAGACAGGGGGAGAGTGAGAGAGAGAAAGAAAGCAGTCTAGTTTGCTCTTTTATTTACCAAAACTGGAGTGGGAGAGAGAAAAAAGCTTATGTGGAAATGTTTGTAAACTGATCATATATTCCCTGCATGCTCACTTAGTGTATACTGAACATGGCACAGTCTTTGCTCAGTGATTCCGGATCATTAGGAAGATCCATTATTGTGGCGATGGCTATATTGCACAGCAAGCCTCCCGCAGGATGGAGATTTGCCAGCTCTGTGCATTTACCCATCTGCCATTTCCAATGCTTCCCTCTGGGAAACCTGGTCGGCTGGGTGGTGTGGAGGCTAGGATTGACATATTTTTAAAGGACGTTGCATGCATTCATATACTTAAAGACTAGGAGGTAAACACAAAAATGTAAATAGTTGTGTGGTTGTTAGGGAGTAAAGAGGTTTTTATCTATATTTGCGGGAGGGAGTTACTATCCTTTAATGTCATTTCGGTTTGGGGGGTGGGAAGGAATACAGCTAGAACAAACAGCCTAAGAGTTAGATCCTCTGGGGCTCTCACAGGAGTAATTGCACAAGCTATTTGGTGCAGGGATTTTAAGACAAACACTTTTTGGCCCAAGGGCCATTAGTGTTGATGTTGTGATTCTCAGCAATGCCCTAGACAGCGGAGGCTGCTCAGCAAGGCCTCCAGAGAGAAATGTAGCTCTGCAAAGAGCCTGCAGATCACAGACAGACTCTGCACAGAGTAAGGTGCTGCTCCTCAATGGGGGAGGAAGAGGAGAAGTCAGTTCTAAATGCTAACAAAGAAACAGTGCAGAGGACAAGTCCAAATGCCGGCCTGTACCTCGAGGGACCTCATGGCCACGTGTCAGCAAGGGAAACCAGCCCCCATGAAAACAACAGGAGGTGTACGGTCCCTAGTGGCCAGAAAGGCGCAGTCCCACCTAATGGGTGTGCCCAGCACACACCTCTAGCCATGCAGCCTTGCACAGATGCAGGCCCAGTGTGGCTAGATTGCCAAGACCTTCCAGAAACCTGGAAATCTCGATTTGTATTATAATATGGGATCTCCCAAACGTTGGCTCAGGATTTGCATTTTTTTGTTTCAGTGCTCCACAGGCCAAATAAACTCATGTGTGGATTCAGTCTGGTCCACAGGGACCAACTGTCTGCAAACTTTGGTCTGACCTCTGATCCAGAAGGGCTTACAGCTGAGCAAAGGTACTTCAATGTATGTTCAGCCTCTTTCAGAAGCTTCTCCATTAGTAAAATAAGGAGATTTACTTTGTACAATGTTTTCAAAGAAGGGCAAAGAAAGAAAAAAACAAAATTTCCAATCCTTTGGAAGTAAAGTAAATCAATATTTAAAATTTGCAGGTATACAGTACCAAAACAGCCCCTCCCCTCGTTACTTGCTGGTCACCTGGGGAAAAAAAATGTTAATTTTTGATAGTGGAGGGATGAGACTGCCCCCACATTTACCCAGGGATCAATTTCAATCACTGATTATGACAGAACCAGTCATTGTGTCCCTCCAGTCGCACGTAGCCTCACCCATTCCTGCCTCAAATTTGATCAAGCCTTTAGTCCAACTTCTAATACACAGTACGTACAAGAAACATGGGGAAAAGAACATGTTCATTCATTGATGATGCCACCAGGACACGATGGAATGTGGTAAGCGAAACAACCTTCCTACAAGTCATTGAAGGGGAGGGACTATTGATAGTGATAGGAAGCAGCCAAACGCCTGGGCAGATAGGGGCGGGTCCCCGGTGAAACCCCACCTTCGAGCCAAAAACAGCCTGAAGGCTGAAAGACTGGACTGCTGGTCCCGGATGAAACCCACGAACCAGAGCGAGAACTTCTGTTCCTGTCTGCCCACCCTTTCCTGATTGATTCTTTCTGAACAATGCCTTTTAATGAATCAAATGTTGCCTTTTCCAATACTACCTGCAGCCTGCCCCTCCCCTATTCTGAGCCCATAAAAAGCCCTGGGCCCAGCCACACGGGAAGGAGAGAAGCACCTGACTGCAGCCCCTCTCCACCGAGAGCTATTCCATTGCTCAGTAAAATTCTACTCTGCCCTCCTCACCCTCAATGTCCAGCATATCCTCATTCTTCTTGGGTGCCATGCAAGAACTCGGGAACCACTGAACACAGGTACAAGCTATAACACAGGTGAGCTAGGGCACCCCAGCATGGTAGAGTGAGACCCAGGTGGGGTGTTGCTGGCTGGGGGTCCCCAGTTTGCAAAGAGACCAAGAGTAAAAAGCTTTTATCACTATTCTAGGTTAAGAGAGTCTTAATAGACCCACCGATTAAATGCAATACAGAATTCTCAATTGAATCCTGGTTTAAACAGTCCAGCTGTAAAAGGCATTTTAAGGTCAGCTGGGGAAGTTCAGATAATGGATCAGGTAATAGAGTCCATTAGGCAATTAGTCTTAATTTTGTGAGAACAGTACTACAGTTATATAGAAATATGTTCTTGTTTTTTAGAGGTTTGGGCTGAAGTATTTAGGAACTAAACGTCATGATGTCTGTAATTCACTTCTGAATACTTCAGGGAAAAAAAGAGATGGAGCAAATACAGCAAAATGCTAACAACTTAAACCTAGGTAAAGGGGACTGAGGTGAGCTGTGTCAAAGAGCTATCCTCACACAGAGTTAGGACCCCATCACTCTCAATCACTAGGCAGCAGAAGGACTTTCTGCCATGTCCCTCCAATACCCTTGAGCCCATGTGTGTTTTAAATTGCAAGTCACCAGCTCTCAAAAGAAAAACTGATAGCAACCCAAGCAGGTTTGATGCCAATGGCTCATCACACACAATAAAGGAGCAACTGTGAATGAATGTCTTGCAACCTTCTTTATGAAAGCATGAGATTCTACAGTTGGTTTGTCTCAGCCAACATTGCTAAGTTTTAAGAAAGCAGCTTTATAGTCTCAAATGCATCCTAGGTAAGCTCAAATGAAGCCACTGATCATAATTAAAGAGAAAAAGGGAGGGGAGTTAGGTTTAAAAAGTTGCATTGAAATGACCCTGTTTAATGACTGCTTTAAGCCTATGACAAAAGGTTAAATGTCTCCAGCTTACTGAAAAAAGAAGAGTTTGAAATTTGAACAGCTATCCTAAGTTTAAAGGAAAAACTTTAAGATCTTACTTAGCAAAATATACCTATTCTAAATCTAGTAATAGTTGATGATACTCCAATTCAAAAGGCTTACTCAGCTACCATCAAATACAATGGCCAGCTCTTTAAATCTGCTAACACAAAAAGGTACCCCTCAAAAAAAGAAATCTCAGGGTTTTCGAGGAACCCTAATTCTCAAACTTTTATCCTCAAGAAGAGATCTATCACTGAGCATAGCATCAGAAGTCACATAAATCTGAACTTAATAGGTCCCACCACTCCCTATACCCTTGTTTGATCTCGGGCTGATGATAACTTCTCAATTTTCTTACCTATCAAATGGAAATCCCCTCTTCACAAGATTTAGGCAGAATCTAATGACATTACATTGGGTTCCAAACACATTGCCAGCCAACCTGTGAGCACTCAAGTAACAGCCTCTAACTAACTTCTGTTAAGAGGTTAGGCCCTGGTTCAATACCTAGCTCTACAACTTACTAAACCTTTCTTGCCTCAGTTTCTTTATCTGCAAAAAGAACAACAGTGCCTGCTACATAGGACTTTGCTGGGAGGACCCAACGAGCTCCCATGTAAACAGTTCAAACCACATCTGGCACATAGCAAGTGCTCAAGAAACAGGAGCTGCTGAAACTCTACCCTCCTTCCTTACCCCCGTGTTAAGAAAGCACGACTCACCTACCCTAACTGCACACTTCACCATGGCCAAACACCAAGGACTTGTCCCTGCCCCACCACAGAGCGTCTAAAAGACTTCCAGAAGAGTCAGTGGTCTGCTAAGCCTGAGGTTCCTGCTGCTGTTTTGGCCTCTGTTTCCTGGACCTGCCTTGGTTCCTGACCCTGTCGGCGGCTGCCTGGTGCCTGCCTTGCCACCTGTACCTCTCCTCTATGGAAGGATGGCCACAGTATTCCATGGTGCCTGAGTCCTCCCTAACCCATCACTCGTGTCCTTGGCTCTCTCCTGACCCCTAAGGTGAGGGTCAGGTGCAGAGCCATGACCTTCTGTGCCCAATCCCAGCTGGGCCTCATGTACCCCCAAGTAGAAGTTTCTGGGACCTACCACAAGAAGAGAGTGTGCTCCTTCTGTACGGTATAAAGTAGTCATTCTGCACAAACATCAGCATCAAATGGAGACTGTTCCTTGCCTGCCATCTCATTGACTCCCCCAGATTCTTTTCTCTGAGCCCACTCTTGAGCTTGCTTCCCTTAACCTCTTCTCTCTATGCTCATTTTTCATCCAAGCCCTAGGCAGGCCTCCTGTGCTGGTCCACAAAGAGCCTTTGTGAGAATGAGAAATAAGCACCTCTCCTAGATGCTTGGGAGAGATGCTTGAAGAGCCAATGGGACCTCCATGACAATGAGAAAAAAGTACCCCTTCCTCCAGGCTGGCCATCAGGTGCCACAGCACACCATATTGTGTTCCACTCAATGAATTCAAGGCAGTTTACCAGGCAACTGTCATGTGCCAAGATTTCTGGACCTGCAAACACCAATAAGACAGGGCTGGAGCCTCTGAGCCTCCCAAGTCCGCTAAGACAAGGGGCCGTAGGAGGAGGGAACTTGTACACCCACTACAGCCCCAGGAGCAGCAGTGTTCTGTCCCCTTGGGCTGGGGTGATGAGGTGGGCAGCAGTGTTCTGTCCTCTTGGGCTGGGGTGATGAGGCGGGCAGCAGTGTCCTGTCCCCTTGGGCTGGGGTGATGAGGCGGGCAGCAGTGTTCTGTCCTCTTGGGCTGGGGTGATGAGGCGGGCAGCAGTGTTCTGTCCTCTTGGGCTGGGGTGATGAGGCGGGCAGCAGTGTTCTGTCCCCTTGGGCTGGGGTGATGAGGCGGGCAGCAGTGTTCTGTCCTCTTGGGCTGGGGTGATGAGGCGGGCAGCAGTGTTCTGTCCTCTTGGGCTGGGGTGATGAGGCGGGCAGCAGTGTTCTGTCCTCTTGGGCTGGGGTGATGAGGCGGGCAGCAGTGTTCTGTCCTCTTGGGCTGGGGTGATGAGGCGGGCAGCAGTGTTCTGTCCCCTTGGGCTGGGGTGATGAGGCGGGCAGCAGTGTTCTGTCCTCTTGGGCTGGGGTGATGAGGCGGGCAGCAGTGTTCTGTCCTCTTGGGCTGGGGTGATGAGGCGGGCAGCAGTGTTCTGTCCTCTTGGGCTGGGGTGATGAGGCGGGCAGCAGTGTTCTGTCCTCTTGGGCTGGGGTGATGAGGCGGGCAGCAGTGTTCTGTCCTCTTGGGCTGGGGTGATGAGGCGGGCAGCAGTGTTCTGTCCTCTTGGGCTGGGGTGATGAGGCGGGCAGCAGTGTTCTGTCCTCTTGGGCTGGGGTGATGAGGCGGGCAGCAGTGTTCTGTCCCCTTGGGCTGGGGTGATGAGGCGGGCAGCAGTGTTCTGTCCCCTTGGGCTGGGGTGATGAGGCGGGCAGCAGTGTTCTGTCCTCTTGGGCTGGGGTGATGAGGCGGGCAGCAGTGTTCTGTCCTCTTGGGCTGGGGTGATGAGGCGGGCAGCAGTGTTCTGTCCTCTTGGGCTGGGGTGATGAGGTGGGCAGCAGTGTTCTGTCCTCTTGGGCTGGGGTGATGAGGCGGGCAGCAGTGTTCTGTCCTCTTGGGCTGGGGTGATGAGGCGGGCAGCAGTGTTCTGTCCTCTTGGGCTGGGGTGATGAGGCGGGCAGCAGTGTTCTGTCCTCTTGGGCTGGGGTGATGAGGCGGGCAGCAGTGTTCTGTCCTCTTGGGCTGGGGTGATGAGGCGGGCAGCAGTGTTCTGTCCTCTTGGGCTGGGGTGATGAGGCGGGCAGGGGCCTCAGCAGGAGTGTTGCCACCCAAACTGGGCCCTGACAGATGAGAGGGCAGCTGCCAGAAAGGATGTGAGCAGATGCCAGGCAGAGGGGAAAACACAGGCAAAGGCAAAAGGCAGCAACTTCATGGCATATTTAGTGACTGTGAGTTTCCAGTGAAGGGGTGGGAAAGGGAGGGAAGGAGAGAGGGAGGAAGAACGGGCTCACTTCATGCAATCTGTTGGTAAATACTTCCTGAGGACCTGTTAGGTGCTATGTGCTATAATAGGTCGTGGAAAATAAAAATAAATAAATAAAATAGAATCCTAGTCATCAGAGGAGAAAAATCTAATTTCAGGAGAAAGAAACAATTCTAAGCATAAAACAACAAGTCAACCTCACTCACAGAACTATGCACAGCACTTCCCAGGGGTCATGGGCACCCCAGAGACAGGGAGAGGTCTGCTGGGGGACAGAGCAGCAGCCTGTGTGGCGGAGGAGATGAGGACCCAGCTGGTGAACATAGGATGGGCCACTGGAGGAGTCACCAGATCAGGGTGAGGTTAGGGCAGAGTACGTCCTTGGGAAAGGGGACAGCAGAAACGGGACACAGGCACACAAGGGTGAGCTGTGGCCGCCCCACGTGGGCGTTTTGAGCAGGGTTTTACTTCTCTTTTGATGTCTTAGTGGCATTTTATGTGAGGCCTGCTTTTTTAAAAGGTGCTTTTTATTTTTTTCTTTTACTTAGCATTTTTTTTAAGCTGTTTTGGGGAAAAAAAATCACATTCCATTTTTTTTTCCCCATGATATGGATAATAAAGGCTGGATGTCTCTGACCTAGGGTGACTGCAGTCTCAATTTACATCTTATGTCCGGACGTCCCATTCAATGTCGCATTCATTCCAGACAAAAGCGTCCCAGTTTAGATGACAGATTATATGACTGCCCTTTTTTGTCCTCAAGGTATGATCCAAAGGGAAGCATCTTTCTCTGCCATTGCTGTTTCCCACGCGGGCCAACTGCTCAGATGTTCAAGTGGAGTCGCGGCTCGGTTATCCAATCTGCTCCAAACAAAGCTCCTTTAATAAAGTGAGACTTGGCTGGAAGGAGCTGAAAATGATCTTGGATCCTAAGTACTGGACTGGGGCCGAGACGGCCGAAAAGGACAAGGGCATTTCAGGCACAGGCCTCTCAAGGGGGAAGGGGCCACCTCCAGCTAGGAGAGAGGCCCCACACCAAGGGCCCCAGAAACCCCCGGCCTCTGAGCTGGAGCTGTAGGCAGCTTCCATCACCACCTCGGAAGGGCAAGGAGAGATGACGTGCTCCACTCCTCCCACCGTCACCCGCCCCTGACCATCCTGCATCCCCAAGCATCACATTCTGCCCCGCAACCACCGACCCCTTCCCAACCTCAGGCCAAGTGGCCCAGGGAACCTCCCTTGGAAACAAAGGAGTTGGAGTCCCAGAGATGCAAATCCCTGATTTTAAAAACATCATTGTCTACAGGATTTCTACCACTTTAAAGGCTCTGAAATGCCTCTCATGAAAATGTTCTTCCTCTTTCACCCATTATCCTGTCTACAGCAAGGGCTCCAATGCCTACCCGGCCTTCTTGCTGCCAAGGGAGAATGAGGTGTCTGATCAGGCACAGAGGTGCGGGGAATACTCAGGGAAGAGACTTGGAGAAAAGGCATGTCAGTGGCCCAGGGCTCTGAAGGAGACGGTGGCTGCCAGAGAGGACACTACCAAACCTCTGCCCGGTGACTACTACCTTAAAACACGACAGAGCTGCTGCCGACAGAAGTCACTTTGCGGTTCTTCCCCACATGCCAGTTACAAAGAAACTGTTATCCTTGTTGTACACTAATACACAGTGGCATGAGTGGTTTTAAGGGATTTGCCCAAGATAGCATGGAGGGAGAATGCAGGTCATCTGGCAAAATTTTAAGGCAATAAGCAGTGCCACTCCAGAGTGAGACACCAAGATGGCATTAACCCACACTGCCACCTCACACTTGCATCTCAGACCCACTGGCAAATGTGTCCCTGAAGAACTACAGCACTTCAGAGGAGGGAGGAAAGCAGGAATGTGTGCGCCTACTTATCAATCTAGGAAAATGAAGACCAGAAGCAGGATTCAGAGTTTCTGATGCATTTTCTGGCACTTGGTCCACTTGGCCACAATACGATTTATCTTTCTAATTAATATCACGAATATTCCTTTCCACCATGTCCCTTAGAAATGACCCTGCCTGTTATTATCTAAACAGTAAAAATTCAAGGTACGAATTTGCTCTTCTAAGATTTGGAGCCTAATTCCACTACAAATTCAACCTTAAATCTACTTAACTGGCTTAGAAATACAATGTGAATCAATTTTTTTTTTTAATGGGAGGGTTTGGATAAAACAAAATAAAAACCCAATCAAGCTTAAAAAGAAATCACCAAAATTTTCTAAATCCAACTTGCTCCTTCAGCACTACAGATTTCATTGGAAAGAGTGAGAATACATATTTTTAACCTAAGGGCACAATCCACTACCGGTTGGCATGCAAATGTTTACATTTTTAAAAGATAATTTTTGTTTTTTTTTCCCTTGATGCTCTATATGTTAAGTAGTAGGAGAAAGATATTAAAAAGATGTCTGTCCCCAGTAAATTTCTAATCTAGCAATCGAGGCAAGTGAAAGAAATACTAGGAAACCACCAGGTAATGCATCTGCAAAAGCTAAAATGACATTGCACCTACTGTGGCAGCTAAGAGGGATTAGGAGAGGAAAGACACACGCTTTGATATAGGAATATCAAATTTTCTTTCTTGGAATTTTCTTGACAGGCTTCATGGAAAGGCAGGGCATAAGGTGGGCTTTGGTAGAGAGCAAATTTGTGAGTTTCAGGAAACAGTATTTCAGCTGGGTAACAAGAGCCCAGACTCATGGAAATGGCTGAAAGTGTTGCTCTGAAAGGGAAGAGAAGGGAAGCAGGGATCCTTCTGCCCATGCCTAGAGACCTGGCTTATCCTTGCATGAGTGCAGGCACATGGTGAACCACTCAGTGTGACTTCACGGTCAAGCAAGAGAGTGCCTTCAGGTGGGATTTGCTTCACTCTGACATTACCAGCAGTACAGGCTGATGTCAGTGTCCCTGTGCATAAGGTTCCTTGTGACACCATTCAGAGTCCTAAGCCTCCATTAGTCACTTGAGGCACTTCTAAGTACAACAGTTTTTTAAAAGATTTCACTGACATTTGCAACAATTTTTTTCTAATTTCTTTTGGTGCCATTTTAGTAACTTAACAATTGCTTTAATAGACAAAACTCAATCATGCATGATCAATCACAGGTGAGAAAATAGAGGCGTGCTTACTAATGGCAGCAAAAGGCTTCTGTGGGGGTGTGCGGGATGGAACAGCTAGCTAGCTAGAAAGGGGCTTCTTTATAGAGGGACTCCAGTGTCAGGCAGGGGCACTGAAATCTAGGGGTCACCAAGGGCCACAGCACAGGGGACTGAGGGAGAATCCAGTGGCTGGAACTCTCCTCACCAGTCACCTGCCTTCATTGTTAAACCTCACAGTATTTTCAGGCCACCATGCCACAAAGGAAAATGTACTGGGTAGAGGCAGGAGGAGTGTTCCTGTCACTCCTCAAACATCACTGGCCCACGTGACCTGCACGGGTAGTTTAACCTTTCTGGATTCAAGCTTTGTCAACCATAAAATGGAAAAGTTGGACTAGAACATCACTCATGTCCATTCCAGGTTTAAAGTTCAAAAGATCTTTGGTCTCCAAAATCTGGCTAAATTCTAGTGCCAGGTGGCTCTACGGCTACCCTCACCCTGCTCCCAGTCCAATAACTTCATGCAACACATTGCTGACAGCCAATAGGAACAAAAGGGCTGATTTAAAGATACAGGAATATCCAAGTGCAATACTGAAAATAAAAAAGCTGAAACACACAGAAAGATCTGGCTGCTTCCCTGCTGGTACTTCTAGAAATGCCACAGAAATCACCACATTCGCCCCAAATCACCAAATCTCTTAATTCAGATTATACATGTCCAGAATATCCAGTTCTCCTAGAAACAAAATGACACTTTTATGTTTCCCTAAGTTTGAAATATTTTTGAAGTATTAAAATAAGCAGAGCCATAGTCCCACACTGTATTTTTCTACTGAGAATACAACACCAGAAGCTAATCTCATGAAATTAGCCCATGTGAAGAACAGGCTGTTAACTACTGTTGTGATGGTAAGTCCAGAAGCCCTGTGCAAAATGTGCTCCTGGAACCAGCTGGGCCAGCATCACTTCCTAAATCAGAATCCCTGCAGGTGGGGCCCAGCCAGCTTTGTCTTAAGAAGTCCTCCAGGTGATTCTGATGCGTGCCTGAATTTGAAAACTGCTTGTCAATTTTTCAGAAGTCCACAGAAATAAAAACAAAGCCAACATACCTGGCTCCAAAGATGTCCTTTTTGGCGAGATCAATTCCAGAAACAACTTTTACTCTGAGAATACGGGACTCTCCCTGTGAGAAGGAGAACAAAAAAAGAGGTTAAAAACCTGATCTTCAATCAATCACTCTCTCATCCAATATTAAAGTAATTGATTTCTACTCAGTCCAGTATTGGGATACAGAACAAATCAATTCGAGCATAAGCAATTCTTCCTTACACTGAAGTTCAAAAAGCAATATTCCAGCTCTAAAAGTCTGTGACTCTAGAAACTTAGAACATCCAAGTTAATTAAGCACAAGTTTAATTCAAAGTAAGTCATTAAGATCAATTACTCCTGCCATTTAAAGTTAGCTTTTCCAGCTGTACCAAGAACACAATCATACACAAAAAACCATCTAGATAAATGTCCAAGTGCCACAAGTTTGCATAAATATAACAAATAATTCCTCCTTTGAAGTTGACATATTTGTATGTGACCTGCAATAGAAAAGAATTTAATGTGGTAAAACATTTCAAAATTATAGTGCTTTTAAAATGTTGGCATCAACAAGCAAAAATAATTCCTTAGTTCCAGTAAAAAGAAATAAAAACCATTCTAAATGGAAACCACCCCAAAGTGTCTTGGAAATCAATCAACTGTTCATTTGTTCATTTATTCATCATTTCTTCATTCATTCCAATATTTCCTAAGAAGCTCTTATGCCCGGGGCCTTGAAATACCGACATGAATATGCTCCAGGCTCTATTGAAGGCAACAAGCAGCCCAGCAGTACAGGACCCTATGACAGCTTAGAGAACTAGATAAGGGCTACGACATTTAGGACAGGTGAGATGGCTTAGGAGAAGGTGGTAGGCAGAAGTCCAGGATAACTCAGGTTTCCAGTTTGGGTCATGAACTGTCAACATAAATTGAAATAGAGCACTGTGTCCAAGGTGTCTATGAAGCAATTGGATGGAAAACATGTATCACTAAATGGGGAGAAACGTCTGGTCTGACTTAGAGACTCAGCAGTTATCAATGTAGAGCCTGCAGTTATAACCAAGGTCTGCAGAAACCTAGCCTAAGAGTAAGAATAAAAAATGGCCCAGGGGCCAGGCATGGTGGCTTATGCCTGTAATCCCAGCACTTTGGGAGGCCGAGGCAGGCGGATCACGAGGACAGGAGTTCGAGACCAGCCTGGCCAACATGGTGAAACCCTGTCTCTACTAAAAATACAAAATTTAGCCAGACATGGTGGCATGTGCCTGTAATCCCAGCTACTCAGGAGGCTGAGGCAGGAGAATTGCTGAACCTGGGAGGTGGGGCTTTCAGTGAGCCAAGATCACACCACTGCACTCCAGCCTGGGTGACAGTACAGGCTAATGTCAGTGTCCCTGTGCATAAGGTTCCTTGCGACACCACTCAGAGTCCTAAGCCTCCATTAGTCACTTGAGGCACTTCTAAAGTACAACAGTTTTTTAAAAGATTTCACTGACATTTGCAACAATTTTTTTCTAATTTCTTTTGGTGCCATTTTAGTAACTTATCAATTGCTTTAATAGACAAAACTCAATCATGCATGATCAATCACAGGTGAGAAAATAGAGGCGTGCTTACTAATGGCAGCAAAAGGCTTCTGTGGGGGTGTGCGGGATGGAACAGCTAGCTAGCTAGAAAGGGGCTTCTTTACAGAGGGACTCCAGTGTCAGGCAGGGGCACTGAAATCTAGGGGTCACCAAGGGCCACAGCACAGGGGACTGAGGGAGAATCCAGTGGCTGGAACTCTCCTCACCAGTCACCTGCCTTCATTGTTTTTGAGACTCGGTCTCAAAAAAAAAAAAAAGGCTCAGGATGGAGTCCCCAAGAACACAATGGCTGACGGCGCAAGAAAGTAGTAATATGAAATTCATTTACCCAACATGTTTAGTCAAGACCTAGGTGAGGGCAAGAAAACCTTGATGATTATAGAATGTCGAAGAGAACAATGGCAGGGCAAAAATAAAACATGGAGGGTACAGGATGGTGGATCTTTGTCAATTAGCTGCATAGATCAAACATACATTCATGCAATGGACACACATCCTTGAGATACTTCACATTCCAGGAGTCTTCCATCCACCCAACCGTCCATCCAACCACGTATCCCCAAAACAAGACTGCCCATGTGGCAAGCACAGTGTCCTCATAATACGGTAAAGAACATGAATATGGTAAAGAAGATGTTCGCAACTCGTTTGTGCCAATGTTCTTTCAAACATGGCCTACTTTCAAGGTTGGCAGGACTGAATGTGTTTGCCAGTCTTCATGAAAGGATTAAGGGATGTAAAGTAACACCAGGCAAGTCAGGGATAACTAAGACAATACCCTACTATAGCAAAGGGCGTCCCAAAGTGCTTACAGAAGCATCAGGGGTTAGCTGCTCTTCCCTGTTCCCTGAAGCGCTGCAGGGACTGCTCTGCCCATCTCTGGAACACTCACAGGCTGGGAGTCAGGGTTCTTTCTTTAGCACAGGATGTTATGTAGGCCAAGGCTCTTTTCTGGTTCTCACAACAAGTTGTACCCTACTGCTAATCATTTGATGCCTCCATGGCCTGCTCAGCTCAAATGATGTCCCTGCTAGAGTATTTTTTACACATGCTTCAAAACCTGAAGTACCTATAGTACCACTTACTCGGGGAGGTGCTGAAGCAGGAGGATCACTTGAGTCCAGGAGCTCAAGGCTGCAGTGCGCTACGATCAAGCCTGTGGAAAGCTACTGCACTCTAGCCTGGGCAACATAGCAACACCCCATTTCTTTTTTTTTTTTCTTTTTTTTGAGACAGAGTCTTACTCTATCACCCAAGGTGGAGTGCAGTGGCGGGATCTCAGCTCACTGCAACCTCTGCCTCCCAGGTTCAAGTGATTCTTCTGCGTCAGCCTCCCAAGTAGCTGAGATTACAGGTGTGTGCCACCATGCCCAGCTAATTTTTGAATTTTTAGTAGAGATGGGGTTTCACCATGTTGCCCAAGCTGGTCTTGAACTCCTGACCTCAGGTGATACACCAGCCTCAGTCTCCCAAAGTGCTGGGATTACAGGCGTGAGCCACTGCGCCCGGCTGCAACACCCCATTTCTAAAAAATTTTAATGCATAGAGAACCTGTAATGACATTTCTTTATTCCACAAGTATTTACTGAGTACCCATCACGTGCCAGACACGTTATCTGGAGATAGAGATGTAAACAAGACAGAGTTCCTGCCTCAAGCAACCCACCATCTAGTAGGCGGAAGACAGACTATAAATACATAATGCAAGATAATTTCTGATGGTGGCAAGTGCTCCAAAGACAATATGACAGTTAAATAAAGCAACTGAGTAGAGGGAGAGGGAAAAAGCAACTGGGGAGAGGAACATTTATGGCTGAGAGATCAGGAAAGGCTTCTTTGGCGAAAAGACACTGGAGCTGAAGCCTGAAGGAAGAAGGCTGAGTGGTGCGGCAGGGCTGGGAGTTGCAGGAAGAGCTGACAGCAAGCCCCGTTTGATGGGGGGAAGCTGGTGAAGGATGGCAGAGTCCATGCAGGGCACCGTGGGACCTGATGGGGTCAAGGACCACAGAGGCCAGCTTCAGGAGAGGGTGAACATTATCCCGACCACTGGGGGAGAAGCACTGTAAAGTTTTAAGCAGGCGAGTGATAAAATGTAGCTTCAGTCTTTGAAAGAACCACTGTGGCTGCTGTGAGGGAACAGGGCAGAAGGAGGGAGAACAATTGGAGAGAGATTCTGGCAAGAACTTTTAATAAGATAGAGATGGAGAGGTGAGCAGATCCAGCATATAAAAATGTGTCTGAAATAAGCTTTTTTTAAGAAAAGTTTCAAAATGGTTTATAAAATTGAGTTACAAACATGCTAGCTATTCCACAGAAAAGTGTCCCTTTTCTACCCGGACATGCAACTTGACTACATTTCCCAGTCTTCCTTGTAGTTAGGTGCAGTCATATGACAAAGTTCTGGCCAATGGAATGTGGCCAAAAGGTATGAGGCCTCTTCAAAACTGGCCCCATAAGCCCCTCCCACTCAGCAGCCTTCATTCTCATCCATGTCTCTCCGTGAAATGGGGAAGATCCTGGAGATAAAGAAGGGAAAATCATACGAAGGGAGTAGAGCCAAGCACCCCCCACCTCCTGACCCTCCCCAGAAATGAACTGGAGATGAGACTTTTTCTGTTTATTCCCATCCAAAACCAAAAGTTGTTATAGCAGTCTACCCTCCAGTACAATGTAATCTCATTTTTAAAAAAATGTCAATGATATAGCTGCATAGAAAAAGACCTGGAAAGGTTGATGTTAGTAGTAATTACCTCTGCAAAATGAATCATTTCTTTGGACTGACTTACATTTTTTTCCTTTTGAAGCATTAAATATTTTGGTTTAGAAACCAGACTTTTGTTAAAAAAAAAAAAAAAAAGAAAAAGAAAAAAACACGGAAATATTAAGGAAAGCAAAAGAAAAATTTTAACTTCACCGTTAACGACACCATCCAGGCTTGATTTTGTCATAAGAAAAACAAACCTGCCGGGTACGGTGGCTCATGCCTGTAATCCCAGCACTTTGGGAGGCCAAGATGGGTGGATCACTTGAGGTCAGGAGTTCAAGACCAGCCTGACCAACATGGTGAAAACCCTGTCTCTACTAAAAATATAAAACTAGCTGGACGTGCTGATGCATGCCAGTAGTCCCAGCTACTCAGGAGGCTGAGGCAGGAGAATGGAGGCAGGAGAATCGCTTGAACCCAGGAGGCGGAGGTTGCAGTGAGCCGGGATCGCACCATTGCACTCCAGCCTGGGCGACAGAGTGAGACCCTGTCTCAAAGAAAAAAAAAAGAAAGAAAGAAAAACAACCCTATGAGTTATTTTTTAGGTGACTCACAAAGGTACAGAGCTGCAAATACGGAAGACGTGAAGGGGTTCTCTTATGTAACATGTAGGCAACAGCTGGGAGGTGACCTTTACTGAGCAATTACTGTTTACAAGCACCTGTTGCAGGAAATTTTACTCCTCTCTGAAGCATTACTCTATAAAAATAGTTTACACATGCATTTTAGAGACACAGCAAAAATGTCTTATCTTTGTTTCCTCAAAATGACAAGCTTAAACACAGATAAGCAACCATCGTCATTCTTTTAGGAAGCACATGACAAGGTGTGTAACCAAATTATCAGATGCAGTGGCCCCAGGCTGAGCCACTGTACTTTCTGAAGCATTTTATTACTTTCATAAAATCTATGTGTGATATTTTGAACCCTGTTTATGACTCCAGTAGAATTAAATATTTAGCTAAGGTGGCTTTGCTTAGACAATGAAAATATTATTCATAGATTGGCTGTACAATGCAGAGAAGAAACATCAGAGTAGAAACTAGGCTGAAGAGAAGTTTCAGCATCTCTTCCTGTTATTAATCTATTGTTCTGCATTGTTATTGTGTAACGGGGTGATTCTATAAGCTTTACATATGTTTTTCTTTTACACTGAATTTTGTACTTCTTCATCAAGACATAAAACAAGATAAGGTGCCCGAGCCATAAGTGACAGCAGCACACTAATAGTGTCCAAACTGAGAAACAGGTGGTAATCTGAAGGTTCAGTTGCGAGAGCGTCATCTGGAAATCCAGCAGCCCTACTCATATAAACTGTGCATAAGCAGTTACTAGAGTCCCATAGCCACCCACAAAGTCTATAAAATACATAATCCATCAACAGTGTTCTTGTAGTAAAATAAATTTCAAGTTCCAACTCAAAACTCAAGATACTGGAATTTACCATTTCTCCTATGACTTTGTCTTAAGGAGGTAACTTGTTATCCTTTATCCTTATTTTCCACAATGGCAGGTACTCTCCTAAAAAGATGGTATCTGAGCTGGGAAATAGTGTTCTTCCTGCACAGGGAGCCACTGTGACCCCAGGATCACGTACACCAGCTGTCCAAGCGGACAATAAGTTCTAAGTCAGGGACTTCCACTGTTTTGTCACTCTTACCTAAATTAATTCATGTATTTACCTTCCATATTCTAAAGTACTTTTCTAGTTCTAGCTATTACCCATCACATTTGCAGGCTTAGGGTAAACACTCTCTGCATTAAAACAGATGACCAACGTTTTTTGGACCACATAAATATGTAAGTTACGTATACATTACTTAACTTTAGTTGCTTTAAAAAATAACTAAGCCAGCATATGGACCATGACCATTGTGTGCCTGCTACACAGCAGCCACAGTCACTCTTTCCATTTCTACCTGCTCTTGCCCCAGTCCTGAGACAGGATCCTATTTCATGCATTTTTAAGACTACTCTTTTTAGAGCAGTTTTAGGGTCACAGCAAAATTGAGCAGAAGGCACGGAGATTTCCTACGTACCCCCTACCGCGACACACTCACAGCCTCCCCCATGATCAACATCCTGCTCCAGAGTAGTATCCCTGTTACAATTCACACATCGAAATCACCCGAAGCCCATCGTTTACCTTAGGGCTCACTCTTGGTGTTGTACACTCCTTGAGTTTGGACAAATGTATAATGACATGTATCCCCCATTATAGTATCATACAGAGCATTTCCACTGTCCTAAAAATCCTCGGTGCTCTGCCTACTCATCCCTCCCCTGCCTGCATTTTTTAAAAAATCTCACACACTGTCCTATTGCGTCCCCACCCCACACACCTTCCTGTCACTTCCAACTCTTGCCAGGTTGAATCCTCTTGACTTTCTCCCTCCCCACACCAACGCCTTCCCGCTACACCTTTCCCTCTCTTAATGTTGGGTCCCACAACCTTATATTGCTGCCACCCCCTCCTAAAATCCCTCTGAGTTCTCCACATTGACCATCTAATTATACACTCAACAAAAATGCAGAATGATACTATGTTCAATGCATTATGCTAGCAAAAAGGAGGGCCACAAAACTGAACCAGACACATTCTCTCTCTCTCTCAGGAGCTTACAGTCAATGGCAGAGGCAAGGTGTGTGCACAGTTGCCTCTTACACAGCGGTGGAACAGAGGCGTAAGATGTGAGTGGTGAGAACAAAGACCCAGGGTGGAAATGAAAGCAGCCCACCAGGACTGCAAGTCCAGTTCAAACCCAGATGACACCGACAGAGGCAAACAGCCCTAACTCAACGGACTACTCACCGTCATCTCTGATCACCACTGGCAGCCCAACACATAACACGTGGTCAAGTTTCAATTCTACAATGCTGTCAACAAGCAGACACCCTAAGGATATGAGTTTCTGAAAAGACTGTGGGATTCTGTGCAACCTAAATCTCTCAACTTCTACTGGGTAATGGCTGCTATTATGCCAAGTAGAAAAAGGGTTAACAAATGGGAAAAAATAAAGGGATAGACTTCTAGAGCAGAACCCTAATTTAAATGCTCAAGGTGACTCTACCTTCAAAAAATGATGCTGTGTGGTTGTGAAACAGGTCCACAAATTCTCGATATTTCTTTCTTCATGAGGTGGGTAATTTCCCATGGGTATCTGATTTAGTGACTCCTTTCTAATAGAATATGGAAGAGGTGACAGTGTGTGACTTTGGAGATTAGGTCACAAAGACATTAGGCTTCCACCTCTCTTTTGGATCATTCCCTCTGGGGAAAGCCAGCTGTTGCTATGATGTGCAGACACTCAGTCAGCCCCAAGGAGCAATCTCTGCGATAAGGAACTGAGGCCTCTTGCCTCCAGCCATGTGAGTGACTCATTTTAGAAATGGGTCCTTCTGTTCCAGTCAAGCCTTCAGATGACAGCAGCCTTGGCTGACATCCTCACTCAGGATCATAAGAGACCCTTGCCTGCTACATACCAGTCACTGTGGAAAGGCACATGTCAGAACCACCCAGTTAAGCCACTTTTGATTTACTGACCCACAGAAACTGTGAGATAATAAATATCTGTTGCTTTATAAGCTGCTAACTCTAAAACTAATTTGTTATGTAGCAATAGATAACTAACATACATTGTGAAAAACCCAATGCAATAATTACAGTCTCATTTATCTCTTTGCTAAGTCGAGATTTTCCTATGTATTAGGGTGATTCTTCAAAATAAGAAAAAAACAGCAGTGAGAAATAAAGACTATTGCCTGTGTTTTCTATCATGTCAAAGCAGTGGCATTTTTCAGGCAAAATTAACAGAGCTTGGTGACTTGTTCAATGTAAGTGCAGCAGCAGTATTACTTTTAAGAAATATGGAACCTGATACCATAATAAATACAGTCAAAATGCGAAACCAAGGCTACTTCAGAAAACTTAAGATACATGATCATTTGTAAGTATGAAATTTAAAAAAAAAATCCAAAAAGAATGACAATCAAGAGATGCTGAGATACTTACATGTGCCACTGAAATAACTTTCCATAAGATAGAAAGGGTGTGTGTGTGTGTACGAATATTTGCTTACGTAAATGCATAAAGCAAACTGCATGGACACAAGAAACTGGTAACACTGGCTGACTCTGGGGATAAGAACTGTTTGGCTGGGGATGGAAGTGACTGAGAAAAAAGAGACTTCTTTGAATTTAAAACCATCTAAATGTATTCATAACTCAAAAATTCATTTTAAGTAGCCAGGATAGTTAATAAACAGGCAAAAGTCACAAAAAGAATTACTTAGGAATGTTTAATCTGGTTTCTTTTTCTTATTTTTCTTTTTTTTTTTTTTTTTGAGACAAGGTCTAGCTGTTGCCCCGGCTGGAGTGCACTGGAGTGATTAAGGCTCACTGCAGCTTTGACCTCCCAGGCTCAAGCAATCCTCCCACCTTAGCCTCCCAAGTAGCTGGGACTACAGGTGTGTGCTACCATACCCAGCTATTTTTTTTTTTTTCCTGTATTTTTTTGGTAGAGATTTCCCCATGTTGCCCAAGTTGGTCTCAAACTCCTGGGGCTCAAGAGATCTGCCCACCTCTGCCTCCCAAGGTGCTGGGATTTTTACAGGTGTGAGCCACCACAACCAACCTAATCTGGTTTTAAAAATAATAGAGAGATAGAAAAGACCAGATTCTTTCATGGGAAGGAGGAGGAGGTGGCAGAAGTCAAGCCATTTTCCGTTATGAGGTTGCAGAGGGCAGCTCTCACCCAAGGAGCGAGCATGCAGGAGAGCAGATGAGTCGTATTAAGGGAAAGGAACTGGCGGTCATTAACCCAGGTCAAACACGGGCAGGTGGCCTCCCAAGGCTGAGAGCTGGCCAGGTAGCACTGGGGAGGGACCAAAGACTCGTAGGCTGCCAGAAATGTGGGGCGTGGGAGGCGGTGGGGGGTAGGATAATGAACCAGATAGCCCCTGATGTTCCTTCCCAACTCAGGGACATTGTGATTTTAGAAGGCCTGCACACGAGGAGCCAAAAACTCAATCTAAGAAGAACTGCACAAGATCACACAACACTTGATGCATGCATGTAACTTCTCTAAGACAAAGCGCAGGAATAATTAAAATTCCCATCTATTTCATAGTGAAAAGCAGATTGTTCATAAACCAGAATGTTTTCTACTCATAACAGTTTCAAAATATCAGGGATGCAATAACCAATTGAAATGAAATTAAAGCATCTCTAGATAGCATTTGCGGAAGGGGGTATCCGAAGTCCCAAAACAATTTATGGTGGCTAACCCACTCTCCAAGAGATGTTTACAATTCCTTTTAGGAAGAACACCAACGCTTCTACTACGATGGGCTGGTCGCTGGACTAGTTTTAGGATATAAAAACAGGAAGAGAAGAACTACATAAGAAAGTAAAAGAGGTTCTGGTTCAAGGAGTGGCTAAGGACCAGCTTGAATCCTCCACAAAAGTGCACCCAAAACAGCACTGAGAAACCAAATCACCAGCTGGGAAGACAGAGGAGAGATAAACCTGGCCTGCAGTGGGGCTGCAAGTAGAATTCCACTGTCTCATTAGACATCGAGAAGTCAGGAAGCCCAGTGCCACCAACTTGGGAGAGCTGCAGGCTTCAACCACAGGACAGTAGATCCTGAGGGTGACAAGGAGAACAGTCCATGTGCAACTGATCATGTCTAGAGACTCCCAAAGCAACGCCGCAGTTCAAACCCATCCCTGATTCCTCACTTCCCTTCTGTCATCCCTGTGGCTGAAGGCCTGCAACTGACCACACGCCATGAATGATGCTCACCCTAATTTATCTACCAGGCACCTGCATACCTCAGACAAACCGTCGAGATTCCTGGCTGCACATTTAGGAGACAAACATGCCACCGGCCTCATCTTGGCCATAATCATGCTTTGAGAGCTTTACTTCCTTAAAGGGTGCAAATGTCCATTATGAGATTTAACTTTTCAGCTTAGCCTCATCACCCATCCATGCCACCTTACTGCAAAGAAATAACTCACATCAAAGACTCACTAGCAAGATAAACGACTAAAAAACGCCTTAGCTTACTGGATTTTCCCTGTGTTATGAATCATAAAATTTTTATAAAGCAAAATAGAAATTTGTGAAATTATTTTTTCCAGTTTCCTCATAAAATACCTAAGATCAAAGGATTTCATCTGAGTCTAACTTGGAGCGTTTTTTTTTTTTTTTAAACTTAAAACTATCAAAGTCAAATTGTCTCGCTTTTTTTTTTTTCAAAACACAAGATAGTCGCAATTACTATGTGGGTGGGTACTGCTTCAAAAGGCATGTATAACTAAGTCATATCAAAACTAAAATGACAAATGGGTTATTTTCAACAGAACACTTTGAAAGGAAAAAGAAAACAAACAAGAACTTTAGGATATTCTTTTTGAAGGCAACTGCATGATGCTAGATTGTGTCCATGGACTAGATTTCTAAAAGGCCATCTAAAATACATTTTTAAATACTTATTCCTTTCACAGGTAATATCTTACGAAGTTTGATTATTTTTGAATTGTCATAATATGGACTTAATATGGGAGGAAGGTAGTTCCAAAATGACAGAAGTAATCGCTTCCACATCACTTTTGTTTTTCTATTTACATATACAAACACATTTTTCTCTTGTCACAATAGTATCTGAAACATTAAGAGGTGCTCATAAATATTTGAGGAATAACTGGATTGTTTTTGCTACTTATTTATTTATTTAGAGACGAAGTCTCACTCTTGTCACTCAGGCTGGAGTGCAACGGCATGATCTTGGATCACTACAACCTCCGCCTCCCTGGGTTCAAGCGATTCTCGTGCCTCAGCCTCCCAAGTAGCTGGGATTACAGGCGCCTGCCATCACGTCTGGCTAATTTTTTGTATTTTTAGTAGAGATGGGGTTTTGCCATGTTGCCCAGGCTGGTCTCGAACTCCTGAGCTCAGGCAATCCACCCACCTTGGCCTCCCAAAGTGCTAGGAGTGTGGGTGTGAGCCATCACACCCAGCCAAATAACTGGATATTGTAAAACAGTTGAGCTTAACTACTCCTGCACTGGAAGCAACATCTGAGCTTCACTGGGTCCAAAGGGTGGTTTGAGCTCAGCAGGTATTGTCCTTGTCACCCTTCATGACAGCAGTCATTGTCACTAGTTTGGCCCCTTGGGTCCCAGTCTTCCTTTCTCACCCCACAGTTCTCTCTCTTTGAAATCGAATTTTACCCCAAAGAGGCAGAAGGTTCTATCTGGGCAGTACTCACTCTGCAGGATGCCTGAGCTCGGTTATCAGGGAATCCTGCAAAGCCAGGACTGCCTGGGCACAGTGTTCCTTTCAGGAAACTTTTCTTGGCCTTACAGACTTTTTAAACGCCCATGTCACATGTCCATTTCTCACATTATTTTTAAGGAGTTTCTGTTGAATATTTTATTCATTTTTTATCGATCAACCTCTACTCAGTGCTATTTCTTTCTGTAACTTGAAATTAATGTTTGACTTTAATGCCACACACTTGGTACTTGGTTTTTGTAACAATGTTTCACAAAGGTACTTGGTTTTAACAATATTTCGGGCCGGGTGCGGTGACTCACGCCTGTAATCCCAGCATTTTGGAGGCCAAGTAGGGCAGATCACAAGGTCAGGAGATAGAGACCATCCTGGCTAACATGGTGAAACCCCGTCTCTACTAAAAATTCCAGAAAAACTTGCCAGGCGTGGTGGCGGGCGCCTGTACTCCCAGCTACTCAGGAGGCTGAGTCAGGAGAACAGCGTGAACCCATGAGGCAGAGCTTGCAGTGAGCCGAGATTGCGCCACGGCACTCCAGCCTGGGGGACAGAGCGAGACTCCATCTCAAAAAAAAAAACGTTTCGCAAAGCTAACAGACTTGGTTTTCCTTTGACTCTTCAAACATGCTCCCTAAGAGACACAAAGCAGATCACCTGAAGTCAGGAGTTTGCGAGACCAGCCTGGCCAACATGGTGAAACCCCATATCTACTAAAAATAGAAAAATTAGCTGGGCCTGGTGGCTCATGCATGTAATCCCAGCTACTCGGGAGGCTGAGGCAGGAGAACCGCTGGAACCTGGGAGGCGGAGGTTGCAGTGAGCCAAGATTGTGCCACTGCACTCTAGCCTGGACCACAGGGCAAGACTCTGTCTTTAAAAAAAAAAAAAAAAAAAAAAGTCAATCTCTTCCCACTTCCAATTTAAATCTCTTCGACTACAGTCCCTCACATTTTGTATCCTTCCACAAAGCTTCTGCTGTACTGTAGGTCCCTCTACAACTGTGTGTTCTGTTTCCAAGAGTCATTTTTTTAAAAAAAAATTATCATCAAGTGAGAGGTTATGCAAAGACAGGAATCAATGATTCACCTACAGGACAACAGGACTCATGATAACCATTCCACAGGAAGTATGGGCGATGCAGCCTGAGGCCAGGTGTCTGAACATCAAAGCCAGGCTCTTCCCACAACCTAGAACCACTCATTTAGACTCTCCTTCCCCTAAAACCCTGAAGACACAGAAAAGGCATCAGCCACCCCATAGGTGGCTGTCAACCGTCACGGAATGTTGATGCCTGTCATGAGATTTCCCACACTGGACTTGCAGGTACTTGCAGGTACTAGGTACTTGCAGGTACCAGGTTCTCTGCAGGAGTCTATGCTGGAAGACGTGCCTAAGAAGCCACAGGACTGGCACAGGGCATCTTCCCAGAGTACCAATTTTTTGGAAGTCTTGGTAGGTAGAAGAGTGGTTCTCAAAGTACGGACTCCCGACTACCAGCATCAGCATCACCTGGCAACTTGGAAGAAATGGAGATTCCCAAGCCCCACTTCAGACTTCCAGAATCCGAATCTCCAGAACCAGAGTCCAGCAATCTATGTTTGTAAGCACCCAGATGATTCTGAAGCACAATAAAATTTAACAATGTTCTATTCAAACAAACAAGTATCACGGAATGAAAGATGCTATTTACATACATTTTTAAGATTTCACATTTGCAACTGGACTCCTCTGCAGGGATCCCCTCTTCCCCAAAGAAAACTTGGATGGAAATGTGTGAGAAGGGCAAACAAAATTTCCAAATGCAGATGATCCGTATCTGTAGATCTCCCAGATCTTTATCTCCACCCTAACCCCTTTCCTCCCCAGCTTGCAAGCTCTGAATATTTGACTCTCTCGGAGCCAGCAATGCTGGAAGAGCACCTGGAACTGTGCAGAAAACTGAACAGGTCCTGAGTGTTGCTCTCATGCCTCTTGTTCCCAAGCCTTGCTGTTTCAGTAACTCTGATCAAGAATCACCCCGTGAGAAGACACACACATATTAACAGAGGTGCTTCAGGGTTGCGACAGTACAGGGTGTTTTCATCTTGAGTACAATTGTCTATAATGACTGAGTTTTTTTTTTTAATTTTTCTGAAGAACATGAGTAATGCCTTCATAATAAGAAATTAAATTGTTTTCATAGGAGGTACAACCACTTTATCTCATCGAATTTTTAACCCAAACTCACTCACTGTGCCTTTCTATCCTATGGGATATATTATTTGATGCTCCATTTCATCACACATATATGAATAATACACTCATACTGCCCTACTACCTGCTGCAATAATCACATTCCCTTCCTGTCCTGACCCTGAAGCCATTGGGGTGGTCCTAGTGGCCATCAGTCCAGGCCTGCACCTTGAGCCCTTGAGCTCCATTGCTCACACCACCCCACCTCACCGACCCCATCCTCTTACACAGCTACCTCCTTGCTCTCTAACCCCATAGATTATTTCCAAATTCAGTCAATTAAGTTACTATTAACACTCTACCCGACATGTCCAGCACCACTGGTAAGCCTTCTCCAGCCAACACACACACACACACACACACACACACACACATATCCAGGCACAGCTACCTCATCTTCACAATCACCCCTTTAATTACCATGCTATGGTGGTATCCGTATTTTTATACTAGTTCTGGGCTCTCACTTTCATCTTTCTCAAGCTTTACTGAGCACCTACTAAACACCAGAAATTTACATTTTGGAATGAGAACAACTAACTCATCCAAGACCTACTGAAGCTCACCATAATGCAGGAAACATCCAAATATATGGAGATAAGAGTAATGATGTGCTAACACGCAACAGTGAAAAAAGGAAAATGGACCAACACTGAAGAGAAAGAAACAGAACAAAGAAAGGTAGAGGGAGTGGGCAGACAAGGCCGACCAGCCCCTTGGAGAGCCATTCTCAAATAGTTTCTTCCCATGCATGGTCCGTCTGTGGCAGAAGCAGCATGTTTCTTTCCCTTGACACCACTCCAGGATGCTGTACCAGACAGACCCGTCTATAGGCATATTGTGAAGAATCATTTTAAGTGAGCACCTGAGGAATGCATGTTTGGCAAAGGAAGGGCTCCAAAAAGTCAAGGCTGTTAATCACCAAAACCTAACACTCAGGAAAGTTATGAAATTCCCTGTAGAGGGCTTTTAAAAGTAGGTTAGATCCCAATCTCTGCCTGGTTGAGGTGTAGCCTAAACTCCCAACAGTGCCAAAGTTCAAAGTCCTTTTGGAGGTGGAGGAGTCAAGGACGTCCACCAATTTACCTGGGCCAGTGAGGCAAGATCACAGGAGAAGGGGGTCATGGTACGACCCGCCCCCACTGGACCAAGGCCCCCAGTATGGAAAACCCTTGGCTGGGTACCCGCCAACCACAGCCACCATGGCTAAGACAGCCAACAAGTGTGGGCCATGCTGGGACTGACCACTACAGCTCACAAAGGGGTCAGTCACCTGATGGAATGCATAGCACCTCCTAAGAAAAAGTCATTCCTAGTCCTCCCTGCTACTTCTCTGCAAATAAATATTCAAAGCTAGATCTATCTAACATCTAAAAAACATTCTGTCAGTCCAAATCAGAGTGCTTTTAACTGTCTCCTTTTAAGCACAGGAAACAAAAGTTTCAAACCAGAAGTTTAAAATTTATCAAAAAACGGCCGGGTGCAGTGGCTCACGCCTGTAATCCCAGCACTTTGGGAGGCCAAGGCAGGCGGATCACCTGAGGTCGGGAGCTCGAGACCAGCCTGACCAACATGGAGAAACCCTGTAACTACTAAAATTAGTCAGGTGTGGTGGCGCATGCCTGTAGTCCCAGCTACTCAGGAGGCTGAGGCAGGAGAATTGCTTGAACCCAGGAGGCGGAGGTTGCAGTGGGCCGAGATTATGCCATTGCACTCCAGCCTAGGCAACAAGAGTGAAACTCCGTCTCAAAACAATAACAACAACATTTAATAAAAACAGGATTGATGGCTCGGCCAGCAAGAGAGATAGGAGGTAAATGATGCATTGATTTAGAACTGAAAGACATCGTCCCTTCCCAGGATACAGAATGCCATTTTATTTGGTTAATTACATTGAAATCTTCATCAAATTCTCTTAACAGGCAAACAAAAAATATTCTAAAACCTAAGAGAAAATCCATAATTCTTCCAAAAATAACCTAAGAGTTCTACTCAGTATTCAATATCAGAGAAAGCCTTACTCAGGCAATTACACAGAAATAAATTACCATCCACAGCAGAGTGTCATTTCTCACTATATAGTGTAAGAGAAATATTCACAGATACCCATTTTTTCCCTCAATAAGAAAAATTCACAACTGTCACGGTGTTCCTACATTTTCAATCCATTCATTTTCTTAATTTGTTTCCCAAAGCTGTATCTCCACTTAGGAAAACCAATCAGGCCTGGTTAGACTTGTTCCTAAATAAACCCTGAGGTTTGAACAAAATCCTTCAAGAAAGAAGTAATCAGGTCAATTATGTTAAAGATGAATTAACAGCTCCAGCATCTTGAGGTCATATAACACAATCATGACTATGGGTGGATGTGGAGAGCTTCAGAATGCCACAGGAAGGTAAAACCTCCTCCCCCACCAAGCAAAGTCTTACCGAGTGTTACCTGCTCAAATGCGAGACGTCTCATTTAGGAGAATACAATATTAAAGGTTTAGTGCATTAAAGGAAAGCTGGAAAACTCAAGGGCAGAGCAAGTTCTGAAGAGTATGCGGAAGTCGTGGCTGCAGCCAAGGGTAACTTTCCACTGCCGGGTGACAAGGTCACAGGAGAGAAGTTTTAACTTGACTCCCAGGAAAGCAGTCTACACGGTTGTTCCTCTCTGGAAATGGCTTCCTCTGTGACTGGCTCACATCAAATCACAGGTGTCTTATGAACCTGCCACCTGGACACCAAGGTCCAGCCTCTCCCAGGACTGCCAAGTTACCTCTTCAGGAAATGCAATGAAATCTGACCCAGATAACGCCACATAAGATAACATCAGGTGTCCAGGGCCCTCCACCTTCAGTAAATGTTCAGAAGTACACTCTGTTTTAAAGGAACCCTTGTATATTTCATGTTTTCCCCACGCAAAAGCTTCCTCTCTGCCACTTTCAGTTTACGTAATCAGACAGCTGGCTGTGAGCATCTCCAAAACCCAGGATTTGCATTGTTTCAACCAAGACAAAAATATTAGGCTCCTCATAGGTCTGGAGGCACCAGTAGTGTATCATTCAGCCAAGTGACACTGAGATTCTTACCAACTGCTTAGAGCAAATAAGGAAATCATAAAGTATCAAATATACAGATTCACTTTTCTTCTAAGAAAAGATTCTTGAACCCACCACATATTGGTCTATTCTTCCATAAAGCTTAATATGACATTGGTGTTATGGGTAGAAGTGTGTCTCCCTCCAAAACTTCCATGTTGAGGCTCTAGCCCCTGGAATGTGACTGTATTTGGAGACAGAAACTTGAAAGAGGTTATTAAGGTAAAATGAGGTCACACGGGTGGGCCCTAATCCAATATGACCGGCATCCTTCTAAGAAGAGGAAATTTGGACACACAGAGAGACACTGGGGCTTCGGATGTATGCAGGGCAAAGGCCATGTGAGGGCACAGCAAGGGGCCACCTGCAAGCCAAGAACAGAGGCCTCGGGAGAAACAATCCACTGGTCTCCTGATCTTGGCTTCTGGCCTTCAGAACTGTGCGGGATCATGGCCAGGCGAAGTGGCTCACGTCTGTAATCCCAGCACTTTGGGAGGCTGAGGCAGGCAGATAACTTGAGGTCAGGAGTTCGAGACCGGCCTGACCAACATGGTGAAACCCCATCTCTACTAAAAAATATAAAAAGTAGCCAGACACAGTGCATGTGCCTGTAGTCCCAGCTACTCGGGAGGCTGAGGCAGGAGAACTGCTCAAACCTGGGAAACAGAGGTTGCAGTGAGCCAAGATCACACCACTGCATTCCTGCCTGGGAGACAGAGCAAGACTCCATCTCAAAAAGAAAAAAAAAAAAAAGAACAGTGTGGAATCAATTTCTGTTGTTGAAGTCACCAATTGGGTATTTTGTTATGGCAGCTCTAGCAGGACTAGTAGAATTGGAAAGAAAATATTTCAGTGACCAAAAAAAAAAGGGGGGGAGAGAGGGGTGGACTCCTTGAGTCCTGTGTCCTTCCCCTGGGCACATGGCCTGACCAGCAACCCCATTCCGAGCCCAGCCCCTTCTGCATTGCATTGCAGAGCCAGAGCACAGAAACCAAGCCCTGTGGACAGAGCAGTCACTGGGGCTTTGGGGGACAGTAAGGTGCCCTGGAAGAATGGATGAGATTTGCTGGCAGAGAAGAAAAGGCATAGTAAAGAGAGGTCACAGGCATGAAAAGGGCATTCAAAGCCCCAAAAGAAAACAGAATGAGACAACTGAACAAAAGACAACAGGAATCAACCTCAAAATATAGAATCGGCAAATACACACATACGATATGAGGCCGTCTCCCTCCTCACCATATGCAAACTGAACTCGCGTGTACTTCGATGCCTCTTATATTAGCAGAGATTAAAATTTTAACATTAGCTGATGTTTATGCAAAACTGAGCACATTTAGAGCAGTGGTATTAACAGCCGTCCTGACAATGTACAGAAAGGGACAGTGAAGCTTTGGAAAGAGAACAAGTATCTTCTCCAAGCTCAGGCAGCTCTAAGCAGCAGAGGCTAGACAAAATACAGGACACTGTGTTCCAATAACATAGCTTCTCAATTCGGGGAGGGGGTGATTCTGCCCCCCAAATGTGGCAACGTGGAGAGTTTTTTTTAATATTACACCAGGGAAAGTGCCCCCCAGCATCTAGAAGGCAGAGGCCAGGGGTGCAGGGAACATCCCATGGGGCACAGGACAGCCCCCACAACAAAGAATGACCCAAGGCACATAGTTACCAGTGCCGCCTGCATTGGGAAACCCTGTTCCAGAGCCAACACCAGCTCAACCGCACTCTCACAGCCTTTCTCTAATTTTGAAATAATTTTAGTTTCAAAATAAAAATTTACCAATGCACACACAGACACACAAAGCTATGAACCACCCTGCTACATATTCTATTTGTAATCCAGAGAAATCTGCCATCATCAGGCCTCCCACCCCAGCCTGAGAACGCATCCTGGGCCCGACACCTTTACATGAGCTCTGCTCGGAGTCCTGAGGCCAGCTCATCCCACCCTTACCCACGTGTCCTTCTCGTCAGTTCTCTGCCCACCTCTGCTCTGCACATCCCCTCAGCACCAGCAACGTAATTTCCAGGCCCAGCGCAAAATGAAAACATGGATCCCTTGTTCAAAAACTATCAAGAATTTCAAGATGGCAAGAAAAGAGCATTAAATCAAACACAGGGCCCTTCTGAGTGTGGAGCAAGGGACCACACCGCAGGCTCAGGAAGCTGACCTTGAGCAGCTCTGCACCCTTCCACATCCTCACCCTGCCTGCCTCCCTAGCCACTGCACCAAGTCTTCATTCTTCTCCAAATTGCTCCCACCATTCCTTGTCACACTGAAGCTTGGCTCTGCACACAGCACAGCTTCCAGGAGGCTACAGGTTCTCCGGCACTTTTTAGGGCCAGGGCTGAACCCTACTCTGGGACTTTCCACCTCAGCCTCCATGTCATGAAGAGTCCTCCTTATTATCTATAGGCCACTTGGCTGGTCGCTGGACACCCTAGTAACCATCCCCTCTTTAAAGATGGCATGGAACCTGGGTTGCCATCTTCCTCCCCGGCCCAAATCCTGCATCATCCTGGATCACCGTGGTCCACACCCACATAGCACCCTCAATCCACAAATGACTCCCTGAGCCCCAGACACATCTGCCTATGTTGTGCTCACACCCAGAGCCATGCTGGACTGGGCCACCACGCACCACCTCATCTCTAGAAACCTCAACTCCAGAGCTCCTTTTCTGCGTCTAGGTCTCTCCCGCCCACCTTCCTGAGGATCAGCACATCAAATGGCTAATAATCTCTAGGGCTAGCTGAACATCTACCAGAACCCAGCACTGATTCAATACGTCTATGCATCCTCTCTTTAATCCTCGCAATGACTCTGTGAGATGGGCACTACTATTAATACTTTTAATCCCATTTTTCAGGGAGAAAAATGATTCTGAGGGAGACTGAGAAAATGCATCCAGGTGAACAAGCCAGTATGTGGCCCCAAGGTCTTGTTCATGAAGCAGAACTGTTTCCATATGACTGTGAAAAACATCCTCAAGCTCACTAATAAATGCCAATTTTAAAAAAATGTACATTTTTCAATCACCTGACTGACAAAGAGTAAAAAGAATAACAAGACCCAGAACTGGTGAAAATGTGAGGGACAGGTGGTCTGAGAGAAGGAGGACTGGAAATTGATGTATTTCTAGAGCACAATTAGGCAAAATATACAAAGAGCCTTAAGTAGAGGAGACTTTGCTGCAAGTAATCCACTTCTAAAAACCCACAGAAAGACTCAGACAAGCAGGCAACGATGTATTTACAGGAGTATTCATCAAAGGAGAAAAAAAAAAAACCCAATTCCTTAAACATCCATAGGTTTGATAAAATTGGCTAGAGTAGTAATTACCCTTATTATCACTATCACTGGATACTGTCAATCAGCTAGGGTAAAGTACTAATACTTTGACATTATCTCATTCAATCCTCACAATTTGGTGTATTTTACAAAAGAGGAAAACGTTGCCTACTCCAGAATCTGTTTCATTGAGAAAAATTATGTGGAGCTGTATCTATCAAGCAAGGAAGATACCCACGGTATATTATTCACAGTAAAATACAGGGTTACATTAGAGCAGAGTAGAATTTGATTCCAGATTTGATTCTTCAGACTGTCACGTAGTCTGGTTATTTACTATCTTCTTAGCTGCAAATCCACCCTTCCCTTGTCTGTCCCTTGGCACTTGGACCCCCACAAATGAAACTTCCCCGACTCCCTTTCCAGTTGGCTTCCAGCTGGGGCCTGATGAGAGGGGGCCCTGGTAGGAGAGCCTCAGGGGGAGGGGAAGCACCGTCCCAGCATCGGCAGTGGGGTCCGATGTCGTCCCACTGCAGAGGTAGTATCAGCAGTGGAGGGCATCCTCTTGGCTCCTGGGCTCAGGTCACCTGGCCCAGTGGTGGTGCCTGCTTCCTGCAGAGCTTGTCTCTGGGCTCTCTCAGGGTCGCCCCAACTTGTTCTTTCATCCTCCACACCTGTGGAGCAACTCCTCGCATGAGGTCCCTCTGTTGGGCCCTGACTGGTACCACATGCACATGTATTAATATTTACTCAGCACCCAACTGCTGAGCAGTTATGCTGTACCAGGGACTCTGCCAGGTGCTGTGGACATAGCAGTAGCAAGGCACACCTGCCCCTGAGTCTGTCCACCTGCATTAAATGGTGTGTAGACACACTAAAACATGAACTGTGCGGTACACGCGAGGGAGACTGTGGGTAATTTTTATTTTGTTCCTTATCTTCATCTATGGTTTCAGGTTTGTTTGTTTTTTTTTTCCAGGACTGACTTTCATAATCAGAACATTTAGTATTTTAAAATACAGTAGACAAAATGTCCTACTCTCTGAACTCTACAATGCTTCAAAGAGGTAAGATCCCCTTAAGGCTACGACATAGTGTGGATGTTTGTCCCCGAAATCTCATGTTGACAATAATCCCCGGTGTTGGAGGTGGGGCTTGGTGGGAAGTGTTTGGGTCATGGGGGTGGATCCCTCATGGCTTGGTGCTGTTCTGGCAATGGTGAGTTCTCATGAGATCTGGTTGTTTAAAAGTGTGTGACCCAACCCCTTGCTCCTGCTCTGGCCACGTGAGATGCCTGCTCCCCCTTCATCTTCCACCATGATTAGAAGCTTCCTGAGGCCTCCCCAGTAGCCGAGCAGATGTCAGCATCATGCATCCTGTATCATCCAGTACAGCGTGCAGAGCCAAGAACCAATTAAACTTCTTTTCTTTATAAATTACCTAGTCTCAGGTGTTTCTTTATACCAATGCAAGAATGGCCTAATGGACTAAATTGGACTTTTTTTTTTTTTTAATGCTGCTCTCAATATATAACCAGAGTCATGAAGTAATGTGTGTGGCAGAATGTTTTCTGTCTTGGCCAAAGAAAACAAAAACAAGAGATCTAAGCTACTATTACAACAACAAAAATACTAACTGAACCACCTGCTGTTTCTATCAAAACAGAAACCTATGACTTAATAATACCTAAAGGAATATTCTGGATACCTCATATCAGGCCACAGGGAAAATGCCCATTTCTATATAATATGAACATTCTCTTTCCTAGATGTGAGACAACCTAGCACGTAGCTGTAAAACCCTATTGCTGGCCCTCGGTCCCTCTCTTCTCCCTTCCTTCGACAGCTGTGGGCTGTCACACCACCGGCCGCTGTGTCTTCTTCACAGGGACCACCCGCAGGAAGGATTAATTCTGCTTCCTGATGGGTTTCTTGCACCATCCCATCCACGGCCTCTCTGGGGACATGGACGAAGAACACGGGACGGGCACAGGTCATGTGTTTATGCTTCTGGAACATAAACATCCTGCTGCGCTCTCCCTCTGTGAGCTTGCTTTCTTATCTTTAAATAGCACTGCATCATTACTGGCACTGGGTTTGCAACACAGCATAACACGGAGAGCTTTATAGCTTGTCCCAGAGCCTGCGGGCATTTCGGCAGATAAGGGAGAAATGCAGAAATAAACTAAATGGCCCCCTTTCAAAGATACTTATGAGAATCACAGAAATGTCTAGGAATACTACAGACACTGCAGCTGATACAACTCAACATTTTTGACAGAATAGGCAGCTGAGCTCTGTCTAATGAGGTGGATTCCAATGTCATGCTGTGAGATCGAGGGTGCAGGGTTACTTATCAGCTGTGTGTACCTGGGCACATTATTAAGCCTCAGTTTCCCTACCAGTGAACGCCAGTGAACAGGGATATGATGTGCATTCCCCTTGTTGTCTATCTTGAAGTGATGCCAGTGATGCAAGGGGGCTCAAGTGATGCATATAAACTAGCTACGCCAGTACCTGGCACTAAAGGATATTAATATGTACCATTTCCCTCCAAGTCAGGACTTGGGGCCAGCTCTCCTGACCTGCAGCAGGCACCTGTCTGCTCCGCATGCTGCCTCTTCCCCACAGGTGGGACAGGTTCAACACTGATCCAATCATGCAGGCTGGACCCCCTCTCCCTCCCTCCATTGCTAAGGACCCTGCCAGCGTCCAGATACTGATGACCTGGTAAACAACAAACATCTGAGATAAAGACCCTTAATATTAATATTTAAAAATCTGAAAAAAAAATGATAAAAGGTGAGGTCTATACACTGCAATTTTTAAGCTGCTTTTGTTACAGCACAGGAGATAGGAAACAAAATTCTCATTTCCAGAGTCTTCACAGTCTGGGCCTGAATGCTCATTAAATATGTGGCATTAAAATGGTAAATAGAGAGATCTCCTGAACACATACAGGTCATTCAGCCAGTAATGAGAAATATATTAAACACAGTTGTTTCTACAAAACAGAGTGCAAGGTAAGATTCCCAAAACTTCTTTTATCTAGCTTAAGTAGAAAGCTATCCTCAGCAATCCTCTGAGGTCTGGAACATGTTTGACCCTATTTGCCAGGCTATGAAATGTCAGAGGACCTCTGTCAATATCAGTTCCCCCAACACCCCCATAGGAAGATACAAGACATTCCTTCTGAAAGCTGAAGAAAATTACATAGGTTTTTATAAATCAGGATCAGAACTTAAAAGTGGAAGGTTAAAATTCAATTAGAAATTTTGGGGCTGGGCGCGGTGTGGTTCACGCCTGTAATCCCAGCACTTTGGGAGGTCGAGGCAGGTGGATCACGATGTCAAAAGATCGAGACCGTACGGGCTAACACAGTGAAATCCCGTCTCTACAAAAAATAAAAAAAAAATTAGCCGGGCGTGGTGGCGGGTGCCTGTAGTCCCAGCTACTCGGGAGGCTGAGGCAGGAGAATGGCGTGAACCCAGGAGGTGGAGCTTGCAGTGACCCCAGATCACGCCACTGCACTCCAGCCTGGGTGACAGAGCGAGACTCTGTCTCAAAAAAAAAAAAAAAAAAAAAAAAGAAAGAAATTTTGGAAGGCAGTGGGGTCGGGGGGGTGGGGTAGACAAAACCCACAGTGCCTGCTCCTTTACATTTCTCTGAAGTTTGCCATGACCCTAAGCTCCTACTTGGCTTTCACAAAACAGCGTTGTTTTCACAGCTCCTGTGAGTTTCGTCAGACAGTAGCTGGGAATGCAAGAGCTGAGCCAGGCTTATGAACCACAGGCATGGATTCTAAGATTATTTCCCATTTTTAACTTGAAATGTAGAAATTGGAGACAGGCAAGGTATACTTTTCAAATATTCCTTTTAGCTACATTCAATGTAAATGAGACGCATGCACATATATAATACATGCATTCTTAACACTAGTCACATAACATATACGTACATGAAAATATTCATGACACTAGAGGGAAAAACAGAACTTCTTCATATGAATGATGAATTCCTGATTGTTTGTACACAATCCTGTACACAATCAGGAATTCAAGGCCTGCTTTCAGAATAGGAGTAGGAACGACTAGACCAGAGTAAACCATCAACACATAAAGTTTTTTTAAAAAAAACAAAAAAAACCCAAAAATTGTCTTTCAAAGGAATCAACATTTTGCCTTATTTCCATCCCAGCCCTGGTGATTAAAGGAATTTTGTTTGATTTTATTCTGTAACTCAAAATGACTTTTTTTAAATGTCATCCTAACAAACCATATGTGCCTGTCTGCAGTAACACTGTAGCAAGAGTTCATATTTTCTCTAATCTGAATAACTTATATTGTGTTACCCCATAGTTGCCTTGTGTAGGGACAATAAAAGGTGCTTTATCTACCACATCCCCCGCCAGGTAATGACCTCCAACACCAGTAAGGAGGGAGCTCTCCAACCCTGCTGATGGTTAACACGAACCAGGGCAGCCACCCCGTGCTGGGTGCCCATGGCGTGGCCAGCCCAGTGGAGCCACATCAGGAAGGTGTTATTAATATTATCCTCCCCTCCACCTGAGGACACTAAAACTCAGAGAAGAGAAACAGGCCTGGCGCTGGCTTCTGACTGGAGAGCTGGGTCTCAAACCCACGTCTGTCAACTCACAAAACCCCACCATCCCCCATCACTCTTATCAGAACCATATTATTGACAACGTGATAGTTATCGGAGCATAATGAAATCCTCAATGCTTCCCTCTAAGGCCTCTGATAATCTCAGAAAAATGAGCAACAACTCGGAGCAAATGCCACAAGGCCACTCCACTGGCTTTACCTCCAGCAGAGCCATAAGAGTGGCCAAGGCCGACACAAAGGTTTAATTCAGCAGCAGAACTCTGCCACCAACAGGACAGATGACACCAGAAAGGCACTCCTCCTCTGAGAGAAACACTGCAAATACACCACGTTATGGAAAGGAATCCTCCACTCAGAAATGGACAAAAGAATCCACTCATTACTATAAAGGAAGCAACCTGATTGGCATTTTCACAGCAGGCAGCACCAGTCTACATTTTTATAAAATGACAAGGGGACACACTATGTATTTCCTCGTGCTGGTGGCCCTTTGTGGGGCAAACAGAGGGCTAATCCTCCACTCAGAAATGGACAAAAGAATCCACTGATTACTATGAAGGAAGCAACCTGACTGGCATTTTCACAGCAGGCAGCACCAGTCTACATTTTTATAAAATGACAAGGGAACACATTATGTATTTCCTTGTGCTAGTGGCCCTTTGTGGGACAAACAGAGGGCTTCTATAAAGCTTAGGAAGTATGATTTTAATCACCGGGCAAATTCATAGGTGGAGGCTTGAGCATTTCCTTTATCTCTGTACCAGAATTTCCCAGGTATACACTCCCCAGCATGTCATCAGCCCAGCAGCTGCAAGACTGCACGCTCTGTCCTTAGCTAGATCGGGGCCCTCTGGGACTAGGTATAGGTATGTCATTGCTCCAGTCCCCTTCTGGATGTTCCAAATCTAGTCCAGGCCACAACACCTCTCCCCTGGATTCCCTGGGAAGCCCCCTAAATTTGGGTCCCTGCCTCTATTCTTGACCCTTCCAGTACAATGAGCACTGAACCAATGTCCATCAGCAATGCAAGCAAAATATAAATCTGATCAGGTCACATCCCTGCTTGAAATGCTAAGTCTAGGAGCCTTAACATAACCTACAAAGCCTCCATCTCACCTGCCTGACTCATCATCCTCGCCTCTCTCCACTCCTGCCTGCCCCCACCTGCTCAGCTGTAGCCACCCTCCCCTTTTAGGGGGTTCTACGGTGGTTTCCTGAGCTTCCTCCCTTTGGGAGGTTAGCAAAGATGAACACAGCTGATTCGAAGTCAGGCTCCTCAGGCACAGCTGCCTCTGCTCGGCCAGATTTCTATGGCTCTACCAGAATGAAGAGTGACTTTTGCTGTAATCATGTAACACAGACAAAAGACATCCTCCACCCTTCTTCTGTCCCTAACTACCAACACTGGAGTTAGGGGATTGTCAATTTTTACTTTGCTTTTTTCTGTATTTTGTTTGGTTATTTTTAACAAACACGCATTATTTTAAATATATTTTTCTGATTACAGAGTTGATAGAATGTTGATAGGATTATCAACATTCCTAATAATCCTAAAGTTGATAGGATTATCTTGATTGTATCAGCCCAATTTTTTTCCCTGCCAGCAAAACAGAGTTTTGGTTCATTAAGTATTACGTCTCCCAAAATATGTAACTGAGGGTACTGACAGAAATGTATCTGAGGGTCTCCTGTATGGGGCGGGGGTCGGGGGAGGGGTTGGGAGGGAAGAGACAGATAATAAGGAATCCTATTGTGGCCAAATTATCCTCTCCTCCCAAGTCCAGCCCTAGACTATGCATGCAGTCAAAGACTACAGAAAACAATCTCTCAGTTTTCTAACAGAATAACACAAGTTTAATCTGTATTGTTAAATGGCCAAGTATATTAAGTGATCAAAAATAAGTACAAGCATTTTCGTTTGAAGGATTATATCAGGTAAAATAAAGGCAAGGCACTGAGGACCCAGAATGTCCAGGCATGGGCCTTAGGCTGGATGATTCATCCAGGGTGGCTGAAATGAGCCAGCGTGGTCCCGGCAGGGCTCCAGGCATCCTGGTGATTGCCAGCCACACAGTGCCTAACCCTGTCAGGGACTGAATGTTTGCGTCCCCCTAAAATTCATGTGTTGAAATCCTAATCCCCAAGATGGCGGTATTGGAAGGTGGAGCCTTTACGAGGTGATCAGGTCATGAGGATGGCGCCCTTGTGAATGAAATTAGTACTCTTATAAAAGGCACAACAGAGCTTGCTTTCTCTCTCTCTCATCATGTAAGGATATAACAAGGTGACGGCCATCTGCAGACCAGGAAGCAGGTCCCCACCAGACCAGATATGCCAGTACTTTGATCATGGACTTCCCAGCCTCCAAAACTGTGAGCATTAAGTGTTTTTTGTTTAAGCCACCCAGCCTATGGTACTCTGTCACAGCACATGGAACTGACTAGGACACTGTCCCTCAGCCAAGGAGGGAAGAGGGACAGGTGAAGATGCTTACTTCCCACATTACTTCGTAATGTATCCAAAAACTAACTAAAATGGCTTGTCTTTCAGGCCATACCTGATCAAAGCATCAGGGATGCACCTGTGCACATGCTTCATGAGGAAAGAGGAGGAGGGGAGGAAAGAGGAGGAGGGGAGGGAAGAGGAGGAGGGGAGGGAAGAGGAGGAGGGGAGGGAAGAAGGAAAGAAGGAAGTCACCCAGCAATGCCTCAGCATCACTCAAAGTGGTCATCTAGCCCAGTGCCTTTCAAAGTGCAAATCATACAACCCATGGGTATGAAATCCATTTAGTGAATCCTATTTATTTAATGAAATAAAAATAGGTTAGAAGAAAGTAGCACCACTCAACCAGAAAATATCAGAAACCCAGAAAAAGAGAGGAGCCATCAAAGAGAAACCCTAACGTCCAAGAGAGGTGAAGGAAGTCTTCAGTGGGGCGGCAGGAGAGCATGGGCTGGGTGATGGCAGACCCGGGGCCCTGCCCAGGTCAGACCACCTGGACGGCTCTGGGCCAGACTTCCTCAGGAACATGGATAGGCCTTATACCTAATGGGTCTGAGCACACTGAAAAGAGGCTGACACAACTGGGGACGAGCTGGGGAATCTTTACAAATAAAATACAAGGAAGAAAAAGACAAAGCTGGGCAGGAAAAGTAATGGTGGTATATAAACCACCCAGCTTACGTGTCAAGAGTGTTTACAGAGTATCAGAGGTCAACACGGAAAACGGAGCTGACCAACAGTATGAGAGACCTGTATTTGATGTGGTAGCGACAGGGTATGTGGTTGGAAAAAAAAACAAATCCTTAACTTCTAAAATGGAAATCAAGTTTGAAAATTCAAGCAGCTGCACCACAATCATGTTTTGGAGACTGGAGGATACGAGTTGGAAGAATCAGTCAAAAGAGGTGGAAGCGGCTGCCTCCAAAGGACAGGCAGTGAATACACACTCTGGGCTCGGCGACTTTTCCTCCCTGTTATCCTCTCAAACACAAGCTTCTCTTCCTCATCCTTATGGCCTTTCCCAGCTAATAAACCCACTCCCCACTGGTGCTGGTCCTCACACCCACCTCGACCTCACAGAGCTGAGCCCTCACTCCCCTTCTCCACTGCCCTCCAGAAACTTCCTGTTCTTGGAAGAGATTCTGGACTTACGAGTGGTGCCCATGAGGCCCTGCTGAAAAACACACAGAACTCATTTCTATTGTCTTTTTAGATGGGTTGGGCCTTACAATATGGTTTTTGTCTGATTTCCTCTAAGAATAAATGAATCCACATAAATCACACAGGATGCATTTCTCTCACAAGATAACCAGAACACAACTTCCAGCCTAGAGGAAACCCTGCGCCCATCATGGTGGAGCTTCTATGGTAGCCAAGTTGTGCTCTCTGCTCTTTGAAAGTCACTAAATATTGCTCAATCATTTAAAATGACTGCTTTTGCCAGACTGCGTATCGTATTACCCTTGGATTCAAGATACACATACAATGGCAGGGACCAAAAGTTTAAGATAATGTCTACAGGAGAAATTCTTTAAATGCTTTTTTAAAAAATGTATCTATTCCTTGATTTTCCTTTCCTGGAATTAGGAAAACCAGACTATTATTCCATTTTAGTGGCAAAACCTGTCCAGTCAGTGTATACAACACTGGTTGGGCCACTTGTGGAATGACATGTTCAGTTCTGGATTGTACCTTTTAAAGGAATCGATGAAACAAAAAAAGAGTACCCAAAAGAAAGTTCCAGAACAGTGCTGGGTCTGAACCAGCAACTCCTCTCAATCCCAAGATCTCAGTGCCTGACTTGCTCGGCTTTTCTGGGTCCTTCTGGAATGTTGCTTCACTTTTCTTTGACCTTAAACCTGTTAAGTTTTACTTAAATCTGTCCTAATCCATCAACCTCTCACTACTTGGAACTGTACTGAGGTCCTTCTTTTGTGAATATCCACTGTAGTCACAGTCAGTAGCTCCTGGGTTCCTCCCTTTCATCAGCATCAGGTTCCCCGCATATCAAACAAAATGAAAATCGCTGGAAGACACTGACTGCAACCTCTGTGTTACTCTTGCTCTACTCCAAACCCAACACTGGGGAGAGAAGGCACTTTGAAAACAAAACAAGTGTTTGTGTCAGTCCCCAAGCAAGCAGACAATTTGTAATTAAAAACACTTTATCAGTAGCTAAATCAAATAGATGATCTCAACTCAGTGGCAGGATGCGGAGCAGGGTTCTTACTTGAAACTCCACTTTCTCGGCTCAGGGTGAACAATCTTCCCTGATGTACTTTCTTTGCCAACTGATTAAGTGAAGGAAATGGCTTCCCACAGAGAGCCAAAATTGTTATTAACATCCACAATAATAACACATGAAACACCCTCAGCATGTGAGTTGTTATCTTAATTATTTTCTTGCTTTACCTCTAAGCCACAAAAAGTTTCAAGCTGAGTTTACATTTATAATCTTCTTAATCCTTAGTAGATGCAGTAATTGACCACTGGGTTTGCCAGCAGAACCACCTGTATTTAGCCACAAGGGGGAGCAAGCGTTCAGCTTCCTGGCCAACCACACAAGGGGTATGGCCATCAATGAGCAAAACAAAACCCAACGTCTTCTTCAAGAAACACGGGCCAAGACTGTCTCAATAACCTGGGCTCTCCCTGCAGGAGACACACTTCCATTCTTTCCATACCCAGTCTAGCTGTGACTTTCCTCCCATGACAAGTGTGGCCCAAAGACAAAACGATCCCACAAATCAAGGGATGAAGAATATTCCAGTCCACGTACCAGGAATACCAATGAAGAAAACTTTGCAAATGTGTTAATTCTACAAGAAAAGCCAAGAACCAGTGGGAATTTACTAGAAAGAAGTCGGCTGTGGCCAAGTATGCCAAAGGTTAGTTTCTGCAGACTGCTTGAGATCACAACTCGGAACTTCAGTCTGCACTCACATAGCTTGTAGAGAAGAAGAAAGTGATTTTTCTCTCTCCATACACGGTCAGGTGACCTACATGTCAAGGTTAATTTACAATCAGATACAAAGGCAAACCACATATGGGAGCCATCACAAACACAACACAGCCGGGACTCTCAGAGATGTGCACACACATTGACCACAGACCACAGCTTAAAAGGCACATTCCCTGAGTAAGAGAGAGTATCATTAAACTACCACATGAGGCTAAAGTCAATACAGATCTTAAGATGCTGGGCCAATTTGCCACATCATCGTCCCTTCTCTCCTCGTTCTGGAAGCACAATATTCATTTCTTCCCTCATTCATTTCATTCATTCATTCATTCATTTATCCATTCATCGTGTACTGTTTCAGGACTTCCACTGGACAGGCTGATGCCATGGAGGCTAGTATCAGCCAAATAAGGCGGCCAGCCCTTGCCTTTAAGGAGATGGAAATACATGAGCAGGCAATTCCAAAAAAAAAAAGAAAATGTGAAACCCTTGATTTGAGGCACTAAAGGGTATAGTCCAATTATAGAAACTCTAATGTCACTCTAAGGAAAATCTAATGTCCTTCTAGAATGTTCCTTCGCTTTCCATTGACCTTAAACCTGAAAGGTTTTACTTAAATCCCTCCTACTCCATCACCCTTTCCCTCACTACTTCACACTGTACTAAAGGTCTTCCTTTGTGAATATCCACTGTAATCACAGTCAGTAGCTCCCAGGTTCCTCCCCTTCATTCGCCTCAGGTTCCCTGAATATCAAAAAAAAAAAAAAAAATGAAAATTGCTTGAAGACAAAAGAAAAAAGATTAAAAGAAAAAATAGAAGGGGAAAAAAGAAAAGAAATTCTGATTTTCACTTAAGAAATGGAATTGCGGCCGGGCGCGGTGGCTCACGCCTGTAATCCCAGCACTTTGGGAGGCCGAGGCGGGCGGATCACGAGGTCAGGAGATCGAGACCATCCCGGCTAAAACGGTGAAACCCCGTCTCTACTAAAAATACAAAAAATTAGCCGGGCGTAGTGGCGGGCGCCTGTAGTCCCAGCTACTTGGGAGGCTGAGGCAGGAGAATGGCGTGAACCCGGGAGGCGGAGCTTGCAGTGAGCCGAGATTGCGCCACTGCACTCCAGCCTGGGCGACAGAGCGAGACTCCGTCTCAAAAAAAAAAAAAAAAAAAAAAAAAAAAAAAAGAAATGGAATTGCTTTAACTGATTTGGGTGACAACCGACAGCCAAATTAAGAATATTAGGCCAGGTGCGGTAGCTCATGCCTGTAATGCCAGCACTTTGGGAGCCCGAGGCGGATGGATCACCTGAGGCCAGGAGTTTGAGACCAGCCTGGCCAACATGGTGAAACCCCGTCTCTACTAAAAATACAAAAAATAGCTGGGCATTGTGGCACGCGCCTGTAGTCCCAGCTACTCAAGAGGCTGAGGCAGGAGAATCACTTAAACCCAGGAGATGGAGGTTGCGGTGAGCCAGGATCATGCCTCTGCACTCCAGCCTGGGCCAGTGAACAAGACTCCATCTCAAAAAATAAAAATAAAAAATAAAAATAAAGAATATTAAGCTCACTTCCTTTCATACCTCACACTCTCATCCCTACAATGGACATAAAGTAACGTCTATCTCCTAGAGTTGTTATGAGGATGAAGCGAGCTCATACTCATGAAGTTTTTAGAGCATGATTCCATGATTCCTAAGCTCAGAAAGGCAACTAGGACTGGCTTGAGCATCTACCATTTGCCAAGCCCCATACATTCATTAACTCACTAAACTTCATGGCAACTCTGTGTCCTATTATTATGCCACCTTATGAATGAGCACAGAGTGAGTGCTTGCTATGTTAGCTCCTTCATTATCATCATGATGTGTGCATAAGCCAGTCTAGCAAGCATGGAGGGGAAATGATATGTTTGCTGCATTATACGTATTACTATATTAAGAAAAAAAATCAACTTGCAATTTAGGATTTTTACTTCTTATTTACACATATTTCTCGCCTCCCAAAAAACCCACAAACTCATTAATGCAAAGAACATATTATCTAAAGAAAAAAGATTTAGGTTCCAGTCCTGTTCCAGCTGCTAAATCTGGCATAATAACTATGCACAAGTTTCTCTACGTTCTTCTGAGCTCCAACCTCATCTATAGAAGGGAGGTGAGAGCCCGCTCACTGGGGCAAGATTCATTGTGGGGCTACAGAGAGCCCTGTATAAACCCTGGGACCATGTAAACAGGGGAGCAGTGGAAACAGTTGGCATAGAAACTTATAAGTGCATTCTCCTAATTATCCCTGTCCTCAAAAACGTCAAAATGTTAAACAGTAATATTTAAGCATATTAAACCATAAGAATTCCATCACAGTCAAAACACAGGCTCTCCCAAATCTGAAAAGACATCCAATTCCCAGCTGTTACACATTCCTTCAGTGAGTTCTTTTGACAGAATTTACTCAGTTCCACATGCCAGGCAAGTAAGAGAAGACGAGTCATTTAACATCACGAATAACTGAAATCTGCAGAGAAAAGTGGCCTCTCCATCTGGTTTGAAAATGCACGCTATGGTCTTCAAAGCCAGCATTCATCTCCTAAGTATGAGTTAACTCACATTCTCTGTTTGGGTTTGGTGATCTCCTAATCGATTTGTCTGATCTCAAATCTCTAGTTACCCTACATGTTAAAAATCACTTTCCATCCATTGCATTTGAACTTTGTTTTGACAATTTTCTTAAACAAAATATTGTCATGAACTCTATCACACACACTCTCATCCCCTTAAAAAAACAAAAAAGAGAATAACACGGAATGCTCAGTTCAAAGTCCTCAGCAGGTCCAAGGCCCACTAAGCTCAGTAAGACAACGAGGGTTGGCTTGAGCCCCTACCATTTGCCAAGCATCATACATTCATTAACTCATTAAACTTCACGGCAACTCTATGTCCTATTATTATGCCACCTTGTGAATGAGGAAACTGGGGTATGTGACAGATTAATCAACTTGCTAAGAGCATTCTGGAACAAGGAACTGTACCACTACCCCATCTGACAATAGGAGGGTTCAAAGGAAGATCCGCAATTATTGAAGTACCTTTTGTGATATTCCAAACAGGAAAAGGTTTACTCCATCACTGTAGTACATGTTAGGTTAAATTCACCTCTGCAAAATAAGTAAGTTATTTAAATACAGCAGCCCTTGGACCCATTCCTGTGTGGCAGCCCCACATTTAATTAATCCCAAGGAAACTCCATTGGTCTTTTTCTTCTAATCCCCTCTCTCCTGTGGGTGGCAAAAAACCACCACCACTACCATCAAAACAACAATAACAACAACTTTCAAGTGATAATACCAGTCAGGGTAAGTTCAAAAGACTGAACGCACTGATGGAGAATAATGGAAATTAAAAACTCAATCCCTCAGCCCTGGGTCTGTGGTTTCTGTCCCCTGGGGTTAACGCTGGCACTTTCTGAGTTACTTCAGCTTAATTCCTGCTTCAGAAAGGAGAAGGAGCTGTAAAGGAAAGAGAATGCACTAGCAGAGAGGAGCAAGGGGACCTGCTTTAGAGTAAAAAGTGGATGTTTGATCTCACCTTTTCAGAATATATTTACATCAGAACATGTCTCAAATGAAATAATCAAACTTGTTGAGAAAATTGGTTCAAAATCCTAAACTGTTCTTCCCACAACTTTCCAGGTATACAGGCATACAGCAACGCAAGATTCCAAGAAGCATCTGCACACAAAAAAACACAAAATCCAACTTTGAAGCGCACAAGCAGCAGCAGCTCCTGGGATCCACCACCACAGTTCAACTAGATCACAACCAAACCCCAACAGAGCCCAACACTGCCACAGTTCCACTAGATCACAACCAAACCCCAACAGAGCTCAACACCATCACAGTTCAGCTAGATCACAACCAACCAAATTCCAACAAAGGCCAACACTGCCACAGTTCCACTAGATCACAACCAACCAAATCCAACAGAGCCCAAAACCGCCACAGTTCTGCTAGATCACAACCAAACCCCAACAGAGCCCAACACCACCACAGTTCCACTAGATCACAGCCAAACCCCAACAGAGCCCAACACCACCACAGTTCTGCTAGATCACAACCAAACCCCAAGAGAGCCCAACACCACCACAGTTCCGCTAGATCACAACCAAACCCCAACAGAGCCCAACACCACCACAGTTCTGCTAGATCAGAGGCAAATCCCAACAGAGCCCAAAACCGCCACTGTTCTGCTAGATCACAACCAAACCCACAGAGCCCAACACCGCCACAGTTCCACTAGATCACAACCAAACCCCAACAGAGCCCAACACCACCACAGTTCCGCTAGATCACAACCAACCAAATCCCAACAAAGGCCAACACTACCACAGTTCCGCTAGATCACAACCAACCAAATCCAGAGCCCAACACTGCCACAGTTCCGCTAGATCACAACCAACCAAATCCAGAGCCCAACACTGCCACAGTTCCACTAGATCACAGCCAAACCCCAACAGAGCCCAACACCGCCACTGTTCTGCTAGATCACAGTCAACCAAACCCCAACAGAGCCCAACACCACCACAGTTCTGCTAGATCACAACCAAACCCCAACAGAGCCCAACACCACCACAGTTCCGCTAGATCACAACCAAACCCCAACAGAGCCCAACACCACCACAGTTCCACTAGATCACAACCAACCAAATCCCAACAAAGGCCAACACTACCACAGTTCTGCTAGATCACAACCAACCAAATCCAGAGCCCAACACTGCCACAGTTCCGCTAGATCACAACCAACCAAATCCAGAGCCCAACACTGCCACAGTTCCACTAGATCACAGCCAAACCCCAACAGAGCCCAACACCGCCACTGTTCTGCTAGATCACAGTCAACCAAACCCCAACAGAGCCCAACACCGCCACAGTTCTGCTAGATCACAGTCAACCAAACCCCAACAGAGCCCAACACCGCCACAGTTCCGCTAGATCACAACCAAACCCCAACAGAGCCCAACACCGCCACAGTTCCGCTAGATCACAACCAAACCCCAACAGAGCCCAACACCGCCACAGTTCCGCTAGATCACAACCAAACCCCAACAGAGCCCAACACAGCCACAGTTCCGCTAGATCACAGTCAACCAAACCCCAACAGAGCCCAACACAGCCACAGTTCCGCTAGATCACAGTCAACCAAACCCCAACAGAGCCCGACACCACAGTTCCACTCACAACCAAACCCCAACAGAGCCCAACACTGCCACAGTTCCACTAGATCACAACCAAACTCCAGAGCCCAACACAGCCACAGTTCCACTAGATCACAGTCAACCAAACCCCAACAGAGCCCAACACCGCCACAGTTCCGCTAGATCACAGCCAAATTCCAACAGAGCCCAACACAGCCACAGTTCCGCTAGATCACAGTCAACCAAACCCCAACAGAGCCCAACACCGCCACAGTTCCACTAGATCACAGCCATATTCCAACAGAGCCCAACATAGCCACAGTTCAACTAGATCACAGTCAACCAAACCCCAACAGAGCCCAACACCGCCACAGTTCCACTAGATCACAGTCAACCAAACCCCAACAGAGCCCAACACCGCCACAGTTCCACTAGATCACAACCAAACTCCAGAGCCCAACACAGCCACAGTTCCACTAGATCACAGTCAACCAAACCCCAACAGAGCCCAACACCACCACAGTTCCACTAGATCACAGTCAACCAAACCCCAACAGAGCCCAACACCACAGTTCCGCTCACAACCAAACCCCAACAGAGCCCAACACCGCCACAGTTCTGCTGGATCGCAACCAACCAAATCCCAATGAAGCCACGCGTGTGGACAAGATAAACCCATGACTGCTGAGATCACAAGGTCCCTATCTGAGTTTCTCTGCGACAAATCTTCCCAAAGTTTATTAAGAACACACAGCTTAATGAAATCATTTGTTGATCTCCCACCCACCACCAGCAAGAGTTCTGAAACACATGATTCCTCCAACTCAAGATGGGCCAGAAAGCAAGTAGAAAACCAAGTTGGGTGCTCTATTTTAGTGGAGAAGCTTCCAGAACAGAGGGGCAGAAGATGGCCAACTGAAATGACAGACCATAAGAATTCACTGTGTGTTTCCTCTCTTTTTATCTAATCCCAGGACATGAACACATCTGTACTCAAATTTCAGGACAGTCCACACACTGAGGCCAAATGCAGATGACTTGGTTTCTCCTTCTGAATCCACCGTTGTGTTTTTCTCACACCACTGATAACTGAAAACAGACGAGATGCAAGCAGGCTGAGCAGCAGCAGCCAAGGGTAGGCACGGATGCCTCAGTCAGCCCTTTGTGTCTTGAAGCACGGGCAACTGGCTGGGCAACTTTCTCAGGGCTTCCTCTATCAGCAATCTGGGCTGGACCAGCAGGCATGTAAGTTAAAGAAAATGATAAAGCACAGGCCGCTTTTTTTATTTTAATCTCAAATGCGTGATCTGGATTTCCATTTTGAAAACAAATGCTGGAAAATGTGACCCCTATGCAAGGCCCCCTCCTAATGAGGTCTGCCTGTTATACATGCGTGACAGGCGCTTCATAGCTTGGAACTAACCGCACTGTATTTGATGTGCTCAGCACAGCAGGTGACTGTAGGTAGAAAATCATTAACAGTACCGTGAGCTCGCAGTCAGCAATCCAAAGGCCAAGTTCAACCAGGAAAAATAAAAACCACCACTGCCCTCTACATCCAAGAGACTTCATCTTACACTTCAGGCATTTAAATGTGCTGCTCAACCACAACGCATTAAGCGGGGAAGGGCTTTTAAAAATCCCAACATTTACACACAGAAACAGCAAGCACCATCCAGCCATAGCTGCCTACAAAGCACAGAAGACGTGGCCCCGCCAGGATTTCCAGCATCCGTCCCTGCTACAGGCAGTTGCCAGAGAGAACATAAACAAGGGTATCCAATGGAAGAGGGACAAGGGACAGGATTTACGTTGCACTGTTTATGCTATGGAATCTGTTGTTTTGGGACTCAAAACTTCAAGTTGCCGAGATGCCTGTATAATTGACTCAGAGGCCACGATATGGGCAGCTGGACATACCAATTCCCAGCCAGCCCCATCCAAACTGCCTCAAGGGGAGGGTTCTTTGACCTATTAAGTTTCCTGGGATAAGAAGAACTTTACAACCAGGCACAAGAAGGGATGCTAAAATAAATAAATGAGCACGCTGGGAGGCCGAGGCGGGTGGATCACCTGAGGCCAGGAGTTAGAGACCAGCCTGGCCAATGTGGTGAAACCCCATCTCTACTAAAAATACAAAAATGAGCCGGGTGCAGTGGCGGGAGCCTGTAGTCCCAGCCACTTGGGAGGCTGAGGCAGGAGAATCACTAGAACCCAGGAGGTGGAGGTTGCAGTGAGCCGAGATCGTGCCATCGCACTCCAGCCTGGGCGACAGAGTGAGACCCTGTCTCAAACAAAACAAAACAAAGGAAAGCAAAGCAAAACAAAACAAAACAAAACAAAAAAATTAGCCGGGCATGGTGGCACTGGGCTGAGGCACAAGAATCACTTGAACTGGGAGGTGGGGTTTGCAGTGAGCCAAGATCGTGCCAGCCTCGGTGACAAAGCAGGACTCTGTCTCAAAAAAATAAATAATAAATAAATAAATGTTGATTCTTTTTTTTTTTTTTTTTTTGAGACGGAGTCTCACTCTGTGGCCCAGGCTGGAGTGCAGTGGCACTATGTCCGCTCACTGCAAACTCCGCCTCCCGTGTTCACACCATTCTCCTGCCTCAGCCTCCTGAGTAGCTGGGACTACAAGCACCTGCCACCACGCCCAGCTAATTTTTGGTATTTTTTAGTAGAGATGGGGTTTCACTGTGTTAGGCCAGGATGGTCTCAATCTCCTGACCTCGTGATCCGCCTGCCTCGGCCTCCCAAAGTGCTGGGATCACAGGTGTGAGCCACCGCACCCGGCCGATTTTTTTTTTTTTAAATAAAGGTGAGGTTTCGCCATGTTGCCCAGGCTGGTCCCAAACTCCTGGCCTCAAGCGATCTTCCCGCCTCGGCCTCCCAGTGTGGAGATTACAGGTGTGGGCCACCGTGTCCAGCCTGAAATGAATAAATGAATCATAATGGCAAAGGTATCATCCTGAACCTTCACACAGCCAAAGAATTGTGTTTGTAAACAAATACAGCGCTGCCCACAGAATGTCGTCCTGTGATGACGGGGACGTCCACATCTGCAGCGTCCTGTGGGCAGCCACTAGCCGCATGTGTCTACGGAGCACCTACAATATGGCTAATACCACGGAGGACCTTTCTATTTGTTTTATTTAAGCTCAACTGGAATCTAGCCTGGTGTGGCCAGCACTCCTTTATGGGCCAGTATAGCTCTGGTCCGCCAGGAGGGAGGATGACAGGAGACGGGGTTTGCTATCAGAGAAAAGCAAGAGAGCATGAACAGGTAAGCAGAGAAGAAGGTGACCAAGCCGCGAGCAGCCGTCACCCCAGTCTCACCTATCCCGACAGGAATGCAGACAGAAACCCAGAGAGAGAATCGCAAGGGTTCTCTGGTCAGTCAACCCCAGGTGAGGACAGGGCTGCCCAGGCAGGCACCTCACCCCTGGGTGCTGGGGTGCGGGTGCCAAGGCAGAGTGAGAGTCTGCAGGGAACTGACATTCCTGGGGGGTGCAATAGACACCTGCAAAGAAATAAGCTAATTTTATGTTTAGAAAGTGCTACAGAGGCAACAGAAAAGGGTAACCGACTGCTGGGGAGGATATGGAGAGACTGGAGCTCCCACTTGATGCTGGTGGGAATGCAAATGGTGCAGATGAAAAACAGGCCAGCAGCTTCTCAAATGCTTAAATGTAGAGTTACCGTAACTCCATGGTTATTCCATTCCTAAGTCTATGTCCACACAAAAACCTGCACACAAGTGTTCATGGCAGCATCATTCTACCAAAAAGTAGAAACAAACCAAATGCTCATGAATTGATGAATGGACTTTTTAAAAAAACAGGTGGTATATCCATACAATGGGCTATTATCTGCCATAAAAAGGAATGAAGTACTGATGCATGCTATCACACGGGATGGGCCGTGGAAACACGCCACGTGAAAGGGGTCCCAAGCAAAAGACCCCCTAGTATGATTCCGTTTATGCAAAATATTCAGAATCAGCACACCTACAGAGACAGAAAGATAGGGTTCTCCAGGGGCTCAGGGGAACAGGGAATCACAAAGTCATAGCTAAAGGATACAAGGTTTCTCTTTCAGCTGATGAAAATTTTCTAAAATTGGCTATGGTGATGTCTGCACATGTGTGTGAATATACTAAAAGCCACCGCATTGCATCACCCATTAAATGGGTGAATTGTAAGAGATGTGAATTTGATCTCAATAATGACTGGGGAGAAAGCTGCAGCTGGAGTGTTCAGGCCTCTCGGAGCAACGGTCCCCTTCAAGGCTAAAGGGAGTCAGCCCCGTGAGGATGCAGGCGAAGGGCGTTCTGACCAAAAGTAACAACAGCAGATGCCAACTTCCCCAGACTGGAACCCGTTTGGTGCGTGCGCCAGGCAGACGGATGCCCGGGTGGCGGGACCTGCCCTGTCCATGAGGTAGCCACAAACAGCTGCCAAGTACTGGAGATGTGGCTGGCTAAATTGAGAGGTGGTAGGTCAAACTTCCAAGACCCCGGATCAAAAGAAAAGACTGTTAAATACTTGATTAATCTTTGTGTGAATACTGATTACATGTTGAAATATTTTTGATATCATGAGTTAACTAAAATGCATTAAAATTCATTTCACCTGTTTTCTTTTTAATGTGACTACTAGAAAAGTTACCGTACATAGGTGGCTGGCATTTGCGGTCCAAATTATATTTCCTGGGCTGCATGAGGCACAGAGAAGAGAGTGGAGAGGCTGGCAGTGGGGTGGTGACTCGAGATCATATAAGGGCTCAGAGGCATGAGGCAAGAGTGAGCTTTAGTTCTAAATGTGATGGGCCACTGAGGACCTGATGTGATTTCATTTCTACCATGAACACATCGCTCTGACTATTCCAAAGACTGGAGGTGAACAAAGAAGGGGGTGGCCAGAGAGAATGACATGAAAGCCTGCCTCAACTGGTCAGATTCAGAAACACACACACACACACACACACACACACACCCTCCTGGTGGGGGGAAGAGGACAGTGTTACAGTTAAGAGCCCAGGCTTAGAAACACATTGCTTGGATTTAAATCTCAGCTGCAACACAGGAAATTTCTGTGAGCAAATTATTTAACTTCTCTGTGCCTGACCTTTCTCATTCACAAATAGGTTATTACAGGCCAGGCGCGATGCCTCACACCTCTAATCCCCACAATCTATAAGTCAAAGTGGGAGGATCGCTTGAGGCCATGAGTTCGAGACCAGCTTTGGCAACATCATGAAACCCCATCTCTCAAAATGTTTTTTAATAAATTAGCTGGTGGCAAGCACCTGTAGTCCCAGCTACTCAAAAGGGTGAGGTGGGAGGACTGCCTGAACCCAGGAGTCTGACGCTGCAGTGAGCTATGATTGGACCACTGCACTCCAGCTTGGGTGACAGTGTAAGACCCTGCCATTCATTCATCCACACATCCATCCATTAATTAATTAATTACATAGGTTTTAATAGCCTTCCTCATGCAGGTTAATACACTCTTCTTCAAATGCTTAGAATGGTGTCAGGCACATAGGAAGCACTCAATAAATGTTAGTGATTATTATTGAATAAAGTATGTGAGGGAAGATGATAAACTTGTTTTTTTACTGAGAAACCAGGTAAGAGCTGGTGCCGTTTAGTGACAGTGGGCAGGATGTGGTGGTGAAGGCAGATCTGGGCAGGAAGAGCAGCGGCTCCATGTGGGCCACGTTAAGGTTGAGAATCATCTTGGTCCTCAAGTGGGAATGCCAGACAGAGAGGTGACTCTCTAAAGATGGAGCACAGAGGTGAGGAGGCTGGGCTGGCAGCCTCAAGGTGAGATTCCACTTACAGAGAGTGTTGGAAGGTTTGGGATGGATGGAGACAGAGCACAGAAGGCACTTGGAGCAGCACTTGGAGGCGGAGAAGCAGAGGAGTAGCCAGAGGGAGACCAAGGAGGAGCCATCGAGGAGGCCGGGGAGGAACAGACAACATGCCACACAGAAATCGGGCTTAGTGGAGTCAATGCTCTCAAAGGCACCGCAGGCGGAGGAAGATGAGGGCAGGCCATGCACGAGTCTGACCAGATGTGGTCCCTCACAGGCTCACCCAGGACAGCACAGCTGGCACTGACATCCGGCCTCCCACCCGGGGAACACCCTCTGGCACTCTCAGAAGGGACAGCTTGTCACCCGGTCATTGGAGAAGGAATGGACACAGTTACTAGACTGGAAGGGGCAATCGGAAGGCAGGCGCTGGAGAGGGCAGGATATAGTCTCTACAGGTCACTTCTTTCTACGGAGTGAGGCACAACAGGGGCAGTGGCCAAGAGGGACGTGGCACTGGTAAGGACATTTTTAAAGAGAAACGTCATAAGGCCTGTTTTTACGCTATTTGGAAGGATGCGGAAGAAAGGAAGAAACGAATAATGCAGGAGGAAAAAGGGTTAACTGCAGGAGTGACATCCTTGGGAAGCAGGAAGAAGATGCCTTGAGAGTGGCAAGGGGCCTGAGTGAGACAGGAGCTGGGGAAGCCTCCGCGGCAGCAGGTGGAAAGGTGGAGGCGAGACAGGGGGTCTCACTGACTGAACGGCTTCTTTCCTCAATGAGACAAGCAGCAAAGTCATCAGCTAGGAGAATGATGGGAGGTGTGGAGAACTGATGAGCAGAAGGTATGAAAGAGTTTTCTCTGAACCGATGAAACTGCTGCAAAAGTGTAATAAGATTCCTGATACAATGAGTGATGACAGCCGATCTGAAGAGATGCAAGTCCAGTTGGCAGTTTTGGAATAATTGTGAAAGTGGGTTTAACCAGGGTGGGGTGTCCAACCGGGGCGGGGGTCTCCTCAGGGAGTACAAAGCAGTTTGGCTGTTTACAGGAAGGGACCATGAGGTTCAGGCTACAGCAAAGTCCCCTGAGGGCACCGGAAAGGGGGTGAAAAGGTGGTGGGTCCACAGATTGGCAAAGCCCGGGATTTCCAAGACGATTTCAAGTGGGAAGGCTGGGAACGGAAGATCGCAGAGTGGGGTGCCTGAGATCAGGGTTCTAGAGGCTAACCTGGACGAGATCTAAAAAGGGTCACTAAAATGAGGTACAGAAAGGCAGCTGGACCAGAAGAAGTCAAGAATGGACAGGCCAGGTTGCTGGGTGGATACTCTGTGAAGAGACCAGCAGGGTTGGCGGTGTCTTCAAGGGCCAGCCAGGCTTCCATTAGAAAGAGAAGGTGCGGGAACATTCAGAGGTGGTGGAGGATGTAAGGATGCTGCCATGACAGGGAACCCAAAAGGCACAGAGGCAAGAACAGTATAACAGATATAAACAGTCAGTGGGGCCAGGTGCAGTGGCTCACACCTGTAATCCCAGCACTCTGGGGGGCTGAAGTGGGTGGATCACTTGAGGTCAGGAGTTCGAGACTAGCCTGGCCATCATGGTGAAACTCCATCTCTGCTAAAAATACAAAAATGAGCCAGGCGTGGTGGCACACACCTGTAATCCCTACTCAGGGGGCTGAGGCAGGAGAATTGCTTGAACTTGGGAGGCAGACACTGCAGTGAGCCGAGATCATGCCATTGCACTCCAGTCTGGGCAACAGAGCAAGACTCTGTCTCAAAAAAAAAAGAAAAAGAAAAAAGAAAAAAAATCCATCAGTGGGATGGGTGGACACCACTTGACAACTGCTTTGAAAGCAAACAATAAATCAGCCAGGTATAGCAGCCTCATTAACTCAGCAGTATCTAAATACACATCATGTGAAAAGTTACCACAAATTTTAAGTCTCTTAAAAAGGGCAAGTTGGAGGTAGCAAGGCAAACACCACTCCAGGGCTCACTAGACTTTTATATTTTATTTTATTTTATTTTATTTTAGACAGAATTTTGCTCTTGTTGCCCAGGCTGGAGTGCAATGGCGCAATTTCGGCTCACTGGAACCTCCTCCTGGGTTCAAGCTATTCTCCTGCCTCAGCCTCCTGAGTAGCTGGAATTACAGGCGCCCGCCACCACACCCGGCTAATTTTTGTATTTTTAGTAGAGACGGGGTTTCACCGTGTTGGCCAGACTGGTCTCGAACTCCTGACCTCAGGTGATCCACCCGCCTTGGCCTCCCAAAGTGCTGGGATTACAGGCGTGAGCCACAGCACCCGGCCTAGATTGAGTTTTAGACACTTGTCAGCAACTAAACACTGCCAACCCTGCCATCAGGTTGTGGGCACAAAACCATCACTTCCACCCCAGCCCTAGGGCTGAATGGCAGCTGTAAGCCAAAGGGCTACCACTAGAGGGCGACACAGCCCAAAGACTTGAGCAACTCCCAGGCACTGATTTTAATAAAACAAAGCTCTGAGCAGAACGAGTTGAAATTTCTCAAGTTCAAAAACCTAGTTTATTTTTTAAATGAAACAATACTATAAAAACATAGAAAAAACACATATATGGGTGTGCAGAGAAAAAGGTCTCAAAGGCTTCACACCAACCTGGTAACAGGGAAAATAAGACATGGGAAGGGAATGGGGCAAGGCAGAGAAATGGCAGACCTCCACTTTTTAGCCTAAAGGCTATGCTGAGTATTTTTCAAGATTGCATTCATATATTATTGGGATAATTTTAAAATACATTACAAATCAGAAAATATAATAAACATAGAAAACATATAGTTGGCCAGGTGTGGTGGCTCATGCCTGCAATCCCAGCACTTTCGAAAGCCAACACAGGATGATGACTTGAGCCCAGGAGTTTGAGACCAGCCTGGGCAACACAGTGAGACCTCATCTCTACAAAAAAAATTTTTGTTAATTAGCCAGCTGTAGTGGAACTCGCCTGTGGTTCTAACTACTTGGGCAGTTGAAGTGGAAGGAGCGCTTGAGCCTGCAGTGAGCCAGGGCCACACCACTGCTCCAGCCTGGGTGATAGAGAGACCCTGTCAAAAAAAAAAAGAATGAAAGAAAAGAAAGAAAGATTAACAACTGAACAAAACTTGCTACAGACAGAATCTCCAAACCAGCAGCATTCAGAAGGGTTCTAAAATCTATCTCACTGAATTCTGTAGGTAGTTCCTGAGGAAAACCGGGCCCCCAAAGAGTAATTTGCTCCAACAGGGGCCAAAGTTAAAATAACAGCCCACTCTCATCCAAGATCCTAATAACACACGTGAGAATCCTTTCTCTGTTGTGTCCTCTACTAAAATGCTAGCAGTTATGGTTTGGTCATCAATTCTCTATCTTACTAATATCATTCTACACTCTGTTCTCCCCACCAAAAAAAAGAGAAGACACTTTTACTTAGATCACATTGCTGAAATGGCATGTCTTCCTTTGGCTAAATTAAATTTTAACAAATATCTGTTGAAACTTTCATCACTTGATAGAAAAACATCACTTAATTATTATAAATCTAAAAACCTACCTAAGTCCATATCTTCAAATTATCTGCAATGTATAAAAACAGTCCAAGCAGAATATGGTAATAGTCACCTGAGTACATAAAGATACCAGTGGGGATGGGGGAGTGAGGGGGGGATTACATCTGTTGGACTAAAGAAAATTTTCCTGAATTTGAAGGTAGAAAGGGACTTTTTTTCTTTTTTTTGAGATGGAGTCTTGCTCTGTCACCCAGGTTGGAGTGCAGTGGCGTGATCTCGGCTCACCGCAAGCTCCGCCTCCCAGGTTCATGCCATTCTCCTGCCTCAACCTCCCGAGTAGCTGGGACTACAGGCTCCCGCCACCACGCCTGGCTAATTTTTTTGTATTTTTAGTAGAGACGGGGTTTCACTGTGTTAGCCAGGATGGTCTCGATCTCCTGACCTCGTGATCCGCCCGCCTCAGCCTCCCAACGTGCTGGGATTACAGGCGCGAGCCACCACGCCCGGCCGTGGCATTTTTTAAAGGGTGAACATTTGCTGCATACTCATTATGAGCTGGGCATTGTACTGATAGTATTTTATGTTTTGTTACCTCATTCCATCCTCACAAATCCCAGTGAGGTAACTGTAATTAACCTCATCGTAGAGGGAGGGAGAATACAATTGGCCAATGAATAGCAGAACCAGGACTCAAACTTAGGACTGCCTAATCCACACCTGCTCTTGGCTGACATCAGAAGGCCTTGTCTTTACTCCTCCTGGTGTGTTTCATTTCACCCCCTGCCTCTCTCCATCCTTGCTGTCTGGCCTCGACAGGGATTTCTGCCTTTCTATTTGGGCAGTCCAATCTGGCTGACGTCAAGGCAGCCAGAGAGGTTTCATGGGTTCTGAAGAGAGCAAGCAAGAAGGGATCCAGAGACTGGAGAGGCCGATCCTGGCAAGGAGACTTCTTCCTTAAAGGATCAACAGGCAGAGGGAAGATCTTCAAAGACGATTAAGGAAAATTATCAGATGGCTTGCTCCACAATGCGATGTGTGCCAATCTGCTGCAGAGGGAGATTAAAGGGGGCCTGGGGAGCCAGGTAAGAACAGGCCGTGGTGCTTGACCCTGGCTGCTATGAGAACCACCCGGGCAGCTTCTAAGCAAACCGCCAATGTCCAGGCCTGCCAGCCCCCGACCAATGAAGTCAGCATTTCTGGGTGTGAACCCCAGGGCATGGGGGCAGAGGTAGGGTTTTAAACCTCCCCCAGGTGATTCTGATGTGCAGCCAAAATTGAAAACCACTGGGCCAAACCAATAGCTAGGCGAACTGGACAGTTACACAGGGTCCAGCAGGGGCTGCAAACTCTCAGTCGTCCAGTCCCAGCTGGCTGAATCCACTTGTTATAAAGCTACACCGCTTAGCTTGGTGACATTCACCAGCAATTTCTGCGGCTAGGAACAGAGAGAACACACCAGGGCCATCCGGGACAGCAGGTCAGTGGATCGGGGTAAAGGTGTGTAGTGTGACTGCAAAGACACTGTGGCAGCTGCTGATGAAGGAGTCCAGGCTGATAAGCGATTCCAGAACACAAATGCCAGAAAGAGAGACTCCAGGGAGGCCCAGAAACCAGGCTGGGGGCAGAAAAGGACCTCAGAATAGCCTGGGTACCTTTTTCAACACAAATGTATACAGGTGCCCACACCTCCCCCACCTCCCCCATTGCTCTGGCCCTTAGGAAAGTGAGCAGGCAACTGGACTTTGGCAAAGCCCTCCCAGGCTTCCACTCTCCATGGCCCATGAGAATGACTGGAACAGAAGGGAAAGATGGGGACAAAGGGAAGGTGGGGCATGAGGGGTAAGGTTGGAGAGGGCAGACTGCAGAGCCTGAGAGCTTAGAGGTGAAGTGTTTTCAATGAAGACTGGCTTGGATTAAAGAGAAGGAAACATTATTGGATTTACTTCGCTGACAAAAGATGAGGACAGTGTATTAGCAAGCACAGCCACAGGGCTATCAAGAGCCTTTGGGATGACCCCGGGCCTGGGTAACAACAAAATCCAAGACCCAGAAAGGTAGTAGCAGGTGGTGTGAGCTGAGGTTAGGACCTTCAAGAGAAACCCAGTTCCGCTTGGGGGGCTGAAGAGGATCTGGAATCAGCGCCCACCCAGGGAACAAGAAATGTCAGCACTGAGTGTGATGTCAGCTCCCCCACCCACAGGACACAGGGGCCTTCACTGGAGAGTGGGAGAAAGTGTGTCCTTCCTCAGCTGGGAGATGAAGAAATCAGATGGGCTTCTCTTCGCTCTAGTGATTTGGTAAGTATTTCAGGACATCTTCAAAGATTCAGTGCAAAAGATTTGGCAACACCGCCCCCACCACCCCGCCACACACACACAGACACATACATACACACAAACAACAACAAAACAAAAAAGAAGAAAAGGGAGGATGAACAAGAGGAGGAATACAGGTTCCTAGAGTGGCGAGCACTGAAAAGCAGCAGCGCAGTTCTTTCAGATTTTTATTTTAATAAATAGGATTTTGTAAACAAATTGTTTTAACACACTCATTGATGAAGCAGAGCTTCTAGTTATATCCATAAAAGAGATGAGAAAGTAGGAAAAGCCACAAGTCTGCTTCACCAATTTCAGTTTCCATTTTTATCTACTCAAAAATGTTCAGACCACAAATTCTGCATCCACAGCCTCACGTCACAGGCATCATAAGCACCTGACAAGTGCTTACTGCGCAAGCAGCGCCTTACCAGAATCCGGCAGGATACGTAAGAGCATGTGCCTCTTGATAACCATGTGTTCACAAAGAGATCTGTGTGTTCACTGACACAGCAGATGTGAATTCTGAGTCATACACAGGTTAAGGTTCACTCTAACAACTTGGCAATGCCAGCCGAACTTCTGAGGCTATTGCATGAAGGAAAAGGGAAGGGAGCTAGTTAAGTCATCTTGAGGGGACAAAGAAATGTGGAGTGGTGCAGTCTCCAGTGTCAAGTCCATTCTTTCTGCTGGGCTGTCATTCACACTAAGCATACTGGAGCAGCTGTTCTAAAAAATGAAAGCAATGCCTGAATAAAGCAGAGCCAGCCACTATCCAGAGGTTAGGAGAGGGGAAGCTTCTCCTGGCAGCACTGACGAGGAAGACGGGAAACATTCTATACACTCCATGTCATGGAGTATATAGGTGTGTAGTGTGACTACAAAGACACTGTGGCAGCTGCTGCTGAAGGAGTCCAGGCTGATAAGCGATTCCAGAACACAAGTGCCAGAAAGAGAGACTCCAGAGAGGCCCAGAAACCAGGCTGGGGGCAGGAAAGGACCTCAGAATAGCCCGGGTACGTTTTTCAACGCAAATGTATACAGGTGCCCACACCTCCCCCTATTGCTCTGGCCCCGTCAGGGTAACCGTGAGCCACGTTTGCTACATTTCGAACAATCCCAGGGAAACTGGTTCAAAGACAACTGTGAAGCGATGAGGATGGTTTTCATACATACAGACCTCTGGTCTCATTAGCTTATAATTTTACCTTTTCCACTATAATGCAGTTCCCCAATAAAGAATAAAAAATGGCTGACTGCTTCCCATTTATTCCCGTAAATAAAGATTAACACACAGAAGCAATGTGGCTGACATCCAAACTCAAAAGTGTACACAAATCAAATTCGAATATGATAAAAAGTAAATTGATTGTGTATTATCTTGAACATAAATTATTCTGGATGGTAATGAGGATGAACTGTTTTTCCTGCTCCAAGGCAACTGGGCCTGGAGGTATTCTACTTCTTCAATAATATATGTGCTGATTTACATTAGTGTCTGGAACCATGACCTTAAATGAATCTGTAAAAAACAAAGCACTTGAGCAAAGAGGCGGTTCTGCAAATGCTCCAGAAGAGGAAAATCTGTCTGAAAATTCTTAGTTCATTCCTCAACTGTTTACTAAGCACTTGCTTTCTCCCAGGTATGTTAAGAGCTGCCGCTTTCTTACTCCTGAAATTCCCTTCTAGATGGAAGAAGCTCTGTCCAGCATATTCCTCCTGCCTCTCCCACCCTCACACACTCCAACCAGGGTAAGAAAGAAGGGCCAGCGTTGGCAGGAGTTTGGGTAAAGAACTGGCTGTGCCAAGCCAAGCCCCCGCTCCTTGCTGTATTGTATCCTTCACAAGGAGATCAGTCCAAAGGATGGACCATCAGTGTGAAGAGCAGCTCAAGCCCATGCTGGCACTCACCAGGGTGGGCATGGGGGATGTTAAGTCTGCCTAATTCCATGTTCTGTGTTAGGAAGCCCACTGGCCTGGACATAGAAGCCACATTCCTCTATGTTAAGCCTTTGCCCTAACAAAGGTGATGCTCTGGTCTCCCTCTGCAAATGCTTTTGTTATTTCTCTGGTGAACTGTACTTACTGGACCCCCTTGAGTCCCTTGAGCTTAGAACTGTGCTACTATTGTATAGGGCAGTACAGTTTACAACCCATGAGCTGGCCCCAAATTTAGGCTGCATTAGATGCACCTGAAGGGGTTATTTTAAATTGCAAATTCCTAAGACCCAGGCCATAAACTCTGATGCAGCAGATCTGCAGAGGGCTGACATCTGCGCCTGGAAGAACCGCAGCTAAACCAAAACCACATTATGAGAAGGCATGGAAAAAAATTCATGGATCTCTATACCTCTGAGCTTTAAAACAAAAACACAGTATTTTAATAAGTCTGATTTTCCACTTCCATAAAATTAAATGATTTTGTGGTTGATTTGGTGACTCACAGAAAATGCTTACAGGGCAAGAAGACTGGAAGTAAGAAACGCAATTCTGAGCGTGCTGTCTGGAAGAAGCGCTGTAATCAAATGACCAGGTGGTCACTGCGTTCTATCAGGATGTCAGCCTAAGTTAGCCAGAGCCCAAAGAGGCACACTGGGGTGTGCGCTGGGTCCCTGTGCAGGCACAGGAACCACTGAGAAGGACACAGTAGTTTTGGGGGAAAGTTGGCTGTACCGGGTTTGGTCAAGCTATCCAAAAATCATCAGGCCTAAACACGCCTTGCTCCTCCAATAACATCAATTTCCAACCCAAATTTAAAGTTAACAAACGTAGAGTGCTTTCTAGGGCCTGTCAAAGAGACACACTGTACTGATTTTGCTAACCTCTTAGCAAGGGAAAAATAATCCTATTTCAAGATCTATAATGTCAAGTTTGCCCAAAAGGTGAAGTTAAAACTAACTCTGTATTAATAATATTCCGGGAAGTGCTCCCCTCTGTCAACGTTTTGCTCATGTCCCAAGTGTCCCCACGGCATTGCCACGCAACACAAGAGAGGATGCACATTCCCTCCATTTAGGCAGCAGTTCAACAGAACTAACGGGAGAGAGTAAGTCAATCTTTCAAAAGTCCAAAAATCCTCAATCCCCATTCTCAATTCAGACCAGGTTCACAGTCTCCTTCCCCACCAGAGTTCTGGAAATTAGAATCCAGTATTTCTCAACAACTTCTACAAGTATGAGAAATTTAAACTCATCTTGAGAGGACTCCTGGGTTCCCTCTGAATATTTTAATATCCTGCATTAATGAGGAAAATGCAACTAACCTCCTATGTTTCCTAAACAGACTTGTCTTCCCGAAAAACTTGAATGTAAGCAGGGAATTGCATCTCCCCTAGGACTGCTTTAAAAACCTCTACCACTTACTACAATGGATTCCCAGAAGGCAACTGGACTGCATGATTCTAAGGCACCTACTGTGGGCCCAGAACCAGAAAAAAAAAAAAAAAAGAAAGAAAGAAAGAAAAGAAAAAAGAATGAAAAAGAAAAGAAAAACATCTCAGGCAAATACCAATAGGAGTCGGCAAGAAGACAAAGGCCAGTGAGCCAGGTTCACAATATCAGACGCCTAAGGTTTAGCCTACCACTGCCGCAGGTGGAATGACGGTCCCCCAAGATGCGCGAGTCCTAATCCCCAGAACCTGTGACTAGGTCAGCTTACACAGAAAAGGGGGATTAAGGCTGCAGATGGAATTAAAGTTGCTAATCAGCAGACCTTAAAATAGGGAGATTATCCTGGATTATCCAGATGGACACAATGGAATCACAAGGGCTCCTGAAAGTGCAAAGGGAGGCAGAAGGAGAGCATCCCAGGAGGAGATGTGACCATGTGGGAATGGCCACAGAGATGCTACTCTGCTGGCTTTGCAAACGCAGGGAGGGGACAATGAGCTGAGGCTGCTAGATGTCCTGCAGAAACTGGGAAAGGCAAGGGGATCCTCTCCTAGAGCCTCCGGGAGGAACACAGCCCTGGCGACACCTTGAGTTTAGCCCATGTTAGACTCTACCCTACAGGACTATGACTATGAGATATAATAGCAAATCCGTGCTGTCTGCAGCCACCGCTCTGCGGTCCTGCCTTACAGCAGCCACAGGAACCCCACCTGGGATGCTCCAGAAAGTCCATGCTCCCATCTTCACGTTCCAGCATGACTTCTGCCCATGTATGTCAAGTACTATACAAAGACATAATGGATTTTAAAAAGCAAGACGGTAAAAGATAAAGGTTTTAAAAAATCTCTTGACTGCTGGAGGCCAAGAGTTTGGGATCCCCTGGCACACACATAGACTTCCTGCTTTTTACTTTATATGTGTGTATGTGTGTGTGTGTGTGTATATATATATATATTTTTTTTAAATCTCCCAATGGATTCCAAAAGCAAAAACACCTTTACCCTACAAATGCTGCCCAACAGCAAAACTGTCACTAGAAGCAACACTTCATCTTGAGCGTAAATAACAAATTTGCCCAAGTACTAGAAATCTGTGAAAGCACGTTTTCTAATTTAGTTGATAAATTGTAATGATGGAAGGGTCACTCAGAGTTGTTTAAGAATGCACAGCCCTAAAAACTCAAAAGTGGTTTCTGCCTTGTCTCTGCCAGGGCCTACGTTCATATTTTAAAAACACAAAAAAACATTAAAGGAGATCTCTCCCAGCAACACAAGCGAGCCAAAGTGCCCTGCGGCTGGTATGAGAGCGCACATACCCTCACAGGGGACAGAGGACAGAAAACGTGGGCACTGAGGCCCCATGTCCCTAGCCGCAGCCCCCACCCCCAGCCATCTCGGTCTTGGGCAGGAAGACCCATGAGGTCCCAGTCTCAGTTCATAACTTGTCCCCCTGCATCTATTCTTGCCACCAACCCCACACCCCCAATCCCAATCCATCTGCCACACAGCAACTAGAGTGGGTTTTGTTTTGTTTTGTTTTGTTCTTTAACTTGGATAATGCCTCCCCTCTGCTAAAACCCTTCAATGACATAGCACCCCACCTTGAATAATGCCCAAATTATCAGCTCGTCCGTAAGGCCGTCCCACTTTGGCCTCTATGAGCCCCTCTTCTGGCAGTCTCTGCACTCCAATACAGACTTTATTTCAGTTACTCTAACCTGCCAGAGTGTCCCTGCCTGGGAAACCCCCTCCAGCCACCACAGTGTCCTTCCCAGGCAAGCTCCTCCCCTTCCTTTAGGTCTCAGCTAAAGATTTTTCCTGCTTCAAAAAGGTTCTTCCTGACTCAACCCCCACCAAAGAGAAAGTCAAACTCAATTTGAGAAGCCCCTCTAATTCTCTCTTGGAAATCCCTTTCCTTCTACAGCCATTGTTCAATCTGTAATCACATCTGCCTTGATTCAATAAAGGTATATTTCCCCAACTAGACCATAGACTCCATGAAGCAGGGACCTTGTCTACTCTGTCACCAATCATCATCAATCAAGCATGAAATTCAGACTCATCACTCAATAAAGTGTGTTGACCAAATATACAAACTACAGAGTGGTCAGCATTGCTCCCCTTTAGAAGCTGCCTTTAAGTTTGGGTTCCTCTAACAAACTATCACAGACTGCGTGGTTTATAAATAACCGAAACTTATTTCTCACAGGTTTGGAGGCTGGGAAGTCCAAGATCAAGGTGCTGGCAAATTCAGTGTCTGACTAGGGCCACTTCCTGGTTCACAGAAAGCACGTTCTTTGCTGTATCCTCACATGGTAGAAGGAGCAAACAAGCTCACTTGGCCTCTTCTTATAAGGGCACTAATCCCATTCATGAGGGCTCTACCCTCAGGACCTAATCACGTCCCAAAGGCCCCACCTCCTAATACCATCCCATTGGGGTTTAGGATGCAAATATTCAGTCTATAGTAGAGACCACATGATTTCACATTATATTAAAAATGTATATATAATGGGCCAGGCATGGTGGCTCATGCCTGTAATCCCAGCACTTTGGGAGGCCAAGGCAGGCAGATCACCTAAGCTCAGGAGCTCGAGATGAGCCTGGCCAACATGGAGAAACCCCATCTCTACTAAAAATACAAAAAATCAGCTGGGCATGGTGGCACATGCCTGTAATCCCAGCTACTTGGGAGGCAGAGGCAAGAGAATCACTTGAACCCAGGAGGTGGAGGTTGCAGTGAACCAAGATCACACCACTGCACTCCAGCCTAGGCATCAGAGTGAGACTCTGTCTCAAAAAATAATAATAAAATTTTAAAAATCTCTCTCTATATATATATACATACTGAAAATACAATTGATAGTTTACCGACCAAACTGAAGTAGGCAAAAATAAATAAATAAATAAATAAATAAATAAATAAATAAATAAATAAATAAAGACAAATAGGAACCACCACCTAAGTTCCTCAATTAAGAGAAGAGATAGGATGTAATTTTTGGTCTAAAACAAGATTGGCATTTCAGTTTAAGCTTGAAAGTTTAAGCCACTAAACTTGTCAGTTGATTCAATTGAAAACCTAAACACTGAAAAAATATCAAATCTTAAATTGAGAATGTAGGTCTGGTAATGGAAGGTAAGAATGTCCTTATGAAACATACATGTTGACACGGACAAATCCTCATAAACAGCCAAACATGGATAAATCTACACAAGTTAATGACAGCATAAGTTGCAAGTTGGGGACGGTATGTGCAAAGTCAGTAATGCAGAAATGTGATCTAAGTTTGGTGTTAAATGACATAAAACAACAGGGACACCCAGTAGGATGGCTATCACTGGACAGACAACACGTGTTGTTGAGGATGCAGATACACTGGAACCCTCAGACACTGCTGGGGGGGAATGTCAAATGGTGAGCTGCTTTGGAAAACAGTCTGGCAGTTCCATTCCTAGGTATAAACCCAAGAGAAATGAAAACATATTCATCCAAAACCTGTACAAGAATGTACTACATAGAGGTTCATAGAAGCAAAAAGCAGAAACAATCCAAATGTTCATCAACTGATAAATGGATAAACAAAACTCTACAGGGGTCAGCATGGCTTCCATCTCTAGAAACCATATGGTTTTATAACACAATGTATCCCATACAACAGACTAGTATTTGACCAATAAAAAGGAATGAAGTGCTGATACCTGCTATAACATTGATGACCCTGGAAAACACTCCACTAATTGAAAGAAGCCAGTCACAAACAACCATACATGGCATGACTCAGTTTATATGAAATGTCCAGAATAGGCAAAATGTAGAGATACAAAGTAGTTTAGAGGCTGCCTAGGGATGGGGAGAGGGATGTGTGGGAGAACTGGGGGGTGATGGTTATATCGTACAGGCTTCCTTTTATGGGTAATAAAAATATTAACATCAGCCAGGCACAGTGGCTCACACCTGTAATCCCAGCACTTTGGGAGGCCAAGGCAGGTGGATCACCTGAGGTCAGGAGTTCAAGACCAGCCTGACCAATATGATGAAACCCTGTCTCTACTAAAAATACAAAAACTAGCTGGGTGTAGTGGCATGAGCTTGTAGTCCTAGCTACCTGGGAGGCTGAGCCAGGAGAATTGCTTGAACGCAGGAGGCAGAGGTTGCAGTAAGCCGAGATTGTGCCACTCCACTCCAGCCTGGGCGACAGTGAGACTCTGTCTCAACAAGAGGAACAAACAAAAAAATTAACATCATAATGATGGTTGCACAACGTTGAATATAATAAAAGTAATTGAATTATACACTGTAAATGGGTGAATTGTAAGGTATGTGAATCATATCTCAATAAAGCTGCTTTTTTAAGAAAGCGTGTGTGTTTCTGACATTTAGTTCATTGAAAAATACCTTGGACAAAAGGATAATGGTAACAGCAGAAATGCTTTTGGTCCTAGCTATATTTGTCTGCCTGCGCACAAAGGCATACACATGCACAGGCATATACTGAAAAAGGGTAAGTTCAAAACTGATTTGTAGCTAAGGAAAAGAAAATGAGCAAGGTTTGGTCTCTTACACAAAAACTTGAGTCAGGAAGGGCTAGATTAGGCTAGAAAAACACCACCAAAATCCCCATGTCATCTTAAAGAGCCTAAAACAAAGGCTTCTCTCTCAGGGCAGGTCCATCGTGGGTGGCGGTGGCACAGCGCTCCCTCGGGGACTGAGGTCCACAGCACGGCTACCTTCTGGGACATGCCAAGCACCACAGCTGAGATAATGAGGGCCAGAGAGTCTCACCCTGGCTTCAAAAGCTTAGCTCAAGAGCCACACGAATCTCATCAGCTCACTGCCTAATTAGTCACAGGTTGTCACATGATGACCTGGGCTCAATGGAGCAGGGAGCATCCCACCCTCTATTCTGGAGATTAAAGATCCAAACCTGTGTGAACGGATCTTAATGACTACCCTAGATACAAAATTGCAAGCTCTATTCTTCAGGGCCAAGTCTTTAAAGAGGAGCTGGCATTCTCCATCCTTCCATCCCATGTGGATTGACTCCCATGGCTGGCCAGCTACCTTTGGGGAAGAAGGACAGTACTCAACCTGCCCATGCCCTCAGCCTCCACATGAAAGGCTATTTATCCACTTGGACACCCAAGCTAGAAACCCAGTCATGCCCACCCCAGACACACCCATCTTGATGCCAACTATCTCAAAGCTCTGCAATCTGTCCTCCTGGGCTGCTGTAGGGCAGCCCTAGGGCAGCCCAAGTTCAGAACCTCAGTCTCAGCAGAATCATCACAAAATCTTTCTAAAACATCCCCCCTCAACAACCCTGCCTTCCACTCTGCCTCCTTTCCAAATCAGCCTCCAAGCTGCTGTCAGTTTGGTCTTCCTAAAACTGTAAATATCATCAAATTGCTTCCCTGCTTAAAAATCTCCTAGTCAGCCGGGTTTGGTGGCTCATGCCTGTAATCCTAGCACTTTGGGAGGCCAAGGCAGGTGGGTCACGAGGTCAGGAGTTAGAGACCAGCCTGGCCAACATGGCGAAACCCCGTCTCTACTAAAAATACAAAATTAGCCAGGTGTGGTGGGGGGCACCTGTAATCCCAGCTACTTGGGAGGCTGAGGCAGGAGGGTTGCTTGTACCCAGGAGGCAGAGGTTGAGTGAGCCGAGATCATGCCACTGCACTCCAGCCTGGGTGATGGAGTGAGACTCCGTCTCAAAAAAAAAAAAAAAAACAAAAAAAAAACCTCCTAGTTGTTCCCAAAGCCTGTGTGATCTGTCCCCTTTCACAAATCTAGTCCTCCACTTACCACCCCCACAGCAAATGGATTCCTGAGCTGCTATTTTCCAACCATGCCATGTGGCCTCTCCCATCCCTCTAGACTTCTGCACATGCTGTTACCATTGCCTGAAATAACTTTTCCACTCTTCTCTGGGTGATTAATTCAAATGTTAATGCAAGTGCCTGCTCCCATCCTGGGGCAAAAATTCAGAAACTGTGAAACTCTTCTGTGGGCATAAATCCAAAAGTAGCCCTCTTCAATACCTGCATGACAACCTGAACACACCTGAATTGTAGCACTTATCACGCCCTCCTGGGCTTCCCGCCTGCCTGGAAGCTCAATGAGGGCAGGAGCCTTGCCTTATTCTAATTTGGAGCACCTAATCACGGCTGGTTCTCAGACTTCAATTGTTGAATGCATGAAAGAATTGATCCAAATTTTCTTGCTATATATTGTTTTCTATTAAATAAAAATATTTTAAGAAGTCCCTTAATTTGCCTCCACTTTTAGCTATCCACTTTCAACTTTCTACCTTCTTGCATAGCATTAGCACAAGTGCCTATCATGGGAAAGACACAATGCTGGACAGAACCTCCACATCCATTACTGCATGTGGCAATCCAATGTGATGTGTACAGTTATCCACTTTTCACAGGTGATAAGATGGAAACTCTGCCTATTTATGTCATATGGTATATCTGACAAAGCTATTAAGTGACAGAGCCAGGATTTAAACCCAGATAGCCTTAAGTCAAAATCCAGTCTCTATTATACCAAAATTTACTAATTAAAATAATAACAGTAGGCTGGGCACGGTGGCTCATGCCTGTAATCGCAACACTTTGGGGGGCCGAGGTGGGTGGATCACCTGAGCTCAGGAGTTTGAGACCAGCCTGGCCAACATGATGAAACCCTGTCTCTACTAAAAATACAAAAATTAGCTGGGCGTGGTGGCGGATGCCTAAAATCCCAGCTACTCGGGAGGCTGAGACACGAGAATCACTTGAACCCAGGAGGCGGAGGTTGCAGTGAGCTGAGATCGCACCACTGCACTCCAGCCTGGGCGACACAGTGAAACTTGTCTCAAAAAATAAACATAAAAATGAAATAAAATAATAACAGTATAAAATTAAGGTATACTTAAGAAGTTTAATTTCAAAATATTTTCATGATGTTCCTCTACAAACATAGATTAAAACAATTTTGGAGTTAAAAGCTACTTTTAGGAAACTGAGACCCAAATGATCTCTCCCCTGATAAGAACTGTACTGTGATTTCGTGCCTAGTACATGAGGCACCCCAAAGCTTTTAGTTCAATAAATGACTCAAATGCCTATCAAAATAACAAACTAATTTCTCAGGCTAACGTTTATCACGCAGTCAGCTAACACAGTATCTCTTCACTCAAGATCTAACTAAATCAATGTGCATCCCACAATGGGTCTGCGGACCCCAGATCTCCGTATTCTGAGGATCCTCCTCTCACCGCACAAAAAGTCCTTTCCAGCTGGGTGCAGTGGCTCATGCCTGTAATCCCAGTACTTTGGGAGGCTAAGGCAGGAGGATTGCTTGAGCCCAGGAGTTCACGACCAGCAGAAGCAAGATGGCAAAACCCCATCTTTACTAAAAATACAAAAAAAAAATTAGCTGGGCATAGTGGCATGCGTACCTGTAGTCCCAATTACTTGGGAGGCCGGAATGGGAGGATCATATGAGCCTGGGAGGTTAAAGCTGCAGGGGAGGAAAAAAGTCCTTTCCTCTTTGTCCACGACTGACTCTGTTGAAAGCCTTTTTTTTTTTTTCTGGAGACAGGGTCTTGCTCTGTTGTCCAGCTTGGGGTGCAGAGGCACAGATCTTTGCTCACTGCAGACTTGACTTCCCAGGCTCCAGTGATCCTCCCACCTCAGCCTCCAGAGGAGCTGGGCCTACAGGCACAAGCCACCACTTCTGGCTGATATTTTGTAATTTTTGTAGAGACAGGGTTTTGCCATGTTACCCAGACTGGTCTCAAACTCCTGGCCTCAAGTGATCTGCCAGCCTCGGCCTCCAAAAGTGCTGGGATTACAGGAATCAGCCACCTCACCTGGCCTGAAAATCATTTTCAAAAATCACCCAGACCAAGCACCTGCCTCCATCAGTTCTAATCCTTCCAAATTCTGGCTTCATTCCAATCCTTAATATCTGCGTATTCAATCCCTGTGTTTGATTACTAATCATTTACTGGTATTGGCTGAATTGTGTCCTCTCACCTCCAAAATTCATACATTGAAATCCTAATCCCCAGTACCTCGGAGTGTGACTGTATAAGGAGTCAGGGTTTTTAAAGGAGTAAATAAGTTAAGATGAGGTCAATAGGGTGGGCCTAATCCAATATGGCTGTGTCCTTACAGAAAGGAAATTTGGACACAGTCACACACAGAAGGAGGACCATGTGAAGAAGCAAGAAGGTGACCAATTGCAAGCCAAGGAGGGATGTCTCAGAAGAACCCATGCCTGTCAACACTTTGATCTTCGACTTCCAACATCCAAGATTATATTAAAAAAATAAATAAATGTCTGAGGTTTTGGCCACCCCATCTGCAGTTGTTACAGCAGCCCTAGCAGACTAACCCACTTCCTCATCATTCTCCTGCCGTGTCAAGAAGCAAAGCAGGTGAAGATTTCAGGGGACAGGTTCAGATCCTGGCTCAAGTCCTTTCTAGCACTGTGACTTTGGGCGAGTGGTTGAGTCTCTCATGCAAAATAGGTATGACAATTGCCCTTTCTGCATGATTGCTTTGAGGATTAAATGTGACCAAAAATGTTATTGTACTGTATTTCTGTAACAATTTTTTTAATCATCTGCCAGGCACTGTTCTTAGCACTCTGCATACTTTAAATCATTTAATCTTCATAACAACCCTATGAGAAGGGTCCTTCACTAACCCCTTTAACAGATGACAAAAGAGAAGCACCAGGAGGCAAGTGGCTTGCCCAAAGGCACATCTGAGAAGTATGGGAACCGGCCCCCCTTCACCAGGCAGCCTTTTGACCACTGCAGGGTCTCCCTTAAACCCACAGTACCTAGCACTCGGGAGACTCTCAACAAGGGGGAGCCTGTAAGCTCCCCAGGAGCTGCAGCTTTTGGCTTTTTCGGTACCTTCCCACAGACCAGTAGGTTCAAACTTATCTTAAATACCTACAGATAAGAAAGCTTCTACTAGGGTTAAAAAGCCTGAGCTGGAGTTGAAGGGGCAAGACTTAAGAGTAGGTACAAACCAACTTCCACAACCCAAAGTGAATGCCATCCACAGTTCTGGACACAGGCTCCCAGCCTGACAGTTGATTTGGGCAGTGTCCCAGGATCCTGGGCAGCACGGATGTCCCTACACAGGGCTTGTGCCTAGCTGGGGACCATCTGCTACCCAGATGGGGCCTCAGGTGAAAGAACAGCTGCTCCTCTCACTCTCCACATCAACAGCCTGCCCAAGAATGATCTTTCTACAGGGCCAAATGGCCATTCCGGAGCTGCTAGCTGATGCAGTAATCATTTAGCTGCTGGGTAACCTAAGGTTTCTTTTTTCATAACAATTTCTGGAATCTCATTATGCTGAAGCCTGACCCTGAAAACGGCAAAAATATGCTTTACCAGATAATTCAGTCACCATCACAGACTATGACCCCCACCCAGTGATCTTTTGCGGGCTGGCTTTCGTATTCTTTCCTTCCAAAAAGTACCACTGAAAAATGCAAGCAACATTGATGGAGAAAATCTGGAGTAAAACTAAGATGTAGTCAGAGGGCTTGAACCATTATGTGTGGAGTTGGCTTCAAAACAACACATTGACTCGTGATATCAGACCATGAGCCATACCACCTATTTTTCTTAATCATTTTCACAATATAAATAAGAGACAGGAATGAAAAATAAACACACAGCTCAGACAAAAAAGCAGCTTTGGCCAGAAAACATTACCAATGATCCTAAGCAAAAATAAACAGATTCCCATAGTCATTTAGAAGATTTAGATTAAAATCTTAATGTCATAATAATTAGGTTCATTAGCAAGTATTTATTAAGCCGTTGCTAGGCACTGCCAGGCACAGGAGTCTCGAGAATGACTAAGGCACACTCCCCTACCCTCCCAAGTCTCTGGTGGAGAGGGGAATACACTAACCCAACTGTCATGCAAGCACGGCCTGTGTCAAAATGCAGGGAGAACAGGGAGATATGGATTGAATCCTCGAAAGCATCCGATGAGCTCAAGTGAAACAGCATTGTCACAGCCCATTATGCGTTTCTGGGCTTCAGGCATCATACCTTCAGTCCTAGCGCTCTCCTTGCCGACAGATTTCTCAAAACTAGGACATGTCCAGACCACTGGTTCTTCCAGCTACTGGCCACACAGCTGCTAGCCAATCCCACAAACTGCTCTGATAGTTACCATACCTTATAAGTTACAGGCTTCCCCTGGTCCCTAATACCTGCTGACTTTACCTTCCCTCTTCCCTAGAAGCAGCTGAGGTTCTACCAACTTCACCACTAATATCCCACCTCTAACTTCCTCTGCTTTTTCACAGCAAGCCCAGCACATCTTTTTCTATTGTAGAAGACGCATCTCAGAATCCTCCCTGCAACAACGTGCTGTAATGGGTATGGGATGTGTTTGGGGGGTGGAGGGGTTGGTTGGGGGGCGGGGGTGTAGTGAAATACATGTGCACAGGCAGTACTCAGTATGAAACCATAAGAATGTCCATAGAAGCTGAAACGGTGCAAAACAATGTTAGTGATGAAAAGGAAAAAATGCAATTGTTCTGTGACTTCTTAAAAATTTTGTCAAAGCATTAAAAACTCTATTACTGTCAGTTATAAATGTACAAGGAAGTGAAAAATAGTGAAATATTCAGCACGTTGCCATTTAAAACCCTGGAAACAAAAAACTTATCAAGAAATATTTAAAAGTGCTTATCTTTTTGTCGCATAACTTATACAAGCGAAGCATCTTTTCTATGACTTGGTGAAATGTCACGTTTTTAAAATCGAGGTGAAATTCATATAACATCACCATTTTAAAGTAAACAATTAAGCGCATTTAGTACATTCACAATGTCATACAACCACCACGTCCGCGTGGTTGCAAAACATTTTCTGTCGCCCCAGAAGGAATCTCCACATCCATTAAGCAGTTGTTCCTCATTTCCCTACCGCGCCCCAGCCCCGATCTTAGAGATAAGCTTGCTGTGATCTTAGAAACCAAACCACAAATCTGTGTTCTTTCTCTACAGATTTACCAAGATCGTTCATATAAATAGAACCTTATCATATGTGACCTTTGTATCTGGCTTCTTTCACTTAGCATGGTATCTTTCAGGTTCATCCGCATTGTAGCAGGTATCAGTACTTCGTCCCTTTTTAAATCAATATTCCAGTGCGTGGATATATCACAATCTGTTTTTTAATCTATTCATCCATTTGTTAATCTATTCACCCACTGATGGATAACTGGGCTGTTTCTACCTTTCCACTATTGTGAACAGTGCTGCTAGGAGCCGTAAGTTTGAATAAGCATACATTTCATCCTTTGCATTTTCTATGCTGGGAAATGGTTCTGAGAGATCCTTTAATGTGAAATTTGTTTGTTTTGCCAAGGTCATGTCCTCTAGGACAGCTTTATTCTTTTCTTCACAACCACTTTCCTTGTTTATGTGGTAAACCTGCATTCTCCTCCTCGGGCTGCGCAGGCAGTCTCTCCAACAGCTGTACTGCCAATATTCCCACAGTCAGCTATTTCTTCTATAATTCCATGTAGGTTTTGGTTTCACTTCTAGCATTATCACTTTCAGCTTCTTTGCTGCACTTTTATCTTCGTTCACCAATTCCCTCTCGATTTTTGGTATTTTTGTAAAATGTCACACTGGTTTATCCCCAATAGCCAAGAAGGCCACAGAACTACACACTCTGCTGTCTGTGCATGAACTAAGGAACATGTGCACTGACCAATCACCCATGGGCTTTGAAAGAAGTGCTGTGATTGGCCACGGATTCTGACATGCATCTGTTATTTACATGGTGAGTTGTATACTGAAGCACTAGCAGCAAGCTTGTGTACTTCATGCAATTACTCAATTAACACACGGGGGTAACTGAGATTTGACTAGAGTTGTTGGGGAACTGGTATTATTTAAATCATGGTAATTGCAACTCATGCATATCAGAACTGTGCAAAGTCAGAACCATCTATATAATATATAATTATATATATTATATATAATTATAATATATAATATATCCACATATATAATATGTATATGTAATATATATAATATATGTAATTTAAGCATTACTATATATAGCAAATAGTTTGAGGATAAAGAGCACTGCAACAAGTTAGTGGCATTACTGCTACATAGACAAATAGACAAAGGTCAGTCTCCTGTCCATTCTACTCAGTTCATTCTGGGAGTATCGACACCAAATGCTCACTGTGTCCATAACACCGAGCCACTGTCATGATAAGCCAGCACAGATAATAAGCCAGCCGTGATCTTAGAAACCAAATCACAAGCTGGTTTTGAGCATGCAAACAAAGGCTGAGCTGCCTGAAAATAGCAGCTGCCACAGGATCAAACTTTCAAGATTACAATTTTACAGTACATATTTTATTTATTTTATATTATATACAGTTGTCCCTCAGCATTGATGGTGGAGTAGTTCCAGGACACCTGAGGATACTAAAATTCACAGATCCTCAAGTCTCTGACATAAAATGGTATAGGATTTGCATATAACCTACACACACCCTCTCATATACTTTAAATCATCTCTAGATTACATATAATACCTAATACAACACAAGTGCTACATAAATAGATGTGATACTGCGTTATTTGCATTACTTTTTGTTATATTGTTATTTTTCATTTTTCTAAATTTCTGAATATCTTCAATCTGCAGTTGGTTGAATCTGCAGAGGGAGAACCTGCAGATGGGGGTGGGGGTTAACTGTATTTTTAAAAGGAAGAAAATTTGATGTCAAAATTGGTTCTGTGAGTGGGCCCTGAGAGAGAATTCACTGAAAGAAAAGTGTTATCATACTTATTGCACAGAATTTTTGCCACATATTTCCAGGGTCAATTTTGTTCACTTTCTGGTTCTGATTATGTCTTCAATAGGTGGGGTTACAGCATAACAAGTTTCAGGAAAGTGAGCCGTTATAGTAGTTAAAAGTTGATTTTTAATCAGTCTTCCTAGGCCCTGTGTCTCTGGAGACATGTGAGCCACAGCTCACCAAGCAGTCACCACCCCCCACCCCTCTGTACCATTACTGCCTCTCACACAATGGAAATGTATTCAAATGCAGGCAGTCATGGAGGGGGAAGAAGATGAGAAGAAAGGAAATACATACCCGACCTTAATTCAAAATGATTTATCAGAGCTTAAATAAACATTCAGGGAAAGAAAAACAGAGGAAAAAAAAGATAAAATTAGGCTAGGAGTTAAGTGGATGTAGAAAAACTAACCAACCAAGGAAGGCAACACACTGGCCCTTGCTGGTAAAGCTTCTTGGTAGCCACATCAACATTAGGGTCTTAATAAATGGGTTGTGAACCATTTGCTTCTATACTAATTTAAAATAATACCCCCATTCATGTCATCATGAATAATTCACCCACTTTCCAAAAAGCACCCAACATGACACAATTAAACAAAAAAAAGTTCTCCATCCTGGCTCATTCTCTCTCTTGGTTTACAGTTGACATTTGCTATGAAGTAACTGACAAAGGCAGAACAACCATCCAAAGAGGTTTACAAATGCATCTGCCTTTGAATAAAAATGCATAGAATACGGAAAGCATTTCCATCTGGGAATACAGTTTTCTATTTCATGATGTCATTCTGTAATTTACTAATTGCAGGGTATGCAAAAATCTAATGTGCAAATGGAGGCTCGCAGGCCCAGTGCAATGAGCAACAGTCACTTGCTACTCAAATGACACTCGACACGGACGGAACCGAGAAATACTTATTGGAAACCTCAGCCCTCATTACCCAAAACAAAGAACGGGCTCTTTCCATGACCAGGCACTCCAGACACCAAATGCAAATTAAACCAACAGAACAAAAACTGTATTCAGAAGGCGCAGATTGCAAAAGCCTTGTTCTGAGTTCAGCCATTCACAGACCCTGAGGAGGACATCGCCCTCAGAGAAACACAGCTGGGCCACGCTGAATATGCCAGGAGTGATGCTCCTTTTAAGCCCAGAGATGTTCGACTCCACTTATCTAAGTCTTTCTACTTAGTAGTTTTCCTTCTCCTGGTTGGCTGTATCAGATGACTACTGAAATTTCATCTGATAGAAAAAGACATCCATTCCCTGCTGACATTTTTTGAAGCCATTGCTAAACTTCCATAACCCATAATCAAGTTATTTCTTTTTCATCCAGGCACGGTGGCTCACACCTATAATCCCAGCACTTTGGAAGGCAAAGGAGGGAGGATCCCTTGAGCCCAGGACCTTGAAACCAGCCTGGGCAAGCCAGTGAGACCTCATCTCTACAAAAAATACAAAAATTAGCCAGACATGGTGGTGTGCGCCTGTCATCCCAGCTACTCGGGAGGCCAAGGCTAGAGGGTCACTTGAGCAAGGAGGTCAAGGCTGCAGTGAGCCATATTCGCACCACTGCACTCCAGCCTGGATGGCAGAGCAAGACCCTGTCTCAAAAGAAAATATTTTTTTAATTAAAAATAAAAACATTCTTTCTTTTCTGCCCCCTAAAAGGAGCCTCCCACTCCAATATCCATTTCCATTAATGCCTACATCAGCTAAGTACGTAGGAGGAAGATGTTTCCTCAGGTTTTGCAGGTTTGTTTGTTTTTAAGGCCTTGCCCACTATGAGAGAGAGCCTGGTTTATGAACAAGTCAAAATCTCTTGCTCAGAAGAGAGATCTGGAATGCTTTAGCCAAGCTGTGGCCCAGCCTCTGTTCTCAATGTAAGAAAGGTCCCCAAAGGGTATTTTAATCCTATTCGTGAAACTTGAGTTTAGGATAAGGTCTTGGCGTTCAAAAGGCATACATAGACCAGGGGAAAGGAGCTGTCCTCTGGATCTGTTTGCTAAAACAATTTATCACCTTGGGAAAGTCCCTTAACCACCAATTGTCTCTCTCAAGCAGGTGGCAAGTAAATTACACTGTCATTACTCTGGCCTCTAAGGGAACTGGCTTGAGAGCTACAGTCTAACATAAATCTCAACTTTCAGAGGTAATTTCAGAATCGGCCATGATGTTAAGGGGCCTTAATGACTGATAGCCCAAGGAAGTGGTCCTCCTCACCCTACCACAGACAAGTGCTCCTCCCCACTCCAGACAGGGAAAATAGTACTCACTTCCCTGAGCCCACAGCAGCAGGCAGGTCCTGTGCTTCCTTTACCGAGCCCGAGGATGCATCATCCCAGCATGCTTCTGTCTTTGTCTTGGCTGCCAGGAAACTCAGAGCTGCCATTGGCTTCAGGAGTCCTTGAAATCAGTATTTTATCCCTTCTTTTCTGGTTCTATGATGATCACTTTCATTTTGGGGGACCTGCACTTTGATTATTAGCTATCTCAGATTATTCTGTAAAGCAAGCAGAATATAAAGCAAGAGAAGCAGAACATTACCTACTCTCTTATTTGGGGCTGGTTTTCCTTGAAGAGTTTTCCTATATTGTGTCTGTGCTACTAAAGGTCTGGGCACTAAAGCAGTCCCTGCCAGTCACTCACACCAATCCTAAGTCTCTAAAACAAAGGGCCGTCTTACACCCCTTAGAGTCTACCTCAAATGCCCAGGTCAGATTTCCAACTCTTTCAATATAGTCAAGAACCAATGAAGCAGACCTCCTGGTTTTAATGTGGACAGCACCCGCTGGTGTTGTGTTTAATGCATGCATTCAATTCCCATTAACATGTGATTGGCCTAAATGGTCATCAGGTGGACTGAAATACCACTATCCCACTCTAACAGGAAATAGCACTAAAGGAAGAAAGCTGCTGGCTGGTACACAGCAGACATTCGACAAATGTGGGTCATGTGCATGAGAACCCAAACCTGCCTATTTTCCCATTAAAAAATAGTTTAGTATTTATTACTAAGTAATGATAAATGCATTCAACAAACATTTGCCAAATGCCCATTATAAGCAAGGCACTGACCTAGATGCTATAAGGAAAATACAGATGAGTAAGACAACAGGCCTTGAGGAAGCCTGCTTATAAGGCACTGGGATTTGCTTGAGCCCAGGACTTCAGGGTTGCAGTGAGCTACGACGGCACCACTGCACTTCAGCCTGTGCAAGAGAAAAAAACTTGTCTCCAAAAAAAAAAGGACACTGGGGTATAAGGAAGTCAAAATAACCAGAAGAATCTGGACACAAACAGGTACAGATATTCAAAGATTATTACAATTTTCAAGTATCTACAAATGAGTTCATTTAACTCTATAATTTCATGTGTCCCAATGTGGAGCTAGAAAAAAGATAGTCATCACAACTATAATACAAGGTGGCAAGTAAAACTCGTCATGACAAGTAACATAATAATAGTGACCTGGTGCTCACTGAGAACATCTGCTTACCACATGGTTTAGCATTTACTGACGAAACCCTGTGACATGGGTTGGGTATCACCATCCTTCTTTAACACATTGGGAAACTGGTGCTCAGAGACGTCAGCAATTTGATACATTTTCAAAACTAGTAAGTACAGAGTGATGACTGTGAGCCACCACTATCTTCTCACCCTAGTATCCCTCTGTGCCTCTTAGGGAATCTAGAATAAAAGAGACCAATTCCTTCTGGGGGGCTCCAGAAATAATTCCGGAAAGTGTGAGAGTTTGGGTCTAAAAGAAATGAGGAAATGACAATGATGATGGCAGCAGCTAGCAACTGTACAGCTCAATAACACCATGAAATAGGTACTGCCACTATTCCTATCATACGGATGAGGAAACTGAGGCATAGAGTGGTCACACAGCTGGAAGATGGCCAAGCAAGGATTCAAACCCAGGCAGTCGGCCTCGAGAATTCACACCTCTAACCACTCAGGACAACGCCACTGTATCATGGCGCTCCACGATCAAAGGCCCGGAGGCTGAGAGTGCTTAGAAACTGATAGAAGAAAAGTAAAGGCAGGAACAGACGGGCCTTATTACCCTTCATAGGCCTAGGAGTCTGAACCTCATCAGGCAATGTGGGGCCTGAAGAGGGTGACCAAAGGGACTTCTTGCAGGGTCCCTCCCACACCTGCAGGCTGGGCAACAGGCTCTGTCCCTCCCAACAAACACAGGAGAGGGATCCCCTCTCAGTTCTCCAAGTCTCCTCTGCTCAGCTGACCTTAGGCATGAACTCTCCCCCTTCCCATGGCCCTGCATTCTGCCACTTGTCAGATTCTTCACCACTATTCTAACAGTCATCTGGATAAAACTAAGCAGGGAAAGCCATTCTCTGCAACTATACTTTTGGTTTTTGTTTTTGTTGCTATTTTGAGACAGAATCTCACTCTGTCGCGCAGGCTGCAGTGCAATGGCGTGATCATGGCTCACTGTAGCCTTGACCTCCCAGGCTCAAGCGATCCTCCCACATCCGCCTCCCAAGTTGCTGGGACTATAGGTTCACTACCACATCCAGCTAATTTTTTATTTTTTGTAGAGATGGGGTCTAGCTATGTTGTCCAGGCTGGTCTTGAACTCCTGGGTTCAAGCGATCCTCCAGCCTGAGTCTCCCAAAGTGCTGGGATTATAAGCATAAGCCACCATACCTGGTCAACTACAGTTTTCTAATACTTCTCACTGTTTCCTTTAAGTCCCCTCCGGCATGCAACTACACCAGGCTGGCATCTGAAACCATTTACCTCTTCCCACTCCATCTGTATATCTGATTACAGTGTGTGTCTATTCAGAAGGGCCTTGGGCTCAATTAACTTTAGACTTTAGATAAGGCATGATATACTCTCTGACTCACTCCAGATAAAGGGCCAAGGATTCCTGCCTTAGTGCTATAATTAGTTGAGAATGCAACGTGGGGGGCTCTGATCCTTTGTTTCTGATGTCCTTCACTCATTAAAAGTAGAACACTTTGCCTGGTGCTGTATCACTTCAACTAAACATGTGTTTGTTTTAGGTTCTGTTTACTTGTCCCAGGGATGGAATGCTTCTCCCACTTGGAATGGCCCTTGCAGCCTGCCGGCCAACTGCGAACTATGGCCTGGGCAAAAATTCAGAGGCAAACACTCGAATGCTCTCTCCATGTTCTTAACAGCACTTGGCATGGAGCTGGCACTAATATTCTGAACAGTCATTTACAATGGTCTCATTTCCTTCCCATCAGAATGAAAAGCCACAGAGCTGGAGGGCTGTGTCATAAGTCTTGCGAACAAAACAATCTTCGTGCATTCACTTTTTTTTTTCTTTTTGTAATTTAAGGAAGAATTCCAAATGGTTTGCCTCTTGCAATGCCACAGTTTGATGTGAAATTGTATGAAGCACTGACTTTCATACAAAGTTCTGAAGATCAGAACCTTAACTGACTAATGCAAAATAGAAAGAGAATAAATAGAAAGCCCTAAGTTCTAACTGCCACCTGCCATTCTTCCACATGGCAATTTAGCACAATGATAAAGATTCTGCAAGGCTGAAAGGATTTCACATTCCAACACACCGCATTCTGTGACTTATGGGCCTTCAGGACAGATGGAACTGTGTTTTTCCAATGTAAGGGAAAAATTCATTACAGCAAATAAGCATGGAGTTGGTTTCTGAACTTACTGATGTTCTTTTTTAAAAACAAAACTCACAACATAAAATACAAAATCACACTAAGGCCAGGTGGGGTGGCTCATGCCTGTAATCCCAGCACTTTGGGAGGCTAAGGTGGGTGGATCATCTAAGGTCAAGATCAGCCTGGCCAACATGGCAAAACCCCATCTCTACTAAAAATACAAAAATTAGCCAGGCATTGTGGTGCATGCCTGTAATCCCAGCTACTCGGGAGGCTGAGGCAGGAGAATTGCTTGAATCTGGGAGGTGCAGGTTGCAGCGAGCCAAGACTGCGCCACTGCGCTCCAGCCTGGGTGACAGAGCAAGACTCTGTCAAATAAATAAAATAAAATAAAATAAAATAAAATAAAATAAAATAAAATAAAATAAAATAAAATAAAATAAAATAAATAAAATAAAATAATCACACTAAGGCCAGGAGGATTCGTTTTAGATAAAGATGACCACAGAATGCCTTTTATCAAACTACCCTGAAAATGTAATTGATTCAATATTCAAAAATAGTTTTCCCATATTTTCAGAAACAGCTATTGGTTATAAAGTACCCTGTACAGAAGAAAATAATAAAGGAAAAGAGCCACACACTAACATTAGGTTCTACCAAGGAGTTCATGAGGAAAACCATGCTCATCCTAATGGATGAGCCTTTCCATGTAAACATTTGGCATTCCCAAAACCTAAGTCCTAAAACTCTAAATCAGGGGTGTCCAATCTTTTGGCTTCCCTGGGCCACACTGGAAGAAGAAGAATTGTCTTGGGCCACACATAAAATACACTAACACCAATGACAGCTGATGAGTTTAAAAAAAAAAAAATCACACAAAAGGCTCATAATGTTTTAAGAATGCTTACGAATTTGTGTTGGGTCACATTCAAGGCCATCTTGGGCTGCATGTGACCTGCTTGTGGTTGCACAAGCTTGCTCTAGATCACGGAAGTCAAAGCTTTCTGGCAGAAATTTAAGTATATAGGCAAACCTTTTATTAATGCTCAAATAAAAATATTGGAAAATGTTCATGAAAAGAACCAGAAGAAACTATGGAAATGATTACAGGGCTGGCAGAGATGTTTCCACCTGGTGAGATTTCAAGCTCCACAGTGTCGATCAATGCCCATGGCCCCAATGGGCGAGGATTCCATGGGACCAACCAAGGCGGCCACAGCTTCTCTCTGTGCCCTGCCTCTCTGCCCTTTGGCCCCGACTGAGCCCTGCAAGGCCCCTCTGCATTCCAGTCCCATCTTCCTGTCCAGGCCTCAGTGCTGCAGACAGATCCAATTACTCCCCACGCGGTGGGAGCAACGACTTTAAGCAGCAGCTTTTGCCACTCCCTCTGCCCGAACTGGCTTCCCCCCATCTGTTCACCCTGGGAATTCTTCAGGCTCAGCCATCATCCATTTCATTTGCACCTTCCCAGAGCGAGCACCTGGCACCCATACCCTCAGTAAGAAGCTGCTGAATAAATGTCCCCCCTCTTTGCCTGCCTCCATGGCCCTGGGTGCCAAGCACAGTGTGTAGCTCAATAAATACTAAGCAGCCCAGGCAGGAGCAGAAGAACCCAGATGAGTGACATCGGAGTGAGTTGGGAGTGGAAGGAAAGAACATAGGAATAAAACAATGAGAACCTCTTAACAACATCTTAACTTGTGAAACATCTAGAAAAGCACCAAAGTCTAAGTGAATACACAATCAATAGGCATCCAAAATCTCAGACACATATCTAGATCGTCTAATGTGTCAGCAACTCTGTGGTGAGCAAAGGGCTAATGACATGGGGTGCTTGTTTTTAAACTCATAGGCCATGAACAGGGAAATCCCTTCTTTTTTTTTTTTTTTTTTAAGTGCTCTTTCTAGAGGCATTCACGGCAATCAAGCCTTACAGCCTACCTATTTCTTAGCCGTAATTTGGAATCATCTGTCTTCTAGCCCATACCTTCAACTGCCAGGTCTGTAAGGCCCTCAAGGTGCCGCCACCTATGCAGTCAGGCTCCTCCATGCCATGCCTTGCAGTGGCACTCCACTCAGCAAAATGATGTTGGGGCCATCTACACAGCAGGGGTGGAGTCCATGGAGAAGGGGAAGGGCTCTGAGGTGTGATTACGAATAAACACAGTCCACGGGGCTGAGCATGGGAGAATGGGGGTATTCCAGACACAGGAAATGGCCAGAGCACAGTCAGGCACAAGAATGCCGGGTGAAATGGGTGCAGTCGTCCAGCCGGCCAGGGCGGCGAAAAGGTAAGGGTGCAGGAGTGGCTGGGTGCAGTGGCTCACGTCTGTAATCCCAACACTGTAGGAGGCTGAGGCGGGCAGATCGCTTGAGCCCGGGAGCTCGAGACCAGCCTGGGCAACATGGAGAAATCCCGTCTCTATAAAAAAATACAAAAAATTAGCCAGGCGGGGTGGCATGTGCCTGTGGTCCCAGCTATCTGGGAGGCTGTGGCAAGAGGATCATATGAGCCCAGGAGGTCAAGCCTGCAATAAGCTATGATCGCGCCACCACACTCCAGCCTGGGCAACAGATGGAGACCCTATCTCAAAAAAAAGAAAAGAAAAATTAAAAAAAAAAAAGGGGGTGCAGGAGTCCCAGGAGGAGAAATCACAAAGGCAGGAAGGTGGCAGATGAGAAGGACTTTGCAAGCTGCACTAGGAAATTGGGCCTTTATTCTGCAGGTAGTAGAGAGTGACTTATGCCAATCCATGCTGTATCTGCCACCATCTGTGGCAGTGTAATGAGGAAAGAAAGGAGTCAGGCTTCAGGAAAGCAGCCCACAGCCCTGCCTCAATCACTCTGGAAGCCCCTGGAGCTGGGACTGCATGTCTTGCTCTAGCATTCAGTGGGGCATGCAGCAATTTTTCAAGAGTGGCTCCAATTTTACAATGGACAGTATAATTCCTCCAAGTTTAACCTATTTTAGATGTTCTATATCATTCTTCTGAAAAGTTCAATTTCCTTATTGTGTGGAATAAAGTATTTATGATGGTTGGAGAGTTGATGGGAATTCTCCTCCTCTGGCGTAAATTGTGCAATATTTGACCACTGCATTCTATCATCAGACAACACATGAGCACGTAGCAAATATAAGACTACCACCAACTGTATCGCACTTCTTTCCGTGAGAAAGTCTCAAGTGAACTGCTCAGCATGAAACATGAATATGCGCACAGTAGTGAATTGAAGGTATTCAGCTTCAATTTGGGTGGGGTGGGAGATGTTTTATTTACCCCACCTAGAGACAACTCTAGCTCGCTACTCCTACTTTTCAAGAAAAACCTGTTAAACAGTATTCTCTGCTAGCCTAAGGGACAAATATAATTTTGAAATGTTATTACTAACCAACCATGATAGCTTGAGAGGCTGAATGAGAATGAGTGATTAGTACACTGTCTTGCGCAGTTCTTACCAAACATCTATCATTCAAGATGCCTGTGAAATGAGTACTTCTTGAAAAACTCCTATGTGAAATGCACCATGCTAGATGTCAAAAAAATTTAAAAATCAGTATATTTAGCAAAATCCATGCTCCCAAGAGCTCACAATCTACAAAAAGAACCTATTTCCATCACCATTTCATTGAAATGTCCTGTTGCCTAAGTGACACTCATATTACAAGCCCCTGGTCATTTACCTTAAAAAAGAATCTGTCCACATACTGCTGAAACATCAGTCAAGAGAGGGAATACTCCGTCCCTACTAAAAATACAAAAAAAAATTAGCCAGGTGTGGTGGCGGGCACCTGTAGTCCCAGCTACTCGGAAGGCTGAGGCAGGAGAATGGCGTGAACTTGGGAGGCGGAGCTTGCAGTGAGCCGAGATCATGCCACTGCACTCCAGCCTGGGGGACAGAGCGAGACTCCATCTCCAAAAAAAAAAACAAAAAAAAAAGAGAGAGAGGGAGTACATGGATTTTTTTTTTTTTTTTGGTACCAGGGAGAGAATTTTACCTTTTAATCTGTTAATCTTAAATTCCACATAAACTGAAATTTTGCTCATGTGCACCACATCTCAAGTGCTGTTGCCTTCATGCTCTTACACGAACTCTTCTAGATCAGAACATTCTCTTCTGCTTGTCTTCTCCTCCATAAGAGCAGGTGCAGAGCTGTGCTGAGTGGCTTGCAGAGCCAGTATGTGAATGGTGGTGATTCCTACTCATCTCCATTCACTCTAAGCAGTTTATCAAGATTCCTCATACAACTTTCGTACCTCCCAAATCAAAGTCTCATCAGAAATGCCCTGCCTAGTGCTCCTTCCCCACCCGTTCAGCATCTGTGATCTCTGCTCTGTCCCTTGGACGCCCTGGGCCTTGGCATACTGTGCCCGAGAACCGCTTCCACCCTCAATTCAAATGAGAGTTGCTGGGCAATCTTTCCTGCCTTCTACACACAATCCCCCACCCCAAATCCCAAATACACCCATGGGGATCTGAATGCAGCATGCCATCACCCATCTTATACGTAAAATGGGAAACAGAGCAAGACGTTCAGCTGGTGCATCTACACCTTTATCTCCGACGTTGCCAATTCCTCCAGCTAGCACCCAGATGAAAGGACCTCCCCCGAAGGGAGGATGCTGGTGGCAAGTCACAGGGCCTGCCCTGACTTCTGCCCCCTGCCATCCCCTCTTTTACTCACATCTGTAACTTGGTTCTTCCAAGATTTATTTACCTGGCTTGGAGTTGACACAAAGCTACAAAGAAAACCTAATATGTGGAATAACAGAGTCATGAGTTCCAGAGATGACACTTAATGGCTCAATGTGACATCCCTTACAAAAGCAAGAGTGATGGCCAGTGGGGAAGCAACACAGTTCCCAGGGCATGTAGTGGCTCAAGTCTTCTAAAAGCATGAAATGAGTCCCCTGTGGCATCTGGTTGCCAAAGGAGCTTCCACAGTCTCAGGCAATGTGAATAATGCTATTACATGTGCATTTACATTAAGACAAACTCTCATGCCACAGTGCAGATCACAGCAGTTAAGAAAGCAGGTTGAGGACTCCCACCTAAATGAAAACTCTGGCTTCTCCTTTTACTAGCTGCTAGAACATGGGCAAGCTATGAAACCTTTTTGAGAATCAAATGCCTCATCTATAAGATGGGGATAAAGCAAATACTTACTTACGCTCTAGGCTGCAGTGAAAATGAAATGAGTAAGTCCATGTAAAGCCCTGAGCAATGGTGCCAGGCACACAGGAAGCACTCAGTGAAGGGAGCAGGTACTGGTGACTCACCATTCTGCCAGCAGCCACTTTGCACTGGGCACCAGCACATACCAGCCCCCATCAGGAAATGTGCACAGTCCATCTCATCTTGTTTCATCTTCATTTTATTAATGAGGAACTGAGAGTCCAAGAAGGTTCAATCATTTGCTCAAGGACAAAGAAGTGCATATCAACTCAAGATCTGAGCGACTCCAAAGCCCAAGCTCTGTGCCCCCGATAACACTAAAGGGCTCTGGAACCTTCCCTCACTGTGCCAAATTCTGGTCACCACACTTTAGGAAAGGTACAGAGCAACTGGAACCTAGCCAGTGAAGAGCAAGTGCATGGTAGGTGGCAGCAGGAGGTCTGAGAAGAGTTGTTGTGGAAACACAGGCTCAACCTGGCTCTCTCTCAGCTTGCATGGTGGAAGGAAGGTTAGTGTGTGTAAAATGGACAAGAAGGCAGATTTCACCTCAAATTAAGGAAGGACATTTTAATCTCTGTTACTATTCCAAGGGTAGAAGTAAGGTGCTTCAGGAGGTAGTGAGTTCCCATCTGCAGGGATACTCAAACATCAGCTATAAGGTACTTCCTGGACAGGGGACCTGCTTGGTTGTTGGACTCAAAGACTTTTAGATTCTCATCCAAGCTAAGTCTACTATTTGAAGGTTGCTTTTGAAACAACATACTTCTATGAAAAAACTTCTACAGAAAGAACAAGCGACAAAGTCTGAAATCTCAAATGAAATAAAATAAATCACAGGTGTGGCCAGGTGCATTGGCTCGTGCCTGTAATCCCAGCACTTTGGGAGGCCAAGGTGGGTGGATCAATTGAGGTCAGGAATTCAAGTCCAGTCTGGCCAACATGGCGAATCCCCGCCTCTACTAAAAATACAAAAATTAGCCAGGCGTGGTGGTGCACACCTGCAGTCCCAGCTATTTGGGAGGCTGAGGCAGGAGAATCGCTTGAACCAGGAGGTGAAGGTTGCAGTGAGCCAAGATCGCACCGCTGCATTCCAGCCTGGGCAACAGAGTGAAACTCCGTTAAAAACAAATCATGGGTGTTATCTGGATAATATCACTGTGATGTGAAATGGTAATACACCGGAGAAAACGGAAGGAACCAACAAAAGCCCAGGAGTTCTCATACCAAAGAAAACAAGGAGGTTCTACCAGCTGCACTCAGATCTCATGGCCCAATGACAAAAACTTTTAAGGTCCCCCAAAGGCACATGTTAATTTACACTTATAGTAAAACCTCCTACTGGGTCCCTAAACTAGTCACATGTAGTTTCAACAAATCCATTCCCAAAGCAGTAAGCAAGACCGTAACACCAAAAGGAAGAATGAAGGTGAGGCTAACTAAGAACCACAGATAAAGCCCACCCTCTAAGAAAAGGAAGTTTGGGCTGGGCATGGTGGCTTATGCCGGTAATCCCAGCACTTTGGGAGGACGAGGTGAGCAGATCACGAGGTCAGGAGTTCGAGACCAGCCTGACCAACATGGTGAAACCCCGTCTCTACTAAAATTACAAAAATTAGCCGGGCGTGGTGGCACATACCTGTAATCCCAGCTACTCAGGAGGCTGAGGCAGGAGAGTCACTTGAGCTTGGGAGATGGAGGTTGCAGTGAGCTGAGATAGTGCCACTGCACTCCAGCCTGGGAAACAGAGTAAGACTCTGTCTCAAAAAAAAAAAAAAAAGGAAAAGGAAGTTTGGACACAGACACAGAATAAAGACCCCGTGAAGACACAGGGAGAAGATGACTGTCTGGGAGCCTCAGAGAAACCAACCCTCATGACGCCTTGATCTTAGGCTTCTGGCCTGTAGAACTGCCAGGAAAGAATATCTGCTTAGTTTAAGCCACAGCCCTAGCTGATGAACCCTTGCTCTCAATGGATGTAGCTCTCCCATTCACCTTTCACTTTTCTGAGATGCATTTAAAACCATTTGAATCCAAAGGTTCAAGTGTTATTTTAAACCACTCACCACCCCATCCCATTCAGTGCCTATCAACCACTTCCAAAAGCTTCCTCTGAAATCAGTAACTCACATTAGTTATACGTGCCCCAGCCAATTCTTTCTATGGAAAGATAGAATTATGAAATACGGCCAGGCATCGTGGTTCACGCCTGTAATCCCAGCTCTTTGGAAGTCTGAGGCAGGTGGATCACCTGAGGTCAGGAGTTCAAGACCAGGCTGGCCAATATGGTGAAAGCCCATCTCTACTAAAAATACAAAAGATTAGTCAGGCATGGTGGCATGCACCTGTAATCCCACCTACTCGGGAGGCTGAGGCAGGAGAATCGCTTGAACCCAGGAGGCAAAGGTTGCACTGAACTGAGATTGTGCCACTGTACTCCAGCCTGGGTGACAGAGCAAGACTCCATCTCAAAAAAAAAAAAAAAAAAAAAAAAATTATGAAATAAAACTTGAATGGGTAGAAACGTGGTACATATGAATTAGGTTTTCTCTGAGGCCAATTCTTCCACATTATGGAGCAAAAGCTAAGGTATTTTCTTACGACCAGGTTGGAAGCTGTAGGCGAGTGGGGACCTTATCTATCTGTCCAGTGCCATATCTGGGGCACATGGAATGCTGTCTGGCCAGCAAGTGGAATTCAATAAATATTTGTTGAGTTCAAGAACACCTGGCTTTTTTTCCCACAAGTAAACTGGAACATCTCATAGCAAAATATCAAATAAAGGAGAATATAAATACGCCAGTCAGTAACATAACTGCCACACTTGAACGACAAATTTCACTCTCAGCTTCCTCATAGCCAGGGCAACAATGGAAACCAAGCTTCTATTTATACTGATTTATGATGCAAAAAAAAAGTTCTCTAAATATTTACAAAATGGACATTGGGTAATAAAACCATGTCCCCAGCTGCATTTATACAAAAATGCAATAATGAAGTTTATATGTTCCTTTCACGAAAGTAAAATCTACTAATAAAAGCAGAGGGCATATACATAATACTAAACTTCAACCCAATTAGATCTATTACTATGAGAGGCTTTGTATATAGAGGCCCAAGGGTAACAAAATAGCAATCCCAACTTAACATAAGAATAAGACACTGGATGGACTACTTGTCTTTCTAAGGCAAGCCATTCTCACAAGTTTTACAACACACTGGTATGCCACAATCAAGTCTGAGGTGTATCTGAATTTCTTACCAATTATGTTATCAAACCTCCATGATAGCCCCCAATAATTCTTGCCTCCTGGACTCACCCTCATGTAGTCACCTCTCACAATGAATAATGCTGACGTGTAACCCACAGGATATTGCAGAAATGACAGAGTGTTACTTCTGGGATTATGTGATAAAATGACACTGCAGCTTTCCCCTGGTCTCCTGAATCATGTGTCCTGAGGGAAGTCAGCTGCCCTGTAGTGAAGGCATTCACGCACCCCTCAGAGAAGTCCACCTGGCAAGAAAAGCAGGCTTCCTGCCAGCAACGGCACCAACTTGCCAGGTATGTGAGTGAGGCAACTTGGAAGCAGGTGCTTCAGTCCCACCCAAGCCCTAGCGGGCATAATGACTGCAGCCTCAGGAAACCCTGAGACATACTGACACAGCGGAGACACTCTGGGATCCCTGACCCCCAGGAAGTGTGTATGGCAGTAAATGTTCATTTTTGTTTGGTTTGTTTGTTTTGAGATGGAGTTTCACTCTTGCTGTCCAGGCTGGAGTGCAATGGTGCGATCTCAGCTCACCGTAACCTCCGCCTCCCAGGTTCAAGAGATTCTCCTGCCTCAGCCTCCCGAGTAGCTGGGATTACAGGCATGCACCACCACACCCAGCTAATTTTGTATTTTTAGTAGAGATGGGGTTTCTCCATGTTGGTCAGGATGGTCTCAAACTCCCAACCTCAGGTGATCCGCCCGCCTCGGCCTCTCAAAGTGCTGGGATTACAGGCATGAGCCACTGTGCCTGGCCAGTAATGTTCCTTGTTTTCAGCCACTAAGCTTTGAGGCAATCTGTACTGCGGCAACACATAACAAAAACTAACAGATTCTGGTAACTGGAATTGGTATGCTTGCTAAAAAGAAAAAAAGAAAAATTCCTAAAATGTGTGAGTGACTTTGGAACGTGGCAATGGGCAGGAACTGGAAAGACTGTAAAAAGAGAGTTCGAAAACCCCTGAAGAGCCCTGGAAAAGCTAGAACCTGGAGGGCCTTTCAGGAGACTGTGGATGATGGTGTAGAGAGGAAAATGTTACTGGAAACTGGAAAAGGAGATCTTTGTTATTTCCTGATGGAAAGTTTAGCAACGCCATTGCCTGCTACAATGTGGGAGATGGAAAATGTACCTAAGGAGATGGCTGAATGTAGCTAAGGCAATTTCCAGAGTGTTGAAGGTCCCACCTATAAAATCCTTTGTTAAGAAGTCAGGAAAAAATCCAAGGCAATGGCTCAGAGAACAATTCTGGCAAACCAAAGGCCCTAAGAAGTAAGGGTGTTGTCCTTCAGCAGTCTCCACAGAAGTCTAATGTTTAAAAAGTGAACTCCAGTGAGATTCACAGGACATCCACAATGCTTTTAAAAGAATTACACCAGCAGAACCTCATCAGGTTGGACTCTTGGATTGAAAGGCACAGAAACAGTACAAAATGATTACTGGCAGGATACAGAGTGAGAAATCTATTCAGATGGAAACAGGTTAACTTTCACTGAAAAGAAAGAATGAATGTGTGACACAATGAATGCTTATTGTTTTCATATGCTAAATTTGGAGGCAATTTGTTACACAACATTAGATAACTATCATATTAATAATATACTTTTCCCCCAAAACATAATCATTTCAAGATTATTCCTCTAATTCCCTTGGATTCAAAAATACTTTTTTGAATAGAAAATAGTGAAGAAAGTCAAGTAAGGCAACTTACAGCCTTGTTTGTACTTAAAATGTATCGGGCATGTTACCGTCTGTCCTGTGTGGAAATATCAGAACAACAAAAAGGCTAAAAATGAGAGACTTGAAAGTTTTTCCCTAATATTTTTGGAAAGTAAAGGTTTGTCTTCCTACATGAGTAATACATTCAAATAGTTCAAAATAAATATATGAGAATGTACATCATAAAAACATCCCTCTCACCCTGCTCCTCAACCTGCCAGTCTCTCCCATCCCCTGCCACACCCACATCCAGAGCCCCCACCCTGCAGGGAACCACTACTGCTAGTTTCTTAGGAATTCTTCCCAAGTTTCTTATGGATCTACAAGCAAATATGAAAATCTCGTCTTATTTTCTCCCTTCTGACACAACAGGTAGGACATTTTACACAGTATTCTGCATCTTGGGAAGCTTTAAATTAGCTGGCAAGGTGTCCAATCAAGGCTCTATATTCTGGCAAAAGATCTGGATGACAGATGTTCTACAGAGCTCAATGGAGTCAGAGTCAAATGTTTTAAAGGATTAAAAGTCAAAATAAAATATGTATGAAATTCAACAACTCAAACTTCAATATCTATAAGCAAAATCTACCCAAACCAAAGAGTACATCCCCCAAGTTTCAATGGTTAAAAACAAAGTAAAACTCAAAATAATAATTAGTAGGAATCCTACCCATCCCTTAATAAAGGAACCAGCTGTAAAATCTGTTACAAATTGTACAATCTGACCTCACATAAATGATTAACAAAGACACTTGTCTCCATCTAACTCTGAGGTTTAGGTTCCTGAAAACTCTCTTAGGAGAATCAGCTGTTAATTAGTGTAAAATAAAAGATTCTCCTTTTAATAGAGAGAGAAAAAGAGTTGGTTGCAAAAATACAGTTTGGAAGTGAGCTATGAAAGCTGTTTAAAATAAGGAAAAGCACACTAAATACTGAATCAATGACACTCCATGTATCTTACCAACAATGGGACCTATATTTTCATTTACCTAATTCCCCATTTCACCCTCTTTCTTCTATAAATAAGGTTCAAAACTGTGACATCATCTCAGATGCCTCCGTTCTGAAGCTTGGGTTCGCTTTGCTTTTGCAAGGCCTCCAATCCTTTTACTTCCCTTGGGATCGCCTCATTATCTTGCACACTCATTTCCCTCAGCCTCTTCCCTCCTCAGTCCATCCTCCAGGGCGCAGAGATGAATTTTCCTGAAGCATGGTTTTACAGTGTCACCCTCGGTTCAGCCCCCAGAATGACCCCCCTACGCTGGGTAGAGGACCAAGTCCACACTGCTGCCTGGCACACGGCCCTCCACACTGACCCCATCCCATACCTCTGTGCACACCTGCTGCGTCACATCTGTGGTCCGCGCATCTTTACCGATGCATCTCCACTCATATCAGTCCTCACTCCCAACAGATAACCATTGTTCTCATTGGGTTGAACCATGTTCCCCCAGAATTCACATTGGAGCCTTAACCTTCACTACCTCAGAATGGGACTGTATTTGGAGACTGGGACTTTAAAGAAGTGATTAAGTTAAAATGAGGCCATTACGCTGGGCTCTAATCCAGTAGAGCTGATGAGGAAATGTGGACACGCAATGAGACACTAGCGGATATTTGTGCCCAAAGACAAGACCAGGCTGGGCGCAGTGGCTCACACCTGCAATCCTAGCATGTTGGGGGGCTGAGGTGGGAGGATCACTTGAGCCCAGGAATTCAAGACCAGGCTGGGCAACATAGGAAGACCCAGTCTCTACCAAAATTACGAAACTTAGCTGGGCATTGCGGCACACACCTGTAGTCCCAGCTACTCTGGAGGCTGGGGTGGGAGGATCTCTTGAGCCCAGGAAGTTGAGGCTGCAATGAGCCATGATCATACCACTGCATTCCAGCCTAGGTGACAGAGGAAGACCCTGTCTCAAACACACACACACACACACACACACACACACACACACACAAAAACCCCACAAGATATAGTGAGAAGGTGGCCAGGTGGCCATCTGCAAGCCAAGGAGAGAGGCTTCAGGGAAAACCAAACCTGCTGACATCTTGATTTTGGACTTCTAGCCTCCAGAACTGTGAGAAAATAAATGGTTACTGTTTAAGCCACCCAGTGTGTGGTGTTTTGCTATGGCAGCCCTCAAAAACTAACACACCACCACCCCCATCTTTCCTTCTACAATGCTAAACCTCATCCAATTTTTCATGGTTTTATTTAGACATAATTTATACACAATTTACCCATTTAGAGTATACAATTAAATCGTTTTGAGTATATCCACAGAGTCGTACAAGCATCCTCATAATCTAAGAATATTTCATCACTTGAGGAAAAAAAATCCTGTACCCATTAGCAGTTAGTCCTTGTTTCCTTCCTCTTCCAGCCCTATGCCACCACTAATCTACTTTCCGTCTCTGTGGATTTGCCTGTTCCAAACATTCCATATAATCACACAATATGTGGAATATGTGGAATCACACAATATGTGGTCTTTTGTGCCTGGATTCGTTCAGTTCCCATAATGTTTTCCAGGTTTATGCATTTTGTATGCTGCCTCTTAAATCTATAAGCATTTTCTTTTCTTAAAAAAAAGCTTTGGGCCGGGCGCACTGGCTCACGCCTGTAATCCCAGCACTTTGAGGGGCTGAGGCAGGTGGATCACCTGAGGTCAGGAGTTCAAGACCAGGCCGGCCAACATGGTGAAACCCTGTCTCTACTAAGAATACAAAAATTAGCCAGGCATGGTGGAACATGCCTGTAGTACCAGCTACTTGAGTGGCAGGTTCATCCATATTGCAACATGTATGAATGTTTCACTCCATTTTATGGCAGCATAGCATAGCATTCATTGTATGGATATACCACATTTTGTTTATCCACTCATCAGCTGACGAACATTTGATTTTTTTCTGTTGTTGTTGTTTTGTTTTTTTTGTTTTTTGAGATGGAGTCTCGCTCTGTCGCCCAGGCTGGAGTGCAGTGGTGCAACCTCTGCTGACTGCAAGCTCTGCCTCCCGAGTTCATGCCATTCTCCTGCCTCAGCCTCCTGAGTAGCTGGAACTACAGGCACCCGCCACCACGCCCGGCTAATTTTTTTGTATTTTTAGTAGAGACAGGGTTTCACTGTGTTAGCCAGGATGGTCTCGATCTCCTGACCTCGTGATCCACCCGCTTCAGACTCCCAAAGTGCTGGGATTACAGGCGTGAGCCACCGCACCCGGCCCCTGGTTTGTTTCTGTTTTTTGAGCCCACCTAAATTTAAAGTCTTACTTCCATCCCATAGCATGAACTAATTTAGAGGTATACTCCCTCCCCTTCCAAAATCCCATGCAACAATGTATAAATCATTTAGATCAGTACCTCGTGCCAAATCATTACACAATTAGTTATTATCATGTTACTGTGAACCACTGCAGCACTTCTCGTATATATACCACTAACTGGGCCATTCTTCATGATCACTGATCTTTTCTGTTCATTCAGTCAATAAACATTTATTGAGCCTTTACTGGTATTAAATGGTATTAAGCCACCGGTTAACAAAACAGGTACCCTCTCTACCCTTAGAAATCTTAACCTGTTAAGATTCCTACTAAGAATTTAAGTTCCTGCTAAGAATGTATACGCTTTTGACTGATTAACAGAAACTGATAGGAAGGGACATTTAAAAAGAATGATTGATGAATGAAACTGCTTCCCATCACCTTATTTGTAATACAGAAATATTAGAAACAGCCCAAGAACACAAAAATATGTATCAAATAACTAAGTGAACATCCACACGATGGGACGCTTTGCAATCATGTACAATATTTATCAAAGCTTTTTTTTTTTTTTTTTGAGATGGAGTCTTGCTCTTGTCACCCAGGCCAGAGTGCAGTGGTGTGATCTCAGCTCACTGCAACCTCCACTCACTGCAACCTCCGCTTCCCAGGTTCAAGCAATTCTCCTGCCTCAGACGCTCAAGTAGATGGGACTACATGTATGCACCACCATGCCCGACTAATTTTTGTGTTCTTAGCAGAGACGGGGTTTCACCATGTTGGCCGGGCTGGTCTTGAACTCCTGACCGCAGGTGATCCACCTGCCTCAGCCCCCCAAAGTGCTGGGATTACAGGCATGAGCCAATGCACCCAGCCCAAAGCTTTTTTTTAAGAAAAGAAAATGCTTATAGATTTAAGAGGCAGCATACAAAATGCATAAACAGTACTATCTCGATGTGTAAAATAATATTTATTAGAAGGCCTGTAATCCCAGCACTTTGGGAGGCAGAGGCGGGTGGATCACGAGGTCAGAAGTTCGAGCCCAGCCTGGCCAACATGGTGAAACCCCGTCTCTACTAAAAATACAAAAATTAGCCGGGCGTTGTGGCAGGCTCCTGTAATCCCAGCTACTTGGGAGGCTGAGGCAGGAGAATTGCTTGAACCCGGGAGGCAGGGGTTGAAGTGAGCTGAGATCATGCCATTGCACTCCAGTCTGGGCGACAAGAGCAAGACTCCATCTCAAGAAAAAAAAAAAAAAAAAAATATATATATATATATATATATATTCATCAGAAAGCAATTAGAATAAAAAGACTGCAAACTGTATATTTAGTCCTGGATTACAATCATTTCCTGTACCATTCCTTTTTAAAATGCAAACAAAATGCATTATTTCACTCTAAAATACAATAAATAGCCCTATCACACACAATGAGAGATTATTAGATTAGGTAGTTACCACCAACTATTAGGATGGTGTCATTGAGGTAAATAGGCAATTTCAATTCTATGCAAAACGCATTTGTTATGGAGAAACTGCCTGGAAAAAAACCAGAAAGTTCAGCACAGAGTCAGCCAACTCTTAATTTTTTTCTATAATAATTAAGGTAAGTGCTCCGAAGCAGGGACAAGGGTTCAGCCTGTACCACATAGGTTCAGAAACAAAAGTGGAAAAACAAAACATAAATCAAGGCTGCAGTTCAGCATCAGGGCAGGAAAAGATACGAGATTCTGTGTGTTTTGCTTTGTTTTGACCGAGTTAATTCCAGCATCCAGATTTCCTAAAGTGTTCAAACGTCCTTTTGTGCAAATAACAATAAATTCTCTGCTTTAAAAAATGGGTGGTGTTCCAGCTGGGTGCGGTGGCTCACACCTGTAATCGTAGCACTTTGGGAGGCCAAGGCGGGTGGATCAGGAGGTCAGGAGATCGAGACCTTCCTGGCTAACACGGTGAAACCCCGTCTCTACTAAAAATATAAAAAATTAGCCGGGCGCGGTGGTAGGCACCTGTAGTCCCAGCTACACGGGAGGCTGAGGCAGGAGCATGGCGTGAACCCAGGAGGCAGAGCTTGCAGTGAGCCGAGATCGCGCCACTGCACTCCAGCCCAGACGACAGAGCGTGACTCCATCTCAAAAAAAAAAAAAAAAAAAAAGGGTGGTGTTCCAAAATTTCATTTGGAAGCTAGTTGTCTAAAACTCAGAATGCATGTTCCCAAATAGAAATGAAGTGCCAAAACTAGACCACAAATGTCTCTTAATGCACACTGTAGCTGAGAAACCCTAGGTTTTTTATTCATTGAAAGTAGCAGAGAACACTGTTACTGTAACATTATCATATAGGAGGCTTTCAAAGACCCAGACAACTTTTTATTTCTGGAGTTCCGATGCTGAGGACTCCGGCCCTCACATTTCATACCCCCCAGCCCTCTACCACCTCCCAATTCTACCTCTCCCCACTCCCAGTGAAACTGCTTTCTTAAGAGCTTGATGGGGCTGCTTTAGGGAACTGTTGCCCTCACTTCCTGGTAGGGTTTGAGGAAGATCAAGGGAAATAACAGTTGTCCTGGGGCAGCTCCCAGGCTCCAACTCACTCCACCAGTTACTAAATGATGGCTTTCTTTTGTCTTTTTCTTGCTTGCTTAATCTTGATGGTTAACACACACACCACCCTCTCGCTCCTTATTTAGAGCAGTCAAGTGAAGCTACACATCCCCGCCTGAGGGCATCTGTCCCTAATAAGCCTGCAGGTACAGGAATGAAGTACATTTGCCTTCTCGCTCATCTGGCCCTGCTCTCTATAGCAATATCTGTCTTCTTCCTAACAGTTCTTCCAACAAATGATCCACATGGTGGTTCCAGCTAATGAATATATAGCCTCTCACCTTTCCAGACCAGAAAGTCTCTAGGGAATAAGGATCTCTAACAGAAATAATCCCACTTTACTGCCCATATCAAACCCACAAGCTTCAGGTTATCAAACATGTGAGAACCAAAAACCTCAAAGGGTGGATGTCAAACCTAAATCTTTTACCAGAACTCTGAAACCTGAGTAAGAGACGCTCGTGTGAAACTGCTGTGCATATGCCGGAGCCAGGTGTCTGGCATCTCACCCAGGTGGGCTCCCCATCTACAGAGAATCCTAGGCAGGGTGCAGTGGCTCACACCTTTAATCCCAGCACTCTGGGAGGCTGTGGTGGAGGACTGCTTGAGGCCAGGAGTTCGAGACCAGCCTGGGCAAGACAGTGAGACCCGGTCTCTACAAAAAATTTAAAACTTAGCAAGGCACGGTGTTACGCATGGCAACTACTCAGGAGGCTGAGGGAGGTGAGAGGATGGCTCGAGCCCAGGAGTTCAAGGCTACAGTGAGCCATGATCGTGCCACTGCCCCCCAGCCTGGGCAACAGAGTGAGGCTCTGCCTCTAAAAATAATATTAATGTTATTATTTGTATTATTATTAAAACAAAGAGAATTCTGCATGAGCACTGAATGCCAGTTTCTCATACTTCTCTGGGGACTACCTTCATTGTCCCTGCTGTCCCTCTCCAATGACACATTCCGTACAGAGTTCCCATGCTCATACCTCACCCAGTTTAAAAAGGGAAAAGCAAAATCAAAACCTCCACAATCCCAGTCCCAGGGAAATGACCCCTCCGGTTCCTCACACATACTCCCCACCAACTCTCATTCTTGAAGCCCACAAATGCCTCCAACTCCACAGCCCATGTGGTGCATGCGGGGAGGTGGCCAAGTGATCGGAGCCCAGAGGGCAGGGTGCCTGCATCCCATCGAGGTCTGCCACTTCCCAGCTATGACTTGGGGCAAATCACCAACCTCTCTGAGGCTCAGTTTCCCCATCTGTATACCAGGGATAATAGCAGTTACCTAAGTTATAGGGTGTCGTGAAAGTTGAAAGTGAGAGTTTTTAAGATCTCAGGGGCAGTAAGTACACTGTGAGTGTTTGTTACATAAAATTACTGAGGAAGCGTATGAACACTGCTGTTACCACGCCCATCACTACTGCCATTTCAGATTCCCAGAAGCCTTTTTCCAGAAAGCTCCACACCAGAAGTACAGACTCCTAAAGATGAACCCTTAGGAATATCCAAGCACCTCTTTCATTTTAGATATGAAAAAATGAAGGAAATTACAATCAGAGACATTAAGCCACTTGCCCAAGGATACATCGTAATTAAACCCCGGAACTGAGCCAAGACTCCCAAGAAGGTTGCCTCATCAGCAGGACCTGCTGGTTATCTGCAGCTCACACACACCCCGCAGACACGGGTGTCTTCGCACATCGCCACACCCAGAACTAACAAGAACACCTTCTGGCACTGGGAGTGCCTGGTACATTTTATCCACACAGCTCCCGTTCATAGTCTCATTTAATCTTCCAACAGCCATACAGGTATTATTTTCCCTCAATGACAGGTGTGAAATGAACTGACACCTATCCAGAGACTAAGCCCAGTTCCGCCCATTGCAATCCAGCAGTCTGTTTTCACCACCATATTGTCTCATCAGGTCCCTGAAATCAACCAAGCAGGAAACGGACTGACCAATACCACGTTTCACCTTCATCTTCCTCCTCCCTCGGAGGGGCCAGAGCAAATCCTGTCACCTACTGGCTCCCCACATCACTTTCACCTCAAGAAAAGAACTGCCCTTTATTTCTGTAAGCTTTCTGTTCCATTGTACATATTGTTTTCCTAAAAACTAGTCAAACGTGGACTAAGTAGTCAGAGCATTACTAGAAATGCATCTTACTCAAGAGACAGGTAAAGCCATTCACTGTGGAGTCAAGTGAGACCTTCAGGAAAAATGCCCCCATTCTCCCAAGACACTCAGAAAATTCTACACAGAGCAACTACTGAGAGAAGCCCTCAGCGGTCCCCCCTCACCCAGCTCAGCACATCCCTGCCACCCTGCAGGACAGGGCCTGGGACACAGTTACCTGCCAAAGAATCCTGCTTTTCATTCATTACATTCATCCCAAAGCATCATGTTCTGTTTTTCTTTGATATCATATTTAAGATATATTAAAAGAAACTAAAGGCCACCAGCAACATTACCTTTTCAAGTAAATTCACTCAAAGTTTGAGATTACTGACCATCTAACAAGCTTTTAGAAATCAGCTTATTTTAATAAATTAGGTACTTTCTGGAGCATAAATCTGTATTTGACGGAAACCAGGTAGGCAGTGATGAGATTGTCTCTAAAGGTCTCATTTGGCTCTTAAAAATTCATTTCATGTTGTCATTTTAGTTTTTACTTTTTATTTTTATTTTGGTTTGTCTGGAGTCATCTGGAGCAAGCAATTTTCTTTTAGGCAAAAAAAAAAAAAAAAATACGTTTCTCAGCCTCAGCACTATTGGCATTTTGGTCCAGATAACTCCCCATCCTGTGGGGCTGTCCGGTGCATTACAGGATGCTCGGCAGCATCCCTGATCTCTCATCACTAGATGCCCCCTGGTGTGATAACCAAACCATCCCAGACATTGTCCAATGTCTCTCGAGGCACAAAACTGCCCCTGGTTGAGAACCACTGTTTTAAACAAAAGATTCCAAGAAAACCAAAAATGGAGCTCTATGGTCAGGTTAAAGATAACTGCCCACCTCTGCATTTTAGGTGAGGATTAGCTATGAAGTAATCGGGAAGCGCTCCCTGGGGCAGAAGATCCCAAACCCGATGCATCACAAGAAGCACTTGGGAGCTTTTCAAAGTACTGATTCCTGGGCCTGCCCCATCCTTCTAACTCAGAAACTATCATGGCGCTTGGAATTTAATCTTGAAAAAAATCCCTGGAAAAGATCCAGAAACAAAACAAATATTAAACTGTAGTTAACGACGTGCACACTCAGTGTTTAGGACTGTACTGTACCGATGTCTATCACATGCTTTGAAACGTATTCCAAAAAAAGAGATTCCAGTACTTTGGGAGGCCGAGGTGGGTAGATTGCTTGAACTCAGGAATTCCAGGCCAGCCTGGGCAACATGGCAAAAGCCTATCTCTATAAAAAATACAAAAATTAGCTGGGCATGGTAGTACATGCCTGTAGCTCCAGCTACTCAGGAAGCTGAGGCCAGAGGATCACTTGAGTCCAGGAGGTCAAGGCTGCAGAGATCACACCACTGCACTCCAAACTGAGTGACAAAGTGGGACCCTGTCTCAAAAAAAAAAAAAAAAAAAAAAAAAAAAAAAGCCGTTATGAGGCTGGGTATGGTGGCTCACGCCTGTAATCCCAGCACTTTGGGAGGCTGAGGCGGGCAGATTACCTGAGGTCAGGAGTTCAAGACCAGACTGGCCTGTTAGCAAAACCCCATCTCTACTAAAAATACAAAAAATTAGCCGGGTATAGTGGCGCGCACCTGTAGTCCCAGCTACTCAGAAGGCTGAGGCAGAAGAATTGCTTGAATCCAGGAGGCAGTGGTTGCAGTGAGCTGAGATCATACCACTGCACTCCAGCCTGGGTGACACAGCAAGACTCCATCTCAAAAAAAAAAAAAAAAAAGCAGGTATATTAAAATGTTCATTGCAGAATCCATGTGGTTGGTATATGGGTGCTCACTGTACATTCTTTACCTTTTCTGCAGGCTTGAAATTTTTCATAATAAAGCATTAGGGGTGGGGGAACTGGAGCCATTCTGGAGATCAGCAGGATCTGAAAACCACTGAAACAGGAGTTCCAACTCCAGCCCGCCCGCCCGCTGAAAGACACAGGCTCACCTCACTGAGCTCTCAGTTTACCCACTACTCAAAGGTATGTCCAAAAATGAAAGAAAATGGATCCAAACCTCAAACAGGATTTTTAAAAAGTCTTTTGGCCCTTTTCCCAACGTGGTCCTGCTACCATTTGCTGTATATCCTAATATTCCACTAAAAGAAAGCAAAACTTACCACCTTGCCTAATTTTGTTTCAGTTTTTCTGGTTAATAGACTCAAGCCTGGGGCAGAATCTTTCATCAGCTACTAAAGGTTTTTTTATGCTTTACTGCACCCAGTTTTAGAAACGAAGGTGTTCTATTATGTATTACGAATGGAATCAAGGGTTTGCTCTTCATGTGACATCAGCTACTCACTCTGCCTCCCCAGATTAGTTTATGCAACTCAAATTACTAACATCCTGCTACAGTCTGGCTTAATCCCAAAATACAACACCTTCTAGCTTGCATATTTGTAGGCTTCTCATTTAATCAAAAAATCCTGACCACAAAAAAAGCAAACAGCAACATTTTCACTGAGCCCTGGTTCAAGCAATCCAGGGAAATCACTCTTTAGTAATCTAGTTCACTATATTTATCAAGTGGTGTGAGATTTCTCTTGATGCCAACAATGGTTATTTTCCATCGTGCTTTGTGCCAACCTAACGATCACTTTGTATTGCTAAACCGGGGGAAAATCAGTAAGAAAATAACATGATCTCCAGCTATCATCTGGAGGGGTCTCGCCCTGTCACTCACGCTGGAGTGCCGTGGTGCAATCATGGTTCACTGCAGCCTCAATTTCCTGGATTCAAGCAATCTTCCTGCCTCACTCCCGAGTAGCTGGGACTACCAGTGCACACCACCACCACCAGCTAATTTAAAAAAAAAATTTTGTAGGGATGGGGGTCTTGCTATGTTAGCCCAGGCTGGTCTCGAACTCCTTTTCTCAAGTGACCCTCCCGCCTCAGCCTTCCAAACCTCTTGGATTACAATCATGAGGCGCCACACCCAGCCTGAAAAAAATACTCTTAAAAGTACTTCCCAGCTAGATGCAGTGGCTCACACCTGTAATCCCAGCATTTTGGGATGCTGAAGTGAGGGGATCCCTTGACCCCACAAGTTTGAGGATGCAGTGAGCTATGATCACACCACTGCACTCCAGCTTGGGTGATGAAACGAGCAAAACTCTATCTCAGAAACAAACTAAGGCTGGATGCGGTGGCTCACGCCTGTAATCCCAGTACTTTGTGGGGCTGAGGAGGGTGGATCACAAGGTCAGGAGTTCGAGACCAGCCTGGACAACATGGAGAAACCCCATCTTTACTAAAAAAGTAGAAAAAGTAGTCGGGCATGGTGGTGTGCGCCTGTAATCCCAGCTACTCAGGAGGCTGAGGCGGGAGAACTGTTTGAACATCCAGGAGGCGAAGGCGACAGAGCAAGACTGTCTAAAACACAAACTAACTAACTAAAAAATGACTTCCCCTTTGCTCTCTAGGACGAGAAGTCTCTGCTACTACGACGCTTTCTGGTCCTAAAACTCCATCATAAATTGGATCTGTTCAAAGCATGCTCCCTCCCAAGAGAATGGTGCGTAAGATGAACCCAAACAGATATCTGACATATGTGCTAGGTTATTATTATTGTTATTTTGACCTAACAACCACTGTCCATCCAACTCTTCACCTATGGAGAAGCTTCTCTCACACTCCACACTCCTGAATTATCAATGCCTCTTTTGTATTTTCCACCATCCTCTTCCTTTCAGCCTATCATCTTTTACATATTGAAACTTTCACAGCCAACCCTGTGCCTAGATACCCCTGTATCTTCTCTTCAATTTCCCTGCCATTTGGGCTTCATCTTCTTGTCTTAATATACAGCATCAGTCGTATCCCTCAACCACCAGAGACAAGAATCTGTTTTATTCTTCAAAACAAATTATCATTCCTTACTTTGTAATCATTTACTCATTTTTAGTGTCTCAAGCCATCCATCAGGCAGATACTTTTTGATACCCTCAAATTACCCAAGATCATCTCTATGGCCTTGTTCTTCATTGTGTCACTTATTTTAAAAATTCTTAGTGGCCAGACACACTGCCTCACGCCTGTAATCCCAGCACTTTGGGAGGCCGAGGTGAGCGGATCACAAGGTCAGGAGATGGAGACTATCCTGGCTCACATGGTGAAACCCCAACTCTATTAAAAAAAAAAAAAAAAAAAATACAAAAAATTAGCCAGGCATGGTGGCACGCAACTGTAATCCCAGCTACTCAGGAAGCTGAGGCAGGAGAATTGCTTGAACCCGGGAGGCAGAGGTTGCAGTGAGCCGAGATGGCATCACTGCACTCCAACCTGGGACAGAGTGAGACTCTGTCTTAAAAAAAAAAAAAAAATCTTAGCATGATTTTGGGAGGATAAGAGCAAAATGACAGAATACAAGTAGTGAGAATGGGAGGAAACATCTGATAGGTCTGCCATCAATGGAAACTTAAGCTCACCTGTTAGATGAGTGTGGCCCTACAGCTCACATTGCCCTTTTAACTAACTTCCTCATTCAGGAATTGAGGGATGCTCCAATGCTGCTCCCTCAACCCAGGAACAGGGAAGCAGACCCTGCCAGTGGCAGTCCAGTGGACAGGGAAAATCCTAAGCAGATTTTGGAATTCTACATAAGGTACAAATGCCCCAAGTTTGCACAAGCCAGATATTTCAGCTTAATGCACCGCTTTACTAATACCTTAGGTGTATCTGGATGCGCTCTTAACTGTATATTGTTTTTAAATACGTTTTATTGAGATTTCATATACCATAAAGTCTGCCCCTCTCAAATGTATAATTCATTGATTTTAATGTGTCTCCAAAACTATGCATCTATCACCATTAGCTAATCACAGAAAATTTCATCATCCCAAAGGAAACTCTATACCCACTACCATCACACCCTATTCTCCCCTCCCACCAGCCTCCAGCACATATTAACACTCATCTATTTCTTGTCTCTGAATTTGCTTATTCCAGAATTTTCAAATAAACGTGTGGCCTTTTGTGTCTGACTTCTTTCACCTACCATACGTTTTCAAGGTTCATCCATGCATTTATCTGAGCTTAGTGGTTTAATGGCTGAATAATATCCCATTGTATGGATATACCACATCTTCTTTATCCATTCATGTCCTAACACCCCTGTCAAAAACACAACTGACTGTAAAGTTAAGGGTCTATTTCTGGACTCTCAATTCAATTCCATGGATCTCTATGGCTGTCCACACAGTAGTACCACACTGTCTTGATAACTGTAGATTTGTAGCAAAGCTTTGAAATTGAGAAGTGTGAGTCTTCCAGCTTTGTTCTTTTTCAAGGTTGTTTTGGTTATTCTGGGTCCCTTACATTTCCATGTGATTTTTAAAATAAACTTGTTAATTTCTGAGAAAAAAAAAAGCCAGCTGGGATTTTGTAGGTATTGCACTCCATCTGCAGCTCAATCTGGGGAGTATTGGCCGTATTAACAATGTAAGTCTTCTAATCCGTGAACATGGAATGTCCTTTCTTTTGTTTTTTAGGTCTTCTTTACTTTCCTTCAAGAATGTTTTATAGTTTGTGTACAAATCATAAACTTATTAAACTTATTCCCAAGTATTTTATTCTTTTTGATACTACTGTATCATGGAATTGTTTTATTAATTTCATTTCTGGATGCTTCAATGTTCTTGTATGTACAAGCTTGTAAACTCAATTATTAGTTCAAGATTTGTGTGTGTGTGTGTGTGTGTGTGTGTGTGTGTGCGCGCGCGCGCGCGCCTTAGGATTTTCTATATACAAGATCATGTCAACTGTAACTACAGATACTTTTCTAGTTATAGTTCTATTCCAATCTCCATTACAATCTCAATGCTTTTATTTATATTACTATTTTATTTTTACTAATTGTCCTAGATAGAATCTCCAGTACAATGCTACATAGAAGTGGTGAGAATGACTATCCTTGTCTCACTCATAATCTTAGGAGAAAGCATGCAATTTCTCACCATGAAGTATGATGTTAACTGTGAGTTTTTCATAGACAGTCTTTATCAAATTGTAGAATTTTCCTTCTATTACTAGTTGATAGTTTTCATCAAGAAAAAGTACTGAATATTATCAAATGATTTTCCTGCATTTACTGAGATGATCATGTGGTTTTTGTCTTTTATTCTATTAACATGACAGATTACATTGAGTGGTTTTGGTATGGTGAACCAAGTTTTTGTTCCTGGGATAAATTCCACTTTGTCACGGTGTACAATCCTTTTTTTATGACAGAATACAAGTAGTGAGAATGGGAGGAAAGCTAGCATTGCACTGAGGATTTTGGCCTCTGTATTTATAAGGGATATTGTTCCATAGTTTTCTTGTGATGTCTTTAGTTTGGTATCAGGTTAATTATAAAATTTTGAAAGAGTTTATAATAATACTCGGTAGAATTCACCCAGTGAATTTACCCAGTAAACCATGTGACCCAGTATTTTTTGGTGGAAGGTTTCCTGATTGCTATTTCAATCTCTTTACCTGTTATTGGCCTATTCAGATTTTCAAATTCTTTAGTCAGTTATGGCCATTTGCATCTACATGAATTTGTATAAATTCCATTTAGGTTACCTAATTTGTTGGCATACAACTTGATATGGTTTGGCTCTGTGTCCCCACCCAAATCTCACCTTGAATTGTAATCCCCACATGTCAAGGGCAGGATAAGGTGGAGATAACTGAATCATAAGGGAAGTTTCTCCCATACTGTTCTCATGGTACTGAATAAGTCTCATGAGATCTGATGGTTTTATAAATGGGAGTTCCCCGGCACAACTCCTATTCTTGCCTGGTGCCATGTAAGACATGACTTTGCACCTCATTCGCCTTCTGCCATGATTGTGAGGCCTCCCCAGCCATGTGGAACTGTAAGTCAATTAAACCTCTTTCCTTTATAAATTACTCAGTCCCAGGTATGTCTTTATTAGCGGCATGAGAACAAACACACAACTATTCACAGTATACCTTCTTTTTCCCTTTACATCTTCCCTCTTCTGGGACTCCCATTATGGGTATGGTTGATGATGTTACACAGGTCTCTAAGGCTTTGTTCATTTTTCTATTCTTTTATTTTTGCTGTTCAGACTGAACTATCTCAAATGACCTGTCTTCCAGTTCACTGATTCTTCTGCCAGTTCATACCTGCTAAGCCCCTCCAGTGAATTCTTCATTTCAGTTACTAGAGTTTATGACTCCAGAATTTCTATTGGTTCTTTTTTTTATAATCTCTACTTCTTTATTCCCATTCTCTGTTTGGTCACCCAATATTTTTTTTAAGAGGCAGAGTCTTGCTCTGTCACCCAGACTGGAGTACAGTGGCCTGATCATGACCATGGCTCACTGCAGCCTCAAACTCCTGGGCTCAAGCAATCCTCCTGGCTTCAACCTCACAAGCATATTTTCATGTGATTCTTTAGACATGCTTTCCTATAGTTATTTGAACATAACTTTCATAGTGACTTAAGTTTTAAGTATGCCCAACATCTGCGCTTCATCAAGGACAGTTTCTATCCTAGAAACTAGGCAGAAACCGAGGTGTGTGTGTGTGTGTGTTTTTTTAACCTGTATATGGGACATATCTTCCTGTTTCTTGAGATAGCTTCTAATTTTTGTCAAAGACTAGAAATTTTATCTAATACAATGTGTCAATTCTAAAAATCAAATTCTTCCCCCATCCCAGGGTTTGTTTTGTTGCTATCTGATTAGTGATTTTCAGGAACTAATTCTATAAAGTCTGTTTGTTTTGTTTTTTGTTTGCCATGTATGGCCACTGAAGACTCTTAGTTTAGTGGTTCGCTAGTAACTACACAGAGATTTCCTTACATGCCTTGAATTAATAAATTTTCCAGCCTTTACTAAGGGTGGGTGGGTGGGTAGGTGAGAGGGCGTGTGGGTGTGGGTATTGGGGCATGCCTTCAACACTCTGCTGAATGGTTTATAATTCTACCTTAGTCTTCCTTGAGGCTTGCATAAAGCCTCAAGATCGCCACAGCAGAGAAGGTAGAGCCTTCTCAGAATGCTCAGAGCCTTCTAGATTCCCAGGAATATGTTGGAGCTTTTTGAAGTCGTCAAGGAACATTTACTTCTCCATTTTAAAAAAACTGTTTGAGCCTGGGTAACATAGGGAGACTCCATCTCTACAAAAAAAATTAAAAGATTAGCTGGGCATGGTGGCACATATCTGTGTTCCCACCTACTTGGGAAGCTGAGGTGGGAGGACCAATCACTTAAATTCAGGAGGTTGAGGCTGCAGTGAGTCACGATTACACCACTGCACTCCAGGCTAGGTGACAGAGAGAGACCCTGTCTCAAAAAAATAAATAAATAAATAAATAAAATAAAAATAAAAAATTTTTTGGTCAGCCACTTGGCCTCAATTAGCAACACCACCTCAGACAGCTGTGATTAAACAACTACCACCGATTGTTTTCAACAAATGCTCAGCAGGTAGAGCTGTTTGCACAATGTGAGCTGACCTGTGTTGGGTGAAACAAAGACAAAGCCCTCAGAAAGGCCCTTTCAAGCAAGCTGCCAAATGGTCGAATTGTGACATTTCTTTGAGGATGGTCCTTCAAGAGCTCCAGTTCTGTTCTGTCCCTTCCAGTGGTTTAACAGACTTCTGAGTTTCACAGCTGCCATGGCTGTGAGGCTGCTGGTTTTCAAGGCCACCAAGGAGGTGGTCAGGGGCCGGGAATGGGATTGCAGCAGGTTAAAACACAAGGTTCACTGTTCCTACTGAGATCCCAGTGTTTTCTTGAACAATCATTCCTCAGATTGCTAGAAATCTTTAACTAATTTCCATGGTTCTGAAAAACTTGAAATTAATAGGTTTTGCCAATGTTCTCACTGCTTTTATGAAGTAGATTTTCAGATGTCCTTAATCCACTATCCAGCATTCCAAGGCCCTAATCTGTACTGGGGGTGAAATTTCAGTGGGATATTTACCATTATTTTAAACTCAGTATCAGTGTTACTCAGTTACAGCATTAACACTTCCCATTCGTGTGCTGAGAGACTGCTGCTTTTTTAACAACAGAAGCAGTCCACAAAAGATCTAGAAAATTCACAATCACTGCCCTCTATCCAGCCAAACTTTCTTCCAGGGGAATCCCTAGGACTGCTTCCTAAAACTGAGCTGACAAAATAATTAGAACCTGGAATACTTTTAGTTATCAGTTTCCCACATTACTAAATTTCTACTGGCTTCAACATCTGAAAGTTGGTTCCTGGTGAGATAACCTCAATTTCAGTTCTAACACTGGTGGAGCTCAGCTACTTGCAGAGTTGTGAAAATCAAGCTTTATCAACTGCACTCCCACACTGTTGACACTTGCTGAGGAAGGGCATGAGGAGCTGGTTGTCCCTTCTGATAAACTATTCAAGAGAAGAGGGTATAACAGGGAACCACAGGGGAACATATATTTTCTTTCCTATTTTTTTTTTTTTTTTTTTTTTTGGAGACAGATTCTCACTCTATCACACAGGCTGGAGCACAGGGGTACGATCTTGGCTCACTGCAACCTCCACCTCCCAGGTTCAAGCGATTCTTGTGCCTCAGCTCTGAAGTAGCTGGGACTACAGGTGCACATCATCACACCCAGCTAATTTTTATATTTTTAGTAGAGACGGGGTTTTGCCATGTTGGCCAGGCTGATCTTGAACTCCTGACCTCAAATGATCTGCCTGCCTCAGCCTCCCAAAGTGCTGGGATTACAGGCGTAAGCCACTGTGTCTGGCCAGGAACGCTTCTTTCCAAAAGGAGCATGAAGGACCTGGAGGGTCCACTTTGCCCCATTAACAGAGTATTCCCACCCACTCAGGATCAAGGCTGAGCCATGGCCACCCACTGACATCTCTCAAGCCTCTCCTATGTCTCCTGCAGAGCAATTTTGAATCAACGGAAAATAACCAACCCAAGACAGTAGAGAAATGCTCACATTTTTCTCTGAGTGGTACAAAATCATATTCTTTCCTTCCTCATCTAGCTCTCTCACTTTGCAAGTAAATCATTTTTCCATCTGCTGAGACTAAAAGCAAATCATGATTAAGAACAGAGATGTTTCTGTCCTTAATGTTTAAGAATTCTAGGAGTTCGGCTGTGAGCGGTGGCTCATGCCTGTAATCCCAGCACTTTGGGAGGCCGAGGCAGGTGGATCACAAGGTCAGGAGATCAAGACCATCCTGGCTAACATGGTGAAACCCCGTCTCTACTAAAAATACAAAAAATTAGTCAGGCGTGGTGGCAGGCGCCTGTAGTCTCAGCTGCTCAGGAGGCTGAGGCAGGAGAATGGGGTGAACCTGGGAGGCGGAGTTTGCAATGAGCCAAGATCATGCCACTGCACTCCAGCCTGGGCAACAGAGCGAGACTCCGTCTCAAAACAAAACAAAAAAAAAAAAAAAAAGAATTCTAGGAGTTCAAGATCAGTCTGGGCAACATAGCAATACCTCATCTTTAAGAAAAAAAAATTCACTGGGTGTAGTGGCACATGTCTGTAGTCCCAGCTACTCAGGAGGCTGAGGAAGGAGGATTGCTTGAGCCTAGGAGGTTGAGGCTGCAATGAGCTATGATCACACAGCTGCACTCCAGCCTGGGTGACAGAGGGAGACCTTATCTCAAAAGCAAACAAAAAAATCTGTACCCCTTCTCCCAAACAGTGCAATCCCATTTTACCTTCTGGAAGTCCCAGCCCTTCAAAGTCCAATTCCCAACCTCGACACAGATACACCTGCATTCCCCGCTGCCACCAGCAGCTGTCATCTCAGGTCCTGGCATTCCTGGGCCAACTAAGACTGCCAGCTTCCCAGATCACCTCATCTCACCCACATCTGCACAACACTGTACAACATTCCTTTCTCCAGCTCCCACTCCTCAAGTGTTCCACTGGGACACAAATCATACATTACAAAGAACAACATGTGTGCAGCTACAGGAGCACTAAAAGTGTGGCAAAGTCCCCATTAAGCTACTCCTCTTCCTAGCTCACACTTCCATTTCTCAGTTTTGAGACCCAATTCCATGGGAACTGCAGATGTACCAGGTAACCCAAGTGTGTCCTCGCAGGCCCCCCACACCACCTCCTCAGAGCAGCTCTCTCCACCCCAACCCAGCCCCAACCATTGCTTTAAGCAGAAAATGTCAAATTAGCTCATTCCCTGATAACCCCTTAAACGAAAATAGCAAAAGGATATCAGATAGCTGAGTGGTTGGACCAGGACTCTAAATCATTTCTTTTGCTTTTCATTCTTCAAAGCCTGAGATCACTATGGTACTAGATATATGTATGTACACTGACAAAATTAAATTCAAACACTTGTAAGAATGGTATTTGAATTTGGACTTTTATCCAGTCTTGTTTAAACTAGGACTGCATTCTGCTTAACTGACCAAAATCATAAACCAGTACTCCAATTCTCCAGTTTGCTCCTGTGGAGCTAAGTTTTGTTATACTTCTCTTTCTTCTGCTGTTGATCTTTCTCGGCAAAAATCAAAACTCATTAAAGTTGACTTTGAGAGTTCAGGGCTGGAAACATTTAAATTGATAAGCTAATCTTAAAAATTTTTTTTTAAAATGACAAATTCTGAATTACAATACATGTGTATGAGGGTTATATGGTTTAGATTTGTGTCCCAACTCAAATCTCATGTGGAATTGCAATCCCCAGTGTTGTAGGAGGGGCCTGGTACAAGGAGATGAGATGATGGGAGTGGATTTTGCCCCTCAGTGTTGCTCTCGTGATAGTGAGTCTGTGCTTGGTTATTTAAAAATATGTGGCACCCCACCCCTCTTCCTCCTGATTCTTCCATGTAAGACATGCTTGCTTCCTCTTCACCTTCCCTTATGACTGTAAGTTTCCTGAGGCCTCCCCAGAAGCAGAAGCCTGTACAACCTGCAGAATCGTGAGCCAATTAAACCTCTTTTCTTTATAAATTACGCAGTCTCATGTATGTCGTTATAGGAGTGTAAAAACGGACTTGGCCGGGCGCGATGGCTCATGCTTGTAATCCTAGCAGTTTGGGAGGCCAAGGTGAGTGGAACACGAGGTCAGGCGTTCAAGACCAGCCTGGCCAACATGGTTGAAACCCCGTCTCTACTAAAAATACAAAAGTTAGCCTGGCATGGTGGCAGTAAGCTGAGATCATGCCACTGCACTTCAGCCTGGGTGAAAGAGAGAGACTCCGTTAAAAAAAAAAAAAAAAAAAAAAACTAATACAGAGTGGATCTAAATTTACATTTCACCAAAATAAACCCAATTCCCAAACAAGCCTCAGCATTCAACGAGATCACTCTCACTCAGCCAGTTATTTAATTTCCTTGTGCCTAGAAATGTGTACAAAGTTAAACTCAGAACCACCTAACTTCTACACAAATGGACGCTTCCAAAAACGGTTTACCCAAAACATGTCATGAGATGTAACAGGAAATGGATATGCAACTTAAGTGACTACTAGGGGAGAAAAATGTGCATACATTTCTACTGTACAAAAATCCAGCAGTAATTTCTGCTATTTTATTTAATCTACCAAGTTTCCTTCCTGATGCTAACTCTATGAGATATGAATATTAAAGAGTATGACTGATTATTTCTGAATATTCTTTAAACACTAGGCATTTCATATGCCATTACATATACCTTGGGACTCTAAACACTTATTTAAGCAGTGAGCTATCATTCAATACCCTCCTCAACCTTCCCTACTGGAGTAGTTGCCTTTGAAGCCGGGTTCCCAGTACACCCAGCACTCTGTGTGGTGGCAAACACGTTTTTTCCCAGGGAATAAACTTAACTTCTAGAAAAGGTTCAAAGCCAACCATAGTGACTAAGATAAGTGTTCAACTTCGTTAAGGCCATTTGAATGAGGTGTTATCGTAAGGTAATGAGACTAGTATGGCTAGTAACCTGGCTAACAAGGCAGCTTTGACAGAGTAAGGATGACCAAGAAATGCACTGACCCACAGGCACCCGATTAAGAGTAAATGCAGTCTACCAAGAAGCCACCTTGAATGGCAATGCTCATCTGCCTGGGCACCATCCAGCGTATCTCTTAAAACAATAAATAGGTCGTTCCTTATTTTACTGTCATCACTGGCTAAGAAAAGCAAATGGAAAAAGAAATTTTTAAAGGCAAGAATACCAAAGCTAGACAGGAAAGTAATGCAACCATAAGCATGGCAGCTGAGACACCAGCAGCATAGTGCGCAATGCACAAAGAACTGAGCTCCACCTCGCCAGGCACTCTAGAGCCAATAATAATTGATTTTTGTTTGCCTTTAAACAATACAACAAAAGCAATTGCCACTTGGAAGCTCAGCAAGGTCATCTGATGGTGACAATGAAAAAAACGTTGCTAAAGATTGGAAAGAGCAGGGATTAAATAAATTGTGTTAATTTACCAGAGCAATTTTCAGTACCAAACTGTCTTTGAAAGTAAAGACAAGGTCTGTGCATGACTAAAAAGCAAGAAATGCACAAGATGTTTTGGATCTAATGAACAATCTCAATATAGATAAGGTATTGGGGTCAGGTGATAGTTATTTATATTCTGAAGAACCAGAGCTATATATTGATAGCACCTGTGAGCAAAATACGTGTGCCATCTCAAGAGGCTCCACTACAGCAGGAAGGTTTCCCCACCTGGATATCACTTCCATTTTTTAAGAAACGGGATCAAGCTATGTTGCCCGGGCTGGTCTCAAACTCCTGGCCTCACGCAATCCTTTCGCCTCCCAAAGTGCTGAGATGAGAGGGATGAGTCATCACGCCTGGCCAGACTATGACTTCTTTGAGAGCTAAGACCACTCCTGGCACAGGAAGCTTTAGGCAGTTATGATCTTAATACACTAACGGGCATATTTTAGATTATCTACATGACCACTTTATGTAAACGAGTACTTCCCCATGATTTCTGGGGCTTCAATCGGCCCTTGTATTCAGGATCAAGATGACAACAGTAGTTCTGCTGTGTCTCCAGCTAACATAACTGTAGGTCAAAGACGTTTTCATGCTCTAGTACATAGTACAAGAGAAGTTTGAATAAAGGAAACAAAGGAAAACGGTGTTATGTTACCACCAACTGGCACATAATTGGTTAGGAAAGGAAAACTTACCCTAGCAGCCATGACTTCCTGAGCACAGATGATAGAGTTTTAATAAAATAGCATCACCTGTCACATTAAAATCATGCTATTAATTTGAATGGTATTCATTTGAGAATTAGATTTGTAACAAATTTGCATGTTTGTTACGGTGTTATAGTGATGGCTATGGTGATATACCAGCTATAAACATCCTTGTTCTTTTTATGTTTGGATGTATTTTAAGAAACATTGGGTCAGGCGCGGTGGCTCACGCCTGTAATCCCAGCACTTTGGGAAGCCGAGACGGGCAGATCACGAAGTCAGGAGATCAAGACCATCCTGGCTAACACGGTGAAACCCCGTCTCTACTAAAAATATAAAAAGTTAGCCGGGCGTGGTGGCGGGTGCCTGTAGTCCCAGCTACTTGAGAGGCTGAGGCAGGAGAATGGCATGAACCCGGAAGGCGGAGCTTGCAGTGAGCCGAGATCACGCCACTGCACTCCAGCCTGGGCAACAGAACAAGACTCCGTCTCAAAAAAAAAAAAAAAAAAAAAAAAAAAAAAAAAGAAACATTATAGTAAAAATAAGGCAACATGGCTTCTCACTGATGTTTTTTCTCTAAAGGGGTTCTACCTTACCGAAGCTTAAAAATACTGCACTACGGCTGGGCACAGTGGCTCACGCCTGTAATCCCAGCACTTTGGGAGGCCGAGGCGGGTGGATCACAAGGTCAGGAGTTCGAGACAATATGGTGAAACCCCGTCTCTACAAAAAATACAAAAATTAGCCGGGCATGGTGGCGAGTGCCTGTAGTCCCAGCTACTCGGGAGGCTGAGGCAGGAGAATCACTTGAACCCGGCAGGTGGAGGTTACAGTGAGCCGAGATCGCACCACTGCACTCCAGCCTGGATGACAGAGTGAGAATCTGTCTCAAAAAAAAAAAAAAGCTGTACTATCTCGTGACTAATTGTTCTTCCCAAGAAAAGCAATATTAGAAAAACTTGCTCCTTGAAGAGAAATTTTGGCAAAGAAAAAAACATAAGCACAATTAGTTAAGCATTGAGTAACAGTAATAGTATAATAGACAAAACATGTATTTTTATGTTTACTCTTCAATATTGGGCTGAGTTTAGAAGGTATCTTTTAACTTACTGACCCTGGCCAGGTGTGGTGGCTCATGACAATAAATCCAGCAATTTGGGAAGCTGAGGCAGGATGACTGCCTGAGCCCAGGAGTTCGAGACCAGCCTGGGCAACACAGCACGAACTTGTCTCTACAAAAAATAAAAATAAAAATAAAAAATTAGCCAGGCATGGTGGCGAGTGCCTGTAGTCCCAGCTGCTTGGGAGGCTGTGGTAGGAGGATCGTGTGGACTTCGGAGGTCAAGGCTACAGTGAACCGTGATAACGCCACTGCACTCCAGCCTGGGCAACAGAGTGAGATACTGTCTCAAAAAAAAAAAAAAAAAAAAAAAAGAACAAATAAATGAAATTATCGACCCTTCGATTTCTTTTTTTTTTTTTTTTTGAGATGGAGTTTCGCTCTGTCGCCCAGGCTGGAGTGCAGTGGCACAATCTCGGCTAACTGCAAGCTCTGCCTCCCGGGTTCATGCCATTTTCCTGCCTCAGACTCCCGAGTAGCTGGGACTACAGGCGCCTGTCACAAGGCCCGGCTAATTTTTTATATTTTTAGCAGAGACGGGGTTTCACCGTGTTAGCCAAGATGGTCTCAATTTCCTGACCTCGTGATCTGCCTGCCTCAGCCTCTCAAAGTGCTGGGATTATAGGCGTGAGCCACCGTCCCTGGCCCAACCCTTCAATTTCTTTGTCAAAATTTTCTATTGGTACTTTCATGCTCCACACATGCGAATATGAACATGGGATCTGAAAAGCAGCAGCCGCGCTTTAGTGCCATGCTGTGGTCCCATCTAGGCTGGCTACCAACTACATTTAGATGACAGCAACAAACAGCTAAGTTTTAAGCTCTCCTTTTCTCCATTTTTCACCAGATTTTGTATTAATCTGTGCCATAATTAAAACATAAACTCAGTATTTATTTCTCACAACATAAAACTTGAGGCCCTGTTTGCTCACCAAACTCCATGATCAGATTCCACCCCGAAATGCCCCTCTAAGCATCTATTTTCTAGCAGACTGGAAGGTGCAGCAAACAAGCTCCCCTCAAAGCACCACCACCTGAGCCGGCACCTTTCAGGACAACAGACTCCACAGGTGAAGTACAGAGACCTCACACTCACCAGATGGTCCCAACAGCCCAAGTGCACCCACGTACTGGGTGATCAAGCAAAAAATAAGACCTGGGACCGACACAAAGACTTCTTTTTACAAAGAGAAATCACAACTGCAAAACAACTATCTCAATCTCAACAAAGCAGCCTTCTTTGGAACATCATCCAAAGACTATCTTAAAATACACATATAACTTTGAAAATACCAATAATGAGATATTATGAAGAGTTCAACTAGGAGAACTCTGTCCCTAGAGCTCTAATACCATGGATAGCCAAGGGAGGCTGCTACATACATGCAGAATCTTCCCAGAACTGGAAAATAACCAGTAAAAGTGGAGAGTAGCCAAAAGAATCAGAAACCTTCCTATTTAGAGCTATATATCATTCTAGCCCTCTAATCATTCTCAACTAAAACAAACTAATTCTCAAAAGGGCTCCTTACCTCTAGCAAATCAAAATATTTTAATTTATCCCAAAGGGATAGTAATTAATTTGAGAAGCTTGCCATAGTTCATATGCACAGGGAGTAAAGTTTTTAAGTTATAAGTTTTACATTTTACCTTAATTATAACAGTATATTTTAAAGCAAAAGATGGTAAATGTTCCCATATTTACAACTGCAAGGGAAAGTCAACGTCTAAAGGAGGTTTCTTTGAACTACCTGCTGCAAGTCCTTCAGGATTGAAAAAAATCGATCCTATGCACAGCTGACTATAAATAACCACCTTCCTTCCTGCCTCCTCTAGTCTGGAGCCACCATGACAGAAAGAAAAAAAAAAAAAACAACCCACAGTCCAATGTGCATCTTCCTTGGCATCACTGTGAGATATGAAGCAGCAGGGTAAGCAGAAGGAGTAGATTCTGACATCTGGAAGACTTGCGTTCAAATTCTGGCTCTAACACTTACTAGCTGCAGAGCTTTGGCCAAGTGACCCATCCTGTCTATGCCTCAGTTTTTTATCTGAAAAACAGGAAAAATCATATTTATGATCTAACATGACTGGCTCACGGATCCAATTAGATAACCACGTAAAACTGATACTACACTACAGCAGGGTTTCTCAACCTCGGCAGCATTTGGGGCGAGATGATCGTTGTGGGAGCTGTACTGTGCCGTGTAAGATGTTCTGCTGCATCTCTGGCCTCCACCTTCTAGATGTCAGAGGCATCTCCTAAGCTGTGACAATCAAAAATGTCTCCAGGCGGCCGGGCACAGTGGCTCACGCCTGTAATCCCAGCACTTTGGGAGGCCGAGACCGGTACATCACTTGAGGTCAGGAGTTTGAGACCAGCCTGACCAACATGGTGAAACCCCATTTCTACTAAAAAATACAACAATTAGCTGGGTGTGGTGGCAGGCACCTGTAACCCCAGCTACTCGTGAGGCTGAGGCAGGAGAATCGCTTGAACCCAGGAGGCGGAGGTTGTAGTGAGCTGAGATCACGCCATTGCACTCCAGCCTGCGCAACAAGAGCAAAACTCCGTCTCAAAAAAAAGTCTCCAGGCATTGCCAAATGTCCCCTAGGGGAGAAGGAAGGGTGCAAGACAGGCCCCAGTTTAGAGCCACTGTACTAAGTATTTAATAGAGATAGGCTTCTTCCCCTCCTCCCATCTACCTAGTCCTCTGAAGAAACCTAGGGATTATTCTAGACACCTCCCTTTTTTTGTACCTAATCAATCAGTGACCAAATCCAATGGAATCTGCCTCCTAAATACCTCCTGCCTTATCCCCTGGCTCATTTTCACCGTCATCACCATTTCTGCCTGGACAGCTCTGCAACTGCCTAGGGTTGTCCAACTCAAATCCAATCTCCCCAAAGCTGCATGGTGAGCTTTAGAAAAGCCCAGATTGCCGGGCCCAACGACTTGCACCTGTAATCCCAGCGACTCAGAAGGCTGAGATGGGAGGATTACCTGAGGCCAGGGGTTCGAGACCAGTCTGGGCAACATACTTACTAATAAGAAAAGCCCAGATCTCAACAGGTTTCTCAAGGTGCCTCAAACAATATAGTCCCAGCTCCTTGATGAGGTCCACAAAGCTGTTCACATCCAGCCACTTCTTCCTTTGGCTTTTACAGTCTGGCCACTCAGGCCTCAGCTGTGCCTTCCCCACCCCAACCCCACCCCCAACCAACCCCTGCTTGAAGCACTCCCGGACACACCACAGCGTGATGGTTCCACTCCGGGTGTCTACAACCGGACTGCTTGTTCAAGTCCTGGCTCAGCCACTTACTAAGTAGTTCTGTGACCCTGGGCAAGTTATTTAACCTCCTTGAACCTCAGTTTCCCCACCTATAAAATGACAGCACCTACCTCAAAGGGCTATTGTGAGGATTTATGTTATTTTTCTAAATGTTTATTTTAATTGATGAAAATTGTATCTGTTTGTCATGTACATGTTATTTCGAAATACATACACACTGCGGAATGGTTAATTCAAGCTAGTTAACCTATGCATTACCCCACATACTTACCAAGTTTGCATACGAAGAACATTTAAAATCTACTGTCTTGGCAATTTTGAAGAATACATTGTTACTAACCAGAGTCACCATGTCCCACAAGAGGTGAGTTTGTTTCTGTAGCACATTTACATCAACACCTAGCCAAGTGACAACTTCATGGACAGGATGAGGTGGGTTGGCAGATTCCAAACTTCCTAACACTGCTGTCACTCCAGGGGAGGAGTGACATCTCAGTTTTCTAGGTCTGTTGTGGTTTAACACCTGGGCAAGGAGGACACTGCCCTTCTTAGCCAGGCAGCATGGATCCTGGAGTCACAAAAGAAACATTGGTTTCAAGCAGATGCTCTGGTATTGACAGTGGCAGTTTCAACACCTTCTTTGCCCTTTTAAGAGCCTCTGGGGGGGAAATATGGTATAAAGCAATCAAACATGGGTCTGCAACCTTCTTCCGTGGAACACATTTGCCTTTCTTGGGGCCTAGAGAGGAGAGGTCTTTTCACTTAGAATTTGAGGAAAGAGAATAAAGAGTAAAATTCTCAGTAATGACACAGACTAGAAAATAGGAGGAGGGGCTGAGCACGGTGGCTCACACGTGTCATCCCTGAACTTTAGGAAACCAAGGTGGGAGAAACCGCTGAGCCCAGGAGTTAGAGGCCAGCCTGGCCAACATACTGAGATCCCATCTCTTAAGGAAAAAAAAGAAAGAAGAAGAAAATAGGAGGAGTAATCTATATTGCATAAACAAATTAGAATTCAAAAAGACATTTAAAAAGATGTTTTTGCTTTGACCAACTGACCTCATGATTATCTAACCTGAGATCATCACTTGAATGGAGTAAACGGTCAAGGGGTCTGATTCGGTGCTTGGGACTGGAGATAAATCATTGGGATGTGGCTGTGGCTCTGAAGAGGTGCCTAATCTATACGAGACAGACACATAAACCAACAATCCTTCATTGCTGTCAGTGAAGTATTCAGTAGAAGTAACTATGCAGAAAGGTGCTATTGAGTCTGGGATGTGAAGAGGGATAGTTGGAGACAGAGTGCCCAGCTTTGAACAGTGACCTCTGAGCTCACTCTTAAATAATAAAACACACTAACAGCTGTGATTCTGGATGCCCAGGCTTCATTGGTCCCTGACCCCTGTCCAGGCCTGTCTCTCCAGTGTGACAAGTACTCCAGTGCTACCCCAAATTCCTTCAGTTAATTCTTTCTCTGTTGAATTCATCAGATTCAATTGCTGTTGCCTGCAATCAAAACCCTATCAAAGATTTTGTATCAAAGAGAAGATGCGCTACAAGAAACTGGAATGGCTGGGAATGGGGAGGTACTGGTTCACGAGTAAGGCATTTCCAGTTTTGCAAGATGAAAGAGTTCCATGGCTAGACAGGGGTGATGGCTGCCAACAGTGTGCATGCATGTAATGCCACCAAACCATACACTTTAATGTGGCTAAGAGAGTCCATTTTGTCATGTGTATTTTACCACCTTTTTGAGATGGAGTCTCGCTCTGTCGCCAGGCTAGAGTGCAGTGGCACCATCTTGGCTCACTGCAATCTCCGCCTCTCAGGTTCAAGCGATTCTCCTGCCTCAGCCTCCCGAGAGGCTGGGATTACAGGTGCGTGCCACCACACCCAGCTAATTTTTGTATTTTTAGTAGAGACGGGGTTTCACCATATTGGCCAGGATGGTCTCTACCTCCTGACCTCGTGATCCACCTGCCTCAGCCTCCCAAAGTGCTGGGATTACAGGCGTGAGCCACCGCGGCCGGCCTTACCACCATTTTTTAAAAATTGCTTTAAGAAATTGGAATGGCTGAGTGAAGGGAAGTGGGTACTCAGAGTCCCACAATCCCAGTGTGGGGAAGTTGCTCATTCTTGATACACCAGAGAGCAAAAGCAGAGTGGGTTAAACTGCCCCTGTTGTCTGTTAGACCCAAAACTGTGTGCCTCTTCATTCTAGGCTATTTTAAAATTGCCTCAAGGCAGATGTGGTGGGGATTAGCAGGGCTGTGGGACTTACTGTTAAGACCCAGGAATTCCCAGAACCACAGACCTCATCTAGGTGAGATCACTGGCTGCCATTACCAGCCCATGGAATTGACTAGACACAAAACTCAGAGCCTGAGTTTTCCTGGGAGCAGTTTTGCCAAAGACATTCTCAGTAAGGCTGGAACAAGCCTGTGGCTATTCAACCCCAAGACAACCAATCCTGAAGCCCCAGACTAATGCCAAGCAGCACCCAAGAAAAGGAGCTTTGCCAGTGCCTACCCCATCCAGGTGCAGCTGCAGAGGACAATGACCAAGCGAGATTCTCACCCTGGACGGACTTCAGCAGAGGCAAGCTGCCAGACCGGCTGACCAAAGCAAACGCTCCCAGCTGTTCCTGTTCAGCCAGCTACCCCACTGTGAGTGTCTTATTTTCCCCTTTTCCAAATAGAAGGTTCATTGTAGTCATCCTGTTCTTTCTTGCCCATTGCAGGTTCAATGTTTTGAGAGACATAGCCTATTTAGTCATAAATCACCAGATAATTAAAAAAAAAAAAAACCTCCTTTCAGGTGTAATATTACCCAGAAATCCTTGCAATACTTAGCTGCATATTCGGGTCACCTCCCTGGAGAAAGGGAGCATGTGCATTTCACGAAGCCAGGGGCATTTCTGAAGGTGGATGGATTATCCAAGGTGTGGAATGCAGGGTCACCGTGCCTGACTTTACCCCTGGCTCAAAAGGTAAGAAAAAAAGGTAATTCTATCTCCTCCTTGCCACGGTGACTGGTTGCAGGATGAACAGATCTCAGCCTCTGTGGGCCCTGAGACACAACAGAAGATTTAAGGCACAGGAGGCCGTTCTCTTTCCTTTACAAGTACACAGTTATAAACAAACAAACAAAAAAAAAAAAAAAAGAGGGCATAGCTCTGGCTGGGCATGGTGGCTCACACCTGTAATCCCAGCACTTTGGTAGGCCGAGGCAGGTGGATCACTTGAGGTCAGGAGCTCAAGACCAGCCTGGCCAACATGGTGAAACCCCATCTCCATTAAAAATACAAAAATTAGCTGGGTGTGGTGGTACATGCCTGTAGTCCCAGCTACTCGGGAGGATGGGGCAGGAGAATCGCTTAAACCCAGGAGGTGGAGGTTGCAGTGAACCAAGATGGTGTCACTGCACTCTTGCTTGGGCTACAGAGTGAGACTGTCTTGAAAAAAAGTAAAAAAATAAAAAAAGGCATAGCTCTGTCAGTGGCAGCCAGCCTAGGACCAAGAAGCCCTGGAAAGAGCCAGGCTGTAGAAGGGAAAGCAGAAAAAACAATGAACCTGGTTCCTGAAGACATCCCTGAGCTGGCCCATTTCCCTACTGTCTAGGTGAACATTTCCTAATTGAGACATCATAGCTGAACAACATAACTAGTTCCCATGACAACTATCAATTATCTTTCACAATTTATGGGCCACCATAAAACACGAATTGAGACAGACCAACTCAAGCCTCACAATTCTAAGATGCCATCAACTGTCAGCTGTCACTTTTTGGGGGTGAGAGGAGTGGAGGAGGATGGTGTGAGTACAAGAAACCTACCAACACTTTAAACACATATCGACTGCAACATGAATTCAGAATTATTAAAAGGCTGGGGGAAGGGGGACAAGGACAAGTCTCTGATTAAAAGTAACATGGTGTTTGTCAACTCCTCCCTTCTGTTTGGGAAGAGATACACTTTAGGTCACACCCAACAGTGGCTGGATATTACAAGTCAGTTGAAAGAAACACTGAAGAGCTGACCGCTCACAGGTGAGTATAGCTATGCATAGCTATCACTTTGATATCTAAACCTATTCAACACCTTATACGGTCATGAAAAGGTCTCTAACTCAAAACCTAAGAAAACAATAATAAGGAGAAATGGATTTGAGTCTGATCACAGGAGACAATTTCCATAGCACACACAAAAAATTTCAGAGAACCCAAACCACTACTAGCAATGTAAATTACTTTCACGCAACTGGAGTGCACAGAAGGATGGAAATTCAAACTTTAAGTGTCCACAGTGGAGAGAAATGAAACATCTATTTTGCAAACTGCAAGTGGGGAAAAAGAAATACAATTTACCAGTCATTTTTTCCTTAAAATAGTCCTTGCTCTATCTCTCCAACTCCCAACGTAGTGGTGAGCTCCTAATATGAAAATGACCTGGTAATCCTTAGACACAAAACACAAGGCAGACCCTAAATAAGTGTTCCACTGAACAAACACTATATCAGTATTTGTGCTGAACAAGTACTATAACTTTCACTTGAAGCTTGAAGTACATGCCTTTCAGGGATTTTTAAACTCACTTTTAAACTTACTTTTATATTAAGAAAAAAAGGTTTATTGTAGAAATATAGAAAACACATGTAAGCAAAACACAAGACAATAAAAAATTACCTATAATCCCCTTTGCTCAAAGATAACCTCCACTAACATGCTGGAATATATCCCTAGTTAGTTTTTCTTTTTTCTTGTTTTATAGAGACAGAGTCTCACTATGTTGCCCAGGCTGGTCTTGAACTCCTGGGTTCAAGTGATCCTCCCACCTCTATCTCCCAAAGTGGTTCAGATTACAGGCGTGAGCCACTGTGCCTAGCCCCTAGTCATTTTCTCTACATATAAACACTTAACCACAATAGGATTCTACTGGATCCACTGTCTTATAACCTACTTTTTCTATTTAATATTATACTGGTGACATCTTCGTGGTATTAAATATTCTTCAACACTGCCCCACCCCACCCATCACTCCCACAGCTGCAGTATACTCTTCTGTACCTCACTTCTCAAAAGGAGGAAAAGCTCTTACTCCTGGCTTAAAGTGTTCTCTTTAATAATAATACCAATAATATTCACTGAAAATTAAGGTATCAATTCCAAAGGCACGGCACATACCAATTTCTCAAGAATCAGCATAAGCATACTCTAGAATTCAACGTCAACATGGGAAGTTCAGCTCCCTGTAGATGTAGTTCAATCCAAGAGCCACATTCATTTATCTTCTGGTGTTAACAAGTGAGGAGGAAATACAGTCTGAAGCTTAAAAACCAAGTTACTGACAATAATTACGGCTGCATCCAATTGTCACACACAATGCATGAAGCACAAAAGGAATGAGAGCAAGGAGGAGAATACAAAGTGAAATGATTCAGTCTTGCTTTTTCTTTTTCTTTTGAAATGAGGTCTCATTCTGTTGCCCAGACTCGAGTGCGGTGGTGCAATCATTACTCAGCGCATTCCTGAACCCCGGTGCTCAAATTATCTTTCCACCTGGGCCTCTCAAGTAGCTGGGACCACAGGCATGGGGTCTCACCATGTTGTACAGGCTTTGCTTTTCCTTTAAACCTTGCACTCCTTCCTCTACCCAAAACAAACTGGGCAAGATGAAGTCAGCATGATGAGGACACCCAAAGACAACTCACTTAATAACTGAGAAGGAAAAATAGAGACTAGCAAAGAAAGCAGAAGATTCTCCACAAAGTCCCATTCTTCAGGTTCTCAGGGTAGTTAGGAGATTCGTAAGTAAGTTTGTGGAGCCTGTCACGCTGTGGGACACAAACACATTTTTTCCCCATTACTAAATAGTACTGAGTGCTTACTAAGCAAAGTAATTCTCTAAATAGATTAGGGTTACTTGCATTTTCTGAAAAACCAAAGTAACTTCCAGCATTAAGAAAAAAAGAACTTATACATGTAAATAAAACCCATTCAACACGAACATCTTCAATTAAACAAGAAAAATTAATAGAAAGGGTCTTCATCTCCTACATTACCTCTGACCCAAAGTCTGCCCTCACCGGCCTCCTCACATTAGTGACATCCAACACTCACTTGCCAAAACATAAAACTAAAACTTAACATCACATAGGTCAGGTAAAAGAAATGATTGGCTTTGCATTTTCCAACATTCATTCATAACAGATGTTCAAAGGGGACAACTCAGTGCAACCTCCGGTCAGCTAGGGCAGTGTTGGCCATGGTTCCCAAGTGCACTTCTCAGTATTACAACAATCTCAGCATTTACCCACAATGGGAATTCCAGCTTTACAACACACTTTTAAATATACATTATAAGACATGATCCAAAACTGCACCCAAGAGACGAAGAGCTAAACCTTGAGTCAGGTTGGAAACTGGAAATTAATTAGAATGTAAAAATTGTTGGCCGGGCACGGTGGCTCATGCCTGTAATCCCAGCACTTTGGGAGGCCGAGGCAGGTGGATCACAAGGTCAGGAGTTCGAGACCATCCTGCCTAACATGGTGAAACCCCGTCTCTACTAAAAATACAAAAAAATTAGCCGGGCGTGGTGGTGGGCACCTGTAGTCCCAGCTACTTGGGAGGCTGAGGCAGGCGAATGGCGTGAACCCGGGAGGCAGAGCTTGCAGTGAGCCGAGATTGCACCACTGCACTCCAGCCTGGGCGACAGAGTGAGACTCCATCTGGAAAGAAAAAAAAAAAATTGTTAACACAGGCAAGACCAGGAGCTGGAGATGCAAATCAGGCCCTTGTCACTGCACTTCTGGATCCCCTCAAAACAGGGAACACGGTCTCTGCCTGGTAGACAGGAGATGGAAACATGCCGGAGCCACTCAAGCAATCCATCTACATGTCACTTCAGTGTGCCTGGGAAACCATTGGTCCACTGCAGCCCAAACAAACAAAGTGACAGGTGATGGGACATCACCCAAACCAGCAAGAGGACAGTTCCCTTGGTTTGTTCATCCTCTTCATGGGACCACCATCCTTACAAGCCTTTCCAAGTTCCACCTTCACAGAACAGGTTTCACATCACAGCTTTTTTTTGAGACAAAGTCTCACTCTGTCACCCAGGGTGGAGTGCAGAGTTGCAATCTCAGCTCACCACAACCTCCATCTCCCAGGTTCAAGCGATTCTCCTGCTTCAGCCTCCCAAGTAGCTGGGATTACAGGGGCACGCCACGACGCCCAGCTAATTTTTGTATTTTTAGTAGAAACGGGGTTTTGCCATGTTGGTCAGGCTGGTCTTGAACTCCTGGCCTGAAGTGATCTGCCTGCCCTGGCCTCCCAAAGTGCTAGGATTATAGGCATGAGCCACCATGGGTGGCCACATCATAGCTTTTTAAACTTAAAAAAAAAAAAAAAGAAAAACTCACTTTTGAATGGCCCTTTTCTTTTGGTGAATAGGAGGTATAAAAAGAATACAAAATCTCTTGGTAGATGTCTGCCTGCCAAGAAGTCACCAAACACTGAATTTGATGACAGCAAGGGAATCTGAGAGCCTTGACATTTAACTTGGTGCGTTTTGAATCAATGCAGGACTGAAGTCAGGGACAAAAAGTTGACTGGAGTGTCAAATTTAAGCTAGTTACCCCAGATACACTTATATAATAAGGCTTTTCTCACCTAAAGGGATTACAATAATCAGCACTCCAGTTCAAAACAAAATATTACAATCATAGTGAGATTCTATTATTCATGAAACAAGAGGCCCAGATCTTTACATCGCCAACCACCAAACGCCCTGCTACAACTTCAGCCACGGTCTTGCATCAGGAATCAAGAATGTCTCTGCTAATCAAACACCAGTAGTTGTGATAATTATCAGCTCCTTCTCAGAGTAACAGAAAGTTACAGAAGGGTCCACACAGCAGAACTAGGACTATTTAGAAAGTCTCTACTAAATCTAAATCTAGTTTCTAGTTTTCTAAATCTAGTTTTTTTTATTCTCAACTCTAAATTATGCTATCATTTCCATATTCCAGCAACAAGCAACACCCGAGCCAACAGTAACATTAAACAGTGAACAGCACAAACATTGCCACCTATAGTCTGAAAATGAAATACATTTGAAATACAGTTGTGACCTGGAAGAGAAACAATGTAAAAACAGAAAGTAACATTTTGTCACACTTCTTCCACCCTTCTTTAATCCTCCTGCCCTGATACTTATTACCATTATATTATTTATATATTATTCTAATCCTCCTTAGCATGGACTACCAAAAGATCAACATATAGTTTGCTTTATCGCTAATTAACAAATATTTCAGTAAGACAGACCCACTTATTCAAATACCTGCAACATCAAAAAGCTTGAAAACTCTTAAGTTAGGATCTCTTTTTTTCACTGCTGCTACTCATCTAAGACTGGAAATTCAAGGGCAACAATAAAATCTGTTTAATGCAGATCTTGTAACTCAAAATAAAAAATTTAATTGGCTCTTAATCTATCACACATTGCCATGTTTTCATGATGCCATTTTAAACACCGCACAAGCAAACAGGTTATTAAATTAGCAATGGGCATAGTTGCTTCCTTTTGAAATGAATGCAAAAGTAATTTAGCAGAAACTCCAATGTACTGCTGCAATAATGTCACACTCAATCATTCTTAATATTTTTAAACAGTTTTATTCAGATGTAATTCATACACAACACAATTCATCCATTTGAAGGGTACAAAACTCAATGACTTTTAATATGTTGGGAGTTCTTCTTTGGGGTGATCTTTGTTTGTTTGCCTTTGTTTTCTGAGACAGTGTCTTGCTCTGTCACCCAGGCTGGAGTGCAGTGGCATGATCATGGCTCACTGCAGCCTCAACCTCCCAGGCTCAAGCCATCCTCCCACCTCAGCCTCCCCAGCAGCCAGGACCACAGGTGCGTGCCACAACACGCAACTAAGTTTTTGTATTTTTTGTAGAGGTGGGGTTTCACCACATTGCCCAGGCTGGTGTCAAACTCCTGGGCTCAAGCAATCTGTCCACCTCGGCCCCCCAAGATTATTCACTTTTCTTGGGAAAATATACCAGATATATTGAGGTACTCCAGAATCCCAAAACAAACTTTCCCAAGTAAGCTTCCTGGTGATGTGGGCACACACTGCATTGAAGAAATGCCTGAGTACCATGCAATGGTTTTCATTTGAATTGCATTCTGTAATGGTAAAGAAACTACAGTCATCTGAGGATCACCATTTGTCACTGTCCTCACCCTTTAAGCAAAACTATTACTATTCTTTTTTTATTTTTTATTTTTAGTTTTGCTCTTGTTGCCCAGGCTGGAGCACAATGGCCCGAACTTGTCTCACTGCAACCTCTGCCTCCCAGGTTCAAGCAATTCTCCTGCCTCAGCCTCCCGAGTAACTGGGATTACAGTTGCCTGCCACCAAGCCCAGCTAATTTTTGTATTTTTAGTAAAGACGGAGTTTCACCATGTTGGCCAGGCTGGTCTCAAACTCCTGACCTCAGGTGATCCTCCAGCCTCGGCCTCCCAAAGTGCTGGGATTACGGGCATGAGCCACTGCCCCAGCCTGTTATTATTGTGACAGAGTCTCACTCTGTCACCCAGTCTGGAGTGCAGTGGTGCGATCTCGGCTCACTGCAATCTCTGCCTTCAGGGTTCAAGCTATTCTCCTGCCTCAGCCTCCAGAGTAGCTGGGATTACAGGTGTCCACCACCACACCCAGCTGATTTTTTTTTCATTTATTTATTTATTTATTTTGTAGAGACAGGGTTTCACCATGTTGGCTGGGCTGGTCTCAAACTCCTGACCTCAAGTGATCCACCAGCCTTGGCCTCCAACGTGCTGGGATTACAGATGTGAGCCACTATGTCTGGCCTGAGCAAAATTATTTTTATTCCTTAAATTAAGGAAACTGATGTTCAATAATGAAATAAACAATCATAACATTCTGATTTAATAAAACTAAATATAATGAAAATTCAAATGTCAATGTCTACAAATTCCACAGACACTACATCATTGAAGAAAATAAATTCTATTCATTAGTCTTTTTTTTTTTTTTTTTTTTTTTGGAGACAGGGTCTCACTCTGTCGCCCAGGCTAGAGTGCAGTGGCATGATCTTGGCTCACTGCAACCTCTGCCTCCAGGTTTAAGTGATCCTTCCACCTCAGCCTCCCAAGTAGCTGGGACTACAGGCACGTGCCGCCATGTTTGGCTAACTTTTCTATTTTTTGTAGAGACGGGGTTTCACCACGTTGCCCAGCCTGGCCTCAAACTCCTGAACTCAAGTGATTCTCCTGCCTCGGCCTCCCAAAATGCTAGGATTACAGGAGTGATCACTGCACCCGGTCCCTATAATCAAATTTTAAAACAACATGTTATATTCATGAATTTTAAAAACTGATTTTAAATGTCACCATGAAAACTAGGTCCTTTTAACATTTGTTTCTCAAACATTACCTATATGTCCTGGGTATACAGTCTACCATCCAGCATCTAGGCCCGACACAGGCACTTGGACTTGGCATGACTGGGCAAGCCTTCTCTCTCTTCAGAAAACGGCCTGTCAGCATTCACCTTGAGATCCAAGCAAAATCTAAACCACAATTTTTGAAAGCAATCTTGTCCTCACCGTTTTGCACAGCTGCAAAGATGGCACATAGGGTTTCCCAAGTAATCTCTTGAAAATACACACAGGCCACTTTTTAAAAACTAACAACTATTCTTAATCACTTACAGACGGCCATCCAGTTGGCTATGATCTAGGCCCCCAGTTCCTTCTGTGCTAATGCCTATTTAAGAGCACTTCTCTTTTTCTAGCACTTTCCTCAAACACAGAAAAGCAGAAATCTGACTACTCGTTGACTTAAAAGTACTGAATGATTGGGGATATTGAAACTGATGGCATGGAGTTTTCCCAGGTTTCTAGTCACTGTAATTCATCAATTCTAAAATATCCTTTTTCTCATATTTCAACTTCTCTGAAATAAGGATGCTTCATAAGATGGACAGTATGTCATAACTTGACAGCAATTTTTTCTTCGTGGTACATGAAATAATGGCATATCTTAAAAGTGACAGCACACTAAAGTGAAAGAAATATGGCATCCACGCCAAAGGTTAGCCTTAAAGGTTTGTTATGAAGTGGATAATTATATGTAAACAAGTAGAAAGACCCCTAAGACAACAGAAAGTAGTGGTGACTGCAACCATAGCACAACTAGCTGCCACATCTCAAAGGACATAATGCCAGCCACTGACTGTAACTAGGTTAGAATGTGGCCCCAATTAAGCCAGATTTTTACCATTTTCATGAAATTTCCAAGCTTTAAAACACTCTAGAGACCACATTAAGCAGGGTTCCTGGTCAAATCGGGCCCAGCAGCCATCAGTTTGCAACCAGTGGTGTTTATTTCTCTTACATTATCTTAAATAATCTAGATAGTAAGACCTTTCAAGGCATTTGTCAGAAGGGGAGGATATTCAGCATGTTAAAAACTAGGCCTTTCTATTCAAAATAGCTGGCTCCATAACTTAACTTGTTTTGTGTCCTTATGCAGGTCACGTAACCTCTTTGAGCTTTCATTCCTCATCTGTAAATCACAGCCTACCTCACACAGTTCTCATGAGAACTAAATGACATAGTATGTGCACAAGGCTTAGCACTTTGCTCTCATGGCGCATCTTAAAAGTGACAGCATCTTAAACTGAAAAGCATACAGGATCCATGCCAAAAGTTAACCTTAATGGTTGATTAAGAAGTAGATAATTATATGTAAATGAGTAGAAAGACCCCCAAGCCAGCAGGGAGCCGTGGTGACTGGCACCTATAAGCAGATCTGCCACATCTCAAAGGACATAATGCAAGCCACTGATTGTGACTAGGCTAGAATGTGGCCCCAATTAAGCCGGATTTTTACCATTGGTATAGAAGAGGCATTCAAAAGTAGCCAACTATCCGTGTTTGTACAGGATAAGGAGAGAAGGTGCCATTTATCCTATGTCAGCCTGGCCTTCATTTCTATGCCATTTGCTTCATTTTAACTACTAACGAAATTACTTAATGTCATATCTAATGTGATAAGAAGCTGCCATTCAATCCCAGTATTTTGTTCAGTAGAAAAATCTTTTCAATAAATGATACCTTTCTAAAATGGAATAAAAGATTTCAGAAAGTTAGCGGTAACATTCATAAGTAAACTATGCCAAAATGCACTACAGATTGCCAAAAATAAAGAAATAAAACAAGAAATCCACAAGGACTCAAGCCAGATGCAGAAACTAGTCCAAAGTGTTCTGATTCCAAACCAAATCTGATCTTGGGCCATGAATCAGAAGTTTTGTTAAACTGCTAATCCCTCTAACACCAAAAGTCCTTCATCTGATGGTTTTGAATCTGGCTACCTAAAGTGACATGACTTAAATCAGGGTAAATATGAATTATAACTCACCAGAGAAACCTCCGCCCGAAACACACAGAAAAAATTAAACAGCACATACATTCACACAAGCAAAGCCCACATCTCAACCCCTTACCTTCTACAAAGTGGACAGACCTCTGCTGATGACGCAAGGAACAGCACCTAAGCCCTGTGCTTTGGCATCCCCGTTTTCTGGGTTCATGCAATGCTTCATCATCAGCAGTGCAGAGAGCTCAACAGTCTTTATGAGATGGGACATAACTAAGTGCACTCCAAACATACCATGCTTTTCAACAATCTCAAATCAAAATACGAATCTACTTTTAAGAAATGTGGTAGGTATGTGTGTCTACTTTGCTAAAAGATTTATGAGGTCACTCTTCTAAATAGCGGTCAAAATATCTTCATATGTGATATTCTGCAGCACACCAAGTCTGCAAACTAAGTGTACCCATATTTAATACGCCTTGGAAGAACAACCCTGCCGTTTGCTTCAGCGGGCATTCTACTTTCAGAGCCTGCTAAAATCTTCCATTGGTTTTTCTTACACATACTAATTCAGGGAGACAAAACAAGCTGTGCAAATTCAACAATTTGTCGTTAATATTCTACGAAGGCATTCCCTGATTCTCTGAAGGGCAACGTGACAGCATGAAACTGCCCATGAAAAACAAATACCAATGAAATGTGAAGTCATCAGAACTGCCCTGGCTTATTTTTTCACTGGTAGGAGAAAGTTGAAAAAGGAAGACGGCTGAGACTCATCTTGTGAAATACAATGTGTGTGGAACTAAATACTACCAGCGACATGGCAATAAATAGATAATAAAAGGTGTCTTCATCACCTCTTGCTATTTCCTATACAGCCCCAAATTCCCTTCTAGCAACATGCAGGAGTGAATCCAGTCACATGCCAACACACACTCGGACTCTGTTTACATTCCAAGCTTCACTTTCACACTAGACATCAGTTATGATGATTAGTAGTGACTCCTGTGGACAAAAGTGGCAAGATGTGCTCTAGGTAGATTCTGACACTCACTGCCAATGTAAATAAAGCACAAACAACAGTGACATTAACGTGTTTCATTTATCCAGCTGCACTTCCCAAAACACTCTTAAAATCGTTTTTTCGGGGGAGTTTTTACAAATAATCATGTTATTAAAACATTTTTTAAAAGAACCTAGGATGAAATGCAGCTGTCCTCACCCCCACCCCCCACAATACGTCAACCCAAGCAGCCCCTTTGTTTAGGAATGTCTGCGTCTCTGCAACTCAGGGCCTGCCCTCTACTGCCACTAATTAAATGGAGAAGTAGAGGATGCAAGGGAAAGCTCCTCAAAGAGAGAAGCCAGGAGGGAGAGGAGAAGCCCCCCGGGTCAATGAAACAATGCTACTGTCACCTATCCCCAGGTAGTTACACAAAACGGGAAATTATTTTACAAAAGCACAGCGAGGCAAAATAAACACACAAATCACACATTATTTGCACTGTGATCATTCTTTGATCAAATAAATACATCAAGCTTTGCCTAGCACCGCTAAGAAAAAAATTCATACCCTAAACACCCTTCCCACCCCAAAATACCTTTCATTCCACACTTACGTAGCACACAGGCACACACACACACCATGCCAGGGTAGGAGAGCCGCAGAAAGCGGAGCCATAACGCGAGCCTGTCTCAGATAATAGCCTTTCTTCCAACCCCACCCCCAACACGAGAGAAAGAGGGAACCTCTGAAAAGAAAGGAGGGAGGGGAAGAAAGAGAAATCGAGAACGCCTGAATTTCCAGGCATCAACTTTTCATGAAATGCACAACCAGGATAGGAAATACCTCCCTGCTGAGTAATGCTTCTTGGGTTGTAAAATTCACCTCTCGAAAGGGGAGCCAGACCTGAGCGCGCACCCCGCCAGATGGCAAACCACTCCTACCTGCTCCATCCAGCCTGCCTGTCACGCCGCGCCCGCGACAAGCGTCCCACCCCCCTTTTTGGCAGAGCAACATACCAATAAGAGCCGAGCGTGGCTGGTCGAGAGAGGACTAGGCAGTGATTTAGCAGGATTGTTTCAAAAGGGGGGAGTGGGAGACACGGAAGAGAGAATGAAGGTAAAAACAAAGCCCTTTCCAGTGAAACCGACCGCCTGGGAGGCGTGGCTTATTCAGTCGCTTTATTAATAAAAGAGATCAATTAAGCTTTCCTCTCCCCACCCACCCTGGAGGTGCCGGGCTTTGAATCCTCGGGAGGAAAAAATGGCAGGGCTGCAAGCTTCCTCCCCAAGTTTCCAGGAGCACCTGCCACCAGCCTTGAACACCTCCCCCACCGAGGCTCCGAAATCCACAATCCTGGCCGTAGACTTTGCAAAACGAGGGGAGGGACACACGCAGCGTGTCCCCCATTCCCGCCGGGATAAGCACGCACAGGCTTCTGAGCGCCTGCTGATCCACACAATCATGAGAGAGAAAGTTCCAGGGGGAAACGATCCGGCTTCTCCGCAGTCCCGGGTCTCCAGCCGCGCGACCCAGACGTGACATGCATCATGGACTCCCGGGCTGCAGGGGCGAGAGGCGGAAAGTTGCCCAACAGCCCCGGGAGACGCTGCTTGGAGAGGAAGAGGGAAGAGAGGCACGCATGCCCCCTCCCTCTCCTCCCGAAAGCGAGGAGCTGCGGAGTGAACCCCCAGCTCCAAGGGCGTCGCGCCGCTTTATTTACAAACAATGAGCTCGGCTTGCGGAGGGTGGGGGGTGCGGAAGGACCCAAGCTCCCCTGGATCCCGCTCCGGGGCGCTCCCGCTTTGGGGCTCCCCTGCAGACGCTGGGCACGAGCACCCCGGGGACGGCCCCTTTCCCCTCCCCCTGCCGGCGCGGGATAGGAACTCCCCGGGGAGTCCCGAGCAGGAAGGGGGTGCCACTCACCTCGTCTTCGGAAAGTCCATAGACCGGCTCCCCGAGCCCGGTCGCCATGGAGCCGGCGCCCCGCGCGGGGTCTGAGGCGCTCCCAGCGGCTGTGCTGCGGCGCGGACGGCCGGTTCTCCCCTCTGCCTCCAGGTCCCCCCGGTCCCGCACCCTACCCTGCGCACGCCCTGCCGGGTAAGCGGCCGGGCGCCGGCAGGTGAGGGTGCCCGAGAGCGCGCCCTGGACGCTGCCGGCACCGCTTCCTCCCGGAAGGCTGCGGGACCAGCGGGCGGGCGGCTCCCGAGAGCGCGCCGAGCACCGGGCGGCAGCCCCGGCGCCTCTCACTGCGCGCGGCGGCGGCGCAGACCCGGCCGGGCTTTCCCTCCCCGCGACCCGCGCCTCCCTCCCGCCCCGCCGCTCTCCGCCCCCCTCCGAGCCTCCTCTGCGCTCCCGGGGACCCGGCTCGCCCGCCTCCTCGCTAGCGCCGTCCGGGCCCCCGCTCTCTCCGCCCCCTCCTCCGCCTCCTCCCACCGGCGCCGCGAGGGTACCCTCCCCGTTCGCCGGGGCGGGCACACGCGCCCCCCAAGCCAATCACAGGCCGGGCTGGCGAGCGGGCCGCGGGCTGCGGGGGTGGCGGAGTTCAGCCCCACGCCCACCCCGGCCCGGGGCCTCCAGCGCGGCGCGGCGGGGGTCACCCGGCCGCGGGGCGGATCCGCAGGGGCGTGTACTGGCGCGCTTGGCCGGCGCCGCCGACCCTCCCTCCTCTCCCGGTTTCCCTCCGCTTTAGGGAGGGGGCGGGCTGGACGTTTGGGGGCGATAGAGGATTTTGCGAACAATAACAAAAACGCCCTGAGCGTTTCTTCCTCCCGGTGGTCTTTTTACCGAGAGCCCTGAGCTCGCTGTTAACTGTGAAAAGGGGAAAAGATGGATGTTTCTAGACCCCTTTAAATTCTTTGCGGCCCCGACGAGCAGGACTTGGCTACATTGTCAGCTCCCGGGAGCGAGCCGCCCGGCCCGGCTGCCAGCCGAGGAGAGGCTGCCCCAGTGTGGCCGCAAGTCGCCATTGCCTGTGTCAACCTTGCAGGGAACAAAACCAACATAGCGCCCGCCCCGGTTACACACCCACCCACGCGAAAACAGACAGCATGGTTCTTTGAATAAAAAGCAGTTCATTTGTGAGCCGCAACGTGAAATATCAAACTCAAGCTTAAGGTTATCCTTTGCATATGCAAATGATCGAGACGTCTTATTAGCCACCGTAGGATTCTTCCCACCACCCAGCTACCGTTTCTCTAGCAAGCAGTTCATTTAATCCTTCCGATTTATAGGACTGCAAGAGACTACTTTAAATAAGTGAAAGAAATTCGTCAGTCGACTTTTTCGGAAGCCTTTCCTTAAATTTAGATGTTAAGTGCAGTTGGGAGTTCAAAAAGAAAACAGACGCAGAACATTCCATTTGCCTTTGAAAAGGAAACGTCAAAGTGCCTACTTGGGTATTACCAGGATGCATTTAGGATTTTCATTCAAGGAAGTTCAGAGAGAACTCGCGTGACCCGAAGGAATCATATTCCTCGTTGCCAGCTACATAACTAAATATCTGCTGTTCGCCCTGCTAGTTCGTTTTCAAAAGAGCCCACCCATGCTACCTTAAGCTCTCCTTTGCCTTCCTGCAGCATGACTGGCTTAAAACCTGTGCCGTAGAATGGGTTTCCTTTGACGACTTAGCCCCATGGAGTCAACATCCTACTCAGAAGCCTTCTCTAGAAGTCTTGAGCCGTCAAGTCCACAGTACTTACAGGCCACAAAACCCCCAATGAGAACTATTTATGGAGGACTATTTAAAAGTCAGATTTCTGTCCATTCTTTCAATACTGAGGTTTTTCAACCCTTTCAAACCTCGAGTCTTTAGACCGGGCACGGTGGCTCAAACCTGTAATCCCAGCACTTTGGGAGGCTGAGGCGGGCGGATCATAAGATCGGTAGTTCAAGACCAGCTGGCCAATGTGGTGAAACTCCATCTCTACTAAAAATACAAAAATTACCCAGGCGTGGTGGCGGGCGCCTGTAATCCCAGCTACTCGGGGAGGCTGAGGCATGAGGATCCCTTGAACCTGGGAGGCGGAGGTTGCAGTGAGCCGAGACTGCGCCACTGCACTCCAGCCTGGACCACAGAGCGAGACTCCGTCTCAAAAAAAACAAAAACAAAAAAAAACAACCCTAAAGTCTTTTGATAAACAAAAGGTACACGTGCACACTCTGTCTTTCTCTCTCTCTCTCTCACACACACACACACACACACACACGCATTCTCAGATGCCCTTGCCCTAGCCTGTGACCCTCATGGATGGGAGTCAGTGCTTCTCTACCTACCCTCACTAGCCAAACCTTTGTAAAATTTGTACAGTTTATATTATAAAGGAAGAAAAGTAATTGAATAATAATGCTAGCATTTTGGGAGGCAGAGGCAGGAGGATCATTTGAGGCCAGGAGTTCGAGACCAGCCTGGGCAATATAGAGAGACCCCTGTCCCTACAAAAAAAAAAAAAAATTAAAAATTTGCCAGGTGTGGTGGCATGGGCCCATAGTCCTAGCTACTCAGGAGGCTAAGACTAGAGGTTCACTTGAGCCCAGAAGTTCAAGGTTACAGTGAGCTATGATCGTGCCATTGCACTCCAGCCTGGATGACAGAGAAAGACCCTGTGTCTCTAAATAAATAAATACATAAATAAATAATTCTTAAAATGTGCTGATAGAAAATTATAATTTCTAATTACACAGGACACGCCTTCCACATCCTGGAGGTACACAATTCCAGGCTTCGCCTTTGGGTAAGGCTATGTTATCTGGAAACTGTAGAGGGGTGTGGCAGTTTCTCTTCCTGTCTTTTATCATCTACTCCCACACACCCACCGCAACAGCCTATAGCCCTGCACTCAGGGTCATGTCCTTGTCTTTCCCTGAGGGATGGTTATTAGGAACTATAATATGAAACTTGCCATATGTCACTTATTGTGGGGTGTTTATAAAATCGTGATCCATGACATCAACATCCTCTGTGAGAAGACTAATAAACTAGACATTTATTTCAGATCTATGAAGAAAAGCTCTTTTGCTTTCAAGAAACTGGTAAGCTTTTGCATGGCAGATGACCAAAATTATTAAAACCGACTGTGTTTTTCTATCTACTTTGGCCACCAGGAAGCTCAGAACCAGTTTCATGGTCTTAAGCCATAAAAGAACCCATTAAAAAAAATCCCTTTTGTAACTATATACCAACTTTCCCCCAGTGCTGTGGTTCTCTACTCAGCATGTACATTGCAATCACCTGGGGAGCTTTCAAATAGACTAAGTGCCCGGTAACCAGCATCAGAGGCTATGATTTAATGGATTCTGACATCAGTAGTTTCAACAGCCTCCCAGGTGATGCTAATGTGCATTTAAGGCTGAGAACATCAGCTTAGTTTCCAAATTTTGCTATACATAGAAACATTTGGGAATTTTTACTACTGCTCCTCTCTGCCTCCCACTCCCAGGCGTTATGATTTAATTAGTACAGGGTGCCACATGGGCATCAGGAGCTTTAAAAGTTCCCCAGGTGATCCTAATGCACCACTGCCAAGTTTAGAGACATCTGGCCTAGATTTATATTACTATTCTTTTTTTTTTTCTTTTTCTTTTCCTTTTCCCCGAGAGACAAGTTCTTGCTCTGTTGTCCAGACTGGAGAACAGTGGCATGATCACAGCACACTGTACCCTCAAACTCCAGGACTCAAGTGATCCTCCCACCTCAGCCTCCCAAGTAGCTGGGACTACAGGAGCACACCATTGTACCGGCTAAGGTTTTTTGTTTTTTGTAGAGATGGGGTCTCCCTTGCCCAGGCTGGTCTCGAATTCTAGGCTTCAAGTGATCCTCCCACCTTGGCCTCCCAAAGTGTTAGGATTACAGGCATGAGCTACTGAGCCCAGCCTATATGCCTTTTCTTTATATATTTTCCACCACTCTGTTTTTTCATTCGTTTTTTTTCAACTTAGAGGAAATTGCATGTTATAAACACACTCAAATCTTTTGTGGAGTGAGGTAGAATATAAACAAACATACTTAGAAGACTAGCATCATCAATCAGTTTACCCATCATCTACTCTGAAGTCTCAGATTAGTAATCCAATTTCTTTTCTTTCTTTCTTTTTTTTTTTTTTTTTTTTTGAGATGGAGTCTCGCTCTGCTGCCCAGGCTGGAGTGCAGTGGCGTGATCTCGGCTCACTGCAAGCTCCGCCTCCTGGGTTCACGGCATTCTCCTGCCTCAGCCTCCCAAGCAGCTGGGACTACAGGCGCCCGCCACCACGCCCGGCTAATTTTTTGTATTTTTAGTAGAGACGGGGTTTCACCTTGTTAGTCAGGATGGTCTCGATCTCCTGACCTCGTGATCCACCTGCCTCGGCCTCCCAAAGTGCTGGGATTACAGACATGAGCCACCTAGCCCAACCTAGTAATCCAATTTCTTTGGGGGTGAGGGAGGACAACCCTTAAAGGGAACTATTCAGCAGGTGTATCAAAAGCAATGTTTCCTCCAGTCCGTTTTGCATCTACCCAACAATTACATAGAACCTTAACTTGTAGAGTCTCCTCTAGAATTCGTTTCCCTTTGTTCCCTTTGCAGGCTGCCTTTAGCATCTTAGATTTGATACTGTGGGTGTTTGGCAAATACTCTTCACTTGGATCATCAGAAATGAAAAATTAGCAGGAACAATTTTAAAGTACAATGGGTAATCACAAATAGGGAACATTTTAATGCTAAGCCTCTTTACAAATTATTGAGTTGTCTTAGCAAAACTATGTAGATCATAATCACATCTGGGAAGTACCCAAAGAAGAAGAATACATAATGTCACATGTTTAAGTTTCATATAAATAACACTCGATTTTTCTCTTCAATTTTCAGTGATGATTTGTCTTCTTTAAAAAGAAGGCCTATTAAGCAGACATTTCGAAGATGGCCACAAACCTGTAAAAACTGGTATCATCTTGGAACTCAGCACCATTCCTTGACACACAGAAATGTAACAAATTTAAGCCGTTTATGATCATATAAGAAATCTATATTATGCTTCAAATTTTTGACAAATATAGAGGTGGGTAGCAAAGAATGACTTGTAAATAGCTCATCTTTTTGTATAAAAATAGCTACATTAGGCCATTCTTGCAATGCTATTAATGAAGAAATGCCTGAGGCCAAGCACAGTGGCTCACACCTGTAATCCCAACACTTTGGGAGGCTGAAGTGGACAGATCCCTTGAGTCCAGGAGTTCGAGACCAGCTGGGCAACAAAGTGAGACCTCATCTCTAAAAACAAAAAATACAAGAATTCGCTGGGCCTGGTGGCTTGCGCCTGTAGTCTCAGCTACTCAAGGAGCTGAGGCAGGAGGGTCCCTTGAGCCTGGGAGGTTGAGGCTGAGGTGTGCCGAGATCACACCACTGCACTCCAGTCTGGGCAAAAGAGCCAGACCCTGAAAAAAGAAAGAAAGAGAAAGAAAGGAAGAAAGAAAGGAAAGAAAGAAAAGAAACACCTGAGGCTGGGTAATTTATAAAGAAAAGAGGTTTAATGGGCTCACGGTTCTGTGGGCTGTACAGGAAGCATGGTGCTGGCATTTGCTTCTGGGGAGGCCTCAGGAAGCTCACAATCATTGGTGGAAGGCGATGGGCAGCCATCACGTCACATGGTGAGAGCAAGAGCAAGAGTGGGTTGGGAGGTGCCACACACTTTTAAACAACCAGATCTCACATGAACTAACTGAGCTAGAACTCACTTATCACCAAGGTGATGGTGCTAAGCCGTTCATGAGGGACCCGCCGTCATGATCCAGTCACCTTCCACCAGGCCCCACTTCCAACATTGCAAATCACATTTCAACAAGAGATTTGGAGGGAACAAACATCCAAATCATATCAATAGCTAAGCTTTTAAAGAAATACATTTTTGAATAACTATGTGCTATTTATTCTAGAGCTCTAAAATTAATAAAATATAGTTTATTAGTTTATTACTGATAGCGATTTACCTTTTAAAAATCATCATTTCTAAAATACCTGGCTTTGTTTTCACATTTTTACTACGTACTTTTTCATGCCTTTTAATTAGTCGTCTGATTGAGTAATGATAGTGTTCTTTGTTTTCTTACTGCATTTATTTCCTCACTTGGGATGGGTTGGGATGTTAATCACTGCATTTCTGTTCTTTTACCGGTTACGCTTGACATTTTACATGCATGCTGTTAAATTAAGTTTAACAGCCTAAAGGTTTCTTCATACATAATGAGCTATAACCTAACTAGATGTGTAAACAGACTGTAACTTACTCTTGTATCAATCACTGACTTTCGGCCAATCAAAGAGGCCAACTCTTCAAATTGTGTTCAAATAAGGCAAACACTGAGCAGTAACCAATTCAGCTATTTCTGTACCTAACTTCTGTTTTCTGTAAGTCACTTCCCATTTTCTGTCCATAAACCGTCTTTGGCCACACAGCAGCATCAGGGTCTCTGAACCTATTCTCATTCCAGGGAAGCGCAATGTTGCTGGATTCTCAAACTGTTCTTTGCTCAATTAAAATCTGTTAAATTTAATATGCCTGAAATTTTTTTTTTAACAATGCCTAATGTAACAAACCAAAAGTTCGTATCTTAATCCCCTATCTGAACATGAAGCTTAAAAAACTATTTTGATCAAGGACCAGTCTTGCTCTGGCTTTTTTTTTTTTTTTTTTTTAGTTTTTTCTTTATTTTTAAGAAAAATTTTTTAGAGACAAGGTCTTGCTATGTTGTCCAGGCTGGTCTCAAACTCCTGGCTTCAAGCGATCCTCCTGCCTCAGCCTCCCAAAATTTTGGGATTACAGGTGTGAGCCACCATGCCTGGCTCCTGTCTTTTTTTTGAAACCACCAAATTAGATATTATTATTATATTATACAAGTTCTTCTAGCATTACCAATATGTTTTGCAGTTTCTTTTCTAAGGATTCCTTGTTGCTTCTTAGATGTTCCTTTGGGATCATTTTCCTTCTTCCTAGGAACATCCTTTTAAATTCCTTTAGTAAAGGTCCATGGGTAATAAACTTGCAGTTTTTGTTTATCCAAAAATGTCTATCCACATCCATGAGAGAGGGTGAAATTATATACTAGAAATAGACTCAAAGCTGTTGTGGAACATGGCTGGATGTAAATAGATGTTCTTAATGTGATTAGTGTCCTTGATTGGTTTTACCCAATCCCTATTACTCTGAAGTCTCAGGTTTATAATCAGTTTATTTTGGGAGGGTTCTTGGGGACAGAACAACCCTTCAGAAAAAAATAAAAGGGTAGTCTTATCCCAGGTATAATGTTGTTTCATTCTCAGCACTCTGAAGATGTTATCTCTCTGATTTCTGGCTTCCATTGATGATGATGAACAGTAAGCTCTTAGTCTAATTATTGTCCCTTTTAAGTCATTTGCCTTATCTTTAGCTGCTTTTTGTTTTCAGTGTTCTAAACTTTCTGTAATTTGTCTACATGTGGCTTTCCTTTTCTCCATCCTGCCTAATGTACTTTGCGTTTTTTCTATCTCCCATTTAAATCTTATTTCTGGAAAATGCTCAGCTACTAATCTATTCATATATTCTGTTTTCTCCATTGTCTATATTCTGTTCTTCTAGGGCTCCAATTAATTATATGTTAGACATTCTCATTCTATTCTCTGTATCTCTTAACCTTTTTCGTATTCTGTTTCCCTGTCTGCTACACTCTGGGTGATTTCTTCAAACCTCTAGTCTACTTTGCTAAATCAATATTTAGTTTAGTCTAATCTTCTGTTTGGCCCATCAGTTGAGTTTTTTTAATACAACAATTAGACTCAGTAATTGTATCTAAAGGTTTTTAGCCAGGTGTGGTGGTGCATGCCTATAGTCCCAGCTACTCAGAAGGCTGAGGCAGGAGGATCATTTGAGCCCGGGAGTTTGAGGTTGTCTGAGCTGTGATCACACCACTACCCTCTAGCCTGAGTGTCTCAAAAAATTTAATTAATGAATTATAAATAAATAAAAGTTTTATTTAATTCTTTTTCAAATCAGCCTCTCAATTCTTGAGTTTCTTATTTTATGTCTCCAAATTTTATTTCATTAAACATTTCATAACTAATTATTTTCTATTTTGTTAATTCTCATATCTAAAGCTTGGGGTGTGTCTTCCATTGTTTCCGCTGACTCTTACTCATAGTAACTTCATTCCATGTGTGTTGATTGGAAATTCATTTGGTTGCGATTTTATTTGGTTAGTCTTAGTCTATGGGAATCCAAAATGGATTTGTGTTTCTTTCTACTAAGAAGCAGGGGACCCTACCACTCTAGGGCCACTTTAGCCCCATTTGAGAGTCTCAATTTAGTGCAGAAGTCTCAGGTTCAGCCACCAGCCAAAGGGTTAGTCTCCCTTCAACTGCAATATTGATATATTAATAGCATTTACTTGCTGCTTACTGCATCATTGTTTGGTTTTAGCTAATAGAGGAGTATGATAGACCATATTAGTATTTGGCAAATATTTACTTCCTCACCCCCAGTAAATGTCCCTGTCCCAGTGTTATTGCACCTACTTTGGCCAATGAAATCTTAGCAGAAATGGCAGTGTGGCCACTTCAAAACAGACATCATAAGAGGTTTGCAAGATTCTGGGACCTCTTTTGTGCTCCTGCCCTCCACCATGAGAACATCACATCCTAGATGAGCTTTGCTCCTTAAGTATCAATGAGAAGAACCATGAAACAGACCTGAACCTGACCTGGAGCCTGGAGCAGGGTTATCCAGCTTAACAGCTGCCAACATGCAATGCAAATTAGAAATAAATGCTTACTGTTGTAGACATTGAGATTTTGAGATTTTTGCTGTACATCATTATCACAGCCAAAGCTGACTAATATATGGGACCTTAAAGGATGAATTCCCTTATGAACTGCAAGCCTAGCAACACATTTAAAAAATTAGGTTGACTTATAACAGGGAGACCCTTCAGTATAGCTAGACCACCACAATGCCAGCCGAGGAAACTCAGTTGCCGCTCTTTACTAATGATGCATTTGAGATTTAATGCAATTAAGTCTTTTTTCCTAAAAGAAGCACAGCCAAATTTGTTTTTTGTTTGTTGGTTGATTGTTTTTTTTTTAGACAGAGTCTCACTCTGTCACCCCGGCTGGAGTGCAGTGGCATGATCTTGGCTCACTGCAACCTCTGCCTCCTGGATTCAAGCGATTCTCCCGCCTCAGCCTCCCAAGTAGCTGAGACTACAGGCATGCACCACCATGCCTGGCTAATTGTTGTATTTTTAGTAGAGATGGGTTTTGACCATGTTGGCCAGGCTGGCCTCCAACTCCTGACATCAAGTGATCCACCCGCCTCGGCCTCCCAAAGTGCTGGGATTACAGGTATTAGCCACAGTGCCTGGCCTAAAATTTGTTTTTTTTTGTTCTTCTTATTATTATTTTTATCATACCTTTACATTCTACTTCATCCCCATTAACACATGTACTGAACTTTAAAATCAAACATCAAGTTCCTGTTTCCTAGAAATTGGGAAAAGCATTAATTGGTTGATATGGCTGGCCCCTGTAACATATTACCACACATTTGGTGGCATAAAAGAGCAGAATTTTTTTCTTTTGCACATCCGGAGCCCAGAAGGTCAAAATTAATGTCACCAGGCCAAGGTACAAGGCCCTCTCTGAGGGGGAGAATCAGTGTCCTTGCCTTCTAGAGCTGGATTCCTTGTATTCCCTGGCTAACAGCCCCTCCCTGCACCTTAAAGCTGGTACCATCTTCAGAGCCCTCTCTCTGCTGAGGTCATGATACCACCTTCTTTCTTCTGTCTACAGTCAAATCTCTTTCTGCCTCCCTCTAATAAGGACACGTGATTATATTTGGAATCCACCCACATAATCTAGGATACCCTCTCACCTCAAGATCTTTAATTACATATACAAACTCTCTTTTGCCACATAATAACATTCACAGGTTCCAAGGATGAAGACCTGGATATCTTTGGAGGCCATTATTCAACCAATTACAAGAAGTGTGATGGCAAATTTTAGTCTATACTTTTCTAGATGCCACAGAAATGCTCAATTATTTGAGTTCAATTTTTGCAAGATAAGGGAAATGATTTGGGTTTTTTTCTACTTTCTTTGCATTTTTATTTTCCAAAAAGCAAAATAAATGATGTCCTTCAACTCTAGGGTAGGCATTCTAAAACATCGGCTTTAATAAACAATGTTGACAAGTTTAGTGATTATTTATTTTTAAAATAACAATGTCTTTAGTAGTCTGAAAAATCTCTACGTAATTTAAAAAGTGACCAATGTGTCTTCTCATTTTAGAACTCTTTTAGTACTCCACTAATGAAATTTCAAAGCATGCTTCTAGATGATTTTCTCTACATTTATGGTTTGTTTAAAAGCAGGAAGACCCAGAAAAAGTTATTAAATGACTCAACTAGCAATTCCAAAGATGTCTCCAACAATGTTGAATTTGCTTTCTGCTGTGTGTGTCAGGGGTGGGTGGGGGTGCATATTGGAAAAGAGAAAGGGGATTCACATAGTGGAAATTCTCTTTAATGATCAGTAGCGCCTTCACAATTTATGAGTTTGCAGTTGAGATAACAAAACCAACTCCTTCAGCTAATAGTGGCAAACAAACATCCTATGTTTTTCCTTACAATTTTTCCAGCGCTCATCCCCCAATGCAACCCCCATCATGCTCACTGTCCGCCCTCCACTCCTACCCCTTTTGGAATAATAATCTTCTAGTTCTATGAACTATTCTTTCAGTATCACCGACTATGTCAAAATTTGATCCCAACAGAGATTATTCCTCCATAGACTCTAGATTCTGTTCACCGATGTCTCTTGAACATATTCCTGGGGAGTGCTCCCATCTTATCACGGTGGTACTATGGCTGGAGCTGAGCCACTTCTCTGCCTTTTCAAGAAGGGCAAAACTTAAGAGAACAGGATTAAAATACAGGAGATTAAAAAAAGCCAAAGGTTTGACAACATACTTAGTTGGCAAATTCACGGGGGAAACAAGACATATCACTGGTGAGAATGCAAAGCAACCCCTGTGAGGAGACATTTGTCTGTGTCTAGCAAATTACACTGGTATTTCCTCATTAATCCAGCAATCCCACGTCTAAGACTATCTGCACTGGCAAAATATGAAGTGACATGTGCATTTGAAATATCAAAAGACTGGAAACAATCCTAAATGCCCACCAATAAAGAAGTAGTTGAATCAATTATTGGTATAGCCAGCCAGTGAAGCGCTGTGTAACTCCATGAGGACGCTCCCTCTACACTGATGTGGAGTAATCTTGAGGGTATATCAAGTTAAATAATAATTTTTAAAAAGCAAAGTGCAGAACCATGTTTATCCTGGGCTACCATTTGTATACAAGTGGAAAAGCATGGCTGAGTCTAGAAGTACAGCTGATATCATCAGGGCTCTATCTCTCAGCTCTGTGTGTTTCTGCTTGGCTTCATTCTGCAGTCTGGTTCTTTCCATGTAGTAAATAAGGAGACTGCTTGCATCCCAAGCTACACCCCCTCCCTGAAAAAAAAACATAAACAAAACCTAGTTTTTGTCAATTACACCTTAATAAAGCTGGGGGTGCTGGGAAGAACTGCTTCCTCCCAAACTATTCTACCAAACAAGGAAGGTGTAGACTGGGTCACTGTCCCACCCCTGTGCATGGGGGAGAAGAGAACAGGGAAGAGTAGCTGACAGCCCCACAGGGACCATATAGCATGAGGAAAGAAAAGGTCTCCAGATAAAATGAGGGCACTGAACACACAAGGGCAACAGATGCCCAGTCCAGGATGAGACCTCTGAGAATGAGACAATAGGAAGAGATTATTGCATTTGTCCAGACATCACATTTCTACATAAAATATGTAAGATATTAGGCACCATGAGCCTCCTTATCTCAGGGTATCAGATGGAAAAGCTGTCAACGTTTCTTAATCCTTCATATCCAATGACTCATAGCAATATATTGAATTAATTTAGGGGCTGCATTATAATTTCTTTTGGGTTTTCCAGTGTACCTACTAGATTTTTAAGGGAATCTGAAGTCCATCCTCAGGAAACAAAGCAGGAGTTTTAGAAAGTGAATTCTGAACTGTGAAGGTGCAATAAAAACATCAGGACTCACGCCTGTACTAGGACAAAAAGCTTTCAGTGTTGTTTCATGCCCAGAGAGCTCAGCCTTTGCTTCCCCGAGCATGGTTGCCTCTGGAATTCCCTGGGGCCAGCTGTAATGAAGATCTGCCAGGAAGCAGCGAGTATTGCTTATTGGAAGGAGAGAAATGGCCTTAGAAGCATTTTGGGAGAGGCAGAGATGCTTCCATTGGCCTTGTCCACCCAGGCCACCTGCTCAATCTTAGAATTTTCGAAGATGGGCAAAAGCATCCAAATGAAAGCAAATTTCTGGGCACCGAAAGGCTGTGATGGCTAAGAAAGTCTGATTTTTCTGGAGGGTCCCACCTGTTTCAGTATGAAAACTTCTTCTTTTTTTAAAAAAAAAAAAGAGAGAGAGACAGGGTCTCACTATGTTGCTCAAGCTGGTCTTGAACTCCTGGCCTCAAATGATCCTCTGGCCTTGGCCTCCCGAAGCACTGGGATTACAGGTATGAGCCATCATGCCCAGCCAATATGAAGGCTTCTATAATAATACATTCTCCCTGCCTGTTTCAGCATGAAGACTTCTAAGACCAACTACTGTTATAAATTGTTACAAATATAATACCTCCTCCTCTCTTTCCCTTTATCCTAAAACCAGACATCTTTGGATCATGGCTAGAGACATCTTCTGTCTCCCACGGTTGAAACTGAGCCTGGGGAAATGGCCTTGTTACCTTTTCATAGATCATTCCAGGAAGCCCTGCTAGCTAATGGCCTCTTATTCTGTATGGTCCCCAAGATCTGCTAATCGAAGCCTCAACTCCAATTAGTATGCAACAAACAAAACTCCTATTTTTTGTTTGCTTGTTTTTTGAGACGGAGTCACCCTCTGTCACCCAGGCTGGAGTACAGTGGCGCCATCTTGGCTCACTGGAACCTCCTCCTCCTGAGTTCAAGAGATTCTCCTGCCTCAGCCTCCTGAGTAGCTGGGACTACAGGTGCATGCCACCATGTCTGGCTAATTTTTTTGTGTTTTAGTAGAGATGGGGTCTCACAATGTTGCCCAGGCTGGTCTCGAACTCCTGAGCTCAAGTGATCCACCTGCCTCAGCCTCAAAAAGTGGTGGGATTGCAGGTGTGAACAACTGTGGCTGGCAAAACTCCTATGCTTTTTGATAGCAGAACTTTCTCATAATCATGCATACTCACATACTTTTTAAAAACTCAGATATCTTGTCCAAGTGTGGTGGTGTGCACCTGTAGTCCCAGCTAGTTGGGAGGCTGAAGTAGAAGGGTCGCTTGAGCCCAGGAGTTCCAGGCTGTAGAGTGCTATGATTTAGCCTGTGAATAGCCACTGCACTCCAGGCTAGAACACTTCTTTCTAAAAAAATGTTTTTAATCAGAAATTGTCTGTTATTTTATAGCATTAATTACCCTATATTAAAACTGCAGCACATTGAAAATTCATTTACTTTCTTTAATTTTATCATTAAAGTTTGTTTGACACTGTAAAGTACTTCTTGGAGACTCATGTCATGTACGCTTTTTCTTTCTTGCCACTGGCATCCACAGATCCCCCTCCCTCAACACAGATATACTGAGTGAAGACTGGTACTTGGTTCACCATGAGGTTCTATCGACCTCAACTTCTGGCATAGAATCCACCTATGGTATAACGAACAGGTGCCCAGATTCCCACCCACCCTCCTGGCTTCTCAGGTCCTTGACCTCCTCATATCTAGTGACCTTCTCTCTCTATGCCCTGGACCTTATCAACACTCCAAACTGCTCTACCTTCAAACTCAGGGATTTATTTATTTATTTATTTATTTATTTATTTATTTATTTAGAGATGGAGTCTCACACTGTTGCCCAGGCTGGAGTGCAATGGCACGATCTTGGCTCACTGCAACCTCCGCCTCCCCCATTCATGCGATTCTTCTGTCTCAGCCTCCTGAGTAGCTGGGATTACAGGTGCACACCACCACATCTGGCTAATTTTTTGTATTTTTAGTAGAAACGGAGTTTCACTATGTTGGCCAGACTGGTCTCAAACTTCTCACCTTGTGATCTGCCTGCCTCGGCCTCCCAAAGTGCTGGGATTACAGGCATGAGCCACTGTGCCCGGCTCAAACTCAGCTTACTCACCACAGACTTCTCATGCCCCAACCAGTGTTACATGGTCTTTGACTTCACCAAAAGCACGATCCCCTCCATTTTCTCCTAATTTTGAGACCTTTTGGTTTTAACTTCACCACCTTTCTTGTCCAGCTTTCACAACACAGTCTCACGTTCCAGTCTTTCTTTTGAAATTACTCCCAAACAGCCCTTTCCTCTGTCCTCTGCTGTTTCTGCTTTATTCAAGCTTGAATCTGCGTAGCTGAGACTCACTGAAGAAAGTAAAGGATTTCAGCAGTTTCCACTCACTTTGAGTTCCCAGCTACCAACTTCACCTGGGCTTCCATCGTCCTTAGCTCCCTCCCCTTCTCTGCACTCTCAACAGCTCACTCTGCTTCCTAGTTCCAGGAGAAAACAGAAATCATCACACAGATCTCCACAGACACACCCAGAAAGCATCCTCATCCACACCGTGTCCTCCTCTTTCCTTTTTTGTCCTTTTCCTATTAGAGATCAGTCATTCCAAGGAAGCCTAGAATGCATTCTCTCCCAGGCATCCTCTCTCTTGCCCACTGGATCCTTTCCATCAGCATTCAAATGTTCTTCTAACCTGGGAACTCACCTTAATTTCACACGGAAGGCTGTGCCTCCCTAATTTGCAAAGATTAAGTTTTAAAAAAGTAAAAACAAAGATATGTACTTCCAACCTAAAAAAATAAATTGTAAAAAGCCCTCTTTGGACTTCACATCCTCTTCTAATAATCACCTTATTTTGCTTCTTCTCTTCATGATCGAATGTCTACACTTGCTGTCTACACTTCTTCACTACCATTTATCCCCTCAGGCTTCCAGTCTGGTTCTCATACTCCACTGACATTTTTTTCATTAACTTCAATGAAGATATATATGCCACTTCAGCCAGGGGATGCTTTTTACTATTTATTTGATTTGTTTTCTTAATGGTATCCACCACAGAGATCTCTTTTCTCTGGAAACTTTCTATTGTATTCCCTACACTCACTGATGCCACACTTGCCTGCTTTCCCTTCTACCCTTTTGGCTTCTTCTATTCAGTTTCCATCATAGACTCTTCTCCTCTGTCCAATGAACTCTGAGGACCTCATTGCTAGATTCTTCTCTCTTCCTACCTTTTATATATCTCCTGTGAGAATCTTCTCTCTTCTGCCTTTAACCACTATCTCTTCACCAAAGACTCTGAAATATATATCTCTGTCCCAGACCTCCAAGTCAGTGTGTATGTATCTATCTAACTGACCACACAGCCACTCCTGGACATCTCAAATTCAGTATGTCCTCAACTGAAACTATCCTCTCTCTCCCACCCACCTATCCCCCAAATGAACTCCAGACAGAACAAGTAGTATAATCAGAGACACAGAGTCTGAGTGAGAAGCCTAATTTAGGAGCCATATGTGACTCTATTAGGGTAGACATGTAGGAAATGGTTTTCTTAAAAGTGAAATAAAAGATTTTTGAAACATCTGTGATTTGGGCCCACCCTTCATTCATTATTCCTTCTATAGCCAGATTGCTCTTTATTTAGAGGTAGTCAACCCTTCCTCTCTCTCCATCCATTTGATTTGGATGGGGCTGGCTCCATTCCCTGAAGAAAGGTACTGGACCCAAGGATGGCCAATCAGAGCTCCAGACCCCCAGCCACAGTGATGGGTTCAGGAATGGGCACATGACCCAAGTGGGTCAGTAAGAGTCATACGCTGGACTTTTTACTGGAATACGCTTTAAATGGCTTGGTTTTTCCACTGAGGTTCCAAAGATGATGACATAGTTTGCAAGTCTAGTGTTACTGGTGGTCATCTTTACCACCACATGGAAATGACCTACCTAAGAAGGCAATGTCAGTGTGATAAGATTCTGTTTGCATTTTAGAAAGATCACCGCTGAAGACAGTGAAAGCAATAGACTGATGCAGTGACCCAGGTAAGGACTTTGAACTAAGATTGCTATAAAAGATCCAGAAAGAGGAGGAAATATCTGAAAGGTAATCTGAGTGGTAGCCTCTCAAGAGTAAAGAGCTAGTTGGAGACAAGAGAGAAGGAAGAATGAGGACCCTTTCCAGTTTTCTGGATCTGCTGGCTAAGCAGATAATTATGTCATTCTTGAGACAGGGAGCACGGAAGCAGTAGATGGCTAGTAGCAGTAGCCTGGGAGTGGTGTGGAGGATGATTTGGTTTACTTTTGGATAGAGGGGTTTGAAGGGTTTTGGTGCCTGAAGAATATGTAAATGAAGGTGTTAGAAGATGCATTCATGAAAGAAAATGAAAAGCAGTGGCCAGTGAGATAGAAAAAAAACCATAAATGGCTGGTATCACAGAAGTTCGGTAGGGAGAAGCAAGAAGTATGAGATCTCCAATTTGTAATCTCCAGCCCAAGTTTTCTTAGAAGCTCCAGACTCATATATCTACATTCACTAGACATTTCCATGTGAATGCAAACAAAGTCAGAATAAATCAAGCATTTTCCGTACTCAAAACCTGTTTCCTTATGAATCAGTTCCATTATTTTATAGTTGCATGGAAAGCAAGGAATCCTTCTAGATACTTCTCCTTCCTTATCCCCCACAAAAATTCCTGTGATTTTTATCTTCTCTTTGTACCCTTCTCCCTTGCTCTATTGACACTGTCCTAGTTCTTCACCTCTTATCACAATTCCTTTAGTTTCTCAAAAGAGGAAACACAGATATAGCATCCCCACCCACCCTCCATGATCATGTGCTCGTGGAATCCTGGATTCTGAGCTCTTCTGGCCTGCTCTAATGGACTCAAGGAGTTACTTGAGATGTCCTTGGTCTTGTTTGCCAGTAGAAAAATGAAGAGTAGAGTTCGAGGAGAGAGCGTGGGAGAGGCAGCATTTAGCCACATGGTATAAACACATGCCCTGCTGGCCCCACCTCCTCTTTTCTCCCAGGATCTCCCAATTGAGATTGTTAAGGGAATGGGTTGGCCTTAGATCAGACCACAGAGGGGCAGGGTTTTTTTTTTTTTTCCTGTCCTTTTATGAGACAGGATCTCACTATGTCACCCAGGCTTGAGTGTAGTGGCATGATCTCAGTTCACTGCAGCCTCAACCTCCTGGGCTCAAGCGATCCTCCCACCTGAGACTACAAGTGTGCACCACCATGCCTGGCTAATTTTTTAAATTTTTTGTAGAGCTAGAGTCTCACTATGTTGACAAAGCTGCTCTCAAACTCCTGGATTCAAGCAATCCTCCTACCTCAATCTCCTGAGTAGCCGGGACAACAGGCATGAGCCAACATACTTGGCTAATTTAAAAAATATAAGTATTTTGTAGAGGCAGGGGTCTCACTATGTTGCCCAGGCTGGTCTCAAACTGCTGGCCTTAGTGATCCTCCTGGCTTGGCTTCCCAAATTGCTGGGATTACAGGGGCGAACTGGCAGTTGTTAAAGAAGAACCTCTTTGTGTAGAGATTAAGCTGCATATATATACTAGTTTTTGTTTTGCCCTGGAACACCAGTGTGTAAGCTCCAGGAGGCAGGGACTGTGGACATTAAGTTTCCCACTGCTGCCCCGGCTTAAAGCTTCTGCCTTGTACATAGGAGTCACCAATTAAATAATCATGCAATAAGTGAATATTATGTTGGCAACTGATGTGTGCAAATGTCATTCTGAAATTCTGATCCAGTTTGCATTTATTAAGGGGGCTTCCAAACAGTATTCTGATGTACTCTCTCGGCAGCAAAACAGGCCTGAAGATCACGAAAGTAAATGAGCTTTTTGTCTTTGTCTTGCTTCAAGTCAGCATGCCTCATCCCCCCACCCCCCTTTCTCAGTCAATATAAGGCCCCTCAAGGCAAATAACTCTTCTACGACTCAAAGATACTCACTTGGAGGCAATGAATGTCTCTCTCATGTAGATCCTTCCTCCAGGATGAATTTCCCACTTCAGTAAGGAAAATGAGGATACTCACATAAGCCTACCCTTTCCTGCCTCACAAAGTGGATATGTGAATAAATTAGATGATATTTCTGAAGGCTGACTGTATCTATAAATTCCAAATACTCAGTAGACTTTAGGATATACTTAGTAACGCACATACAACCACATTCCCCAAAATGTAATAACTGCATTGTGTAAAAGCTTGATATAGATGTGTTTTCACATGAGACTAACCCTTGAAAATGATGAGTCTCCGGGTTTATCAGGTTAAAATAAAGCAAGCCTATCCAATCATAAACACACATGAGGGACAGGCTGTCTGTTCATTAAATTCTGGAATGCCCAAATTTGAGAACATCCTTTGAAGCTTAAAATAAGTCATTTTATACTTTACACCATGGACTGCAAGCTTATGAAACTTAGTCCCAGATAAAAGCCTCAGCATAAAAATAAATCAGGAAAAGTTTAGTTAAGTCAGTGAGCAACAGATTTAGAGAGAGCTTTTATCATTTATCATTACAGTAAACACTCATTAAGAGCCACAAGGTGTTGGGGATTTCACTCAGGGCCCTTTAACCTTTTGAGGTTTTAGCATGAGGGTAATTATGACGTCCCATGACATACCCCCTTCATGCTGCTGGCAGAATACTGGCTTGATTCACCACCAGCCTGGCCTCATAAGATGAGCAATTTGTTCTAGTTCTTCAACTCCAGCATTATAAAGGAAATTATATGAATGATTTATCATATTCGTTATAAGTGCTCCAAGTTTAGACAAACTGTCCTTGTCTCTCTCTTGAAGAATTAATATAATCCTTTTCCTATGTTACTCCAGGCTGCTTTCTTCTTTTTTTAAGAAAAAACACACAAAAACAAACAAACAAAAAAACAAGATCTTGCCTAGGCTGTAGTGCAGTGGCGTGACCATAGATCACTGCAGCCTCCATCTCCCAGGCTCAAGAGATCCCCCTACCTTAGCCTCACGAATAGCTGGGACCACAGCTGTGCACCACTTTGCCCAGCTAATTTTTAAAAGATTTTTTGTAAAGATAGGATCTCACTATGTTGCGCAAGCTGGTTTCAAACTCCCAGGCTCAAGTGATCCTCTGGCCTCAGTATCCCAAAGGCTCAAGGCCTTCTAAACCAGCAATATGTATACACATGTACGTGTGTGCCTGCAGCTATGTGTGTCTTTTTGTCTCATATCTTGTCTTCCCACACAAGTGAGCACGAAAACATAAGAAGCACCCGATACACGCCCTAGACTCAGGTTCTCAAAAGCCAGTCTTGAAGTTTCCACACTCACTCCCAGGATGTCAGCCACTTCTAGTGTGGTTGTGGAAATCTCAAAACAAAACCCATTTCTTAGGCTGGGTGTGGCGGCTCATGCCTGTAATCCCAGCACTTTGGGAGGCTGAGGCCAGCGGCTCCCTTGAGCTCAGGAGCTCCAGACCAGCTTGGGAAATATGCTAAAACCCCATTTCTACCAAAACAAAACCCAAAACAAAAAACAGCCACAACTCATTTTTTCTCATTTCAAATTTTTTCCAGTTCTGCAAAAAGATATATGCCAAAAGGAGCTTAGGAGCTGGGAGAAACACCACATCAGAATGAAATAAAACAGCAGCATGTTCAGGAATGATGGATCCAGGCACACATTAAGGTAGCACCTCCAATCTCCCCTTTCTTCTTCATTCAGGATATAAAACATTCCTGCTCTGAATTAATTTTATAATTGCTCTTCCACACCACTGCATGGAAACAAATTCACGGAAAGCGATTTGATGCAGAGTTCCTGTATTGAGGGAAGGAAGGAGAATATTTTTGTTGTGAATATAAAATCATGCATTGGTCAGGTCCCCCAACCTGACTGAAATGAATGGCACTATCAGTTCACAAATTCACTTGATTAAATTAAATGCAAACCCCAGGCCCAAACTGCCTGGAAAATATTGTCATACCACAGCTTTCCTAGTAAACAACTTCATTTTTATTTGCCAATCAAAATAGATAAGACTTCTGCACAAGAAGCAGTAATTGATTTAGTGTATTTGATTTAGATAGAGTGAGAGAACTTAGTCAGTTGGGATAAGAAGCCATTGTTAGAGAGTACAGCTGAGCCTCCAACAGAGTTCTTTTATTCTCTCTTCCCTGTCCTGGGAGATGGACTTTGGAAAGGCTTGTAATACAGCTGGTTCCAGACGTTACTTCCACCGTAAAAGACTTCACTGAGCCTCAGTTAATCTGCTTGTTTATGTACTGTTCAGATTCAGCCAATTGGAGGATGGAGGGATCTGAAATATTTCCATGACAACAGTTTTTTATTAAGACAAGAAAACGCTAGAATTCTTTTTATGATCAGGCCATTCTGAGATAAATAATGGTCAAAAAGGTTATTCAACAACTTTTTTTAAACCGAAATAATTTTCTGATTATTAGTTAAAATTGTGGACTAATATAAAAAATTCCTGAATCCTAATTAAATATATCATTTAATCACTCTATCTTCCATTCTCCCAGCAGGAAATAGAGATCATAATAGTAAACTTCATGTAGGAGTCATTTTAGGATTAATTAGCTCATGTTAGTAAAGGGTGTTTTGAAGTAGTAAAATAAAATATATTACAAAATTTTATTAGTCTCCATTGTGCCTGAGATTTATGGGTTTTAGCTCTTACTTCTAAAATTTAGTAGCTGTAAGTTCATTTTGAATGGATTTTATTAGTATCTCCTGAATTGTAGCTTAAGCAACACACACATACATACACACAACCCGTCAGTCACAAAGCCACAGCACACAGTAAGTCTTCCAGGGAGATGACCAGAATCCCTGGTCTGATACCATTTCTTGCTCCCACTCAATTTTTTACTTATTTAGGACATAATATCACATGTGCAACTATGAATGCTTCAGCACAGCTCCAAAATTTGACTTTCTGGTTAATTAAACACTTAGATAAGCAGAAAGACATTAGATAACATATTAAAATTATTAATTTTCTAAAAATGAGAATTCAGTAGAAATATAACAATTAGTAAATTATACTGAATACAGTATTCTTTATATTGACAATTCAGAAAATTTTTTTTGTTTTGTTTTGTTTTGTTTTTGAGATAGGGCTTTGCTCTGTCACCCAGGCTGGCATGCAGTCGTGCAATTATGCCTCACTGCAGCCTTGACCTCCTGGACTCAAGCGGTCCTCCCACCTTAGCCTCCTGAGTAGCTGAGACTACAGGCATGTACCATTGTGCCTGGCTAATTTTTTAAATTTTTTGTGGAGATGGGGTCTCACTATGTTGACCAGGCTGCTCTTGAACTCCTGATCTCAAGTGATCCTCTTACCTTGGCCTCCCAAAGTGCTGGGATTACAGGCATGAGCCAACACACCTGGCAGAAAGTATCCTTAAGGGTTATAGTTAATAGTAAATATCTTCATATTCTATTATGGATTTCCAGATAACAAAATGCACAGTGGAAGAACACGTACTTTGTCTTTTTTTAATTGATATATAATATTTTACTTATTTATGGGGTACATGTGAGTATTTGTTACATGCACAGAATGTGATTTTTTTGGTAAATCTCTTTTGTTTATCTTAGTACCAAATACAAAAATCTATACCTGGGGAATTTAATATATTTTTGTATAAAATCATAGCAGCAGCAATCACCCTCTACAGTAGGCAGTTTTTGTTTTTGTTTTTGTTTTTGTTTTTTGAGATGAAGTCTCACACTGTCCCCGGGGCTGGAGTGCAGAGGCACGATCTCGGCTCACTGCAACCTCCGCCTCCCGGCTTCAAGTGATTCTCCTGCCTCAGCCTCCCAAGTAGCTGGGATTACAGGTGCCCGCCACCATGCCTAGCTAATTTTTTGTATTTTTAGTAGAGACGGGGTTCCACTATGTTGGCCAGGCTGGTCTCAAACTCCTGACCTCATGATCCGCCTGCCTCGGTCTCCCAAAGTGCTGGAATTACAGGCATGAGCCACCGCGCCCGGCCTACAGTAGGCAGTATTTTACAGAGAAGGACGCTGAGGCCTGGAGAAATTTAGGAGCTAGCTCGAGGTCACATGGCCAGGATTAGAACCCAAGCAAGCCTGACTCCCTACTCCTAATGCAGTCCACACCGTGATTATTTTTGTCTCCGAGTCTATACAACAGAGTGTCTGCACTCCATGCCACATACACCCCCATACATTCTGAGCTCATGTGCCCAGCACCAAGGCAGTGGTCGTCTTCTGGGAGTTTGCGTTGGAGGGTGAGTGACGGGACACGCACCGTCCGTGAATGCCATCTCAGTGTTGAGAGACCTCCCTCTCTTCAAGACTGGTCTGTCAGCACAGCCTGCTAATCCACTTTCTTTTGGGTTCCTTGATAGGCTGGCTCTTCTCTAGTTGATGGTGGCATGTCATCCAGACCTATTACCTCCCTCCCCATGGCTCCCCGACCCAGGGCGCTGCACTCAAGGACAACAGCAACAGAATATTCTAGCTCTCCTTACATTCCCAAAGTCCAGGCAGCTCCTCACAGCTCAGGAAACAATTTCCATCTCTCTCCTCATCTTTGGTCTCCGTCTGCCCCACCCCTCACTCTCCCTGTGGCCCAAATTGCAGAGACCCCCACAGTCTACCACAGTGAAAACCCCAGGCCAGCTTCACTCCCACCACCTTCGGAGGTGAACTAGGTGGACCGGGTTGGGGATGAATGCAGTGGCAGTTATGGGAGGAGGCAGTGGTTGAGGTTGCACAGTGCCTAAGGGCCCAAAAGTGTGAATGAGAGATAACATTGTCCACAGACAGGGCTGGAGAAACAGAATAACATGTGAAACCTGAGGAGAAGCACAACTCATAAGAAACCAGAAAGTTGACGGTGCAAGAGAAAACCTCAGAGATATTCCCGGTCATGGCTCTTTGTAACTGGTACAGAGACAGGCCCCTGTGTGAATGAGTAAACAATTCCTGCACAAAACCAAGAGCATTTATGAACTTGCTTTTCTTTTTTTTTTTTTAATTTTCATTTATTTGTTTATTTTAGAGCCAGGGTCTCACTCTGTTGCCCAGGCTGGAGAGCAGCGGTGCAATCCTGGCTCCCTGCAGCCTCAATCTCCTGGGCTCAAGCTATTCTCCCACCCAGCCTCCTGAGTAGCTGGGACTACAGGCATGCACCATCATGCCCAGCTAATTTTTTGATATTTTTGTAGAGATGAGGTCTTGCTATGTTGCCCAGGCTGGCCTCGAACTCCTGGGCTCAAGCGATCCTCTCACCTTAGCCTCCCAAAGTTCTGGGATTACAGGCATGAGCCAGCTTGCTTTTCTTATACATTTAAAAAGTGTTATAATGGAAGGAGAGGGCGATGTTTGGGGACTCTAGACCCTGACTTAGTGACGGGTATTTCTGTCGTGGACAGCTACCATAGTTTTAGAATAAAAAAATCATTGCACATGCTGGAAAAGCAAAACAAGTGTACTTTGGGAAGAAAGAGACAGACCATTTGAAACCTTGACTCACCCACACAAGGTAGGAGGTGTGGTCTCCACAGCTACACAGGGACAGATAACCTCTGTAGGGGGAGCAGGTATGGAGCAGGTATAGCGCCATTGGAGGCTGGAAGCTAGGTGTGGGGGCTGTGTGACCTTGGTCACCTCATTTCATTTAGTTTATCAAATATTTATTGAGCTCATGGGATGAGACAGTGCAGGGAACATAAAGATGGGCAAGATAAGCTCTGGCTCTCTGATTCCCAGTTTCCTCATTACAGCTGAAGTCCTTCCCTATTCTAGGCATATCTGATTCCAGGGTCCTTTATTTAAGATGAAGGAAAAGTTAAGGAAGTGTGCTCTCCTCAAAGGCATTTATTTCATTTGGTACTTAAGCAGTGATTAATCTTAAGCCCTAATAGGCCTTTAAATAATTTGAGCCTTGCCTTCGACATCTGTAAGTTGGGGATAATAATATCTCTCCTATTATCAGCTAGAAACATGATTTGTCAAGCCTAAGGGCTATTAAAATTTACTCCACAATAATGAGAGTTAGCAATTCTCAGCCTTTCCAACATGTTACAATAACCTGGGGAGACTTAAAAAATAACCAAGTCATGCAAATAAACACAGGCATGCTCTTTCTCCCTGCAGATGTGACTGACAGCACATTGGCAGTTATGCCATGGCTGGCTGACAAAGCACAGGGGCATTATCCCACTAGGAACAAAACAGGTTTTCATTTGTTTTGTTTTGTTTTGTTGCAGTTTTTTTTCTTTCACGTATATAACCACCATACTGCAGCATCAGTATAGGGAAGTGTTACCCATTTTATAACATTCTTTCTTTTTTTTTGGCTTTAGACATGACATAGGAAAAGTTGGCCTGAAATCCACTGGAGGAGCAAACTCACTTCTACAACATCCCTGATCCAGGCAGCATGATATATAAGCCACAGTGGAAGATGGTAATATATAGTGATGGCAACATTTGAAATGATGATGAGTAAGGCCTGCATGAGTGGAAATCAACTAAAGCCCAGGTCTGCAAGTTTGGAAGACCTGTGTAAAGGCTGATATGTAAAACAAATACAATATTTCCAAACTGCACATACTGTGGTTTGCATTTTACTCCCCAGATACTTGGTGAGCATATTTCTAGTCTAAAATGTTGATTCTTTTCCTGGTGCTCCTCAGGACACTTTATTCCTTTGCTCTGGTGACTTTTATAAATGTTTATAATCCATTTCACTCAGTGTAAATCAAATGGTGGAATCTGATGGGCTATGAGGAGCCCCGAGCTCTTTCTATAACTGTGTGTACATCTTCTCTAGTTAAGTGCTAAAGTAACACCCCATGGAATGAAAAGAATAACAGTACAGACACAGTGAAAAGCCTTTTTCTGGTTCTCATCTAAACACATCACACATATTTTCAGAAAAAAGAAAAGCTAAAACATCGACATACTTTACTGTTCCAGATAGTTTCTAGCCCCCTCTTTTTTTAGCCCATGCTTTTTAAAAGTAGACTGTTTTCATGAGTAACCAAAAAAAGATAGTAGAAATAATTGCAGCTAGCACTTATTTTATTATTTTCTTTTCTTTTTCTTTCTTTCTTTTTGAGAAGGAGAATCACTCTGTCGCCCAGGCTGGAGTATAGCGGCATGATCTTGGCTCACTGCAATCACTGCCTCCTGGGTTCAAGCGTTTCTCCTGCCTCAGCCTCCCGAGTAGCTGGGATTACAGGCATCCACCACCACACCTGGCTAATTTTTGTATTTTTAGTAGAGATGGGGTTTCACCATGTTGGCCAGGTTGGTCTCAAACTCCCGACTTCAGGTGATCCGCCCACCTCGGCCTCCCAAACTGCTGGGATTACAGCCATGAGCCACTGTGCCAGGCCCAGCTAGCATTATTGAGTTAGTTTAAAAATCTACATAAAGGTGGGGTGGGGGGCGCCAAGGAAGAGCCCAAGAGGAGATCAGCACGGTTGTCAGCTAAACCTCCTGCAAAAGTGGAAGCAAAGCCGAAAAAGGCAGCAGCGAAGGATAAATCTTCAGACAAAAAAGTGCAAACAAAAGGGAAAAGGGGAGCAAAGGGAAAACAGACTGAAGTGGCTAACCAAGAAACTAAAGAAGATTTACCTGCAGAAAATGGGGAAACGAAAACTGAGGAGAGTCCAGCCTCTGATGAAGCAGGAGAGAAAGAAGCCAAGTCTGATTAATACCATATACCATGTCTTATCAGTGGTCCCTGTCTCCCTTCTTGTACAATCCAGAGGAATATTTTTATCAGCTATTCTGTAAATGCAAATTTTTTAGTAGCTCTAGAAACATTTTTTTTTTTTTTTTTTGAGACGGAGTTTCGCTCTTGTTGCCCAGGCTGGAGTGCAATGGCGTGATCTCGGCTCACAGCAACCTCCGCCTCCCGGGTTCAAGCCATTCTCCGGCCTCAGCCTCCAGAGTAGCTGGGATTACAGGCATGCACCACCATGCCCAGCTAATTTTGTATTTTTAGTAGAGACGGGATTTCTCCATGTTGGTCAGGCTGGTCTCGAACTCCGGACCTCAGGTGATCCGCCTGCCTCGGCCTCCCAGAGTGCTGGGATTACAGGCGTGAGCCACCGCGCCCGGCTGAAACATTTTTAAGAAGGAAGGAATCCCACCTCATCCCTTTTTTTTAAATGTAAATGCTTTTTTTTAAGAGGTGAAATCATTTGCTGGCTGTTTCTTTTTTGGTACAACCAGAAAATAGTGTGGGATATTGAATTACGGGAGGCTCTGACTATCTCGGGTGTCAGCTTAATATTCCATAGATGGGGGGTTAGTTTTTATATCCTATAATACAAAGCATATTAAATGGCAATATGGAGTCAGTCCTGTGTTTAATGTCTTGAACATTTTAAATTACTTCTATTCCCATGTTGTTTTTTAGTAGAATTGTTTCCTAAAGAAAACCACTCTGATCATGGCTCTCCCTGTCAGAATTGTGTGCACTCTGTAACATCTTTGGTTTTGGTAGTCCTGTTTTCCTAATAACATTGTTACTGTGCTGTGAAAGATTACAAATATGAATATGCAGTGTACGTGCTATTCAGTTGTGGCCGTATGTGCTATTCAGGTGGGCTGTATGTAACAGCTGACCAACGTGTGAAGATACCAGTACTTGATAGCCTCTTAAGGAAAATTTGCTTCCAAATTTTAAGCTGGAAAGTCACTGGAATAACTTTAAAAAAGAATTAATTACAATACATGGCTTTTTAGAATTTCATTACATATGTTAAGAATTGTGTACAAATTGAAATGTCTGTACTGATCCTCAACCAATAAAATCTCAATTATGAAAATAAAAAAAAATCTACATAAAGGGAGAAACCCTCCAAAATATATAGAACATGGAGAGTGCTTTCTGAAATTGGACTTCAGTTGTCAAGGTCCCTTGGATGAAGGAGCACAAAAAACAAAGCCCAGGGCTTGCTCAAGCAAATAATCTAATGTAAGATCTTCCACACACAACCTTGAGGCCCTAAAGGACTATACCTTTCATGTTTAATGATGAACCAGAAATAGCCTTGCCTTCCAGGAAAGTCTTCTTGGACCTGAGCACATCAGGAGGAATCAATCCTCTGGCCCAAGGACACTATAATGGAAAACAAGTCTTCTCATGGGTTTGCAGCCCAAATTCACATCACCCAGGCAGTCCAGAAAACCTCAAGCTATAAACTCATTTTAGAATTGTTCCAGACTGGTAATAGTTTCAGGAACCTGACAGAAGCAAATGTAAATATCAGAGAACCCCACCTTCATCTGAGGCCTCAAGCAATTCCCTCAAATAATTTTCTAAGGAAAATGCATAGCTCACAGTAATAAATTAATGAATGAATAAACACTAAAAAGAAAAACAAACAACCCACAGCAGAACAGACCCACAAAATTTTAGATATTGAAATTACCTAAGGCCAGCCATGGTGACTCATACCTGTAATTCCAGCACTTTGGAAGTCCAAGGCGAGTGGATTGCTTGAGCCCAGAAGTTTGATACCAGCCTGGGCAACATTGGTGAAACCCTCTCTCTATAAAACACTAAAAAATTAGCTGCTCCCCTGTAGTCCCAGCTACTCAGGAGGCTGAGGTGGGAGGATCACTTGAGTCCAGGGAGGTTGAGGCTGCAGTGAGTTGTGTTCATGCCACTGCACTCCAGCCTGAGCGACAGAGCAAGATCCTGTCTCAAAGGAAAAAAGAAAAAAAGGATTTCTTACAATACTAAGCCTACTACTTCAGAAACAGATAAACAAACAAATAGACAAGCTGGAAAATATTTTCAGGGTATAGAAAATAATAAAAATGATACAGCAGATTTTAAAATTTGAATTTACAGAGACAAAAAATTAAGTGATTGAAATTTAAAACTTAGTGGGTATATTAAGCATTAGGCATGGTTAATGAGAGAATTAATGAACTGGAAGACAGGGCTGGAGAAATTATGCAGAATGCAGCACATGAGATGAAAAATATAAAAGGGGCATAACAAGATACAAAAGACAGAATTAAAAAGTCTCACATTTGTCTATCACAGTTCCAGAAGAGAGGAGAGTGAGATTGGGGCTGCAATATGAAACCTGAATTTTACCTTGAGAGCAGTAACAAACCATTGAAAGAATTTGAGTAGGGTGTTAATGAGGGTTGTTATGAAAGATGGTGCAGTTTAGTCACTGCTCAAAGGTTTTTGGCTGAGGGGATAAAGGGGCTAAAATGTGGCTTGTATTCAATTTAGCAGGCCACGTGCCTGGTGAGGGGTTGCATCTGGCTGGAGGAAAGAAAGCAATTAAAAAAAAAAAATTCCCACAGAAATATTATATGGCTAGTCACAGCCCTGGCCCTGACATAGATGAGTTCAAGTTTTGCTCTTCAGATATAGTGTAGAGAAGAGCTTTTCTCAAAGAAAAATGGTGTTAGATCAGTTTTTCATCTTTTCTGCCAAAGGTCAGATTTCCAGACTTTTCTCCAAAAGGTCATGCTCCTAAGAAACAATGAACATACATTCGTTTTTGTTTCTTGTGAGATTGATTATAGCCAGTTTTAGTCCTTGATCTAGACTCTGCTATTGTCTTCTTCTATAGTCATTTTTGTTCTTTTCTTATCCTTCCTGAATACATTTTGGGGTGGAAAAGGGAATCTCATCTTCTTTTTTGACTTAGCAGAGTATGTAATGCAATATGCACATTGCTTTGCATTCTGAAGCATGGAAGTGATTTTTTAAGCTACTATATCAAAAAGATAGTCACTGCTCAACTTTGTATACTGTATTATCTCAAGTCCCTGGTCAAACGAGCAATTCGCTATATCATCAACTGTCATGTTATATTGCCTGGGTTTTAGAGAATAAGGGATGGTGGTTGGTTAATAGCCCAACTTGAAATATTACGAAAGAGGGGCAATTCGAGCTGAGATGATTTACAACTCTCAGAATGGGAACTAGTGGTAGAAAATAAAGAAGGGCATTTATGTGCGGCTAATTATATTGAAGGAAAATGAGGCCAGAAGTTGGAGCGTACTCTGGTGTCTGTTACGAGGTAGGAGCTGAGATACGAGTGGGGAACGGGTGGCCTCTGTAGTTGGACTTTTAAGTTAGCAGGGATGGAGTCGAATCTGCGTAATCTTGGAAAAGGAACTTGAGAAATGTCTTCTGAGCTAGGCCAACTAGAGGAAACCAAAGTTACCCCAAATCGTCTGGGTCTTCTGTAGGTTACCCAGGGGACCAGCCCCAGCTCACAAGAACAGAAAGTGGAGAGCATTTGCATGACAGGGAACCACTGTGAGGAAGTGAAAGCACCTTATTTGCAGTAAATCAGGACACATTTATACCATTCTGTGGAGACTGCAGGGAAGAGAGATGTTTCTAGTGGAGAAGGGATGCTAAATTGGATTAATTACATAGCACGCATTAGTACTAATTAAAGATGTGTAATGCATCATTGGTATCTTCTTATTTAGTATGCTCTCAGCTGCTCATTTTCCTTCAGTGAACACAGAAAATATTAATAAAGGCTTTCATAGAATCACTTTAAACTTTGGAATCCAATTCTCCTTTTAACGTGTAGCTGAACCTTTTATGAGGAAATTCTGAACCTTACTCTTTTAGTCAAGGTCTTATTGCACTTATATTTTTAAAGAAGAGATTGTTAAGTCCATCACTAAGGTATTTACAAACGAGGGTTATCTTGCTATCATCTGCTACCCCACTTCCTCAGAAAGGATGAACCAAGCCCATAACCCTTGGGTTCTGTAACAAGTGATGGAGAAACAATGATGAATAGGACAAAGAATCTTTCTTTTGAAAGACATAACACAGAAAGGTTAATAGCTGGCTGGACATGGTGGCTCATACCTGTAATCCCAACACTTTGGGAGGCTGAGGTGGGAGGATCACTTAAGCCCAGGAGTTTGCAATTACAGTGATCTATAATCGTGCCACTGCACTCCAGTGTGGGTGACAGAGCAAGAATCTATTTCAAAAAATAAAAATAAAAAAGTGAAATAGCCATATAAATAAACCACGAAATTCAGCATGGTAAGTGTTCAAGTAGATGGTTGTACAATGTATAGGTGGAGCACAGTGGAAAGAACACTTTGTTCATTTTTAAAGTATTTAAGACCTATTGTGTGCCAAACACTATGATAGGCATTGAGGGAGATGAAGGAATAAGAAAAAACATTCTTGCACCTTTTCTTTGTGTGGGGTAGAAGCACTCTTGAGAAGAAATTAATTTTGAGAATCTTCAGAAGGATTGAGAACAGTCATTATTATTCAAAAACCTCCTAACAGATCCCACTAACTCGGGCCCAGTGGTAGAAGAGAGAGACTGAGAAAGGAATGATCCCTGCCAACGCTTCTGGCCCAGAGAAATCTCTTAGCTCTCTAGGAGCTAAGCTGTGTTGGGTCAGGCAGTTATTTTTCTCTGATGTTCCAGAACATTGCAAGAACACGTGGCCAAATTTGGTTCACTTTAACAGGGGTCACTAGCAGGGCTTTCAGCAAATGTTTAACCAACAGGTTTGCATTTTACTAGCAGTATAGTTACCATAATCTCTCTTTGCTGACAGATTTGCAGATCAGAGGTCAATAGCAGCTTTGAGAATAGTTATTGATTCATGAAGTCAAATATTCCTTAGTCCTTGCCAAACATAGACGCCTTTCTTCACCCAGAGTAACTGGTACGGGGGTAGTTTTTACCTGGAGAAAAGGAATTCTTCTAAGGCCTGTTGTGTAATAGCGTTGTAACAACAATGTATATATTCCTGGCATCTGATTTCATTCAACACCCAGATTCATTGTCTTTCAAAGAATGTGTTGACTTTGCCACCACTTTAGTCATTATTTACTTTGGGATAGATAATGTGAGTCAAAACTTTAAAGGTGGTGCCCACAGCCTACAGATTAAAGAAGCTTCAGGCAGGGAGAAACTAAAGCAATGTAATGAGGAAACAGAAAAATCCCATGTCACCTTTTTAACAGCAACAATCTTGCTTTCAAGACCTGAGTTAGGATTCCTGGCGAAGCCAACACTGGCCTGATGCTCAGGATATTCTCAGGAGGCAAAGTAGATGTAGGCTGCCCCATTCAATGCATCATGTCATGCATACCGTTTCTTCCCTGAGCTGGGAAGGAAATGGGAGTAACATTTGTGATTCACAATTTTATTAATAGCATTCATTGAGCATACCAAATGTGTGATATGCATGTCATTCAATTCTCATCACACAAGCTGTCCTACACAATTGGGACTGAAAAAAGCTCTGTGTCAGCAGCTTATGACAACAGCCTTTTCAACCAGAGCCTCAGTTTATACTTGAGGAAGCTGCTACCCAGAGAGGTTAGGGACAGTTTTCAACGGCCATGCAAGGAACACCAGAACTCTGAGTTTCTGGGCCTCTCCTCTGCTCTACCCATTGCTCTGTTCATTGATAGAGAAATACCTTAGACCTGTGCTTCTCAAATCTTACCTGCATGCAAGTCCCCAGGGATCTTGTGAAAATAAAGATTTGATTCAGCAGGTCTGGGGTGAACCCAAGATTTTGCATTTCCAACAAGCTCCTGGTGGTGCCAGTGCTGTTGGTTCCTGACAGCGCTGAGTGAGAAGGCTGTAGATGATTGTGTGTTCTTCGTTGTTCTCTTCAACGTGACATTTTCAGCACCAGTGGTGCCCTTTTCTATCTTATTATATATAGATTTTGAACTAGTGGTGACATTATATTAAATATGAAATCTGCTAAAGGTTCTTGAGTTCTGAAATAATGCTAAAGGGATTCATATATAGAGCATCTTCTTAGGAAACTTTAAAGCATCTTTGAGTCATTTTTCCTTGAATGTCACTCCTGTCACCATTGAGATATGTACCAGCACTAAGGACCAAAGTGTGACAGATCAAAGCACAGCATTGATTGTGCAATCATTGGCGTACACATATAGACATTTAAAAAAATGTGACAAAGCTTTTAAATATATTTTGGGTCAACACCAAGATATATTTTTCAGAGATGCAGCAGTGTGGTAGTGGTCATTTGCCAGGGATTGGGATTCTGGATTCCAATCTCTCTGCCTCTCCCACATAGCCTTGAGAGCTGAAGCTCCAGCCCTCTAGGCCTCATGGTCCAGATCTATAGGAGAATGGTTGGAAGAGATAATCTGGAAGGCTTATTACTTTCTTGTTTTATGGTTGGTGATGATTAGCATCTTTCTTTTCTAGAATGACCTACCACAAAATGTAGAAAGCCATTTTTCCCTTTGGGTAACCAGGAAGATTTTGATGAAAACAGCTGGCAAATATAAGCCAATTATTGGCTTCTCTTAGCCTGTTGCTATAGCAGAAGGAGTCCTGAATTAGGAGGCTGCAGATACGTGCTGTGTAATATTGGGCAAATTACTCCATCTCTCTGAGTCTCAGTTTCATCATCTGCAAAATGATAGGATTGATGCTCTAAGTCTATTTTAGTAGTAATGATCCATATAATAAATGGAAACAGTTAATGAATTTCTTGAACCTGGTTTTCTTTTCTCGTTTGTCCCCAATCTTTACCCATGATGAAAGGAGTGGGTCCCCAACCATGCCCCCTATCCTTATGGATAGAGAACTCGTGAACTCCTGAAGAACAGAGACATATCTGCTATTCCAGCCTTCCCTCATCATCCTTTGAATAGTTGGCACAATGAATGAATGAATGAGCTGTTGTACCACAGGACTAATAGGAAACAGTCAGATCCATTGAGGTCAGTGCTGTCAATGAGATTGTCCAGGAGCTATAATCATGGGTCTATAGTGGACAGCACAGAAGCTATTGACCACAGGGGCAGTGAAAAGTGTTTTTATCCCCCGGATGCTTATAGGGCCAAGATTATCCAGGATGCAAGATGATGTTATTAGCAAAGGATGCTACTACATCCTTATGTTATTAGCAAAACTGCAATGGTGTTAAGGACCCTGGGAGGGAAGAAAAATTAGCAACTTTGAGATCATCCTCTTTAGTTTTCATTTCAATCTCTAATGCTAAATTTTAATTTGAATTGGGAATTGGGTTTAATCATAAGTGTTTCCATAGGGAACAGGGCCTGTGAAATTTAGAACATATTTGTAGCTGTCTAGCTTGGTTTCAAGAGAAAAATCCCTTCTTTTGGGGAGACTATGAACATCTGGGAATTGTGGGCAGATATAATTAAAAGAATCATAGATGTTAGAGCAGGAAGGATCTTTGTCAATTAGTTCTACCCTTTGTTTTCTGTTCTTCTCATAGGCAAACTTGGGGTGTGGAGGAGGGAAAAGAAAATTAGCTATGCGAGCATTGGAAGCTGCTCCCCTCAGACTTAGTGGTGACCCTGAGAAAACACAGAGAACAAGACCACCTCTAGATCAGTGTTCATTAAAAACACATTTTCCTCGTTGGGTGCTGTGGCTCACGCCTGTAATCCCTGCACTTTGGGAGGCCAAGGCAGGCAGATCATTTGAGGTCAGGAGTTTGAAACCAGCCTGGCCAACATGGTGAAACCCTGTTTCTACTAAAAATACAAAAATTATCTGAATGTGGTGGCACGCACCTGTAATCCAAGCTACTTGGGGGGCTGAGGCAGGAGAATCACTTGAACCAAGGAGGCGGAGGTTGCAGTGAGCCGATATCGTGCCACTGCACTCCAGCCTGGGCGACAGAGCGAGACTCCATCTCAAAAACAACAACAACAACAACAAACACATATTCCTCAGCTCCTTCATGCACACATTCTCCTTCAGGGGTTTGGGGTAGGGCCAGGGACCTGTGATTTTTACCAAGCTGCCTAGATGATTCTTAGACACTTTTGAGTTTGAGAATCTAGCTTTGGGCAATTTGCAGTCATTCCCACTTTCACCTGAATAAAATTCAAGTAGATTGTACGTATTTAAGAGAAAGAAAGAAGAGAACTTATGGTTAAATACAGGAGAGTGTTTTGATTGTTTTGGTTTTTGTTTTAGAGATGGAATCTTACTCTGTTGCCCCAGCTGGCGTGCAGTGGTGCAATCATAGCTCACTGCAGCCTTTAACTCCTGGGATGAAGCAATCCTCTTGTCTCAGCCTCAGGAGTAGCTAGGACCACAGGTGTGCACCACCAAGCCTGGCTAACTTCATTTTTTTTTCTTTGTAGAGACAGGATCTCACTATGTTGGCCAGGCTCCTGGCCTCAAGCAATCCTCCCACCTCGAAATTCCGAAATTCTGGGATTACAGGTGTGAGCCACTGTGTCCAGCCAGAAGGGTATTTTGTAATAGTCTGGGAAGAGGTGACTCTGGGGAGAGGTGAGTTTTAAAAAAATAACACAAGTGAGAAGGTAGGATGCATTGAGGAAAAAAACTTTTTTTTGAGACAAGATCTTGCTCCGTCACCCAGGCTGGATGGAGTGCAGCGGTGCTACCTTGGCTCACTGCAGCCTTGACCTCCTGGGCTCAAGTGATCCTCCCACCTCAGCCTCCTGAGTAGCTGGGACTATAGATGCACACTACCACACCTTGTTAATTTTTGTATTTTTGGTACAAAAATGGGGTTTTGCCATGTTGCCCAGGCTTATATCAAACTCCTGGGTTCAAGCAATCCTCCTGTCTCAGCCTCCTAAAGTGCTGGGATTACAGGCATAAGCCACTAAGGCAGCTGGGAAAATTTTTTCATCAAAGCTCTGCTCAGGGTTGGTTAGCTTTTATTTGAAATCTTCTTTAACAATATCTAAGACTCTGAACATCTCTTTTAAGATGTTTCTATACAATGAAGAAATGGAATTGTTCTTTAAGTCACCTCACCAGCTCAACGCCTCAAACTACAAATTATCTCCACTGGGGATGGGGTGGGATGGGAGGAAGGAGGCCCTTGAAGACATTTTGCAAGACTAAACCTTCCCCTCAGCTATCCAAATGTTGTGTGAGCACAGTCAAATTCCTTGTTATGTTTGTCTTTTTTCCTTCTACTCCTTGTGGAGACATTCCAAAAGGAAGAAATTTCACTGGACATACAGACACCTCAAAAATCACACTGCATTTCTTGATGTACAGGGCTGTTGTGATTCATGGACTTGGTAAATAGAGGCCTTTTCAAGTTAGACTTTTCCAAGGATTGGCAGTAATTTATACACTGGGGCCTCAGGGAATTGAGGAATTCATGTATTTTGTAGGAATGAGCTGAGTCTCTCCCTTGGGACTAGCACTACTCAAGGAGTACAGAAGACACAAAATACAGTGTCTCTATTTTCAAAAAGTGTATAGTCTTGTCAGGGAGATAAAACAGACACAAATAAAGCAGAGAGCAATACCAGACCTTACAAACAATGGTATTAAAGTGAATATCACTCATTTAACAAACTCCTTCCTATATAGCACTAACTGAATTCAACTCAGGTGAAAAATCCTCTTTTTGAAATATTTTCTCCCAGATTGTAGTAGTAAAAGTTTTCCACTTGACTCTTAACTTATAGCAGCACTCCCTTGAACCATATCTTGGTAGACAAATCAAAGATGGAGGGAGAGGAAATAAATGTATTTTGCATGTGGGAGTGATGTGAATTGTTGTGGCCAAACGGCAAACGGTGACTGATTGTCTTTTCCAGAGGTAACTAAACCAGTAGATTCCCACTCCCATATGCTTTTCCTGTAACATGATGGATACGCCTTCCATGAAAGGTGAGATCTATAGCCCATTCCCTTGAATCTGGGCAGAAGCTGAGCATGCTGACAACCAGCCAAAGCTGGGTCTTTCACTCTTACAACACAAGGAAATGAATTCTGCCAAACACCTGAAAAAGCTTAGGAGCAGGTTTCCCCCATTTGAGTCTCCAAATGAGAATGCAGCCCAGCCAATACCTTAATGGCAGCCTTGTGAGACCCTAAGCAGAAGATCCAGTTAAAAGATATGGCTTAAGCTGGCCGGGCACAGTGGCTCATGCCTGTAATCCCAGCACTTTGGGAGGCCGAGGCGGGCGGATCACGAGGTCAGGAGATTGAGACCATCCTGGCTAACACGGTGAAACCCTGTCTCTACTAAAAAATACACAAAAATTAGCTGGGCATGGTGGCGGGTGCCTGTAGTCCCAGCTACTTGGGAGGCTGAGTCAGGAGAATGGCCTGAACCCAGGAGGTGGAGCTTGCAGTGAGCCGAGATCGTGCTACTGCACTCCAGCCTGGGCGACAGAGCGAGACTCTGTCTCAAAAAAAAAAAAAAAGATATGGCTTATGCTTGACCCATGGGACCTGTGACATGAGTGTGCATGGTTTAAGCCACAGTTTATGGTGATTTGCTGTGCAGCGGTAGGGAACCAAAACACCTGGCTACCCTGATGGTGCCATGCTGGAGAGACCACACTGGAAAGGCCACATTGCGACAAAGAGACAGTTCCAGGAGTCCAAGCTGTTCCAGCCCCCAGCTGTTTCAGTCTCTGCAGCATCAGCCACTAGGCTTGTAAATGGACCTTCAGATAATTCCAGTTCCCAGCCTTCAAACCCTCTCATATGACGTTGAGCAGAGCAGAGACAAGCTATCCCCACTAAGCCATGTCTGAATTTCAGACTCATAAGCAAAATTAAATTTATTGTTTGAAGTCACTAAATTTTGAAAGTAATTTGTTATGCAGCCACAGTAACTGGAACAGGTATAGGTAAGCTCCCAGACCTGCTTCCACCTTGACCTGCCTTTCTTGGTGTATTTCCTTGACTTTCTGTAACTTTTGATGATGGCTTTTATCCTCTTGACACTGATCAGCTCTCGCTTTTTGGCTTCAGGACCCCTTGGTTATGTGTGTCAGGCTTCCCTGTGTGTCCCATACTTTGTATGCTGTTCCCACCTTGATCCAACAGAACCATGCATGGAACACAAGTAAAATTCAGGCAGCCACAGGACAGCCTTAGCTCTTTTATATACTTGCCATAATGTATTTATGCATCTCCATACCTGTTATCCCCATCAGACCATGAGCTCCTCCATGTCAGTGCCTTTGTCAGACTGGGTCTAACTCAGGATATAAATGCTCAATCTGTTGAATGAATGAATATAAGTTATCTTGCTGTGTAGAAATTAAAGATTTATATGCAAAGACCTCTTCCCTTAAAGAACTTACAGTCCAGTACTAAAATACATGGTCCATATTATAAATGCTAAGAAAGGAAAGGTTGTAGTATTGGCTTAGAAGGCTTCACAGAAGAGGAGAAACGTGAACTTGATATTAAGGAGGGATTTGCTGGATTTGGGTGAGAGGAGAGGAGATAAGATGGCATTTCAAACTAGAAGAACAGTATGACAAAATTATGTAGAGGTTGGAGGGAGGAGAAGACTGGCATTTTAAGGACCTTAATGAGATACTCCTGGCAGAAGCTTTTTTTTCCACGGAGAAGTAGTAGCAATGGTCTTTTTCTTCTACCATCTCTCCATGGCTACTGGATTCCACAAATCTTGTATATCCATTTGATATCAATTTTATAATCTAGATACGTTTTACATTGAGTATCCAGATTTTTCATTAGTTGAAACAATAAACTGTTATGTGGATTATTTATTAATTTATGTTGTCAGCTTGCCATAAATTCATATCTCATCAATCATACTGGGTGAAACTCCAGTGAAATTCCAATTCATCACCAGGTAGAATAATTTGATATATGAGGTAAGGTCTACAAATCGTAAACTCAGAACACTTAGGTTTCCTTTCTTTCTGTCTGTCTTTCTTTCTTTTTTTTTTTTTTTGAGATGGAGTCTTGCTCTGTCACCCAGGCTGGAGTGCAGTGGTGCAATCTTGGCTCACTGCAACCTCCACCTCCCGGGTTCAAGCCATTCCTCTGCCTCAGCCTCCCGAGTAGCTGGGATTACAGGTGTGTGCCACCATACCTGGTTAATTTTTTTGTATTTTTAATAGAGACAGGGTTTTACCATGTTGGCCAGGCTGGTCTCGAACTCCTGACCTCAGGCAATCCACCCGCCTTGGCCTCCCAAAGTGCTGGGATTACAAGCGTGAGCTACTGCAACCAGCCAGAACACTTAGATTTCTTAAGCATCAAGAAAATTTGTGAATAAAGTTGAATACTCTGACTAATGGCTGCCCACACCTCCTGGGATTTAAGGTTCGTGTAATCCTAGGTTTGATGATGTTAGTCATTCTGACCTCACTAGAGCTAGTTGAGGTATAGTGAGACTAGCAAGTATGTGCTTTAATTTGGAAAATCTGAGTTGCATGGTTGTTATGACAACAACTACTATGCAACTTCTGTCAGAGGCTTACCATGAAATTAAAAGGGAAGCAAGTCCATTATCATTATGGTATCCAGATATATGTAGTCCAATGACAAAGCAACACTTCTAATTGGAAAAATGATGCCTCACAGTCTTTGCAGCAGGAAATCATTCACCTTTGTGAGGAACCTGGGAAATGAGTAGAAAGACCTGAGTCAGGTTACATGAGACAGGGACATATGTACTTATGTGAGGATGGAGTCCTCATCAGTTGGGGTAGCCTGAGTTATGCTGCAGAAACAATTCCAAATCTCAACGGCTTAAAACTATTAGTACAAACAGTATTTATAGTTCAGGAAGCTTCTGTCATGGGTCATTCTTAAGGTTCTCTTCTGCTTTATCCTCACATAAGGACGAAGGCAGAGGGAAGTCCCATCTCTGTGTTTCTAAGACTTCCAAGGTGACCAAAGTATAAAAAAGGATACATGGTGTTATGCCCTGGCTTTTAAAATTTTTGTCTAGAAGTGCAGCAACTTTACATTGGCCCAAGCAAGATATATGCCTACACCAACTTTAAGAAATGCAAATTATACCATATGCCTGGAGGAAGAACTTGTAAAACTGGGAGAAGAGCATCAGTGACTAGCACACCAGCATGCTCTCCCATCCTTGGCACTACTGACATTTGGGCCAGACACTTTGTTGTGGGGAACTATCCTGGGCATTATAGGATGTTTAGCAGCATTTCTGGTATCTACCCACTAGACGCAAGTAGAATCCCCTCCCCCAAGTTGTGACAACCGAAAATTTCTCCAGACATTGCCAAAGGTTCCCTGGGTGACAAAATTGTCCCCAGTTGAGAACTATTAGCTTAGAGTAATGCACATAAGAGTCCATACATTTCTAGGCTTTGGAGTTAGACTGCTAAGGTTTGAATCTCAGCTCTTTTATTTTATTTTATTTTATTTTTTAGACACAGGGTCTCTATCATCTGGCTGGAGTGTGGTGGCATGATCATGACTCACTGCAGCTTCCAATTCCTGGGCTCAAGTGATCCTCCCACCTCAGACTCCTGAGGAGCTGAGACTACACACATGTGCGACCACACCCAGCTGATTTTTAAATTATTTTGTAGAGACAGGGTCTCTCTACGTTGCCCAGCCTGGTCTCAAGCTCCTGGCTTCAAGTAAGCCTCACACCTCACAGCCTCCTAAAGTGCTGGGATTACAGGCATGAGCCACTGCACCCAGCCAGCTCTTTCTTTTACTAATTGTGTGACCTTGAGCAGTTACTTAACCTTTCTGGGCCTGGTTTTTTAAATATGTAAAATGAGGATACTGGTTGTACTTCTCTCATAATGTTACAGAGATTGAATCAGGTAGTACAATACTTGTAAAGTGCTTAAATATTGCTTGATATATAGTAAAATATATTAAAAATAGACTTCAGACAAAAAGCACCCATTCAGAGTGGCCTACAGTCTGCAGCAATCCATGTAGTTTCAGGTTCATTTATATTTTATGTCACATTGAATATGCCATTTCAACAAGTGAATCGTCAACATTTCATATTAATTACACACGATGGGTCCTTAGGACCCTATGGCTTACCTTGGTTAAGAACGACTCCATTCACTTCGATAGGGTTTGAAATGAAAAAAACAAACAAAACAGGGTGACTAATGAGAGTGACTCAATAGACTTATATTTAACATACTTTGCTTCTGCCCTTTTCTTTCATTTGATGTTTGTGGGAAATATTTGTGGTGAGCTAGAATTAAAAGTCTATACTTTTTCATTGGAGCACTTGGTCAGAGCAGAGTGCTCATAAGATTTAGATCAAATGTGTTTGATCCCTACCAGCCCAGAACCTGGAACAGGCTACTATCCCAGGAGAGCTAATCATGGCCACATAGGATAGTGGACAAGAGTCAGGGGGACCTCAGGAGCCAGGAGACTCCAGACAGTCAGCTTAAATGTCTTGCTTTAGAACTTTCATGTGGCAGCAACCTTTTATTCAATGTCTATTCATTTGTCCCTGATTAGTGACAAGCACAGGACTGACCCATTGTAGCTGTTTAATAATAATGTTTGGGCCGGGCGCGGTGGCTCACGCCTGTAATCCCAGCACTTTGGGAGGCCGAGGCGGGCGGATCACGAGGTCAGGAGATCGAGACCATCCCGGCTAAAACGGTGAAACCCCGTCTCTACTAAAAATACAAAAAATTAGCCGGGCGTAGTGGCGGGCGCCTGTAGTCCCAGCTACTTGGGAGGCTGAGGCAGGAGAATGGCGTGAACCCGGGAGGCGGAGCTTGCAGTGAGCCGAGATCCCGCCACTGCACTCCAGCCTGGGCGACAGAGCGAGACTCCGTCTCAAAAAAAAAAAAATAATAATGTTTGTGCATTTAAAGACGCTGTGCTTTGGAATCAGCCAATTTTGCAGGGCGGAGGAAGAAAGGAAACTGGTTTGCCATCTGGCATTTACAAAATGGGAAACAAATGCATTGACTTTTTCTTCCTCTCAAAACTTCACAAAAATGGCAATAAAGAGACTGTTTTCTGAAGACATAAACCCATAAGGATGAAGAGCATTGAAGAGAAGATAACAGATAACAATAGAAGATAAAAATTTCCAAATTTTGAAAATTGGAGAAATGCTTATAAAGCGGCTTAGCAGAGCCAAAAAAACTGAATTCACTCTTGAACCTGGGAGGTGGAGGTTGCAGTGAGCCAAGATCGTGCCACTGCCCTCCAGCCTGGGCAACAGAGAAAGACTGTCTCAAAACAAAACAAAACAAAACAAAAAACTGAATTCAAAGCTGGCAGTGGAGAAAATTGAGACCTGATCTGTAACACAGAAGAAATGACCCAATAACCCCAAAATTGGTGGCATCAGGCACCTTTGAGAATATGGAATAAAAAAAGATTGCTAAAGTAAGGAGGTTTATCTGAAAGGCTGTTTAAAAATCAGTGTCCAGGCATGGTGGCTCACACCTGTAATCCCAGCACTTTGAGAGGCTGAGGTGGCAGGATCGCTTGAGCCCAGCAGCTTGAGACCAGCCTGGGCAACTTGGTGAGACTCCATCTCTACAAAAAAGTTTAAAAAATTATCCAGGCATGATGGCATATGCCTGTGGTCCTAGGAACTCAAGAGGGTGAGATGGGAGGATTGCTTGAGCCTAGGAGGTGGAGGCTGCAGTGAGCCATGTTTGCATCACTACACTCCAGCCTGGGCAACAAGGTGACAGCCTGTCTCAAAAAGAAAAGAAAAAAAAATCAGATCCATAGATCTTCCCCTACAATCCCCTCACACTGGCAGAAGATTCAAGGTTTTTCCACTGAAGATAGTTTCTGGAGTAAGTACAGAAGTATCGAACTGGAAAGGGGAGGGAGGACTTAGTAAGCCATATACACTGGATGCTGAAGCCTTCTGTCCACGTTCTTCTCTGGAATAACAGAAAAATAGCAGCCAGGCCAATGCCTCCCTGGCAGGAGATTGGAACCATCGGCTGTGAAGAATCTCAACAGGCAAGGAGGAAACACCTAAAGATACAGATGACATCAGGTTTCCCAACTAAATGGTTTAGCCAGATCATTCCACAGTGAGGTTAATGGGTGCCAAACCCCAGACATATACTCAGAGCTTTCTAAGAACATTTCCTTCCCCAACTCTTATGTATATGAGTTGACAACCAAGGATTACCAGCTGTCAAGGAAAGCCTCAAGCTAGTTGTGTAGAAACCAATGCAGATGAACAGAAAAAGAGGAAACAGGTAGAAGAAAACATTTAAAAATCTACCAATATTCTTAGAGAGGTAAGAAAATATTGCAACCATGAAACAAGAAAAAATGTTATAAAAAGAGAGCTCTTGGGGAACAAAAATAATACCAGTTAGAAATTAAAAATATGAAGACACAAATTTAAGACTCAATAGAAAGTCTGGGAAAATATACCTGAAAAATTTCCCAGGAAGCACAGTAAAAACAAATAGATGGAAAGAGGAGAAAAATATAAGAAAATTAGAAGACTGGTACAGAATGTCCACCATTTGAATAACAGAAGTTCTAGAGAAAGAGAACAGAAAATAACAAAGGAAAGAAATAATCAATGAGATAATTCAAGGAAATTTCTCAGAACTGAAGGATATGAATTTCCAGATTGAAAAGGCCCACCAAATGCCCTGGACACTGAATGAGAATAAACCCACAACAAAGCATGGCATCAGGAAGCCCAAAAATGCTTGGGACAAAGATAAAACCTTAAAACTTTCAGAGGGCAAAAGCAGATCACAATCCTCAAACAGGGAATTAAGATGTTCTTTTGACTTCTCAAAAGTAATACTAGGTGGGGCACAGTGGCTCATGCTTGTAATCCCAGCACTCTAGGAGGCCAAGGTGAGAGATATATTTGAGCCCAGGAGTTTGAGACCAGCCTGGGCAACATAGCAAGATCCCCATCTCTACAGAAAAATTAGAAAAATTAGCTGAGTGTGGTGGCATGCACCTGTGGTGTGGTCCTAGGTACTCCAGTGGCTGAGGCAGGAGGATCACTTGAGCCCAGGAGTTCCTGGCTGCAGCCAGCTATGATCACACCATTGTACTCCAGCCTGGGAGTGATAGAGACCCTGTCAAAAAAAAAAAAAAAAAAGCAAAAAGCAATACTGGAAGCTAGGGAGATATGAAGCAATACCTTCACAATTTTAAGGTAAAATTATTTTTTAACCTAGAATTTTATTCTCAGCCAAACCATCAATTAAGTGTGAGGGTAGAATAAATGTATTTTTGGAGTGTAAGGACTCAAAACATTCCCTCCCATGAACCCTTTCTCTGGAAACTACTAGTGCTGTGCCGTCTAATATGGTAGGCATTTGCCACAGATGCTTATTTAAATTTACATTTATTACAGTTCAACACAATTTAAAATTTTATTCCTTAGTTACATTACCCACATTTCAAATGCTCCATAGCCACATGTGGCTAGTGAGCATCAATTTTTATTTTTATTTTTATATTTATGCTTTGAGACAGCCTTGCTCTGTTGCCCAGGCTGGAGTGTAGTGGTGAGATCTTGGCTCACTGCAGCCTCCACCTCCTGGGTTCAAGAGATTCTCGTGCCTCAGTCTCCCGAGTAGCTGGGATTACAGGTGCATGCCACCATGCCCAGCTAATTTTTGTATTTTTAGCAGAGATGGAGTTTCACCATTTTGGTCAGGCTGATCTCGAACTTCTAAGCTCAAATGATTCACCCACCTCGGCCTCCCAGAGTGTTGGGATTACAGGTGCGAGCACTGAGCCCAGCCCGAGCATTGATTTGATTGCGCAGATATAGAACATTTCTATCACTGCAGAACTTCTATTGCACAGCACTATACCTGAGAATGTGCTCAACCAAAATAAGAGGAAAATCGTAAATAGCATTGACACTGGGAGATAATATGTAACATATTATACAGAGATAATATTGCCTTTTGCCTTTTTTAAATCTGAAAATTTCTGAATTCTGAAACATGCTTACCCTAAGAGTTTCAGATAAGGATTATGGACTCATGTTAATAAAAAGAAAATTTAAAATTAAAGAGTAAGATAGTATGGCAAAGACTCAGTATTGTACAGGTATCACATTTCCCCTAATTTATTGATAAATTTCCCCAAATTAATTTTAAAATCCGAGCAGAGAATCTTTCTGTCTCTGGAACTTAACAAACCAACTCCAAAATTTATTTGGAAAAGCAAGGGTCAAAAAAAGAAAGACAAATGTAGAAGAACAAGGTAGAGAGATTTGCTCTATCAGCTAAGACATTAAAAAGCCACAGTAATAAATAGAAGACGTGATGGCAGGGACAGGCAAATAGACCAATGGAACAGAATCAGCATGGAAATAGGCTCCCTCTGACCACTTGACAAATGGCAGAGACAGTGCATTAAAGTAATTGGGAGATTTCAAAAAATTAATAAAGAGTACTGGAGAAATATTTTTTTTAAATTAATAAATGATGCTGAGACAGTTGGTTTTCCTTAAGGAAAATAACACAATTAGGTCCCTAACCCTACACTAAAATCAATCCAAGGAGATTAACATCTAAATGAAAAAAGTAAAAATCATTTCAAAATTAAAAGGACATCATTGAGATATGCTAGCCAAGAGGGCTTTCTTAAATAATCCTTAAAAAATATAAACATGGCTGGGCAAGGTGGCTCATGCTTGTAATCCCAGCCCTTTGGGAGGCTGAGGCAAGATGATCACTTGAGGCCAGACGTTCAAGATCAGCCTGGGCAATAGAGTAAGACCCCCACCTCTATTATTAAAAATAAATAAATAAATAAACATTTAAAATGCTGATAAAATTCAATGCATAAAAAGATAAAGCTTCTGTGCAACAAAGGACCAATAAAATTAAGAGACAAGCCTTAAAATAGAATCCAATATTTAAAATGAATGTAATTAATACAGGATTAATGTCCAAATTATATAAAGAACTCTCACAAATCAATGAGAAAAAGGAAAACAACCCAATGGGGAAAAATGGTCAAAGGACAAGAACAGGAAATTTACAGAAGAAACATGAATGACCAATGCATACATGCAATGATGCTCACTCTCACTAATACCCAATGTAATGGTTGTTAAAACCAACTGCCATTCTATTTTGAACAGATTGGTAAATATTAAAATGAGTGCCAACAGCAAGTGCTGGTGAATTGGTGGAGCAATGGTGATTATCATGTACTGGTAGTGGGACTGTAAATTGGTACAATCACTTTGGAAAGGAATTTGGTCACATCTTTAATGATGAAGATGTGCATTTTCTACAACCCAGCATTTCCACTCCTAAGAGTCTATGTCAGAGAAGCTAGCACCTAAGAGCATAAGCAGAAACGTACAACATTGTTCTTTGCAGCATGGTTGGCGATAGCACAAAAGCTAGAAACAAGCTAGATTTCTCTCAATAGGTAAGTGGATAAATAAGCTGAAGTACTGTATCACTGTTTGCTGTATCACTGTTAAAGATAAATGAATAAATCAACATGAATACATTTCAAATTCTGAACAATAAAAGTGAGTTTTAGAGGAATACACACAGTGTACCATTGAAACAAAGTTAACAATATGCAAAACTATATATACAGTTAATTCTTTACAGATATTTATACATAAGGTAAAATTATAAAGACAAAAATGGGATAATAAACCTCAAATTCAAATACTTCTGGGGGAATATGATATTACAGAAAGGTACATAAGGTACTTCAACTGTCTTATATGTGTTTGTGTGCACTATATAAAAAAATATATATAATTTTATTTTATCTTATTTTTTTTGAAAGAGGGTCTCACTCTGTTGCCCAGGCTGGAGTGCCGTGGCGTGATCTTAGCTTACTGCAGCCTCCACCTCCTGAGCTCAAGTGATCCACCTGCCTTGGCCTCCCAAAGTGCTCGAATTATAGGTGTGACCCACCATGACCAGTCTATATATATATTTTAAATAAAGTTTATTTTTGAGTATTTTTAGGTTCACAGAACAATTGAGTAGAAGGTACAGAGATTTCCCATATATTCCCTGCCCCCATGTACTCACAGCCTTCTCTACTATCTACATCCTGCCCCAGAGTAGTACATTTGTTGTAACTGATGAATCTACATTGACTCATCATTATCATCCAAAGTCCATAATTTACATTAGCATTCAGTCTTAGTGTCATACATTCAATGGGTTTTGGCAAATGCATCATGACATGTATCCATTAGTATAGGATCATATAGAATAGTGTAACTACTCTAAAAATCTTCTGTTGTATTTTATTTATTAAAAAAGAGAGATATGAATTATATATGGCAAAATGTTAAAGTCTGACAGCTGGACTGAATGTACTTGTGTTTAATAATCAATTCTCTAAAATTTTCTTAATGCTTAAAATATTTTAAAATAGGAAAAGATCATAGGTATCTCTTAGGTGAGACTTTAAAAAAAATACATGGGGGTGATATATATACATTTGGTTTCAAAAGTTCTCTATCATCAAAGAAAAGCAAACGGGCCTATTCCTCTACCTTCAGCATCTCCCAGTCTTCTCTCATTTTCACCCAATTTCATCAACATAAAAATGCATATAGGATCATTCCATGTGGCTTGCCCTTGGTCCGGGGCACACCTAGGAATGAGGGCCTGAAACAAGTGTGTGGATGGTGGACCCTGGGAACTGGTCTTTGCTGGAGAAGCAGCTCAGCTCAGATTTGCAGATGCTGACTCAGCAAAGTGCTACATTCTTGGTGTTCCATTGTGACTGCTCGACTGCTGAGCTGTGTGACTGATTCTTTAGGGACAAGCAAACCCCCCTGTCCTCACTGTTTTTCCTCATTACTTTTTAAACTGGGGTCCTCAGGAGAGTTCCATTTGGTGGGCTCTAGGGACCTAAAGGAGTTCCTTAAACCACTTAATTTGCAAGGCATATGGGGATTACAGAACTAGAGGAATCGAGTTTATTAACTAGTCTCAGCCCCACTCCCCCAGAACATGACACACACTCATCAGATTCTTCTCTTTGTGATTGGGAAAGCACCAGTGACACCAACTCTGGTGTCACCCGACCAGCTCAGGGGTACAGCTACAGTGTGCACAGTGTGCACAGTACAGATGTGGATTTATGACACATGATAGGCTGAATAATGGCCTCCAAAAGTATTCATTTCTGAATCCCCAGAATTTGTGAATATATTATTTTACGGCAAAATGACTTTGCTGATGGGATTAAATTATGGATTTTGAGGTGGGCAGATTACGTTGGGTTCTGTGGGTGGGCCTTAAATGTATTTACAAGTGTCCTTAAATGAGAGAGGCAGAGGGAGATTTGACTACAGAATTGGAGTGTTAGAGTAACACGGAGTGAGAAAAACTTGACCAACCACTGCTGGCTTAAGAAATGGAGGAAGGATCCCAGGCCAAATAATGCAGGAGACTTCTCAAAGCTGGAAAAATCCAGGAAGCAGATCTCCCTGAGAGCCTGCAGAAGCAATGCAGCCCTGCTGACACCTTGATTTTGGCTTGGTGAAACCAATTTTGGACTTCTGTCCTTGATATGGTTCAGCTCTGTGTCCCCACCCAAATCTCATCTTGTAGCTCCCATAATTCCATAATTGTGGGAAGGATGCAGTGAGAGATAAATGAATCATGAGGGTGGGTCTTTCCTGTGCTGTTCTCCTGATAGTGAGTAAGTCTCACAAGATCTGATGGTTTTAAAAATGGGAGTTTCCCTGCATAAGCTCTCTTTCTTTCCCTGCCACCATCCACGTAAGATGTGACTTGCTCCTTCTTGCCTTCCACCGTGATTGTAAGGCCTCCCCAGCAATATGGAACTGTAAGTCCAATAAACCTCTTTCTTTCGTAAATTGCCCAGTCTTGGGTATGTCTTTATCAGCAGCATGAAAACAGACTAATACAGTTCTCCAGGACTGTAAGAGAATAATTTGTGTTGCTTTAAGACACTGTGGCGATTTGTTACAGGGGTGTTACGGGTTGAACTGTGTCCTGCCCCAGTTCACATGTTTAAGTCCTGACCCCCACTACCTCAGAATGTGACTAGATTTGTAGATAGGGCCTTTCCAGAGGTCATTAAGGTAAAATGAGGTCACATGGTGACCTCAACTCATCCAACACAACTGGTGACCTTGTAAGAAGCAAAAATTAGGACACAGACATGTGTGTGCACAGAGGAAAGAGCATGTGAGGACACAGCAAGAAAGTGGTCATCTGCAAGCCAAGGAGAGTGACCTCAGAAGAAACCAAACTGGCTGATACCTTACTCTTGAACTTGCAGCCTCCAGAGCAGTGAGAAAGTTTATTTCTGTTGTTTAAGCCACCCAGTCTGTGGAGTTTTGTTATGGAAGCTCTGGCATACAGGTTGGAATACAGGTTGCTCCAAGAAAACCAGCTGTGCCTGAAGGTTGGACGCTGAATATATAGATCATCTTACATGATGTGAGACATCAGTCAACTGTCCATATCAAAATAAAGTGGCCGGGCATGGTGGCTCGTGCCTGTAATCACAGGACTTTGGGAGACCGAGGCGGGCGGATCACCTGAGATCAGGAGTTTGAGACCAGCCTGGCTAACATGGCAAAACCCCATCTCTACTAAAAATACCAAAATTAGCTGGGCATGGTTGTGGGTGCCTGTAGTCCCAGCTACTCGGGAGGCTGAGGCATGAGAATCCCTTGAGCCTGGGAGGCAGAGGTTGCAATGAGCTGTGATTATGTCACTGCCCTCCAGCCTGGGTGACAGAGCAAGACTCTGTTTCAAAAAAAGAAAAAAAGACATTGTTTTATTCTCATCCTCAAACCCCGCGGGACAAATTTCACTTCAGACAGCCCTCCTGCCCCTTCATGTGGCTGCTTTCAACTACCACATCAGCCAAATTTTGCTCCTCAGCTTCTGATTTTAATCCTGGTATTGTTTGTTGCTCCAGAACTCTTCTATCCCCTGCTATCCCCCATATCTTCAAGTTTGTATTGAACCTATCACCTTCCTCCCTCCCTCCTCCTGTCCTTCCTCCTTTCCTTGTCTCCTCCCTTCCTTCCTCACTCCTCTTCCCTTCCCTCTAGTAATATTGATCTTCAGCTCTGCATGGGGTATATATTTCCGGGTAGTCACTATTAAACCCACTCATTAACCAGAGAGGGACCAAAAAAAAAAAAAAAAGAAAAAAGAAAACACTGGTCTTCCTGTATCTCTCATGAAACAGTCAGGGCAAGGCAAGGGCTGCTTATCACACAGAGGCCCTGAGCCATGCACCTGCCCTTCCCACTACCATCACTATATCATCCTCCATCTAATAGTCATCTATTGCTACAGCATTTTACTGGAAGTCCAGCTACTCTTTTTAATAAATTGATTTTCTGGGCAGGAACCAGGAGAGTTCTGTACATTTTAGTGTAAGTAAAGGCAACTTCCAGAGGTTAGGGGAGAGAAAGTAGTAGAATCTACACTATCTTGAATATATTTGGCTGCCAGCCATAGAAAACTCTGTTAACCATGGCTTAAACAATGATGGCATCTTGTTATTTGACCAAACAAGAAGTCTGGAGGAATCCAGACTAGCGCTGGACTAGCAGGTCAGGGATGGCATCAAAGAGCGGGGCTCTTTCTATCTTTCCTTCTCCACCATCTTCTGTGTGCTGGTTTTTCATCTTTGTGCTTGAGGCCTCATGATTACAGAATGGCTACTACAGCTTCAGACATTGCAACAGAATTCCGAGACAGGAAGTAGTGGGAGAGGGGCACAAACTAACAATAAAATAACTTGTCCTCAAATGCCTCTTTTCTTTCATTTGTAAAGAAAACATTTTTGCAAAAGATTCTGTCACCCTTCCTCTTATATGTCATTGGCTAGAACTGGGTCACATAGCTGTCTTTAGCTGCAAGGAAGGCTGGGTAAGGAAGAATCTCACTTCTTCAGCTTTGCTACAGGATGTCACTCATGAGAGAAAGAGGTTGGCATGGCTGTGTGTTGGCCAATTGACCATGTGTATCAATAACTCTTGTCACTCAAAAATTCTTAACTATATCTACTCAGAATCTCCAAGGGAGCAAAAGGTAGCAGATCTGATAAAAATGGAGAAAGGATTTCTCTGGCATTGCCCCGCTTCCTCTCCCTACACATCTCACTCAAATCCCTTCTCAACACAATGCACCCAGAGCCACCAGAATGTGGGTGCTTTGCTTGTGCATATGTTCTGAGACTCTCAGAAGGCTGAAATGGGGATCAATGGTCTCCAGTACCTGGGTTCATATTTATTAGGCAGAACCATGTTGGCAGGAATCTATGATGAAGACACTGTTGGATTTCTGGGAGCCTGCCACTCCTGAAACATGAATGGAGTCAATTTCCATTCCAAGCAGAAATAGTCTCAAGGGTTCAGACATTACACAAATCAATTCCATTTTAGATTAGAGTCTGAAAATTTAGCAAAAAGGGGACATCACACTTATGGTGGTCATTTTGGCCCATACCAGTGGCTGATAGGAAGGCTCTAGAGGCAAAGGCAAGTTTTTAAAAACACCCAGCCAACTTGGAAAAGGAGCAAGAAAAGGGCATAAGCTTTGAGCCTTTAATAGGAGTTGCCAGGGTGGTGCAAAGATCATCCTCTGCTCCGGCAGGACAGTGGCTCATGTTAATCCTCAGACCTGCCAGGTTTCAAGCATACAGGGTAAAGAACAATAAAAATGCTTCGTCATTTATGGCTGAAGATGGTATTGGCGACTCACATCGGTAGGGTTTTATTTATTCTTCCTGTAGGAGCAGAAGATTTGTGTGGGTGGCTCACGCTCCCTCCTCGTACCTTTCCTACCAGAATAGAGTGTTCTTTGAGAGGATTGAACAGGATTCGGGGAAAGACTGTGGGTTTTGTTTTGTTTTGTTTTGTTTGACAGTGTCTCACCCTGTCACCCAGGCTGGAGTACAGTGAGGCGATCATAGCTCGCTGCAGCCTCCAACTCCTGGGCTCAAGAGATCCTCCTGCCTCAGCCTCCCGAGTAGCTGGGACTACAGGCGTGTGCCACCATACCTGGCGAATTTTCGTATTTTTTTTAGAGATGGAGTCTTACTACGTTGCCCAGGCTGGTCTTGAACTCCTGGGCTCAAGCAATCCTCCCACCTCAGTCTTCCAAAGTGCTGGGATTATAAGCATGAGCCACTGCACCTGGCAAGACTGTATCCTTTGCATAGAGCAGGAAAATGGCCTGGCTGCCTTTTTACCCCCTTGGGCCCCTGCTTCCCTCAGCTGCTCCAAATATTGCCTGAGGTTTCTGAGCCTGAGGTGCACACCTCACTTTTCCAGCCTTGCGTTCTCCCTCTAGCCACTTCTCCAAAATTACCCCTCTCTGATCTGCTTTCAAGCCCTGCTACCTCTACCCATTTCCTTCCCAGCCCTGGATCAGTTTCTTCAGCTCATCTTAATGAAGCTGACCCATTTTTCAAGGCCCCTCTCAGCCACCATCTCCTACGTGAAGTCTCCTGAAATGAACTCCAGCAAATTGAGTTGTTCTTAGCCCTGTCTGCCATGGCATCTTGTATGTATGACTTGTGTGCAATTGAAATTTAGGGCTGAACCAGGGCTGTGCTATTTGTGAACATGCATGTCTCTGCCTGAGGTAATAGACTGAATTACAATCATGATAGACACAGTGCTTGTCTCAGAGAAGGCATCCACGTTTTAAAAGCAAGTTGAAATTCTGGTATAAATGATCACTTTATCACAAAACAATTTTGGAAAAAAAAATATTAGAGGACTTCTAGTACTCCATTTCTTTTTTCTTTTTTTTTGAGTCAGAATCTTGCTCTGTCGCCCAGGCTGGAGTGCAATGGCGCGATCTCGGCTCATTGCAACCTCTGCCTCCCGGGTTCAAACAATTCTCCTGCCTCAGCCTCCCGAGTAGCTGAGATTACAGGTTTCTGCCACCACGCCTGGCTAATTTTTGTATTTTTAGTAGAGACAGGGTTTCACCATATTGGCCAGGCTGATCTCGAACTCCTGACCTCATGATCTGCCCGCCTCGGCCTCCCAAAGTGCTGGGATTACAGGCTTGACCCACCGTGCCCAGCCATACTGCCCCATTTCAAAAGTTACTACAAAGCCCTGTTAATTAAGACAGTGTGGTATTTATGTAAAGACAGACAAATAGGTCAATGAAACAGATTAGAGTCTGGAAATAAATCCTTGCATTCATGGCATTTATGGTTGATTGATTTTTGACAAAGGTGTCAAAACATTTCCATGGGATTTCTTTTCAGCAAATGGCACAATTATATATCCATATGCCAACAACAACGACAAAAAAGTACCTCCATCATACACAAAGGATAATAGCCCAAAACGTAAAAGCTAAAAGTAAAAAATTCTAGAAAAAAGCATAGGAAATCTTTGTGACCTTGCTTTAGGCAAAGGATCCTTGGATTCAGCATTAAAAGCATGAGCCATAAAAAAATTGATAAATTGAAGTTGAATTAATTTAAAAACTTTGACTTCAAAAAATATGAAGAAAATGGACCACTGGCTGGGAGAAAATATTTGCACATCATATATCTGATAAAGGACTTGTATCAAGAGTCTAAAAAGAACTTCCATAACTCAATAAGAAGACAATCAACTCAATTAAAAATGGCCCAAATCCTTGAGTGAACATTTCACCAAGGACAGCCTAGGAATGGCTAATCAGCACATTAAGATATGCTCAACATCATTGGTTATTAGAAACATGAAAGTTAAAACCACATTGAGATACCACTTTGCACGCTCTAGGATGGCTACAATAAAAGAGAGAATGCAAAGTGCGCAGAGAGAAACTACAACCCTCATAGATGGCTGGCAGGAATATTGAAGAGTACAGTCACTTTGGAAAACAGCATGACAGCTTGTTGAAATGTTAAACACAAACATACTCAACAAATCTACCCAAGAATCCACCCAAAAAATCCACCCAAGAGAAATGAAAACATATGTCCACAGGAAAGACTTAGACATGAATGTGCATAGCAGCATTATTCATAATAGCCAAACACCAGGCACAGCCCAAAGATCTATCAAGTGATGAATGGATAAACAGAATTTGGTAGCTCCATACAATGGAATACTATTCACCAATTAAAATGGAATAAAATGCAGATACAGGCTACGATATGGATGAACCTCAATAACATTAAATTAAGTAAAAGAAACCAGTCACAAAAGACCAAATATTGGATGATGGCTGACACAGGACATGAGTTGATAGTTTTTGAAGCTGAGCGGTGAATATATGTGGTGAACTGTTCTCTATAATTCTGTATATGCTGAAAATGTTCCTTTTTTCTTTTTTTTTTTTGACAGTCTCACTCTGTTGCCCAGGCTGGAGTGCAGTGGTGCGATCTTGGTTCATTGTAAACTCCACCTCCCAGATTCAAGCGATTCTCCTGCCTCAGCCTCCCAAGCAGCTAGGATTACAGGCATGTGCCACCATGCCTGGCTAATTTTGTATTTTTAGTAGAGATGGGGTTTCACCATGTTGGCCAGGTTGGTCTCGAACTCCTGACCTGAGGTGATCTGCCCACCTCAGCCTCTCAAAGTGTTGAGATTACAGGCTTGGACCACTGTGCCTGGCCTGAAAATGTTCCTTTACACAAAATGTTTAGAGGCTACTAGTCATTTTTTTTTGTTGATGATGTTTCAAAAACACCAAATCTATTTCATATTTTATCTGCCATCATTTATTTTACTGCATTCTACTTTTATTGCTATTTTCTTTCTCTCCTTCCTTGACATGGCCTATGACATACTGATAAACACACACACACGTGCATACACAAACATGCTATGTTCCCTATCTTAGCTGTTGTCAGCTTAGAAGTTGTTATTGCTCTCCCAGGTCACTTTCTTTCTCAACGCCCCATTCCCTCATCTTCTTGCACTTGTTTTTTCCCAGAGAGGGTCCACACACCCTCCCAGACACTACCTGCTCACACTTGGCCCAGATAGTAGTTTCTGTGGCTTAGCCTGTATGTGGTTCTGTTGTCCATTTATATCTACTTTGGAGCTCCACAATCTTCATGTGTCTGTGTGTGTGTTTGTGTGTGTGTTTGAGACAGTCTTGCTTCATTACCCAGGCTGGAGTGCGGTGGTGCTATCATGGCTCACTGCCGCCTTGACCTCCTGGGCTCAAGCAATCCTCCCAACTTGGCCTCCCAAAATGCTGGGATTTCAAGCATGAGCCACCATGCCTGGCCTCATTTATGTTTTTGAAAACCACTCTAATAAGCTTCTTCTACACTTTAAAAATGCTGTATTTGTTTTCTTCCATTTATGTAGGGACAAGGCCAGGTTTTCTTCTTATAAGTACATTGTTTTGGGGAATGATTATATGATGGTAGTTTACAAACATTTATTACACACACACACACACACGCCACAGTTACAATCATTATATATATATATGTTGTCTCACTTCGTTAGCTCCTAATAACTCCTATCATTTGTGGCAGGTGAGTTGTATTCACATTTTACTCTAATTTATGCTTCACAAACATCTTAAGAGGTAGTACTGTTATGTCCATCTAACACAGGAGTCCCAGCCCCTGAGCCATGGACCAGTACTGGCCCGTGGTCCGTTACGAACCTGTCTGCATAGCAGGAGGTGAGCAGTGGGGTGAGTGAGCATTACTGCCTGAGCTCTGCCTCCTGAGAGATCAGCAGCAGCATTAGAGTCTCAGGAGCTCGAACTCTATTGTGAACTGCACATGTGAGGAATCTAGGTTATGTGCTCCTCATGAGAATCTAACTAATGCCTGATGATCTGAGTTGGAACAGTTTCATCCATGAACCATCATTCCCTCGCCATCCCATCGGTGGAAAAATCGTCTTCCGCAAAACCACTCCCTGGTGCCAAAAAGGTTGGGGACCGCTGATCCAATGGATAATAAAATTGAGGTTTTGGGAGGTTGAATAACCTTCCCTCGAGATCACATGGGGTTCTCCTTCTGATATAACAAGCTGTCTCTCAAAGAGTTACTTAAAATAGGATTGGCATAGTCGAAGCGTGGGGTTGGAAGACAAGCTTGCCAATTAATACCTGAAGATTCCTTGTCTGAGGGGAAGAGATTATAGCAATGCTGGTGAGAGAGCCAACCTCAGTCACAGGTGGAATAACTGGTGGGAGGATTTCAGGGCTTTATCCAAAATAATTTTCTAGACACCTTGTCTTTGCCAATTTGGGATGCTATAATTGAATACCAAAGACTGGGTGGCTTAAAAAACAAACATGTATTTCTCACAGTTCATGAAGTCTGAGCTTAGGGTGCCAGCATGGTCAGCTCCTGGTGAAGGTCTTCCTTCTAGTTCATAGACAGCTGCCTTCTCGCTGATTCCTCACATGGCAGACGGCAGAGAGCAGGGGAGCAAGCTCTCCGATGTCTTTTCTAATAAGGGCCTTAATCCCCTAAGGAGGACTTAACCTGAAAGACCTAATTACCTCCCAAATACTATGTCCAAATTGTGTCCCATTGGGCATTAGGGTTTCCACATATGAACTTGGGGTGAGGTGGGTGGACACAAATATTTAGCCCATAGGATACATCCACTTGAAATTCTAGAACAACAGGATAAAAAGACAATCCTGAGAGCTTCTAGAAAGAAAAACATGAATTACTTATAAAAAAATGAAAATGAGATTGATATCAGATGACTTGATCCACAATGTTGGATAGTAGATGTCAACCAAGCAATGTCTTCAAAGTCCTACACCTGGAACTTAGAATTAAGTATCCAGCCAGACTATCAATCAGATGTGAAATAGAAACGCTGACATTTTCAGATATTCAAGACCAAGAAAGTTTATCTGACATGTAGGCCTTTGAGAAAAAAAAATGTATAATAAAGGAGAACCAACTTTACATTGATGTTTAAAATATTATGCTTCCAGTGGTACAGGCTTACAGATATAAAATTTCTTTCACTAAGTTCAATTATGGATGAAATCTCATTACTTTTTTCAACTAGTAAATCATACTTATATCATTTAATTATCTTATTACTAACACATGCGGGGCTTAATGCCTAGGTGATGGGTTGGCAGGTGCAGCAAGCCACCGTGAAACATTTACCTACGTAACAAACCCACACATCCTGCACATGTGTCCCAGAACTTAAAATAAAATAAAATTTAAAAAATTGTTATTACTTATATTTATAGTATACAATTATGATATTGTAAATGCTGCTTACTGGCTCTTGATTTTCAAAATTGACCTATAGACACATCATGGAATATTTACACATGCCAAAGGGATAGTATGATTACAACTTTTCATATATAAAAATAATGGTATAGCTGGAAGAAGCTGGGAGGTAGAGGGAGGGAGATTAGCTGGTGGTGGGGGTGGGTATCTTACAGAATGGGGAGAAAGAAACACTGTTTACATTTGGAAGATCACGAAATAGAAGTTTAACTCTATTGTTTAAAGTTATGAAGTCGTGAGAGACTGAATAGCCAAGCAGGCAATGGCCAGGCCATATATATGTAGATGAACTTTGACCCACGATCGGCAGCAACCTGCCCAGGAAACCAATGCCCTTTTCTACCATAAACAATCCAGCCAGCCTAAGTCAGCCCCAAATGGCCAGGACTTGTTTAATAACTGACAGCTTCCTAAATTTTTATCCCTGCTTCCAACTTAGGACCAACCAGAGGAAGCCAAATACGCACCCCTAACTAATCACATAGGATACCCTACTTCTACTTAGTCCACCTATAGCTTCCGCATGCCAGCAGCCTTCAATCCGACCATAGCTGAAGCCTTCCTTGTTCTCTAATCTAAAGCTTTCCTACTCCTCTGCCTGCCTTTGAGTCTCTGCCAAAATGTAAGTGACGGTGGGTGGCTGACTCCCTTGCTACAGCAAGCTCAGAATAAATAGCCTTTGCTTTTCTCATGTGATTGGTCTTTATTTATTTTTATAGTTGACTCATAGAAGGACCAAGAGATAAAAATATAATAAACAAAAATTTGACGAGGGAGGGAAAAGGGAGAAGATGAACCAAACTCTTCAGTTTCATGGTAAAAAGTGGATAGATACTATTTAAAGAGAGAAATCAAGAAATAGGGCATATCATATTATTTAGAGTTATTACTTGTATTTATATTATACAATTATGATATTGTATGAGGGATATGTATAAAGGGAGGCTCAGTGATTGTTTGGAGATCTAGTGAGTTGGCAGCCAAACCTCAGACAAGTCTCCTGACACCTGCAAAGGAACACCATTGTTCCTTTACTGTGTTCTTTATAACTGACTTCTCAGTAAGAGTTGACAATGGCCATAGCAGGTGCCCCAGAACCAAAAAGCTGAGTCTCATGAAATTCTGCCCAGCTCCAGGGGCAGGTCAAAAAAAAAAGAATGGTCAAAAGTATTAATAGCTGCCTAAGGAGTGAGACTGGGAGGGGCAAAGGGAGGAGGGCATTTTATTTTTATACAAGAGCTCTTACAACATTTGAACTTTTGTTTTTATACCAACTCATTACTTCTATAATTCAATACATTTCTGGATAGTTCCCTTTTATTCCTTTGGATAAGAATCCTGCTTTTAAAATGTGGATGCACCTAAGAAAAGCAAAGCCCTTGGTGAGAAAAGCAAAGACCTTGGAGCAAAGACCCAGGCAATGGGGAAGCCATGAACGGAGAATGGGTAGCACCAAGTGCTAACGGGAGGGCCTGGGAAGAGGCTGGGTGTTGCAGGATGGGTGTGGTTTGGCCATGATGGTGGCTATGCAGTCATTGTCATAGAGTGAATCTCAGGAGGGACACTGAGACATCCACACTTTCCCATGCTATGCCTTTCCTAGGGACAGTTGCTGTCTATCCAATCACAGACATACAGGGTCAGACCAACAGCAGTGAGAGTGGGACTGGAGAAAAAGGGGTGACTCTGCAGAGACAAGGTTTAAAAAGCAGGATTCGACACCAGGCGGCAAAACTGAAATTCATCTGAAATTCTCCAATAAATGTTTTCTAAGGAAAACCTTAATCCACTTTCACTTAAGATCTAAAATAAAACTGTCTGTTCTGCTTTATACTTTTAAAAATTGTGATTATTTAAATGTCTTTGATTATTTTCCCTTTATATGATTTGTGGGGGTGGGGGTGGATGATGAATGCTTGAGTAACGTCTGAAGTGTTCCTTGCAGTTCTGAGTGAATAATTGAGTTGGTGTTGCCTGAGAAAAGGGAGGTCACAAAAGGCTGCTGTTTTATTTAAGAAGACATACAGCTTGCTCTTGTCCATTAACGCTAAAGAAGGGCTGAGCGTGGGGCATTGTCATCTTCAAACACCCACTAAGTGGTTGCCTGCTACAGTAAGGCTGAGAGTGGTGCTGAAAATGCAATGTAAATATTTAAACCGAAGGAAGCTCCCTGCCATCCTAGTGGAGCAAACTGTTGGCACCACCTCAAAATTAAGACTTTGTTTTTAGCAGTGGGTAAAGCACTGTCAAGCACCAATCACTTTCAGCCTACACAATTCTTAAACAAAGTTTCGTTCAACTGTTGATGCGTCCTCCGCACCACTGCCCATCACGATGCACCAAAACCCTTGAGATGAAAAACTTTCCATCCTCTATCATTCCCAGTCCCCATCTGACTGCCCCTGGAGCTGGGCAGGATTTCATGAGACTCAGCTTTTTGGTTCTAGGGTACCTGCTATGGCCATTGTCAACTCTTACTGAGAAGTCAATTATAAAGAACACAGTAAAGGAACAATGGAGCAGGTGTCAGGAGACTTGCCTGAGGTTTGGCTGCCAGCTCACTAGATCTCCAATCAATCACTGAGCCTCCCTTTGCCTCGCTGGTAAAATTCTACCAGGACTTCCTACTCACTCTTCACTCTGCTCCCCAAAGGGGCTTTCCTGTGCATTTTACAGTTTTCTGGTACATCAGAGATATTGTAGGTGCGCAGAATCCTAGAAGTGGAGAGATACGTAATAAAGAATATACAAGTAAAAGATAAGGCCGAGTGCTGCATGCAAGCCTGGATTCCTGCCTCTTTGGTTTGATTTGAGGGATTCAGTTGATTTCTTTTTCTTTTTCTTTTTCTTTTTCTTTTCTTTCTTTCTTGATATCATTCAGTCTTCCAGGCTGGAATGCAAGTGGCAAGATCATAGCTCACTGTAGTCTTGACCTGTTGGGCTCAAGCAATCCTTCTGTCTCAGCCTCCCATGTAGCTGGGACTACAGGCGTGTGCCACTATGTCCAGCTAGCTCTTTAGCTTTTGTTGTAGAGACAATGTCTCCCTATGTTGCCCATGCTGGTCTCAAACTTCTGGCCTCAAGTGATCCTCCCACCTCGGCCTCTGAAATGCTGGGATTACAGGCATGAGCAACAATGCCCAACCTTTCAGTGGACATTTTTGGATTTTGCTGCCCAGCAGTAATCCTTCCTTTTGATTACATTGTCTTTCTCCATTGCTATTTCCCACTCTCTTTCTAACAGCTGGAATCCTTGACAAATTTAAAAGAATTTCTGATCTAAATATGAGGCAATGCAAAGCCTGGTATCTTTGAAAAAGTGAGAGAGTCATGGTTAACAGACCAAGTGGATGGAAATTGAAATTGAGTCTTGGAGGTTATTAACAAACAACCTTTAAGAGGGCAGTTTTGTTACATTTATTCTTTTTTTTTCATTACAAATATAAATAGACTACACACTATATAGATCTGTCTGACTGAGGAGATTGCTGTGACAGTTTAAAAACCAAGATCCACTCCAGCAAAATGAATGCCTTGGCCCTTGCCTTTTGCCCTTCATAGCTCAGTCTGTAATCAGTCTCGCATGAATGCTTTTGATTGGCAGGAACTAAACTACACATGGGACCTGGCTTCACCTGTCATTTTCTGCTTCTTGGCCTCTGCTGTACTGAAAGACAAGCTGGTCAGGGGTTGGATGAGCCTTAAGCAAAGCAGCCCATGGTCTCTGCCGCATCCTCTCCAGTCTAGAAACTCACAGATGAAGATGGCATTCACCTGTCTGCGAGGAGCTCCTAGTTCAGCTCAGGTGACTGGCCTATAAATATGCCATTATGTTTCCATGGGAAATGCACTGCCTACAGGCTCAGTGGCAAGGGAACATGCAGGAGGGAATGACTTGCTGCCATAAGGAGTCACAGAAAGCTCTACCAACAAGGAGGTGATGTCAGAGGTCTGAGTGATGCATGTGAGGTGAAGAAGAAGGGGTATCATGGAAGGCCGTGCAGGGACCTCTACAACGAGTGCTGTGGGACAAGAGAGCAGCTGGGTGGGCAGCAGGTCACGTTCCTGGACAAAGGGGCTGCCCGAGCCCGGGTTCCAAGCACAGGAAGACAGAGCCACTGGCCGACCTAAGCCCCAAATTGCCTAGTGGCAGCATAGCCTGTGGAAGCTGCTAACATTTATGGGATCTAAAGCTGAATGACCTGGATTCAAAGCCCAGCTCTGTCACTTCCTACTTGGGGTCAAGCTGTTTAAACTCTCTAAGCCTTAATTTCCCCATTTGGAAAATGTTGATATTATTGGTATCTAAGGTAAATGTGAGGATTAAAAATGATGATGATGATGGTGATGATGATGACGATGATGTTGCAAAGCATTTGGTCCTATGACTGACACTTTGCAGGTGGCAGTCCATGTTAGCTGTGACATGGTCATGGTAAGGGGAGCCTTTAGATCCATTGAGGATGAAGGGGCAGTAGGTGAGATCCAGACAAAGCGGATGCTAGAGTCGCATCAGTGGCATGTGTGGTGGGTAGTCAGTCTATTCCTGGGGGGCTGTAACTGTGAGACACAGCACCCTGCACCCCAGAGGAGATAGTTAGCAAGAGCAGGGTGTCTGGGGCCCCAGTGGTCACAGCTGTTCTTTCCTCAGTTATAAAGCTGAAATGTCTGCAAGGGGCAACAACTGCAGTCAAATTCACAGAAAATCTATGTGCAGGATCCCAGTCACTGATGCTACACCCGGATGTTCAGATAAAATGTAAAATGTACGGCCTTCCTCAAGAGACCCACTTACTGCATAACAAAAAATATTAACAGCTCCAGATTAATCTGTTGATCTAAGTATGATGCAATAATTGTAACAGCTTCTTTATATAAAAATGATGAGCATCACAGAAACATTCCTTTCTCTCTTCCATTTCCCTTTCCTCCTTTGTCTTCTCTTCCATCCCCCTTGCTCTCCTCCCTCTCCCTTCTTTTTCTTTCCAGGAAGGTACTTCGTGTTTGGATCAGAAACCCTTGAGGTGCTGGGGAAAGGAGGTGGATCTGGGTGGAACCCCCCAACTCCCCCAGCCTCTGCTCCTTGCTCCCCTGCTTCTGCCTGTCTGCTGGCCATCACAGCTCTAGGAACTGACCCACTGCTGTCTCAGCTTCATCCAGGCTGGTTGCTTGATGCCTATGCTTCAGCCAAGCCTAACTTCTCCTTTTACCTTCACCATGGACCTGGCTGAGTTTCTGCTGCCTCCTCCACCTGCCCTTGGCTAGGAGGTCCCCTCACCCCTGGCCATTGCAAGGCCTATGGCCAGCCACTGAGCCTCATGCCAGCTGTCTTCTCAGTTCCCTAAAGCCTCAGATTCAGGTGGGACCTTCCAGGTTCACCACGTGGAACGCCATCCTTCCTCCATCGGCTTAGTCCTATTGTACTGCTGCTTCCACTTTGATGGAGCTACCTCCAGCTTGGTGGAGAGAGGCAGCCTAGAGCCATGGACAGGAGGCAGGACAGATGCCTCTCTGCCTTCCAGCTTTTTAGCACATTTGTAGGTATTTCCAAAGCTGCCTCCAACTGACTCCTTGAGGGGGCAGGGAGGGAAGATGAGAAGCTGAGCGCCTGCCTTCCCCTCTGCATTCGCCTGGCTCCCTTGTTCTCCTGCATTCCCCTGGGCTGGATGGGGCCATCTCTAACCTAAAACTCCACAGTGCAGGTGGCCAGGCCTGGCTCTTGGTAGTCTCTGGGAGGAGATAAAAAGAAACTGTGAATCATGATTACATAGCTTTTAAATCTCAACAAAGCTGGCTTGTCACACTAGATCCCTGGGCAAAATCCTCTTTTAAATGCCAGAAGCTGAACGCGATCTCTTCTTCTGTCTTTGCTCTCTCATTGTAATATCAGCACTGCTCTAATCTGCACTCCTGCCCTGCCCCACGTCTATATGTCAAGCCAACAGGAGAAGGTCATAAACACGAAATGCAAATGAGGAAGTCACTGTCACCATTTTTAAAAAACATCAGTGCTGGGAACACAGAGTGTTTCTGAATGGGGTTTGATAAAGCGGTGTGCTCGAGGTGTGCGTGGAGGAAAACACGGCCTTGCTGGTGGGGAGGTAGAGGCAGAGGCTGAGCATATTCGGAGCACTGCAGGCAGCTTTTGCCTTCATCAGAATTGGACCCAGGGCAGGCTCTGGCAGGCATTTTCTGTTCCTTCCTGCTGCTATGGAGGGACAAAAATGCAAGCCACAACACAAGGAGAGGACCCCAGACAGGCCCACACCTGCCCTGCTGGCCTTCTACTCCCTCTTCCCCGAGCTTTCCCTTCAGCCATAGCACTGTCTGCATCCCTGCAATCCCTACCAGTTTCCTGACCACTTGTCTATTTGCCGTCTGTGGATTATTTTCTTTCCTTTCCTTTTTAGAGACAAGGTCTTGCTCTGTCACCCAGGCTGAAGAGCAATAGCACAATCACAGCTCACTGCAGCCTGGAAAAGTGATCCTTCTACCTCGCCTCCCAACTAGCTGGCACTAAAGGTGCACACCACCACACTGGCCTAATTTTTAATTTTATTTATTTATTTTTTTGATAGAGACAGGGTCTCACTACATTGCTGAGGCTGGTCTCAAACTCTTGGCTTCAAGGGATCCTCCCACCTTGGCTTCCCAAAGTGCTGGGATTACGGGCGTGAGCCATGGTTCTCAGTCTCTTTCTTTCTTTTTCTTTCTTTCTTTCTCTTTCTTTCTTTCTTTCTTTTTCTTTCTTTCTTTCTTTTGCTTTCTTCCTTCCTTCTTTTCTTTTTCTTTCTTTCTTTCTTTCATTCTTTCATTTCTAAATTTCTAAATGTTTTCTTGTGGACAATTTTTAGAAATATAGAGTATAGTATAATGAGCCCTCAAGTATTCATCATCAGCTTCAGTGTTGATCAACTCATGGCCAATCTTATTTATCTTTAAATATCCCCTTCTTTCCACCTCTCCTTCCCACCAGATTACTTTGAAGGAAATCCCAGACATTGTATCATTTCTAGAAGCTTTTTAATATCCCGAATGGCAATTTGCCATCTCATCTAAAATGCATGAGCCTGTCACTCAGTATCTAAACTAGATTCATCATCCATTGTGTGTAGCTCAAAGTTGATAACTTGAATTCCATTCAAATGTCATGTCTCTCTAGGAACTTTGCATAAATTTTTGGTAAAGGGAAGAGTTCTTTAGTAATTAGAATAATAATTCCATAATTCATCTCCTTTAATGAACAAAGACATTGGTGTGCTAATGATTTCTTAAGGAAGTAGATTGTTTGAACGTGCTTTAAAGTGGTTAAAAGTTGCTTCTCTTAGTAGTTAATATTTCTTCCCCCTCCCCTTCCTCTGTGCTGTTTACCTTATTAGTTTGCTTAGCAAACCTTGTTGGTATAGATAGAGCAAAGAAATTTCTACCCAACGCTGGTCTGAGTGAACGAGATTGTACATATTTTTGTATGGTTTCCTTCAAGTGGAGAGAAAGTACACAGAGTTCTTATCAGTTTTTTGGCTCTAATTAATTGGCTTGATGGCTACAAGAAAGAACAGAGGATTGTCTTAGTTTGAGTTCACACAAAAAAGAAGTCTGTTGAAAAAAAATGGCTGTTTCATTTCTTAGGTGGACCTGAGCTTGTTCCTGTGCAGGAATAAATTTTACTTAGATAAAACCATACCCTCTGCTCTTTTCTAACCACCTTCTTGAATAGTGATTGTAACATGAGATTCGCCAGTACAAGCCTGGACTTGCAGGTCCCATAATGGTAGGAGTGGCTAAAGAGAAACCCCAGCTTCACCTGTCACCAGAAGCTTGTTTAGTGTAAGAGTTCCAGGGGTTTGCTTCTTGCTGAAACATGACAATGTTCCTAGGATGATGAGCATGTTAGTTTTGGAGTTTGTCTCTAAATTCTGTAGGTAACCCTTGTATCATGGCTGAATTTTAAAGAAACAAAAGACTCACCAGGTGACTTGGCCTAACTGTTCAGTTTTGAAATATGACACATTCTCAAACAAGCTTACAGGCTTAATTAAGTATTATGTGTTGTCAATATTTTGTCAGTCAATGGTTTTTCAATATATATTTGCAGGCAAACATTCTTATTAATATTGCTTGGAATGAAATATGAGATATTTGTTTGGAGATAACATTACATTAAAATGATAACTTTATATATTAATATGAATCATGTTGAAGAAGTATATGTTCTCTCATTTTTCTTTTTTTTTTTTTTTTAAATTATAGAGACAGGGTCTATGTTGCTTAGGCTGGTCTTGAACACCTGGGCTCAAGTGATCCTCCCCCCTTTGGCTTCCCAAAGTGCTGGGATGATAGGTGTGAGCCACTGTGCCCAACTATTCTCTCATTTTATAAGAAATTCTCATTTTTAAAATGTAAATCCCATAAGACTTTTTTGAACTGCTCTATAAAGGCCAGTTTCCAAATCTTAACTCCTATTTGCATTTTGTATTACTTAGTGGTTTCAAGACCAAATACAAATTTGATTCCTAAGTTTTTTTCTCAGATCCAAGAGTTTCTGTAAATATTTAAGGTAATTGCTAGGAGAGAAAATGAAAATCTAGCAAAGCCCAAATCCCTCAAGGAAGGATAAGGAAGCTGGCACTTCAAGAAGTTCATGTTGCCGGAAGTGGGGAGGACCCGCAGCAATACAATCCGCCTATTCTTACTCCCACTCGTCCTACTGGTCCCTGACATTCTGTTTTTAAAAAATTATTTCTGGTGGACAGGTGTGGTGGCTCTCACCTGTAATGCTAGCACTTTGGCAGGCCAAGGCCGACAAATCTCTTGAGCCCAGGAGTTCCAGGAGTTCAAGATCAACCTGGGCAACATGGTGAAACCCTGTTGCTACAAAAAATACAGAAAAAGACAAACTAGCTGGAATTGGTGGCACTCACCTGTAGTCCCAGCTACTCAGGAGGCTGAGGTGGGAGGATCACTTGAGCATGGTAGGTGGAGGTGGCAGTGAGCTGTGATCGTGCCACTGCACTCCAACCTGAGCAACAGAGTGAGAATCTGTCTAAAAAAAAAAAAAAATATATATATATATATATATATATATATATAAAAAATGATTTCAGCAAATTTTATAGCTCAGTTGCCGTTTAACTAACTTAAACTGGGATTACACGCTAAAATACATTTAGCTTGTCTGTGATTCCCTTCCCTTTATGGAAATTAAATGTGCAGAGTATCAGAAGTCATTGGCACTTGGGAGAACAGTGGCAATTCTGGGGGTAGAACCAAGCTCAAACCCCACTATATTCCCTGAGCACTTTGCCTGTCATAAGGAAAAAGGATCTTTCCAGTGCTTAACTTTGGTCCTTTGGGAAGGGACAGGGTAGTGTCATCTTCCACGGTGAAGATGAGTGAGCCAGTGCTGAATACTGTTTCTGTTACCCAGGCTGGAGGGTGACATTTATGATCATAGCTCACTGCAGCTTCAAACTCCTAGGATCAAGTGATCCTCCTGCCTCAGCCTCCTGAGTAGCTGGGATTAGAAGAATGAGCCACCAATCCAGCTTCCGTGGTGAACACTGGCAAGTGATCTAATGCTGGATGGTTAGTGGTAAACAGGGGTCTGGAATGCTTAACCCCAGTGATCTTGTGATTACAGACCCTGATAAGGTCAGGGCTGGAAGCCACTGGAAAAGGCATCCAGTAGAATTCTCTTATTTTATAGATAAGAGAAGTGACTGGGTACAGTGGCCCACGCCTGTAATCCTAGCACTTTGGGAGGCCGAGGTGGGTGGATCACAAGGTCAGGAGATGGAGACCATCCTGGCCGACATGGTGAAACCCCATTTCTACTAAAAATACAAAAATTAGCCGGGCATGTTGGTGTGCACGTGTAGTCTCACCTACTCGGGAGGCTGAGGCAGGAGAATGGCTTGAACCAGGGAGTTGGAGGTTGCAGTGAGCTGAGAAAAAAAAAAAGAAAAGAAAAGAAAAATAAGGCCCAGATCATGAAGAGATATGCAAGGGAGAGCAGGGAAGCTCTTGGAGAATGAGTTGTGTAGATGCACAGAGCAAGAATGCTGAGTACAGGACATGTTTCTCAGGCTCCGAGAGCTCATATTCTATGAGTGCTTTTCATCGAGTATCTGCCACCCATAATACCAGGGCGGTCTGAGTTAGGTATGGATAATGCAGATAACATTGAATCCCATGCTGAGAAAGAAAGGTATTCCCTTTCGAACGCTCTTTCCAAACCTCTCTGATTAGCTAAGGAAGAATTTCTGTAACACTCTCTGATCTCCCTTTTTTCCTTAGGCTCAAAACCCAAAGGCAATAGTAGCTGGCTTTATAAAGGCCAATAAGTAACAGTGTTGTTGTGCTTATTTTTTTAATGTATTTAATATATTTATTTTTATGTTACTTTCCATTTGTGGCAAACAATACTGGTTTTCCATTTATTGAAAGCTTCCTTTTAAAGGAATTAATTTAGATTAAAAAATGAGTTTATTTGCAATAAAAAGGTGTCTAGTAAAAATAGCACACGTGGTATGAAGATAAGGCAAAATTGGTAAAAGGTAGCAGGTGACATGTTTGGAAAACACAGTACTAAGTAGATAAAAATGGGTCTGAAGGGCAAAAGTAGAATTTGATACTGATCAAGTGGCAAATATTTGTATAGGGTCTGGCTCACGCCTTTGAGGAGCATAAAATGCATTTTAATTTGGGAAAACAAGGCTTATACATAGTTGACAATAAACTAAAATAAATACATCACAAGTCAAAATGATGAACAGTCAAAGAAGGGCATGTCTTGCCTCTTTTTCTGCCATGAAAGGAAAATAATCACTTTAAGAGATTATTAAAGAGAGAAGGTTCCCTCTAGCCTGGGCATAGAGAAGATGTCAGCAAGGAAGTGGGACTTTCTCCAAGCCTAGAATAGCACAATTTTAAAAATTAAACAGGAGAAGCAGAACATTACCAGCAGGGATGTGGTTTCCAGCAGATTTTTAAGGATTCTGCATAGAGGCCAATAATTCAAATATTATTTTTTCCATTTTATAATTTATTTTAATTTTAATTTAATTTTATTTGTTTTTTTGGTTGTTGTTAGTTTGGTTTTCTGCCTTTTTTTTTTTTTTTTTTTTGAGACGGAGTTTCACTCTTGTCACCCAGGCTGGAGTGCAATGGCGCAATCTCTGCTCACTGCAACCTCTGCCTCCCAGGCTCAAGTGATTCTCCTGCCTCAGCCTCCTGAGTAGCTGGGATTACAGGCACCCACAACCATGCCTGGCTAATTTTTGTATTTTTAGTAGAGACAGGGTTTCACCAAGTTGGCCAGGCTGGTCTCAAACTCTTGACCTCAGGTGATCTGCCCGCCTCGGTCTCCCAAAGTGCTGGGATTACAGGTGTGAACCACCGCACCCGGCCTTTTCCATTTTTTTAATAACTATTTTTTAGAACTGTAAAAACACATACTTATATACACGACAATGCGACGCATACAAATGTACATAATAATGGAGACTGCAATGTGTTACCTGTGCCAAAAGGCTAATCTGTTTGGTGCTGACCTCAGTCTCTTTATTACTATGCTTATAAATGCAGATAATGCACCAATGAGGAAAATGACATGAAGTTTATCCCTTCACTTTGTTTAAAACTTCTTTTGCTTTAAATTAACTTAATTAAAGTTTCTTTTGCAAAGCAAAATAAACTTGGCTGTTTTGAAACTTTGAATACATGTGTCAGAAATGAGCAATGAGATTTTTGAACTTATTTTTATTTATGCCACTGAACATTTCATATTGTTATAAGATGTATTTGGAAAGTATTTTCTAAAAACAGAAAAAATTTTAAGTGGCTGGGAAAGCTGTTTATTAACACCCTCAAAATTAAACAATCACCAGTTAAGGATTCTGAGCTGTTGGTAGATACTCTACATGCTTTGACTTTGAAATGGAAATTTCCTGTAACTCTACTCTTAAGCTTCGGGAGGACTTGAAGTACATCCTGAGATTGCAAGACAAGCTGTTAAATTATTACCACTTGCGAACATTTAACTAAGTGAATAGAGATATTCTTGATACCAAACAAGCAAAGACAGAACCAAAACTAAAACCAAAACCAAAACCCAGAAATAAATACTATGCTGATTCAGATAGGATTCATTGTTTTAAGGAACAAAACCAGTACTGTCTTACACAAAAAGATTTTGGACATTTATTGCATTAATACTGGGGGCTTAGAAAATCAACAGGTAATAGATGAAAAGAATCTTGGGAAATGGTCAGAAACCAAAAGGGCTCAGAGGGTGAGGCAGTAGGAACACAAGCAACAATTCTACTGCACACGATTGCCACTGGGTTCACCTCCTGTTACCCACATTTCTGTGATACTGGCTCAACACTGAAATTCCTAGGGGAAAGCTTCCAACTGGCTGTGGCTGTTAGAGTGAGGAGAGTCTGTTAGACAGTCTGTTAGAGTAAGGAGAAGGAGCATGTAGCCCCGTTCATTCCCATAGTGATAGAGTCACCACTTCCCTCTGACTGTACACAACAGGGATACCCCACAGCAGCTGGAGTACTAGCAGGAGGAAGAGAAGGTCACATGCTAGACTGCCCAAAATGACAATTATTCATTACAGACAATGATATAAGACCACAATGATCATGTGGTCATATTACCTATGACTCCTAAGTTCAAAGTTTTGTGTTCACCAAGTTCACCTAATACCTAGAGCTTGGTCTCTGATAGCACGAACCAGGCTTCATGGAGAAAAGCCTGATTGCAGGACTGGGGTACAAGATGGGTCAAGAATGCAGCTACCCCCACATGTGTGGGACACCAGACAAATAGTTTCTGTAAACTCTCTGTCCATATAAAATATTTGATTAAAAATGTATTGCAAAATTCATGAGATCAGGTAAGGGATAGCAATGTCTTTAGACTGATAGAGAAGAGCTTCCTACCTACGTTCATTGTTCAAACTGTACCCATGAAGATCCTTCCTAGGGTCCAGGCACTGTCTCTTCGGGTTCTTTATTGTCAAAAGTGCCATCCCTGGCTAAATTTGTATCAGAGAAAAGGGAGCAACTCTTGCTACTCATAATGCCATGGTTCTTCATATCCTGTTAGTATTGAAACGATAGAGCTCTTGCCTCTGCAGTTCCCTGGTACCATTTACTCACATTGGATGTTGTATCATCCACTGAGCCACCTGTGAATGCTGGCTTCTGGTGACTCAATCAAATGTTGTTCTGTGCTTTGTTGATGATGTTCTCAAATGCCTAAAGGATGCAGAAAAATGTAAACTACTACTTGCATTCTGCACATGTTAAATTTACCATCTGAATTTTATAGCCTAAAAGTAGAATGGCGTGTCTTCCAACCATGTCTTTTCTTGACCTCCTTAGGCCTGAATCACTGCATTCCTGGACTTTGCACTCTTTCAGTATTGGCTACACCCTTGCCTTGCAGAGACCACCAACAGCACGAAGGAAACATGAGAGGCTCATGGGTGGTGTGAGAAGGGCAGTGTCACTTAGGCAGGAAATGCTGATCTCTCTTCTATGATAGCTTCAGACTTACCAGAGGGCAAGAGAGGACAGAATGGAAGGAGAATTTACCTTACCCAAGTTGAGATCTGGCCTTTGCCGTCAGCTACTGGGAAGTGATATCCAGGATAACCCTGGTACGTCCTGCCAGAAGGGAGTATTTGTGTTTGCCTGGGTGCTTTGACTGCCAGACAGTCCAAATATGTAATTTATGAGAGAGACTTTGGGCCTCTCCATATCAGTCCTAACCTCTGGAGGGACTAGAGACTAAAAGTAGACTAAACGTATTAGCCTGACCTCTGGGAAAAGTTGGAGACTAAAGGTCAGTCTTACAGGCACAAGCCCCAGTAAAAGCTGTGGGCACCCAAGGCTCAGGGCGAGCCTCCATGGCTGGAAATCCTCAGTCTGTATTGGCACACACTGTGGCCAAGGGAAGGCAGCACTGTCCATGACTCCATGGGGAGAGGACAGCCAGGGCTCTGCATTCAAACCCCTCCCAGATGATGCCTGCATGTCGCTCCCCTTGGCTGATGATAATCTGTGCCTTTTCCTCTTTATAAACCACGACCAAGTATAACAGCTTTCAATAAGTTCAGTGAGCCCTTTTAGTGAATCATTAGAACTGAGGGTGGTTTTAGGACACCCTAAACTTGCAAATAGTGTCAGAAGTGAGGGCAGCCTTTTAAGACTTTTCCCCTAGGCCTTGCAGTTTGGCCAACTCTGAGAACAGAGCAAGGGTCTCACCAGCCCTTGGCTGAAATGGTGAGGCCCACGTGCTGTAGAGCAGAACACGGACGGTTGGGTCCTGATCCCGAGGCACACAGGGACTCAAGTGCGAGAGCCAAGACAGCAGATAGCCCAAAGCTCTGAATGAATCATGGGTCCAAATGAATGAGAATCACCCCAAATAAGCGTGTCAGCACATTCTGGTAGCCCAATCTTGAGTGACCCCATGAAAGAAATAAGGAGAGGAGAGAGTGAAGTCGGAGAAGTACCCCAAAGGGGAGACAGGGCACCCTAGCCAGGTGATACTGCTGGCCCTGGTGAGTGCCAGGAGCCAGAGGAGGACTTTGAAAATTATGAGGATGGTGGTTTTAAAGCACTCAGTGTCCTGAGATGCTGGACCAGGAGCTCGCCTGGGTTTAAGGGCAGTACTGGCCTGGGATAGTCCTCTAGGCCAGAATGTAAGGAAATGCTCCAATCAAGGATGGGGCAGAGCAGGGGGACATGTGAGCCACCTTGAAGGGGCTCCCCTAGCCAAAGCTGGTACAATCTGAGCACCAAAATGATTTAGCATGAAAACCATGTACAAACGATTTAAAAACAGGAATTCATGAATTTAGATAGATAGATAGATAGATAGATAGATAGATAGATAGATAGATAGATAGATAGGGAGACAGAGAGGAGATGAGGGAGGGCTGTCTTGTTTACCAGGGCTACAGATGAACTGATAAGTGTGGAAAGGGTGCTGAAGCTAAAACATCCTCACTTTGCAAACATTAGGTAAAAATTGGAACAGGCGAGAATCATGAATGGATGCTAAGTCTAGGTGGACATTTTGATGAGGAGCAGAGTGTTTGTACAGTCTTAAAGTTTCTCCCCAGAGATAGCATCTTAGTTACAAGGGGAGGAAGAAAGCAGTCATTCTATAATGGAAAAATTAGGCAACACCTAGACCGAGTGCTCAAAATTAACATTCCCAACAAGGGGCAGACAGGCATCCGATGAGGGCATCAGATGTACCTCGAGATGTGATGCTCTGAGAAGGACCCCACAGCACCTGTGCATTCTGGCTGAGGGTGCAGAACCTTAATCTCTTCACACTGAAGCAAACATCAGACAAACACACAATGAAGACTGTCCTATTGCAGAAAAAAAGTCAGCCGGGCTTGGTGGCTTGCACCTGTAATCCCAGCACTTTGGGAGACTGAGGCAAGAGGATCACTTGAGCCCAGGAGTTTGAAATCAGCCTGGGCAACATACTGAGACCCCATCTCTACAGAAAACAGAAAAAGTAGCTGGGTGTGGTGGAACATGCCTGCAGTCCCAGTGACTTGGGAGGCCGAGGTGGGAGGATCACTTGAGCCGGGAAGGTCATGGCTACAGTAAGCCATGTTCATGCCACTGTGCTCCAGCCTGGGAGAGAGCAATATCCTATCTCAAAATAAATAAATAATAATACATAAATTAACTAAATAATAAAATAAAAATTGAATGTTCTTTTTTTAACAAAAAAAAAGAAAGAGAGAGGCAGAGGGAGGACCGTATTCTTTAAAGATGTTAATGGCATAAGAGACAGACAAACTATGGAAATGCTCCAGACTAAAGGAGGCTGAAGAGACATAAAAATGAAATGAAATAACTGGCTCCAGAATGGATCCTATAGTGGAGGGGGGAAATGTCATAAAGGACATATTAGGTTAACTGACAGAATTGGAACAAGGATGGTAGACTATTAAATCAATGTAAATTTATCAAGTTAGTGACTGTACTATAGTCACATAATAAAATATCTGTACCTTTAGGAAATACACACTGAAGTATTTAGGGGTAAACAGTCATGACATATGTAACCTAGTTACAAATCCTTCGAAAAATACTGTTTGTGTGTATAGAGAAAGACACACACACGCAGTGCACACAAATGCTAAAGCAAGTGAGTAAAATGTTTACAATAGGCAAATCTGAGTAAAGGATATACCAGAATTCTCTATGCTATTTTACTTTTTGCAACTTTTAGTAAGTTTGTCACTATTTTCGAAGCAAAAGCTAAGGTGTTTTATGTTCATCAAACCAGCCTTAATCTATTTACTGGTTGCCTTTATTATACATAAAAATTAACTCAAATGTATCTGTTGTGTGCAGTTTGTACAAGATTTTGGTTGTTTTTCTTTTCCTTTTTTTTTTTTCCTTGAGATGGGGTCTCACTCTGTCACCCAGGCTGAAGTGCAGTTGCACGATCTCTGCTCACTGCAACCTCCACCTCCCAGGCTCAAGCGATCCTTCCACCTCAGCCTCCCGAGTAGCTGGGACCATAGGCACATGCCACCATGCCCAGCTAATTTTTTGTATTTTTGATAGAGACTGTTTTGCCATGTTGCCCAGGCTAGTCTCGAACTCCTGAGCTCAAGTGAGCTGCCTGCCTCGGCCTCCCAAAGTGCTGGGATTACAGGTATGAACCACTGTGCCCTGCTAGGATTTTGTCAATCTGTTTTGAAATATAAAAGGTTGGACACCCATGATGTAAAGGCATCATCCTGATGAAAAGATGCTGAATTCACTGTAGATGGCTATACTTGCGGGATTAAAAGCACATCCAGGCCTATATGAATACACACACACGTGCATACGGACTTCTGCTTACTAAATGTGTTTCGGAGAGAAACGCGAAGGGCAGTGGAAGCTGTATGTAGCATCCTTCAAGTCACAGATTTGGAAAAATCTACGCGATTGTTTTGTTAATTCTCTTGCCTTAAATATGCACAACTTAAACTATACCAAATAAAGGTCCCTACAAAATAAGATCCACACTTTCCTAAGATAATCCATTTCAATGTTTAACAATTTCAACTTTCAAAGTCCTTTTCAGTGTTTACCATATCATTTTACAGTACTCAAATTCTTATCTTCTTGCTCTGTCCTCAGGGAATAGGCAGAAAGAACATTTTCACTTTAAGAATCAAAATAACCACCAAAGAAGAAAGGCACGCTGTAAATCTCAAACATAAACACCTACATTCTCAGTGCTGGGTTTCTTCCTATCAAAAAATGGACAAACAGCATTAACTTGTGCTACAGGAGTGCTCATTAGCTACTAGATTCACTAATGAGCATGAAGTATTAAAAAGCATAAACTCAGGTGACAGTAAAAACACTTCTGGTGCAAGACAAGGTTTGGGGTAGGTGGGAGTTGTGGTGCCTGCTAAAGCAGACTTGGAACAGTGGAGGTAATGCTAGCCGCTCACTGGTGCACCTGAGAGTGTGTCAAGATCCTGGCTGGCCAGGCTGCCCCCAACCCCACCCCAGACCAATTACATCACATGCAGGCACCAGTATTTTTGAAGGCTTCCCAGGTGATTCCAGTATGCAGCCAGGCTGAGAACACCGCCTTAAAGGGATGTTTCCTGCCTCCGGTCTCTGCTCTCCACCTGTATGGCTTTCATTTCTCTACTGCCTCACCACAAAAAGACTGTTGAGCAAGAGGCCGCATTGGAAGGTTCTGGAGAGTTCGCCCACTCACCAACAGAAGAGAGATCGTCTCTAGGCCACCATGCTCATCTCAATTGTTTGTTGAATCCAAACTAGTAGGGTATCCTCACACAACTCCAGGGGGCACCGTACATGCCCTGTTTTCTGGGAAGGGCTTTTCTGGAAATAAAACTCCCCGTGAGTGGCGCCACCTGGAGTTGGGCAACAGGCTAGCCACAGTTCAAATGCTGGCCCAGTTCCGGTGAATAATGAATTTCATGTTCCTCTCTTCACACACTACTGTTCCACCCCCGGGTGCAGTGTGAGTGCTGCCTACTCCCTCCTCCACCTGGATCTGGTGGAGATGCCTGTGTCACTCCCTGGTTCATGAGCTTCAGCTGGGATGGGTTCTATAGGAAGGCGGCCAGTGAGAGGCAAGATTGCCTCTATGGTGGATGCTAGGAGGTGCTAGAAGAAGACCCTGAAACCCCTCAACATCTCACCCACTCACTTTGCCATTGAGCTCCATCTGCCCATCATGGGCTTCTTGTTTGGTTGAGGGGTTTTGCAGGTAGCTGTAAAAATGGAAATGTGATCTCACAGGGAATCTAAGAAATTAATTTTGGTGTAATTAAATTAGCAATATTAACTTTGCAATGAATGGGGCTAAGGGAATGGGAATAAAAGAGGTGTGTTTTTAATAAGGGGCATAGAGAAAGAAGGAAGATTTTTTTCTCTTGTCATTTTGCATGAGAAGAATTTGCGGGGCCCTTGTGGTTGTGGTGGGAGGATGTGGGTGTGGAGTGATGAAGGAGAAGAGGGGACCAAGAAAGAAATACCAAGAAAATTCACTTACTTTACAATATTTTCTAGAGCCAGTCTGAGCATTCTCTCCTTTATTCAGTAAATAATTTTTTAGCATCTGCTGAGCACCGTGTGAAGTGCAGAGAATAATGATGAACAAGGTACTTTCCTTATCTTGAGCAGTTCACAGTGTAGCATCAGGGACACTTAGGATGATTTAAACGTTGACGTGTGGTATTAGAAATGTTGATTTAGGGGGCTGGGCGCGGTGGCTCATGCCTGTAATCCCAGCACTTTGGGAGGCCGAGGTGGGCGGATCACAAGTTCAGAAGATCGAGACCATCCTGGCTAACACAGTGAAACCCCGTCTCTACTAAAAATACAAAAAATTAGCCGGGCGTGGCGGCGGGCGCCTGTAGTCCCATCTACTCGGGAGGCTGAGGCAGGAGAATGGCGCGAACCCAGGAGGCGGAGCTTGCAGTGAGCGGAGATCGCGCCACTGCACTCCAGCCTGGGCGACAGAGCGAGACTCTGTCTCAGAAAATAAAAAAAAAAAAAAAAAAAAAAGAAAAAGAAATGTTGCTTTAAATAATGCCTTGTGGTATTAGAAAACCCAACTCAAAATGTCTTCAACAAAGAGGAAATTGTTTCTTGTTTCTCTCTTTCTCTCTCTCTCTCTCACACACACATACACACACCTGCAACACATGCAGTCTTGTTGGGCAGTCCCAGGGCTGGTTAATTCCGAAGCTGAACGATGTCATTAAGGACCACGTTTCTTCCACAGTTCTTCTATCTCATCGTCAGTGTCTTCACTTCAAACCCACTCCACCCACACTCATAAGATGGCTGCCATAGTTCCAGGCAACACTGTGAGACCTGAACATATATAAAACTGTTACATCCCTGTACGTATTAGTTTGCTCTTGCACTGCTATACAGAAATACCTGAGACTGGACAATTTTTGGAGAAAAGAGGTTTAATTGGCTCATGATTCCACAGGCCCACCAGGAAGCATGACTGGGGAGGCCTCAGGAAACTTACAATCATTCCGGAAGTTGAGGGGAAGCTGGCACATCCTACACAGCTGGAGCAGGAGGGAAAGAGAAAGCAAGGAGGTGCTACACACTTTTAAACAACCAGATCTTGTGAGAACTCACTCACTCTCACGAGAACAGCAAGGGGGAAATCTGCCCCCATGATCCAGTCACCTCCCACCAGGCCCCACCTCCAACACTGGGGAACACAATTTGACATGAGATTTGGGCAGGAACACAGAGCCATACCATATCACTAGATATCTGTGCGTTTTGTTTTGTTGTTTTTTTTTAGAGGGAGTCTTGCTCTGTTGCCTGGGCTGGAGTACAGTGGCACAATCTTGGCTCACTGCAACCTCCGCCTCCCAGGCTCAAGCAATTCTCCCACCTCAGCCTCCCGAGTAGCTGGGATTACAGGTGCCCACCACGACACCCGGCTAATTTTTGTATTTTTAGTAGAGACAGGGTTTCACCATGTTGGCCAGGCTGGTCTCGAACTCCTGACTTCAGGTGATCCACCCGCCTCAGCCTTCCAAAGTGCTGGGATAATAGGCATGAGCCACTGAGCCCGGCCTGGATATCTTATTTATTTATTTATTCATGTTTTTTTAGCATGAAACCCCAGCCTAGATATCTTTTTTTTTTTTTAGCATGAGAAAATCTTTCCCAGAACCATGATTTATCTGAGACTAGGGGAGATAATTAATATCAGAACAAAATCAAGGCTCTGATAAGTATGAAATGGTAGATTATTGGTATTTTAATTTGCTTTTTCCTGTTGACCAATGAGAATAAGCACCATTCCTTATGCTTACTGACTACGTACATTTCCCCTTTTTAGAATTACTTGCTTACTCCTTTACCTTCTTTTCAATTAAGTTTATCCTTATCTTATTGATGGGTAAAAGTTCTTAAATACCCTGAATACTAACCCTGTGTCACTTCTGTGCATTCAGGTGTCTTCTTTCAGAGCACCTTGTCTTTTCTTTTTCTTTTTTCTCAGACTAGTCTCACTCTGTCGCCCAGACTGAGTGTAGTGACTCAGTCTCAGCTCACTGCAACCTCTGCCTCCTGGGTTCAAGCGATTCCCCTGCCTCAGCCTCTGGAGTAGTTGGGATTACAGGCGCCCGCCACCATGCCCAGCTAATTTTTGTATTTTGTTTTTCTTTTTTTTAGTAGAGACAAGGTTTCACCATGTTGGCCAGACTGGTCTCGAACTCCTGACCTCAGGTGATCCGCCTGCCTCAGCCTCCCAAAGTGCTGGAATTACAGGCGTGAGCCACCTCTCCTGGCTGCACCTTGTCTTTTCTATGTTATGTTTGGTGTCCTTGGTTATAAGAAATTTTAATTTCAAAGTAGTCAAATTTATAGATATTTTCCATTAAAATTTGTGTTTTTGTTTCTTTTTTCTTTTCTTTTCTTTTTTTTTTTTTTTGAGACTGAGTCTCACTCTGTCACCCAGGCTGGAGTGCGGTGGTGCGATCTCAGCTCACCACAACCTTAGCCTCCTGGGTTCAAGCGATTCTCGTGCCTCAGCCTCCTGAGTATCTGGGACTACAGGCATGTGCCACCTTGCCCAGCTAATTTTTGTATTTTTAGTAGACATGGGGTTCCACCATGTTGGCCAGGCTGGGTGTTTTTGTCTCTTAAGGTATTCTCCTGTATCTTTATCTACAGTTTGCTTTTCAGATTTAGGCTTTTAATATAGCTGGAATTGATTTCTGTATGTGATAGGGACCCCACTTTACTTTTTCATATGGATAGCTGATTCTCCCAGGCCATTTATTGAACAGGCCATCCGTTCTCTAAGGATTTGTAATTCCATCTCTGCTGCTGACCAAGTTCCCCATATGAGTGAAATCATCTCTCTATTCTCTTTCATTAGTTCTATATTCCTGACGCTTTTCTCTTTCTTATGAATTTTTAAATTTGGCTTGTCAAATCCAGCAAAAATCCTGTGGAAATTATTATTAGAACTCAATTTAATATACAATTGAGTTTGGAAGAGTATCCTTCTTTATGAAGTTCTGTTGTCTCATACATGAACAAACCACATCTTCACTGATTCAGGCTTTCTTGTTTCAGTTAATGATGGGCATAATTCTTTTCATTATGGTCTTGTTCATTTTTGTTTGAGATTTATTCCGAGGTACCTTACAGTTTTGTTGCTATTGTCAACAGCATTATCTTAAAATTATATTTTCTAATCAATTACCATTAATCTCTGTGAATCCTATTAACTTTAAATTTAATTTTTAGTTTTATCACAGTGGTACATGAACATAACTTAAAGAATCAAGTAGGCTTATAACCAAAACACTCCTCTTCCTTATCTCCTTTTCTAATAGTTCTCAACCAGGGGTGATTTTGCCTTCCCCAATCCCCTGCCCGGACATTTGTAATGTCTGGAGACATTTTTGATTGTCACGACTGGGAGTAGGGGACATACTGCCATATAATTGACAGAGGCCAAAGATAGGACAGCCCCCCCACTACAAAGATTTATCCACTTTAAAATATTGATAGCAGCAAAGTTGAGAAATCTTGTTCTATTCCATTCTCCCAAAGGTAATAATCAATCACTCTTCTAGCTTTTTCTTTGGGTATTTAACCTCCATATTTCTAAATTATTTTTAAAACTACAACTTTCAATTTTTTCTCATTTTTTTTTTTGGTTTGTTTGATTTATTTATTTATTTAGAGATGGAGTCTCACTCTGTCGCTCAGGCTGGAGTGCAGTGGAGTGATCTTGGCTCACTGCAACCTCCACCTCCTGGGTTCAAGTAATTCTCTGCCTCAGCCTCCTGAGTACCTGGGATTACAGGCACCTGCCACCAAGCCCAGCTAATTTTAGTATTTTTAGTAGAGACAGGGTTTCACCATCTTGGCCAGGCTGGTCTTGAACTCCTCCTGACCTTGTGATCCACCTGCCTCGGCCTCCCAAAGTGCTGGGATTACAGGCATGAGCCACCACACCCAGCCTTGTTTTATTTTAAAAGTAGCTGTTTATCCTCAAATTTCTGCCAGGGATGAAATCTCCCAATATGTTGAAACACATCAAATAAATGATCATTTGCATTTGTTTTGTACACATCCTCCATCCTCTTGCCTGCGCTCTAGGTCTGCTGTAGAGATGTTGATCTGGGACAAACCTTCACCATAACCCCGGGAATTTGTTTCTCTTCTTCCCCATGTTGGATTACCCATTTGCTGAATCCCATGTCTGCACTTTGGTGATTTCTTCTTTCATTTTGCTGGGGCAGAAGCTTCAATGTTTTCACAAGAGACATATTTCCTGACTCCTGGATTATCTGAAATTTTTTTATTCTACAGTGTTAAATCAAGTTTAGACTAAAACTGCCTTCTTACGTATTTTAAATTCAGCCTAAAGGTTTCTCCATACGTGGTGATCTATAGCCTAACTGTAAGTATAAACAGACTGTAATCTACTCTTGTGCCAATCACTGAGTTTTGGCCAATCAACTGTGGCCAACTATTCAAACTGTGTTCAAGTAAGACAAACATAGAGCTGTAACCAGCTTGGCTGTTTCTGTACCTCACTTCCGTTTTCTGTAATTCACTTTCCTTTTTTCTGTCTATAAATCCTCTTCCACTACGTGGCTGTGCTGGAGTCTCTGAGCCCACCCTGGCTCCGGAGGCTGCCCAATTTGCGAATTGTTCTTTGCTCAATTAAACTCTTTTAAATTTTATTCTGCTGAAGTTTTTCTGTTAACAACACTCACTATCAATTAAGATAGATAATTTGGCTGCATATAAAATTCTGAATTGGGAATGATTTCCTTTAGAATTTCAGAGGCTTTGCTTCATTGTCTTCTGACTTCCAGTACTGCTGAGGAGAAGTCTGATGGCCTCATGTTTCCCAGTGCTTTATATATCACTTTGTTTCCTCTTTGGAAGATTTCTGGGGTCTTTACTTGATCACACAGGTACTGCAAGTTCACTATTCTAGCTCTTGAAGTGGATCTTTCTCATTTATTGTGCTGAGCACAGGGCAGCCCCATTCAATCTGGAAATTCATATTCTTCAGTCTAAAAATATTTTTCTTCTTCCATTTTTTAAATTAGTTGTCTCTGATAGCTTACTTTCCTTCTGGAACTTATATTTTTCAGATCAAATACTCTTGTTTTTGTATCATGAGCCCCTTCTCACAATAATATTCTTAGATGCACAAAATAAAATGCATAGGATTACAAAGACAAACACTTTCTTTTGAGGTACAGTTGACACAACATTAAGAAATAAATTTTTAAAAATAAAAATAAAAAAGAAATAAATTCATTATAGAGTTATATATGTTTTTAAATAATAAGACAATAGCAAATTTAATAAACTACCATTTTTAAATAAAGTTGAATGCAAACTAATTTTAAGATATCTGTAACAACCGCAATAGGATTGTAAAATACCTATGATTTCTATTGGTGACAAAGTTGCAGTAAAGTTGTGCTTTGTTGCTTACATATTTACTTACTGTTTTGTTTGTTTGTTTGTTTTTGTTTTTTAAGATGGAGTCTCATTCTGTCGCCTAGGCTGGAGTGCAATGGTGAGATCTCGGTTCACTGCAACCTCCCCTGCCCCGGGTTCAAGTGATTCTTCTGCCTCAGTCTCCCAAGTAGCTGGGATTACTGGCATATGCCACCAAACCTGGCTTATTTTTAGTAGAGATGGGGTTTCACCACGTTGGCCAGGCTGGTTTCAAACTTCTGACCTCAAGTGATCTACACACCTTGGCCTCCCAATGTGCTGGGATTACACGCATGACCCACCGCGCCCAGCTTACTTATTTTTATTTATTGTTTAGAGACAGGGTCTTGTTCTGTCTCCCAGGCTGAAGTGCAGTGGTGGCATTTTAGCTCACTGCAGCCTTGAACTCCTGGGCTCAAGTGACCCTTCCGCCTCAGGCTCCCAAGTACCTGGGACTACAAGGACAGCACCACGCCTGACTAATGTTTTTATGTTTTGTAGAGATGAGGTCTTGCTATGTTGCCCAGGGTGGTCTTGAACTCCTGGGCTCAAGGGATCCTTCCACCTCAGCCTCCCAAAGTGTTGGTATTATAAGCATGAGCTGCCACACATGGCTGCCTGGACATTTAAAAGAGGAAATGTTGTATATTTGTTAGAGGTTAGGGAAAATAAAGATGTATTATTTTACCATATGGGTTTATGAACGAACTCATTCCACAGACCTTTTAGGAGTCTGGGGACCCCAGGTTAAGAATGCCTAATTCAGATGTTAGATCTCTTAAATGGATCCTCTAATTTTGTTACATTTTTCCCTATTTTTGTCTTTGTCCTTTTTTTTCTGATTTCCAGGAAATGACTTTTATTTTATTCTCCAATACTTTGCTTGAAGTTTTTAAAATTATATTTTTAATTTCTAACAATTCTTTTTTTGTTGTTTTCAAAATGTTCCTTATGTTTAGCGTCCCTGACCTTGCTTCATATACACAACATCCTTTCTTATCTTCTGAAGATATGAATGAAAGTGAAAGGTTTGTTTTATTTGTTTGTTTGCATTTTCTTCTGCTCCTTACATCATCTCTTTCATTATAATTACTTCCCACTATTTGGTTATTAGGGATCATGAGTTTAAAATGATCAATTGTACAACTTTTACTGACTGTACCCATTATTTCTCCCACAATTTTTATAATGCTGGCAGGTTTTTTAAAAAGTCAGCTACAATTTACATAAAATAAAGCGCATAAATATTCAGCATATAGCTCAATGAATTGTAAAAATCAAGGTATAGGCTGGGCACGCCTGTAATCCCAGCAAGTTGGAAGGCCAAAGTGGGAGGATCACTTGAGTCCAAGAGTTTGAAGCCAGCCTGGGCAACATAGCAAGACCCTGTCTCTACAAAAAATTTAAAAATAATAATAATTAGCCAGATGATGTGGTGCATGCCTGTAGTCCCAACTACTTGGGAGGCTGAAGCCAGAGAGTCGCTTGAACTCAGGAGATCGAGGTTGCAGTAAGCTGTGATCGTGCCACTGCTCTCCATCCTAAATGAGACCCTGTCTCCCAAAAAGAAAAAAATAAAATAAAAATAAAAGGATATACAACATTTACATTATTCCACAGATTTCCTGTAATCCAGGATATACAACATTTACATTACTCCACAGACTTCCTGTAATCCATCCCAACAAATATTTCCCTTCTAAGTATAACCCCTGTGTTGACACCATGAATTCATTTTGTCTGTTCTTGAACTTTGTATAAATGAAATAATGGAGTATTGATGTGCACTTTTGGGTCTGGCTTTTTCATTCAGCATTTCTGCAAAATTTGTTCATATTAATTCACCTATCAGTCTTTTTGTGTACTTTTTGCTAAGTAATATTTTATTGTATGAATATATCACAAGTTATTTTTCCATTCACCTATTAATATTACACCTGTCTTGTTTCTGGGTTTTAGCCACTATGAATAAAACTGCTGTGAACCTTCTCATACATATTTGTAATTGTTTCTAGAGTTTTAATTCCACCTTTTTAAAACCTGAAAGATAATTTTTAAAACAATGATTTTCTGAACTATTTTATTGATGTCTGTCTACACAATTGTGTGTTGTGTCCCACACTGTTGTTTTGGGTTCACATTATTCTCTGCTGACGTGTCTCCTTTAATAGGGAATATTGGTGGCTGGTGCATTCCTGCTGTCTTAGTTTTGTCTTCCTTCTTGAATAATAACTTGAAAAATCATTTATATTACCCTCAACACTGTGAAGATACCACCTCATGGTCTTCTAGCTTCTGTTATTGCTGATGAGAAATATATGGGGCTGTTTAATTCCTATTCCCTTTTAGCTAATCTGACTGCTATTTCTCTCTGGTAGCTTCTAAGATTTTCTCTCTGGAATTTTTATTCAGCTGTTTCATTATGTTATTTCTAGGTGTGGTTTTATTTTTATTTAACCTTCTGGCATGGGGAGAATACTTTTGATCTAAGGACATATTTGTGGTGATGGAACATTCTCAGCCATCTTCTCCTCAAATATTTCTTGTTATTTCTTTTCACAATTCTCTTCATTATTCCCTTTATTGCCTGATAAAATTTCTATTAGGTATGTAAGTTCTTCATTTATTACTCTGTAGATCTTAAATATATATATATATTAAATAGTTTAATATTTTATTACTGCAATCATGTAGAATGAATTTATCTTTTGACTGTTGATTTTGTTGGATGCCTTTCTTAATTGTTTTTGTATGTTTTAGAATTTTGGCTTATTTCTCCCTCTCTCTCTCTCTCTCTCTCTCTCTCTCCCTCTCCCTCTCCCTCTCTCATTTCCCCTCACTCCCCTTTCACAGTTGACTTCACCACAGGCCCAGGTCTTGTATTGAGGACAAGGAAATACTGCCCCATAATGCTGTTGAGAATATTTAAGAGCAGTCAGGAAACCCTTTGTAGCTTGGCTTTATTGCAGCAAGTGTGTATGTGCTATTTATACTGGCCTATTTTTATATTTTTGTTTTGTTTTTATATTTTCATGTGTTTTTATATGTTTTTATGTTTTGTTATATTGCAGCAAAGAGGAGGACCTGAACTTCCAAGGCCAACTTGACTGGAAACCCTCTAGTCTTTAATCCATAGAAACCTGACTTCTGTGCCCCCCATGCCTAGAAAACTACTTTTAAAAAGAACATTAGTGGTCACCACGTTGGTAAAGTATTAATAAATAAACATGTTTTAGTTCTAATCATACTTGGCTTTTGGCATGCTTCCTGACTACACTGCATCCCCCCAAATGCTCTGTTATCTTGGCTCCCACAATAGCACACACTTTTTATTTTTAAAAGGTTGTAAAATACACAAAACATAAAACTTATTATCATAACCATCTTTAAGTGCACAGACCAGTGGCATTCCGTACATCCCCACTGCTGTGTGGCCATAACCCATCACCACCATGTGTCTCCAGAACTCTTTTTATCTTGCAAAATTGAAACTCAATACCTGTTAAACCACAATTCCCCATTCCCTGCTGCCCCCTGCCTCTGGCAGCCACCATTCTACTTTCTGTTTCTTTTTTCCAAGACTGGGTCTCCCTCTGTTGCTCATGCTGAAGTGCAGTGGTGTGATCACAGCTCACTGCAACCTCGAACAATCCTCCTGCCTCAAGCAATCCTTCTGCCTCAGCTTCCTGAGTAGCTGAGACTACAGGCATGCACTACTACACCTGGCTAAGGTTTTTAGTTTTTTTTTTTTGGCAGAGATGGGGGTCTCACTATGTTGCCTAGGCTGGTCTTGAACTCTTGGCCTCAAGTGATTCTCAACCTTGATCTCCCAAAGTGCTGGGATTACAGGCATGAGCCACCGCAACTGGTGTCTACTTTCTGTGAGTTTGACTATTCTAGATGTCTCCTATGAGTGGACTTATACAGTATTTGTCCTTTTGTGACTGGCTTTTCACTTAGTGTAATGTCCTCAAGGCTCACCTGTGTGATAACACATCTTTCTACTGACTTCTTTCCAGTCCCCCTGCTGACTTCTTTCTAGTCCCCTCTTTGTTCATCCATGTCTTCATATTGGTCTTCCTCAGCGTTCCCTCCCGGACCCTGTTCTGTCTTCATCATCCCTACCCCTGGGTAATCTTCACTCTCATGGTGTCAGTTACCATCTCCATGGAGGGAATGGGCCTGTGTTTCTAGCCCAGACCTCTCCCCTAGCTCCAAGCTTTGCATCTCCAATTGTCTGTAGGACACTTTTTCTTGAATGGTTTGTAGGCACCTCCAGATCAGCATGTCCCAAGTTCAATTCCTCATATCTTTTTTCCCCCATAAATAAACTACTCCTTCTCTAGGTTTCCTATCTCATTAATTGACACCACCATCTACTCCAACCCAATCTACAAATAAAGATGTCATCTGTGACTCCTTTCTGCCTCCCTTCCCATCCCCTCCAGAGTAAGCCAGTCAATTCCCATTTCATAAACATCCCTGCATCTAACCCATTCTCTCCAAATCTATTGCATATAACCTACAACAGACTACCACTTTTCTAGCCTGAAAAACAGCCTTCCACCTGGCTTCTGTGCCTCCAAATCTTACGCCTCCCTAATTTATTCTCCAAACTGATACTTCTCAAATGCAAATCTGTAATTCTTTTCTGCTTAAAACCTTCAGTGGCTTCTCATTGCCTTTGACAAAATAGCCAAACTTCTCGGCCTGGCTCCTCTCGGCCAACCACGAACCCATCTGCAATTCGTGTTCCAAAAATGAAACACCCTAAAACAATGAAGTCCACTATTTCTTTCCGGGGTCAAGAGAAGAGCTTAGAAGACAAATTCTAGGAGATGATGCCCTCATTCCTTTAGGAAGGCAAACAATTGGATGATAACTAATTAGCATACATGTACTGGTAAAGTCAGCACGTGACCTGGTGAGCTGGCACCAAGATGAGCTGGTGAGCTGGCACCACGGGGCCTGTGGTGCCTTACACATGAACACGCAGCCTGACAGGAGCTGCAGTCTTAGGTATGATGTGAGAAGGATTGCCCCCTTCTGGCTGTGATTCTGAATGTCCCTGAGTTTTTCTGTTCCCTAGCATGATTAACTCACTGGGACATCTTTATTAGAGCTGGATCCATGGTTACAGTTTATAAAGCAATGAGAACAAATTTGAAATATTAATAATGTCCATTCCAGGAAAAAAAAATTAACCACTTTAAGAATCGGAGGGGGAGGGAAGTAATTTTCTACCTCATTGCATGGGTTTGGAGTATAGCTGAGAGCTATTTGGTATGAATACAAGGGGAAGGTTTGTGGAAGATATTTCAGAATGATTCGATGATGAGGCAGCCTGGCTGAGGCTCTGGAGAGCTGGTTTAAAGATGAAAACAAAATGAAAAAAGAAAAATTATTTTTACATAATCTTTTTTTAAAATGGGGATTTTAAAACAGCAAAGTTTTGGGGTGTTTTTTGTTTGTTTGTTTTGTTTTGCCTGGTTTTAGGTTACCTATTCCTTTTAGAAGCTGTAGAAAGATTTTTACCCTGGAGAGGCTCAAATGCAAAGCTAGATCAAATTTTCTATAATTTCGAGGTATCTGTGGCGTCTTTGGAGCTGTTTTATAAATTCACAGGACTCATGAGCTTCAGGTTAAGAACCTCTGTCTGGGAGTTCAGTGAGAAATAAAAGGATGGAGTCTATTTGGGGAGGATCATAAACACTTTTTTTTTTCTTTCAAAGACAGGGTCTTTCTCTGTTGCCCAGGCTGGAGTGCAGTGGCATGATCATAGTTCACTGTAGCCTCACCTCCTGAGCTCAAGTGAGTCTCCTGCCTCAGCCTCCCAAGTAGTTAGATTACATGCATACACCACCATGCCTAGCTAATTATTTTTAATTTTTTTTGTAGATATAGGGTCTCACTATATTGCCCAGGCTGGTCTCAAACTCCTGGGCTCAAGTGGTCCTCCTGCCTTGGCCTCCCAAGCTGCTGGGATTATAGGCATGAGCCACCGTGCCTGGCCCATAAACACTTTTTAAGAGTAAAGCTAAGCCAAACAACCGAGAAAGGACACAAACATGAATTTTTAATGTAGGGATTGCAGCCAAGAGGACAATAGCAGCTGTCCCAGAGTGTCATGAAGATGTTTGCAGAGTATCTCCCAAATGGGAGGCTGATTATATTTAAATTACAAAGGTTTTGCTCTTTTTGGTTAAAAAAACTTCATGCCTTGAATTTGGTTACCAGCTCAGAAAGGTAGGATGAGCTGGGGTGGGAAATGAAACATTGAGAAGTTTGGCCGAGCACGGTGGCTCACACCTGTAATCCCAACGCTTTGGGAGGCCAATGTGGGCAGATCGCCTGACCTCAGGAGTTCAAGATCAGCCTGGCCAACATGGAAAAGCCCCGTCTCTACTAAAAACACAAAAATTAGCCAGGTGTGGTGGCACATGCCTGTAGTCCCAGCTACTCAGAAGGCTGAGGCAGGAGAATCACTTTAATCCAGGAGGCAGAGGTTGCAGTGAGCTGAGATAACGCCACTGCATCCCAGCCTAGGCGACAGAGCAAGACTGTATCTCAAAAAAAAGAAAGAAAGAGAGAAAGAAAGAAAGAGAGCAAGATTGAGAAGTTAAATTCAACTATTCTTACAGGAAAAGTCCAACACTTCCATTTACTTATGGTTGTTGTAATGAAGTGTTGTAATGAAGACAGGACCACATTTGACAATAGATCCTAATATAATTAGGACTTCAATTAAGTAATGAAATGATTACCATTGCCTGGGGCACTTATGCTGGACAGAAAGATGATGCTGCATTGAAACATAATATGGGACAAAAAGAATTCTGGAAAATGTGACCTTCGGGTTTGACATATTTTGACATGCTTACCTTACAAAATTATTTTTCATGAATATTGATAAAATATTCACACCTCCTTTGTGGAAAAAGTCACTGCGATGAGCTTTCATGTGTGCAGTGTTCTTTAGCTAGGGGCATCAGCACACTTTTAGAGTCTAAGGGTTTTTCTTATCTTTCTTGCACCACGATTTCTGCATTTGTAAAAGAGGAACTCATAGAAGCTCAGGTTTGTAGGCAGCCTTGAAAAGTCACCTAATCAGTCTTTAGGCAAGTTCCCCGCAGAAGCAACTCTGACATCCTTGGATGATGCACCCAATCTCAATCAATCCACTGAGATTCTAGAACTGGAGATGTCCACTCTTAATATTGACTCAGGGTCTTCAAAAGATGTGCCAGTGCCCATAAGCTCTGTCCATGGGCGTCATTCTGATCTAACTGCTGCCTCACCTACTGCTTGTCTTCTCTTTGTGACTCCAGACTGAACTGTGATACTGGCCCTTGCACTTGACCTCCCCGAATACCAGCCCCTCTCCTTGTGTTATCTGGTGTCCTAATCAGGCCTTGACTATGAAACTCTTCTTGCCCACCAGTATCCCTTCAGCCCTTGCCATCTCAGTGCCCACCAGCCTGGCTTCCAGTTGCCAGCCCCTGCCTCTTTGCCTGGGATGTCCTCTGGCTGTCAGAGCCTGCTGTGCTCCAGCCTACATGGCACAAGTGCCAAGGAATCAATCACCCCAAGGAATCAATTAATCCCAGAGCACTGACGGGAGTGGTTGATAATTACCCCAGCCTCCTTACCTTTCCCAGGGAACCACTGTTAGGCACATGCTCTGTACTGTTTCCCAGAGTTCTCCAGCAGTATTAAGCTCCACTGGTATATACACTGGTGTCTTTTTAAATAAACTCACCCCTTGTTGCCTGCCCTCTCTTCCCTGTCTTACTTCCACATCACCCAATCTGTGTTTCCTTGGCTCGCCTCCAAGGATCCAAGTTTATTGCAATATTGTTTGCATAACAATAAATGCAATAAACTATCGAAATAAACTTGCATTCAAACTCTTATCTCAGAATTTTTCTCTGGGAACAAAAACTAAGACAGGAATCTCAGACTTACCATATTCAAAACAATCCTGAGCCCTTCTTTGCCCCTCTATCTTCCTTCCGTTCCACACATACCCACACCCTAACTCTTTCTTTCCCAGTTTTCCCCATCTTAGCTAATGCTCCAGCCAGCTCCCCAGTTGGGCAGGCTACAAACCTAGGAGTCATCTTTAGTTCTCTTTCCCTCTCATATCCTACATTCGACCTATCAGCAAGTCCTATTGGCTCTATCCCCTAAGATAAATCCTGAATTCAGCCACTCCTCATCAGCTTCACCGCCATAACCCTCATCCAAGTTACTGTAGCCTCATACCCTGACTGCTACAACTGTGCCCTGCTGTCTCCCCGCTGTACACTCACCCCTATGGCCCACATACAGCAGCCAGGGCAATCTTTGAAAGTATAAATAAATCCTGTTACTCTTCTGCTTAAAACCCTCAAAAAACTCCCCACTGCTACTAGAATAAATACTGAACTCATGGACAATCAGCTCCTGCCTTCTCTTCGCTCCCTGTCTTTTGTGACATTCCTAGTGATGGATTTGTATTTTTTCTTCCCATTGCTTGCACATGCCAAGCTAACTCTTGTTGTACTGTTGGGGTTTAGAAAATGATACCCCAGGCCAGGTGCAGTGGCTCATGCCTGTAATCCCAGCACTTTGGGAGGCTGAGATGGGAGGATTGCTTGAGCCTGGGAATTTGAAGCTGCAGTGAGTTGTTATGGGGCCACTGCACTCCAGCCTGGGCAACAGAGCAAGACCCTCTTCCTAAATGAAAAAAAAAAAGAAAAAAATAGATACCCCAAAATGTGTCAAATATGCCACTTTGGACTTCAAATTGAGTGCATCTGGGAAGCAGCAAATATGGTGGGGAGAGGAGGGTCTCCCTAAAGTTCCCCTATCTACCTAAATGCCAGATCCTCCAGAAGATATCCAATTATTGGGAATTCCTTCCCCAGATATCTCATCAACCGGATATCTTTGCAGGAAGAAGGACTAGAGTAGACTCCATAGCCAGAGCCCACGCTATTGCCTATTATTCAAGCCCATTCATCTCCCCTAAAAATCATTTGCTCTTCCTCTAAAATTGCCTATATCCTCCCTTCCCTCTCCCCTATGAAGAAGATATTTAAACTTCAACCATCTGGCCATTCTTTGAGTTTCACACGTTGTGTGGCTTATGTGCACTTGCATGTTAATAAATTTGTATGCCTTTTCTCCTGTTCGTCTGTCTAAAATCAAGTCTATTTCAGAGAGCAAACCTTCAGAGGGTGGATAGAAAGTTCCTTTTGTCCCAACATAGGGCTTTTGTATTTGCTGTTTCCTCTACCTGGAATACTTTTCCTTTCTATGTTTGTGTTTCGTTGCTATGGTTGCTATATCACAGTGCTGAGATTCCTCTGCAGAAATGAAGAACTTGTTCCCCTAGGTGCTCAAAGTGTTGCCGGCAGATAGCCCTCAGCTGTGAGCCGCCTTCTGGCATTGCCTCTGCCAAAGAGAGATGCCCCTCCCAAGGTCATGCTTCCTTTTTGGAGGAGCCACCATCCAATGACTGATTATCTCATGAGCAGGTGCCTGTCCCCTTGCCCCAACTCAGGGCAACTCTAAAAAGCTATCTCAGCTCCAGAGCCCCCTGCGGGGTCGGCTGAGGCCTTCATAGCTCAGCTTCTCCCTCTGCCCAATGCCACTTCCTTCCTCTCCATTCCATGGGCGCTGATCCCACAAGCACTCCCTGAGAACCTCCTGTGTGCTAATCTTCATTCCAGAGTCTGTTTCCTAAGGATCCCAATTGGTGATATTAATCACTGAAGGTTCAGTCCAATGTTAACCCTTCAAAAAGGGCTGACCACCCAATATAACATTGTATCCCATGGCTGAATGAAGACAAACACTCATGAAAACGTTACAGGACAGGATGAGACTGAAGTCACCATCTGAGAAGGGGTGCAGAGCACTAAGTGCAGTAGGAGACCACGAAAGGGAGACATCAGGGAGGTCAAAGGGCTCAGGGAATCTTCCTGGAAGGGCTTGGGCTTCCCATGGTCCTGGTGAATTCTGAGTTGAATGTTAAGGTTCTGGGCACTCTTCCCTCCTCTGGCTAGATGTCTAAAAACTAGAGGAGCATGATTTCAATCCTGCCCTTCAAGGGGAGCACGGATAGACACGTGAACAGCACTGGCCTTGGACTGATCCACTAATCAGTGACCACTGTCTCTTGATGGAAAGTGATATGTGACTTCACATCTTTTACTTGCTTGTTGGGGGAATCAATAAAAAGAAATATATGAAAGACTTTTTTTGTGTTTTGGAATCAAAGTGCTACAATAATGCAAGCTGAATGGGTGAAAAAACCAGGTGCTTGTGCCCTGGGGTATTGGCAGGAAGGCAGTGTAAGAAATGTTGTGCAGAGAAGGGCTCTCTGAGCATCCCGCGGGTGGAGCCATGAGGACTTTGTACAACACGTGCTGTAGAAGGGTTACTCTCAAACTCGATTCCTCTTCAGATGCAGCACACTTCCTGGCCACTTTTCTATGCTATTAATTTGTGTGTACCATCCTGAGAAATGCAAGCTCATTCAGCAACAGCCTGAGCAAAATATTTTTTAAAAGGGCACACCAGCCGGGTGCAGTGGCTCATGCCTGTAATCCCAGCACTTCGGGAGGCCAAGGCAGGCAGATCATGAAGTCAGGAGATAGAGACTATCCTGGCTAACACGGTGAAACCCTGTCTCTACTAGAAATACAAAAAGTTAGCCAGGCCTGGTGGCACACGCCTGTAATCCCAGCTACTCAGGAGGCTGAGGCAGGAGAATCGCCTGAACCTGGGAGGCGGAGGTTGCAGTGAGCCAAGATCACGCCACTGCACTCCAGCCTGGACAACACAAAGGATAAATGCTTGAGGGGATGTATGCCCCATCTTCCATGATGAGGTTATTATGCATTGCATGCCTGTATCAAAACATCTATGCACCCCATAAATATATACACCTACCATGTACCTGCAAAAATTAAAAATAAAAATTTTTTTTTTAAAAGAGCATACCAGCAGGGCACGGTGGCTCATGCCTGTAATCCCAACATTTTGGGAGGCTGAAGCAGGTGGATCACTTGAGGTCAGGAGTTTGAGACCAGCCTGGCCAACATGGTGAAATCCCATCTGCACTAAAAATACAAAAAATTAGCCAGGCATGGTGGCACTTGCCTGTAATCCCAGCTACTCGGGAGGCTGAGGCAGGAGAACCCAGGAGGCAGAGGTTGCAGTGAGCCAAGATTGTGCCATTGCACTCCAGCCTGGGCAACAGAGTGAAACTTTGTCTCAAAAAAAAGAAGGCACGTGAACTGTGGGAGGCTATCACATCATGCAATCCTAGCCTAAAGATAAATGATGAGTGAATTTCTATTATCAGCCACTGATTTGTATAATAATCGACTAATGAAAAGTGTTTGTTGGATACCTAAGTGTCCAAAATAGGTGAGTTATGGTATTGTTCTTCTCTATTACCACTAACAATTGAATAAATATTGATGACTCACGGATTATCTGATTATTTTACATGTGCATTTACTGAGTAATGGTGTCTCCTGTTGTAGAGGGTTCATTTCCATAGTCTGGCATAGAATATACTGAGAATGCACAGGAACCCACTCTAGATTTTAACCTGTGACCCATAGGCCCCACACAATCTCGTGGCCCTGACACCATAAGACCTTTAGATACAAGAACTGGGCTCAAAAGAGTCTTACGTTGAAAATGAAAATGCACTGTTGCATAAAGAAATGCTCACTGGGCATCTTAGAGCATTCCCATAGGCATTCAGTGGGGCTAGGTTGCACAACATGCTTAGCTAAGCCTGGAAATTTGCTTTTACCAGACAAAATAAGCGCCTTTCCAACTGCCCTCGCAGCTTCGGCAGGAGGGCAGCCTCCTTACCACGCTGCCGCAGCCCACAAAGCACTCAGCTCCAAAGTGTTTCCAAGTTGTTGCTGGCAGAGCTGCCTACCTGGACCCAAAAGCCAAGGAATGCATTTTCTCCCACATGTCCTAAAGCAAATGAATTACTAATAACAGGGCTGGGTTTCAGGTCTCGAAGTGCTTTCTCCAGCATTCTGAGCCCTACCGCAGTGTAAGAATGTTGCAAGGAACTAAGAACTTTATTTTTCCAAATAAGATTTCCTTTCCACAAATTAAACGACTCAGTAGCAGTTGTTTTGACAGAGCTTTAGTCCAGAATGCTGCTGAGGTATTTATACCATGCTCTGCTTAACAAGAGGGCAAGAGGCACCCTGAAGTCTCTCTTCTCAGACGTCACTGACCTAGCCCAGAACTTAAACCTGGAACAGGTAGATGTCCAGGGAACACAGCGTGGAGAGGAGGAAGAGGAGGTTGTTTTTACAGCCTTATAATGACAGGGCACTCTCTGCTCAGGCTCAAGTCCAAATGACATAACCTTTTCATTCAACATAGATAATGAAATGAAACAGATACTTCCAAATGATGTGTGAAAATAAATATTATCTTGGGCAGATCTGGTTTTATACATGGAAGAGGGAACGCAAATTCATAGTGGACCCTTTACGTTCTGGGATTTGAAAAATTCAAATATATCAATACTCAGATATATGTTAATATATCATCTCCCCTGGCTGCAAAGTCTCTGCTCCAACTCTCAGAACTCCCAGCTGTGAAAGCTTTGGACCATGTCTGGCCACTTTGGTAGCTTCTGTTTGGTGTTTCTGCCTCCTAGGGGGGTGATGGGGAAAGGGTGTCATCTGAAGGCACTCTTAGAGTTTGCAGAAACACCTAAGGAACTGTTGTGTGGAAGAGGTACCAGGTCTTATTTGAATTGTTTAGAAGACAGAGCCTCTTTTCTTGCTTAGTAATATACCTGATGGATGAGATCATAGTGATGGTGTTGACATAGCAAAGGGAAAAAAAAATGTGTCCATCAGAAGCGGGACGAGCTAACAGAGGGCCTAGAGAAAGCTAGCATCAGGAGAAGTGTGGATACCATGCCAGTCTGAACCCAGCACCACCCCAGAGGTGTGCCCTTCCATGAAGCATCTGGGTGTGCCACTGGGAAGCAACTTCTCTGTTGTGGAAATAAACATATTTAGTAAAAAGATCTGATGCCATTAAGCACTCAGTTCCCGTAGCTCATTTGTTTTTAGTTTTGGTTTGCCTGTCACGGACCATGCACTCTTCATCATGACTTGAGTATTTTTAGACATAAGTCATTTTATTTGTCATCATGAATTATGAGTTACCAAGGAAGTTCACCATCAGTCTCCATAGGATTGGCTAATTATAAGGACTCCCCTAAGAACTGGACCTCACGCTACCGAGAAAACCAGGGATTGAAGATTTCCATGCTGAAGACTCTAACCTGGACGATGGTGAATTCATCACGATGATATTGTTGGGAAGTACTTTTGCATGTCAGCAAGAAAAATTGTCTCACAACACTCCTGCATTGCTGAGCCTCAAGTAAACATCATGTCTGCACCTTAAAGATGGGGAAACTGAGGCAGTGAGCTGTTAGTAACTTGCCCCAGTAATACCCTACTAAGTGCTGGATCCAGGATTCAGGTAGGGGACAGGTGACTCCAAAGTCTAGCTCTTGCACTGTAACAGGCTTACCCTTGTAGCTCTGCCATGGGAAACTGTTACCTCCTCCTCTAACCTGGCCTTACTCATCTTTCTACTCCTATACGTAGCACAGTGTCCAACAGAAAGCGGGCCCTCACATGTTTTGAATAAATGAACAATGAATGACATTTCTGTGTTCTGGCTTCACAACCTCCCAGTATTTGACCCTAGCTAACACCCTAGGCTTTGGTTATCTTACTCATGTCATGGAGATGCTCATGCCTGCCCACATCCTCAAAGTGTTATTTAAGGAATCTAATGAACTTGGGCTTGTGTGCCTACTTTTATAAGTGGTGAAATATTATCTAAGTATAACTATTTAAAGTGATTCAACCCTGAGATGTGTATCCTTACTGCTGTATCCAAGAGCACAGAGATTTTCTTTGGTTCTAGATGCTGCGATACGTTCCTTCTGTCTTTCAGCTCTCCACAGTTTCAGGAAGTGGATGACTTTCTCAGCTGCATTATATAGATGGGGCAGCTGAAATTCAGAGAGGTCAAAGAACCTGCCCAAGACACATAGCTAGTAAGGGAAGGCATGGGATTTGAACCTAGGTAGTTAACCATTACACTATACTCCCTCCCACAGCAAATGGTCTTTCCTATGCTAAATGGTCTAATGGCTAAATGATCCTTCCTATGCTGTCAGGAAGAAAACAGATTAAAAAAAAATAATAAAATGATGGGACATCAGAGCTAGAAGTGATTATCTGGCCTAATCCTCTTCATTGAAGAAGTGATGAGACTGATATGCCCCAAGAAAAAAGACTTGACCTTGAAATGTAGGAACTTGGTTGTGAGTTTGGTCCTTGGAAAGTGGTCTTTCTGCTATCACATGACTTGAAAGGTGGAGCAGATTCTCTCCTTCTCTGATAGGATCTCAGGGATAGCCAGGTCATCCCAGAGAACACCCCAATTCCAGCATGTGGGGCAGGTCTATTGCTTTAGATTCTCACTCTCCATGTTTCTAATACCTTAATGCCAAGGCTGTCTTTTTTTTTTTTAATAATTTCAATTTATTTTAGATTCGAGGGTGCATGTGCAGGTTTGTTACATGGGTATATTGCATGATGCTGAAGTTTAGGGTACGGTTGATCCCATTGCCCAGGTAGGGAGCATAGTATCTAATAGTTTTTCAACCTTTTCCCCCACCCGCCTTTCTTTCCTCCCTCTGGTAGTCCCCAGGGTCTATCGTTCCCATATTTATGCCCATGTGTACCCAATGTTTACCTCCCACTTATAAGTGAGAACATGCAATATTTGGTTTCCTGTTTCTTTTTTGTTTGTTTGTTTTTGAGATAGAGCCTCACTCTGTCACCCAAGTGGAGTGCAGTTGCGCAATCTTGGCTCACTGCAACCTCCACCTCCCGGGTTCAAGCGATTCTCCTTCCTCAGCCTCCCTAGTAGCTGGGATTACAGATGTGTGCCACCACAACTGGCTAATTTTTGTATTTTTAGTAGAGAAGGGGTTTCACCAAGTCGGCCAGGCTAGTCTCGAACTCCTGACCTCAAGTGATCTGCCTGCCTTGGCCTCCCACAGTGCTGGGATTACAGGCTTGAGCCACCATGTCCAGCCAGGTTTTCTTCTTCTACATTAATTCTCTTAGGATAATGTCCTTCAGCTGTATTCATGTTGCTGCAAAGAACATGATTTTGTTCTTTTTATGGCTGCATAGTATTCCATGTTGTATATGTACCACATTTTCTTTATTCAATCTACCGTTGATGGGCAGCCAAAGGTGATTCTTAAGTAAATATGGAGGTGGAGGTATGGGAGGCTGTCTCTGCTCAAATCAGTACATCTAAGCATGAATTGGCTTGTTAGATTAGCTAGAGCACCCTTATAGGAAATCCCTTTACACTAGTAGTAAATGAGGGAAGAAAAATGATGGAGGGGAGGGTGGGGAAGGTAGGTCCTCGAGCACAAGGCTTGGCTGGGCAAGGCTTTCACTTTGAGTTTGTGAGAAAACTGGGCATGGGAAAGAACAGGGAGAAGTTGGAAATCGATGGACTGCAAAGTAGGAAGGAAATTGGAAAGGGGGATGAAGAAGTAAAAAAGCCAATGATTCTCTCTTTAACCCATGTCCAGCCTACTGAACAGTTTCCCCAACACCATTTGAGGGTTCTAGTAGAGACAAGCTCTCTGCCCTCTCCTACATCCAGCCAATGCCCTTTCTTACCTGGAAACCCTGCTCAGTTGGCAGGAAGCCTCCCCAGGTATGCAAGAGTACAATCCTCTGGGGCTCATTTTTCTTAAGGTAGTGGAACAGTAAAGATGAAAAAGAGCATTCTCTTTCCCTGGGAACTTTAGTGCACAGAATTCCTGCAAGGTTCCCAGAACTGAAGATTAGCTTTCCTACAATAATGAGAAAGAATCAGGTGCAAGGAGAGGGTTTCTAGTATTTTCCACCTAGTATGTATATCACTAAGCATGTATTTTAGTAGTGATTTTTCCCCTTTTACATATTATATAACAAATGTCCTAAATTTTGTATAAATTAAAATTTATGCAATTATATACTGTGACATAAATATAGGCCCTTTATGAGAAATCAAGCAATATAAAAGATGGAATTAAAAAGTATAGTTCTACTTCTTTCATTCCACTCAGTCTTCAAAGATTAACCACTTAGCATTTTAAGACATATTCCTATCAGCCTCTTAATATGTGTTTACATTTAACTAAATCTATCTGTCTATCACCTGTATTTCTTTTTTTTTTTAATTTTTTTTTTTTTGAGATGGAGTCTCACTCTGTTGCCCAGGTTAGAATGCAGTGGCATGATCTCAGCTCACTGCAACCTTCACCTCCCAGGTTCAAGTGATTCTCATGCCTCAGCCTCCTGAGTTGCTGGGATTACAGGCACATGCCACCACACCTGGTTAATTTTTGTATTTTTAGTAGAGATGGGGTTTTGCCATGTTGGCCAGGCTGGTCTCGAACTCCTGACTTCAAGTGATCCACTGGCCTCAGCCTCTCAAAGTGCTAGGATTACAGGCGTGAGCCACTGCGCCCCGCCTGTATTTCTTATATAATTTTAGTGTTTTGATTTTTCATTTTTTTTGATAAACCAGATAGACTGTAAACATTGCTTTGCAACCTGCTTTTTAAAAAAAACTGTGTCCTGAAAATCTTGGCATATCAGTACATTTGCCTTTATCATGTTCTTTATAACTTTTGGATAGTATTCTGTAGCATGGATATAATTTATTATTATTATTATTTGAGACAGAGGCTCACTCTGTCACCCAGGCTGCAGTGCAGTGGCATAATCTTGGCTCACTGCAACCTCTGCCTCCCGGGTTCAAGTGATTCTTGTGCCTCAGCCTCTCAAGTAGCTGGGACTACAGGCATGTGCCACCATGCCCAGCTAATTTTTGTGTTTTTAGTAGAGATAGGGTTTTGTCATGTTGGGCAGGCTGGTCTCAAACTTCTGGCCTCAAGTGATACGCCCACCTCGGCCTACCAAAGTGCTGGGATTGCAAGCATGAGCCACCGTGCCCAGCCTGGACATTATTTCCTTAACCAGTTTTCTACTATGAGACATATTTGTTGCCCAGCTTTTTTGTTTTTGCAAACTGTGCCAGAATGAGCAAGCTTATACTTGCATCTTTGTGCACCTGCACAAGCATGTTTGTAGGGAAAATTCATAGAAGTGAAATTGCTGGGTCAGAAGGTATGTGTATTTAAAACATTTACCAATACTGTCAAACTGTCCTTCAAAAAAGTCTGTTACAATTTATACATTTTCTGCATAGCTTGTTCAATATTTGATATTATGAATATCTTGCTAGTATGATGAGTAAAACTCGTACATGGTTTTGGCTAATTTGCATTTTCTGATTACTAGTGAGACTGAGCTTCTTTTCACATATTAATGGCCATTTGCATCCTTCTTTTGTGGATGAAGTCCTAAGGTTTTACAAAGAAGCAAAACATAACTCTCTGTATAATAAGATATTACTATAGACCGAATGCTTGCATTCCTATAACTCATATGTTGAAGTCCTGACTGCCAAGGTGATGGTATTAGGAGGTGGGGCCTTTGGGAGGTGATTAGGACATGAGGGTAAAACCCTCATGAATGGGATTAGTGCCCTTATGAAAATGACCCCCGAGAGCTCTGTTAACTCTCTTTCTTGCCACGTGAGGATCCAACAAGAAATTGGCAGTCTGTAACTTGAAAAGTGGCTGTCACAAGAAACCAACCATGCTGGCACCTGGTTTTGGACTTCCTAGCCTCTGGCACTGTAAGAAATAATTTTCTGTTGTTTATAAGCCACCCAGACTGTGGTACTTTGTTATAGCAGCCTGGACTAACCAAGACAGATACCTGTATATTCTAAAGTATGAATAAAAGGCAAAAAAGAGGTAAAGTTATTGATGGAGTTGGACTGTCATGTGCATTTGGTGACTTATTATGGAAATTATATTCTGAAGGTTGCATGGATACAGATAAATTCTAATTTGGACAGAGGATACATTTGTAGAGAGCACTTCCTTTAGTCAAATCTGATATAAAATATGAAAATCCAGACTTAGAGACAGATTTATTCAGGAAGTGATTATTTGCTTTACAAATGGTTTCACCATAGCGTTCCCTTATATAGTCAGCTCTTCTGTGTGTATTTAAAAGAAAATGCCCTCTTATAAAAATGTGTTTGCACACACAGTGTTAAGAATGCATCTGACACGTGAAGAAATGTAGGTCTCCTAAAATATGTGCTATGCTTACAGGTGAAGCTGTTCCTTTTTTAAAGATGTCTGTTGTGATGGGGAAGGGTATAGAGTGTGTTTTCTCCCCTTTTCTCTCCCTTTTGAAACAGTAAAGAAAATAGGTAAAGAGTGATGTTCTGCCCTCTGGTAGGCACAGGTTATTGCTGGGATCAACCTAGGTGTGATCCAACCTGGTTCCCAAAAACCTGGCACTCACCTGCCCTCAAATTCTCCAGGAAGACAACCGGTAGGCCTGTGGCTTCTTTGACGGTCTTGGTTAGTGATGGCCAGCTCCTCTTCCAGCCATAGCTCTACCACCAGAGCTGTCCTTGAGGTTCATGGTTACCCCTGAAATCTCTTAAGAGGCATAATGTAGAAACATTGTAAACTTGAACTCCAGTTGCATGACTTTCCTCTGAGGCCCACCTTGTTATCCACAGACAGATCCCTGTTTTCTACCTTCCTGAGCTCCTAAGAAATGTTCTACAACCTCTTTGCTAATCTCCACCTTTTCCTGGGGGATAGCGGCCACTTTGTCTTGGAACTCAAAGCCTCGAACACTGAGCTAGTCACCAACACTGCTTTAGATGCTGCTACCTGAGTTAAACAGGATTTCCCACCACCAGAGGGAAGGTCCACAGGAAGGTTTTTATCCATTTTGTATATACCCCACTTGCCTGAAAGTGAGTAGCTATGCCTCCCCAGGACCCAGAGGTATGACAATATCCAGAACTTTCCAGATCATGAAATAACATGTTTTCTTATTTAAGAGGGACAAATAGAATAGGCTCTCTCCAGATCTGAGTTTGTTAAAAATGACCCCCGAGAGCTTTTCTTTGCAAGTACTTCCATTACTTACAAAATGTTCACCAATCATATCATTTTGCCAACTTCAGTATTATAATAAAATCAATTTCAGGTAAAGCTAGTTGTATCTCACTGTTCTTTGCATCAATATTCTCCTTATTTTTCTGAATGAATTTTAGATTTATTATATTAAGTTCGATAAAGTAAGCGATTAGAATTTTAACTGGAATAGTGTTAAAACTCTGACATGTAACTGGAGAGAATTATCATGTTTACTGTATTTCTCTCTCCTTTAAGGAACATGGTACTTTGCTCCAGTTGCATTAGGTCAGTTCCCAAGCATTTTATATTTTTGCCTGCTTTTAAAAACATCATCATATTTTAATTATATTTTCTTTTTTTTGGTATGGAACTGAAATTTGGAGATAGCTCTCATAACCAGACATTTTATTGAACTTTTAGTCTTTACTAACTTTTGTATTTACTTCTTTGGGTTTATTATAAACACATTTTTGCCATTTGAAAACCATCTTTTTCTTGCCTTTTTTAGAGTTTTAAACCCTCTTGGCACATCTTACCAGGTTCCATGGCTTTAACAACCAGCCATATGCAGAAGAAAACATGAAGGCTTATGTTAGGAAGCATTTATCTGAGATAATGGGATCCTGGAGGAAAAGTGACTCACAAGTCAAAGGAAGGAAGACTTTCAAGGTGAGAGGATTCATCCAGGAATTCTACTTGTCAGAATCTCCCTTAAAGAAATAATTTAAAATGCGAACAAAAGTTGATGTGTAAGTGTTCAGAGTATTACTTACCCAAGCCAGAACTTGAAAACAATCTAAGTGTACTACAATTAGGAAATTGATAAATAAATTATGGCATTCCATGTAATGAAGTAGTATGTGAGCATTAAAAAATAACATTTGCAGCTGGGCATGATGGCTCATGCCTGTAATCCCAGCATTTTGGGAGGTTGAGGCAGGAGGATCGCTTGAGTCCAGGAGTTCAGCACCAGTCCAGGAGTTCAGCACCAGCAATGTAGCAAGACCTTGTCTCTAGTAAAAATTTAAATAACTAATTGGGCATGGTGACATGCACCTATAAAGTTCCAGCTACTCAGGAGGCTGAGGTGGAGAAAACACTTGAGTCCAGGAGTTCAAGGCTGTGGTGAGCCATGCTGGTGCCACTGCACTCCAGCCTGGGTGGCACAGCAAGATCCTATCTCAAAATAATAATAATAATAGTAATGACAGTGTTTGCAAGGGATATTTGATCACTTAAGAAAATAGTCATTGATTGTTTATTTTAAAAGCAAGACATGAACTAAATATCATCTAAACTTGAAATCTAAGTACATGACACAGAAGAAAGAATGGAAAGACGTTACTTGTGGTTATTTCTAGATTGTGGCAGTATGAGTCATTTTCTTCCTTGTATTTTCTTTATTTTTAATTCTCTACAGTAAGCATGTAGTACTTTGTGATAAAAAGAACACCTGCTGTGGCCTGAATGTTTGTACCATCTGCCCCTCATTCACATGTTGGAGCCTAATCCCCAGTGTGATGGTATTAGGAGCTGGGGCCTTTGGGCATAAGAGCAGAGTCTTCTGATGACATTAGTGCCCTTATAAAGAAGAGACTAGAGAGATGACCTTTCTCTGAAATATGTGAGGATGCAAATCTGGAGGTAAGCTCAAATTAAACACCGAATCTGCTGGCACCTTGATCTTGGACTTCTCAACCACCAGTACTGTGAGAAATAGATGTTTGCTCTTACATCCCCCATGGTATACTACTTTTGTTATACAGCCCAAGCAGACTAGGATAGACATCATAATATTCATTATAAATACAAAAAGAAAAATGAGGAGAAGGAGGGAGAGGTTGGGGTAAGTAGCAAAGAGAAAATTCAAATAGGATTTGACTATTAGAGTTAAGCCACCAGAGCCCGGGTGCTCCAGGTGAGCTCAGCCTTTCAGCCATCCCTGGCAAGGCAGCAGACACACAGGATGAGCTATCTTGGGGTCTCCAGACCAGTTCATCCAGCAGTTACTAAATGACCTCTGTGGCTGACGTGTAGAATGGACAAATCGCCCAGCCACACTCAGACTGAATTCTTGATACACGTAATTGGGAAATAAAATAAAAGGTTGCTGTTGGAAGCCAGTATATTTTGGGTTAGCTTTCTAGGCAGCCATAGATAACTGGAACAGTGGGGTATGGCTATTTTTGCATGAGCTGCTCTTCGTTTGCATAGAGAAGTAACTGGGCATTCTTGCTTGGTTAATTTCCTTGTGGCACCCATAAAAATCATGGGAAACATCTGGGAAGTGCATGGGCTCCCAGACGGGGGAATTCCAGTAAGAAAAATTCTACTTTTCACAGTCCTTGGTCTTTTATATTGCCCCTTAAAGAATTCTTCCAGGAAATTGTCCATGTCTTTCCTCCCCATCAACTATCTGCTAGCTGCTTTAATTATTTTAATTGAACTTAGATATGAAGCAAAGGTAATTGGATGAGGGAGTGAAGGTGCTCTAAGGAGGAAGGAGCCCTATGAAAATGCTGTGTGCTGGCCTGACAGGAGAGTGACAATTCATCAGGAGGGGGGTTTGGGTTCTGAAATAAGCATTTTCATTGTTCTTACTGTAGAGACCACATGTCTGGGCTGCTTTTAATCCCCCTAAAGGAATTCTCCTCTAAGGTGTGAAGTGCAGCCCCAGTTCCTGAGTTGTTAGAGCTGTGATGGTCCCCAGGGATCCTTTAATCCTGCCTCTTCATTTCACAAAAGAGGAAACTAAGCTCTCATATGTGTAGGGGACAGGTTCTGAATCACAGTTTGTAACTGGCAGAGAAGTGGCGGAAAACCCATTCCCTGACATACCCTTGTATCATGTCAGTATAAGATGAGAAATGCGAGAAGAGGAACAAAAAATACTGATTTTTAGCACGTAATCAGCAGGTTCATTCACCTGCCAGTTTGTTAACTTCCTATCCCTGCAATAAGTGCTGGAAATTTCTCCCTTATGAGAATGAATAATAGGTAGTGACGTATTTGACAAGTGTCAGCAGGTCCTGGGGTTAGCCACCTCTACGCTGAGTGGAGCTGAGCAACCAGGGAAGATGCAAGAATTCAGGGCAAGTTGGAAAGAGGCCAGTGGCCTCCCACCCTGGACAGCCAAGGCAGGTGGAGGGCCCATCCCTGCAGCTCCCTGGCCCTGGACCCCAGGATGCCTTACTTTAAGCCTTTTGGAACTGCTAGCAGGACATTGTGTTTGCTGGGAACGTGCTCTTTGAAAAATCTTGCACTGGGTACACGCCTTTTGTCAGCCATATGCTGTTTTCTCTTTTTAGCTTCTGAATATGGATGTGTGGCTGTTTGTGTGATTAACAAAGTTACATAAGGACGGATTCAATAGGTAATATTTACAATCAGGCTAATTTTCTTAACGACGCTGTTGCAAGAATTCTCTTTTTGAAACTCTATTCTCCTAGGTATTTATCTTACAGCTTGTGGTGCATTTTGAGATTTGTTCATCTTAATTCAATTACTAAGACAAGATAAAAATTAGCAACACTTTACCCTCCTTCTGGTCTTCAGGTTCTCTATGAAGTTTTAGATTGAGGGAAAAAGGAAGTTAAATTTGTATCTACCAAGTATCTCTAAGGGGCATAAATGTATTCAAAATGTTCAATTATGCTCCAAATTGATCTCTAAGGTGATTCATATACACTATTCTTAAAAAGTAAATGATTCTGAGCTAATATAGTAATTTCAAACAAAAATAAAATGCTGGCTGGGCACAGTGGTTCACATCTGTTATCCCAACACTTTGGGAGGCTGAGGCAGGTGGATCACCTAAGGTCAGGAGTTCGAGATCAGCCTGGCCAACATGGCGAAAGCCCGTCTCTACTAAAAATACAAAAATTATCCAGGCATGGTGGCGCATGCCTATAATCCCAGCTACTCAGGAGGCTGAGGCAGGGAGAATTGCTTGAACCCAGGAGGGGAGGTTGCAGTGAGCCGAGATCGCACCACTGCACTCCAGCCTAGACGACAGAGTAAGACTCTGTCTCAAAAAAATAAAAATGAAAATAAAAATAAAAAATAAAATGCTTCTGGTCCCAAAGCTAGACGAAGCTACCTCGTTCCCCCTTGCTATGCATATGGTAAAAATAATGTATGTTCTGTTTGTTCAAACCTTGCGTTTGTTTGGTAGCATAGGCATTTTGTTTTACGTTCCAGACAACATCTGTCTGCTGCAAAATCTCAGCCAGTTCCTGTGTTACCTGAGCAAAGGAGACAGTGTTGAAGGCCCCTAGAGGCCCATAAATTAATTCTAAAAACACCAATGCAATCAGTTTTCTGGGGCTGAGCATGAGGATGTATGATCTTGGAAATCAATCCGTGTAAAAAGAATCAAATAAAGAGGGTTGGGTTGTCTAAAGCAATGATCTTTGCTAAATTTAATGCAGAGGAGGAGGCTATTGAGATAACTCTGATTATTCCTGCCCATCTTCCTCATTTCTTTAGGATTTCTCAACTGTGGTCAGTAGAGAAATTATTTCTTACCATGACCCATGAGACTTCACAGTTGGAATAATTTGACAAAGCCATATTGGCCCAGTGGAACAAAAAAACGGTCTTATAAATTACCACTTCACACCAGCATGTATTTGCATATGTGGGCTAAGCAGACTCTGCTCAATCTCAAAAACACTCATATAAGGCAAATTCATCATGCACTGTTCAGAACTCAGCATTCTCAAAAATTTAAAGCATCAAACGTAAGATTTCCCAAGGCTAGAGAATATACAGTTGGCAGCTCCTTCTGGGGAAAAAATATGATATGACATTTGTACAACTATTTTAAAATTTAGTCAAAAATTCTAGAGCCCAACACTTGGAAGCAATGGCTGAGTCTTGGAAGAGCTCTCTGTAGTGATAGGAACTCAGCCAGAGACCTGGGGGTCACTGCAGCCTAGTCAAGCCCGGGGAAGGATGCTGTGCAGAGCCAAGACATGCACATGATCTTTTGCCAAGTGCAATCGCATTGACATTGAAGTGTTGCTGTAAAGGCAATGGCCTGGAATATGAAATGTGATCAGAACTGAGGAGAGGGAACCTAGACAGAAATTCAAACTGATAGGGCAGTCAACGTAAGGTGAAGGTGGATGGGGAGCTGTGGGGTGCCGGTAAATGTTTAACAGCCAGCTCTCTGGAAAAAAGTATATGTGTTTGTTATACATTTTTCTGATATAAAGGATGTGTAGGCCAGGTGCAGTGGCTCACGCCTGTAATCCCAGCACTTTGGGAGGTCGAGGCACGTGGATCACTTGAGGACAGGAGTTCGAGACCAGCCTGGCCAACATAGCAAAACCCCATCTTTACTAAAAATACAAAAACTTAGCCGAGCTTGGTGGCTCATGCCTGTAATCCCAGCTATTCAGGAGGCTGAGGCATGAGAACCACTTGAACCCAGGAGGAGAATGCTGCAATGAGCTGAGATCACGCCATTGCACTCCAGCCTGGGTGACAGAGTGAGACTCTGTCTCAAAAAAATAAAAAAAAATTTTAAAAAAGAGTGTGTATCAGACAGTTTACAAGTAATAGTAACATATACAATGCTCTTTATTATAAATTCCATATAGCCATTTGATCCTCACAGAAAGTTTTGCTCTTTTTGTCAAATTCTTATATCCATAGTCAACCTATGGTTGTGTCAATGATCATTTGAAAAGGGAGTAAGTGGAGTTGTATCCCAATCTGATACCTATTTCCCCAATAAATTGCTTTCATTAAATTGAATATGTGATCTACCATTAGACTTTCGCACTCTCATATACATTATATTCATTAAACTGAAATCTCTTTCAGCTTTACCACAAGATCACTCTATCATTTTGGCATTTTAGGGATCTGAATCTAAAAAATAATTGTATGTTACATCAGTAAAAGTCACAAGACTGAGTGAGCATTAATGTAAAATTTTGTTAATTTCTTTATGTAATTATAGAAAAAATTTTCAAGCTAACATATTTACCTTAGTTTTCAATTTATACGTCTATATTACTCTGACTTGCAACTTCCTCAAAATCCACTATCAGTTATAATAATTCTGTCATCGACAACAGTGTCATAAAATCAGACTATGAATAAATGCTTAATAACTTTCCAATTCGGTAAAGAAGTTGCTCATATCATTGACGGATGAGTGTGGTTAAGATATGAATGTTGGTTGATGTTTTCATGTACTTTAACATGTAAGATGAAAGTGAAACAATGAAGATGAATGTTGGAATGTCACTAATTCATCATGACAGGAGCAACCGCTTTCCCGAATTAGATAATAGTTTTCAATACTGGAATATTATTTCCTCAAATTTTTAATGCTATTCAGAATGGAACAGCTGCATTTGTGCTACACTTTTAATTTTAATCCACATTCTTGACATTTTATCATTTTCTTAAGTCTACACAATCAACAAAACAGTAAATCAAGGCCCATTTTATATCATTGGCCAATTTCTACAGTGTAAATACTTTCACTTCCATCGATTTCAAGCTACCACCCTGACATCACTGAACTTGGAGTTGAACAGTAGCACAGCATTACGTATTTCCCCCGTACAGATTTGACAGATGTCAATGACAGTAAAGTGCAGTAAGATCACAAAGTGGTGAGTTTTGGGTATTTATTACCTTTGTTTTAATATAGTTTATGTAGTGGAAGGGTTACATCATTTAATTGTTTAATAACTATATTTAACAATCGCCTCTGAAAATTCCTGAACGTTTAGCCACCAGCTCTTCACAAGCTGGTATAGGCCATACCCCTGGTGGAGGGACAGACAATAAGGGAGAAACGGAAGGGAGGCCAGTGGAAACTACTGGACGCTCTCCCTTATCCCTGAGCATTGGATTCTGAATCTGGTTGGAAATGGAGGTGATTCAAGATGTGATATGGAGACATCGCTTTATTTTGGGGCTCACTGGTTCCTCGGCATGGAATTGGGACTTCATTCCAGGCTTACTTCCAATGGAACAGGAAGTGTTTATATCCCTTTTGTTCTTGCTTGATGGGCTTAAAACAGAAGGGAGACTAGGCCCTTGGTTGTTGTAGGGTTGTCAGTAGGTTGTGCCAACAGGACCTATAGAAAAGGAAGAGGAAAGAGAAATCAGGCAGAGCTGTCAGAAAGACGCCTGTGGTGCTGTTCTGCAGGGAGCAGGTCTGTGCAAACCTACTCCAAAAGGCTGAGGGAGCTGGGAGGCTGAAGAAGGAGGCCAAAGAAGGAGGCCGATAAATCCACTTTTTTCGAAAGAAACACTTAATAGGGACTTATGGTAGAAGCCATGTCTCTGGTGGCCCTGAGAGAGTGGATCCCTGCCCTGGCCCTCCAAGAAGTATTCTTTCCATGGCAAGTTTTTAGGGCAAAGCATGCAGCTGGTCATGTCTCAGATCCTCCTGCGAAAATTAAGACCACTGGGGAAGTGAGATAAGCATCTTCGTGAGGAGTTATCTATGCTACAGGTATTGTTTCTTGACCTAGCCGCAGGAACGCCTTGGTGTGCTGGAGTCAAACATGGGTCATTATGGTGCTTTCGCTTCAAGATGGCGTCACTCTTGCTATGCAGCAGGCTGTTTTCCTACAGGCGCCTACCTCTGCTCTGCACCTTTAGGCTAGCCCAGCACACCTAGGCACACATCAGCCTGCTGGCCCATGAAACAACTCAGTGGACATGCGGGATATTATAGTACCTGTGGGAATGATTTCAAATCTTTCTGTGTCTGCAGCCTGTTTTGCTCTCTCAGGTGCCCTTCACAACCTCATTTGGACCCACTGATATGGGCACTGAATCTCTGAAGCTCTGATTCTTGGATCCATCTCGAGGCTCTGGCTTGAAAAATATTTTAAAAATCATATGTGTTGATGGCAAGGGTGCAGTAAAATAGACACCTTATCAACTGCTGGTAGGAAAGTCAATTAGGACATCTTGTATAGAATTCAATTTGGCCATAACTGTTAAGAGTATGTTAAAAGAAAAGCTTTAGCTGAATTAAATGTAAAACAGTTTAATTGAGCAAAGAACAATTCATGAATCAGGCAGTCTCCCGAGCTAGAGGAGGCTCAGAGACCCCTGCACAGCCACGTGGTGGAAGAAGATTTATGAACAGAAAAAAGAAAATGATGTTCAGAAGGCAGAAGTGAGGTACAGAAACAGCCAGATTAGTTACAGATTGGCATTTGCTGTATTTGAACACGTTTTGAACAGTTGGCCACATTTCATTAGCCAAAACTCAGTGATTGACACAAGAGTAGGCTACAGTTTGTTTATAACTCCACTTAGGTTATAGTTCACGAGGTACAGAAGAACCTTTAGGTGGAACTTAAAACATATAAGGAAGCAGCATTAGGCTAAATTTGGTTTAACAAGTCTTTAAAATGTCCACAGTGTCTGCCTCTATAATCCCACTTCTAGACATGTATGTTATAGAAATATTCAGAGGTGCTGCAAAGATATTTATGTAAAGGAAACGCCTTATCTGTTTAGTAAATAGTTAGGAACAACCTAAATATCCAATAATACAGTTATATTTAAATTAATTATAAGTCCATACTAGAAAATATTATACAGACACTGAAAAATCACACTTCTAAATAATATTTAATAATATAGGTAATGATTAGGACATAATAAAAAGTGGAAAAAGCAGGAAACAAAGCTGCACCTGCAATAGGATCCCAATTTTATTAAAAATTTACATATATAATAGGAAGAACTAAAAGGAAATAAACTAAAATGCTACCAGTGGTTATCCATATTCATTGTGGGTGATTTCTGTTTTCTTTTTAAAAAACTTCCACATTGTCAATTTTTCTAGAATCACCATGTATCATTTTTAATACAAAAAAAAATTTGGTGGCTCACATCTGTAATCCCAGCACTTTGGGAGGCTGGGGTGGGCGGGTCACTTGAGCCCAGGAGTTTGAGACCAACCTAGGCAACATGGCGAAATCCCATCTCTACAAAAAATTTAAAAAATTAGTCAGGCATGATGGTGCATGCCTGTAGTCCCAGCCAGCTGGGAGGCTGAGGTGTGAGGATCGTTTGAGCCCAGAATGTCAAGGTTACAGTGAGCCAAGATGGCGCCACTGCATGCCAGCCTGGGTGACAGAGTGCGACCTTGTCTCAAATAAATAAATAAATAAATAAATAAAATGCTAATTTAAAAGACATTGGCTTGCAACAGCCTGTAGCTCCTTAGCTTGTCATGCTACACATAAAGTTTGCAAATCTATATATTGATAGCATTTTCCCAAATAAATGCTCCTCCAATTTCATCAAGAGAAGTAATAAAAAATATCGAATTTACTGAAATTTACTTTACAGTCAAATTGAGAACATAAACAAAAAATAGCTATACATAAAACTTTGCTTCCATCACAGCAAAAGAAGCTGCTAATGGGGAAGAATTAAAATTAGAGGATATGTTGATATTTGGATTCTTCTGAAAATTTCCTAGGAGAGCCTTTTAAAATATAAAAGATGGCTTCTGATACCTACTTGAAAGTATACATGTAAAAGAAGCAAATGCACTATGGAGAGAAATTTGTTCTTTTAGTGACTCTACTTTACAATTCTGTTCAGCATTTATTCAAGTGATATTGAAGGCTTCACTCTGTCATGCTGAAGTTGTGTCCAAGACTGTGAGAACATTTTACCAAATAATATTTGGAAGCCAGGCTCAGTATCTCAAGAATAATAGCATTTTAATTTTTAATTACATTTTCTGCCATTACAATCGATATTTATTAAGTGGTCTAAAAACGAAAATGACACTCTGTCGAGTGCTGTGTGAATTATTCAAAGGAAAGTTTTTAGAAAAGTGAAACCCAGCCTAGAGGATGACTTTCATCATTCTTTACTGTCTTCCTCTCACTTTGCCGCATTTCTGCTCTGCCGTTATTCTCTCGTATCCTGATGTCACCCCAATTCACTCTTTTCTTACTTCCTTTGGCTCTCAGATATTCCCCCATGCAATTTCAAGTTTGATTATGGTCTATCTCTTATTATTCTCTTTTAAAAATATTTTCATTTTAATTGATATGTCAATCCTCCGAAAACTGGTGCTTTCAGCAAAATAAAGTATCATCAGAGTGAACAGACAACCTACAGAATGGGAGAAAATTTTTGCAAACTATCCATGTGACAAAGGTCTAATATGTAGAGTCTACAAGGAGCTTAAACAAATTTTTAAGAAAAAAAACCCAACCCATTAAAAAGCGGGCAAAGGATATGAACAGACACTTCTCGAAAGAAGACATTCATGCGCCCAAGAAACATGAAAAAAAGCTCAACATCACTGATCATTAGAGAAATGCAAATCAAAACCACAATGAGATACCATCTCATGCCAGTCAGAATGGCAATTTTTAAAAAGTCAAGAAACAACAGATGCTGGTGAGGCTGCAGAGAAATAGGAGCACTTTTACACTGTTGGTGGTAATGTAAATTAGTTCAACCATTGTGGAAGAGAGTGTGGCAATTCCTTAAAGACCTAGAACCAGAAATAATAACGTTTGACCCAGCAATCCCATTACTGGGTATATACCCAAAGGAATATGAATAATTCTATTATAAAGATACATGCATGTTCACTGCAGCACTATTCACAAGAGCAAATACCCAAATGCCCATTTAATGATAGACTGGATAAAGAAAATGTGGTAAATATTCACCATGGAATACTATACAGCCATAAAAAGGAATGAGATTATGTCCTTTGCAGGGACATGGATGGAGCTGGAAGCCATTATCCTCAGTAAACTAATGCAGGAACAGAAAACCAAACATCACATGTTCTCACTTGCAAGTGGGAGCTGAACAATGAGAATACATGGACACAGGGAGGGGAACAGCACACTCTGGGGACTGGGAGGGGTTAAGGGGAGGAAGAGCATCAGGAAAATAGCTAATGCATGCTGGGCTTAATACTTAGGTGATGGGTCGATAGGTGCAGCACACCACCATGCCACACACATTTACCTATGTAACAAACCTGCCCATCCTGCACATGTACCCTGGAATGTAAAATAAAGTAATAAAAAAAAATTTTTTTTAGGCTGGGCGCGGTGGCTTACGCTTGTAATCCCAGCACTTTGGGAGGCCAAGGCGGGTGGGTCATGAGGTCAAGAGATCGAGACCATCCTGGCTAACACGGTGAAACCCCATCTCTACTAAAAATACAAAAAAAAAAAAAATTAGCCAGGTGTGGTGGCGGGCGCCTGCAGTCCCAGCTACTCGGGAGGCTGAGGCAGGAGAATCGTGTGAACCCGGGAGGTGGAGCTTGCAGTGAGCCGAGATCTCGCCACTGCACTCTAGCTTGGGCACAGAGCGAGACTCTGTCTCAAAAAAAAAAAAAAAATTTTTACGTGGCACTTTGCCATTTTCTTGTATCCCCCCTAGGCACTTGAACCAGCATTGAGCAAACAATTCACACTGGAAAAATCTTGTGGGCTTAAATTGACTTCACTCTCCTTTCAGAGGCTAATTTAGGGTTATAAATTCAGTCTTTGACCTTAAGCAAAATGGGCAATACTTGGGGGCTCGACGGACCCGTCAAAAGGACCCTTCAACTATAACCCAAGTTGTTGTTTCTTTTTAAATTAAATTTAGACTATTTGCAACTTGATCAGAGACCCTAATAAGCCACATCTTGAATAACTGACTCTCAGGGTCCATAGGGGGTCTTTAAGAAGTTCATAGAAAATGTGTATTCTGAAAAAGCAATGCATGGATTTCAATTTTTTTTTTGCACCAAAATAAACACACACTAACTTGTTGTAACATGGCTGGACAGGATCTGGTTTGAGGCGCATCAGTTTGAAAAGAGTTCCTATCACAGCAACATGAATCCTGCTATAATTGAAGCAAGAATAAACATTGAGTTTATGGTGGAGCTTGGGTGGAAGAATGGTGAAATCACTGATGCTTTATGAGAAGTGTATGGGGACAGCGTCCTGAAGAAATCAGCAGTTTACAAATGGATAACTCACTTTAGGAAGGGATGAGACAATATTGAAGATGAAGTCCATAGTGGCAGGCCATCCACATCAATTTGCAAGGAAAAAATTCATCTTGTTCATGCCCTAATTGAAGAGGATTGATGATTAAGAGTACAAACAATAGCCAACACCACAGATATCTGGACTGGTTCAGCTTACACAATTATGACTGAAAAGTTAAAGTTGAGCTAACTTTCTATTCCATAAGTGCCAAAAACCATTGTGCCCAGATCAGCCGCAGACAAGGGCAGAGCTCTCAATGGACATATGAAATGAGTGAGATCCAGATCCTGAAGCATTTATTTGAAGAATTGTAGCAAGAGATGAAACATGGCTTTGTCAGTACAATCCTGAAGATAAAGCACAGTCAAACCAATGGCTACCAAGAGGTGGAAGTGGCCCAGTCAAAGCCAAAATGGATCCATCAAAAGCAAATGTCACAGCAAGAGTTTCTTGGAATGCTCAAGCCATTTCTCCTGTTGACTTTCTGGAGGGCCAAAGAATGATGACATCTGCTTGTTAGGAGATGTTTTGAGAAGGTTAGCCAAAGCTTTAGCAGAAAAACACCTGGGAGAGCTTCACCAGAGAGCCCTTCCCCATCATGACAGTGCTCCTGTTCATTCCTCTCATCAAACAAAGATAATTTTGTGAGAGTTTTGGTGGGAAACCATTAGGCATCCACCTTACTGTCCTGATTTGGCTTCTTCTGCCTTTTTTGTTAAAAGACAACCATTTTTCTTCAATTACTAATGTAAAAAAGACTATACTGACATGCTTAAATTCCCTCAGTTTTTTTTTTTTTTTTTTTTTTTTTTGAGATGAAGTCTCACTCTATCACCCAGGCTGGAGAGCAGTGACATGATCATAGCTCACTGCACCCTCAAACTCCTAGGCTCAAGTGATCTTCCTGTCTTAGCTTCCCAAGTAGCTGGGACTATAGGTACGCACCAACTCATCTGGCTATTTATTTTATTGTTTTTAGAGATGGGGGTCTTGCTATGTAGTTCAGGTTGGTCTTGAAGTCCTGGCTTCAAGCAATATTGCCTCAGCCTTCCAAAGTACTGGAATTACAGGCAGGACCCACCATGCCTGGCACTGACCCTCAGTTTTTTAGGGACGAACTAAATGGTTAGTATCATCGCTTACAAGTGTCTTCAACTTGATGGAGCAAATGTTGAGAAATAAAGTTTATATATTTTTTTACTTTTAGCTTTTAATTCCATTTTTCCATGAACTTTGTGAAGTCCCTTTGTATTTCCTTTCATTCAAAAAGCACAGAGTCCCCAAAAGAAATGGAAAGAAGGAAATGGCAATGAATATAATACCATTTCCCCAGCCCCTCAGCCATTAAGTGGAGCAAAAATACAAAAACATTTCTGGGAAAATATAAATGATGATAATTACCTCTGAGGGTACAAGAAAGAGGAGGGCAGGGGTTCTTAAGTTGTATCTACAATGTTTGAAGCAATAAGGTGAAGTGTTAACACATTAAATCTGGGTAGTGTGTACAAGAATTGCTGTCATGTAAATTACTTTTAATTAAGAAGAAAAGAAAGAGGGAGAAGGGGACTGGACATGGTGACTCACAACTATAATCTCAGCACTTTGGGAGGCCGAGGTGAGATCACTTGAGCCCAGGAGTTCAAGACCAGCCTAGGCAATATAGCAAGACCCCATCACTACAAAAACAAAAAACAAACAAACAAAAACATAAAACAATTAGATGGGCGTGGTGGCAGGTGCCTATAGTTCCAGCTACTTAGGAGACTGACGTAGGAGGATCGCTTGAGCCCAGGAGTCCAATGCTGCAGTGAGCTATGATCACACCATGCACTCCAGCCTGGGTGACAAGGCGAGACCTCTTCTCAAAAAAAAAAAAAAAAAAGAAGAAGAAAGAAGGTACTAATACTTACATTTTAACCAATGAGAGAACTAGGTGCCTGGGCCCTGCATCTTTCCTGGAAACCAGCCCAACAGGTGGGAATCTATTTATAGTCTTCAGAGTGTAAGCAGACCTTAAGTTATATATAGGTACAGGATAAATGCAAATCTTTAGAAAGTGTTACAGTAATCGGTGGTTACAGGATAAATGCACATGTTTGGAAAGTATTGCAGTAATCTGTGGGGGGTGTCCTGAGCCCAGATCTTCCCAATAGACTGGTAGCAAATGTGAACCACCCTTCTGGATAGAGAAAGTGAAAGTACTTGATTCATTCCAAAGGTAACTCACCAGCAAAAGCATTATAAAGGAGTTTAGAAAATTCAGCATAAAAAATGGGCAAGAGAAAAATATATCCCAGTGGAGAAAAAAGATAAGCAACTGCAACCTCCAAGAAGCTAAAAAATAGGATGAGGCTCTTTCCTTCTCAACGTTTCTGAACGCTGAGAAGGGGAAAGCACCATATAATGGTCTAAAGAATGCTGCACATTTAGGGGCCGCAGCAAGCAGAAATGTTCCTGTTACTGCCCCTTGGAATAAAACAGCAAACTCTCTTGAGAGGTGTGGAAGCTGGCTCAGTCAACTGTCGTTCTTCTCAGAGTGTGAGTTGAAGCAGTATTGAGAGCCAGCTGTGGCTCCAAACCACTTAACACTGTTCTGTCTAATTCACGTGGAAATGAGTGATACTTAGGAGTAATCTGATGTTGACATTCTTGGCAGAAAACCAGAAAGCATCTGTTTCTTGAGGAGCGTCTATAGGTAGTGAATGGCTGTCTACACAGACGACCTTGATGAGTGGATTGAATATTGAATCTCCTGGACCTGACATTAATACCCCAATAAAGAGATTTGTCATCTCACGAGCTCTGGAAAGACTGTGTCCACATGCTGGCCTGGTCAAGATCTATGTATTTTGTGTGCATGTGTGCCAACTGAATCAAGTTTATTGAAAAAAAAAATCATTGTGTCTGTAACTTAAAAACAATAATAGCAACGCTACGTGTAAGCATTTTTGAGGGGCCAGACCCCTCCATGATGCGCCACACCTTGGTTTTATATAATTCTCGCAGCAACACTTTGAGATGAAACTATTATTGTTCTAGGTTTAAAGATGAGAAAACTGACCCCCAGAGAAGCAGTGTCCCCAAGGTCACACAGACGGTAAGTGAGGGAGCTGGCACCTGACCCCAAGTCTACCAGATCCAAGCCTCTGCTCTAATTGCTGATCTGACAGTAAAAGACACCCTCGTGTGATGCAAATTCCTACTAATTCTCTAAATTTAGTAACTTAAAATTCAGCTTTTTTTCCACCACTGTTTGCCCTTGAAAATAATGTGATGTACTCCTTCATACCTCCTTCCACAAGAACTAAGGTTATCATTATATATTAGAATTAGTAGTATCAGAATTATATATTAGTAGTATTATGTATTATATATTCGTTTCCTTGGTTTGCCATTAAGTGGCACAAGAAGGTGGGTGGCTTAAAATAACAGCAGTTTAGTTTATTTTCCTTTTTCTTTTCTTTCTTTTCTTTTTTTTTTTTTTTTTGAGACAGAGTCTTGCTCTGTCACCCAGGCTGGAGTGCAGTGGCGCTTAACTGCAGTCTCTGTCTCCCGGATTCAAGTGATTCTTGTGCCTCAGCCTCCTGAGTAGCTGGGATTACAGGTGTGCACCACCATGCCCGGCTAATTTTTGTATTTTTAGTAGAGACAGAGTTTCACCATGTTGGCCAGGCTGGTCTTGTACTCCTGGCCTGAAGTGATACACCCACCTCAGCCTCCCAAAGTGCTGGGATTGCAAGAGTGAGCCACCACACCCAGCCATATTTCCTCACTGTTCTGAAGGCTAGAAATCTGAACTCAAGGGGCCAACCAGTCCAGGCACTCTCTTAAGACACTTGGAATGGATCCTTCCTTGCCCCTTTCAATGTCTGCTGGAACGAACCATCCATGGACTTCCTTGTCTTGCAGACACATCACTCCAATCTCTGCCTCTGTTGTCCCGTTGCCTTCTCTGTGTGTCTCTGTGTTTGTGTCTCCAAATCTCTCTTTCCTCATAAGGACACCAGACCTTGGCTTTAGGGCCCACACTAATCCAATATGATGTTACCTTAACTTGACCACATCTGCAAAGATGTTTCCAAATAAAGTCACATTCTGAGGTTCTAGATGAACGTGAATTTTGAGGGAGTCACTATTCAACGTAGTACACCATCCAAGAAGTTTGCCAGCTCTCCTGACACCAGTTAGTGCTCCAGCCAAGGATAACTACTTTTAGGAACATCCCATGGTCTCTGGGGTCAAATTACAGTGTCTGTCCTACCTACAGGCCAGAGCAGCCTCTAGAACTCAAATCAAGAAACAGCAGCTCCTGGAAATCTCTGAAAGTCACAGACCAAGGATAAGCATTGGCTTGATATCACTTTTCTACTTTTCCTTCCAAAAAATTTCTGGACTGTCTTCCAGCACCAAGACCATTAATCCAGTGGCACGTGTTACTGCTTCTCCATGACCCTTATGACTAAGGACACCTTCCTAGTGATGTCAACTTGATCCCAACAACACAAACCGTCACCTTCCATGCAAAGGAAGGGCACAGAGGACTTTGAAATACAGACTTCCTCCCCTCCCCGGTTCCAGAGCCTCATGACTATAGGACCAGGCCTGGAAGCCCAGAGCACGAGGCCTGGAAGAGACTGCACCATCCTTCCTCATCATGCAATGATTCGTTGCTTGCTCTGCACTCAGCCTGGGCCTTTCCCATCAAGAGGAGATGGGGAAGAGAGGGGAGATGGAGAGAGGGGAGATGGAGAGAGGGGAGATGAGTCTGGCCCCAGTCCTGTTTCTGTTGCAGGGAATCTATCCCTCAAGAGATGAAGACATTCTGACCCTGGGGACTTGGGAAATGGATTCCTTCATCCAGCATGTTAGTTCTGCTTTTGCTTCCTTTGCTCTTTCCCACCTCTCCGACTGCTGCTGAAATGCTGAGGTCTTGGAGGTCTGCCCCTTGGATGAGACCTGCTGGAGCCGATGACAACCTGGATAGGAACCAAGCAGGCCAAACCCCTGGTGCTCATTGCCTTCACCTGAACCAACCTTGTTTGGCTCCACCTGCACAGGTCCCAGGTCCCAGTGAGTAGGGCATGGACCCTTTTCCCTTTCTGACAGCCCTGTGTTGCTGTGGTTCTCTGAGGCCCCTGTCACAGGGCACTGCAGTGGACTAAACCCCTCTATGGCGGGACACTTAGCCCTCACTTGTCTGCATCTGAACTCTTCCTTTGATCTCCCTGCAGCAAACAGCAGCTCATCCTGTTTCAACTCTCCCAGGGATGTCTCAGCCTCACCCAAGAACAAAGTCTTCCTACAAGACCCTCAGTCTTCTCACATAATCCTAAAGACACCAAATTAATTCTGGCTCTAACATAAATAGTTCCATTCTAGTGGGTTCATCTATTCCTAAAAGTTAAAAGTTGATTTTTTTTTTTTACCTAATATACCTTGACTCCCTTTCCACATCCCTGCATAAAGTATGCCCAGCACTGTGTGAGGTCTGGAGACACAGCCCTCTTGGAGTTTACAGGACAGGCTATAGCAGCTCTTTCACCTTTGGTTGTTTATCTACTGCCCTCTTGGTGGATAGTTTGGCCATTTTCAATGGTTGCACAACTACAAACTATCATGCAATGCACACCCTTATGCCTGCATATTTGCACAGTTGTGTGAATATCTATGTACGGTAAATTCCTGGAAGTGGAATCGCTGGATCAAAGAGAATGCATTCTTTAACTTTTTAAATCATTTTTTTCCATTTTTAAAAATTTTGTATAGATTGAGGGGTACAAGTGCAATTTTGTTACCTGGATATATTGCATAGTGGTAAAATCTGGGCTTCTAGTGTAACCATCACCTGAATAGTGTATTTACATTGTATTCATTATGTAATTTCTCATCCCTCACCCCCTCCCACCCTCCCACCCTTTCAAGTCTCCAATGTCTATTATTCCAAACTCTGTGTCCATATATACACATTATTTAGCTCCCACTTATATGTGAGAACATGTGGTATTTGACTTTCCATTTCTGAGATATTTCATGTAAGATAATGGCCTTCAGTTCCACACATGTTGCTGTAAAATACATGATTTCATTCTTTTTTATGGCTGAGTAGTATTCCAGGGTGTATATGCACCATATTTTCTTTATCCAATCATCCATTGATCGACACTTAGGTTGATTCCATCTCTTTGCTATTGTGAACAGTGCTGCAATAAACATAGCAATACAGGTATCTTTTTGATGTAATTATAAAATCAATTTTGTTGAGATATAATTTACAGAAATGGGCCTATATAAAATGTACAATTTAATGAGTCTTAACATATATATAATACCTGTGTTTATGTATACACATTTGTGAATATATATTAATATATACACCTGTAAGGCCACTAGCATTATCAACATACAGAATATTTCCATTCTTCTTTTCCATTCGTAGTCTATCCCCCCATTTATATCCTGCTCCAGGCAAACACTGATCTGCTTTCTGCCACTATACATTGGCCTACATTTTCTAGATTTTTATTTTTATTTTTATGAGGCAGGGTCTTGCTCTGTTGCCCAAGCTGGAGTGCAGTGGTGCAATTACGGCTCACTGTAGCCTTAACTTCCTGGGCTCAAGCCATCCTCCCGCCTCAGTCTCCCAAGTAGCTGGGACTACAGGTGCATGCCAAATCACCTGGCTAAATTTTTTAAGTTTATAGTGGAGATGAGGTCTTGCTATGTTGCCCAGGCTGGTCTCCTAAAGCACTGGGATTACAGGTATGAGCCAGTGTGCCTGGCCCATTTTCTAGATCTTCTATAAAGAAGAGTTCTACACCCAGCATGGGCTCTGGCTTCTGGCTTCCCTTGAGATTCATGTGTTGTTGTACATATTAGTACTTCCTTCATTTTCACTGATGAGTAGTATCCGGTGGATGGAATGGACAGTATAGGTAGGCCACAATTTGTTTATGCATTTTTTGGTGGACAGATTTCTGGGTTGTTTTCAGTTTTAAGCTACAGTGAATAAAGCTGCTACAAATATCTTTGTACATGGTATTGTGTGGATATTTGTTTCCATGGACCTTGAGCACCTATAAGTGTAATGACTGGTTGGTTCATACAGTAGGTGTATATTTAACTTTATAAGAAAGTATCTAGTTCCCAAAATGGTTGTACCATTTTTTAATTCCTACCAGCAATGTACCCTGAAACTTCTGATAGTTTCAACCAAATTCCTCTTCAAGATAACTTTACTAACATTCTCCAAAAGTAAATAAGAATTTCTACATACCACACTCTCACTAACATTGTAGATTCTCAATGTTTTTAATCTTTGCCAATCTAATCATTGAAACATGCTGAGTCACTGTTTAGAAATGCATTTACATAATCATTTGAGAATGACAGTATCTCTTCATGCATGTACTCGCACTTGTATTTTGCCCTCTTTGAATTTTTCATATCCTTTGCCCATTTTTCAGAAGTGTTACTCATGCTTTTCTCAGAGCTTTCTCTACATTAGTACTATTATTGCCAATATTCATTATATATATATAAATCTTTGGTCTGGCTGGAAGATATTCTGATATAAGGGGTGAGATAGGAGAATAGAGGAAGCACTCTCCAGCAGGCCTGAGGCCTGGTCCTGCCAGAAGACAGTCACATCCTGAGAAGTTGAGCTTCAATTTACCTTGCCTTGCAGCAAACATTTAAGAAAGTCCTGGAGCTGTTTTGAACAAGTTGCTTAGACCTGATGAATACTAGGCACATAGCCAGGGTCTCCAGAACAGGTAGGAGAGTCCAGGTAGGGCACAAAGTCCCCCAAGAACAGGCGGGTGCACGCTTCTCTTACTAGGAGATTGGTATTCCAGGCACCTGTGTTCTCATGGGACGTGCAGGGGCCTGGGAGCCTCCACCTGGGCGCCCTCAATCCACTTTGTGTGGGCATGATTTTCAGACACTTTTCAGTATCCCCTGCCATTAAAGAAACTTTATATCCTTGGCTACATTTGTTGGCATCTTTACATCAAGCATATCACCCTCCCATGTTGGAGCCCGCTGAAATTTTTTCTCCAAATAGCTAGTTAACTGTCCATTGATGCCATGTATTAAAGAAGATATCTTTCCCTCCTGGTTCTAATTCCCATTCTGAAGCTCTATTCCATTGGCCTGTTTATTACCACAATACCCATATTTTTATATGAGTTTGCTTTCTAATAAATTGTAATTGCTAGTAGGGCAAGTCCTTTCCATTACCCTTTTTTCAGAATATTCCTGAATGTTTTGTTCTTGCATGTTTGCTCTTCCAGATATACCCTAGTGTAAAAGCAATACTTGGAGAACTTTTCCCTGGAGGACACAGGAAACATCTATATTTGGTTGGTAATAGACTTGTAAGCTCTGGAACACAAAGGACTCTTTGGTCAATGCTGCTGTGCTAGGCTTGGGCAAAACTAGTTCATGGCTGACAAGGTCAGGCCTAAGACCTGGCATGCAGATGGGGAGGACACTTGGTGGAAGGAGATCAGTTCTGCATTTGATGGTTTCTCTGAGAAATCATCATGGGCTGGAAAGAATAGGAGTTCTATGTTCAAAGTCCTGGGCGAGGGTCTGGTAGCGGAGTCAGGAAGCTAAGTTTATAGAAGTGAAGAACATGAGCATAGAGTTCTTGGCAAAGGATGTGGACACAAAGATGTCACAAGGTTTGGGTTTTTTTTAAAGAGTAAATCTCGAAATGTGGGCTGTGTAAAAAAACATGAAGACACAATGGGATTTAGTATTGACAAAAGGCAGTGAAGACAAGTGCTTCCAGTTCACAAATGGGCTGTGTTTATGCCAGATTATGATCCTTAACAAGGTGCTTTGGGGCCCATCTTATTTTCCCATAAAAATGGTATTTGCAGCTGGGCGCGGTGGCTCACACCTGTAATCCCAGCACTTTGGGAGGCTGAGTAGATCACCTGAGGTCAGGCGTTCGAGACCAGCCTGGCCAAAATGGCAAAACCCCGTCTCTACTAAAAATACAAAAATTAATGGGGCATGATGGCACAAACCTGTAGTCCCAGCTACTCAGGAGGCTGAGGCACGAGAATCACTTGAACCTGGGAGGTGGAGGTTGCAGTGAGCTGAGATTGTACCACTGCACTCCAGCCTGGGCAACAGAGTGAGACTCTGTCTCACACACACACAAAAAGAAATACAGGTCCTGACCAATTCTTCATACTTAGTTTTAGAAACAAATTAAAATAAACACCATAATTGACAAGGAGCAGAGTCCGGGTTTCTTGGTGACAACAAACACAAGTCAACTCTGGCAAACTGAAGTAGGAAACACGATGTATGGAAAGGGTGTATGAAATTAATGGGAACATTGAAGAGCATGGCTTGGAAATGGGTTGAGAATAAAAGGAGCACCAGCAGCCAAGAACACTGCCAAAATCCACAGAGAGGGACCATCTGCTAGGCCACTGCCACTGCCTCACAGCCCCACCCCCAGACGTTCCCCCACGGGCCACTGAACACCTGCTGCCTTGGCAGGGGTCAATCTTCACTGTATCTTTGTATCACTTCTTGAGAGTCAGAGTCCCGGGTGGAGAACACGATTGGCCAGGTCTAAGCTCATCTCTCATCACCAAGGAGTAGTGAGAGGGAACCTCTGCCTCCCTTCTCCTCACATCATGGGGTGTAACACCTACTTGCCTGATATTTCAACATTGCTGCTGAGGAGGAAGGGTATTTGGATGCAAGATAACAAAAACAAATGAGGGAACAACAACAACAAAATGCAACTGCAAAAAAAAAAAAAAGAAAAAAAAGAAAAAAGAAAAAAAGAAAAGAAAGAAAGAAAGAGAAAAAGAAGAAAAACCTACTTATTACCACACAGTGCAAAGCTTTCTAAAGTGTTCATAAAGCAAAGGCAACACAGTACCCAACCATCACAAGCCATTTCTAAACTGCACTGAACAAAGTGTGCTTGGGCACAGTTCAGCCCAGCCACACATCCTGCAGGTTTCCTTACAAACACTGAAGATCCTGCTCATAACATCCTGATTTCTTCTGTCATTGATCATTTACAGTATTAACTACGGGGATGATGGCAAAGTCATAGATGGGTTTTTAAAAATCCATATTTCAAAACTTTTATATCCAGGTGTCTGTGGTTTTCTTTAAAATAGCCACCTGGTGAAGTTACATACTCTCAGTTCCAACACATTAGGCCATTACTCAAAACTCCTCTCTGAGACATGCCTTTAAAAAATTGCCTTCAGGCAAGGCAAGGTGGCTTCCACCTGTAATCCTAGCACTTTGGGAGGCTGAGGTGGGAGGGTCGCTTGAGTCCAGGAGTTTAAGACCAGCCTGAGCAACATAGCGAGACTTCATCTCTACAAAAAAATCAAAAAAGAAAAATTAGCCTGGTGAGGTGGTACACACCAGGTGGTTTCAATTACTCAGGAGGCCGAGGTGGGAGGATCACTTGGTCCCAGGAGGTGGAGGCTGCAGTGAGCTGTGATCTTACCTCTGCACTCCAGCCTGGGTGACAGGAGTGAAACCCTTTCTCAAAATAAATAAATAAAAATTATAAATTATAAATTGCTTATAAAATTATCCAAAAAAATTTTTAAAATTTTATACCAATGCTAAAAGAGACAAGGTCACAGGGTACTGTCTTACACTGCAGCAGGGGTGCAAGGCTGTGCCAGTAAATTATTGATAAATTGAAAAAACAGAAACAAATTTACACATCTCTGAATGGGAGAATTGTTAAATTACTGTTCACACGTTGCATAATAAGCTGCTATTTGAAAAGGTCTTCAAAAAACTTCAATAAAATGGGAATATACTAATTTAACACTGCTGTTAAATGAAAAAGGCTGCCTATCATCTTAGCTTTGATAAAGGTAGATGTAAAAGAGTACACAGTAACAACAACAACAACAAAGACTGAAAGGAAACACAATATTTACAGTGACTATCATTGGGTACTGATGACTTTTCTTTTCTTTTTTTTTTCTTTTATTTTTTTGACTGAGGGTCTCACTCTGTCACCCAGACTGGAGTGCAGGTGTGCGATCTCGGCTCACTGCAGCCTCGACCTCCCAGGCTCAAAGGGTCCTCTCACCTCAGCCTCCCAACTAGCTGGGACCACAGGCATACACCAGGATACCCGGCTGGGTCTTCAGTTTTAAAGGCTTCTGTGTCATGTGAAACTTATACTAAACAAATGTGTATGGTTTAATCTGTCTTGTTATAAAGGCCTCAGCCATAAACCTTGTGGTGAGCGAGGAAAAAAATCTTTTCCTCCCCTACAGTATTCATGATGCAATCTAGAGTCCAACACATTGCCTGGCACACAGTAATGACTCAGCAAATGGTGTCATCAGTGTTACAGTAATTCTTACAGAGAGATTAGCGGGGCCAGCTTCATGGCTGTGCAACCTGTGTAGTCACTCACGCTGCAGGCTGCATACTCAGGAGAGCACTGCTGTGGGTTTGTTTTTTTGTTTGTTTTGAAAGAGAGTCTTGCTCTGTCACCCAGGCTGGTGTGTAGTGGTGTGATCTTGGCTCACTGAAACCCCCGCCTCCCTGGTTCAAGCAGTTCTCCTGCTTCAGCCTCCCAGTAGCTGGGACTACAAGCACATGCCACCACGACCGGCTAATTTTTTGTATTTTTAGTAGAGACGGGGTTTCACCATGTTGGTCAGGCTGGTCTCAAACTCCTAGCCTCAAGTCATCTGCCCGCTTCAGCCTCCCAAAGTCCTGGGATAACAGGCGTGAGCCCTCATGCCTGGCCTCTGCCCATGGTTTAATGCTCTGCTGTCATCATCTTGAAAGTCTTAGTGCTTTCCCAACCAGGGACTCCCCATTTTCACTTTGTACTTGGCTCTGTGAGTGGCAAAGCTGATCCTGAGGATTACAGCATTGGAAATCCATTCGCAGGCAAACTTCCGGCTTCACAGCTCTGGTCGAGCTTCCTGGTATGCTCTTTTCTTATAAGTATGGTCTTATAAGTATGGAAATGTTCTCATTTCCCCAAAAGAAGGTCCGGAAGGAAGGATGGGGGTATAAATAATTTATTTGGGAGATAATCTCAGAAAGCATAATGAGGAAGTAGGGAAAGGATAGAGGGCAGGAGGGAAGTTCATGAAGGGTACATTAACGAGAGAGTCACTGGGGTGGGCAACTGGGGATCAGATCTGCTGAGGAGCCTCTGAGTCACCAGGGAACACATACCCCAGAATCACGACATCAAGGAAGCGGTGAAGAATCAGGAGCATTTATCCACCCATTCCCGACCCACACTCCTTAAGCATTGCTCCTGGGGAATGAAGCCCCCAGTGCTTTTGGCCTGCCCCAGGTGTGGGTCTGAAGCCCTCTGGCAAAAAGTCTCAGAAGCCAGGCCCAGCACAGTGGCTCATGCCTGTAATCCTAGCACTTTAAGAGACCAAAACAAGCAGATCGTTCGAGTCCAGGAGTTCAAGAACAGCCTAGGCAACATGGTGAAACCTCATCTCTACTAAAAATACAAAAATTAGCCAGGCATGGTGGCATGTGCCTGTAGTCCATGCTACTTGGGGGGCCGATGCAGGAGGATCACTTGAACCTGGGAGGTCAAGGCTACAGTGAGTGGAGATCGCACCACTGCACTTCAGCCTTGGTGACAAAGTGAGACCATGTCTCAAAAAAACAAAAACAAACAAAAAGACTCAGAAGCTGGAGAATGGAAGCCACTGAGGTGATGGAAAATAAACCTCAATACGTGTTTGGTCTTGGATTTCTTCTCCAACTTCAAAACACACTGCGTATCCAAATATCGTGATCTGGTAGAAGTTACTCTCAGCTGAAAGGTAGGATGGTTGGGTCTTAGTTCTGATTCTGCTGTGTGAGCAAGTCAGGTCCTCCATTTCCCTGGGCCTCTTGTCCCATCTGTGAAAACAGAGAATTGAATGACATCTAAATTCCTTCTACTCTCAATGTTCTATTCTAATTCATTTCTGTAACCAAGAATGTTGAGCTTGGGGGAGGAAAAGTGCCAATCCACCAAACAAGTAACTCATTAAAATAGAAGAGTCTCATTAATTTTTTTCTGAAGAACTGAATTCTTTAAAATAGGGAAGCATATTGAATAGGAGAGCAGGAGCAGCTGTTCTGTTTTTCTCTGAGGATAGAATGAAAGGGACTGGACTTAAACTGTGCCAAAAGGGATTTATTTAAATTAGACATTAAGCAAGTTGTGAGACAATGCAACGTGTTACCCAAGGAGATGTTGGAACCAGCTCACTAGAGACAATTTTTAAAGAATTGTTTTATTTTTGTTCTTCAAACTGTACATGTATGTTTCTATCCAGTGTTTTGTATGTACATTTCATCTCATCATAAAATGAGAAGGTACAGTGAGGTCTTTCTAGGAGAAAATGGCAGATAGGAGGCACTTGTTCACCACCAACCACCATCTCCAACCTATAGCCATGGCAGACATTACTAATTAATTGCTGCTCTCTTCCTGTCCCAGCTCAGGCAAAGCCTCATCATTTATCTCAACACCATGATCCAGGTATCCACCATCAATCAATCACAGTTGGCCAGTGCGGTAGAAACCTTCACGTCTCACATGACTATGGGGTCTCTCCCCATGACGGTTATGACTATTTCACTTGCATTCATGGCTGACTCCAAACCATTTGTACAGAATCCTATGAAAAGATTATGCTCCTAAGTCTCCTAAATATAACAGTTAAAGTGCTCCTGCCTGGGAACTTTAGCATGTTAAGAATTATCTGTTCTTATTAAAATGTAGATTCCAGAATCCCACCCCTGGAGAGTCTGATGATTATGGGAAGAGGCCCAGAACCTCCATTCTCCGGAATGATTCTGTGTGACTGATGGATCCAGTGATTACTCTCTGGGAGGCAATGCCACCAAAGGAAGGCAGGAGTTGCTGTACAGGTTCAGGGACCTGTGTGGGAAATAAATGTCCTACATTTGCATCTCAGTTCTAGCTCATTCTGTTCAGTCTCATCCGGAGTCCAGCTTCCAGGCTGGCCCTAGGCTCTACCATATCTTTCTTGCACAGAAACAAGCCCTTCTTGGTTGGCTCCAGGCTGTCTCTCCACGTGGGATTCAGGTTAAATTGAAACTGCAGGAAGCTCTCTGTTGTTTATTACCCGCTCAGCAGGCCAAGACACTTTGCTCTTCACTTTTCTGTGGCTTTTCTCTTAACCATCTCAGATATTTCAGATCCATATGACTGACCTGTCCCTGGACTTTTCTATTGTATGATTTTCCTTTTCTTGACTCACGCTTGCCTTTTTTACAGGAGGACACCAATCGGTTTCACACTTTGTTTCCCCAGGCTTCTACAGATTCATGTCTACTCATCTCTTTAACAAAGAAGGCTGACAACAAGGATCATATTCAAAATATTTGATAACTGCTCAGAGCGAAGTAAAATATAGACACCTGGCACAGAACCCAACCAGTCAGAACAGGCATCAGCTCTGATTAGCCAGTACAGCTGCACGCATCCCACCTGGTGTGGAAAGCTGACTAATGCCCTGTTGTCCTAGTCCCCAGAAGCTGTGAGTGTTACCTTATATAGCAAAGGGACTTTGCAGGTGTGATTAAGTTGAGCTGGAGATCAAGACATCATCCTGGATTATCCAAGTCTTAAATGTAATCATAAGTGTCCTTACAAGAGGAGGGCAGAGGGAGATTTGACCATATAAGACAGAAGACATACAACTATAGAAGCAAGATGCTTCATGGCCGCTTTGAATATGGAGGAAGGGGACCTGAGCCAAGGGATGTAGGTGGCATCTAGAAGTAAAAAAGGCAAGGAAATAGATTCTCCCTTAGAGCTTCCAGAAGGAACCAGCCCTACCAACACTTTGACTTTCATCCAATAAAACTAATTTCAAACTCTGACTTCCAGAACTGTGAGAGAATAAATTTGTGTTGTTTTAAGGCACTAAGTTTGTGGTAATTTCTAACAGCAGCCCCAGGAAACCAGTGCCTCTGGGAATATCAGAGTGGAGATGGTCAAGGGAGGGCTGGAGGCATGAGGAGAGTTGGCCATCACACACCCTGGCTGAGCTGAACTGTGGACCCCAGTGCAACATGGAGCCAGGGAGAGGCAGGCATAGAGAGTCTGAGATCTGCTGGGAAGACAAGGCAGGACAAGTGCAAGAGTAAGATGTAGCCAGAAAAGTACTTATGGCCAGAGTCAAAGCAAAACTGTAATCAAGTCCTATACATATCCTCTATGTCACTAAACAACACTTTAGAATGTCTAGGGCAAAACTCATGTGCTCAAGTTACTGCTGAGTGCAAAGGCTTGCCCCCACCTTGTTGGTAATGGGGAGTAAAGAAAAAAGTCTACTCTATTCCCCTCTAAGGGTCCTGTCCCCTTTTCATGGTGCATCCAGAAATCCTCTAGCACCTGTAGGGTCCTTCACTGGTACCATGTGAGCTGGCTTTGCACTCTCTGAAACGACTGTGTCTATTGGGTGCCTTGTGGGCTCTTCTGGGATTCCCACTGCTAAAAGCCACCCTGATGATCTTTTGCCTCTGGAAGATACTGGCCTAAGGATAGATATATAGATCAATGGAATAGGATTGAGAGTCCAGAAACAAATCTTTATATTTATGGTTAATTAATTTTTGACAAGGTCACAAAGACAATTCAATGGAGAAAGAAGAGTCTTTGCAACAAATGGTGCTAGGACAACTGCATAACCACATGCTAAAGAATGAATTTTCAACTCCATCTCACGCTGTATACAAAAATTAACACAAAATGGATCATAGACCTGTATGTAAAAGATAAAACTATAAAACACTTAGAAGAAAACATGAGCATAAATCTTCATGACCTTGGAGTAGCCAATGGTTTCTTAGATGTGATGCCTAAAGCACAAGCAACCAAAGAAAAATAGTTAAGTTGGACTCCTTCAAAATTAAAAATGTGTGTGCTTCAAAGAACACTACCAAGAAAGTGAAAGGACACCCCACAGAATGGAAGAAAATATTTGCACATTGTCTACTGACTAGGAATTTGTATCCAGAATATACATGGAATTCTTACAATTTAACAATTTTTAAAAAACAATTTAAAAATGAGCAAGGGATTTAAACAGACATTTCTTCTAAGAAGATATATAAATAGCCTGTAAGCACATGAAAAGATGCTCAGCATCATTAGTCATTAGAAAAATATAAATTAAACTCACAATTTTACACTCATGAGGATAGCTAAGATGAAAAAGACAGAAAATAAAAAGTATTGGTGAGGATGGGGATAAATTGTAACTCTTATACATTGCTAGTGGGAATGTAAATGGTGCAGCCATGGTGGAGAACAGCTGGGCAGTTCCTCAAATGACTTTCCCTCTTACTCCATGTTCCCACATGGGGGACAACCATCACTGTAATACTTCCGGTATCTTTCTCCATTCACTTCCCCCCAAGACACACACACACACAAATGAGACAGACAGACATGGGCTGGGGATGGAGGCTTCTTCCCTTCTGACCAGGGGCTTTGCCTCTCTTATCGTGGGAGTGAACCTGGCCTTGGAAGGAGATGAATTATAATGGAAAACGGAGAGGGAAAAAATACAGAAGACCACCCTATAGTGGCCTCCCCAGGCCTGTTTTCTATTTAGGCATTCACTTTCCTCCCAAGGGCCTCTGTGTCGTGGGGCCAAATTCTGTTCTTTGCTAAATGGCCTAGGATTTCCTCTTGGTATCACAGGCTTCAAAGTCTCCTGGTGCGTCACACTCAACTTCCTGTCCCCCGGCCAGATTTCTGTCCTGATAGCAGGGTGTTTCCTGGGCCCTCTCACTGCCTGCCTCCCTCAGCTTTGAGAGGCTGACTGGCCTGTGGACCATTTCCTCGACCTGTCCTTCCTCTCCAGTGTCTCTGAGCCCACCTTCTCACCTGGTCACAGTTCCTGCTTCCTGCCAGTGCCCTGAGTCTAGTGACTGCAGCCCCTCCTCTGGTCACTTCCTCCCACGAGGTTCTGCCTTGGAACCCCTGGTCCTGGCCTCTCCCTGTATCTCCCCACTCCCCTTCTCTGCAAAGCCCTGGCAGGAGGAACTAGGACAAAGGGACTAAATGGGAAGGGCTAAGAACTCTGGGAGACAAAAGGAACCTTTGTTTTCATCTGCTCTCTGCTTCTGGCCAGCCCCTTTGCAGAGCTGTGCCATCCACCGTCATGTTCACATTCACCCCCTGATCCACAGCACATGGCCTGGCCTTCCCTGCCATCTGTCCAGCAGCAGAACTGCCTGGCTGTGCTCATTGCAGACTGTAAATAAACCAGTAGTCTCCACTTCTAAGGGAAAACCAGAGCACAGAAATTATGTTAATTCCATTCCTAACCCATTTACATGCATATATTAATATGAATCATGTTACTGCTCCAGCTGTTTCATTATTACAAATACTCTTTGGTGATAAAACCATCAGGTACAAAAAACAAACAGCTCTCCTTCTAGCCTCCGCCCTTTCACAACTGCCAACTCAATCTTGCTTAACTCTACCAGAAAATCTGCTATAGCCATTAGGAATTTAAAGCCCCCCAATAATTTAGTTTCTTTCAAATGGATATTAACTGTCATGTTCCAAGGAAAATGTCAGAAACAACAGGCTATGGTAGCTGGTTGGTGCTGGAAGTTATTTTAGAAGAACTTGAATCCCAAGCACACAAGTTCATATGCTCACTAAGATCAATGCATGTCACACTCTAATGAGTGTTGGATCTTACATAATCGTTGAGCAGATGGGCTGTAGCCATGATTTTGTGCAAATGTAAATTATCCTCTAAATGAGATGTGCTTGAAAAAGATACACCAGGCTCAAATTTCCAAACACAGAAGGGAAAAAACAACTCACCAAAGCCCCATTATTTACTCAGCTGGTTTTGAATGCAAGTCTCCTAGCCAATGTTTTGAAAAATTTATCCCACAGTCTTAAGAAAAGGGAGAAGTCAAGGGCTCTGCACATTTCATCTTCCTTTCCCAGCCTCCAACAGCAAGGCATCTGCGGAGAGAGAGGAATTTCGCTATTTATTGTAAGGTACAGTCCAGGAAGGTTCACATTCTAATCCTTTTTTTTCTTTAATATATTTTAAATGGAGGTGTAATTAACACACAGTGAAACGTGTAGCCCTTAGATGTTTCAGACAAATAAACTTTGACAATTGTAAATGTCCATGTAACCAACACTCAAAACAAGATATAGAACATTTTCATCGTGCCAGAAAAGTTTCCATCCCTACCCTCAACCGGGAAACTGCTGATTTTCTTTCTGTTACTATAGAATCAGTTGTGTCTGTTTTAGAATTTCATGTATGTAGAAGCATACAGTAAGAACTCTTTTGCTTTTAGCTCCTTTCATTCAAATAATGTCTTTGAGATTCATTCAGCTTGTTGCATGTATTTATAGTTTGCTTTTTAAAAAAATTTGCTGAATATATTTCATTGTTCCATGAATGTATTCTATTACTGGAATTAGAATCCAATGATGGAATGTATTTTATTATTCCATTATTCCACTGAATAGACTAAAATGTGTTTATCCATTTACCTATATCTGGACATTTGGATTATTTCCAGTTGTTGGTGCTAATTCAATGGGGAAAGGAAAGTCTTTTTAACAATATTGCTGGAACAACTGGATATATGTGTGGAAAAAAATGAGCTCCAATCCCTATCTCACTCCATTTATCAAAGTTAATTCAAAATAGATCATACACCTAAATGTAATAACCACAGCCACAAAATTACTCAAATAAAGCATAATAACTTCATGACCTTGGGGTGGGCAGAGTCCTTGGACAGAACACAAAAAGCACTAACCATAAAAAAAATTGGATTTTATCAAAATGTAAAATTTCAGCTCATGAAAAGAGATGACAAACCACTGGCTGGGAAAAAAATGCTTGGAACACATATATTTCGCAAATGACTTGTATCTAAAATATATAAAGAATGCTTTTAGGCTTTAATTACATCTCAATTTTTAAAGAATGCATACATGCCAACAATAAAAAGACAAACAACCCAATTTAAAATGGCAGAAAAAAACCTCAACAGACACTTCACAAAGATGCACAAATGGCCAATAAATCCACAAGAAAATGCTCAAAATCTCTAATAGTCCAATTTTTACCAATTCTTGTTTAAAATTCATCTGGTCAGCTGTTCAAAGCGTTCCCATTTCCCCATCACACTGGAAGATATAAAATGCCATATAGAAGCAGATTTTGTTATGTGAAGACTTAGTTCTCCAGCCCCCTCAGATTGTGTGCTTTCTGCTTAGTAATTACAAGGCATTTTCTAGAATTGCTGAGGTGAACGTACCTGCAACTGCCAGAACCTATCTTTGTGTCATCTCGTGCTGCAAGAAGGAAAAACTCTGAGAGCTCGTAGCTTTGGGCCATGCGTGGGAAAAGAAGGGGGTGGCTTGTGGGCTGCAGGCACGGCAGGTCAGCCTAGAAGGGAGGGAAATTGTGTAGGGATTTTATCAGGACCTGCATACAATCCACCCTATCCAGTGAAGTTCAAGTTTAGCTTTTATAAGCAGAATAAAATCAGAATCTCCAAAGGGTTCAGTTTTCATCACTAACCATTTGAAAGAGAAAACATTAGCCTCCAGGCTTCTTTCAGGGGCTGGACTTTAGCCTTTCTAAAGAATAGCAACGTTTAGGCCGGGCGCGGTGGCTCACGCCTGTAATCCCAGCACTTTGGGAGGCTGAGGCGGGCGATCACGAGGTCAGGAGATCGAGACCATCCTGGCTAACACGGTGAAACCCCGTCTCTACTAAAAATACAAAAAATTAGCCGGGCTTGGTGGCGGGCGCCTGTAGTCCCAGCTACTTGGGAGGTTGAGCCAGGAGAATGGCGTGAACCCAGGAGGCGGAGCTTGCAGTGAGCCAAGATCACGCCACTGCACTCCAGCCTGGGCGACAGAGCAAGACTCCATCTCAAAAAAAAAAAAAAAAAAAAAAAAAAAAAAAAAAAAAAGGAGACTCTTTAAAAAAAAAAAAAAAGAATAGCAACATTTAGAATTTATCAATACAACTACTTGTGGGGCAGCCACTACATACACAACAGATGCTCTTGTAAGCACGGTGAAGGTATGACTGAGTGGTACACATCCTCAGGAAGCTTCAAAGACGCTAACCAGACTGTTGACTGTTTTTCAACCAGTTAGTCAACCGTCCATACCAGGTAGCTAAGAAGAAGGAGTTTTCATTGATGGCTGAAACTGAATAGTGACAAAAGTGTCCCTGGCCCAAGGCATTCAAAACATTAGAATTCTGCTATTGCTAGGCAGGTGTTTTATGTTACTCCCTGAATCTGGGAAACTAGCTGCTGAGATAAGTAACAAGCATTTTATCTGGATCTTGATTGGAATCAGATTTAGATTAAATTCAGGTGAAAACAGAGTCTCTGCCTTCTAACTACATTTTGAGAACTGCCGCTAAAGAGGAAGAAGAGACGTGCTAAGAAGGAGGCTCTTGGCAGTGGTGCTAAACTCCACAGAATTGAATTTAACAGGAGCACAACAACATCTAATTAAAGCTTATTTGGGTAGGAGGATCCCACATAAATAAATGTATCAGATAACTGATGTTTAATGAAAAGCATTTTTTAAAAAAAACTTACTAATATTTTTTATCTAACCCAATATACTAAAAATATCACTCCAACATGTAATCAGTGTGAAATTGATTAATGAGACATTTTACATTCTCTTTTTTTGTACCAAGCTTTTGGACTCTGGAGTGTATTTTACATGTGCAGCACCTCTCAAAGTGGCCTGAATTTCTAGAGTTCACTGCCCATATGTGGCTCATGGCCTGCTCCCATATTGGATGGTATAGGTGTAGGATCTCATGGCTCATGTTTGGCCTGTTGCTGCTCTTGCACATGTCAATTTTTCTCTCTCAAAAATTGCAGCTCCTCCTGTAATCCCAGTGCTTTGGGAGGCTGAGGCAGGAGGATCATTTGAGGCCAGGAGTTCGAGACCAATCTGGGCAACATAGCAAGACTCTGTCTCTACAAAAATTTTAAAAATTAATTGGGGGTGATGGTACACACCTGTAGTCACAGCTACTTGGGAGGCTGAGGTAGGAAGATTGCTTGAGCCCACAAGTTCGAGGCTGCAGTGTGCTTGAGCCCACAAGTTCGAGGCTGCAGTGAGCTATAATGATGCCATTGCACTCCAGCCTGGATGACGGAGCAAGACCAGTCTCTTAAAACAAAAACAAAAACAAAAACAAATATATATATATATGGTTCCCTAAGGGCAAAGCTGACATCTATTTCTGTTTAACATTATAACTTCCATCATGCCCTGCCTAAAACAGCTGCCTATCAGATACTAGCCAATTAAAGTTAATTGAGTAAGAACTTGTGGATTCATCAGCTGTCTCCTGAATTTTCCCTCAGAATGCTGATACTCCTTAAACTGCCAATTTGTGACTTAAATATTTTTCTCTGCTTGGTTATCTTGGTTATATGCTGAGCTGCATTTTCTGCATTTTATTTGCTTTAGAGAAAGTTTCTGTTTTTCCTGTAAGTCAGAGATGAGTGTGCCACCCCACACCTCCTCCCTATATCCATGGGCTGCTTCCTAGGGACTGTCCTTCCCCCCATGGGAGGCCAGTGGACCAGGAGAGATGCCAGCTGTGTTTCCCACACTTGCCAGATAGAATCCCCCAGAGTGCCTGTTAGGATCACAGGTAAAAGTCAAAAAATGTTTAACCTGGTTCATCATTTCAGTTGGAAAAACTTTCCAAGATAAAATAGTGTGTTAAGTCTGCAAAGTATTTTACCATTTACAAAATATACGTGAGCTTTATTGCCTTTGCTACTTAAAACAACAACCTCAAGAGGTCTGTAGGGTAAATGTCAGGCACCTGTTTGTCGTATGAGGCACCGAGACTGGGTGGCGCAGGGGAACTGCCTGAAGTCCCATGGCTGGGAGCTGGTAGATAGAATTTCTGAACACAAGTCTTCAATTCCCAGTGTTTCCCACCTGTTGAAGACCCAGCTGTTTGTAGTTAGATATTGTTTCCATGAAATACTCGAATTATGTTGGCTTCGATCCTGACTTGCTAATTGTCAGGGATTGGTGCCCTTCAGTGTATCCTCTAAAGAGTTCTGTGAGCGCCATGATGCCGTTGCCCACATGCCCAGGTCCCCCTCAGCCTGCATTTTGACTGCGACCCCACTGCACCCTTTGCCGCCCATGGCCATTGAGCACTCTCTGCTCCGTTGGGCACCTCTGCCCTCTGCCCTCTGCTGGTGACCCCTGCTCATAGCAACTCTCTTGCCATCTTTTGTGCTCCCTTCCAGACCTGCCTTCCCCATTCTCCCCAAAGCATCTCAGGGACCAGGCAGTTACTTGCAGCCAAACTTCCTTGATATATTGTTCAGGGGACAGAAAAAAGAAAATACAACCCAAAGAACAGCTGATACTTCCAAATAGATGTGGCTCTGAGCTTCCAGCCTTGACCCAGCCTTGACCCAGCCCCAGAGTTCCTCACCATGTTTGGCTCTTAACTGTCTTCCCGATGTCAGGGCTAGCCCCACATTACCATACACTGCCATTGGTCCGAGAAAAACGGACTTGAGTCCCTTTCCCCGCTGCCTTCTCCAGTCTGAAATTCACCTTTCAAGTTTTCATTTACTGACCTAGAATCAGGTTAGTAGGATTATCAGCAGGGATGGTCTCTTTTCTCAGGGGAGTTCCTCCTCCCCAAGCTTGCATTATGGCCTTGAGTGGGACAAATGAAATGGCACCAGAAAGTAGCCACCCAACATCCCTGTGTTCTGGGGCACTCAGACTTAAATGACTGCCTCTAAGATTGTCCTCTTCCTTCGCACAGGCTTTCCTTTAGTGTGAGGTCAAGTTCAAGTCTGCAGAGGCCTCCTGTTCCCACGGAAATACAGATCTAGGTCTCCAGCTTGTTGGAGAACATACCCAACTCCCTAGAACAGGCAATATCTTAAGGACACAGAGCAATGTCACTCCCTGCTGAGAAAGTACAGATCTCTTCTAATAACAAATGTCTGCCAAAAGAGACACTGAATTTGCAAAACCAAGAAAAAGCTTAACTCCTCAGACTAAGAAATCTGTAAGAGGACCACTTTGCCAAATTCAGGTTTTCTCTCCACAGAGGTCTATGCACCCCAGCTCCACCTTTGCTTTCCCCCAGAGAGAGGCTTTCCCTGACAAAGGGACAGAAGGGGACAGCCTGCCTCAATGAGAAATTTCATATTCCCCTCTTAGGAAGTGATTCTCTTAGGAGGCAGTTTCTGCTGCCAACTTTAACATGCTGCTTTTACCAACTATTAAACCCACCCAGGCTTTCAAAAACAGACGCAGTTCTAGTAAGGGCAGTCTGTGATAGCCAGTGCTGAGGAAGTCGAGTGCTCTGCCCATCCTCCTGTGAGTTCTTACACAGTGTAGAGAGAACAGAACTTCGCCTCCGCTGGGTGACTCAGGCACCCGAACACCAATTAACTGCACTGTTCTGCTAATACAATGACGCCTCCAGGGAAACTGGGCTGGGCAGGTCAGTTTACCCTGGTATTAAAGGGCCCCAGACAACTCTTCGCTGAGTTCTGTCTCCTGCTTTATAGGTGTCTTAGTCTGTGTTGTTATAATAGAATACCAAAGACTCGGTAATTTATAAAGAACAAAGATTTATCTCTTACATTCTGGAGGCTGGGAAGTCCCAGGTCAAGGTGGCTACAATCTAGTGAGGGCCTTACTGGTCATCCCATGGTGGAAGGTGGAAGGACAATAGAGTACATGTGAGAAAGAGAAAGGGGAAGGATGCCAAATTCATCCTTTTTTATCAGGAACCCACTCTTGCGATAACTAACCCTCTCCCACCCTAACGACATTAATCCATTTATAAGGGCAGAGCCTCATGACCTAATCACCTCTTAAAGGTGATTAACACCACCCACCTCTCAAAACTAGCATTGGGGATTCAGTTGCCAACACATGAATTTAGGGGGACACATTCAACCATAGAAGTAGGATTTGCATTTCTTACTTGTCTTTCAGGCTGTCACATTTGTCCTTCCTGCTATTGTTGGTGACTCTGCTCCACAGAGAACCATCTTCTCTTCTCATCCCTGTTGTGAGCTGAGAATCTTGACATCCAAACTTCATAGAACTGCTTCTGCGTGAACAGCATACGCATTTTGAGTGAGGACCTCAGGGTCTTCCATCTGAGTAAATAACATCAAATTTAGTTTCTTAATTGTTTCTTCTTTTTTCAATTCTGTTGCTGATATTCATTCATCCGTCTATTCATTCAACTTATGTGTTAGGTCCTAGAGCCATGGTTCTTAACCTTGGCTACACATTGGAGTCAGCTGGGGAGCCTTAAAGACTTCCCAACACCAGGCTTCCATCGCTGGAAGATTCTGATATAAATGGTCCTGGGTATGTCTTGGGTATTGGGAGTTTCAGAAGCTTCCCAGGTGATTCTAATGTGCAGCCAGGGTTGAGAACTCCAGGTCCAAAGGCTAAGGGACTTCTTCATGGTTTGTTAATAGCATGTGGGAACCCATCAGCTCCCTTCTCTATAACATCTGACAGCTATTTCCACTGTTAGGAGTCTTTGGAGCTTTGTCTTATCTATATTTTTTGCTCCTTGGAATATTTGAGTCTTTAGGGATGCTTTTCCGGACCTTTCTTTCTCGAATAATGTATAGAATATGTGATTAGAAAGATTAAACTCTTGGGCCAGAGTCTGACATGGTTGCAGATAATAAGCTTTTATTGGTCATTGACTTGGGATCAAATCTTGGTATTTAAGAAATCTGAGCTTCTTCCTATAACAGAATTTTATCTTGAGCTATAGAAGGCACACTCTGTCTCCAAACATCACGGCTTCCTTCCTCATCTTCCAGACTTGAAACTCAGGATTCTTTTTCAGCATAGAGGTCTGATCCAAAAGGCCAAAGAGTTGTTCCAGCTTTCCTAATCACTTCCTGTGTGACCTTGAGTAAGTTGCTTAATCACTCTGGGCTCTAGATGCCTCATTTTAAAGTTTTCAGTAATGCATGTCATAAACTTAATTTTATTATCAAGGGGTTGTTGTGATCATCAAGGATTATAAATGCATGCTTTTTTTTGTAAAGAAAGAAATTCAGCAGTATTATTACAAAGTAAAATACCTACTGTGAATTGGTGTTAACCATTCACTTCTTCCTTTCTTTTCCACAAGTTTAACTCTAGTTTAGGGTTTTAAAACTTTATACAGAGATTATTGAAAGTAATTTCTGAGACTCATATAAAGCACAAATAATATACTATTTTAATCTGGGGTGGGGTTTATTTTGTATTAAATCTATTTAGGGTTAGAATCGGGAATGTGTGAAAAGAAACAAAGTTGAGTGATGCAAAGTCCAGCCTTCCGAATGGAAGACAGAGTTTCGGGAGTTGCTTGGGAGCTGGACAGCCCTTCCCTCTTCTGCCTGCTACATACAAGCAAAAATATACCCAGCAAGTGGGCAGGGCACTTCCCAAGGCTAATTTACCGGAGCTGTTTTGTAATGCAATTCAGGTTACTGACTCTCTATTAGCAACATGTTGTCCCACTGTTGTGCCTGCAGGAAGGACATCTCTTGCAGGCCAGGGGAAGTTAATGGCAGAGATTAACCCTCATGGTGCCAGAGGACCAGTTTATTTTCAGATGTCCAAGGCTGACAAAGGAAAATCAGAAAGAGAAAAGAAAAGTGAGCTGTCACTTTGAGTCAAGACCATCCTAATTTCTTTTCTCCATGCCTCCATCCTCAGGGCTCAGGGCTCTCCCCTCCACCTCCACAGCAGAGTGGGCAGGAGAGAGCCTGGCTGTGACTTTTGTGCACCTGGATGGGGCCCATAGATTTTTCATGACACAAATGGAGACTGAGGTGGGGGAGAGTCGGACAGACCAGGGAGAGGGGATGCTGAGGCCTGAAGGAGAAGAGACTAAGGAGCTACACAGTGTGGGGAGAGGGAGAAGGAGGCAATGGGAGGAAAGAGATGTCCCCAAGAGGGAATACTGTGCAGCTACAAAGTACGCTGCTCTGATCTCCCTTCAAGGCAACCTGCCGCATAGAGAGAAACTGGTGCACTGCGTTCTGCATATTCTGATCTGTTTCAGCCCTCACAGGGAGCCCCCAGCACCCCCACTGCACTCCTCAAGCTGCTCCCAGTCCATCACTGAGCAGAGTGAATGCTCCTTTGCCTTGAAGATCTCCATCTGCTGGGCTTCCCTGAGATTGCTCCTCCCCAGGCCTCCTTCCTCCCCTCACTCCTCCCACAGGTATCAGGTCTGAGCTGTACTCTGAAGGCGTTCTCTTTACCTTTCACAGATGTGTCCCCCAGTCAATCAATCTCTTGCGTGTCTAATTCCATCTTAGTGTCTGCTTCTTAAGAAGTAGACTGACCCAAACTGACACTGCCCCTCGGGGATGTCCATGGGAACCTCTACACAGGGATGTCCTAGTTTATGTACAAGGAGTCCTTTCCCTTCTGCCCATTTATAATCTCTCCTGTCCCACCGTGCAAAATGAAGAGATCCCTTTCACCTCTCCAGCGTCTGAGTATGAACATTGCCCCAGGGGTGTTAAAAACATCCCAGGTGCCAAACAATAACAATGTGAAACATTGGCATTAGCCTTCTTTAATCAAGATACTACGAGCCCATGATTGGTTCCATCTTAAGTACATTGTGGCTAATGGACAAACCACGGTGTTTTGTCCATGTCGTCATGCTCTTGTTTCACATCTGTTAAAGACCAGGGTGGCAGAAGTGGTGACAAGTTTCATTCAAACATTTCCTGGAGTGGCCATGAGAAGGCTCCTCACAGAATTCCAGCTCCAGGGGGCTAAATTGACTCAGGGGCCCCAGTTCCTGCCTTCTGAAATCCACTGGCACAAATGTGCATGATTCCATCACCGTGAGCTGCTCTCAGCCAACCACTGAATGCGACTGGGAAACTGAGGCAGATCTGCTCCTGGGAGACTCGGGACTCCTCCGATGGCCAGACTTGACTCGCGAATTCCCTGGTGGCCTTGCTGAAACTTCCTGAGGGTGCACAGCAGCCTGGGATGCTTCCACCCTCTCTCCTTCATGCAGCCTCGCACTCACACTGCCATCTGACCGGTCCCGGCCTTCCTCAGCACCACCACCCCACCTTTGCTTTCTCTCATCCTTGATTCCTCTAACAAAATCTTTGCATGCCAAGTCTCTGCATGTGTAAGCTCATCGTGGGTCTGTTTCTTGGAGAACCCACCCAAACACGGGTCCCTTCTTCCACCATAAGCCACCCCCTGCCCTGGCTGTCAAAGATGGCAGCCCTCCTAAGGTGGAGCCCATGGGCACAAAGCAGATGCCCTGACAGAGCTGAGCCTTTCTTCACCTGGACCCCATTACATTGTCACCCAGACATTCATGGTGGGTGGAGCTCCATGGCCCAGCTGTCCATGTCTCAGTCAGGAATGCAAGGATGCCATCATGGAGGACGCAAGTCAACAGAAAGATTTGCATTAAAAAATAAAGTTGAACATTTTTTTTTTCTTTTTTGAGACAGGGTCTCACTTTGTCACCCAGGCTGGAGTGCAGTGGCAAGATCTCAGCTCACTACAGCCTTGACCTCCTGGGCTCAAGGGATCCTCCCACCTCAGCCTCCTGAGTAGCTGGGACTACAAGCACACACCACCACACCTGGCTAAATGTTATTTTTGTAGAAATTGGGAGGCCGAGGTGGGCAGATCACGAGGTCAGGAGTTGGAGACCAGACTGGCCAACATGGTGAAACCCCGTCCCTACTAAAAATACAAAAATTAGCTGGGTGTGGTGGCAGGTGCCTGTAATCCTAGCTACTTGGAGGCAGAGGCAGGAGAATTGCTTGAACCCAGGAAGTGGAACTTGCAGTGAACCAAGATTGTGCCACTGCACACCAGCCTGAGTGACACAGCAAGATTCTGTCTCAAAAAAAAAAAAAGAAAGAAAGAAAGAAAGAAATGGGGTCTTACTATGTTGCCCAGGCTGGTCTCAAACTCCTGGGCTCAAACAATCAGCTCACTTCAACCTCCCAAAGTGCTGGGACTACAGAGATGAGCAACTGTGCCTGGCAAAGCTGGACATTTTCTAACAGAAAGTAAGCCTGTTTTGACAGTGAGACCTGGCCTTGCTATTTTGATTACACGGCAGACATTTTCTGTATGTTGAATGACTGAAACTGGGGGGCAGGGTGGGGCGAGCCCACAAAGCACGTAGTTTAAAAAGTATAGATTTTTAAATTACGTTGATAAACAAGAATTGAAATTAATGATATTTCAGGCTTTTCAACCTTTTCTGAATATACCAGGTATGAAAATATGCTTCCAAAGAAACTTATAATTAAGAATCACTTGGTAAGTCTTGGTAAAGCTTTTTGGTGTACTTCCTAGAGAGTAAGAGAAATTAGTGGTTCTAATGACTGAGTAACAAATCCTTCTGCAAGTCAAATGGTTTCTAGTTCCTTGCCTTGAGCAAAATTGAAGGAGTACTTAATTGAGCTGTCAACTGACAGATGGAAAATATGATTTTTGGCAGATACCTTGGAAGGAGCTTAGAGAATTGAGTGCTACTAATATAAGAGAAATTTTTCTCTTTCCTCCTACTTATTTGTGTAAGCCAATGTTTACCAGCACCTGAATCTATAAAACTAAGGATGAAAATAAAACTGTTGCTAACTCTGTCTCATTCATTCCCACATACATGAGCTCATTGGAAAACACGAACAAATACTCATCTAGCTCACTGAGAAATTCATTTAAAATGCAATTTTACCTTTCCTATTTAAAAATTGTATTCATGTTTAATAACGTGATATTTTTATATAATGCTGATTAATGGGTACTACTAGTGACATTCATGATAACCAAGAAGAAATATTTTAACACTTAGGGCTTAAGAATGCAGAATAAAAGTCTTATGTATAAAATTTTCAATTTATGTAGATATTTTTGTGGCAGAGAAATAAAACAGGATGATCAACAGGCATTGGAGTATAAAAATATATTACATTAGAAAAATACATTAGGGAAAGGCAATGAAAATATGAGCTCAAGGAGAAAAAAAAGTAGTGTAAAATTTTAGACTACTATAAAGGAGCTTGTTTATGTATTTTTTCTTTCTTTCTTTTTTTTTTTTTTGAGATGAAGTCTCGCTCTGTCACCCAGGCTGGAACACAGTGGCCTGATCTCGGCTCACTGCAACCTGGGTTCAAACGTCCCCTGGGTTCAAACGATTCTCCTGCCTCAGCCTCCCAAGTATTTGGGATTACAGGCACCCGCCACCATGCCCAGCTAATTTTTGTATTTTTAATAGAGATGCGGTTTCACCATGTTGGCCAGGCTGGTCTCGAACTCCTGACCTCAAGTAATCCACTTGCCTCAGCCTCCCAAAGTGCTGGAAGCACAGGCATGAGCCACCGCACCCGGCTTGTTTATGTATTTTCAAATGGATAATAGATATCAAATCACTATGATGTTTAGATATCATTGGATATGTTTATTAATACATTTAAAATGGCTTTGTTTAAAAATGTTCATAGTTATGTATAATAGGTCAGAAATAATATTCCATGCAACTACTTTAACTTATTTAAGCTGTGATGCCAGGGGACAAGGCTTTTCATGATTTGCTGAGAGGGGATGCAAAATAAAAAGTCTGAAGGCCAGGCAGCTCAAGAGTTCTCAATCTTGCTTGCACATTAGAATCTCCTGGAGTGGCCTGTAATCCCAGCACTTTGGGAGGCTGAGGTGGATAGATCACTTGGGGTCAGGAGTTCGAGACCAGCCTGGCCAACATGGCGAAACCCCGTATCTACCAAAAATACAAAAAAATTAGCTGGCCATAGTTGCAGGCACCTGTAATCCCAGCTACTCGGGAGACTGAGGCAGGAGAATCGCTTGAACATCAGAGGTGGAGGTTGCAGTGAGCCAAGATCACGCCACTGCACTCCAGCCTGGGTGACAGAGCGAGACCCTCTCTGGAAATAAATAAATAAATAAATAAATAATAAATAAAGTACAAAAAAAAAAAGAGAGAGAGAGAATATCCTGGAGTGATTTTTCAAAAATATATGGATTCCTGGGCCCCACTCCAGACCAAATAAATCAGAGTCTGTAGGAGAGGGACTCAGGCATTGGGATTATTTAAAAATACTCAGGTATTTTTAATGTGTCTAGGCTTGAGAACCCTTGGGGGCCTAGAAGAATAAGGACTCCTCTAGGGTGGCTGAGAGTTATCTGGATCTTGTGGGAGGAGCAGGTAGCTGAAGCTCTGTGGCCCTGGGGCAAGAACAGTGAGAACTCCAAAACTTCTGATGCTTCTCTTGATTTTAGTCTCTGGTGAAGAAGAGCCAAGGTGTCCTGTCAGCTGTGTTCTAAAACAGCACATGGCCACTCCATGGCTCAGTTCTCAGGGTCTGAGAAGCCCCTTCCTGGGCTGCTCCTGCTTCTCCTGGAGCTGGGACTCCTCTTTCTCATGATTGAGGTGAGACACCCTTTCGCTAGACCTGCAGAATGTGAGGCTGACCTCAGGGAAGAAGAGAGAAGGGAAGGGAGAGAAGAATTTGGAGACAACAATATAGGGTGGAGGTGCGCGCTCCCAACTCCTGTAGGGCATGTGGAGGGGCAGTGTCAGGGGCATTGATTATGTTGATTCCGACCTACTCTAAGTCCTTTGGGATGATTTGAACTTGTCTAGGCTCTACACAGCTCCCGAGAAACAGAGGCACCCAATTTGCATGAATGACAGGTCCATAGCAGATAGGCAGAGCCAGAAAGAAAGCCAACAGGAAACTAGGAGTCATGAGACTCATGGGTGCCAGGGGAGGCTCCCTCCTGGCTGGCTGTGTAACCCTGGGACTTTGTCACACAGATGGGCAGAAGGAAGTGAGCACTAACCTCTGTTGCAGCTCTGTGATTACATTAGATTGGTGCAAAAGTAATTGTGATTTTGCCATAACTTTTAAATGGCAGTAACTGTAATTACTTTTGCACCAACCTAATATCTCAGTGGTCTCCTGCTTTGTAGGAGTTTGTAGACCTAGGAGATCACATCTTCTAGGTCTGTCTGGACTGTTTGTATGAAGCACGTGTTCTCACAGAAGTGTTAGCTTAACCCGGTCATGGTCGCAGCTTACCTAGACGTCTCCACAGCCAACCACCCGTCCCTGGTTGACTCATTGGATTTATAAAGCCTCTCACGTCATTCTCGCATGTCTTATGCAATCAATATCCGACATCAAGCACTGAGATTTACCAGCCACACCTAATTCTGGGAAAGGCCAAATGAGAAAGGCATGTCTCTCACACATGACGCCTCTCTTTATGTTCTGTACCTGGTGTGTTAGTTTCCTGTGCCTGCCCTAACAAAGCACCACAAACCAGGTGAGTTAAAACAACAAAAATTTATTCCCTTTCAATTCCAGAAGGCAGCAGTCTGAAATCATTATCACTGGGCCACAATCAAGGGTTGGCAGGGCCATGCTGTCTCTGGAGGTTCCAGAGAGAATCTGTTCTTGCCTCCTTTGGTTTCTAGGAGCTGCAAGCATTCCTTGACTTGTGGACACATCACTCTAATCTCTGCCTCCATCTTCATATCACCCTCTCCTCTGTGTGTGTGTGTGTGTGTGTGTGTGTGTGTGTGTGTGTGTAAAATCTACCTCGGTCTTCTCTTTCAGGGATAAATGTGATTGCATTGAGGGCCTGGCTAATCCAGATAATCTCCCTCATCTCAGTATAATTAATGTAATCTCATCTGCAAAGATATTTTTTCCAAATGATGTAATATTTACAGGTTTCAGAGATTAGGACCTGATATCTTTGAAAGCCATTATTCAGTCCACTACACCTGGTGAAGAGATGTCATTTGGTTATAACGAGCTTTCCATCAGTCACTGAAACTTGTCCACTGCGTGGTCCCTGGTCACACCTTTCCCTTGTGGGTTTGGCTTCTGGGTTGCTAAATGTCTAGTGCCACCTCTAACAACAATACTCAACTTGATGTTTTCTAAAATTCTAGGTGTCTGCCTGAGATAGGAATCTAGGCCAAAATATTTCAGATACTTGTTGTCAGAGGGCAGTATGGATGGGGGAATAGGATGATATGTTCCAGAACTTGGCCTGAGAAGCAATGCTGTGAGTCTACAGGGGAGTCACAGAGACTCATTCATCAAATTACTGCTCTGTGCAGATGTGTCATTTTATGGTAAGGGAGTCCTTGAGTCCTAGATGTCCTCCAGGGACTCTGTGTAGTGGAGGGACAACTTTCTAGGCCACAAGACAACTTTTTTTTTTTGAGACGGAGTCTTGCTCTGTCACCCAGGCTGGAGTACAGTGGCACGATCTTGGCTCACTGTAACCTCTGTTTCCCAGGTTCCAGCGATTCTCCTTCCTCAGCCTCCTGAGTAGCCTGGGATTACAGGCGTGTGCCACCACACCCGGCTAATTTTTGTATTTTTAGTAGAGATGCGGTTTCACCGTGTTGGCCAGGCTGGTCTCGAACTCCTGACCTCAGGTGATCCACTCACCTTGGCCTCCTAAAGTGCTAGGATTATAGGCGAAAGCCAACATGCCCGGCTTGACAACTTTTTTTTTTTTTTTTTTTTTTTTTTTTTAGAGACAGGGTCTCACTCTGTTGCCCAGGATGGCGTGCAGTGGTGCAATCAAAGCTCACTGTGACCTCAAACTCCCAGGCTTAAGCAATCCTCCTGCCTCAGATTCCTGAGTTGCTGAGACTACAGGTGCATGCCACCATGCCCAGCTAATTTTTGAAATGTGTTTTAGAGATGGGGTCTCCTATGTTGCTCAGGCAGAGGACAACTCTTTTTTAAAAAATTTTTATTTTATTTTAATTTCTGGGGTCCACGGGCAAGCTTGTTATATAGGCAAACGTGTGCCATGGTGGTTTGCTGCACCTATCAACCCATTACCTAGGTATTAAGTCCAGCGTGCATCAGCCATTTTTCCTAATGTTCTCCCACCCACTGAGAGGCCCCAGTGTGCGTTGTTTCCGTCCCCGTGTCCATGTGTTCTCACTGTTCAGCTCCTACTTATAAGTGAGAATATGCAGTGTTTGGTTTTCTGTTCCTGCGTTAGTTTGCTGAGGATAATGGCTTCCAGCTCCATCCATGTCCCTGCAAAGGACATGATCTTTTTCCTTTTCATGGCCACATAGTATTCCATGGTGTATATGTACCACATTTTCTTTATCCAGTCTGTCACTGATGGGCATTTGGGTTGATTCCATGTCTTTGCTATTGTGAATAGTGCTGTAATGAACACATGTGTGCATGTATCTTTGTAATAGAATGATTTATATTTCTTTTGGTATATACCCAGTAATGGGATTGCTGGGTCAAATTGTATTTTTCCGGTTCTAGGTCTTTGAGGAATCACCACACTGTCTTCCACAATGGTTGAACTAATTTACTTTCCCACCAACGGTGTAAAAAGGTGAGAAGAACTCTTAAAGGGGTCCAACTGGGCTGAACAATCTGTAGCCAGATCACCTAAACCTGCCCCTTGAATGGTGGTAGGAAAGAGGGAAGAAGTGAACAAGGGGCAGCACAGGGGAACATGAGCTCATGCCCCATTTTTGGATGCCGTTGGAAAAGAAAGCCAAATAGCAAGAGGGAGGGGATGTAAAATCTTGATAAAAGATCTCCAGCTGCATGGTGCTTTTCATCAACAAATGGATCTGAGGTGCAATTAGTAAATGTGAAAGGATCTCTCAGGACAGCCACAAAAGGGGTTGCTAAGTTTGGAAGCTTCTCTGAGTACCTCGCACATGGTAAGTCCCATTAAATATTTGTTAATGCGTTGGTGTTTCCACTTGGGAAAGAAGGGTTTCAGTCATGCATGCACAGCATTTTTTTAGCTTTGGGTGGATGGTGGATTCTTGTTATTCTGTCCTGGCGTTTGCTGTACTAAGAACCCTTTAATTCGAATTTGGGTAGCTTCATATCGTATTTGGATTAACACTGAACCAACACTGCCAACACTATGGATAAAGTGTTTTCTTTTGGGTTTTAAGAGCATCAGCTCTATCCATTTGTGGTGTTTAATCTATTCTGAATCAATTATATAATTCAAATAAATGACTCAATGGTTTTCTTATTTACTAATCTTTTTACGTGTTTATTTTCTCAACTATTCTAAGCCATTCTGCATTATCTTAGTATCCACTTTTTGACTCTCTCTCTCTCTCTCACACACACACACACACACGAGTGTGCTGTCTTTCGTAATTTGGTACCAGCTGCAAAATGACTAATAGGCAATTATGGTTTCCTCTTGAGAGTCTATGGAATATCAAACAGTTGGAGTCCTCTGACTGGGCCCAAGTGTTTGGTGATGATTTTAACCACATTGGAGTTCAAGAAAGCATCAACCTACTATAATCCTTCTGGAATGGAACCAAACCAGGGACTCTTCTGGCTGTGACAGCGAGTGTGGAGAGTCAAAGTCTAGGCCTGGCTCTGCCACTAATTTCCTTCCCTGTCCAGGGGCCTGCTGCAAGCTGTTCCCCACTGGCTGTGTCTGTGCTGCCAGCTTGCAGCAGGTCCCTGGGCAGAGAAGGAGAGAGGAGAGTCCCTGGAGCTCTGTGCTTATCCTCCTCCCAGGCTATTCTCACCCTAGCTTTAATGCCATTTCTTGGGGATGCCTTTCCTGACTCTGGGTCTAGTACAGATTCCCCTGCTACCTTCCTCCAGGCCCTGATCACCCATTACCCTATTCATGTATTCAACTACCTACTATATGCCAGGCAGTGAGCTAGATGACAGGCATGCGGTGTGAAAAAGACTGCCTGCCCTTATGGAGCTTATGATAGGTGGCAGGGAGGGGCTTGAGATAGACAGCAACCCTGTACACAGTAAAGGTAGAATTCAGCCATGGGAAGTCACCAAAGGAGAAGAAAGGGATATGTTGAGAAAGTTCACCAAGGGCCATCACGGGGACTGAGCTCAGGCCCAGGTCCCAGCTAGAGAGGTGAGAGCCCTGTGATCGTGCCTGCCCAGGTGCCTGCTTCAGGACTCTGGCTCAGAACCTTTCATTCAACACAATGTACTGACACCTACTGAGTGCCCAGCTGTGATATGCCTCTTTCTTCAAACCCTGCTCTTGGCCAAACCTAGACTGTTTAGCCTGTGGTGGGCACAAGCCCCGACCTGTAGAGGGTGGTCTGGCTTTGTCACAGAATTGGGCATTTCTGAGAGTTTGAGAGATTCCTTAGCAGGGATCAGTATAAAGTACAACATGGTTAATTCCTGAGTGCAGGCTGTGATGAGTGACAAAGGAATCAACTATGAAGCAGGAACAGGAACCCAAGAAAAAGGAAGAGTCTGCATAAATAGTGATGGGTTTCTAGCTTTTCTTTCAATGAATATTAAAACAATGGTGACTGGTGGCCATGTCTATGCTATAGACTGTCCCCTTGACCACAGCTAATAAAGCCAGAGTAAACACCCGACTACACTGGGCAAGAGTACATGGTCATCAGGCTACAGTTGATGGGACCAGAGAGAGCACCCATCCCAAGGGAGACCAATCAAAATGTTTCTCCAGGTAGCACCCAAGTTGGAGCTAAGGAAAGAATCCAATAGCCAGGTCCCAGCCATATAGAGGACGCCACTGTGCAGCACGACACAGTAGGAAAGAAAGAAGTTGCTATGAAGAAAGAAGCACATATAGAATTCAGACAGAGATAGATAGATAGATAGATAGATAGATAGATAGATAGATAGACAGACAGATAGATATAGATAGATAGATATAGACAGACAGATAGATAGATAGATAGATAGATAGATAGATAGATAGATAGATAGATAGATAGATAGAGAGAGAGAGATTTGTGGTGCTATTTTAATCCCTGATTCTAGGCCAGACACGGTGGCTCACGCCTGTAATTCCAGCACTTTGGGAGGCTGAGGCAGGCAGATCACTTGAAGTCAGGAGTTTGAGACCAGCCTGAACAACATGATGAAACCCCTTCTCTACTAAAGATACAAAAATTAGCTGGGCATGATGGCAGATGCCTGTAATCTCAGCTACTCAGAGGGCTGAGGCAGGAGAATCACTTGAGCCCAGGAGGCAGAGGTTGCAGTGAGCTGAGATCACGCCAATGCACTCCAGCCTGGGTGGCAGATCAAGACTCTGTCTCAAAATAAAATAAAATAAAATAAAATAAATATCTCTGCTTCTAGTTGTTTCTGTGGCCCAGAAGGACCCCCTACACTTACCATGACTTTGTTGTTAACTCCTTAGGGGAAAAAGAAATCCTTCCATTCTCTAAACTAGCTTGAGTTGATTTATATCACAGCATCTCCAAGAGCATAGATCTTCTGCTACACGACAGGGCCAGGGCCAGGACACCACTTTCAGCTCCAGGCAATTGCACTGAGGACTCAGTGACACAAGTAAGTACAGCTTCTCCCACATCGGCAATTATTATTTCAGAGAAATTATTTGAAGACATTATTTTGAAGAAACTAACATCACACAGATAGCCAAAGTTGACCTTAATTATGTTATTATAAGATTAACTCAACATAATTTAGCAAATATTTCTTAAGTGTCTAGAACATAATCCTGTTCTGGGAACCAGGGAGAAAGCAATGACTGAAAAGTGCAAAAATCTCTATTCCTCATAGATATGGCTTGATCCGTGTTGCTGCCCAAATTTCATGTCAAATTGCTATCCCCAGTGTTGGAGGTGGGGCCTGGTGGGAGGTGATTGGATCATGAGGGCAGATTCCCCCTTGGTGCTGTTCTTGCCATAGTGAGTTCTCATGAGATCTGGTCGTTTGAAAGTGTGTATCACCTCCCCCTTCTCTATCTCTTTCTCTTGCTCCAGCCGTGTGAAGTGCCTGCTTCCCCTTCGCCTTCTGCCATGATTGGAAGCTTCCTGAGGCCTCTACAGAAGCAGAAGCCGCTATGCTTCCTGTACAGCTTGCAGAACTATGAGCCAATTAAACCTCTTTTCTTTATTAATTACCCAGTCTCAGGTATTTCTTTAGAGCAGTGTGAGAATGGATTAATACACCCATTCTAAGCCAACTGGTTTGCTAGGGCTGCTGTAACTAAGTACCACAGATTGGGTGGCTTAAGCAACAGAAATTGCTTGTCTCGGCAGTTGTAGAAGTTAGAAGTCTGAGGTCAAAGTGTCCATAGCATTGGTTCCTTCTTAGGGCTATGAGGGAAGGATCCATTCCAGGCCTCTCTCCTTGACTTACAGATGGGCACTGTCTCCTTTTATCTTCATATCGTCTTCCCTCTGTGTCTGTGTCCACATTTTCTCCTCTAAGAACACCAGTCATATTGGATAAAAGCCCACCCTAATGACCTCATTTGAATTTAATTACCTCTTAAAGATCTGTGTTCCCTCAATGACCAATGTCCCCTTAAAAAACTGTGTCCCCTCAAAAATCCATATGCACCTCAGAATGTGACCACATCTGAAGACACAGTTCAGCCTACAACAACCTTCATTGTTTTAAAACAGTGAGATTTGGGCACTGCCTGTTACCACAGAATAACCCAGACTACCCTGACTGATACAAAGAAACAATCACAGGTAGATGCAAAAAGACAGTTTCTTCGAGTTGCATTTATGACCCTATTAAAAATGACACCAGGGACTTTATTTTAAAGAAAGCTATGTGTGTCACAGCCATGAATAAATTAGCCCGCAGCAGTATTCTTAGAGTGGAACAACATTATTTTTTTCAGTTTAGGAGGCTGAGGCCAGAGAAAATGAATGTTTCTTCCTGAGCAAACAGGAAGACGCTGGCCTGGGATGACTCCCAGTCAGGGGCGTTGCCTGGTGCCTTCCTGCCTCCCTGGGATCCAACATGGCGCCCATCACCCAGGCCAGCTTCGTCCCCTCAGGCTTCTCCGTGGGTGTCAGACTTGTCAGGGACCACCAGAGCTGTCAGGCGTCCTTGTCTGCTATGAACTCGGGATGCCTCTTGCTCACTGAGGCATTATCCTCCAACAAGTGACTGGTTAATTCCTTAATCACCTGTTTGAGTCGTCCCTCTGCATACCAGGCCTCACTTCCTATTTCCTCGTGGTTCTGAGATGGTCGGAAAGGTAAGAGGTGGTTTACTTCTTCCCCTGGGCAGGTCCTTCAGACTGTGAGGAGGAAAATACCCTCTGTGTTAGTTTCTGTGGCTGCTGTAACAAATTATCACAAACCAATTTGGTGACTTAAAAGTTTATTCTCCCTGGAGGCCAGAAGTTCCACATCAAGGTGTCAGCAAGGCCCTGCATCCTCTGGGAGTGCTAGGGGAGAATCCTTCCTGGCCTCTCCCAGCTTCTGGTGGCGGCTCCAGGCAGTCCTTGGCTTTCCTCCCTGCATCGCCCTAAACTCTGTCTCCACCTTCACTTGGCTTCTCCTCTCCGTCTCAAACCTCCCTCTGCTTTTCTCTTAAAAAGACACTTGTTAAGGTCAGGCGGGCAGATCACGTTGATAATCCCAGCACTTTGGGAGACCAAGGCGGGAGGATCCCTTGAGCACAGGAGTTCAAGACCAGCCCGGGCAACACGGCAAGACCCCACCTCTACTAAAAATACAAAAATTAGCCATGGCGTGGTGGTGTGGGCCTATAGTCCCAGCTACCCAGGAGGCTGAAGTAGAGGATCACCTGAGCCCAGGAGGTCGAGGCTGGAGTGAGCTGTGATCGTGCCACTGCCCTTCAGCCTGGACAACAGAGTAAGAACTTGTCTCAAAAAAAAAAAAAAAAAAAAAAGACACTTGTTGTTGGATTTATGCTCACTTGGATGATCCAGGATGGTCTCATTTCAGGATCCTTAATTTACTTACATCTACAAAGATCCTTTTTCCAAGTAAGGTCCCATCCACAGCTTCCAGGGATTAGGATGTGGGTATATATTTTGGGGTGGGTGCCACCATTCAACTCACTACAATCTCTGTGTGTAAAATTTTGCCCTTCTCTGCAAGGGCAAAATAACCTCAACAAACTAAATTGGTGAAACCAGGAAAATGAAACCTAACAAGGATAATAATACCAATAATAAAATAGCTACCATTCTCTTGGTGTGTAGCTTCATGAAAACTTCTCAAGACAAGTGTGGGATGTAAATAAAGTCTGTGCTTGGCCTGTTCATCCCTTTCTTCACAGGTTTATCTCCTTTTACACTGTGTATGGGAAAACTCACTGCTTTTCCTTCTTTTTTTTTTTTTGAGATGGAGTCTTGCTCTGTCACCTAGGCTGGAGTGCAGTGGCATGATCTCAGCTCAATGCAACCTCTGCCTCCTGAGTTCAAGCAATTCTCTGCCTCCACCTCCCAAGTAGCTGGGATTACAGGTGCCCATCACGACGCCTGGCCAATTTTTGTTTTAGTAGAGACAGAGTTTCACCATCTTGGCCAGGCTGGTCTTGAACTCCTGACCTCGTGATCCACCCGCCTCAGCCTCCCAAGGTGCTGGGATTACAGGCGTGAGCCATGCACCCAGCCACTGCTTTTCCTTCTACACTCACTCATAACACTCTCTGTTTGGCACCAGATGTATATGGGTTTTTCCCACACCAGGCAATTTTCCAGTTCTCTGCAGACACCAACTGGGTGTCCTACAATTCAATTCTGACACTATCTGCCTGAAATCAGTGCAGACCCCACAGGTTAGGAGCTCAGTCCCACAAAACAGGCCCCTCTTCAGACGCCAATGGCAAGTCCAAGTTGTCACCTGTGCTTCTGACCCCAACCACCTCCTTGGGTTTGATAATTTTCTAGATTGTCTTACAGACTTCAGGGAAACACTTTGTTACTTGATTACCAGTTTATTACAAAAGTATACAACTCAACTCAGGAAAAGCCAGATAGAAGAGACACCTAGAGCAAGGTATAGGGGAGAAGGGGCATGCAGCTTCCATGCCTTCTGGGGTGCACCAATCTCCCAGCACCTCCACCTGTTCAGCAACCTGGAGGCTCTCTGAACTGTGTTGTTCAGGGATTTTTAGGGAGGCTTTCTCACATAGACATGACCAATTATGTACTCAACTCCATCTCCAGCCCCTTGCTCCTTCCCAGAAAATGGGGGCATGAGGCTGAAAGTTCTATGCTTCTAATCATGGTATCGTCTTTCTAGTGACCAGCTGCCATCCAGGAGCCACCAGGAGTCACCTCATTAGAACAAAAGATGCTCTCATCACCCAGGAAACCTCAAGGACTAGAAGCTCTGTGTCAGGAGACAGGGTTAAAAGCCAAATAGTAGGCCGGGCATGGTGGCTCACACCTGTAATCCCAGCACTTTCGGAGGCCAAGGCTAGAGGATCACCTGAGGTCAGGAGTTCAAGACCAGCCTGGCCAACATGGTGAAACCCCGTCTCTACAAAAATACAAAAAGCAGCTGGGCATGATGGCAGGTGCCTGTAATCCCAGCTACTCGGGAGGCTGAGGCGGGAGAATCGCTTGAACCTGTGAGGTGGAGGTTGCAGTGAGTTGAGATCGTGCCATTGCACTCCAACCTGGGCAACAGAGCAAAACTCTGTCTCAAAAAAAAAAAAAAAATAGTAGAACAAAAGATATACCTAGCACCCCCATTGCTCAGGAATTTACAGGTTTTAGGAACTCTATGCCAGGAACCAGAGACAGAGACCAAAAAATATATATATACATATAATTTTGTTATGATGTCACACCTCCTTCTACTTCCACTGTCTCTCCATAACCCAGGATCCTCATATTTATCAACTAATTCCGTCTAAGTTCCTAGGTGGTTAATAAGTAGTTCCTCCACAGACATTTGTATTTTACATTTGAATAATAGAGAGAAGGACAATGCTAAAGCCAGGGAAGAAATTTTCTCATTGTAAAATTTTGGACATTGATGAGGGATCTGTTTCTGGATGAAAAGAAGGAGTGAAGTGGTAGCACTGCTTCTAATTGTGCATGCTCTGTGTCTCAGGCTGTATCAGATTCTATCATTAAGTTAAGCCCCAAGATAGACTCAGATAGCACCCTGGTCAAACTGGAGCCTAGCTGGAGGCTGGGAGGAGAGAGGGGGGTGGGGAGAGAGAGAGAGAAACAGAATTGGTACTCAAAATAACCTCAATGAGCAAAGCTGCTGAAACCAGGGAAATGAAACCTAACAAGGATAATATTAATACCACTACTGCTAATAAAATAGCTACCATTCTTTTAGTGCTTACAACAAGCTAGACACTGTGCTGGCAGCTTATAAATTTCCCTATTTGATTTCCAAAGTCAGCTATACACATGCAGCATGGAAAAAACTTTGCAGGTGGTTCTCATGAAAAAAAAATCTAAAGGTTTTAGCGACCACAAACTCAGTAAGTGAGTAATAACATCATTAGCATGTTACTAATGGGGCATGAATTTAGGCAGTTTTTGTGATATTGCAGTGCCCAGATCAAGGGTGATAAATAAACCTAATTTAGCAAGAGGCTACCTCTTGCACCCCGTTAACTGAGCTCAGGGACTTGAGGGTCACAAGATAAAGCAAGTACCTTCCAATGTCATAGTTTCTTATTTGTGGACAGATCTTCACTGAATCCTGACTGGTTTCTTGCTCCTTGGAGATGGCTTGAACATTCTGGGAGAAAAGCTGAAATCTCCCCTTTAGCTTTCTCTCTGCCCACACACCACAACCCTGGAGCAGCCACCTGTGGGTTCATGCCTTGACCTGACTTCTTCCTGGGGCACCCCAAAGGCCTCCTCCCCACTAGAATGTCTCAGCCCCTAAAGTTAGAATCTTTTCACTCCTTCAGGAGCCAGCTGCACCTGTTCTGACTTGAGTCCCCCTTCATTGAGGGTCTCTTTTTATTGGACAAGGACTGATGATGATGGGACAAGTGGAGGGAGAAGTGAAACCTTCAATTAAGCAATCCAAGAGAGCAACCAGAATGGGGTGGGGGTTGGCCACCAGGCCAGGTAGGAACAGCTGGAGTGCATTAGTCTGTTCTCACAATAAAGACATACCCGAGACTGGGTAATCTATAAAGGAAAGAGGTTTAATTGACTCACAGTTCCACGTGGCTGGGGAGTCCTCATAATCATGGTGGAAGGTGAATGAGGAGCAGAGTCATGTCTTACATGGTGGCAGGCAATAGACCATGTGCAGGGGAATTCCTCTTTATAAAACCATCAGATCTCGTGAGACTTATTCACTATCATGAGAACAATAAGGGAAAGACCTGCCCCCATGATTCAATTACCTCCCACTGGGTCCCTCCCATGAGATGTAGGAATTGTGGGAACTACAGTTCAAAGTGAGATTTGGGTGGGGACACAGCCAAACCATATCATAGAGGAAATGGGATATTTAGCTTAGAGAAGGCTTTGGGAGTCCCAAGAGCTGAATTCACATAGTGATAATTTTAACCATCATCTATTGGATAAATAGTAACAGGCTTTCTCCTCCATGTTTTATCTACATCATGCTTATTCACCTGAACCTTCACAAGCCTCTTATGAAAATAAGGTAAAGTAAAGCAAGGCAAGGCATTGAGAGCTTAAGCAACTTGTTTGAGGTCTCATAGCTCAGTTAATGTCAGGACCAGCAATCTACCAGAAGTTCTAATGCCAGTCTCCACCATCAAGAAGGAGAAAGCAAGATTTATTTTCTTTTACACCAAAAGATAAATGTAGGGATAATCGGCCAATATTCAGTAAAGCAGATTACTGGCCCAGTCTAGGAAAGAATTCTCTAACAGTTAGAGCTGTCTGGTAACCAGTGGGTGGCCCGTGGTGCCCTGAGCCTCCCATTAGGAGAGCATCCAAGCACAAGTCAGCCAACCATCTGCTGTGGATATATTAAGGAGATCTGCCATCGAATGAAGGTTGGGGCAGGAGAACTTGAGAGGATATATGTGCTTGGTTCAATGAAGCCCTCTTGAGTTCTAGGCAGTTCTCTAAAAGCCTGACATTCTAGGATTCCCCAAACCTGATAAACTTCTTTGTAATATTAAATCCACAACAATCAATGTCTTTGGAATCTTACCAGAGAAAAGCAATATCTGACCATGTTTGTTTTCTGGGCTGCTTCTCATATTCCATTCTCTCTCATCCAGGATTAATTTTACACTCATATTTTCTTTTCCTTTCTACAGTTAAGAACAATGGTGCACTTATACTGTCCTTAGCCCATTCCTGAGACATGAATAAGGCCTGAATTCTCTACTCTTAATGAATAACTCCATGTGTGCCAAATATCAATTCACACTTTATTTTATAACAAATTCTGGTTTCTTAGGCTGTGTGTTCTGACAACTTGGTATAAGAGTTCCTGGCATCCTCTGATTCACTGTGGCTTTCCATTTTCTATGATGTTTAATATCTTTATTCTGAAGCTTAAGAACGGTGACACAGGAAAGGGGCAATTTGAATTCATTAATAATAATCACTATAATGTAACCACAACCACTAACACTTACATGGTACTTATTACACACCAGGTCCCATCCTGAGCACCTTAAATATATTAACTCATTTAATCTTCATGACATGGCCATGAAGTAGGAACTATTCCAATTATCCCCATTTTAAAGGTAAGGAAACAAGTGTAGGGGAGTTAAGTAATTTGCAAGAAGCAGAGATAGGATTTGATTCCAGGCAACTGACAGTGACAGGAGGCAGCCAAATGCCTTGGCAGATAGGGGAGGGTCCCCGGTGAAACCCCACCTTCAAGCCAAAAACAGCCTGAAGGTTGAAAGACTGGATGAAACCCACGTCCCAGAGTGAGAACTTCTGTTCCTGTTTGCCCACCCTTTCCCAATTTATTCTTTCTGAATGATGACTTTTAACCAATCGAATATTGCCTTTTTCAATACTACCTACAGCCTGCCCTTCCCCTATTCTGAACCCATAAAAGCCCCAGACTTAGCCATATTAGGGGGGACATTCCTGCCTTTGGGTAGGGGGACCACTCCCACATCCCCTTTCTGCTGAAAGCTGTTTCATCACTCAATAAAACTCCCCACTTTGCTCTCTTTTTAATTGTCAGTGCATCCTCATTCTTCTTGGGCATGGGACAGGAACTTGGGAACCAGTGTGCAAGCCACACTCAGCCCAGGTGGGCCAAATGGGTGGTCCCATCTGGAGATGGTCCCATCTCCTGTAGCAGGTAGCGTGGTTGAGTGAGGCCCAAGTGGTGTGTCACTGGCTGAAGACCCCTGGCTTGCAAAGTGACCTAGAAAAAAATCCAGCTTAGCAACTGGGTTCCACTGTCCCCACCCTTAATCCACACCATCCTGCCTAGAGTGTGGGCCTGCTGATGACCAAGGGACCCTGGGCGAGTTGTCCATTTCCCAGGCTTTGGCATACTCATCTGTGACATGAAGAACAGGCCAGGTGCTGTATGACCACTTCCAGCTCTGATGTACAGGAGACAGCATTTCAAGGCAATGACACAGTATATGGACATGGCTCTATGTCCACACCCACAAGCCAGCAAAGAACCCTAAATTCACCTAATAGAGGAGCTCCTTACTCTGTTTTCTGAGCTCTCCATGCATTAAAATGACCTTATTTGATTCAGAAATCCATTCCTGGGTGTGGCTGTCTCTTCATAGAAATTACAATTAATTTCCCCTCATTTATTCCTGAGTGCAGCTGGGAAAACCAGGGGTCAGCATGTAGCAAAATACACTCTGCAACCGAAAAGTCATTTATTAGCATTCTTTAACTTCCTTTTGACTAAATAAACCATTAATCACATCCTTGAGATTCATTTATTTACTCACCAACACATTTATTGAATGCTGTTAGTGTAGCAGGCACCATGTTAGCCTGTGTCTCTGTTTAGGTTTTGGTAAAATCTGACTTGGGCGGCCACATTAGGGCTATGCTACCTGCTGTAAAACCTCCATAGTTCAAAGGTTTAAGAGATAAAAGTTTATTTCTTGTTCAGCTAAAGTATAAAACTGGTTCTGACCCAGGTTCTTTCCCTCTTGTGGCACTCGCTCCCTGGGGCATAGGAGGTATTTGCATGCAGCTCCTTGATGGGAAATGAGCAGGAGAAGAGAAGGTGCACCTTTCTCCTACTTACCTTTGCCCCAGAAGTCACGTGCAGCCCTTCTACTCATTGGTTACACTGCTGGAAACCTAGATGCAAGATCTGAGTGGGTAGATGGGGGTGGGGTGCTGAGAAATGTCACCCCAGCCTGGCAGCTTCTTCCCAGAGGAGAGCTTCTCTCTTGGGGGGCAGCTTCTGTGAAAGCTATTCAGTGGCTGATTTGTGGCACGCATACCAGAATGCACCCAGCAGGGCCTGCTGGACTCTCCAGTGAAGTTGCCCTGGGCTGGTGGGCAGGAATGCCCTGTCCGTGACACTGATGTGCACAACAGCTCCTTGGCAACTCTTCTTTGGAAATTACTTTTCAAGCAATTTGGAAGCAAAAGTTCTTTCTTTGTCAATCCCTCAGTGGTGACAATCTGCATTCTTTCTGGGCTGATTTAATTGTTGCAGATAGTCACAAGTCATTCAGAGTTAAGACTGGAACATGAAACGAGTGCGGAGTGCTCAGTAATGTTGTTTTGAATCAAAGTCAAAATGTACCACTAAGTGAAGGGATTGATTCTCTCCGGTTCCTGCCGCATGGACTCTGAGATGAGCCGAGCCCCAGCACTGTTTTGAGTAAGGGTAGGACTGTTTGATTAAGGCAGCAAAAGGAAGAACACCATTTTCTAAATATTAAATACGTAGTCCAGGACAAGTCTCCAGACCCTTTCTGGACTTGTTTCTTCATCTGTAAATTGGGAGATGGGTGTGGACTAGATCATCCCTTGCCTTCCTTGGAGCCCTGACATGCCAGATTCTAAGGATCAAGTTTTCTAAGGAGACTGCTTTGAATCCCACCTCTCATCTGCATAGGTCACTGCTGGAGGATTTGGTTTCAATACAACCTCATTTTTGTGAAAACTCAGCCTCATATTTTCAGTTATTTACACATTGTATTTTCTAGAATCAGAGGAGCCCAGGCTGGAAAACCATTCATCAAACAATTTGGAAGCAAAAGTTCCTTCTTCATAAATCCCTCAGTGTTGGCAATATGCATTCTCTGTGGACAGATTTAATTCTTGCAAATGGGTCCTAGCTCTGCCACCACACATGAACCAGGACAAGCCTCAGAACCTCTGCTTCCTCAAATATGACCTGGAAAAATCATAGCCCCCTCCCCGTGGAAATGGTGTGAACTCACAAGTCAGAAAACGCAGTGTCTGGGCATGGTGCCTGGCATGAGAAAGCACCAATAGATACGCACCATTGGGATTGGGCTATCTTGACCATTACTATCAGGTGTTCCACTCCCGGACCTGCTCCATGGTACCCCTGTTGGTGATCTGGGGGATGGGTGGACCCTCTGGCACTATCCCTCTTTGGATCGTACTGTTTTCAAAGAAAAGTCATAATAATAGCGGGGCAGTTCTACTCCCCGCTCCCAGCTTGTATCCTTGGGTCATGTCATACAAAAGCAGTCAGGCCCCTCTTCTATGAGGCAGCCCTCAAACGCAGAATGCCAGCTAGAAACATCTCACTCCAGGATCCTCACACTTGTACTTTCTGCAATTGTTCCTCTTATAAAAATGAATTCCTGTTTTTTCCCCCCCAACAATTCTGACTCCTCCTCCTTGAAAAGGAACCAGCTTGTCTTTATTTCCTTTAAAATGGGACACAGCCATGCATGGTGGTTCACGCCTATAATCCCAGCACTTTGGGAAACCAAGGCAAGAGGGTTGCTCGAGACCAGGAGTTCAAGATCAGCTTGGGCAACATAGTGAGATCTCATCTCTACAAAAATTCAAAAAAATTAGCCAGGCATGGTGGCGCACACCTGTGGTCTCAGCTACTCGGGAGGCTGAGGTGTGGGCCCTGGAAGTCAAGGCTATAGTGAGCTATGATTGCACCACTGCACTCCAGCCTGGGCAACAGTGTGAGACCCTGTCTCAAAAAATAAAAATAAAAAATAAATAAAATGGGACATATGGAATGAAGCTGTAGGTGAGACTGGGCCTGAGTCCAGCAGAGGGGGAATGTCACAACTGCACACTGAATCACTTGAGAAGCTTTAAAATCTCTGATACCCAGGCCACACCCAGCCCGTTTACATCAGATTCCCCAGGGATTTGACATCAGTATTTTTAAATCTTCTAGGTGATTTCCATGTGCAGCCAAAGTTGAGAATCACTGTTATAGATGCTTATTCCTGTTAATGTGGTATAAAATTACAATCAACACTAAAGTCAATATTGAGTCATATTTAGTCTACTGTTAAAAAACAAAACAAAACACCATGTCTCTTTTTACATGATAGAAAGCCATTGACTCTCTTTTTTTTTTTTAGAGATGAGGTCTCAATACGTTGCCCAGGCTGGTCTCAAACTTCTGAGCTCAAGCAATCCTCCTCCCTCAGCCTTCCAAAATGCTACGATTATAGGCGTGAGCCACTGCGCCCAGCTAGTTCCCAATTCTTTGTTGTTTTAATTACTTACATACAAATATTTTATACTTATAGAGATTAAATATTTTCTGGTTAAATTTGTCTCTTTCATATAACCCAGACTGAGCATGTTGGCTCATGCCTGTAATTCTAGCACTTTGGGAGGCCGAGATGGGTGGATCACCTGAGGTCAGGAGTTAGAGACCAGCCTGGCCAACATGGTGAAACCCCGTTTCTACTAAAAATACAAAAATTAGGTAGGCGTGGTGGTGACCTGTAGTCTCATCTACTTGGGAGGCTGAGGCAGGAGAATTGCTTGAACCTGGGAGGCAGAGGTGGCAGTGAGCTGAGATCGTGCCACTGCACTCCAGCCTGGGTAACAGAGCGAGACTCCATCTCAAATAGATAAATAAAATAAAATAAAATAAAAAATAAATAAATAGAATTTTAAAAGACATATAATCCAGAAGTCAACAAACTTTTTCTGAAAAGGGCCAAATAATAAATGTTTTAGGCTTTATAGGTCATGCAGTCTCTGTCTCAAGTAACCAATTCTTCCATTACAGCGCAAAGCAGCCATAGACATCCATGAACAAATGAAGGTAGATATGTTCCAATAAAACTTCGTTTATAAAAACAGGCAGCGAGCCAGATTCTCCCATAGGCTATAGTTTGTCAACCCCTGTGTAAGTGAGCAACTTTATTTTGGTTCACAGTTCTGTCATATAACACATCGGCTTCTACCTTCCTTTGCTCAACAAATCAGATAAGCAACTTTTCTTTGTTTCCATCTAAATCACTGATAAAACTGTTGAACAAGACAAATCACACCCATTAGGATGGCTATTTCACACCCAGTAGGATGGCTATTCTGAAAAAGAGAAAATAAGAAAACAATAAGTGTTGGCAAGGATGTGGAAAAATTAGAACCCTTGTGCATTGCTAGTGGGAATGCAGAATGGTGCAGTCACTGAGGAAAACAGTATGGTAGTTTCTCAAAAAAATTCAACACAGAATTATCAGGTGCTATATTTCTGGGTATACACCCAAAAGAATTGAAAGCAGGGACTGGAACAGATATTTGTATATTAATATTCTTTGCAGCATTACTCACAATAGCCAAAAGCCAGAAGCAACCCAAATGTCCATCAAAGAATGAATGGATAAACAAAATGTGGTGTATACTGCTATGATTTTGATGTGATTTATCCCTACCTAAAACTCATGTTGAAATTTGATTCCCAACATGGCAGTGTTGGGAGGTGGAGCCTAGTGGGAGGTGTTTGGTTCATGGGTCCCCATCGTCACGAATAGATTAATGTTGTCTCACTCACAGGTATGAGAGAGAGCTCTCACCTGCTCAGGAATGGATTAGCTCCTGGAAGTGGGAGTTCTTTTTTTTTTTTTTTTTTTTAGATGGAGTCTTGCTCTGTCACCTAGGCTGGAGTGCAATGGTGCGATCTCGGCTCACTGCAACCTCCAAGCGATCCTCCTGCCTTAGCCTCCTGAATAGCTGGGACTACAGGTGTGTGCCACCATGCCTGGCTAATTTTTGTTTTTTTGTATTTTTAGTAGAGATAGGGTTTCACCATATTGGCCAGGCTGCTCTTGAACTCCTGACCTCATGCTTCAGCCTCGCAAAGTGCTGAGATTACAGGCGTGAGCCACTGTGCCCGGCCTGGGAGTTCTTATAAAGTGATATCACTGCTCTTGTGATATTGAACACACCTGCTCCCGCTTTGACCTTCTGCCATGTTATAACACAGCATGGAAGCCATCACCAAAAATCAGCACCATGCCCTTGAACTTCCTGATCTGTAGAACTATGAGCTAAATAAACCTCTTTTTAGAATAAATTACCCAGAATCAGGTATTCTGTTATAACACTAAACACATTAAGACATACATACAGTGGAATACTATTCGCCTTAAAAATGAACAACCATTTTTTTTTTTTGCTTAAACAACAGAGACTTTTTTTTAAGTTTATGGATACATAATAGATGTACATATTTTTGGAGTACATGTCTATATACATTATATATTATATATACACATTATATGCAGTCATATAATGTGTAAAGATCAAATCAGGGTAATTGGCACATTCACCACTTTAAATATTTATCTTTTCTTTTTTTTTTTTTTTTTTTTTGAGATGGAGTCTCGTTCTGTCACCTAGGCTGGAGTGCAGTGGCAATCTTGGCTCACTGCAAGCTCCACCTCCCGGGTTCATGCCATTCTTCTACCTCAGCCTCCCGAGTAGCTGGGACTACAGGCACCGGCCACCAGGCCCAGCTAATTTTTTTGTATTTTTAGTAGAGACGGGGTTTCACCGTGTTAGCCAGGATGGCCTCGATCTCTTGACCTCGTGATCTGCCTGCCTCGGCCTCCCAAAGTGCTGGGATTACAGGCGTGAGCCACTGCAACAGGCCTTATCTTTTCTTTATGCTAGGAACACTTGAATTATTCTCTTACAGCTATTTTGAAATATACAACAGATTATTGTTAAGTATCATCACCCTACTGCTCTATTGAACACTAAGCCTTACTTCTTCTATTTAACTAAACATTCGTACCAATTAATCAACTTCTCTTCATCCCCATCTTTCTCCTACTCTTTCCAGCATTTGGTAACCACCAATCTACTCTCTGTCTTTATGACATCCAGGATTTTTAGTTCCCATATATGTGTAAGAACATGCCACACTTGCTTTTCTGTGCTTGGCTTATTTCACTGAACATAATGACCTCCAGTTCCTTCAATGTGGCTGCAAAGGACAGGATTTCTTTTTTTTATGGCTAATATCCCATTGTGTGGAATATATACAATATAAATAATAACTCCTTACATATATACCACATTTAGGAGTGACATTTTGATATATGCCACATGGATGAATCTTGAAGACATGCTGAGTGAAATCCCCCAGATTTAAAAAGACAAATATTGCATGATTCCCTTTATAAGGGGTACCTAGAATAGAAAAGGTAAATTCATAGAGTCAGAGACACAAAGTAGAACAGAAGTTACCAAGGACTGGGAGGAGAGGAGAATGGGGAGTTGTTGGTTTATGGGTACCGTGTTTCCATCTGAGAAGATGAAAAGGGTTTGTAGATAAACTGTAGTGATGGTTGCACAATAACGTGAATGTACACAGTGCCACAGAGCTGCACGTTTAAAAGGGGTTATTTTTATGTATATTTGACCACAATTAAAAACAATAAAAACCAAAAGAGCCTGAAGGCCAGCCTCCAAGGATCTCCCTCCAGCTGTCATCAATACCTGAGACCATACACTTCAAATACAATCACCAGCACAGAGCTGGTGATAGAAAATTGTGAATAAAAATAACTGAACCTGATGTCAGCTTCTCATCTATAGCATCTTTCCTATCATTCACAGGAGATCATAATAGATCTCATAAATGCTTTAGCATGTCTACTCACTTATTAGCTCATCGATTACTCTACCTGCTTTGTCACCTGTAGAGGAAGGAACTGAGTTTCACTTTGTCATTCTAGAAAAGATGAGTTGATGGAGGCCTCAGGACCTGCCCCGCAGCAGCACGCAGGCTGCACATCAGGGCGTGGTTAGGAGCTGCTGTGTCTCGGGTCACCTGCAGCTTCTTGACCTGAACACAGAGCTGAGGTCTGCTGGGGCCCCTCATGACATGTATACCAATCAGCAAGGCCCTGTTCTTCCATGATTTTGCTGACCTCTGTGCATACGTTGCAAAATGTTCACGACATAGCAGACCATTAAGACAGCTATGCAGGCAGTGAAGGGAGCTGTCCCTGTGGTGTGGCGCTCCCTCTCGTGGTGAATGAGGGAAAGTTCAGACAGACAAGAATTGCACACTTCCATCTGCGTTTGGCATTTTTGTAACACAGTTAAGTTTGTCCTGTAATTTTCATGTTGTAACTATAACTCTAATGAAGACTTTTGCCTGTTAATCTGGAAATAACTAGGCCTAAGATTAACCAGAAAGAAAGAGAGAGGGAGGGAGTGAGGAAGGAAGGAAAAAAAGAACAAAGAAAGAAAAGAGAATTTTTAAAAAAGAAAAATTATGATGTTTTTCTTCTTTTTAGTTTTCGGTTTCCAAGACAGTGTTCTATGGAGGTTAAAATTCTCTTATGACATAGATTTATTAAGGTACAAAATTAATTTCCTTTTGTTCCATATACCAGCCCCCTTTTATTATTATCCCACAAAATTCCATAATACAGTATTTCTTATATCACCACAAAGAAAAAGGGACCTTTCTTTTAATCTAAAATGGAGGCGTACCAGCCTGGGAAACATAGGGAGATTCCATCTCTACAGAAAATAATTTAAAAATTAGCTGGGCATGATGGTGTACACCTGTGGTCCCAGCTACTTGGGAGGCTGATATGGGAGGATCACTTCTGCCTGGGAGGTTGAGGCTGCAGTGAGCCATGATGGCACCACTGCACTCCAGCCTGGGTGACAGAGTGTGCCCCTGTCTAAACTAAAATATAAAATAAAGTAGAATAATAATATTAAAATTAAAATGGATAACTACAACAACAGATACCCTTTAAAGGCAGTTTTTCATCTAGACACCCTATAAAGGCTTGAGTATTTTTCTCTTAAAAAAAAAAAGTGACTGGGCCGGGTGGGGTGGCTCACATCTGTAATCCTAGCACTTTGGGAGGCCGAGGTGGGTGGATCACTTGAGGTCAGGAGTTCAAAACCAGTCTGACCAACACAGTGAAACCCTGTCTCTACTAAAAATACAAAAAAAATTAGCCGGGAATGGTGGTGGGTGCCTGTAATGCCAGGTACTCAGGAGGCTGAGGCAGGAGAATTGCTTGAACCCAGCAGGCAGAGGTTGCAGTGAACCAAGGTTGTGCCACTGCACTCCAGCCTGGGCAACAGAGCAAGACTCATCTGAAAAAAAAAAAAAAAGACTGACTCAATATTTTTTGAGGTCACAAACTTGAGAAATAATAAAAAACTATGGACCCCATCCCTTTTTATGCCCCTAACATGTCATAAACATACAAAAATGACAAAAAAAAACTGTGTTGCAAATTGTATACAAAAAAATTGTGTGAAGAAATGTACACATAATTCCAGGAGATTTAGCCTCCCTCGAATCCATTCATGGATCTTGAATTTCAGGATAAAAATCCAAAAGGGACCCAACATTCCCTTCAGAATGGAAGTGTGTGGAGCCCAGGAGACTGGAGCACACTCCTTTCCTCAGGTGCCTGTAGCCAGGCCTGAGTTGGAGATGGAATAAGGACTCTGCATGGGAGAGCAGCTTACTGTTGTTAAGGGAGCTTGGGGCTTTATCTCATGGTCCCTCACAACTACCTAGTGCAGTCAGTAGGGAAAGAACCACTCATTGTGGGTTGACAGTCACTAGGGGAAATGTTAGAGAAAGGCAGGCAGAAAACAAAGACTTTGTCACAAAAAGCAAACCGTTATAAAGTATTTGCCTCTCTCCTCAACATCCGTGAAGTCATCCATCTATTTTCTGAAGGCCATGGGAAAGGAAATTGTATCAGTCTGTTCTCATGCTGCTAATAAAGATATACCTGAGACTGCGTAATTTATAAAGAAAAAGAGGTTTAATGGGCTCACAGTTCCATGTGGTTGACGAGCCCTCACAATCATGGTGGAAGGGAAAGGAGCAAAGTCACATCTTACATGGTGGCAGGCAAAAGAGAGAGCATGTGCAGGGAAACTTCCCTTTATAAAACCATCAGATCTCATGAGACTTATTCACTATCATGAGAACAGCATGGGAAAAAACTGCCCTCATGATTCAATTACCTCCCACTGGGTCCCTCCTGTGACACGTGGGGATTATGGGAGCTACAGTTGGAGATTTGGGTGGGGACACAGCCAAACCATATCAGGAATAATGATAGAAATTGTCTTATCATGCCTGTAGGAACCAATGACATTCATTGAGACTATATCCTTTCAGTGTAGTCATTGAGCTATACTTACACACGTGTTTGTGGGGACAACTCTTTGAGAGGCTAGCAACTGAACACCAGGTCTTTCCCTAAACTAATGGGTGTGCTATCAGTTGGCAGGATATCCACCCTACCAACAGTATCATCATCTTTCCACCATCCCTAAGCATGCCCACGTCAACTCCAGCAGCTGGGACTGCCCCATGATGCCTTACTATGCTGTCCTGCAGTGACTGGTTATACATCTGTATTCCTCAGTGGTGCTCTAGCAAGGCAGAGACCACCCTACCATACTCCATGCATAGCACAGTACCTGACACACAATCTCATTTTCAAACTCTACTCAGGAAACTTCCATATTAGTCTACATTCTCCCAAGAAGCAGATGCCAAAAATATTAAAAGGGGAAGTGCCTCTGTGAGAAAAAAATTAGGGACGGAGTTGGGTAAATATGGCAGTGCTGCTGAACTGTGATACAAGTCTAACCATGAGTGAAGGAGAATGAGAGAGAAGGTTGGATGGAAGATTCTTAGAACACCATGCAGGGCCGGGCATGGGGGCTCACACCTGTAATCCAGCACTTTGGGAGGCAGATCACCTGAGGTCAGGAGTTTGAGACCAGCCTGGCCAACATGGTGAAACCCCATCTCTACTAAAAATACAAAATGTAACTTGGTGTGGTGGAGGATGCCTGTAATCCCAGCAGGAGGCTGAGGCAGAAGAATTGCTTGAAGCTGGGAGGTAGAGGTTGTAGTGAGCAGAGATCATGCCACTGCACTTCAGTCTGGGTGACAGAGTGAGACTCTGTTTCCAAAAACAAACAAACAAAGAAACAGAACATGCAGTCTAAAGAAGGCTCACCAAAGTCAGGTGATGGGGAGTTGGTGGTGGTCCTTGAGCCAAAGTCAACCATCTGAAGAGCGTGTGGCCCTGAATGAAGCTTAGGCCTTAGCATTCTTGCCACCCTCATTTGTTGGCTGAGAGCAGTGAATAGTCAGTGTGACCTTGGTTCAGACATGCAGTTGGAGTTCTGTGAGTTCATCTGTGTGGCCATCACGTCTTCTATCCTGCTAACTCATTGCAATTCTCCAGCTTCATTGTGATCACCAGTCTACTAATTTCACCACTTTTACCGGATCCATTGTTCCTCTGTGTCTTCATTTTTCTTCTAACCCTTGTTTTGGAGCCCTTCCCTAGAATGTCTGCATCGCAGGCACCCTGAACTCTGTGAGCCTTCTCTCAGGTGCCCACCTGGTCTAGTAGCCACTAGTAGATGTTTATTGCCATATCCTCCTTCCTCAAAGATCCCTCATTTTGTTCATGGCATTCACTGTCTTATCCTAAGCCATTAGTTCTCAAGCTTTGCCGTGCATCAGAATTGCTTGGGGGGCTTGTTAAAATACTGACTGTAGGGCCCCACCCCCCAGAATTTCTGATATAATAGATCTAGAGTGAGGCCCAAGAATTTGAATTTTAAACAAACAAGTTCCCAGGTGAGGCGGATGCTGCCGGTCCAAAAATCACACTTTGAGAACCACTGGTCTAAATCCATCCTAGAAATCCCTTGGTGCTTGCCAATGACTGATTCAGGAGGACCAGACTGAAGCCACCAGCACATGGCATTCCCATGGTAACTGTTAATGCCTGAAGGAAATGCCCTGTCTTCCCTGGCTGGTGAGAGCATGAGAGGGTTTCCCTCTCTTTTGCTCCACATGAATGAGGAAGCGGGTAGAGGTAGACTGACTGCCCCCAGCCACTGCATCACAAGAGCAGGGTGCAAGCCACGAGAAGCAGCCAATTCCATAGACAGCCAAGTAGAGGGAAAAAGAACCTGAGTCCTTGATGAACTCACGGGGCCACTGAATCAACAACCCTGGAGCTTGACCTACGTCTGAACCTTCTTTTAAGTTCAATAATTCATTTTCTTATTGTTGAAGGTGGCTTGAGAGAGGTTTTCTGTTACTCACAATGAAAAACATCCTAATTGATACACCTAGGAAACACCAAACCCTGATCTAGCTCTACTGTTTCTTGACTCTACCCACACCTAAACAGATGAATACTTTTAAAAAATCATACAAACCAATCCAACTTGGTTTACTTCAAAATTATGACCACAACTCTCACATGACACCTAGGAATGTCTGTCACTCCACTTACAATTCCTGAAAACATTCCCCTCTTACTTTCTGGGATGCTTATTCCACACTTCCTTAAAGACATATGAAATCTAATCATGTTTATCACCCTCACCTGCCCCCCCCACCACCCATCTCAGCCAACAGCATTGCCCAATATATCATAGAAAGGTGGACAGTCAAAAAAGAACCATTCCATCCCTACCATCGCATCTATCACCTTACCTGGGCTTGTACCTGCAAAATCCACCTTCTCTCTTGGTAGGGATGAAGGCCACTCCTCCACTTGTGCTTTGAGTTTCAATCTCCTTCTGCTCTCAAGAACTCTGCCCTTGCAAATATCCCCTTCATTCATGCCATATTGATTGTCCCCTCAACCAAATTATTCCCATTGGCAAATAAACATGATTTGATTTCATATGTCTTTAAAAAGTATTCTCTCTTGATTCACTCCAGCCACTCCCTCTTTTGCCTGCCCACTTTCCACCTCCCATGGGCTCTTGAACCCTCTCCAACTGAGCTTTTGCAGTGTCCACCATTCAATCAAAATGGCACTTCTTAGAGTTATTATCATACTACAGGGTGACCCATGTCAAAGACAGTTCTCCATCTTCACCTAACTAGATCTGCCAGCAGCGATAGACACACTTGAGTTCTCCTTCATTCTCAAAACACTTTCAGGCCCTGTGACTCTCCTCCCACCACACTGGCCTTTTTTCCTTGACTAATTCCTCTTTGGCTCCTCAACCTCTAAATATTGATGTTCTTGAGGACTTTTGTCTTCATCCTTCTCCTTCTCTATATCCACACTCCTCCTCTAAGTGATCTCTTCCAGTCCCAGGAAGATATAGAATTGACCACGGTCAAACTCATAGTTTCCTCTCTGGCAAGCACCAGACTGACATCCTACTGTCCACCAGATATCACCACTTGGATATCTGACAGACTTCTCAAATTTGGGGTCATATGTGAAGGGATTAAAAGACCTGGAACCGCACTAAACAAGCCAACAATCATTACAAATAATATGTAGCAATGACTTACATTGTCTATAAAAGCACATGGTTATCACACAATTTGCTTGAGCAAGCTCTACATATTGTGTGGTTGTTGAGTAGAACTGTTTGTTGACCTAAATGCACTTACTGATATACCCATGCAGTAAAATCCTTTTATGTTACAGGGAGCAGAAAATCTTTCTTTAGCATCAGTTTGATGAGATGCTGGATGTCTTACCTCTCACAGGCAGCAGGGGTTACCTACTTTTCACCCCATTGAAGGTCCAGTCCAGCTCTGTGGTCCAGTTGACAACCATCACCATAGCAACTTATATACTCATTTCTAGCAAGAATAAATAAATATGTCTTGAAGGGCAGGCTGTCACCATTCTACTTGATATTGATTCTGCTGCTCATGGACTTAAAAAAAGCTACCTTTTTTGTTTTGAAATAAGTGTAGCTGGCCGGGAACAATGACTCACGTCTGTAATCCCAACACTTTGCAAGACCGAGACGGGTGGATCACCTGAAGTCAGGAGTTCGAGACCAACCTGGAAAACATGGTGAAACCCCATCTCTACTAATAGTACAAAAAAATTAGCCAGGTTTGGTGGTGCATGCCTGTAAGTCCAGCTACTCGGGAGGCTGAGGCAGATAATTGCTTGACCCTGGGAGGTGGAGGTTGCAGTAGGCCGAGATCACTCCACTTCACTCCAGCCTGGGCGACAGAGCGAGACTCCATCTCAAAATAAATAAATAAATAAATAAATAAAATTAAAAAAAGAAAAAGAAAATGTCCTTCTAGTCCTACTTTTCTAATAGCCTTATTAATTTTTTTAAAATATTGTTGTAAGAACAAACATAGATCTATGGAACAGTATAGGAACTCAGGAATAGACCTATTTACATATTGAAACTTAATTTATGATAAAGAGGGGTCCATACAACAATGGGGAAATGATTATATGGTATACACTTTGAGGGAAACAAATTCACTGTATGGAGAAAAATGAATCTGGATCCCTAAATGAAAATACATGAAAAGGTGGATTTTAGATGGATTATTGGCTTGAACATGAAAGATAAAACCGCCAACTTAACAGAAGGAAATATAGAAAAATATATTTGTCACCTAAGGATGAAAAAAGACACTTTTAGCAAAACTTTAAGAGCATAAGCCACAAGGCAAAGATAAATATTTAAGATCAAAAAAGGATAATCATGGACAAAATTAATGAGAGATAACAGAACGGTCGAAGATATTTGCAATTCCTAAAACTGAGAAAAGGATTGTTTCCCTAGATACATGGACCCCCCCACAAATCAATGAGAAAATAAACTAGCAGTCCTTCTTTTTCCATGGTTGCTTATGCTTCAGGTGTCATAGCTAAGAAGCAATTACCTAATTCAAGGTTACAAATATTCATACCTGTTTTCTTCAAAAGGTTTTGTAGTTTCAGCTCTTTTATTTAGGTCTATGCTTCATTTTGAGTTTATTTAAAATGGCATAAGGAAGAAGTCCAACTTGATTCTTTTTGCATGTGGATAGCCAGTTGTCCCAACACCATTTGTTAAAAGCCTATTCTTTTCCCACTGGATTGTCTTGGTACAAATCAAATTCATAAATGTATGAATTTGGCCAGGCATGCTGGCTCTCACCTGTAATCCCAGCACTTTGGGAGGCCAAGGCAGGTGGATCACCTGAAGTCAGGAGTTTGAAACCAGCCTGGCCAACATGGTGAAACTCTGTTTCTACTAAAAATACAACAATTAGCCAGGCTTGGTCGTGGGTCCCTGTAATCCCAGCTACCTGGGAGGCTGAGGCAGGAGAATAGCTTGAACCTGGGAGGCAGAGGTTGCAGTGAGCTGAGATCACACCATTGCACTCCAGCCTGGGTGACAAGAATGAAACTCCATCTCAATAAATAAATAAATATGAATTTGCTTATGAATTCTCAACTCTATTCCATTGACCCATATGCCTATCCTTATGCTAGTACCACACTGTCTTGATAACTGTAACTTTGTAAGCTTTGAAATCTGAAGGTGTGAGTTTTCCAACTTTGTTTCTTTTTCAAGATTGCTTTGGCTATTCTGGATCCTTTGCATTTTTTATTAGTCCATTTTCACACTGCTACGAAGAACTGCCTGAGACTGGGGACTGGGTAATTTACAAAGGAAAGAGGTTTTTTGTTTTTTTTTATATACTTTAAGTTCTAGGGTACATGTGCACAACGTGCAGGTTTGTTACATATGTATACATGTGCCATGTTGGTGTGCTGCACCCATTAACTCGTCATTTACATTAGGTATATCTCCTAATGCTATCCCTCCCCACTCTCCCCACCTCATGACAGGCCCTGGTGTGTGATGTTCCCCTTCCTGTGTCCAAGAGTTCTCATTGTTCAATTCCCACCTATGAGTGAGAACATGCGGTGTTTGGTTTTTTGTCCTTGCTATAGTTTGCTGAGAATGATGGTTTCCAGCTTCATCCATTTCCCTACAAAGGACATGAACCCATACAAAGGAAGGAGTTTTCATTGACTCACAGTTCTGCATGGCTGGGGAGGCCTCAAGAAACTCATAATAATGGCATGAGGCAAAGGGGAAGCAAGACATCTTCACAAAGCAGCAGCAAGGAGAAGTGCTGAGTGAAGGGGGAAGAGCTCATTATAAAACCATCAAATCTTGTGAGAACTCATTCACTATCACAAGAATAGCAGGGGAGAAGCCACTCCCATGATTCAGTTACTGCCACCTGGTCTCTCCCTTGACACGTGGGGATTATGGGGATTACAATTCAAGATAAGATTTGGGTGGGGACACAAAGCCTAACCATATCACATTTTCATATGAATCTTAGACTCAGCTTGTCATTTTCTGCAAGGAAAAGAAAAAAACAGCCAACTGGAATTTTGAAAGGCATTGCATTGAATCTGTAGATCAATTTAGGGAGGATTGCCGTCTTAACAATATTGAGTCTTTCAATCCACAAATATGGGTTTCTTTCCATTTATTTAGGCCTTCTTTAATTTCTTTCTATGACGTGTTACAGTTTTCAATGTCCAAGTTATGCACTTCTTTTGTTAAATTTATCACTAAGTATATTATTCTTTTTTGATGCTATTGTAAATTAAATTGTTTCCTTAGTTTTATTTTTTTGAGTTATTTATTATTAATGTATAGCAATATATTTTCTTTTTGTGTATTGACCCTGTATCTTGTAACCCTGCTTAACTGTTTATTAGTTCTAATAAGTTCTTTTTTAGGTTTCTTAGGATTTTCTATATACAAAATCTTATTATCTGTAAATAGAGATCATTTTATTTCCTTTGTAATCTAGGTTCCTTTATTTATTTTTCTTGACCAAATGCCCTGACTAGAAACTTCAGTACAATGTTAAATAGAAGTGTTGAGAGTGGACATCCTGGTGTTATTCCTAGTCTTAAGGGGAAAACGTTTAGTCTTTCATTCTTAAATTTGTGTGCCATTTTGCTATTCTTTTTCTATGTCTTATATATTTTTTATTTCCTATTCCTACATTACTGCTTTCTTTTGTTTAATGGCTATTATCTAGTATACAATTTTAATCCCTTTGTTTCTTTTACTATATGTTTTTAGTTATTGTTTTGGTGGTTTCCCTGTGGAATACAATTAATATATTAATTTAAAATAATATAGTTTGGATTAATACCAACTTAATTTCAACAGTATACAAACATTTTGCTGCAATATAACTTCATTCTCTCATACCACTTTTGTGCGATTTTTGTCATACTAACTATACATTATAAACCAACATAGTTGGTTTATAGTTGGTTCATAATCATTACAAATCAACATAGTTTTATAATTATTACTGTATGCAGTTGTCTTTTAAATAAGAGAGGAAAAGAAAGGGGTTACAAATAAAAACACTTTTCTGCTGTCTTTTACATTTACCTATGTAGTTACCTTTACCATACTTTTTATTTCTTCATGTGGATTTAACATGTAGGGTTCTCTCATTTTATGCTGAAGGATTCCTTTCAGAATTTCTTGTAGGGCAAGTCTGCTAAAGATGACTTCTCTCAGTTTTTGTTCATCTGTAAATGTCTTAATTACTCCTTTGTTTTTTGAAGGTTTGCTGATATAGAATTCTTGGTTGACAATCTTTCTTTTAACATTTTGAATGTCATCTCATTGCCTTGTGTAGTGCACAGACTGGTACCAAAACAGACATCTCATTGCACTGAGTGCAGTGATGTGATCTCGAGTCCCTGCAACCTGCACCTCCCAGGTTCAAGCTATTCTCCTGCCTCAGCCACCCAAGTAGCTGGGATTATAGGAGTGCACCACCATGCCCGACTATTCTTTTCTTTTCTTTTTTCTTTTCTTTTCTTTTCCTTTCTTTTCTTTTCTTTCTTTCTCTCTCTCTTTCTCTCTTTCTTTCTTTCTCTCTCTCTTCCCTCCCTTCCTTCCTTCCTTCTTTCCTTCCTTCCTTCTCTTTCTTTTTTGTATTTTTAGTAGAGACTGAGTTTCACCATGTTGGCCAAGCTGGTCTTAAACTCCTGGCCTCAAGTAAACCACCTACCTTGGCCTCCCAAACTGCTGGGATTACAGGCGTGAGCCATCGCACCCAGCCTCAGCCATTTTTCTTAAATAAGTGCTTCTCAATATTTTCAGTTCTCAGCATGTTGCAAGCCTTTAGTTAATTTTCACAGTTGTAAAAGTTTATTTTGACAATGTTCTCATTGCTTTAATGGAGTAGTGAATTTTTGGAGTTCCTTGTTTGCTGTTTTGAAGATGTTCCTTCTTGACTTTCTTATAATTTCCATCTCTTTGCTGAAATTACCCATCGGTTCATGTTTGTTGTTCATTTTTAATTATCAGATATTTTAATCCATTAATCCTAATTATTTTTAATTCCTTGCTTGATAGTTTCAAAATGTTGCTCATAGATCAATCTCTTGCTATTGATTGCTTTATCTCTTGGGATTTTGTTTGTTGCTTTTTGTTTTTAATGTTTCCTTGATATGTCATAACTTTGTATTGAATACCTGGCATCATTTGTAGGACAGTAGACACTGAAGTAAGTGGTATTTATGTCTGAAATGGGCACACCTTTTATGACAGGTCATTAATGTGGAGGGTTGAATCAGTCTAGTCAGGAGTTGAGTAGGTTTGGGTTTGTTGTTGCTATGGTTTCCTTCAGTGCACAAACCAGCTTCAAATTCTCCTCGCTTGTGTTGTGATTCAGGTGGGAGGTGAGGGGATATTCTTGCCCCACCTTCATCTTGTAGCTATCTCTGCCAACTGAGCCACAGAGAGGACCTTTCTGCTTGCCTTTGTCCTTCCCCTAGTTGTAGACTATTATTGCTTGGTACATGCTGTTAGGCTCATGGTGGGGGTTAGGAAGGGGTTCTCTGTTGCCCTGGTCTAGCTTCAATCTTAGGCTGGCTCTGTGATCCTGGGCTCTGTAAGCTGGGCTTTTAACAATGTTCCTGGCCAGGCATGGGGGCTCACACCTGTAATCCCAGCACTTTGAGAGGCCGAGGCAGGTGGATCACTTGAGGCCAGGAGTTCGAGACCAGCCTGGCCAACATGGCAAAATCTTGTCTTTACTAAAGATATTTTTTAAATTAGCTGGGTGTCATGGCAGGTGCCTATAGTCTCAGCTACTCGGGAGGCTGAGGCACAAGAGTTGCTTAACCCGGGAGGCGGAGGTTGCAGTGAGCTGAGATGGCACCACTGCACTCCAGCCTGGGCAACAGAGCGAGACTCTGTCTCAAAAAAAAAAAAAAAAAAACAAGCAAAACAACAACAACAACAACAACAAAACACACAAAACAAAACAAAAGAAACGAGAGGAGCAAGAAAGCACAGAGAGCAGATCAGCAAGGTTGAGAGGGTAGGATGTGAGTTTCAGCGGAAGCTGGTCACTGGAAGGGCTCATACCACACCCTTAATTAAATAATAAATTAAGGTATATTTTATTAAAGTTGGAATTTTTCTACATGGCAATACTGAGCCAATGAAACATTTTATTAACTGCTTGTTATATAATTTTTATTATCTGAGCAATGGTTAGCAAATAAACTTGGGAAAAAAGCCCTTGAAGATAAAAATTAATTGCCTACATCCCTGTCATTCAAATCAACCACTTTTATATTTTGATTTCTTTTCAAAGGAAAGAAATTGAAAGAAAGGAAGGAAGAACTTCCTTCCTTTATGGAGTTGTATTTATTTTACAAAATTTCTATCATATGTTTTGTTCAAATTTTTTTTTTATTTAAAAATTTCTATGGATTTGATTGTTTAGGTGTGGCCAGGCATCAAGATTTATAACCACTCACCAGGTAATTCCAATGGGCAGTCAAATCAGGATCCACTGATCTAGATTATCTTCTCTTCTAACACTTTGGCATTTTCATGATTTTCTCATCTCAGTGTACATGTATTGTCTAGGACATCATTTCTGGTTTTTTGTTTTTTTTTTTTGAAACAGAGTCTCACTCTGTCGCCCAGGATGGAGTGCAGTGGCGCGATCTCGGCTCACTGCAACCTCTGCCTCCCAGGTTCAAGCAATACTCCTGCCTCAGCCTCTTGAGTAGCTGGGATTATAGGCGTGTGCCACCATGCCCTGCTAATTTTTGTATTTTTAGTAGAGATGGGGTTTCACCATGTTGGCCAGGCTGGTATCAAACTCCTGACCTCTGGATCTGCCCGCCTCTGCCTCCCAAAGTGCTGGGATTATAGGCGTGAGCCACTGTGCCCAGCTAGGACATCATTTCTAAATGGAATACTCTAAAGTTCTATTAAAGTCTCATCATCTTGGTGATTTTTAAAGTTTCTTTATGAGACAGAGTCTCACTTTGTCACCCAGGCTGGAGTGCAGTGGTGCAACCAGAGCTCACTGTAACCTGTAACTCTTGGTCTCAAGCAATCCTCCCATCTCAGCCTCCTGAGTAGCTGGGACTATAGGCATAAACCACCACACCCGTTTTTTTTTTTGTTTTTTTTTTTTTTTTAAATAGAGACGGTGAGGGGGTCTTAGTATGTTTCCCAGGCTGGTCTTGAACTCCTGGCCTCAAATGATCCTCCTACCTCAGCTCCCAAAGTGCTGGGATTGCAGGTGTGAGCCACTGGACCTGGTCTCAAATTTATGTCTTGCTTTTTAATTATTGTATTTTATTTTATTTATTTATTTTTTGAAACAGGGTCTTGCTCTGCCACTCAGGATGGAGTGCAGTGATGCAATCATGGCTCACTTAGGGTAACAGAAGCAATTTTTCACATAGTTTCAAACTCTGTCAAATCCTTTTAAGTGGTCACACAATATTTCATTGAGTTGACATGCCAAAGATTATTTAACCATTCTCCAATTACCTAACAGGTCTCTAATTGAGCTGTCATTGTTGTTCTTTGCTCTAGTATGAATAATGGTGCAATAAACAAAACTGTTCATAAAGGATTTCTTTTTAAAAATATTTTTGATTATTTCCTTAGGATAATATCCCAAAAATGGAGTTATCAGGTCAAAGCATTTTGCTAAATTGATTCAAGGAGTAGATTTTAGTATTTGTAAGACAGTTTTTAGTGACTTCTTTGCAGAGGTATAAATTCCTTTCAAACAACTACTGGCCATAGATAAACTGGAATGAAAGGAAATTTTTTTTTTTTCATATGGGGTGGGGGAATTCCCACTGGGAGTAAGTTTCAGAAACTTGAGTTCTCTGTCATTGGAAATATTTAAGTCCTCCTCACATCCTCATGGGCTTTCCACTGAATGGAAGTGACTCCCTGCCTAGGTGAGAGGGTGGTCTACTTCACTGTTTTCCTAACCAGTTTCTCATCAGAATCACTTAAAGAGCTTTTGAAAGTTAGACTCTAGATTCTGGGGCTCCACCCCAAACCTGCTGATTGATCCTCTACAGTGGCTTTTGGAAACCACAGAGCTACCTGCTCCTCCCGCCATGATTCCAACATCTCCTCTAACTACAATTCCATGATGTTGAGAGTCTTCAGATACAGTTGAGGTTAGAGAGAATGAAGTTCCTGACCAACGAAGAACTTCTCCCTTCATCTAACAACTGTTACATACCTTGAAGGGCACCCAGGAAAAGGTGCACAAAGATATTCTGCTTCTGCCATGGATCCTGACCCTGTGTGGACATCTCACCTGTTCCACTCCTGTTTTCTTATCTAAATGAACTGGGAATTTGCAGCAAGAGCTGCAGAGCCACAGCATGGATGATCCTGGAACTCTCACCACTGAAATTCCTTACCTTGTCTCCATACCATACCTTTAGCTTCAGGCCTAGTTCAGGGAAGTCAAACTCACCAGGCTCTCATGCTCTCTTCAGAAGCAGTGTGCAGGGAATGAGCCCCACAAGAGGTGTGGGCAAGTTCTAGTCTTCAGCTTCCTCAAGCACACAATAGTACATTTGGTCCGAATATTCTCTAAGGAAACTCCAAGAGCTAAACTTCATGGGTCAGTATGTTTTTTAAGTGATTGTGCCCAACAACATTGTATAGTATCAAAAGCAAAACACTTGCGTATTCTGCCACACCTTAGAAAACTGCTGGTGAAAATGTGTTTCATTTAAAATATCACCAAATTGTATGCACACTAATGACAGTTTTGTAAAATTATGTATTATCGTTCAAGATTATAAAGGAACATGGAGCTATCAGAACTTTTTGTGCTGGGGACAGGCACAGTGGCTCACGCCCGTAATCCCAGCACTTTGGGAGGCGGAGGCAGGGGGATCACTTGAGGTCAGGAGTTCGAGACCAGCCTGGCCAACACAGTGAAACCCTGTCTCTACTAAAAACATAAAAATTAGCCTGGCGTGGAGGCACACACCTGTAAATTCCAGCTACTTAGGAGGCTGAAGCACCATCATCACTTGAACCCTGCAGGTAGAGTTTGCAGTGAGCCAAGATTGTGATGCTTTCATTACAGCCTGGGCGACAGAGCAAGACTCTGTCGCAAAAATAATAATAATAGTAATAATAATAATAATAATAATAATAATAAAAGAAAAGTTTTATGAAGCATGAATGTCCGTTATAATTGCCTCTCTCTTTTTCTTAAAACTGAATTTTACTTATTCTAGGACTCTTTTTCAATATTTCCTTCAATATTAATAGCCATAAAAGTTGTCAAAGGAATGTTTTCTGGTTGTGGACTGAGAAAAGATGTTCTTAGCAAAAATAAGATTATTAGTAGTAGACAGTCAAGGATTTATCAAAGTTAATTTGTGGGGAGTTTGGATCTTTTCTATACCCCTCAGGGCTTCCTAATTTTGGAAAGACTGGGAATATTTTGAAATGAGCTAGCCAGGCATGGTGGCTCACACCTGTAGTCCGAGCACTTTGGGAGGCTGAGGCAGGTGGATCGCTTGAGGCCAATAGTTTGAGACCAGCCTGGCCAACATGGAGAAACCCTGTCTCTACAAAAAATGCAAAAATTAGCCGGGAATGGTGGAACAAGCCTGTAGTCCCAGCTACTCAGGAGGCTGAGGTGGGAGGATTGCTTGAGCCCAGGAGGCGGAGGTTGCAGTGAGCAGAGTATGCGCCACTACACTCCAGCCTGGGCAATGGAGTGAGACCCTGTCTCAAAAAAAAAGAAATAGGCCGAGCACTGTGGCTCACACCTGTAATCCCAGCACTTTGGGAGGCCGAGGTGGGTGGATCACAAGGTCAGGAGTTTAACACCAGCCTGGCCAATATATGAAACCCCGTCTCTATTAAAAATACAAAAATTAGCTGAGCATGGTGGTGGGCACCTGTAGTCCCAGCTACTTGGGAGGCTGAGACAGGAGAATTGCTTGAACCCGGGAGGCAGAGGTTACATAAGCAGAGATCATGCCACTGCACTCCAGCCTGGGTGACAGAGCGAAACTGTCTCAAAAATAAATAAATAAATAAAAAGAAATAAAAGAAAGCAAGAAAGCAAGCAAGAAAGGGAAGGAAGGATGGATTAAGAGGCTAAACTTATTATTTGGCATGAATATTTTATTCTGCCTAAATTTTTTAAATTGATAAATAATAGTTGTCTATATTTGGGGGGTACATGTGATATCCTTATACTTGTATATAGTGCAGTCTGTATATTTTTGTGTTCTCAGTGTTAAGAAAAGCATAGGACTCAGTAAATATTTGCTGAATAAACGAATATTTATTTATTTGCAAATAAGCAAATACCTGAATGAACACATGGATAGCTTTTATGGAAATGTATAAATCCAGTGTCTGGCAGAACTTTATGAGCTTTGCGATCATTAGCAAATAGTCATTTTTTCCGAATTTCACTTTTCACCTATACAATGGGAAGAGGCTGAACATAACACAGAGTTGTTATAGAGTTCAAAGACGGGGATGCAGTGTCTGGCATCCTGTCTGCTCTAAGGGCTTTTCCTTCACATTGAAAATTTTAAATCAGGGCCAGGCACAGTGGCTCATGCCTGTAATCCCAGCACTTTGGGAAGCCAAGGCAGGTGGATCACCTGAGGTCAGGAGTTCAAGACCAGCCTGGCCAACATGGTGAAATCCTGTCTCTACTAAAAATACAAAAAAAATTAGCCAGATGGGATGGCAGGGGCATCCCAGCTACTTGGGAGGCTGAGGCGGGGGAATCACCGGAACCCAGGAGGCAGAGGTTGCAGTGAGCCGAGATTCCACCACTGCACTCCAGCCTGGGCGACAGAGCAAGACTCTGTCTCAAAAAAATACAAAAAATAAAAAATAAAATTTTAAATCATTTATTTTTATAAGAGAAGGGGGATCTAGGTTTTTATTTGTCCCTAACCAACTTTGTCACGTCGACTCCTATACATATTGGAGTTTTTGGCATTTTGGTAGGAATTCTTTTTCTTTTTCTTTTTTCTTTTTTTTTTTTAGATAGGGCCTTGCTCTGTTGCCCATGTTAGAGTGCAGTGGTGAGATCACAGCTTATTGCAGCCTCAACCTCCCAGGCTCAAGCCGTCCTTCCACCTCAGTCTCTTGGGTAGCTGGGACCATAAGCGTCAGCCACCAAAATCAGCTAGTTTTTAATTTTTTTTAGTAGAGGCGAGGTTATGATATATTGCCCAGGTTGGCCTCAAACTCCTGAACTCTAGCGATCTGCCTGCCTTGGCCTCCCAAAGTGTTGGGATTACAGTTGTGAGCCACCGTGTCCTGCTCTTTTAAATTCTGAAATGAAGCCAAACCTCACAGTAATGCAGAACTCTATATTTCTTATGAGCCTCCTACATGCTAAAAACTTGATAATCTAGAATCATTGGGGAATAAACTACTCCAGAATTGTGTCTAGTTTTCTATATAAGTCAGAATTGCACAGGTTGGGATGAGAAGCCTATATTTTTTCCTCTCTCTCTCCAGGGAATTCAGAGGCAGAGCCATGCTTGGGAACTCCTGGTGTAACTTTTCATTTCACAGGCGAGGACATGGAAAGACTTGCCCACGATGGTCAAGGCTGCAAGCTGTTCTTGACCCTTGCTCTTCTAGCAGACTCACTAGATCCTTCAGCCAGTTTATCATTTGAATGCACGTTTCCACCCTGCTTCTTGTACTTTCCTGTGATTTTGTCCCCAGCGCTGTTGTAGAAAGTCTGTACTAAGAAGGCGAGACAGTCCTCCTAGCACAAAGGCCACCAGCGTCATTCATTTTGGGCTGGTCTTTGGGTCATGCAAATCCTGCCATTGGCTCCTAGCCAATAGTTAAATTCTACAAAGACAAGCCAGCACCTACACACTGGCCCAGGAAGCTGGGCTAATCCTTTCCCTCTGCCCATGCAAACTGGAGCTGTGGGTCAGCCACAGGTATTGTGAGAGCTTCTAGAGACCAACCAGGCAGCTCAGCATGGTGGTGATGAACCTGGATCTGGAGCTGGGCTTCTGGGCCCACGTTCCATCTCCCATATTCACTGTATCCCCTCAGGCAAATACCTTCCTCTTGAAATGAGGATAATAATATTACCCACCTCATAGGTTTGTTATGAGGATTACACGGGCTAATATTTGTAAAGAGCCTTGGCATGTAGCAGGGACTAGCTAAGTGCTGGATAAGTAATTTATTAAACATGTTTCAAAGCACTTTCCACCTGTCTTGATAATGGGCCTCTGATGCCTCTTAGAGGAATGAGTGATTAGACCCTGCCAAAACACATTCAGCTTTTTTATTTTTTATTTATTTATTTTTTGAGACAAAGTCTCACTTTGTCCCCTAGGCTGGAGAACAGTGGCGCGATCTTGGCTCACTGCAACCCCCACCTCTTCTTCTGGGGTTCAAATGATTCTTCTGCCTCACCCTCCCAAGTAGCTGGGGTTACAGGCACCAGCCACCATGCCTGGCTAATTTTTGTATTTTTAGTAGAGATGGGGTTTTGCCATGTTGGGCAGGCTGGTCTCAAACTCCTGACCTCAAGTGATCTGCTCATCCTGGCCTCCCAAAGTGCTGGGATTAACAGGCGTGAGCCACTGTGCCTGGCATCACATCCGGCTTTGAAATGCGACTTTGTTGGATCCCTAGATGGTCCACCGCTCTTCCACCCCCTTACTCAGACTGGCTTTCCTCTAGCGAGATAAGATAAGACCCAGCTTTCTTTGAAGACCCCTAGGCTGTTATGCCAGGTCACACCTACTCTGTTCTGCAGTAAACATGTACCCACTCCTGCCTGGACTAGTGAGAAACTTGAACTCTCAATGCCCCCCTTTGCAGGAGAGCTTCCATTTCTGACCCTCTAGACCCAAGGTGATAAGAGCTAGTGATGAAGCTCACATTCTGTGAGTCAACGTCACTGAGTCAGGTTCTCATGACCACAGAGAAAGGGACCTAACTCAGGCTCTGCCTCTGAAGCTAGACAATTAACGTTTAGTCAGAACAGGACATCATTGTTGATCACATCTAACCTTCCTCAAAGACCTATGAGGTGATAAGGACAATTGTCACCAGGAAATGGAAGTCCTAAGTTGTACCAGTTTTCTACCAACTTCTTACTTTAAAAATAGTAACTGGGCCAGGTGCAATGGCTTATACCTGTGATCCCAGCACTTTGGGAGGCCAAGGCAGGAGGATCACTTGAAGCCAGGAGTTTGAGACCAGCCTGGATAACATAGCAAGACTCTTATCTCTACAAAAAAAAAAAAAAAAAAAAGAGGCTGCTACTCTAAATTTTATGCTAATCATTCTCTTGCTTTTCTTTACAACTTATCATATATGATATACCCTAAAATATAGGTGCCACCACATTCGGCCCTCTCTGGGTTTTTGATGGGAATGCCCTCAACCATCTCCACTTCTCCTCTGTAATTCCTGTTCTTTCAAGACTAAGTTCTGGTGCCATTACGTCTGGGGAACTTTCCCTTACCATTGCAGGCTGGGTTAGAGATTCCTCCTTGGCACCCATGGAAGCCTGTGCTTACCTCTATCACAGCACATGACATCATGTTGTAATTGCCTATTTTCTCATCTGATCATCTGTTTCTAGTCAATAAGTCCCATGAAGCAGGTTCTGTGCTTTTTCTATGTTGATATTCTTAGCGTCCAACTCGCCTGTGCTCAACAAATTAATAAATCAATAAGGCCAGGTGCGGTGGCTCACGCCTGTAATCCCAGCACTTTGGGAGGCTGAGGCGGGTGGATCATGAGGTCAGGAGTTCGAGACCAACCTGGCCAACATAGTGAAACCCCCATCTCTACTAAAAAAAATACAAAAAATTAGCCAGGCGTGGTGGTGGGCACCTGTAATCCCAGCTACTCGGGAGGCTGAGGCAGGAGAATTTAACCTGGGAGGCAGAGCTTGCACTGAGCCGAGATTGTACGATTGCACTCCAGCCTGGGTGACAGAGCAAGACTCCGTCTCAAAAAATAAATAAATAAATAAATATTTCTTAAACTTGTTGGAGGGAGCATAGGAAGGAGTGCTTGGCTCCACAAGGCACATGTCCCTTCTCAAACACATCCTGGAGGGTTATCACGTCCTGTTTGCCCTTACATGTAAAGCCCAGGGATACCTACATTCCTCTGTGCAGCACAATGATGGGAATAGCAATGGCTATAGTTCTTTTTTCTAAGGCATCTAGTGTGGACATCAGAGCCTCCAGGTGCTCATCAGCATTTTTCTAAGAATTACTTCTTGTGTGTCTGTTCTACTGAAAGGAAGCAAAACATAAATATTAAGAAAATAATGGGCCAGGTGCAGTGGCCCATGCCTGTAATCCCAGCACTTTGGGAGGCTGAGGCAGGCGGATCACTGGAGATCAGGAGTTCAACAACAGCCTGACCAACATGGTGAAACCCCGTCTCTACTAAAAATACAAAAATTAGCTGGGCATGGTGACAAGCACCTGTAATCCCAGCTACTTGGGAGGCTGAGGCAGGAGATTCGCTTAAACCTGGGAGGCAGAAGTTGCAGTGAGCCAAGATCGCACCATTGCACTCCAGCCTGGGTGACAAAAGCGAACCTCTGTCTCAAAAAAAAAAAAAGAAGAAGAAAATAATGGCCGGGTGCAGTGGCTCATGCCTGTAATCCCAGCACTTTGGGAGGCTGAGGCAGGCAGATCACTTGAGCTCTGGAGTTTCAGACCAGCCTGGACCACATGGTGAAACCCCTGTTTCTAAAAAGACAAAAAGAAAAAAAATTAGCCAGGCATGATGGTGCACACCAGTAGACCCAGCTACTTGGGAGGCTGAGGTGGGAGGATCACTTGAACCTGGAAGGTTGAGAATGCAGTGAGCTGAGATCACACCACTGCACTCCAGGCTGGGTGATAGAGTAAGACTGCATTAAAAAAAAAAAAAAAAAAAAAAGGAAAGAGAAAATAAAAAATAATAATGTACAATTTTTTCAATGTCAGATATTGCTTTAAAAAACATTGAGGGAACCTTATCTTCCTACCTTCTACACCCATTCATTCATTTGAATACTATGTAATATTCATTAAGACTTACTTTGGAGGCCAGGCGCAGTGGCTCACACCTGTAATCCCAGCACTCTGGGAGGCCAAGGTGGGTGGATCACGAGGTCAGGAGATCAAGACCATCCTGGCTAACATGGAGAAACCCCACCTCTACAAAAAATACAAAATTAGCCAGGCATGGTGGTGCATGCCTGTAATCCCAGCTACTCGGGAGGCTGAGGCAGGAGAATTGCTTGAACCTGGGAGGCAGAGGTTGCAGTGAGCCAAGATCATGCCATTGCACTCCAGCCTGGGCAATAGAGCGAGATTCCATCTCAAAAAAAAAAAAAAAAAGACTCACTTTGGGCTGGGTGCAGTGGTTCACACCTGTAATCCCAGCACTTTGGGAGGCCAAGGTGAGTGGATCACTTGAAGTCAGGAGTTCGAGAACAATCTGGCCAGCATGGCAAAACCCCATCTCTACTACAAATACAAAAATTAGCTGGGTGTTGTGGTGCATGCCTGTAATCCCAGCTACTCAGGAGGCTGAGGAGAGAGAATCGCTTGAGCCCAGGGGGTGGAGCCTGGGGGGCAGAGGGAGCTGAGATCACGCCACTGCACTCCAGCCTGGGTGATAGAGTGAGACCCTGAAAAAAAAAATTACTTTGATCCAGAATCTGTGCTGGAAATGTGAATATGATGAACAGACAAGGTACCGTGCCTCTTTGTTCCTCAAGAGTCTATGAAAAAACCAAACCATTGCATAAAAGTGACAAGCTCTATGATGCAGAGACTGCGACTAAAGGCAGATTTTTGAGAAAGAGTTATAGAAACCTCAGGAGAAAGACTAAGGAGAAAATTATGTGTATGTTAAGAACTGAAGGAAGACTTAGCATTAGCTGGGAGAAAAGATTTCCAGGTAGGTATGAAAGCCAGTGCAGAGATTTGGGTGTGGAAGATACAGGAGAGAGCTCAGTACAGTTGGAGTGGAGAAAACGAAGTGAGGGACGAAGTTGGAGCCATAAATAGAGGCCAGGTCTTCAGGAGCTTTGCTGCCATGTTAAATTGGAACATTATCCTGAGGCATTAGAGAGCCTCTGTGGGGTATTAAGTAGGCAAAAAATCTGCTATAAAGTCATATATTTGGGTTGGTGGGAAGAGGACAGCTTCTTGTATTCATCCAGATTTGGGGATTTTCAAAGCTGGTAAAATGGAAGAAGGGGAAAGGGAGCTGAGGGTATTGAAAAAGAGAGTGGTTGAAATGATAGTTCATGGAGTCTAAAGTGGGTAAGGAAAGAAATCAAGAGTGGAGCAGAGCAAAACCGAAAACAGTTCTGTCGAGAGGAACCAAGGGCAAGAATTTCAAAATCAGAAACCTGTCATTAGAGACTGGGATGTTCAAGATTTCCAAGGTACAATTTCAGATGAGAATAAAGTTTAAGTGTGGCCATGGATGTGGTAGACTAAAATGGAGAGGACAAGAAGGTCATAAAGTAGAGGCGTTCAAAACATGGAGAATGCAAGGTGTGGGATGTACCTGCCATGTGAAAGCTGAAGTCACCCGGAAGAGAACAGGAGCTGAAATTGAAGAGGAAACTTTGAGACAGGTGGTAAAATATTTGATGCATGAAAATGGATACCTGGGAGGTGGTTAGATAGCAGAAAGAGAAGAGAGAGAAAGGCATAGCCAAATGATGTAGACCTCAAAGGAGCTGATGACTTTATACAAGGACAGAAAACAAGTGGTCTGGAGATGTCAGAGGATTCCAAGATCTGACTCTGAGGCACTGAATATAGGAAAATATGCAAACTTGACCAGAGAAGACTACTGGAGTTGCAGGACATACCAAGAGGATTCAAGAAAGTAAAAGAGTATTTAGAGTGGATGGGGTGGAGCGTGGAGGGATGGGAGATGGGGCTAGAGAAAGGGAAAAACAGTGAAATATTGGGATGTAGAGTAGGCACTTAATAGTTTTCCCACTCACACAGAAACTCTCCTGAAACCTCTCCCCATGTTCTGATGCACAAGGTCACAGAGCAGATCTCCAACCACCAAGATGATATTTCAGGGACATCTCCCTGGTCATAGCTGGTTGGACCAGAGGTAGACACCTGAACTTATGTGGACCAAGCAGATTCTTTTCTGAGAATTAGGAATTCAGTCAGTCATTAAATGTTTTGGGGCTGAAACATGTGACCCCAGGTGCTACAGTTAGCTACCTTGTAGGCTGCCTACTATGTGGACTGAGAAGCAAAGACAGCTGGTTTGCCAATAAGGAAGACTGAAGCAGATGCTCATCAATGAGCAGGAGAAACTGATGCTGTGCTGTACATCTGAAGTTCATCTGACACACCACAAGGGGCTCTGCTCCACACAGTTATTCAGGTACCCAGGCTAACAGAGGCTTCCAAAGTCACCCTGGGCATCCACTTGGAGCCAGATGGGGAAGAGTAAAGAAGACACTTCTTAACCACCTCACTTCAAATTCTGTTACCCCTACCTAGGGAGAAACAGGTTTGGGAAATGCAAGACCTATTGCTGCTATACCCCAAAAAGAGCTCTTCTTAATGGAAAAGGAAGCAGGAGTCATTAGTGGTTGTCTTAGAATACTCAAGACTGGGTAATTTACTTTTAAAAGAAATTTGTGTCTCACAGTTTTGGAAGCTGGTAAGTCCAAGACTGTGGTACTGGCATCTGAAGAGTCGTCCCTTGGCAGGGCAGAAGATGGAAGGGTGAGAAAGGGTGAGAGTGAGAGAGGAAGAGTGTGAGAGAGACAGAAAGGAAAAGGGGGCCAAACACCCACAATAATGGCATTAATCCACCATGAGGGCTCCACCCTCATGACCCAATCACCTCGAGAAAGCCCCACCTTTTAACATTACCACAGTGGCAATGAAGTTTGCAACACTCCATCTTCCAGGGGATACTTTCAAACCAAAGCACTTGCCATCTACCTGGACTCTGTATTAGCTATCATGAAAGCCAAGTGAAGAAAGCAGTTCAGGAAACAGGCAGTGATCCAATGGTTGAAATGCTCTTGACTTGCCAATAAAATGAAGACTGAAGATTGCCTAGTGGATTTGACAAGGGCGATTTTGGTGGAGTTTTGGGTCAGATGTCTGAGTGAAGCAGGTTCAAGAGAGATAAAAGGAGAGGAAGTCAAGACAAAGCATAACAAGTCTTTGGGGAGAGTTTTGATATAAAGGACAACAGAAAAATGAGACACAGCTGGAGCAGAATATAGGGTTAAGAGAGGATTTTTTTTTAACCGAGGATCAAAGAAAGGGAAAATTAATAATTAATGATTCAGGGGGAAAAAAAGAGGGAAATTTCAGGACAAAGCCTAAGTTTCAGCTCCTTTGACCATAAGAGGAGCTCACAGTTCTTTCAAGCTCCATAATTGTCTTAGTCAATTCAGGCTACTATAACAAAGTACTATAAACAGGGTGGTTGATAAACAGCAGACATTTATTTCTCATAGTTTTGGAGTCTGGAAGTTCAACATCAAGGTGCCAGCGTGACTGGGTTCTGATGAGTGCTCTTCTGGGTAACAGACTGCAGTCTTTTCATTATATCTTCATATGGTAGAGAGAAAGCAAGAGAGTTCTCTGGGATCCCTTTTATAATAAGGGCACTAATACTATTCATGAGGGGTCTACCCTCATGAACTAATCACCTCCCAAAGGCCCCATCTCCTAATCTTATCACCTTAGGGGGAAGGATTTCAACATATGAATTTGGGGGCAGGCTGGCCATGGTGGTCTGTAATCCCAGCACTTTGGGAGGCTGAGGCAAGCGGATCGCCTGAGATCAGGAGTTTGAGAGCAGCCTGGCCAACATGGTAAAACCCCATCTCTACTAAAAATACAAAATTAGCTGGGCACGGTGGCAGGTGCCTGTAATCCCAGCTACTAGGAAGGCTGAGGCATGAGAATTGCTTGAACTCAGGAGGCAGAGGTTGCAGTGAGCCAAGGTCATGCCACTGCACTCCGGCCTGGGCAATAGAGTGAGACACTGTCAAAAAAAGAAAGAAAGAAAGAAGGAAGGAAGGAAGTTTCATGCACGTCCGTGTGAAGAGACCACCAAACAGGCTTCGTGTGAGCAACAAGGCTGTTTATTTCACCTGGGTGCAGGTGGGCTGAGTCCGCGAAGGGAGATAGGGGTGGGGCCATTTTATAGGATTTGGGTAGGTAAAGGAAAATTACAGTCAAAGGGGGTTGTTCTCTGGCGGGCAGGGGTGGGGGTCACAAGGTGCTCAGTAGGGGAGCTTTTGAGCCAGGATGAGCCAGGAGAAGGACTTTCACAAGATAATGTCATCAGTTAAGGCAGGAACAGGCCATTTTCACTTCTTTTGTGGTGGAATGTCATCAGTTAAGGCAGGAACCGGCTATCTGGATGTGTATGTGCAGGTCACAGGGGATATGATGGCTTAGCTTGGGCTCAGAGGCCTGACAGGAAGGAAGGAAGGAAGGAAGGAAGGAAGGAAGGAAGGAAGGAAGGAAGGAAGGAAGGAAGGCAGGCAGGCAGGCAGGCAGGCAGGCAGGAAAGAATTTTGGGAAAACGTATTCAGTCTATTGCAAAAATGTTTCCACAATATTTCCACTTTCCTGTTCTTATTATTCCTTTCTTAGAGATCCCTTTTGATACAGAATTTAATCAATTCACATATCATTGCATTCGTTTAGGCTACTTACCATCATGAATCAAATGGCATTTCTGAAGTACCCACAAGATCAAAATGCAAAAAAGGATGTTTTTATGTATCCTCCCTGAAAGGTTGGTGGATTTTGTTAAATCTATCCAGGATTTTTGGTTCTAGCAGTGTGTGTGCTTCTGGTCTCGATACACTATTAAAGCAAACAGCAAGCAATCTGATAGCAGCTTCCCAGGCTACCGCAGAGAAGGCTAGACAATCTTCTGGTCATAACGACTTTCACAGCTCAAACTGTGCTACAGACCCAAGGACTTAATTTCCCCAGCTTCTAGTCCTCTTTGTGAAAACCATTATATTTTGTCATCTTCTCTGGTCCCTCAGTAGGAAAATCTCCACTTGTCCAATATACTGGCCATTAGCAATTGGAAATTTCACTCCTTAGAGTGCTGCTTACAGAGAATGCGGCGATTTGCAGTCCATTTATTGTACCCTTTGTTCTTTAAAATTTATGAGGCCGTTTGCCTGGGTTCTTATTGCCGAAAGTGAATTGACCATTAGCAGGAGACTAGTAGCTGCTAAGTGGATTCTGTTGTAGAGTATTCTCAAAGACCATTAGCTTTTCATTGTGGGGGGCAATTGGTGTTTACTGTTTATTGTGTGGTTCAATTGCATGCATTGTTCCCCTGAGGTTGTAAAACCTTTAAAAGCATTGAGAATAGCTTTTAAAAATCCACTTGAAAATATGCGACCATTTTCACTAGATACAGATAGTGAATAAGAGGAAGAGCTGATCACCAGGGCTTTGTTTTACTCATGATCAGTCTGGTATATTTGCCTTCTGACTCAGTGGATTATTCCCCTTCCCCTGAACTTCAGAGTTAGCTGTAAACAATGTGCATCAAGTCATTTCACCCTAAATGCAAATACCGGTCTCGGAACAAATATTAAATAGCACCAATTGAGGCTTTTATGTTCTTTATCAAACCCCAAGGTAAAGATGGCTTCTGAAAAGAGGTTCTTTCCTGTGGATCAATTCTGATATCTAGTCTACAGGCCACAAGCTTTTCACTCATCCTCTGTCTTTGCCAAGGAGTTAACTGGGGAATGGGGAAACCATTAAAAATAGTAAAGGCAGAATAGAAATTGTGAATAAAGGCGAGAGGAAAAGCTTATAAACCTGCTAGTAATGGAGTAAATAAGAAATAAAGTCACTTTAGGTAAATAATTGATAAAAATTTGTCTCATTAAATATTTATCATATCAGTATAACAAAATACTTTTTGCATAAACTTTGTTTTTGCTTTTTTTGAGGTAAAGACATGTTCTAGCCTCCCTTTTTCTGTGAAAATGAAGCACAGTTGGACAGTTGGTGCTCTGAGTCGCTGGATTCCATGGACATCTGTTGCCTTGCCTTAGAATCTAGCCATAATTTTTATATTGTTTCTATGGGAATATTGTGTTTTGCATCCCAAACAACAAAATTCCAGATGAATTTTGGACTAACATGTTTATAGCTTGGGCCGAGGATCTTCCATTTCAAAAGAGAGGCTGTAGTTCCTCCCAACACTCAGCTTGGTACATCACATCCTATCTAAAGAAAACATAAACCATCACATTACAAAAGAATTGAAATTTATGCCTTACTTTGTAAATGGGCAAAGTATGGAAGGCTAACTTAGACCCTGTTAAACTATGACTTATGTATTAACGAACTAGTCCTCTTTAATTTTTATGTATTCCAAAGTTTCTACAACAAACATATTTTACCATTGTAATCAGCAAAACGATACAAAAAATAGTTTGATTTCTTTTTTGAGATAGGTCTCACGCTCTCGCCCAGACTGGAGTGCAGTGGCTCACTGCAGCCTTGACCTCCTGGGCTCAGATGATCCTCCCACCTCAGCCTCCTGGGTAACTGGGACTACAGGTGCATGCTACCACTGCTGGATAATATTTTATATTCTTTGTAGAGATGGGGTTTTGCCATGTTGCCCAGGCTACAAATACTTTTTTAAAAGAGATTCTGGAGCTTCCTTTAACATAATTAAAGAAAAAATCATTAAAGTTGAAAAAATTCCATTTGGCCCTAAAAAGATTTTATTGAATCCTGCCTTTCTTGAGCAATGCCACAAACTTCATTCTTCATGAACTGAGTTTATGTTTGAATAGAAGATTGAGGAAGAACCGCAAAGAGGGTCATATTCATTATTTGCACTTAACCTCATAAAATTTCACCTATTCTTTGACATCTGTTATCAACCACACCTGCAGGATGGACCGGGGATAACAAAAGAGGCTTTCAGGGCAGAAAACTACAGCTAAATGATTCCAAAGTCAAAGGTGCCTCTTTGGGAAGTCTGCCTAGATAGCTGGGGATTTTTCTTTCTCAATCGTTAACATATTCACATAGCTCATGAATTTAAAAATAGAAAATGTCTTCCAGGGAATACTTTTTAAAATCCTTTATCTCTAGAATTTTCATCTCTCCAGCCCTCACAGGTAATTAATTACTTTTATTTATTAGTTTTGGGTCTATTCTCCAGAATTTCTTTAGGCAAATATAAGCGTATATGACCTCATATACATTTTAAGCTGTGGACCATTTAAAGAGCACCATATTGGGTGGGAATGATCTTTCTTACAGAATTTTGTTGTTGCTGTAAGAAGAAAATATTATAGTTAACTTCATACTATTTTATTCTCCAGCAAAAGTAGAGATAGCCCAGCCTATTAACTGGTACTAGGAGTCAATAGACCATTAGTTTAAAATATAACTCTGAACTGTTTTTCCTTGTGCTTCAGCTGAGAAAGAGAATCTGCATCTGTGAGTTTGAAGGCTAAATGGGACATGGACGTGGCAGGCTCTGACAAGAACATGTACAGAAAGATGATATTAATGATTACCTTTATGTGGGCCATGGTATCTTCTAAACTTCAGGTGATGATATAAATGAACAGCCTTAAATTGTGGCTCGAAACTATTAAGCCAGATTTACAAAGCAAGATTACTGTTATCAAATATGATTTCTATAACGGACTGATCAACCCAACCTTCTTTTATTGCTTACAAATATCACTACCATTGGCCAAAGTTTATTGACCCTCTGTAATATGCTTTCTACAATTCACAGTGAGACTAATGAATTGGGAGAGACCTCTGGACCTCTAGAATGTCTAAGAAGGCAGTTGGTATCCTGCCATAGAAAGGGCCTATGGAAATTTGCAAAGGAAGTGAGGGAGGTCTGCCTTCTTTCTTTCATATACCTGAGATCAGGTATATTGAACAGCTAAGCTGTGTGGGCTTTCACAGCCTTGTTTTGCATAAATCAATGTTAATTTATACGTTACATTAAAGCCTAGTACAGTGTCTTTAAACAATCTACTCTATGAAAAACATTTGCCTCATTTGTTTTATCTATCTATAAATCTATATTTATTTTATGTAATTCATATTACGTATTCTATATTTCTGAACATTTAAGGCTAAATTTCAGACATCAGGTTCCTTAATCCTAAATGATTAGGTATGTTTATTTCCCAAGAACAAGGACATTTATTTATATAACCACAGTACAGTTACCAAAATCAGGAAATTTAACATTGAAACAACACTATTATCCAATGTATAGATCGTATTTGAATTTTACCAATTGTCTCAAAAATGTCCTCTATAGCAATTTTTATGTTTTCTGGTATGAAATCCAATCCAGGATCACTCAATGCATTTTATTCTAATGTGTCTTTAGTCTTCTTTATAATGGCACAATTCCTCAGCTTTTATTTATCTTTCATCATACGGGCGTTTGAGAAAAATACAGTTCCTTTGTAAATATCTCCCAATTCCTGTTTGTCTGATGTTTCCTCATGACTAAGCTCAGGTAGTGCAAAAATGGAAGGACTACTATGCAAGTGATGTTGTATTCTTTTTAGTTGTTTTACTTTTTTTAATTTGTTTTTTGAGACCGGTTCTCACTCTGGCACTCACTCTAGGCTGGAGTGCAGTGGGGCAATCACAGCTCACTGTAGCCTTGACCTCCCTATCACCCAGGTTGGAGTGCAGTGGCATGATCATGGCTCACTGCAGCCTCAACCTCCTGGGCTCAAGCAATCCTCCTGCCTCAGCCTCCCAAATAGCTAGGAGTATAGGCACAGGCTACCACACCCAATATAATTCTCATAAAAACTCCAACAGGTTTTTTTTTCTTTCTCTTACTTAGTGGAATTTAATAAACTGGTTCTAAAATTTTATATGGAAATGTGAAGGACCAAGAATAGCCAAGGTATTCTTGAGGAATAAAGTGGACAGACACACTTTACTAGATAAGAGAACTTATTACAACATTCATATACAGAATGCCATAGATATAGATATAGACATAGATATAGATCTCACTCTGTTGCCCAGGCCAGAGTGCAATGGCGCTATCTCAGCTCACTGCAACCTCCAACTCCTGGGTTCAAGCAATTCTCCTGCCTCAGCCTCCCAAGCAGCTGGGATTATAGGCACGTGCCACCACGCCAGGCTAATTTTTGTATTATTGTAGACACGGGGTTTCACCCTGTTGGCGAGGCTGGTCTTGAACTCCTGACCTCAAGTAATCCACTCGCCTCAGCCTCCCAAAGTGCTGGGATTACAGGTGTGAGCCACCACACCTGACCCAGAATACCCAGTTTACATTGAACCCTCATATAAAGAAAATAAAACTTGACCTTACCTCACACCGTATGCTAAAATTAATAACAGGTTGATCATAGACTTAAATGTGCAAGGTGAAACAATAAAGTTTGTAGAGGATAATAAAAGATAATACCCTCATGTTCTTGGAATAGGGAAGGATTACTTCAACAAGACACACAATGCATTTAACATAAAGAAAAAAGTTAAAATCTTTCCTTAAGAGAGTGAAAAACAAGCCACAAACTGGAAAAAGATATTTGTAATACACATAGTGAGAAGGACTTGGACTTGTACTTGGAAGATACATAGAACTTCTGTAATTCAATAAGAAAAAGACAGACAATAAAGGGAAAAATAGGCAAGCAATTGGAACATGCGCTTTATAAAAGGTGATATCCAGTAGCTAAGAAACATGAAAATGTGTACAACCTGTTTAATTTTAAATCACCTTGTCTCTAAAAAAAAAATTGTAAAATGTAAATAGAATCCATAGATCAATACAGAGAAGTGACATTTTTGCAATATTTATTCTAACAATTTGTGAACATGGTTTGTTTCTTCTTTTATTTGCGGGAGTGGGTGTGTGTATTTCTCTTAATAATGCATTACAGTTCTCTGTGTAAAGCTCTTGCGCATCATTTTTAAATTGTATTTCTTGAAACCTGATTTTTGTTTGTTTGTTTTAGACAGGGTCTCTCTCTGTCACCAAGGCTGGAGTGAAGTGGTACCAGCATGGCTTATTTCAACCTCGACCTCCTGGGCTCAAGCAATCCTTCCACCTCAGCCTTCTAAGTAGCTGGGACTACAGGCATGTGCCACCATGCCTGGTCGATATTTTTATTTTTTGTTGAGACAGGGTCTTACCTATGTTGCCTAGCTTAGGTTGGTCTTGATCTCCTGGGGTCAAGCCATCCTCCTGCCTCAACCTCCCAAAGTGCTGGAATTATAGGCATGAACCAGTGCACTTGGCCTGATACCTTATTTTTCTATGCTACTGCTATTTAAGGATGCAAGTGACTTTTTTTTTTGACGGAGTCTCACTCTGTTGCCCAGGCTGGAGTGCAGTGGTGCCATCTTGGCTCACTGCAACCTCCGCCTCCCAGGTTCAAGCGATTCTCCTGCCTCAGCCTCCTGAGTAGCTGGGATTACAGGTGTGTGGCACCATGCCCGGTTAATTTTTTTATTTTTAGTAGAGACAGGGTTTCACCATGTTGGTCAGGCTCGTCTCGAACTCCTGACCTTGTGATCCTCCCACGTTGGCCTCCCAAAGTGCTGGGATTACAGGCGTGAGCCACTGCACTAGGCCACAGTTGCCTTTTTACGTAGACATTATATGCAACAAAATTGCTTAACTCACTTATTCTAAATGCTTATTTATATATTCCTTTAGAATATTGTATATACACAGCCATATAACTTTCAAATAACGTCAGTAGAGTTTCTAAATGTATACATTTCTTTCTAAATCTTCAAATAACATCAGTAGTGTTTCTTTCTAAATTTCTAAATTTATTCTCTGTATTTTTCTATTCTTTATTCCCTGACTGGGACCTCTAGTACAATATTGAATAGAAGTGGTGATATTGAATATTCTTGTGGCAGATGTGGAGGTGAGTCTCTCATATCTTCCTTCAAAACAGAAGCCAGGTGCGGTGGCTCATGCCTGTAATTCCAGCATTTTGGGAAGCTGGGGCAGTTGGATCACCTGAGCTCAGGAGTTTGAGACCAGCCTGGCCAACATGGTGAAACCCCATTTCTACAAAAAATACAAAAATTAGCCATGCGTGGTAGCACACGCCTGTAGTCCCAGCTACTAGAGAGGCTGAGGCAGAAGAATTGCTTGAACCTGGGAGGTGCAGGTTGCAGTGAGTCGAGATCATGCCACTGCACTCCAGCCTGGGTGAGAGTGAGACTCCATCTCAAAAAAAAAAAAAAAAAAAAAAAACCTGCCTTGGAGAGTGCAGTTGGCTCACAGCTTCTGGCTGCAGGCACCTTCAGCATCTTCTTCAGCTTTTGAGCTGGGCCATAGATTTCCAGAGCAGCCTTCAATCAATTAATGGGCTTGGCAGTGATGCAAGGACTCATCTTTTTGGCCGGTGTGGGACTCCTCCATGGGAAATCTTTGAGCCACAGCTCCCCATTCGGCTAGTCAAGATATTCTCAGAGCTGCAGTGTAATTTGCTGTTCTTCCTACCTTATCCTCTTCCTTCCCTTCTCCTTGCACAGGGGTCAGATCAGCATTTAGGTCTGAAGCTTTCTCTGCCCTCTCTTGCTGCCTCCCCTCTTGAGCTTTCATGGGAATTGCCTCCAATAAATCCATTGCACTTCTAAATCCATCTTGACGTCTGCTTCCAAGAGGACTTAGCCAACATACTTGCCCTATTCCCCAAATCAAAAGAAAATTTTCAACATTTAACTATTAATTATGGTGTTCACAATAGGCTTTTTGTAGATGCTCATTATCAGATAAGGAAGTTTCTTTTTATTTTTTCCATTGATGACAAATGGATACCGAATGGATACCGAATGTAATCAAATTTTTTTCTACATCTTTTGACGTGATTTTACATTTTTTTCTCCTCTGTTCTGGTAATGTAGATAATTACAATGGTTGATTTTTGAGTGCTAAATAAATCTTCTTTTCCTGGGGAAAAAAAAACACCCAACTTGATCATTACTTATTGCCTATTTGCATATTGTTGGATTCTATTTGTAAATATTTTGCATAGGATTTTTACAACTATTTTCATGAGTGAGATTAGCCTGAAATAATCCTTTCTTGTAGTGGGTCTTTTTTGTAGTTTTCAGATCTCTGCTGAAATTATGTCTTGCTTTTAATCTTGAATATCATAAGCAAGTCTTGTCTGCTAACTCCAGTATCTGGAGTTCCTTTAGGTCTGTTTCAATTTTTGCTAGTTCTGCTCTTTTTTGCTCATATAGTATTTTGTCTCCACATGTGGCCTGGCTGTCTTTTTTCTTCTCTTTTATTTTCTTTTTTTAGATGGAGTCTCACTCTGTAGCCCAGGCTGGAGTGCAGTGGTGGGATCTTGGCTCACTGCAATCTCCACCTCCCAGGTTTAAGCAATTCGCCTGCCTCAGTCTCTCGAGTAACTGGGATTATAAGCCTGCGCCAGCACGCCTATTTTTTGTATTTTTAATAGAGGCAGGGTTTCACCATGTTGGCCAGGCTGGTCTCGAACTCCTGACATCAAGTGATCACCTGCCTCGGCCCCCCAAAGCGCTGGGATTACAGGCATGAGCCACTGTGCCTGGCTGCCTTGTTGTTTTTTATTCTGTGCTGGACTTTATATTTGCAAAATTATTTTTAGAAATAATTTGATGCCTAGGTTGATGCCATCTTTCTCTAGAGAAATTTGCCCCTGCCAGGAGCCTGGAACACTAGCAATCCAATTTGAGAGACTGGGAAGATTTGAGGTTGAGCTGCAGTCCCAACAATAGTGTGTTATATTCTAGTTCACCCCTATTCATAGCGTGTAGCCCTTCAGGGTTCTAACACAAAGCAAAAGTTGCTCATCGGGGCCTTACCTTCTTGGCAGCCCTGGACTCCAGGATGCCAGTGCACCTCTCCCTGCAATCCCTGCAAGGTTGTCCAAAAGCATTGATCAGCCTCTCAGGCACCCGCTCCTAGATCACCAAATATCAGTGGAAATGCAGCTCCCCTCCCTGAGATTCCATCCTCCCCAGATCTGAGCATTACAATTACTCACTTTGTACTCACTTATTATGATAGAGATTCCTATATAATATATGTCTATATGAAATTGTCCATTTAACTTAATTTTTCAAATGAACTGGCAAAAAGTTGTTCACAACTTACTCATATCTTTTTAATGTCTGTGGCGCTTAAGTAATGTTCCTTTTCCTTTTTCTTTTTTTTTTTTTTTTTGAGATAGAATCTTGCTCAGTCACCCAGGCTGGAATGCAGTGGTGTGATCATGGCTCACTGCAGCCTTAACCTCCTGGGCTTAAGCAATCCTTCCACCTCAGCCTCCCAAGTAGCTAGGACCACAGGTGCATGCCACAATACCCACCTAATTTTTGTATTTTTTTTGTAGAGATGGAGTCTTGCTATGTTGCTCAGGCTTGTCTCAAACTCCTGGCCTCAAGCAATCTGCCCACTTTGGCTTCCCAACGTACTGGGATTGCAGGCGTGAGCCACTGTGCCTGGCTTGTAATGTTCTTTCTTCGTTCATAACATTATATGTGTTCTCACTCTCTTTCCAGAGTTTTGCCATCTTATTATTCTCATGAAGGAATCACCTTATGATTGTGTCATTCCTCTCTATTGCATGCTTGTTTTCTTTTCTTTTCGAGAGAGGATCTCCCTCTGTCACTTCGGCTGGAGTGCAGTGGCACAATCATGGCTCACTGCAGCCTCCACCTCCTGGGCTCAAGCAATCCTCTCGCCTCAGCCTCCCAAATAGCTGGGACTACAGGCACATGCCACCACACCAGGCTAATTTTTTTTTTTTTTTTTTTAAATAGAGGTGAGGTCTCTCTATGTTGTCCAGGCTGGTCTTGAACTCCTGGCCTTCAGCCTCCCAAAGTGTTGGGATTACAGGCGTGAGCCACCGCACCCAGCAGTATATTTGTTTTCTATTTCATTGTTTTCTATTCTTATCTTTCTACTACTTACTTTCTACTTACTTTCTTATTACTACTATATATTTACTTATTTTATATTCTTTGGGCTTATTTTGTGGCTCTTTAAGTTCTTTAGATAGATACTCAGCTCATTAATTTTCAGCCTTTCATCATTTCTGTCTGATATGGTTTGGCTCTGTGACCCCATCCAAATCTCATCTTGTAGCTCCCATAATTCCCACTTGTTGTGGGAGGGACCCAGTGAGAGATGATTGAATTATGAGGACGGGACTTTCTCGTGCTGTTCTCATGATAGTGAATGGGTCTCACAAGATCTGATGGTTTTAAAAATGAGAGTTTCCCTGCATAAGCTCTCTCTTTGCCTGCTGCCATCCACATAAGATGTGACTTGCTCCTCCTTGCCTTCTGCCATGATCTTGAGGCCTCCCCAGCCATGTGGAACTGTAAGTCCAATCAACCTCTTTCTTTCGTAAATTGCCCAGTCTCAGGTATGTCTTTATCAGCAGCATGAAAACAAACTAATACACTATCTTAGTCTATTTTAAACTGTGTATTACATGCAAATATGAAGCTACAAATTTTCATCTATTTTCTACTTCAGTTGTACCCCCAAATTTAAATATGTGGTATTTCATTACCATTCAAAAATTTTTTTTAAATTTTCAGTAGGACTTATTCTTTAATCTGTGGGGTTCTTAAAACAATTTCTTGATTTTTGAACATATGAGAATTTTCTCCTTCTTTTTTAAAAATTTTAAATAGAGATGGGTTTTCACCATGTTGCCTAGGCTGGTCTTGAACTCCTGGGCTCAAGTGATCCACCTGCCTCGGCCTCCCAAAGTGCTGGGATTACAGATGTGAGCCACCATGCCCAGCCATGAGAATTTTCTCTCTCTTTTTTTTCTTTTTTGAGATGTAGTCTCGCTCTGTTGCCCAGGCTGGAGTAAAATGGCACAATTTTGGCTCACTGCAACCTCTGCCTCCCAGGTTCAAGCAGTTCTCCTGCCTCGGTCTCCTGGGTAGCTGGGACTACAGGTGAGCACCACCACACCCAGCTAATTTTGTATTTTTAGTAGAGACAGGGTTTCACCATGTTGGCCAGGCTGGTCTCGAACTCCTGACCTCAAGTGATCTGCCTGCCTTGGCCTCCCAAAGTGCTGGGATTACAGGCATAAGCCATCGCGCCCAGCCTGAGAATTTTCTATATAAATTTATTGTTGATTTCTATTAAATTGCATTTGGTGAGAGAAGATGCTGTGACTTCTTTCAATCCTTTGAAAGTCGTTGAGACATGAGTGCTGCATATTCTTGGACTGCCCTTGAGAGTTACTCTCCACCCTCTCCTCTCTGCTCTGAATGGCTGGGGGCTAATCTTTATTCACTGTGTCACCAAGGCTCCCTTATCTGTTAGCTTCTATATTCTGCCAAATAACAAGGTGGTGACTAATAGGTTTTAGGTTTCAGAGGACATTTGAAACATTCATGGCTACATTGTTCATTATTGCTCCCCAACTGAAAACAGCCCAAATTTTAATCAGCAGTGGAATATATTTAAGAAACAAACAAACATTCTGGTGTCTTATATACAATGAAAAACTGTACAGTAATAAGGCAAATTACAGCTACTTGTGTGTGAATTTCACAAACATAAAAAAGCAAGCCAAGAAGGAAGAGGAGGAGAAAAAAGGATGCATGCATTAAATACGGTTCTCTTTTCAAAAAATAAGGCAAAATAAGCTATACTGTTTAGAAATGCATACATACACGGCAAAGTTATAAAAAGACTCAAGAAAATGTTCATCCCAAGTGTCAGGATAGGGGCCCAGTCTAGAGAGGACTGAAGTGTTCTCATCTAGGAGGGACACACAGGGATGTGTCTGTGTCTATGTCTTAACTTGAGTGGTGGTTATACAGACCTTTGCTTTAAAATTTTTCCTCAAGCCAGGGATCAGCAAATTATGACCTGTGGGCCAAATCAGCCCAGTATCTGTTTTTATAAATAAAGTTCTGTTGGAACACAGCCATGTTCATCCATTACGTATTTCGTATAGCTGCTTCCATGCTGTAATAGCAGTCTAGAGCAGTTTTGGCAGAGACTATATATCCTGCAAAGCTAAAAATATTTACCATCAGGCCTAGAAGAGTGCATAAAACACATACGTATGGTTTCAACCAGGGGCTGCTTTAAACCATATATGTAAATTTTGCTCACTCTTCTGTATGGATGATACATTTCACATTTTTAAAAGAGGAAATAGAAAAGGAAAGAAAAATGAATGAGATTAGCTCCTAATATGGTTAATATGTACTCACTGATTTTATAAACTTTGTTTTGAAGACTCACTCTGAAAATCTGACTGAAGAATTATTTGGTTGGCCGGACGCAGTGGCTCACGCCTATAATCCCAGCGCTTTGGGAGGCCAAAGCGGGTGGATCACATGATGTCAGGAGTTTGAGACCAGCCTGGCCAACATGATGGAACCCCATCTCTACTAAAAATACAAAAATTAGCTGGGCATGGTGGCGCATGCCTATAATCCCAGCTACTTGGGAGGCTGAGGTAGGAGAATTTGCTTGAACCCGGGAGGTGGAGGTTGCAGTGAGGCGAGATCGTGCCATTGCACTCCAGTCTGGGCAACAAGAGTGAAACTCCGTCTCAAAAAAAAAAAAAATTAGTATAATTAATTAACTAAAACCCACTCATGCTAATTCATGTAAAGGGAGATTTATTATAAAGAGATAAATCTTAAGAAACCCAACTGAACTTGAGAACTGGGAGTAGCAACTCCAGGCAGTTTCTCTCTCTCTCTCTCTCTCTCTCTCTCTCTCTCTCTCTGTCTCTCTCCCCTTTCTCTCCAGTCTGGTCCTTCAGAGATGATAAGTTGCTCAGTCCCTATGTCCCAACTCCAAATTTCTGGGAGATATTTCATTTACTGCAACTTGGGTCACATTCACTGGTGGTGCAGTCTGCAGTAACGTGGTAAGTAGGGTAGCTGTGGGAAGGGCGGCATTTCTTTTTTTTTCTTTTTCTTTTTCTTTTTTTTTTTTGAGATGGAGTTTCACTCTTGTTTCCCAGGCTGGAGTACAATGGCACGATCTCGGCTCACCACAACCTCTGCCTCCTGGTTTCAAGTGATTCCCCTGCCTCAGCCTCCCGAGTAGCTGGGATTACAGGCATGCGCCACCATGCCTGGGTAATTTTGTATTTTTTGTAGAGATGGGGTTTCTCTATGTTGGTCAGGCTGGTCTCGAACTCCTGAACTCAGGTGATCGGCCCTACTTGGCCTCCCAAAGCACAGGGATTACAGGCATGAGCCATCGTGCCCGGCCAAAGGGCAGCATTTCTAAGGAGAGATTGTGGATGGGAAGCAATTTTATGTATGTAACGAAATAAGAAAGGAACTAGGCTGGACATTGTTCAGAGGGCAATAAACAGTGGGTGAGTGATAGATGGGGAAAGATATTGCAGGGTACCTTCCAAGTGTGTATAAGGATTAATTTGCATCCTGTATTGCAAATATTTATAAATTCTTTCAAGTCCTTGAAAGAGAAGTCTAAATGTGGGATCAGAATGAATGAGAATGGTGAATTTTCTATAATGTGCAATCAAGCAAACTAGTGGGAAAATGAGAAAAGTCAAAAAAGCTAACAACGACATTGAAATAAAGCCTTGAAAAGAGTTTGATTTGCAAATTGGTATATGAGAGTTTACACGTTTAAATAATTTCCTACACCAAAGTAGCAGTCCTTGCATTTATGATAAACATGCTGCCCAGTGCAAGTCAGAATGTTTGAATTATTACTAAAGGATGTGAGCTGGGCCCTTCATGAAGAGCAGAAGTCAGCTAAACCACTTCGTGCTTTGAGGTACAAATGTAAATGAAATTAGCGGGAACTCTATCCCACCTGCAGTGGGACAGGAGTGGCGCAGCTCTTCCAACCTCCTCTGGCTCAGTTGGCCCCTTCAAGGCTCACTCATGGGTTCTGTGTTCGGGTGCCCCAGCATGACGCCCCAGATGAGAACACAAAGTCCTTTTCTCCATCTCTCCCCACGATGTCATAAGTGTTCACCAAAGGTTGAGAAAACGACCAAGAGGTGGCCGTTCTCACACTGGGGAATGCGATGGCACTCCTGGGCAAACAGCCTAATGCTGAACAGTGCGCACCTTCTCCTTCAGTCCTGAGAATTTCTTGGCAAACCTTCACCCCTAGGTGGGCTTTCCTCCACAGGCTGCAAGGCTTCTGCCACGTGGCTGTGACCTCCTGCTCCTCACTCCCATTACAGACTCCCTCATCCCTCCAGCCCCCTTCCTTGGATCTCTGCCAGCTCAACCAGCCTTGCTTCATTATGCAAAACACTCCAGGTCACACCTCAGCCAAATATCCATTCATGAGCTCTTCTTGCACCCTGGCCTCCCAGGGGAACATGCAAGGCTTTAAAATATTTTTTACTCCTTTCTCCCATCTCTCCAGCCCCAGTGAGAGGAAAAAGACAGGAAAAAGTTTACTTCCCCATGGAAATGATTTATGCTGGACCTCTTGGAAGGTCCAGTTGTCTGGCTAGAAACAGTTGAAGTCTAAAATACCCATAGCTTTCTTTCTGTACAGGAGTGGAAGACAAGTTTCAGAATGTTTGAGCCCTTCACCCAAAGGCACACAAGGCAGGTGGGGAGGCAGGAATCTAACCCAGGCTGAAGTTTCTAGATCTAGTATTTGTACTAAGCTGCCATGCTGCTTTATGTCTGTGACCATGTTGGAAAAAGTGTTTTAGCTGTACCATCACTTAGTTACAACTATTCTGATTCTGTTTAATCATCCACCTAACTTCATAGAAGTTAGGCTCAAGCTTCTATTTTCTTAATGTTTACATTTTTCCAATATAAAATAATAGAAAAAAATTGCTCATTATACTGGGGTAAGTAGTATCCCCTCAAAATTTATGTGTACCCAGAACCTCGGAATGTGACCTTATTTGGTGAAAGGATCTTTGCAGAATAATGAGTTAAGATGAGGTTATACTGGGTTAGATTTGAACCCAAATCCAATGACTTACTCCTTACAAGAAGGCCATATGAAGATGCTCAGGGAAGAAGGGCGTGTGAAGACAGCAGCAGAGATTGCAGGAACACAACTACAAGCCAGGAAACCCCAAGGATGACAGCCACCACCAGAAGCTAAGAGAGGCAAGAACAGATTCTCCCCAACAGCCTCCAGAAGGAACCAATCCTATCCAAACTTCAATTTCAGATTTCTGGGCTCCTGTGAGAGAATAAATTTCTGTTGTTTTAAGTCACCCAGTTTGTGGAACTTTGTTACAGCAGCAGTAGCAAACTAATAGGCTGATTAAAGGAAAATGGAAATTAACAGTGAAAAGGAGAGATGAATGAATGCCCATCTGATTTGCAGCTTCTTGACACTTTTGATGTGTTTCTTTCCAGTCATTTTGTGTTAGGTATAACCATGCTGCACATACACTTCTGTCTCCTGATTTTTGCTTAGTGTTAAAAACATTTATCCAGACTAATGTGTAAGTTTTGAAAGCATGATGTCAATGATTATATAATGTTTCACTAAGAGAATGCTCTAATTTTCTCATGATTATTTATCAGTGTCGTCCTGGGTTCATGTTTATTTAATTAACATGTATATCAACTGGTGCAGTCCTGGCACATTTTGTGACTGTCTGCTCACACTGGAGAGGCAGTTAAGAGCCTAGAGCTCAGGAGAGGTTGCCTGGCTTCCCACCTTACCCCACTTCTTACTAGCTGTATGACCTTGGGCTAATTACTTATTCTCTCTCTGCCTCAAGTTTCCTCACCTATAAAATATGAAAGAAAAGCCTACTTTATAGGGTTGTCTTGAAATAAATTAATGTCTGTACAGGACTGGCTCGTGGTAAGCCAGTGAATAAAATTGGTGAATAAAATTTATTCAGAGCATCTATTATGTGCTGGGTTCTTGAAAATACACTTAGTTCTTGAAAAAACTTTACCCTCCCAAGAAAGCCAACGTGTTAAAAAAAATGCATGCAAAAAGTCATAACAGAAGTAAAACCTTATGGTAAATTGGGGTTGGAATAGATTGTGTAGGTGGTGGACTGGGTTTCCGTTTCCCTCCATTAGACTGTGGCTGCAGTGGATGTCAATTGTTACAAAGTTTTCAAAATATATCATACATGCCTAAAAGTAGAATGACTCATTAAAAGGTGTGAACATTTTTAAAGGCTGTGGACATAATATATTGTCAACATGCTTTCCAAAAAGTAGTAGCAATTCACACTTTCTCCAGCAATACAGAGGGTTCTCTGCATCTTTGGTGGCATTGGAAATGCATTCTATAACCTGTAAGTTAAAAATACTTCCTTATTTTAATTTGTGCTGAATTACTTTTGATGATAGATACAGGTAGGTAGGTAAGTAGGTAGACAAATTCTAAACTTTATTATTTTTGTTTGGTTGGCTGGTTTGGTTTCGTTGTTGTTGTTGTTTTGTTGAGACGCTGTTGAGACAGGGTCATGCTCTGTCACCCAGGCTGGAGTGCAATGGCACGATCATAGCTCACTGTACCCTCTACCTCCTGGGCTCAAGGGATCCTCCCAGCAGAGCTTCCCAAATAGCTGGGACTACAGATGCCTACACTTAAAAAGATCAAAATTTTCCACAACTGAGTGCAGTCAAAAGGATGTGCTACAGAGTCAGAAAACAAGCCTAAAAGACACGTTTAACAGGGCTGTGAAGCACAACAGCATTGCTGGAATAACGGTGCTTAGGAACAACATTTATTCAGATAAATAATTTCTCTTGTTTATGTTCTACAAGGAAAGAAACACATATTTCACTAGATTAGTATAAGTTCTAAATAAGATAACATATGTAACAACTAGTACATAATAGGAGATCAAAATGGTATCGTTTGCTTTGAGAAAGTTATATATATATTATATACATAATATTTTATATATATAATCTTTATATATATATATATAAATTTTTTTTGAGATGGAGTCTCACTCTGTCACCCAGGCTGAAGTTTAGTGGTGCGATCTCAGCTCACTGCAACCTTCGCCTCCTGGGTTCAAGAGATTCTCGTGCCTCAGCCTCCCAAGTAGTTGGGATTATAGGCATGCACCACCACGCCTGGCTAATTTTTGTATTTTTAGTAGAGACGGGGTTTCACCCATGTTGGTCAGGCTGATCTCCAACTCCTGAGCTCAAATGAACCAGCTGCCTCAGTCCACCAAACTGTTGAGATTATAGGCGTGAGCCACTGCACCTGGCCCAATTTTTTTTTTTTTTTTTTGAGACAGTCTTGCTCTGTTGCCCAGGCTGGAGTGAAGTGGCATGATCTCCCGGGTTCAAGTAATTCTCGTGCCTCAGCCTCCCGAGTAGCTGGGATTACAGGCATGCACCACCATGCCAGGCTAATTTTTGTATTTTTTGTAGAGACAGGGTTTCGCCATGTTGGCCAGGCTGGTGTTGAAGTCCTGACCTCAAGTGATCCGCCTGTCTCAGCCTCCCAAAGTGCTGGGATTAGAGGCATGAGCCACCGCACCTGGCCGAAAAAGTTATATTATTTTAAAGCCATGCCTCAAGCATAGCAGATGCATTAGCAAATCTGGAAAGTATACCAAAGGTCAAGTTCAGGAAGTGACAGTTGTGAAAAATATTCATAACCCTCCAGCCACCCAAAGAGAGCAAGCTTACTCTGACCATGCAGATTCACAGAATCTATATGTGCTCTGACAAGATTTGCCATGAGATGCTTACATAAGTAGCCATAGTGATCAAACCAGGCAATCCGGGTACTGTCCACATGTCATAGTTACACATCATTAGCAAAAAATGGAGAAAATCAGAGAACAGTCCACGGCTATCATACCAGAAGTGCTATAACACCATATTCAGCAACAGAACACAGGGAACCGAATGGTGAGACACATTTACAAGTAGATACACTGACAAAAGCAAGTTAAGATTATGTATAAAATATTAGTTCCATGCATGTCTATATCCTGAGGTAATTTTAAATTTAAACATTGTTTTATGTCCAACTATAATTTTTTTCTTTTTAAATGGTTTTATTTTATGTGCAAATAATGAGCAGATGTTGTATCCATAAATTCTACTTTCCAAAAACAGGAGCTTTTTAACAGAAAACCACATAATAACTTTTAAAAGGCACTAGGATTCCTCTGCTTCTAGATCATTGCTAGGCTAGAAAAATAAAGTTTTTTCTACCAGGAATCAGAAGTTAGAACTGAGTATTCTCCAAAGTGGAAATTCTAGAGTGTAGTGTCACTCCAGGCAAAGATTATTCAGTTCTCATCCCAAACATCCACAACTACCTATCAGAAAGGTTAAACCAAGTTGAAACAGTCCAGCATAATTAGGCTTCATCAAACAATGTCATTATGCTCTTCTAAGATGCAAATAAACCAAAACAGGAAATACTAAAATCAAAATATTTGACACCGTCATACAAATTGTTAGTTCCTTGTTGTCTCCCCCCTTCTATAACATTAATAAAGTGAATATTTTACTGCAAAGAATATTTTATTTTATACATCACTAGCCATGATTTTTTGCCATTAGTGATTATACAAATGCTGTCTAGTCCATTATCCAGATGACATAACCATTTTACGTCCACAATTCACTTCTACAGTTATAAGTAGAATTTTCGTGATTTACATAAGTACACATATCAGTGAAGATTTAATACTGAGATGCAATCTAACATCCGTAATATCTTGTGTTTTGTAGATGGCAGTGTAGGAGAGATATATTTTAATCACTTTTCATTTAAATGAACTTATGTAAAAAATAAACTAATAATTTAGCAGTTCCAAGTCTCCAAAGGGCATTTTCAAATGTCCATAAAATAAATGGTTACAGAAATGTTTAAGAAGCATCTTCATGTCCACATCCTGTTGTAACTGCTGTACCATTTTCTCTTCCAACTCCTTCCCTTTGCCTGCAAGACGGGCTTGGGTAAGATGGATGCTTTGCTTGACTTCTTTGATATCCTGAACTTTCTGTAGCTCTTTATTTTTCTTCAATCTGTTCATTATAAATTTAGCTTGGTGTTTCTGTTTGATCTCTTCAACTCTCTTCATTGCATCAATAGTTTTATTCCATAGCTCTCGCTGGTATTTGATAAGTTCATTTCTATGTTTGTCAAATTCAAATGAATTATCTACTGTAAGCTCTTTACCAGCTGCTTTCTGGAATGGTTTGGTCCGCCTAACTTTGCGAGGATTGCACTTCTTTTTAAAGTGTTTATGACATTTAGATTTACAAAATCCGAACACTTTGCAATCGTTGTGGATGAACAACATGTCATAGCCAGGGTAGATGGGCCCCGAACAGAAATAACACTTCTCGATGCGCATGTTGAACCCGTGTGGTTCCCCACTGACCACACGCTAAGCTTGAGAGCCCAACTACAATTTCTTTTTTGACTTTTCATTTTGAAATAATGATAGAGTCACCAGAAGGTTCAAAGAAAGTGTACAGGGAGGCCCAGTGTACCCTATACCTAGCCTCCTTCAGTGGTGGTAACATCTTGAATAATTACAGTACAAAATCAAAATCAGGAAATTGACATTGAAATGCTCCACAGAGCTGATTCAGATTTCATTGTTTTTATAAGCACACACGTGTGTACTTCTATACAATCTTATTACGAGTGTAGCTTCCTGTAACCACCAACACAATCGAGATACACAACTGTGCCATCACTACAAGGCTGCCTCATGCTGTAACTGCCCAGCGGGTTCACCCTGCTCACTGCCTAGACAGAGCTGTTTTATCAAGATAGGGGAATTTCTACAGAGAAAGAGTCATTCATGCAGAGCTGTCTGTGTGGGAGACCAGAGTTTCATTATTACTCAAATCAGTCTCCCTGAGCATTCGGGGATCAGAATTTTTTTTTTTCTTTTGAGACGGAGTCTCGCTCTGTCGCCTAGGCTGGAGTGCAGTGGCGCAATCTCGGCTCACTGCAAGCTCCGCCTCCCGGGTTCATGCCATTCTCCTGCCTCAGCCTCCCAAGTAGCTGGGACTATAGGCGCCTGCCACTGCGCCCGGCTGATTTTTTGTATTTTTAGTAGAGAGGGGGTTTCACCGTGTTAGCCAGGATGGTCTCGATCTCCTGACCTCGTGATCTGCCCACCTCGGCCTCCCAAAGTGCTGGGATTACAGGCTTGAGCCACTGTGCCTGGCCTATTTTTTTTTTTTTTTTTTTTGAGACAGAGTCTTGCTCTGCCGCCCAGGCTGAAGTGCAGTGACGCGATCTTTGCCCCCTGCAACCTCCGCCTCCGAGGTTCAAGCCATTCTCCTGCCTCAGCCTCCTGAATGGCTGGGATTATTGGCGCCTGCCATCACTCCCAGCTAATTTTTGTATTTTTTAGTAGTGACGGGGTTTTGACATGTTGGCCAGCCTGGTCTCAAACCCCTGACCTCAGGTGATCTGCCCGCCTTGGCCTCCCAAGGTGTTAGGATTACAGATGTGAGCCACTGTGCCTGGCCAAGTGTTTAGCTTTTTAAGAAACTGATATTTTCCAGAGTGGCTATGCTATTTACATTACTATAAATGTAGGGAAATAGATAATTTTCTCTCAATCTTTCATAATTCTTAGTTGGGATGGGCCACTGTAACAAAAAACAGATTAAAAAGAGACAAATAAACAGAAGATTATTAACATGTATACCTCGTGTAGTATACAGGGAGATACCCAGAGAAATTGGTAAATTTCAAAGAGGTGGCTTTGAACTCACACTTAAATGCCATGTCTGCTGAAACAAAAAGAAGGGTGTAGGGAAAGTTGATTATGCTCAGGAAAAACTGGCAAATAAGAGTAAGATTTGTTATGGAGATTTAAGTCAGTGCCTTCTCCATCAATAAAGGATAACTGTCTCCAGTGACTTAGAGTCATCCTGTCCTCCTGGGGTAATGTGGATGATAAGGTAACTTCCACTCTGTTTTCAGAGCTTCTCCTGTGGTTGCAGTTTCCCAAAATAATCAGCTCAAAATAGAGAGGGGAGAGGAGAGAAAGAGAAGGAGAGTTATCATAAGGAATTGGCTTATGTGATTGTGGAGGCCGAGAAGTCCCACCATCTGCCATCTGCAAGCTGGCAGCTGGGGAAAGCCAGGGGTATCATTCAATCTGAGTCCAAAGGCCTGAGAACCAGGGGAGCTGATGATGTAAACTGCAGTCTGAGGGAAGGAGAGAGTGATATTCCAGCTCAAGTCATCTGGCAGAAAAGAAGGACCAAATTCAGGGCTGGGCGAGGTGGCTCACGCCTGTAATCCCAGCACTTTAGGGGGCCGAGGCAAGTGGATCACTTGAGCTCAGGAGTTTGAGACCAGCCTGGCCAATATGGTGAAACCCCATCTCTACTAAAAATACAAAAATTAGCTGGGCATGGTGGCATGTGCCTGTAATCCCAGCTATTTGGGAGGCTGAGGCGGGAGAATCGCTTGAACCTGGGAGGCAGAGGTTGCAGTGAGTTAAGATCGCACCACTGCACTCCAGCCCGGGTGACAGAGTGAGACTCTGTCTCCAAAAAAAAAAGGCCAAATTCTCCCTTCCTCTGCCTTAAAGCCCTCAACAGCCCATTGAGGAGGGTGATCCACTCATAGACAGAATTGGAAATGACGTTTTGCCAAGTATCTGGGAACCCCATGACCCAGTCAAGATGAAACATAAAATTAACCATCACAAATGCTAATGATCAGATATAAAACGGGAAGTGGGGTAGGGAGTACTTAGAGGTGGGGGGCAACAGTTGTCACTGCAAACAGGATGGTCAGGGAACCTGGCCTGAGACAGTAACATGTAGATCTGAAGGAGAGAGTAGGGGGCTTGAGAAGGGAAGTAACTCACCCATGACCCTCACCCTTATCCACTAACTCCTAACTCTGTGTTCTCTCCCTGATGATAGCTGGTTGTTTTATTTTCATAAAGTCGTGAGATGTTAGAGATGGAAGTGACCACTGGGGATGGCCATAAGTTTCACTGAAGATCCTAAGTCTATTAAACAAAAAATTGAATTTTTGTGGCAACTCACATTGATAGTGGTGGCTTTCTGGAGCATGGCATAGAGCAAGATCCAGAGGTTAGGTCTGGGTTCAGAGCAAAAAGTGACATTTTCCCCAAGTTCAGCAGGAGGATGGTCACATTAGACAGTCGGTGGCCCATTCCTCTTCTAGAGTGACCCTCCCATTACACGATGAGGACATAGGCAGCTGGAGTGTAACAGACAGGAAGTGGCTGGATTTTCAAAATGGTCTTTAGCATGAACACTTTTATGCCTTCACTGTCTCCATTATTGACTAAAGGAAAGTAAAAGAAATGGAGGAGGCCGGGCGCGGTGGCTCACACCTGTAATCCCAGCACTTTGGGAGGCCAAGGTGGGTGGGTCACCTGATGTCAAGAGTTCGAGACCAGCCTGGCCAACATGGTGAAACCTTATCTCTACTAAAAATACAAAAAATTAGCTGGGCCTGGTGGCAAGCGCCTGTAATCCCAGCTACTTGAGAGGCTGAGGCAGGAGAATAGCTTGAACCCAGGAGGCAGACGTTGCAGAGAGCCGAGATTGAGCCATTGCACTCCAGCCTAGGCGACAGAGTGAGACTCCGTCTCAAAAAAAAAAAAAAAAAAAAAAAAAGAAAAAGAAAAAAGAAAAAGAAATGGAGGACTCCACTCTTGGTTACAATGAAAAGAGTCCCCGCCTCCCAAACTTGCAGTTTCTCTCAGGCAACCATTTTATTCCAGGGCTTGGCCAGGTCTCCAGAAATGTTATTTTTCTCTTCTTCTTTGTGGATTCAGCCCAGGGAGGAAAGGTATAATTGCAACCCCACACCCACAAAGATGCTCCTTGGACTTGGATAAAAGAGCACAAGACACCGTTTTTATCACTTAACCCGGTAAAAGAAGATACCTACACAGATCACCAGGACCACACAGTAGGAACAGAGGCCCCCCTTCCCTTGTGCTGCCCAAGTTCCTAGAGGGATCTGAATGAAGCAACTGTTTAACTAATGCAACCATGTTTAAAGTTCCCAAGGGATCCACACTCTTTAAATGATGCATAAATTGAGTCATTTTGTAAAATACAGTACCTTGATTTATTTGCTTAGTAGCTTTTAGTTTGTCTACTAGGTTTCTCTAAAGAAGAATACAAATGTATTTAGGCATAAATTGTTTTCAATCATTTTCTTGGTGTCTACATTACCCTCCATGTAATATATTAGGGGTTCCTAAGCCACAAATGGTATGATTGAAGGTATAAAAACTTGAAGCTCATTGCAACCTTAAACTCCTGGGCTCAAGCAATCCTCCTGCCTCAGCCTCCCAAGCAGCTGGGACTACAGGTGGGTGTCACCATGCCCAGCTAATTTTTAAAATTTTTTGTAGGAGGCCTTGCTATGTTGCTCAGGCTGGTCTTGAACTCCTGGCCTCAAGTGATCCTCCCACCTTGACCTCCCAAAGTGCTGGGATTACAGGCATGAGCCACCGTGCCCAGCCCCCATCTCTTTTTAATACACTAGAATTATGAAATGACAGCAGAAAGAATTCACCTTCTAGTTAGCAGTTGGATCAAACAAGTAAAATAATTTGAAGATGAGCAAAAGGAACCTTGTTATTTTTGACTTAAATGTTCTTGAGAACAAAAATGATGATGCCAGGCTTCAGAAGATGGCCCCTTAAGGGTTTAATGGTTGAAAATCATCCTCACTTTCCTACCCCTTTCAACACACACACACACACACACACACACACACACGCACGCAGTGTTGGGCTCAGTGACACCACATAACAATAGCAACAGGCTTAAGGACAGTGCAAGCACAGGTGCATCAGGCTACTGTCGGGAGAAGGGAAACTAGAATATGCACCGAGAATAAAAAATGGCTTGGGTGAGTCATCAAACAACCCTGTCAAAAAGCAGGATGTCTGATTTCACAGCCTCCATTGCTCCCTCCAACACCACATGGAACATGAACTCCAAACTGATAAAGTCTCAGGCAGGTCAATCACCTTCTACTCAGCCCCAGTGTGAAAGAGGAGGGACTCATATGGAAAAGCCTGCTCTAAACACAGGCTTATCTGTGTTGCAAGATGATGAAACATTACAGACTTAGGGAATTCATTCTCAGGTGAGAATTCAGTAACTGGCACTGGGGGTTGTAAAATATACTGGCCATGAGTCCCTTAGGTAGTCGAAGGATAAGACGACCAAAGTCTAACCTGAGCCGATGTTACTGACGTGAGTGTCAGTACATGCATCTGAATCTTACTCTGTCAATTTTCAAGAAAGGAAATGAAAGTAAAAGCATTTGTCACTTGAGGAATTTCTCTGTATGCATGATTATCATTTGTTGCATTTCTCACATATTTAAAGTTGCTTTTGAGCCAAGCTATGAAGTGAGTAAAACTTGACTTTTGTTTCTTGATTCCTTATTTTCTCGCCTCATATTTTTTTTTCTTTTGACAGTTAAATTAGTTAGGATACTAGTTTCACTCCTACTACAGAGAGAGTGGCCCCAAATAATACTGATTTAAGTGAGATGAAGGTTTATTTCTCTGACACAAAAAAGTCCAAGCTAGTATGCCGCTACCAGTCATACCAGGAATAGTTTTAGGGACTCAAATGCTTACCTAGTTACTTTGCAATCTGCAACATATGCTTTTTTCATCTTCTCTTGGTGCAACATGGCTGCTCCTGATCCTGCCAATTCATCTGTATTCCCTCCTGCAGAAAGAAAAGAACGGGCACGGGGCATGACTTGAAAGTTGCATGTATCACTTCTGCTCAAGCTCCATTGGCCAGAATGTAGTCCTACACCCACACCAAACTGCAAGGGAGAGATATTTTAAAGCACAGAGTGGTGATTTGGGTTCAGAATGAAGACCCTGAGTGATTTGGAAAAGGCTACATCTGTTCACTATGTGATAAGTTGGTGATTAATTCAAGGCTATACTGAGGAGGAGAGCCAGGAGGCCTGAGTGCACCAAAAAGATGCTGACAGATTCAGTGGTGATAGGAAGTGACCTAGGGCCTGGAGAGAAACTAGGGGACTCCCAGGAAAGCTGGCTTGTGGTGATATAGGAGGTAAAAAGGAATTACTTAGGGAGATAGCAAGGGCATGGGAGTCCTTGGTAGGGCTTTCCTTTTAATGAAAAGCAGCCCCAAATAATTTTCTAACAAAGAGCAGCTGATAAAAGTTGAGCTGCAGACATAGACAAGCAAGCTGGCAGCTTGCTGCACAGATGAATGCCAGCAGGAACTAAGGACTAGACCTTTTCAAGATGGTGGCTCCATCTTGCCTTCTCTGCCAGCCACGTGTACGGTAAGAAGCAGATAATATGGCCCCCATCAACTGGAAAGTCCATTTGCATAAGAAGATTAGGGTAGGGCGACAAGCCTTCCCAGAGAGCTTTGTAAATGTCATACATGATGGAACCAATCTGTGAGGCCTAGTAAATCAGACAACACCTCCTCAAACTGGACTATAAAACTCGGTGCGTTCTCCACCAGCTGGTCCTTTCTGCTCAGAGACTCCTTCTGAGAGGTGAAGCCAGCTGGACTTCCTGGGTCGAGTGGGGACTTGGAGAACTTTTCTGTCTTAGAAGAGGATTGTAAAATGCACCAATCAGCATTCTGTAGCTAGTAAGAGGATTGTAAAATACACCAATCAGTGCTCTGTAAAAATGCACCAATCAGCACTCTGTAGTGAGCAAGAGGATTGTAAAATGCACCAATCAGTGCTCTGTAAAATGCAACCATCGGCAGGAGTCTAAAAGTAGGCAATCGCGGGGAGGATTGAAAAAAGGGCACTCTGACAGGACAGAAACAGAACATGGGAGGGGACAAATAAGGGAATAAAAGCTGGCCACCCCCCAGCCAGCAGCAGTAACCCGCCTCGGGTCCCCATCAACGCTGTGGATGCTTTGTTCTTTAGCTCTTCACAATAAATCTTGCTGCTGTTCACTCTTTGGGTCCGTGCCATCTTCAAGAGTTCTAACACTGCAAAGGTCCATGGCTCCATTCTTGAAGTCAGCGAGACCACAAACCCACTGGCAGGAACCAACTCCAGACACACTTCCTTTAAGAGGAAGCTGTTTTTCTTTCTCTTCTCTTCTAACTGTTAAACCTCCACCCCTAAACTCCTCCTGTGTGTCTGTGTCCTAAATTACTCTGGTACCCGACAATGAACCCCGGGTTTTTTTGTTTTGTTTTGTTTTGTTTGAGATGGAATTTCGCTCTTGTTTCCCAGGTTGGAGTTCAATGGTGCAATCTCGGCTCACCGCAGCCTCAGCCTTCCAAGTTCAAGTGATTCTCTTGCCTCAGCCTCACAAGTAGCTGGGAATACAGGCATGCGCCGCCACACCAGGCTAATTTTGTATTTTTAGTAGAGACGGAGTTTCTCCATGTTGGTCAGGCTGGTCTCAAACTCCCAACCTTAGGTGATCCACTCGCTTTGGCCTCCCAAAGTGCTGGGATTACAGGTGTGAGCCACCATGCCCGGCCGAACCCCGGGTTTATACCCCAGACAACGTAGCCGCTTCAGTGGCGTTTGCTTCATCCTCTTGACCCTAGACCCTCCTGATCTACTGCAAGATTTGCCATATGCAGGGGAATTGTGGGTAATCCTGGGAAGTTTAATTTGGGAGTAAATTACTTACCTGAACATGTCACTCCCCATCTCAAATCCCCCACTCCGAGCAAAATCAAAAGGGGTTTTTTTGTTGTTTTTGAGAGAGAGTCTCACTCTGTTGCCCAGGCTAGAGTGCAATGGCACTATCTCGGTTCACTGCAACCTCTGCCTCCTGGGTTCAAGCGATTCTCGTGGCTTGGCCTCCCAAGTAGCTGGGATTACAGGCATGTGCCACCATGCCCGGCTAATTTTTGTATTTTTAGTAGAGACAGGGTTTCACCATGTTGGGCAGGCTGGTTTCGAACTCCTGACCTCAGGTGATCCACCCACCTTGGCCTCCCAATGTGCTGGGATTACAGGCGTGAGCCACCGCGCCTGGCCCAAAAGTTGTTATCTTGACTACAAAGCCAGTGTCATCTAGCCCCTGCCCACTGTCTCCAACCTCATCCCACGTGGCCCTGCCCCTTCTCCACTCTGCGGCCACCACGCTGCCCCGGTGGCTACTTCTAAAGCACACAAGCATGTTTCTGCCTGAGGAAGAAGTTTACACCTGCTGGCCCTACTACCTACACTGCCTTCCCCCAAATATGAATAAGACGGGTAGCCTCCCTTCTTTCAAGTTTCTGCTCAAATGTCACCTCTATCAAGATTCAATCCCTGCCATTTTAAAACGGTGCTACTCCAAGTGAGGCAAACAGACCGGAGTTTGTCTGTGAACAGTTTGCTGCCATTTGGCCATGAGTTGAGCCCAGAAATTTTGAAGGTGCACATCTAGAATTTGCTGCAATATCCAAGACAGTGACTTGTCTCACTGACCGGGGTATAGATGAGTTTGGGGGGCTTTGAATTCAGGTGCTGAGTCATGTAGAGTGCACTACATCCTAGTCGTGCATGTTAGGACCACACATACATTTTCATAATTTATTACATTATCGTAATTTTAGCCCTTAATTAGGCTTGCCTTTCAATTTATAGTTTAGCATTATTAGTTGTAAAGACAATTTTGTATTCTGTATTTTGTTTTTGCTTTTTTTTTTTTTTTTTGAGATGAAATCTCACTCTCGTCCAGGCTGGAGTGCAGTGGCACAATCTTGGCTAACTGCAACCTCCGACTCCCTGGTTCAAGTGATTCTCCTGCCTCAGCCTCCCGAGTAGCTGGGATTACGGGCACAGGCCACCACGCCCGGCTAATTTTTGTGTTTTTAGTAGAGACGGGGTTTCGCCATGTTGAGCAGGCTGGTCTCAAACTCCTGGCATCAGGTGATCCGCCCGTCTCGGCCTCCCAAAGTGTTGGGACTACAGGTGTGAGCCACTGTGCCTGGTTTTCTGTATTTTTTACCTTAATTTACTGATGGTGACACAAGATTTACTGGACTATTTTTGTCAAGAAAAGACTTGTTTTTTTCCAAAAATAGCAGTGATAGTCAACCAAATAGTAACAACAGATGTTATTTCCAATAGCATAAAAGCAAAATCATATATACTAATTTACTCAGATATATATTCACTTATGTATTAATGTTGGGTTTGTAGCGATCATTGATGGCAAATTGCTAAAAACTATGATGTGTTATTTATAGAGCTGTACTGGCTAATTATGCTTTGAAACCATCAAAACTTAAGCAGCATTTACATAGAAAGCGTGAAAAGTTCAATACCAAAATAATCCTTTTGCTGGGTGCGGTGGCTCACTCCTGTGATCCTAGCACTTTGGGAGGCAGAAGCGGGAGGATCACCTGAACGCAGGAGTTTGAGAGCAGCCTGGGAAACATAATGAGACCTCATCTCTTTTTAAAACGAAAAAAAAATCCTCTTAAGGAAAGACTAACAAATTAAAAAGCTGATGGAAGCAGTCACTTGATATTTCATTTACAAACATTAGTAATTTGCAGGTATCTTATGAAGCAGCACTTTGGGTTGCTAAGATTGAAAAGTACAGTTGCTGAGACATTAGTAAAAGATTGAAGAAAGGATGTTTGAGGCCGGGCTCGGTGGCTCATGCCTGTAATCTCAGCACTTTGGGAGGCTGAGGTGGGCGGATCACTTGAGGTCAGGAGTTTGAGACCAGCTCAGCTAACATGGTGAAACCCCGTGTCTACTAAAAATACAAAAATTAGCTGGGTGTGGTGGTGGGCGCATGTAATCCCAACTACTTGGGAGGCTGAGGCAGGAGAATTGCTTGAACCTGGGAGGCAGAGATAGCAGTGAGCCAATATCGTGCCACTGCACTCCAGCCTGGGCGACAGCAAGACTCTGTCTCAAAAAAAAAAAAAAAAAAAATTTTATTTGGAAATGGGTAAATCTTTGACAGAGAAGGTAGCTCAGGTACCATTTTCCTATGATATTATAGCTCAGTGTATTCAGGAACTACAGAAACCAACCAACTGAATAAATTAAGCTAGTATTTTCTTTGCAACTTGACTAATGTACACATATTGCCAATGGCAGTCTTTTTTTTTTTTTTTTTTTTTTTGAGACAGGGTCTTGCTCTGTTGCCCAGGCTGGAATGCAGCAATGCACTCATGGCTCACTGCAGCCTCAACTTCTCCCACCTCAGCCTCCTGAGTAACCAGGGCTAAGGTGTGTGCCACCACACCTGGCTAATTTTTTGTATTTTTTGTTTTTTCTTGTAGAAACAGGGTTTCGCCATGTGGTCCAGGCTGGTCTCAAACTCCTGGGCGCAAGCAATCTACCTGCCTTGGCCTCCCAAAATGAGGGGATTACAGGAGTGAGCCACCACATATGGCTGCCAATGGCAGTTTTTAAAGTATATGTGTGATTTGAAGATGATGCTATCAAATAAATAATTATTTCTTTCAACTTAATTGCCTATGGACACAAGTAGCTCTGAGCTGTTTAAAACTCTGAAGGATTATATTGGTTTAAGTGTAGTTTGCACTTTAAGCTTCCTGTCTGGGTGAGTTCTGATGGTGTAGCCGCAATGACAGGAAAGCTTTCTAGAATAGATACACAGATTAAGGATTTTACACTGGAATATAAACCAACATACTGCTTCCTCCATAACATCTTACTACAAAAAAAAAGTCAATGTGATGAGCATTATAGTAAGAATTGTGAATTAAATAAAAGCTAATGTGTTAAAATTAAGATAATTATATTTATGTAACAATATGAAAGCTGATTATATGTAACACTGCATGTTGAGGTACGATGTTTGTCAAAAGGAGGCCATCCATCAAGAATGTTTGAACTGTGAAACAAACTCTGCGCCTCTGAAAGATTAAAAAATAGGTTGATTCCACCTTTTTTTTGAGACGGAGTCTCACTCTGTCTCCAGGCTGGAGTGCAGTGGTGCGATCTCGGATCACTACAACCTCCAACTCCCAGGTTCCGGCAATTCTCCTGACTCACTTCCCCAGTGGCTGGGATTACAGGCGCACAGCACCATGCCCAGCTAATTTGTATTTTTGGTAGAGATGGGGTTTCACCATGTCGGCCAGGCTGGTATCGAACTCCTGACCTCAAGTGATCCTCTCGCCTCGGCCCCCCAAAGTGCTTGGATTACAGATGTGAGCCACTGCACCCAGCCTTGGTTCCACCTTTTTAAAGATGTAAATAATGTAAAAACAATCTTGCTGATTTGTTTGATATCATCAGTATTTTGAGTAATCTTAATATTTCCATGCAAGGAAGGAGTACAATATATTTTTCAAAAGATTAAAAGGAAAAAGTAGAAGTTAGAAACTTGCCAGTACTGTTCCTTCAGATGCTATGATTATAGATTGTCATACATGTTCCATAATTATCAATAAAATAGGTGATAATCTTGATATTGCACATCTGTCAAAACTTACCACCACATGTCTTATGAATTTGACAAAATGTTTTGAATTTTGTTTTCCATCAAAAGAAGATACACAAATAGGAAATTCTTAGATCTGGAATCTATTTTTTCCATCACAAAATAGCTTAAATTGACCTGTAATTTTACAGGAGAAATTGTTGGGACTGCCTACTGACGAATGATTAAAGATACATTTTGAAAATACAGCATCACTTGCTTCCTTTTGCAGAAAAGTGAAAAAATTAATATCCTGGGCTTAATCCAATGCTTCAAAATTTCTTCTTCTATTTCTATCACCTTGCGATTTTGGTTTCTCTGTTATAAATGATTTTAAAGCCAAACAGAAATAGTTTAGAACCATATTATGCTCTGTACCCAGAGGTCAGGAGTTCAAAACCAGCCTGGCCAACATGGTGAAACCCCATCTCTACTAAAAAATACAAAAATTAGCTGGGCATGGCTGTGCATACCTGTCGTCCCAGCTACTTGGGAAGCTGAGACAAGAGAATTGCTTGGACCAGGGAGGCGGAGGATGCAGTGAGCCAAGATTGCACCATCGCACTCAAGCCTGGGCGACAGAGTGAGACTTCATCTCTCAAAAAAAAAAAAAAAAAAAAAGTCCAAAACAGATTGAAAAAAGAAAAACTGGTCCTCACCTCGGGTAATTTGAGAAGCACTGATTTAAAATAGTAGCTCTCGATCCTGCTTTATTTCTCTTCATGGCTTTTACTAACACCTCAGATTATAAACCTCTGCCTGTTTGGTCATTTGTTTCTTGCCCATCTCTTAGACTAGGGTGCAGCTCAGTGGGAATAGGAGCCTCCTCATTCACCATTATACTTCTAGATCCTCAGCAGTTGCTGTCGCATGGTAGATGGTCTGTATTTGTTTTCATGGAGAAAGGACTCAGTTCTCAGGCATAACAAGTGAGGTGAATGAGTTCACTTGGCTAAAGTTGCCCAGGATTTCCTCAGTGTCCAGATGCAGTCTCCTTATCTAATATTAAACATGTCTGTTACCAAATATTCTCTATTAATTAGCACTGTTGATACAGCTCTGTGATCACAGCACTTGTCCTGATTTTCTGAGTCCCAGGAATCCTGACACCTAAGCATACTCACTAATAATTGAATGAGCCATTGAATGAGCCATGGACCTGCTATTGAGAATTGGGGACACACAAATAAATTTTAGATATTTTCCTTTTTTTTTTTTTTTGAGATAGAGTCTCACTGTCTCCCAGGCTGGAGTGCAGTGGCATTATTTTGGCTCACTGCAACCTCCACTTCCTGGGTTCAAGCGATTCTCCTGCCTCAGACTTCCAAGTAGCTGGGATTACAGGCACCCACCACCACGTCCAGCTAATTTTTGTATTTTTAGTAGAGATGGGGTTTCATCCTGTTGGCCAGGCTTGTCTCAAACTCCTGATCTCAGGTGACCCACCCACCTGGGCCTCCCAAAGTGCTGGGATTACAGGCGTGAGCCACCACGCCAGGCCCATTTTAGATATTTTCATCCAAATGATCACAATTTTGAACTTTTTTTTTTGTCACAAAAGTGGTAAGTTTTAGTTATCTAGAAAACGAATCAATATAAATGTTTTCATGCCCTGATGAGGGGCTCAATTAATGAGGTCACAAGAAGTCTCTCTCTTGCATGCATTTAGATTATGAAAAAAACCAAGAGGATGAGACTTTTCTTTTTTGAGACACAGTCTCTCTCTGACACCCAGGCTGGAGTGCAGTAGCATGATCACAGCTCACTGCAGCCTTGATCACCTGGGCTCAAGTGATTCTTCCACTTCAGCCTCCCAAATAGCTGGGACTACAGGCACTTGCTACCACACCTGGCTATTTATTTTATTTTATTTTATTTTAAGAGATGGGATCTCACCATGTTGCCCAGGCTGGTCTGGAACTCTCGGATTCAAGCGATCCTCTCGCTTTGGTCTCCCAAATTTCTGGGATTATAGGCATGAGCCACCACTCCTAGCTGAGACTTTTCAAACAAAACTTCAGACTTTTCAAACAGAACTGGCCAGGCGCGGTGGCTAATGGCAAGGTGTGGTGGCTCACGCTTGTAATCGCAACACTCTGGGAGGCCGAGACGGGCGGATCCCTTGAAGTCAGGAGTTCGAGACCAGCCTGGCCAACATGGTGAAACCCTGTCTCTACTAAAAATACAAAAATTAGCTGGGCATGATGGCACGTGCCTGTAATCCCAGCTACTTGGGAGGCTGAGGCAGGAGAATCGCTTGAACCAGGGAGTCGGAGGTTGTGGTGATCTGAGATTGCGCCACTGCATTTCAGCCTGGCAACAGAGTGAGACTCCATCAAAAGAAAGAAAGAAGGAAGGAAGGAAGGAAGGAAGGAAGGAAGGAAGGAAGGAAGGAAGGAAGCAAGCAAGCCCCAAGGAGGGATGCAGAGCAAGATGGCCGAAGAGAAGCCTCCAGCAATTGTTCTGTTCATAGGAACGCCACATTTGCCAACTATCTACACTAAAGAGCACCTTCATAAGAACCAAAAATCAGGTTAGCAATCACAATACGTAGTTTTAAATTCATATCACTGACAGAGGCACTGAAGAGGGTAGAAAGGAAAGTCTTGAATCTCTGATGCCACCCCTCTCCCATCCTCTAGTAGTGGCTACTTAGTGCAGAGAGAGAAACTGTGTGCTTGTGGGAAGAGGAGTGCAGAGGCTGGGGCTTTGCATTAGAACTCAGTGCTGCCAGCACAGGGCAGAACTCAGCTGGTGCCTATGGAGGGAGCATTTAAACCAGCCTTAGCCAGAGGGACATTGCCCATACCAGTGGCTGGAATTTGAGTTTTGGTAAGCCTTGCCACCATGGGCTAAATGGCCCTGGGGTCCTAAATAAACTTAAAAGGCTGTCTAGGCCACAAAGGCTGCAAATCCCAGGCAAGTCCTAGTGCTGCGCTGGGCTTGGAGCCAGGGTACTGTGGGGGCACACAACCTAGTGAGACACTAGTCACGGGTGCTAAGGGAGTACTCCCCCAATCCCAGGCAGCACAGCTTGCAGCAATGAAAGTGACTCCTTCCTTCTGCTTGAATAGAGGAGAGGGAAGAGTAAAGATGACTTTGTTTTGCACCTTGGATACGAGCTCAGCTGCAGGATAGGGCACTGGGCAGAGTCGGGAGGCCCCTATTCCAGGCACTAGCTCCTGGATGACATTTCTAGACACACCTGGGCCAGAAGGGAATCCGCTGCCTTGAAGGGGAGGACCCAGTCCTGGCAGGATCCATCACCTGCTGACTAAAGAGCCCTTGAGCCCTGAATAATCAGCAGTGGTAGCCAGGTAGGATATGCTGTGGGCCCCGGGTGAGAAACTCTGAGATGTGCTGGCTTCAGATGTGACGCAGCATATTCCCAGCTGTAGTGGCTCTGAGGAGAGACTCCTTCTGCTTGAGAAAAGAAGAATAAAGGGGACTTGGTCCTGCAGCTTAGGTATCAGGCCTGCCACAGTGGAGAAGAGCACCAGGCAGCCTCTGGGGGTCCTCAATTCCAGGCCGTGGCTCTTGGACTGCACTTCTGGACCTAACCTGGCCCAGAGAGAAGCCCACTGCCCTGAAGGGTGAGTCCCAGGCCTGGCAGCATTCACCACAAGCTGACTGAAGAGCCCTTGGGCCTTAAGGGCACATTGGTGGTGTCCTGGCAGTCAGTCACCTTCCCTATGCACCTGTGGGAGTGGTGAGTGGTGGACACGGGGAGAGACTCCTCTGCCTGGGGAAAGGGGAGGGAAGAGTGGGAAGAGCTTTTTTATTTTTTTTTTATTTTTATTTTTTTTGTGGTTTCAGTGCTAGCTTAGCTGCAGTAGAATAGAGCACCAGATAGATTCCTAAGGTTTCCAACTCCAGGCCCTAGCTCCTGGATAGCATCTCTGGACCCACTCAGGGGATTTGCCACCCCGAAGGGAATGATACAAGGCTGGCTGGCTTCACCATCAGCTGATTAGAGAACTCTAGGGCCTTGAGCGAACGTAGGTCGTGGTTACAGCAAGCCTTGGGCAAGACCCAGTTCTGTGCTGGCTTTTGATCTGACCCAGTACCGTCCCAGTGGTGGTGGCCACAGGGGTGCTTGTGTCACCCCTCCCCTAGCTCCAAGCAGCTCAGCACAGAGAGACAGACTGTTTGTTTGGGAGAAAATAAGGGCAGAGAACAAGAGTCTTTGTCTGGTAATCTAGAGAATTCTTCTGGATCTTATCCAAGACACCAAGGCTTCTATAACTCTGCAAGAACCGTAGTGTTACTGGGCTTGGGGTAGCACCTAATGCAGATACAGCTGCAGTGACCACAAATGTAGATCACAACACCCAAGTCCTTTAGAATACCTGTAAAGCCTTCCTAAGAATGATGAATATAAAGAAACCCAAACTGCAAAGACTACAATAAATATCTAACTCTTCTATGCCTAGACACCAACAAACATACACAAGCATCAAGACCATCCAGGAAAAAGTGACCTCACCAAACAAACTAAATAAGGCACCGGGGCTAATCTTGGAGAGACAGAAATATGTGACCTTTCAGACGGATAATTGAAAATAGCTGTTTTGAAGAAACTCAAAGAAATTCAAGATCACACAGAGAATGAATTCAGAATCTTATCAGATAAATTTAACAAAGGAATTGAAATGATTAAAAAGAATCAAGCAGAAATGATGCCCCAGGAAATAAGTGTTCACTGAGATGAGAAAAGTGTGAAAACACTGAAGGGTTAGAAGAAAAGATAATCCAGATCTGTTGATCCCAACCTTGGCTGCACACTAGAATTACTTGAATTCTAATGTGAGCAGTTGTAAATCCTGATGCCTGGCCACACTAAACCAATCAAATCAGTAATTTTAAAACTCCACAGGTGATTCCAGTGTGCCTGCAGACTTGCCCACCACTGATCCAGAACAGCCCTCCACAAACCTTAACCTGCATATAAATCATTTTCATTTTTTTTTTTTTTGAGGCAGAGTATTGCTCTATCACCCAGGCTGGAGGGCCGTGGCACAATCTTGACTCACTGCAACTTCTGCCTCCAGGGTTTAAGTGATTCTCATGCCTCAGCCTCCTGAGTAGCTGGGATTATAGGTGTGCATCACCGCATCTAGCTAATTTTGATATTTTTAGTAGAGACAACATTTCACCATGTTGACCATGCTGGTCTCAAACTCCTGGCCTCAAATGCTCTTCCCACCTTGGCCTCCCAAAGTGCTGGAATTAGTGGCATGAGCCACCACACCTGGCCTAAGTCATTTGCATTTCTTTCTTTCTTTCCTTCCTTCCTTCCTTCTTTTGAGACAGCGTCTGGCTCTGTCTCCCAGGTTGGAGTGCAGTGGCTTGATCTCAGCTCACTGCAATCTCTGCCTCCTGCTCTCAAGCCATCTTCCCACCTCAGCCTCCTAAGTAGCTGGGATTACAGGCACATGCCACCACATCTGGCTAATTTTTATATATATATATATATTTGTTGTAGAGATGGGGTTTCGCTGTGTTGCCCAGGCTAGTCTTGAACTCCTGAGCTCAAGCAGTCTGCCAGCCTCGACCTCCCAAAGTGCTGGGATTGCAGCCATGAGCCCCCGCATCTGGCCAAGATGCCGCATGTCTAACAAGCTTCCAACTGCTGCTGCTCCTGGTCCAGGGACCATACTTTGAGGAACAAGCCTCAAGAAGGTAGGTGGCAGGCCAAATTGCAATTGATGAACAAGTAGCAGGATAGCAGGCAAGACTTTGAGAAGCATCTTCAGCACATTATTTTTTTATTGTGGGAAAATATACACAACACAAAATTTACCATCACAACCATTATTATTATTATTTTTTAATTTGAGATGGAGTTTTGCTCTTGTTGCCCAGGGTGGAGTGCAATGGTGCAGTCTTGGCTCACTGCAATCTCCACTTCCCAGGTTCAAGCTCCTGCCTCAGTCTCCCAAGTAGCTGGGATTACAGGCGCCCACCACTACACCCAGCTAATTTTTATATTTTTAGTAGAGACGAGGTTTCATCATGTTGGCCAGGCTGGTCTCGAACTCCTGACCTCAGGTGATCCATTCGCCTTGGCCTCCCAAAGTGCTGGGATTACAGGTGTGAGCCACTGCACTGGGCCTCATCTTAACCATTTTTAAGTATACAGTTCAATGACATTAAGTACAATCATGATTGTGCAACCATCACCACCATCCACCTCCAGAAATTTTTCATCTTCCCAAACAACAACTCTGTCCCCATTAAACACGAACTCCCTCTAACCCCTCTCTCTAGCCCAGCAGTCCCCAGTCTTTTTGGCACCAAGGACTGGTTTTGTGGAGGACAATTTTTCCACAAACCAGGGTGGGGGATGGTTTTGGGATGATTCAAGTGCATTACATTTATTGTGCACTTTGTTTCTATTATTATTACATTGTAATATATAATGAAATAATTATACAGCTCACCATAATGTAGAATCAGTGGGAGCCCTGAGCTTGTTTTCCTGCAACTAGATGGTCCCATCTGGGGGTGATGGGAGACAGTGACAGATCATCACTCTCATAAGGAGTGAACAACCTAGATCCCTTGCCTGTGCAGTTCACAGTAGGGTTTGTGGTCCTGTGAGAATCTAATGCTGCAGCTGATCTGACAGGAGGCGGAGCTCAGGCAGTAATGTGAGTGAGACTGGTACTGGTCTGTGGCCTGGGGGCTGGGGGCCTCTGCTCTAGCCTCTGGCAAACACCATTCTACATTCTGTCTCTATGAATTTAACTATTCTAGGGACCTCACAAAAGTGGAATTGTACAGTATTTATCCTTTTGCGACTGGCTTGTTTTACTTAGCATCATGTTCTCAAGGTTCATTCACATGTCAGAATTTCCTACCTGTTTAAGGCTGAATAATATTTCATTGTATACATAGATGCATTATTTTTGAGCAAATTTATCTCTGTAAGAAAAGTGATCAGCTGTTTTGATTATAAAAGAACATACCCAGGGTGCTTCAGAGCAAAGGGAATCTATTAAACAACACCAAAGTCACTTCCCTAAATGGGCTGTCCTTTGTAATATGAAGATGACCTCCTTCTAGGGGTTCTGATCCGCCATCCTTTTCCCGTTCAACGTCAGTCAGGAAGTTCCTGGTTATCAATGGCATAACACGTTAGTTAGCAAGTAGTCAGCTGCTGCACTGTGATGATGAAGCTCAAAGCTAAGCTGCTGGAATAGGGCCAGAGGGATGAGGTCACCAGTGAGCCTGGCTCTCATGCTCTCAGGTGACCTCAAAGTGACAGAGAAGCTTTCGGTGGAAACACCTCAGTGACAACTCTGGGGACAGCACTGGTAATCAGTTTTTCCTGGTAGAGGTACTGCCGCCTCAGAAAAAGGAGGAAAAATAAATCCCCCAAAGGAAACGAACAAGGAGTTCTTTGCTGGACTAAAATGAAAAGGTTGACACCCAAAAATAAAACAATGTGAGAACATTCCAAAGGAAATACCCGGTCTGCATTTAGAAACATGAGAACTTACTTCCAGCAAGCCAGTAAGAACCAAACTGACCACCTGTGGGGAGTTTTTTTTTTTTTTTTATGAGTCTCAAATATAAGGAAGCTTTCCCCAAGGTCCAATCCTGATACAATCTCACCACGATCCCTGCAGTCTGGGGTTGACTTCTTCCTTGGAGCATAAACTTTTTCCCTGTTGCTCTTTTTCTGTGCTTACTTGGCATTTGTGAAGAAGGACTTATCTAGTTAGCGCTTGAACAGGAGGGAATTTTCTGCTCTGTATTCCAGAAACAGCCTGGCAGGATCTTAGATCTGAGAATTCAATGGGTCTGGGATGGAATGCTTCCTCTGCTACTCAGTATCTTTAGACAAGTTATTTATTTATACTACCACAGTTTCATTTATCTCATTGGTAAAATGAAGCTGAAGATAACTTCCACATAGGATTATCATAACGATGACACAAGATAGTCTTTATAAAAGTGTCTGGTCAATTTTCAAAAAAAGACATTTATGCAACCAACAAACACATGAAAAACAGCTCAACATCACTGACCATTAGAGAAACGCAAAAGAAAACCACAATGAGATACCATCTCACACCAGTCAGAATGGTAATTGTTAACAAATCAAGAAACAACAGATGCTGGCGAGGCTGTGGAGAGATAGGAACACTTTTGTATTCTTGGTGGGGAAGTAAATTAGTTCAACCATTGTGGAAGACAGTGTGGTGAGTCCTCAAAGACTTAGAACTAGAAATACCATTTGACCCAGCAATCCCATTACTGGGTATATACCAAAAGGAATATAAATCATTCTATTATAAAGATACATGTGTGCATATGTTCACTGCAGCACTATTCACAATAGCAAAGACATGGAATCAACCCAAATGCCCATCAATGATAGACTGGATAAAGAAAATGTGGTACATATACACCATGGAATACTATGCAGCCATAAAAAGGAACGAGATCATGTCCTTTGCAGGGACATGGATGGAGCTGGAAGCCATTATCCTCAGCAAACTAACGCAGGAACAGAAAACCAAACACTGGGTGTTCTCACTTATAAGTGGGAGCTGAATAAAGAGAACACATGGACACAGAGGGGAACAACACACACCAGGGCCTGGTGGTGGGGCAGCAGTGCTGGGGCTTGGGGTGGGGGGGCAGGAGGAAGGAGATCATCATGGTAAATAGCGAATGCATGCTGGGCTTAATACCTAAGTGATGCGTTAACAGGTGCAGCAAACCACCATGGCACACATTTACCTATGTAACAAACCTGCACGTCCTGCACATGTATCCTGGAATTTAAAATAAAATTTTAAAAAACTAAAAAAATTAATCAATAAAAGTGTCTGGTTACAGGGCACACTATAAATGTTGGTATGGATGTCCTTTCTGTATTTCTAATCCAGGCACTGTTAGGTAGAGGGAAACCAATGATGAGCATAAGTAGACAATGCCCACCCTCAAAGAGCTTCCAGTGTAGAAGGGAGACAGAGTGGGAAAGGAACAGAGTGATATGAGAATTATGAGAGCTATGATGAGGCTCCTTTGGCAAAGGTTTCTCCTGGAAGAGACCACTGACCTGCAGCCTGGAAGGTAAACTGGCCTTAACCAGGTGAGCGATAAGGCCTGTTCCAGGCCAAGGCCTCAAGGTGGCAAGTGACAGTGTTTGAGAGAAGACAGGATAGCTGAAGCCAAAAGAGAGAAGTTGAAACAGAGTGGAGGGAAGTGCCAGACTGGGCAGAGTGTTGATAGCCATGCCAGGTAGCTTTGTCTTTATTCTAAGATCACGGGAAGTCCTTGGGGGCGGGCAGTCACTGTTGAAGGCTAACATTTCACTTTTGGAAAGCTCCTTGGTCCCAGAGACAGACGGTGGCAGACCGGGATGGTGATGATAGAGATGGAGACAAGAAGATGGATTGGGAGCTTTGGGGGCCATAAAACCATGGGTTTCACATGGTATTTGCTCTAGACGCATTTGGAGAATAAATTGACGAATAGGATTGATGACTGACCCAGACATCAGTCTGAGACACAGGAAAAGTGGTGTGTGTATAATTTGGCTATAACCAGGAATGAAGGAGTGTGCACAGCTTGAATGAGCCCCAAAAACATTCTGCTGCGTGGAAGACATCAGTGACAGTGACAAAGGACCATGTAAGTGATTCCATTTCTATGAGATGTTAAGAATAGGCAAAAACTATTGAGATAAAGGAAATCAGTGGTTGCCAGGGTTGGGGAAATTGAGGGGTGACAGCCAAAGGGTATGGGGTTTCCTCCTGAAGCGATGAAAATGTTTTAAAATTGATTGTGGTGATCATTGAGCAACCCTACGAATATACTAAAATCCATTGAATTGCACATTTTAGATAGGTGAATTGTGTGGTATATAAATTACCTCTTTCTCTCTTTTTTTAGCTATGTCCTACGGGAAGGAATAAATTATATCTCAATGAAACTGTTACCAAAATAAGTCACATGGGGAGAAGAGTGTGAGAAGAAGGCTCATGGTCATGGGTACTGCTGCTCACTGCCTGAATAGTCCAGTGGGCCTGACCCCCAGGGTGGTGAGGTGGGTATTTCCTAACTCAGCATCCTCCCTGGCCCTTAATCCCACTCCCTGATGTTGGCCCTGACTCCTTCCAGAGCAAATGAGATGGTTCTGTCTTCAGACTTCCAGGAAAGGAAAAGAGAGGACAGTGTATTCTTTTTTTTTAAATTAATTAATTAATTAATTAACTAATTCTTTTTTTTGAGACAGAGTCTCGCTCTGTCACCCAGGCTGGAGGGCAATGGCGTGATCTTGGCTCACTCTGACCCCCACCTCCCAGCTTCAAGTGATTCTCCTGCCTCAGCCTCCCGAGTAGCTGGGATTATAGGCATGTGCCACCATGCCTGGCTGACTGTTTTTGTATTTTTTAGTAGAGATGGGGTTTCGCCATATTGGCCAGGCTGGTCTCGAACTCCCAACCTCAGGTGATCTGCCTGCCTTGGCCTCCCAAAGTGCTGAGATTATAGGCGTGCACCAACATGCCCAGCCCAGCAGTGTATTCTTCTAACTACCTCATTGCTACCTACTTCACTCTATGGATCTGGGGCAAAGAACTGTCATGTGACAGCAGCTGCCACTGAACAGTGACTAAGGGGAGGACAGAAACTCCTGCTCATCCTCCAGGTCTCTATTCTTGGAGAAGGTCACCTTCTCCAAGAAGCCTCCTGGGACTTCCAAAAATGAGTCAGGGCCCCTCCTCAGTCTTCTCACGGGCCTTCCCCCTTGTGAACACTTGTCCTACCAGGGATTGATGGCTTGTTTCCTTGCTCTCGGCTCACTGAGCTCTCATCTCCTCCAGGGCCAGCACTGGGGCTTGCTCACCAGTTCTATCCTCAGCACTGTGACAGAGGCTTGTGCAGATCTTATGGCCACAGCAGCCAAAACAAAGATGGGTCTGAGGGAGGTGCTAGGAGTCCCTACTGCGGGGAGCAAAGCGAGCATGAATGAGCATGTGCAGATGACCTCACGCTTCCCTAGAGCAGGGATCACGCTTGCATTGCTCAAGCTCTGGGCGTCTCTCCTCCTTCCAAAACAACTCCAGGTTGTGCACAGAGGTGACACTTCCTGACTGACCAACCTCTCATCTTCTACCCTGTGGGGGACCAACAGGAATCGCCAATGCTCATACTAAAGTGCTTTTGTTTTATTTTCCCTTTCAATACATTGTCTGAACTTTTGAGATTCGGGCTTTAAATGAATGTATCCTTGTTATATATATAAATATATGATATATGTAACATATATGTTATATGTGTAACATATATGTTATATGTGTAACATATATGTTATGTTTTATGTTATATATATTATATATATATTATATCCTTCTGCTGAGGAAGGTTGAGTTTTAAGGTTATTTGCATCTCTCCTAGATCTTACCCTGTTTTTTACTCACTATATTCTTTCTTTAAAAGGTGGAAAGTTTAGTCTTCTCATTTATTTCAGCCAGGAATATATTCAGCTATGAGTGACAGTGAACTGAGAGCTAGTGGCTTAAACACATAAAGATTTTATTTTCTTACTAAAAATAAGTCCAGAGTGGGGGTGGTCTGGGCTGAGGAAGTGGCACCACGATGTCATCAGGGAGCCACGCTCTTTTTATGTTTCTGGTCCACCCTCCTCAGTAAATGACTTCCATCTGCAAAGTCCCCTCAGATCCAAGATGGCAACCACTTAGCAGCCATCATCATCACATCTCTGACTTGAAGACTAAAGAAAAGGGTGTGTTTCTGGACTTTCAGGGAGTTTTTGGAAGTCTCATGTAACATTCTGCCTACACCTCATGGGTCAGAACCTTATCACATGACCACATGACGCTGAAGGGAGACTGGGACACATGGTCCTTTAGCTGGGCATGCTGCTGCCCCCAAATAATATCAGGATCTGTGACTGGGGGAAAGTGGAGTATGGATGGTGAAGCAGGTGAAGTCCCCATCCTCCACCATGCAATTAACTTCCACTGCTGTGTGAGTGTAAATGATATTCCAAGTGAAAGTCTCCTTGCACCCACGTTGACAGGGCTCCTGTGCCTTTTAACTGGGTCAGTCTTTTGGTTCTAGAATAATGGGCAGTGTCCCCTTGTGGCTTGAGGGGGTCTAAACACTGCCTGCTGCAAGAGCTCAAGACGATCTCTCTTCCTCAGACTTGACTGCAACTGCTGCCTAAAATTTCACCACTAAAGAGTTATGCCATTGAGATGAAATATTAATTTCTATTTTAAATGAAGGTATTCTGAGAAGGGTTAACACATAGAACTGCACCCTGTCATTCCTCTTTCATCTAGCAGGAGTGGAGACAGTGAATTGTGGGGAGAGGAGAGACAGCAGTCCTATCACCATCACGGACGTCATTGCTTGAAGAGGGAGGGGCTGGGCTAAGTCTTGGCAGGACCCAGAAAATCAGAGGGTGAGTTTTTCCAGCACCTCAGTGGGGAAAGACAAACCCATGAATAGAGGCTATTGTAAGGGAATGTAGAAAGTGTCCCCAGTAGACTTAGAATCAAAGACTTAGTTTTCAAAGGGAGCTTGGCGATCATCAGGTCAAACACACCCATTTTACAGATGATGAAACGGAGTCTGAAAAAGGCCAAGTGACCTGACTGAGGACCACAAAGGGCTAGTAGCAAGCACAGGTGTCAGACCCTCTCTCCTGATTCCTAGTCCAGGAATTGTTACAAGTTGTTGTTTTCTTTCTTTCTCCTTTCTTTCCTTTCCCCCTTCCCTCCCTTCCTTTCCTCTCCCCTCCCCTCCCCTCTCCTTCCCTTTCCTTTTGACAGTGTCTTACTCTGTTGCCCAGGCTAGTGGCACCATCAAAGCCCATTGCAGACTTGACCTTTTAGGCTCAAGCAATCCTCCTGCTTCAACCTCCCAAATAGCTGGGACTACTACAGGCACATGCCACCATGCCCAATTAAATTTTTTTTGTACAGACAGGGTATCACTATGTTGCCCAGGCTGCTCTTGAACTCCTGACCTCAAGTGATCCTCCTGCCTGAGCCTCCAAAAGTGCTGGGACTGTAGGCATGAGCCACTGTGCCCAGTCACAGGTTGTCTTTTATTTTTGTTCCACAGAGGACTAGGGCTCCTTGGAGAGGGCTGAAGAGGAGAGGAAGGAGGGGTGAAGCTCTGGGTCCTATCAGGTGTGAAACCAGGTTTCATGGGGCCTGAAGTTTATACAACTGAGGAAGAGGAGAGTTCTTTAAGAAAAAAAAAATTACAAAATTTGACCAGGCGTGGTGGCTCATGCCTGTAATCCCAGCACTTTGGGAGGCCAAGGTGGATGGATCACCTGAGGTCCGGAGTTTGAGACCAGCCTGGCCAACATGGTGAAACCCTGTCTCTACTAAAATAAATTAGCCAGGCATGGTGGCTTGTGCCTGTAGTCCAAGATACTTGGGAGACTGAGGCAGGAGAATCACTACAACCCAGGAGGTGGAGGTTGCAGTGAGCCAAGATCACACTACCGCACTCCACCCTGGGCAACAGAGTGAGATTCTGTCTCAAAAAAAATTTTTTTTTACCAAATTAATAATGTAAAATGAGGCATAAGACTTTGGAGAGTCCCTGAAGTTTAAGTATCATTAGCTTTATGGTAAACCTGACACAGGGGCCATCCATTGTGCCAATCATGTCAGCTGCCCCAGTCCCTCCTGTTTTACACATGACTCTCCTGTTTTGAGGTGTTAGAGTTAAAGAAAACAACAACTGAAAGTTCAGTATAAAAAAGTTTAAAAACTACCATTATGCATATCACTGTCACTCAGCACAGCTGAGGACCAGACAGTTTAGCCTACAGAATCACCTGCCAGCATTTGATTGTCTACATCTTTGAGAAATTAAGTATTTTAGGTGAGTCATAGGAAAGATGCCTGTGTAGGTCTTCAGTGCTGGGACTCAGAGAAGCACAGCAATCCTGTGCTTTGACTCACAAGATGGAATGTGAGCAATTCTTGATCAGGTGCCCCACAGATGTCATGGATTGTTTAGATTTGAATACAAGTGCATTTTTAAATTGCTATCCAATGAAGCATTCCTTAAAAAGCCAAGATTTTCTTCTGCATTGTTTCAGAACTGTTAGGAACTGGATTAGGGAATATGATTTGAAGGACAGAAAATATGGATCAGTTAATCATCATCAACCGCTGTGAAATTCCCACCTTTTACTCTTTCATTTGGGATAAAAATATTGAAGATTGTGATTAAATGCCTATATGTTTTGTGTAAGGAGGGTTCATCATTGTATTTTGTGAATTAATTTATTAGATTAGCTACGTTAGCTCTAAAAGGTAAGCAATGGTTTTAGGTCAGTTTTAATTGTAAAGAAAATGTGAAGAGGATAGGTTGGGCAAGGCATCAAGTGGTGGGAAGAGAAGTCTAGGGATCCAGAGAACAAGAAAGACTCCAAAGGGAATAGCCTGGAAAAGATGTTTCATTGTTGCCAAGCTTACCCCAGGTCAATTGCAGTTGGATAAAAGTAAGTGTAACTGAGAAAGATAATCCAAATTCAAATATTTTTGTTGCTGTTTTTAAAAAAATGCATCCTAAAAAACTGCATTACTTTTTGATTGAGAAAGTAGGCCGGGCACGGTGGCTCACGCCTATAATCCCATCACTTTGGGAGGCCAAGGCGAGCAGATCACCTGAGGTCAGGAGTTCAAGACCAGCTTGGCCAATATGGTGAAACCCCATCTCTACTAAAAATGCAAAAAATAGCCGGGCATGGTGGTGTGTGCATGTAGTCCCAGCTACTCGGGAGGCTGAGGCAGGAGAACCACTTGAACCTGGGAGGCAGAGGTTGCAGTAAGCTGAGATTGTGCCACTGCACTCCAGCCTGGGTGACAAGGGTGAAACTCCATCTTAAAAAAAAAAAAAGAGAAAAAGAAAAAGGAATGCATGCCTACACTAAGGCACACTACAGTGATATTTTAGAATCAGAGGAAAAGCTTCCAGAAAGTGGAAAGCTGGTTACATACAAAGGATTGAGAATCAGAATAATATCAAGCATCTGACAGCAACACTGGAATCTAGGATATATTGAAACAAGGCCTTCAAAATTCTAAGGAAAAAAAATGCATTCCAACCTAGAATGCTATACCCAGCTAAACTATGAATGCAGACTAAACACATTTTTAAATACACATGATGTGCAGACCCTGTGGGTTGCCTATCCAACAGCTATTCCCCCAATCCCTTCTTTCCTATTGACTTGAGACCTGTTCTCACAATAGAAGATGTAAATGATATATATTCATTTTCTGAGACTTCCGTGCAGCTAAGGTATGACTCAGTTTCTGACAAATGAAATTAGCCAGCTGCTGTAGCCACCTGTGACATAAAGCGGACACATCATCATTGTTGTGATGAAGGCACAGCAAGGGTACAAAAAGTGCCTGGGTCCTGATGACATCATTGAGCTGCTAACTATTCAGAGAGTTAGAGATGACCTAATAATAGTAATAAAAATCCTATTTGTATTCCAGAATGCTATTATTTATAATTGAAGGCATCCTAGGTGATACCTTAGGCCTCAAAAAAGTTTTCTCTAGTGTTCTCTTTTTCAGATGTGCTCCACCAGAACTAGCAAGTACAACAAAAAAGGAATTCTCAGGATGATGACAGTGATCATTTCATCGTAAAGCAAGAGGACAGAGTCCACAGCCGGGAATGTCTCATGGGAAAAAAATGCAAACAGTTGAATTTTGTGTCTGGCCATACTGAGAGGTGCTTTATGGTTATGTGAGACATTTTGGAACTGAATTAATGATAGGCACATGGAAGACAAAGTAAATGAGGGGGAAAGGCAATTATTAACTCAACACAAATCCAAAAAACTTTATGAGAAAGGAAGTGCAATGTTACTATACTGCATGGCTTAACTGCAAACAGTATTTCCATAGTCATAATAAGGTGTCCACTGAAAATTGATTTGGCTATAAGTTGCAATCTAATTATGATTTGAGATTGGAGTAAGAGCAAGAGTTTGTATGGGAGGGTGTCAGGAGTGGGATGTGTAAGCCAGTTAAATCTGCCTCTCTGATAGGAATTCAGTAGATAATGTCTAAAAGGGGAAAACATCAAGACATGGCCAAACAAGCTTGTTATTAGTAATATGAAAGTGAATGAGCCTGGCCAACATGGTGAAACACCGCCTCTACTAAAAAATATAAAAATTAGCTGGGCATGGTGGTGGTCGCCTGTAATCCCAGCTGCTCAGGAGGCTGAGGCAGGAGAATTGCTTGAACCTGGTGGACGGAAGTTGCAGTGGACTGAGATCACGCCACTGTACACTCCTGCTTGGGTAACACAGCGAGACTCCATCTGGGGGAGGCCGGGAAAGAAAATGAAATGTGCCGCGGCGCGGTGGCCCACGCCTGTATTCCCAGCACTTTGGGAGGCCAAGGCAGGTGGATCACAGGTCAGGAGTTTGAGACCAGCCTGACTAAGATGGTGAAAACCCGTCTCTACTAAAAATACAAAAATTAGCCAGGCGCGGTGACGGGCTCCTGTAGTCCAAGCTACTCCAGAGGCTGAGGCAGGAGAATCGCTTGAACCTGGGAGGTGGAGCTTGCAGTGAGCCAAGATCACGCCACTGCACTCCAGCCTGGACAAAAGAGCGAGACTCCGTCTCAAAAAAAAAGAAAACAAAAGAAAGTGAATGTAAGAACAACTAAAATTTAAAATGAGTGCTTCTGGAGAGTAGCATTTGAGCCTGAGAAAAGAGGGGAATGACAAGACTGTTGTCTTCCCTTAGAAACTTTGCAGTACTATTTGAGTTTAAAATATATATATGTGTGTTTGTATGCGTATTTTTTGCCAAAAAAATTAAATTAAAAAATCATCCAGAAATATGTTAAAAAAACAAAGTTTCTACAGTCAAGAAAAGCAGGGAAAAATACAATAAAATAGTTTCAACTATACAAACATATATGTGAAAATTAGTCTCCCATCATAGAGATGAGCACCATTACCAACTTCTTGTGTATATTTTCAGTCTATATATACATATATGTATGTGTAATATATGACATATATTAGCATATATTACACATATGAGAATATATAACAGTTACATATTACATTATATACATATACATTATATTATATGCATACAATATACATTATATTGTATACATAATATACATTATAATTTAGATTATGTATACATTATATTGTATACATAATATACATTATAATTTAGATTATACATTATATTATTTATTACATTATATTATATGTTACACAAATGGAAACCTATAAACATTATACACATGAATTTTATTTATGTATACAGAAATAAACTAGAATTCCTTAATTTTTTTAAAAATGGCAGATTAGTATTTTATTGTATGGAAGTAACCTCTGTGAATGGACACTGAGGTCACTTTTGGTCTTTTGCAGAAAAGGCATGCAGCCATGAATATATGTGTACATTTACCCTTGTATAAAATGTTCAAGTGTATCTCTAAGATAAATTCCTAGACATAAATTCTTGGGGCACATGGCATGTATCTTAAAATTTTGATATAGTTCTGAATTTCCTTTCAAAGAAGTTGCACAATTTGTACCCCTACCTACAGTGTATGAGTGCCTGTTTCCTCCTAAATGTTGCCAGTGTTTGCAACACCAGACTTAAAAAAAAAAAACTTTGCTAATGTGATAAGTACAAAATTGTTTCTCATTGTTTTATTTTGCATTTAATTTGCTTTTCTTTAACTGGGAGGGACAACCACTCACGCTCACTGGAAATTTAGGAAAACACAGAAGGCTGTGTTCATACACAAGGTACACTCCTGTGATTTTATGGAAGAATTTGAATAACCTTCTTTTTATCATCCAGTGATAGCAACAAAGGCTTACTCATATCCTAGTTCTAACAAGACAAAAATTTTTTGTATACTGAGGCACACTGTTTCTAGAATGAAATACAGAGGGACAGATTACAGCCTGCAAAATAACAGGAACCAGATAGAAATATGACCTTCAGAAGCCCTTAACATAGTGGTGGGTTGTGATAAATGAGATATTTCTGGAAACCAATTTGGTAAATGCATAAACATCCAAGAATAGCAAGTGATTAAAGAAATCATCAGCAGGAGAAAATACTATGCAACTATTGAGAATTATGACCATGCCAACCATTCATTCATTCTATAAGAATTAATAAGCACCTGGAATGCTCTATTTAATGCTGTATGCCAAAAGAGATCAAGAAGAATAAGACTCAGTTTTATGTCTCAATGGGCTCACAGTGCAGTGAGGAACAAGACAGGTAAACAGTGAAAATACAATGGGAAGCTTTCCCTAGAAGTCAGCTGCAAAATGCTGTGGAAACAGCAAGAACCAACTAAATGTTAGAAGCTTTAGTTAGTTTGAGGGAGACTAGGGCAAAGCTTTCCCAGAGGAAGCCACTTGGGAACTGAGATGTGAAGGATGATGAGATCAGGCACATGAGGTAGGGCATTTCAAACAGGAGGAGTAGCACGTGCTCTTCAGAATCTAGTAAATTTCAGCCAGGAGCAGTGGCTCATGCCTGTAATCTCAACACTTTGGGAGGCTGAGGAGGGCAGACCACTTCAGGTCAGGAGTTCGAGACCAGCCTGGCCAACATGGTGAAACCCCATCTCTACAAAAAAATACAAAAACTAGCTGGGCGTAGTTGTGCGTGCCTGTAATCCCAGCTACTTGGGAGGCTGAGGCAGGAGAATCACTTGAGCCTGGGAGGTGGAGATTGCAGCAAGCTGAGATCGCGCCACTGCACTCCAGCCTGTCGACAGAGTGAGACTGTCTCAAAAAAAAAAAAAAAATCTAGTAAACTTCTATTCACAGCAACCTGGAATTAGCCACATTTAGGGTGCAGGTCAGGAAGGAAGAGGGATAAAGTCCAAAAGGTAAATGTGTTTTCATGACACAATGGAAAATGATGAGAACAGAGCCTAAGATAATACATACAAACTTCCTACAACTACAGGAACACATGGCGACATATACTAACAACAATCGCAAGTTATTTTGGAAAATTATTCATGAACTGTCTGTATTAATTTTACTCATTAAGTTTAACTGGTGTTACATTATCAACATCAGGTAATGTTTATTACATTTCCATAGAGAAATACAGTAAGTGGTTTATTAAAATCTCTTCCTTGTAGAAAAGAATGGTAGACAATCCTACACATTTGCATGCTTATGAATACAAAAGAAAGGGAAGTGAATTTTAATAACATGAATAATTCCTCCTGTAACATTTTATGCATGTTAAGTCTGTGTGATTGCCAAAATCATTGAGACACATTTAGTTACTTGATGTTTAATATTTCTTTTGCAATCTAATTTCTTATTTTAAAATGTTAGTCAGAAAAAAAGAAGTCATTAAGTAGTAAAGGAAGTGGAAAGCCTTGTAACTTAGAAGGAATGTTGGAAAACTCATTGTGCCAGAGAAAATAGAATATATCATCTGTATTTGTTGTTTTAAAAGCCATTTCGAAGGATGTGGGGCAGATATTTGAAAATTCTAATGTCACTTATTGCTAGGACAGATTCACATAAGAGGTGTCTTATCAGATTTAAAATTCTGGATCTGGTCTGGATAATGACTGTGAAGAACTTTCAACTGAGTTAATCTTGACTGCCAAGCATGGGTTACAATAGCACCTAGTGCAGCATGAGTCTTTCCATTGGCATTAAATGCTTTAGCTTAAACGACCACTGGGCTTAGCAAAGAACTGAATACAAGCAGTATCACCTCCATTTAAACATATCTTTTATCACTTATCTTATCTTGTAAAAAAAAAAATTCCAGGAAATAAATTTTCAGTAAAACTGAGCTAGCTCTCTTGGCAACCTCCCTGGCTTTCCTACCCACATCATGCAAATGTACATAAGACTGCTGCCAAGAAAAGGGGGGAAAAAAGAAACAGAGGAAATTATGAACTACAAAAGTTGAAAATCATTGTTACCCTCTTTTAGAAATGGCTATTTCTGGGCACAATGGCTGCAGTGAGCAATGGTCACCACTGCACTCTGGCCTGGGTGCCAGAGTGAGACCCTGTCTCAAAAAAATAATAAAAAATAAAACATAAAAAGAAATGGCCATTTCTGTTACATTTCGTGATTTCCCCCAGCAGCTCGTTGGTTACTAAATGAGAGTGACTTCTAAATAAAACCAGAGTGTTTATTCAATCCCATCTGAGAATGCTGAGAAAGGGCTGCCAAGGCTGGTGGAATCAGGGCTCTGCCAGGACAAAGAAGTCATCTCTCAGTGACTCATGTAAGATGCATTTTAAAATTGTTGCATGTGAGACACTTCCAGTGATTGCCCTGACAAGGCACCCCAAAATTTGGCATGGTTCTTTCAGAAAGGACAAGGTCGGTTTCCAGGTGAGCTAATTCCTTCATCAGCAACACCAGCTGATGCACTCTGAGAACCTCCTTCCTAAGATGAGGAAGACTTACATAGGGGAAGTGTTCTAGGATAAGGTTGTGGAGTTGTGTGGGTGTGGGTGTTTTGTTTTGGTTTTGTTTTTTTTTTTAATTTTTTTTTTGGAGACAGTGTCTTGCCCTGTCACCCAGGCTTGAGTGCAGTGGTGCAATCACAGCTCACTGCAGCCTTCACTTCCTGGGCTCAAAGGATCCTCCCACCCCAGCCTCCTGAGTAGCTGGGACTACAGGTGCGGGCCACCACACCCAGCTAATTTTATTTTGTATTTTTTGTAGAGATGGGATTTCACCATGTTTCCCAGGCTGGTCTCGAACTCCTAGGCTCGAGCAATCCACTGGCCTCAGCCTCGCAAAGTGCTGGGATTATAGGCGTGAGGCACTGCGCCTAGGATAAGGTTTTAACATGCCTCCATCTGGTGGGTTCCATGCAAAATGGGTTTTCAAAGGATTTGTCTCATCAAAGATGAAACTCTACCTTCTTGCAAGTCATTTTTCAAATGCAGCTTTTCAAGAAGCCTACCCTGACCACATTATTTAAAATTGTGACTCATCCTCCAAATCCTAATCTCTTAATCCTGCTCAATTATTATTAGTAGTAGTATTATTATTCGCTCTGTTGCCCAGGCTGGAGTGCAGTGGGGCAATCTCAGCTCACTGCAACCTCTGCCTTCAGGGTTCAAGCAATTATCTGCCTCAGCCTCCTCAGTAGCTGGGATTACAGATGCCCACCATCACGCCTGGCTAATTTTTTGTATTTTTAGTAGAGACAGGGTTTCACCATCTTGGCCATGCTGATCTTGAACTCCTGACCTCATGATCCACCTGCCTTGATCTCCCAAAGTGCTGGGATTACAGGTGTGAGCCATCGTGCCTGGTCTATTATTTTTTAATGTATAAATCTTAAGCATACAGGTCAATGAATTCTTGCATATGCGTCTACTCGTATAATTATCATTCAGATCAAGAAATATAACTTTTACAGCACTCCAAAAGGCAGCTCCTTCAGGGGCCTTCTCCCAGTCCAGCCTGTTCTATTTTTTCAAAGCATTTGCCACCTTTTAAGATACTTGCCGAGTGCAGTGGCTCACGCCTATAATCCCAGCACTTTGGGAGGCTGAGGTGGGTGGATCATGAGGTCACGAGTTCACGACCAGCCTGACCAACATGGTGAAACCTGTCTCTACTAAAAATACAAAAATTAGCCTGGCCTGGTGGCTGTGCCTGTAACCCCAGCTACTCGGGAGGCTGCGGCAGGAGAATTGCTGGAACCCAGGAGGTGGAGGTTGCAGTGAGCCGAGATCACACCACTGCACTCCAGCCTGTGCAACAGAGCGAGCCTCTGTCTAAAAAAAAAAAAAAAAAAAGATATTTGATTGGCTCATAGATGTACCCAAGCAACTAGAAAACTGCCTGACACACAGTAGGCACTCACACTCAAATCTTTGTTGAATGAAAGAATATTATTTTATTTTGAGACAGAGCCTCGCTCTGTTGCCCAGGCTGAAGCGCAGTGGCACAGTCTCGGCTCACTGCCTGCCACCTCAGTCTCCCAGGTTCAATTGATTCTCCTGCTTCAGCCTCTTGAGTAGCTGGGACCACAGGCGCCCGCCACCATGCTTGGCTAATTTTTGTATTTTTAGTACAGGTGGTGGCTCATGACTGTAATCCCAGCACCTTGGGGGGCTGAGGCAGGTGGACCGCTTGAACTGGGGAGTTCAAGACAAGCCTGGGCAACATAGTGAAACCCAACCCTGTCTCTATAAATAAATAAACAAGTAAATAAATGCAGACATCAGAATGGTATTGATCAGATCTAGGTACAGGTGTAGATTGGATGCGTCCTTGTTTAGTCTCTTCTATGTAACATTTTCTTGGACAGGTTGAGCACTTGGTAGTGGATCTGCAAGGAGGGGGTGCCCCCTTTAGTCTGGAATCCCCTCTTGATTCCTAGGTTTGCTGGCATTTATCCAGATAGGGGCAGAGTCTTCCTAAACGGCTTCCCTCCTTTGGAGTCTGCTGCTCCTTGCATGCCATAACCCAGTCTTGAGAACCTGGCTCACCTTCCATTGCTCCCCTCTCCCAGTCAGTTGCAGGTTGTGGCCACTTCGTGCCCTATCTCTCTTCTGTGGTGTCCCTTGAATTTCCTCCTTTTTACTTCCCCTGGCAACTCCTCCGTATGTCGCTGTCCCAGCCTCTCAAGTGATTCTCCCATCTTCAGTTTTATCCTCTCTAGACTATCTCCCTATTATTTTCCCTAAAACACAACCTTGATCATGCTCATGCTCGGTCCTAAATTGTCAACGGTTTGCAGGTGCTACCAAAAACAAGTCTAAATGTCTTAGATCAACCAGTGTCACCAACAGGCCCTATGTTCTCTTGCATCGGTACCTTTGTTCTGTCGTTAGCTTCAGAATATAAGTGCTGGAAGAGACCATCTGGTCCAATCTCATTTTACAAATGAGGAAACTGAGGCCTGGATAGATTGAGTGACTGACCAGCACCTAGTCAGAGATCAAGTTTGACTCATGAAAAAGAAGCCTAGAGCAGCCTCGGGGTTGGTATCAGACAAGATTCTACCAGTTGGCCACCCGTTGAATACCCTCTCTACACAACTCTGATCCTTAAAGCTGTGGATCTTTGAGTCCCATCAAGCACGGCCTCCTGTAGGAAGCCTCTGTGATGACCCAGTTGGGAGTCTGGACTCTTGGGCATAGATGTGAGCCTCTAGGTGACTGGGAATCGTGTGGGAGTCCTGGCTCCCCTACTGCATTTTAAGCAAACTCTGATCTTTGATTTTCCTCCATTCTTATCCCAACGACTCGGTCCATAGTCGGGGAGCGGCAAAAGTCTACTCAAGAAGGAGGGTAATGTCTATACTGCCAGGGAGGCACGATTCACCCGCTCAGACACCAGCCAGCAACGAGGCGCTGAGTCCAAAATTTCCACCTACACCGCGTGGTTCACGGGCCGCACCTTAACTCCTTTTGACTCCAAACCCAAAAAAACTCGATAGCGTTTGGACTCGGCAGAAAGCCTGCTGGCTGCAATCACAGGATACGTTTCTGGAAGTCTTGAGGCGCAGCCTCTTTCTTCACCCTCCACGCGGCGAACTTTGACGCGCATTCGGTGACCGGTCCCCAAACATGACTTGGCATCAAGAGGACACAGCTCCCCTTACCGAGGGAGCTCAGGTCCCGGGCGCGCCGCGGCCCCGCCAGCTTTCCAGGCTGGCTCAGTCCTCGACCCGGGGTGACGGCCAAGCCAGCCAAGGGCAGCGGGAAAGTGACGCTGGGCTGGAGAGGTGTGGTGGCGAGTGCGGCCCCCGGGGAGCTAAGAGCAGCCGCAGCAACTGGGTCTCAGGCTGGGCGAGGCAAGGGCTCGTAGGCTGGGCTCGGAAGACTGAAAGGGGTGCCCACCTGACTCCAGGACGCACGGAGGGCGTGGGGCAGGAGCTGGACCTGGGCCGCCTCGGGCCGCCCCGGGGCTTGCAGTCCAGCCCCTCTCCGCCCTAGGGAGGGAAAAAGGGAGGGGAGAAGGCCGAGCCCGCCTCCAGCCCCAGCCCCAGCCCCAGCGAGGCTCGGCGGCCGCGGCTGCTGGAGGGAAACCAGAGGCACCTCCCCGAGCGGAGAAACCAGTTTGGCCGGTCCGGCGGAGCGGAGGCAAAAGGGCGGCTGCAGAGGAAGGGTGCACGGACGCGGGGCGGGGAAAGGCGGGGGAGCCACTAGCGAGCCGCGAGAGCCGGAGGTGCCGCCGCCAACTAGACACGCTTCCCCGGGCCCCCGGCCAGCCCCCGTGCGCCATGCAGCGCTAGCGCGGCGGCCAGGGCTGGGGCCGGGCGGGCGGCGGCAGCGGCCAGGTGCGCAGCGAGCGCTCCGAGCGGCGCGCACCAGGCGGATGCCCCAGCCGGGGCCCAGCGAACGCCAGGTAAGCAGGGGTGCGGCGCCGGGGGCCCCCAGACCTTCCCAAGCCCCTTGGCCCGGCGGTGTCCTGCAGGTTCCCTGGCCGCTCCCGCCGCACTTTGGAGATCCGGGATGCGGCGGCAGCAGCTGTCAGCGCCCTCGGACTCCCGAGCCCGCACAGGTGGGATTTGGGTGGAGGTGCTGGGAGCCCCCGAGGCCTCGGGGACGGCGAGACACGGCCGGCTGGGCAGGCAGCGCTGCGGAGAGTTCCGTGGGGTTTTCACCTGCCTAGAGGAGGGAAATCTCGGGGTGTTTGGGTTCTTCGATCGGTAGCGACACACATGTCCGGGGGTTAAGCCAGGTAGGGCTTGCGGCTCCTTGGGGGATGCCGCTGGCTCCTGTGCGGTGGCTACCGCCCCTCTGGAAGACCCCGGTGACCGGGTCCTGCTGGGGCGCTCTTTGGGAGCAGATGCCAACGTGTCCGAAAAGGACTTGCGGGCCAAACGTATCTGACCGCGGCCCACCTGCCGGGAGGGATGGAGGGGGTGAGATCGCTCTCCTCCCCAGCTCCTGTGGCAGGGCCAGGTACTCCCAGACATCTTCCGTGCGCTTTATTGTGGGATGGGGAGGGGAGGTGATGGGGAAGACCGACACCACTGTTTTTCCGGTGACTGTCGGGTCGCGTCCGCCAGCCCCGCTGAGATGGCTGCAGGCATCTCCTTCCCTCAGCAGTTTGGTGCCCTGCGCTGTCACCTCGCTGTGTGCACGAGGAGGGGCAACTTGTTGGGGGGCGCGGGGAGATGTTGCAGAGAATGGCCCAGTGCTTTAACACCCCTCGCCCCCACTTCTCCAACTCCCTCCTTCTCCCCAAAGTGAAAGAAAAGTTCTGAAGTGTCTGCCCAACTTTTCCGACGGAGGCGTGTGCCTGTGGTCCCTGCCGGGGGTTGGTGGCTGGTTGCGGGGGGGGGCGGTGCTCGGAGCGCAGATCCGTGACGGTTGTACGGGGGAGACTGGATTGCAGTAAGGATGCAAATTGGGGAAGGGGGATTGACACGCAGAAGTAAGGAGGACTTGGGCCGCGCTTCTGCCCGGTGAGTACCCGCTCAACCCTACCCGACCCCCTTGGCCTGCACGCGCTGCCCTTGGGGGCTGCAAGCTCTTCCTGGGTAGCTCCAGACGCCGCCGAGTTCCTCTCCCGGAAACTGGCCTCCCTGTTGGCGTGAGAAAATATTCGCTCCCATCTTCCTGGTTGCATTGCCTTCAAAATTTTGCCACTACCCATGGGAAACTAAAAAAAGAAAAAACTAGTGGGATGTTTGGAGATCACCCGGCACACGGTAGGTTATCGATGAAGGTTAACTGCTTTCAGGAACAAAAGCTAAAAAAAACCACGCGTGATAAAGCCTCCAGGGATAGTGAATACGAGCCCGTATATATGGGGGACACGACAGCAAATGTGAAGTAGAAGCGCTAATTTTCGTCCGCTAAGGAATACTTTTGTGTTAGACCTAAGATGCCGTTCATTAATTCTGGGCCTGTTGTTGAAGGCTTTATTAAACCCTATTATAAATGCGCAGACTGTGCACAAGATGATTAATGCTTATTAGCTGATTACTTTCTGGGGGAGAAGTCACGCCTGCCTGCAGTTAACTCCTCTGAATTCTCTTAATGATTTTCATTAGGTGGTGGAGTTTTCCTTGCTATAATTTTGGGAAGGAACATTAACCACTTTGTTCATTCGTCGTTTTCCAGTGGCTGTATTTTAGTAACTTTTAGTGATTCTTTGCGTGGGTTATTAAGGGCCGAGCAAGACTCTTTTGGTTATTACTGTCCAACACAGATGCCACCTGTGTGAGGTCAGCTCTGGCTGCTTTCAAGTTTTCCTTATGGATTTTAAGGAACACACACACCTGTGTGCACATGTTATTACATCCTAGTGATAGAACTGGGAGAGGTTTTGTTTTGTTTTTTGTTCAATAGAAGTTTAAAAATAATAATGTGGTACAGCAAATGGCTTCGCAAAAAGAAGTCTTCGGTGGTAAGGCAAGTTCAGGACTGATTTTATGTTTAATCTGATTTTCAGTCTAGGGGATCTTAGTGCTAATGGAGTCACTACCAGATCTGGCTGTAGAATGTTCTTTTCCTTTCCTTCCGTCCATTCCTCTTTCCTCTTTCTTTTCCATCCTTTTGAAGCAAGGAGTAGTGGAAAATATAAAAATGCCCACAGATTTCAGTTCTTTTCCTTATTAATTGTATAACCTTAAATGAATTCTTGTTTTCTGAACCTCTGTTTGCTGCTCTGTTGAGGGGAAAAGATATTATCAATCTCTTTGGATTGTTGAAAGAATTAAATCAGAGAACATATGAATGTTCTTTATATATAGTCAGTGTTTGAATGTTGGTTTCTTACTTTCTTTATTAGATTGATATCTAAAAATACTATTATTGCAGGTATCTGGTATATTTTTAAGATTTTATTGCCTTATGAATTAAAATTCCATTTTAGTTTTTTATAAGCAACATTCACAGAATGCAGGTAATTCTAACAACTCCAGAGAGATTTTTCCTAGTTACCTTTGCTCTTTAGTGTCGGTTACTGAAAAAGAAACCGATGCACTCATGAATGCAGAGGAACTTGCTTTTTAGGTACCAGAACAAGTTGTTTTTTAAAATTTTTTATAAATAAAATACATAGAGACAGGGCCTTGTTATGTTGCCCAGGCTGATCTAAAACTCCTGGCCTCAAGCAATCCTCCTGCCTTGGCCTCCCAAAGTGCTGGGATTACAGGTGTGAGCCACTGTGCCTGGCCCCAGAACAATTTATGTCCCAAATCTCTCTAAAAAGAGATGCCTTTTAAATTGCTTAAGCACTTAATTTTAGAGTTTATTTGTACACTTGGTTCTAGTTTAGTCTCCTGGAAAGTTTTTCTTAGTGGTGTCTTTAGGTATCTTGTGAGTTTTCAGGTCTGTTGACATTCAGTTAGATTAATTGTATTCATGCCTGTAGGTTTTTTGTTTCTTATTAAGTAAAAAATTAATTTGCTGCCAGAAGAGTGTTAATACCATAAAAAGAAGACAGGTTATATTTTTCATTTTGTTAACCAAGTTACTCCTGAATCCCCATTCCCATGCCCAGCTAAAAGTAATACCTAATCTAAGATCTTTTGAGGTCCTCTATCACTGAAGACCTGGTATTGTTTAGGAAGATTCTGAAAGCATATATATGTGCATGTATGTATATAGATATGAGCATGTCTATATACGTGTGTATATGTATATATTAGTCTTGTTTCTCATTTTCTTTTTTTTTTTTTTTTTGAGACAGAGTCTTGCTCTGTCGCCCAGACTGGAGTGCAAGTGGTGTAATCTCACTGCAACCTCCTCTTCGCTGGTTCAAGCAATTCTCGTGTCTCAGCCTCCCGAGTAACTGAGATCACAGGCGTGTGCCACCATGCTCAGCTAATTTTTGTATTTTTAGTAGAGACGGGTTTCACCATGTTGGCCAGGCTAGTCTCAAACTCCTGGCCTCAAGCAATCCACCAAAGTGGCCTCCCAAAGTGCTGGGATTATAGGCGTGAGCCACCGCACCCGGCCTCATTTTCTTAAAAAACAGATAACTTTTTATCATCTGAATCTTTAAGGCCATATTGGTACTTTCTTTGATACTTATAAATGCACTGCACTTTTAAATAAATTGTTGCCCAACCCTTCCACAATGAGAAATATGTTTCATAACTGGTCCCTGCAAGCAGTCCAGAGGCAGCAGTGAAACAGAGGTTGCCAGCCTTGGAGTCTTTTGACCTGGGTTGGAACGCAGGCCTCATAGCTTCCTAGGTGCATAACCTAGGGCAAGTTACCTTGCCTCTCTAGGCTTCAGTTTCCTCATCTGTAAATGGGATAATAATAGTATGGCCTCACAAGGCTGTGTGATGAGTTCCAAATGAGATAGCTTAGGTAGAGGACTTAGCACACAGTTCAGTAAAAGGTAGTCGTTAATACATTGTTGTGTTGTTGCTATGACTTTGTAAATATCACTCACCCAGCCATTGCCTTTCTCCTGGGCTATGTAGGAAACAGGAATCATTCTACAAGTTAGTATTTATTTAGCAAACATCAGTGCCCATTTGCACCAGGCACTGGAAAGATAGAGTTCCCCAGAGCAGGGGCAAGGTTCTAAGTCTCCGATCTACACTGTTGTTCTTAAGCCCTGGTGGCTCAGAGGACCAGAGTGCTCATTTGCCTCTTAACCTTGCAGGAGAACTCGTGAGGGGGCCTGGTTGCTGTCTCACCTGCTACCTCTTCCTGCACAGTAGAAGCCCGTGGAATGCTCCTGAGCCCCCTTTACCCATCACATCAGTTGGTCTTTTCTCTCCCTCATCCTCCACGCTCCTGTTTTTCTATTTTTAACTTTATTTATTTATTTATTTTAGACAGGGTCTTGCTCTGTCACCCAGGCTGGAGGGGAGAGGCATGAACATGGCTTGCTGCAACCTTGACCTCTTGGGCTCAGGTGATTCTCCCACCTCAGGCTCTCAAGTGGCTGGGACCACAGGTGTGCCATAGTACCCAGCTATTTTTTTTCTTTTTTTCTTTTTTCTATTTTTTTTTTTGTAGAGACAGGGTCTCACTATGTTGCCCAGGCTTCTCCTGAACGCTTAGGCTCAAGCAGTTCTCCTGCCTGGGCCTCCCAATATGCTGGGATTATAGGTGTGAACCACCATTTCTGACCCACACTCCTGGTTTTTTTGTTTGTTTGTTTTGTTTTTTAATTACTACCTGTTTAAAACTCAACAGTTTCTGAACCCTGTGGCTTCTTGAAAGGCTCATTGCTCCCTGTGTGGTTTTCTTAGTTGTGGATCCTGGGTAGGCGTTGCTAATGACAGAGAACCTTGGTATAGCTCCTTTCATTCATTCATCTTTAGACTATGCTGGGGGAATTACCTCTCTGCTTCATGGAAGTCTGTGGGGTTCACAGAGGGCCTGAGTTGGGTTTCTTCTTTGGTGAGAAAGCAGATCAGAGGCCTGGCGTGGTGGCTCATGCCTGTAATCCCAACACTTTGGGAAACCAAGGCGGGTGGATCACGAGATCAGGAGTTCAAGACCAGCCTGCCCACATAGTGAAACCTCATCTTTATTAAAAATACAAAAATTAGCCAGGTGTGGTGGCATGCGCCCGTAGTCCCAGCTACTCAGGAGGCTGAGGCAGGAGAATTGCTTGAGCCTGGGAGGTGAGGTTGTAGTGAGCTGAGACCTTGCCATTGTACTCCAGCCTGGGCGACAGAGTGAGACTCCATCTCAAAAAAAAAAAAAAAAAAAAAAGAAAGAAAGAAAGCAGATCAGGTGTCTGCTCTCTTCCTGCTTGGGACCTTGTCCCTCTTTGCATGGAGGGATGGTTTCTTTAGGTCCTGGGGGATAGCCCAGGCCACTTCCACTCTGAAGATCTGTGTTCTTTATCAGTCTTTCAATCTAGTATATTTGCATTTAATAGGTGACAAATGGGCCTGGAAGCTGTGGTGGGGATGGAGTGGGAAACCAGCTCTCAGTCTGACATTGACTCCTGGAGGGGAGGGTCACCTCTGTTCCTGGGCAGCCTTTCAGTGGCGAAGGCCACCATCCCCCACAGCGTGATTGAGAAGCCTGGCACTTCTGCAATGAGTACTGTGGAGCCTGACCTTTGGCTAGTAGCTTGGTCTTTATTGACAGGGCTGTCATTTATGGCTTTGTTACTTTGTTGCTGAGTGGCTTTTGTTCTACTGGAGTTGCGGTTTGTTTGATTTAGTGCAGGTGGCTTTTGAAAACAGTTTTCTAACCTTTATTGAAATTGAGTTGCACTAGAAAATCCTCTTTGGAAACCCTCAGGCACCAAATACTGTCCTTCACTTAGTATCAGAATGTATATTCTTGCTGTTCAGGGAAGCTTCCATGGATTGGATGCACTATTTATTTTATAGAGTGTGGTGTGATTCATGTACACATCCTTATTTTCTCTTCCTGGAACTTAGTGAGTTACTGACATGATCCTCTGAGATTTCTGTGCATGATCTGTAGATCCAGAAGGAACACTTAACATTTTCTATAAGAACATAGCTAACACCTGTAATCCCAGCACTTTGGGAAGACAAGGCAGGCAGATCATGAGGTCAAGAGATCGAGACCATCCTGGCCAACATGGTGAAACCCTGGTGGCACACGCCTGTAGTCTCAGCTACTCCAGAGGCTGAGGCAGGAGAATCGCTTGAATCCGGGAGGCGGAGGTTGCAGTGAGCTGAGATTGCACCACTGCACTCTAGCCTGGTGACAGAGCGAGACTCTGTCTCAAAAACAAACAAACAAACAAACAAACAACAGCATAGGTAACCCTTTGGCTTGGGTGGTTTAAATATTTACTCACTTGGGGAGATGGGTAGGTTTTGTACATTTCATGCTGGGAAATAATGCCCCTATCTTTATATTGAAAAATTAAAGTGTGAGTCCTCTAAGTCAGGCACTAGTAGCTGCTGTATCAACCTCCAGTTTTTTGTTGTTGTTTTTGTTTTTTTCATTTAGAGGCAGGGTCTCAAGATATTACCCAGGCTGGTCTCGAACTCCTAAGCTCAAGTGATTCTCGCCTTAGTCTCCCGAGTAGTTGGGAATACAGGCATGTGCCACTGCACCCAGCAACCTCCAGAACTTTTGTTACAGTAAGGACTCCAAGTGTGTGAAGTTCATCAGGCTACAAAGATTGTAAGAATTAAAAGAAAATCTGTGCTCTGATTTGTACCAGTACAACTTTGAGAGGAGGAGAGGTTCCTTATGATCTTGTCTTCTTGGTGTAGAAGTTTATTTCATGGGAGTTTTTAAATTTTTTTATTTTTTGAGATGGGGTCTCGCTCTGTCATGCAGGCTGGAATGCAGTGGTGCGATCTCAGCTCTCTGCAACCTCTGCCTCCTGGGTTCAAGTGATTCTCCTGCCTCAGCCTCCTGAGTAGCTGGGATTACAGGCATGGCCACCAGGCTTGGCTAATTTTTGTATTTTTAGTAGAGACAGGGTTTCACCATGTTGGCCAGGCTGATCTTGAACTCCTGACCTCAAGTGATCTGCCCACCTTAGCCTCCCAAAGTGTTGGGATTACAGGTGTGAGCCACTGCGCCTGACTTTTTTTTTTTAAATGTAAAATATACATAACATTGACCATCTTGATCCTTTTTCAGTGCACAGTTCAGTGGCATTAGGTACATTCACATTGTTGTGCAACCATCACCACCATCCACCTTCAGAACTTTTTATCATCTCAAATAGAAACTATGCCCATGAAAGAGTAACTACCCCCTTCTTCCTATTTCCTGGTCCCTGTAACCTCTATTCTGCTTTCTCCATGAATTTGACTATTCTACAGTACCTCAGGTTAAGTGGAATCATGCAATATTTGCCCTTTTATGACTAGCTTATTTCACTAGTGTAATGTCCTTAAGGTTCATCTATGTTGTAGCACAAGTCAGAATTTCCTTCCTTTTTTAGGGCTGAATAATATTCCATTGTATGCACATACCACATTTTGTTTACCCATTCATCTGTGATAGATATTTGGGTAGTTTTCACCTCTGGCTACTGTAATTTTTTCAATTAAAAAAATTTTTTTTAAGACAAGGTCTCACTCTGTTGCCCAGGCTGGAGTGCAGTGGTGTGATCATAGCTTACTGCAGCTTTGAACTCCTGGGCTCAAGCCATCCTCCCGCTTCAGCCTCCCAAATGTCTGGGACTACAGACACTCACCACCACACCCAGCTAATAAAAGAAAAAAAAAATGTGTGTGTGTGTGTCTGTGTGTCTCGATATGTCGCCCAGGCTGAACTCCAGGGCTCAAGCTAGCCTCCTGCCTTGGCCTCCTAGTGTTGAGATGACAGGTGTGAGTCACCATGCCTGGCCCACCTCTGGCTATTGTGACTAATGCTGCCATGGACCTGGGCATACACATATCTGTTTGTTCATGTCAGTTTTTGAGCCCCCCTTATTCAGTTTGGTAAAATGTATCCTTCATAAATAAGATGGGCAGGGCCACGTATTATAGTATTTATTACCATGCTTTCCTCCAGAGTAGCATGGAAATAAGAATGCAGGGAATGTGGGAGGAGGGTGTTGTTGAAGACACCTGAAGGCAGCACGTGCCTCTCCTTTTCACCTGCAGCTGCTCTCACTGAGCTGGCAGTCATATGCCATTCTTTCTTTCTTTCTTTCTTTCTTTCTTTCTTTTTGAGGCGGAGTTTCGCTCTGTCGCCCAGGCTGGAGTGCAATGGTGCAATCTCAGCTCACTGCAACCTCAACCTCCGCCTCCCAGGTTCAAGTGATTCTCCTGCCTCAGCCTCCCAAGTAGCTGGGATTACAGGCACGCACCACCATGACCGTCATATGCCATTCTATCATCCAACTGGTCTGTGCTATGGGTGACTCTTTCCTCTGTGTCAGGGTGGGTGTAAAAGCCCCAGGGTTGTGGCCCTACTATCTGGCCATCTCTGCTAACCACAGCCACCTTCCAGAGATGACATTCCATAGAATTGACTTTTTTTTTTTTTTTTTTTTTTAATGTCAGGTTGTTTTTCCCCTTAGGGTAGAATCCATGGCAAGGCAAAAGGTCAGTTACAGACTGTAGCATGGCAGAGTTATCAAATGTTCCACCTCTATAATAATGTGCTTATAGGTGTCCTGGTATAAAAATCAGATGCCTTTATGTAATAATTAGACATCAGTCTGTTAAAGACACCTTAATCTGTAGTTTCTAGAGAACAATAGACTCTCATATGAGTTTATACTCACACTGTGCCCTGAAAATTAGCCAAATAAGGATTTACGTGTTTAAAAAGCAGGTTTTTAAAGTAAAACAAAACAAAACACACAAAAACTCATCAAAGCTTGAAGCCAACCAAAAATACTACTATCCCTACGTGTCCACCCACTTTCCTATTTAATGCCAACCACAGCCACAAAAAGAATACTGGGGTTAACATGGTTAATCTCTTGGCGATCTGATACTTTATTTGTCTAGTTCAGCTGCATTAAGAGCATTTAGACTTTTGTTATCAGTCTTAGGCTTTCTCTCCTTCTGTAGAACAACATGAAAATTCTTAAAAGTCAATTTGAGAACCTTAGGCTGTGAATGGTGATGTAAGTAGCAGCTAACATGCCCTGAATCTTTGAGGTCACTGGGACCGAGAGAATGGGAGGGCAAGGGTGCAAGCTGCCATTGTAAATAGAGTGGCCAGTGGAACCTCCTTGAGAAGGTCATATTTGAGCAAACACTCAGGAGGAGAGAGGGTGGCACAGGAAGTTTTGGGGAAAGAGTGTCCCAGGCAGAGGGGACAGATAACTTGCTGCAGAAGCCCTAGGGTAAGAGTGCTTGGCTTATCTAGCTGTTCCTCCAAAGAGTAAGTGGGGGAGGGAAGGAGAAGAAGGAGGTAAGGGCAGAGAGGAAGGGGAGCCAGGTCTTGCAGGGCTTGCCAGGCTATGTAAAGACTTTGGCTTTGATTTCTTGGAAGATGGCTCAGTGCAGGACATTGCTCCTTGGAGTGGTGTGATCTGTGTGAAGACCAGTCCAGGCAGAAGGCTCCCAATCCGGGAGTTCAAGCAGGAGGCAAAGCCAGGCAAGTGAGGGTGGAAGCTTTTCCCAGGGTGGTAGTGTCCGCCAGGATGGTAGCTGTGGGGCTGAGATGTCAGATTCTTGAGAAAGACAGAGGAGAAAGGACACAGAGAGAATGGGATCGGACACAGGCATACGTGCAACTTTTATTTTGATAGATCGAAATGCCAACAGGACTTCCGAACAGATGGGATGTGGGGTGTGAGAGAGAGAGGAGCCAAAGATAACTTTCTCAGCAGAACCTGGGTCGCAAAAGGAAATCTGAGTTTCAAAAGCTGGAAATTCGCTGGGCTGTGTTCAGATTGCTTGCAACTAGGTTATAAAGAGCCTCCTCAGAAACATACATATAAGGCTTTGGTTCAGAGAACTTTGTGTTTACCATCAGCCTGTCTTCCTAGTTTGGGGGAAAGAACATTGTTAGAAAAAAGAGGCGGTTTTCAGGAAGCAGAGGACTTGACTTCATTGACAGGAGGGCGGTCTGTAACCCACAGGCTGTCCTGCCAGGGCTGCTGCTGCAGCTATTGCCACTCACAAGCCCCTAGTCCCCCTCCCTATCCTGTTTGTCTTTTGCCTAATTGGGAGGTTAAGCTTTTTCCAGCCACTCCCCATCTCCATACACATGGATTTTTTTGTTTTAAACAACTATATTGAGATCTAAGTCATGTACCATACAGTTCAGCCTTTTAAAATATACAATTCAATGGTTCTTAGTATATTTACATAGCTGTGCAACTGTTGCCACAATCTACGTCAGAACCTTTTCATCACCCCTAACAGAAATCCTGTACCTTTTAGCTCTGCCTGGTTTATCGCCTTGTCCCCGCAGCCCCTGGCAGCCTCTCATCTACCCTCTGCTTCTGTGGGTTTGCCGATTCCGGGCATTTTATGTAAATGGAATCGTATGATATGTGGTCTTTTGTGATCATCTTTTTACACTTAGCATGATGTTTTTCATGTATATTACGGTCGGGTGTGGTGGCTCACACCTGTAATCCCAGCGCTTTGGGAGGCTGAGGTGGGCAGATTACTTGAGCTCAGGAGTTCGAGAACAGCCTGGGCAACGTGGCAAGACCCTGTCTCAATTCTTTTTAATTGTAAAAAAAAAAAATTAATAAAATTTCATCCTTATTGTATTATTTGTCAATACTTAATTTCTTTATATTGCCAAACACACTAGCTACTGGTGCACGTAATACATCCTTCAAAAAAAGCACAGGCCATGGAAATGTGTGCTAGTTGCAAATAGACTGACATGTTATAAAAGGAATGTTTTGTGCCCAGAGAGCTACAAATATGTGTGTGTGGATGTAAGTATGCATTGGCTCACCTTCACAATTGATTACATGGTCCACAGTGACTCTAAAGACAAGGGGCCTTCAGGTGGCCTAGTGATTTTCTTTCATTCAGTGATTCAACAATTACTTATTAAATACCCACTACGTTGCCAGGTGCTGGCAGTAAACACAGTGAGGAGCAAAGCAGACATGCCCTTCCCCTCAGGGAGCTTATGGGGTTGTTGAGAGTGTGATGAGAGATAGAGACTAAACAAAATATTGAACAAAAGAGATATGAAACAACTTGATATTAGAATTATAATCTGTGATAAAGGCCTTAAAGAAAAATAAGATATTTCTAAGAGAATAATGAAGACCTACTTTAAAATGGCCTAGGAGTAACCCAGGCATCCACCGACGAATGAATGAATAAACAAAATTGGTGTACCCATATGATTAGGATGTTTCTCAGCCTTACGAAGGAAGGAAATTTTCGCTGAGCACGGTGGCTTATGCCTGTAATCCCAGCATTTTGGGAGGCCGAGGCTGGGGGATAACTTGAGGCCGGAAGTTCAAGACCAGCCTGGCCAACATGGTGAACCCCCGTCTCTACTAAAAATACAAAAAGGTGCAGTGGTGGGCACCTGTAATCCTAGCTACTCGGGAGGCTATGACACAAGAATCGCTTGAACTCAGGAGGCGGAGTTTACAGTGAGCCAAAATTGTACCACTGCACTCCACCATGGACAGCAGAGTGAAACTCTGCCTCAAAAAAAAAAAAAAAAAGAAAAGAAAAGAAAAAGAAAAAAGGAAGGAAATTTTAATACATGCTACATGGATGAACTTTGAAGACATTATGCTAAATGAAATAAATGAGATGCAAAAGGACAAACAAATATTTTGTGATTCCACTTATATGAAGTGCCCAGAATAGTCAAGTTCAGAGACAGAAAACTGAGCAGTGGTTGCCAGGGGCTGGAGCCAGTGGGGAATGGAGAGTTAGTTTTTAATGGACCCTGAGTTTCAGTTTGGGAAGATGAAAAATTTCTAGGGATGGGTGGTGGTAGCAATTGCAGAATCATGTGGATGCACTTAATATCACTTAGAAGGCAATAAGGCCGGACGCGGTGGCTCATGCCTGTAATCCCAGCACTTTGGGAGGCCAAGATGGACAAATTGCCTAAGGTCAGGAGCTCGACACCAGCCTGGCCAACATGGTGAAACCCCATCTCTACTAAAAAATACAAAAATTAGCCAGGTGTGGTGGTGCGTGCCTGTAATCCCAGCTACTCGGGAGACTGAGGCAGGAGAATTGCTTGAACCAAGGAGGCAAAGGTTGCAGTGAGTGGAGATCGCACCACTGCACTTCAGCCTAGGCAACAGAGCAAGACTCTGTCTCAAAAAAATAAATAAAATAAAAGTAGTTAAAATGGTAAATTTTATGCTTTGTCCATTTTACCATAATTTAAAAAATGGCCCAGGGAGTGGGGTCTCTTGAAGGAGGTTATACTTAAGTTGAGACCTAGAGGATAAGAAAGTACCAGTCAGGGGAAGAGTGGTCCAGTCAATGGGAACCGCATGTGCAAAGGCCCTGGGGTGGGTGAGAGCTTAGTGCTGTGCTCTAGGAATTGTGAGAGGCCAGAATACTGGGTGTGACATGATGCTGGGGCTACCATGGGATAAGGGAGGCAGGCACCAAACTGCAGAGAACCTGATAGGAAGTCACTAACATTTTTAAGCAGCGGCGTGATGTGATTTGATTCCTGGTTTTGTTTGATAATCCAGAGACTGCGATATGGGGAATGGGTTGGTTGTTGGTGGGGGATGGGGGTGGGGGCAGGGAATGAGGCCAGAAGCAAGGAGAGGAAATCTGGGAGGCTGCTGCAGTGTCCATGAGAGAGAGAGGATGGGGGTTTGGGCCCGATGATGGGAGTGGGGATGAGAACTGGAAGGTAGGAGCCGCACTTCACAAGGGGAATCCTGGTCTTGGTGATGGGTTGGATTTGAAGATGTAAAAGAAGAGAATTGTTGACAATTCTCAAATTTCTAACATAAGCGACTAAAGGTGATGGCATCACTGAGACCAAGGAGTAGTTTTAGAAGATGAATGTAGCTTTGATCATGTTTAGTTTGAGTTGCTGGGACACCTAGGTGTGGTCGGGGGTCAAGCATTGGTGATTCAGAAGTCTAGGTTGGAGACACAGTTTTGGGAATTGCAACATAGGATTGGGTTTAAGGAGCTGTTTGGGGATGCTGGAAACGCTTCGGAAGCCAGTGCTTCCTATCATTGGTATCAGCCTTTTAGTTTGCACTAATTTATGTAAAATAATCCACTATTTTTTGGCAACAAAGTATGTACATGTGAGCAAAAAAAAGCATTTGTGCAAAGTCACAAGCCGTGCTTTATGGACAAAGATGACAGGGTGGAGGGCTGATACAGGGTTGCCTAGTGGACAAGACCACCATACATGGCTCAAAACGTTCTCAGATGTGGGAAAGGGGCGCTTTGTATGGTATAGGAACTTGCTAAAGCCAGGGAATTTCTTGTGGAAAACCGACTTTTAAAATTGGCTTGTGTGGCCTGACTTAAAAACCAAATCACTCTTTTCATGTGTGTAGGGTAGTATAACAAAGTGGTGCTGCTTTTGTGCTCAATGTACTGTATTTCCACATGTTATATTGACCCACTTAGTCCCGTGGTGTATTAATTTCCTGGTCTCTTTTTGCAAGCAAAGGAATTATAACTTGCCTGAAGTCTCAGAACTAGTAATTGACAAAACCAGAAATTGCAGTCGTGTTTCCAGACTCACAAGGCGAGGGTTCTTTCCGAGACCTCACAGCCGAAGGTTGGAAAATCGATCCAAATGACTCAGAGATAGGGTTGCCAAATTTAACAAATAAAAATACAGGACACAGTTCAGTTTGAATCTCAGATAAATGATGAGTAATTTTTTTTAGTATAAGTGTGTCCTATGCAATGTTTGGGACTGACTTACACTAAAAATGATGTGTTCTTTATGTTAATGTCAGATATAACTCTGTGTCCTATATTTCATCTGGTAACCCACCCAGAAATGAACTCTTGGAACACAAAATCATTTGTAATTTGTGGACTTCCTGTATATTCAAGCTCCTTATAGAAACTCCTGGATCTGCCAAGCATTTTGTTTTATTTGGGGGTGGGAGTGGAAGGAGGATTTATTTTCCTATTCTCCTAAAAGGGCTGTGTTGTGATATTTTTTCCATCTTTAATATCTATGATTTGTAATAAACAGCAGCCTGGTTTTGGGAAACAAGCCCAGGAGATGTCAGCTCTGGTGAGTCACTGAATGGGCTGGCTGACCTCAGCTAATAATAGCAATTCTTTACATTTTTAAAGCACTTTATAGTTTTAAAATCTCCTCATTTGGGAGTTGGCAAGACAGGAATTATCCCCATGGGACAGATGAGAAACACAAGGGAAGCAGGGTTTGGGGGAGTGGGTGGTGCCAGGAACTGGGTTAGGGTACTCTTTTCCTAACTTTCAGTTCAGTGATGAGCAGTTAATTTTCTTTTCTTTTCCTTTCTTTCTTTTTTTTTTTTGAGATAAGAGTCTCACTCTGTCACCCAGGCTGGAGTGCAGTGGCACAATCACGGCTCACCAGGACCTCTGCCTCCTGGGTTCAAGCGATTCTCATGCCCCAGCCTCCCAAGTAGCTGGGATTACAGATGGGCACCACCACGCCCGACTAATTGTTTGTATTTTTAGTAGAGATGGGGTTTCACCATGTTGGCCAAGCTGATCTCAAACTCCTGGCCTCATGTGATCCTCCCGCCTTGGCCTCCCAAAGTGCTGGGAGCCACCATGCACGGCCAGTTAATTTTCTAAGCTCCGATTTTTTCGTGCTTCAAATGATGGACCTGATGTTTTATAGGATACCCTCTCATTGTAATTCCATGCCTCTCTGTGATCTCATTTGTCATAAGCTTCCAATTTTTAAAATGTACAGGTTGTAAATCATTTCAAGCTTTGTAGGTCCAGATGACAATAAAATATATGTGTTTCAGTAGCAGGGATAGACAATAGGTTTTATTTTGTTCATTCCGTATTCAGTTTGTCTTGTTTTATAGATGGATCTCGCTCTGTTGCCCAGGCTGGAGTGCAGTGTCAAATTATGGCTCACTGCAGCCTCAAACTCCTGGGCTCAAGGGATCCTCCCGCCTCAGCCTCCCAAGTGGCTGGGACTAATATTCACTTTTATCCAGTACTGTCATGTCTACACAATGGATACTATATAGGTCCCTTTAGAAGATGTATAAAATTTTAAATGAGGCCTATTTATTTTAAAGGTGTTTTTTCTCTATTTTGATAGATGTTAAACCTTCAGAAAAACTACTGACATTCAAAAAGGTATCTAACCCCTGAGGTTTGACAAACTTTAGAGCATTTTTAAAGGAATAGACTTTTTAAAAACTGAAAATCAGTAAATATCAGTAACCAATGGGCTCTAAAAGCCAACTTTGAAAAAGAAGCTCATGACAAAGAAGCCAAAATTACAAGAGGAAATGGTATAGCGGAGCCAACACTCCCCACCCACAGTGTTCTAGATGGAGCTCCACCCACAGTGTCCTAGATGGAGCTCCACCCGCATTGTTCTAGATGGAGCTCCTCCCGCAGTGTTCTAGATGGAGCTCCTCCCGCAGTGTTCTAGATGGAGCTCCTCCCGCAGTGTTCTAGATGGAGCTCCTCCCGCAGTGCTCTAGATGGAGCTCCTCTCGCAGTGCTCTAGATGGAGCTTTTAGGCTCACTTTTTATCAGACGAATTTATGTTGTCTTTTAGGTTCTTGTGTGTGTGTCATAAGGAAATCAGTAAGCATAAAGTGGCTTTAATTGCACTTGGCAGAGGACTAAGGGTATATAAAGATTGGTGACCGTTGTGAGAACTAAAGTACATTTTATTTGCTTGTAAAATTTTGTTTGCCACGATATCTTAGGCATTATACAATGATTTCCGGTCCAGAGGATCCTGAGAATTTAACATGAATATTATGAAGTTTCCTGTCTTCAAAATTTTGTATTTGAATACTTATTTTAATATCGCTTAAATGTATTTCTAACATAACATCCTGTCTGGCAGTCTTTGTAAACTCTCAAATTTGTCTAAGCTCTAAGTTGTTAGGGGTCATTCTTCTGTTCCAAGTCGATGTTGTTCTCCATATCTGCTGTATTTCAATACCCCTTACTAGACGTAAAAAAGATAAGAGTATCTCTTTCAAGCAAACCTTAATTTTTAAAAACACCCTTTAACATTTTTTTGTGTTTCTAGTTTTCATGAACCATTGGAAGAACACATTGTGTTTTTGAAATAAAGGGGCTTGGCTGGGCACAGTGGCTCACGCCTGTAATCCCAGCACTTTGGGAGGCCGAGATGGGTGGATCACTTGAGGTGCTACCTCCTCCTGGAAGATTTCCTGATTCCTTGTCTTTCCCAGACCAAAGTGAGGGACTCTTCCTTTGTTCTAGTGGTTCCCTGTACATTCTCATCTTAGCATAGGTGGTACCATCTCGGAGATGGTAGCTAGCTTTTATATCAGATGTGGCTTGATCAGTGGTGGTTGCCTAGACACTGGTTTTCAAAGTATGGTCCCTGGACCAGCAACATCAGCATGACTGGGGGCTGCACTCTAGAGTCACTGACTCAGAAGCTCTGGGGTTAAGACCCAGCAATCAGTGTCCTAATAAAACTTCCAGGTGATTCTGATGCCTGCTCCAGATTGAGAATCCCTGGCTGAGAGGCTTTTGACGAGCTGGATTCTGAAGTGATGTCCAGCCACGGCAGCAAAGGTGTGTTAGGATTCCTTAGTCCTGTCACCTTGAGCAGGTGAGAAGCAGGACAGATGTGGGCCTAGGGGTGTGGCATCCCTGAGCTATATTGTCATTGCTGGTCTATTTGTCTGTGTTTACACTAGTGGCCACCTTGGTGAGAATAGCACCTTGGCAAGACTCATGTTGTAGCTCAGCCCCCAGCGCAGTTCTTAAATTGTAGCACCTGTTCTATAATTACACATTAAATAGTAAAGTCAGAAACATGCCTTTCCACACTGATAGGTACTAGCATTAGCTGCCGTTATTAGACACATGTTTTATGAGAGAGAAGGCCATTGAACAACATCGAACCAATAATTGTTGGCTGTTTTTATAGTGACTCTACAATGAAAAGAATCCACCGTGGCCTAATTAAGTGAATTTTATGGCTTTTACTCCTTCACTAAGCTGCCAGAGGAGAATAACCAAGTTCTTTCTTGGACTTCATAACTTAGTATAATAGTCACAAACACAAATAGATACTTACGGCCAGGTACGGTGGCTCATGCCTGTAATCCCAACACTTTGGGAGGCTGAGGCATGTGGATCACTTGAGGTGAGGAGTTTGAGACCAGACTGGCCAACATGGTGAAACCCCATCTCTACTAAAAATACAAAAATTAGCTGGGCATGGTGGCACGCGCCTGTAATCCCAGCTACTCAGGAGGCTGAGGCAGGAGAGTCACTTGAACCCTGGAGGTGGAGCTTGCAGAGAGCTGAGATTGCACCACTGCACTCCAGCCTGGGCAACAGAGCGAGACTCCGTCTCAAAAAAACAAAACAGAACGAGACAAAACAACAACAACAACAAAAATAGATATTTAAAGATTTTTGCACTAACTTTTGATACTTACTGCCATACTTTGGAAATGCAACAAAAATATCGGGAATTTGTTTTAAGCATCTACTTAGGAAAAAAAGGACTCTTATGGCATTTTGGTTTGGGTTAGAGATATTTTTACAAATGTTATTTGAAATAAACACCATCCCATAACTCTGAGCTATGAAATATTTACATACAGGGGAAAATCCAGCTAACACCTATATCCACTCACTGCTCTATTTTGGGTTTATGTTGTTGTCAAAAGACAAAGGATAAAGATTTTTCAAGATCTTGTGTATTTTGGGGTTAGTATAACTCCAATTGTTTTCTAATTCGATGAGGCAGCATCCACCTTAATACTAGGTCTGGTTTTTTAAAGTCAATTTTAGGTGCTTGTCAACAAAGCCGGAACATGAGAAAATTGAAATGATTTGTGAAGCTCTTACTCTGGCCTGCCCGTGAACTTTTTGAGACAGAAGACCGGCACCAGTTTATTAAAGACTTTGTAAAAGTATACTTAACTTAGTCAACCAGATGTGACTTTTGCTCCCTGGGGAACATTTTAAGTTGTCACAATTCAGGATGCTACAAGCGTCCAGTGGTCAAGGCCAGGGATACTTCTAAATATCCTACAATATGCAGCTCAGCCTCTACAACAAAGAAGTATCTTACCCAAAACGTCACTAGGGTTGAGGCTGAGGAATTCTACCCTAAACCACGGGTAGGAGTCCTCTTAAAATGCTACGGTTTCGCAGGACTTAGTCATAGGCACGTTTCATAATACTCTCCTGCACGTTTCATAATACTCTCCTGCATGCCCCTAAACACAGCACCTCGAGCATTGAACTCTGACATCAGTTGAGAAGATGATACCCCTCTAGCTGGTGCTTAAGCCTTCTGGCTTAAGCCTGGACTTGATCTCTGACCCCTTTCTCTTCCAGACTGCACCCTGCTTTCATTTCCAATCCGTCTCCAAGGCCTGTTGCTTCTACCTCTGGAAGACCTTGACTCCACCTGATAACCTCTATCTCCGCTGCCATCCGCGAGGTTCAAGCTGTCATCCTCCCTCTCCTGGACCATTCCAGTAGCCTTCTTACATGAGGGCTACACTTCTACCCTGCCCCTTCCAAACCAGAGCACCCACTCAGATCCTGCCAACCCTTGCAGTAGCTCATGCTGTGGTTTTAACAACAGCTACCTTCTCTCCACAGCTCTCTATGCCCAGCCCGCCCTGACCCCGGCTTCCCCCTGCAAATTCCATTCTTTTTCTCCTTCAGTTTCTGAAGCATGACGAGTCCCTTCCTGTCCCAGGAACTTCAGATTTGCTGCTTTCTCGCTTGAAAAGCTCTTCCTCTGAAAGGCTCCTTATCTTTTGCCTTTTGGCCCAAATGTCATTTCTTCAGCGTAGTCTCTGCCCACCCCAGTAAAAATTAAAGTAGGAGTCCCTCCTGAGTTATGTCCTCTGCTCACTCTTTCTTTTTCAAGTAGCAAGGATGTAGAGAACAGGGGAAGCCCAGAAATACTGTTGAAATGACAACAGCTCTGTCACCATGCGCCCTTCGATGTATGGTAGAGGAGACGGCTTCTGTGTTTTCTTCAATGCTTAATTTCCTTTATTATTTTTATTTTTTTTTTAAGACGGGGTCTCACTCTGCCACCCAGGCTGGAGTTCAGTGGCGCGATCTCAGCTCACTGCAACCTCTGCCTCCCAGTTCAAGCAATTTTCCTGCCTCAGCCACCTGAGTAGCTGGGATTACAAGCGCGTGCCACCATGCCTGGCTAATTTTTGTATTTTTAGTGGAGATAGGGTTTCACTATGTTGGCCAGGCTGGTTTTGAACTCCTGACCTCAAGTGATCCACCTGCCTTGGCCTCCCAAATTGCTGGGATTGCAGGTATGAGCCACTATGCCCGGTCTTCAATTTCCTTTTATATTGTCTCTTCTTGTGAATATCAGGAGTCTTGCTTCACTTAAGGCAGCATCTACCAGGCATATTCGATATTTTTAAAGTTCTTATTCCCCACAGTCTTTCTATATTATTAAAGGAAATAAATACATAAAAAAGACTTGTTTGTTAAACCATATGTGTCCACCCTGTTGTGTGCCTGTCATCAGTTTCAAAGGACCACAGTAAGCATGTTAGAACTTTTGTTAAACATAAAGATATATAAATATTATCTTATCCATGCCTGCGTTCCATCAGATGCCCTCTTTCCCCTGTAATCTTTACAGTTTCTACTTTATAGTCTCTCTGTAGAGCATTCTTAACCTGAATAGTGTGTTCTCTGTCACCCATCATACTTCTAGGAACGTCCCCGCCTCCCTTCAGCCAGTGCATCTTTAGAAAAGACAAACTAGGCCGGGCACCGTGGCTCACGCCTGTAATCCCAGCACTTTGGGAGGCTGAGGCAGGCAGATCACTTGAGCTCAGGAGTTTGAGACCAGCCAGACCAACATGGTGAAACCCTGTCGCTACTAAAAATAAAAAAATTAGCTGGGCATGGTGGTGGGTGCCTGTAATCCCAGCTACTCGGGAGGTTGAGCCACGAGAATTGCTTGAACCCAGGAGGCGAGTTTGCAGTGAGCCAGGATTGCACCATTGCACTTTAGCCTAGGCAACAAGAGTGAGACTCTGTCTCAAAAAAAAAAAAAAAAAAAAAAAAAAAGAGACAAACTAGAATTAATCTGAGCCAGGTATCATTTAGACAGTAAATCTGTTTTCCTAAAAGAATCATATTATAGTCAAGGCTCAAACAAATAGATTTCATATTATCTGGAGCCTTTCTAAAAATGCATAAACCAGAGGTGACTGAAGAATTTTTTGTCTGTGTGTGTGCGCACCATTCATTCTTGACTTTTTGATAAATGAGATTCTCAAGTTCACCTGGGAAGCATCAAAAACATTGATGCCTGAGTTCTCCTTGCCAGAGTCTTATTAGCCAGTCTGGGATAAACCTGGCTGATTCTCTCATGCGTAGTCAAGACAGAGAATGGCTTGGAAAGTAGACAATGTAAGAGTCTACTCTTTATAGGATGCCTACACGCATAATAAAAAATTTACTTGGGTTTATGGAAATGTCTAGATATAAACCTATGGGGAAAATGATTGAAATAAATGAATGGTGTAACGTAAGGATGCTGGATTGGCGTCTGCAACGCAGCAGCTGTGGGTGGCCTTGATGAGTCTTACTTAATTTCATAGCTCATATCTGTGTAGTTATTTGCTGCTGGCAAACTATTGCTTCATCTTATTTTCGCAAATTCTATAGACAGCAGGGCTTCTTTGCATCTTCTGCCCTTTCTGCTCCATTCTCCAATTAAATGGATTTCACTGCAGCAGCTTTCTGCCCTATGGCAGAGGCCTCCCATGTGCTTCCCAGGCTGGGTTAGGTATGGTTTTGCCAAGCTCCCACTGCAACCTGAGCATATTGTCTTCTCCTGGCATTTACTGTATTTTAAATATTATTATTACTGGTTTTTAGAGATGGGTTCTCGCTCTGTTGCCCAGGTTGGAGTGCAGTGGCCTGATCATACACAGCTCACTGCAGCTTTAAACTTCTGGACTCAGGCCATCCTCCAGCCTCAGCCTCCTGAGTGGCTAGGACTACAGGTGTGTGCCACTATGCCTGGCTAATTAAAATTTCTTCTTTTGTAGAGACAGGGGTATCCTTATGTTGTTCAGGCTGGTCTCAAACTCCTGGCATCAACATCAAGCTATCCTCCCATCTCGGCCTCCCAAAGTACTGGAATTACTGGTGCGAGCCACTGCACCCACCTATGTTTCCCATATTGAACTGTAACAGTCTGTGTTAGGATTTAAGTTATAGTGAGAGATCACGTATCTTCTTCATCCCTGGAGTCCACAACCTAGTAGGCATTCAATAACTGATCAATTAATGAATATATTAATTTTCACTTTACAGATGGGGACACTGAGGCCCAGGGAGACTAAATACAAGTTCAGCACTCACACCTCCCCTAATCTTTCTGAGCTCTGGATTCCTCTTGTAAAAATAAAGAATTTTGGATATTTTTTCTAATAACCCATATAGCTCAAAAACAGGTGGTTCTGTTTTATGATTTTAACAACTCTGCAGTGTTGCCAAAACTCAACAAAGCTGTCTCCAGATGGAGTGAAACAGTCTCAAGAATAAAGATAATGATTAAAATAACGCACCTACTGGCAAGAATGGAATTCACATTACACTTCAACCTAGATCAGGAACTCAGTCCCAACTTCTGAGTATTAAAAATCACCTCGGGAGACTTTGAAGAAGTAGAAGTTCCTGTGTTTTATCCCTTCCCTTTCTGGAGTTTCCCAAGTGATTTTGAAGGAGACCAATCAGCATTTAATGCTTCCTTTTTTGGTGTTCTTGGAGATGACTCATATCTGACCAGCAGTGGTTATGTGAATGGTCTTCATGTCTGATTTTAACATTTTAAACAGTGGGCTGACCCAAACACAGCTCTGTTTGAGCAGCCGGCCTGGCCAGGCCACATATATCATACATACCTTGCTGAGACAAGGAAATTGTCTTCTGTAGAAATTCTGTTGGAATCAGAGAAGTGGCTATCGAGGCTGGACTCTTGACCATTTAGAAATCATTTCCTAATCAGTTATGTCAGGACGAGGGGCAGGCATGCTGGAAAAACAAAAGAGAGAAAGGTGAAACCACAGCTTCCTTCTGTTGGGGTGAAACTGTCCACAGAAAAAAATAAAAGTTTTTTACATATCGTGTACAATATTACCTCCATCAGGCAACCTCTTGGTTGAAGCCAACTGAGAGATTTTGAAGGCTGCAAAATGATTGAACAAGTGTATTTCTTAGGGTTTAAATGAAATCCCTCCAGCGTTTAGTAGAACTGGCAAACTATATGGACTCCTGATTACTAAGTAGTTACGATTTCCTTTCCCCCATCTTTCAAGAAGCTTGTTTTTATTTCTGGTTTGCCTGCTCTCCACACCCCCTCACCCAGCTGCCTGAATTGGAAACCAGCCCACCATAGTTTTAATTGTGAAATTCCTGAAGCTGTTAATATATGTAAACATACAACAGGATGTTTCCCACAGCTGTGCATAATGACTTGGGAAACAGGCCAGAAGACCTGTTTTCAAATTGGGTGAATTCTATAAAGTCTTCAGTTAGGTTTAGAGTAATTATACATTTATGCATTTTTATTTTAAAAGGACTTTAAACAAATTTCACAAGTTGGATATTTTTTAATCCTTTCAAGGATTTACTCAAGTGAGCAAAAGATTAAAAACTAATGTTTGCTTTACCTTTTTCCAACTTCAGATTTTAAACATTCCTCTACATTTATTGACATCTTCCAAAACAATTTTACACAGACAGACAAATTTGTGAAATTTGAGATTCATAATAAATCTGTTATGAGAATTAGAAATGTGGGCTTCAAGGCCAGTTGGTTTATTCAGCATCTAAGCTCTAACATTTATATGCCGTGGTGATTTATAACAGGTTTAGCCAAAAGAGACTGTTTAATATTATAACTGTTAATTTACCTATGTTATTTTTGTTATTTTTTCTTTCTTTCTCTTTTTTTTTTTTTTGAGACGGAGTTTTGCTCTTATTTCCCAGGCTGGAGTGCAGTGGGAAATCTCGGCTCACTGCAACCTCTGTCTTCCAGTTTTCAAGCAATTCTGCCTCAGCCTCCCAAGTCACTGGGATTACAGGCACCCGCCACCACGCCCAGCTAATTTTTTTGTGTTTTTAGTAGAGACGGGGTTTCACCATGTTGGTTGGGCTGGTCTCGAAGTGCTGACCTCGTGACCTACCCGCCTCGGCCTCCCAAAGTGCTGGGATTACAGGCGTGAGCCGCCATGCCCGCCCCTATTTTTTCTTTCATTACACAAGTTAAGAATGGATAATTATACTAAAAATAAGGTAGAAATACCATGTTCGGTGTTGCTAAAATTAAAAAGTGAACATTAGGCTATACCTGATACCAACTTTGGATTTCAAAGGTTAATTTTACATTTTATTTTTGCCCCTTCTGGGAGCCTTTCAGCTCTGCCTGTGAGTGCTCCTAATTCTCTGCCTCTCTCAATGCTGGTTTGAGTGAAGTAATTTCTCTCTGCTGCTACACTTCTTTCTTCTTCTCCTTCTCCTTCTTCTTCTTCCTTTTTTTTTTCTGAGGGAGGGTATCACTCTGTCGCCCAGGCTGGAGTGCAGTGGTGCAGTAACAGCTCACTGTAGCCTCGACCTCCCAGGCTCAAGCAATCCTCTCACTTCAGCCTCCCGAGTAGCTGGGACCACAAGCACATGCCCAGCTAATTTTTGCATTTTTTGTAGAGATGGGGTTTTGCTATGTTGCCTGGGCTGGTCTCGAACTCCTGGGCTCAAACAATCTGCCCACCTCAGCCTCCCAAAGTTCTGGAATTACAAGTGTGAGCCATTACACCCAGCCCTGCTAAACTTCTTATGCTTGGTCCATAAAAGCCTTCTTAAGCTACTTTTGGCCAAATTTGGAACCTTTCTAAAATATCTCAGGATTCTTGTGAAGTGTAATTTGTGATTTCTTCTGTTTCTGGGAAATCCTCTCCCTTGAGCAGGGGTTAGACCTGGTGATGCCCTTCTAGTGAATAAAATATGGCCACAGTGATGGGATGTCACTTCTGAGGCTGGGGCACAGAAACACCCCACTTCCCTCTTGCTGATGCTCTCTCATGCTCTCACTTACTGTAAGAGAAGCCAGCTGCCCCATGGAGAGACATTCATGGCAAAGAACTGGAGCTGGCCTCTGGCCAACAGCCCAAGAGGATGGAATCCTGCCAACAGCCCTGTGAGTGAGCTTGGAGGTGGATCATCCCCAGGCCGACCTTTAGGTGACTGCAGCTCTGGCTCACACCTTGACTGCAGCCTTGGGAGGAGACCCTGAGCCATACCCAGATTCTTGATCCATTGAAACTGAGATTATAGGCCGGGCGCGGTGGCTCATGCCTGTAATCCCAGCACTTTGGGAGGGCGAGGCGGGCGGATCACGAGGTCAGGAGCTCAAGACCATCCTGGCTAACATGGTGAAACCCCGTCTCTATTAAAAAAAAAATACAAAAAATTAGCCGGGCGTAGCGGCGGGCGCCTGTAGTCCCAGCTGCTCCCGAGACTGAGGCAGGAGAATGGCGTGAACCTGGAAGGCGGAGCTTGCAGTGAGCCGAGATCGCACCACTGCACTCCAGCCTGGGCGACAGAGCGAGACTCCGTCTCAAAAAAAAAAAAAAAGAAAAAGAAAAAGAAACTGAGATTATAAATACTTGTGGTTCAAACTGCTAAATTTGGGGGTATTTTGTTAGGCAGCAACAGATAACTAATACAAGGGCAAAGATTTAAGGTACAATTAAAGTTGCCGCTTGCATGTGGGGAGCTCACTATCTGGTAAATGCTTCTGTTGTTGACCATCACTGGAAAGTCAAGATGTGATACCATCATGTTTGTTATTTCCTGATAAAGGGCTCCCACAGTTTCCAAGCTTCAGTTTTGTTCCACCTATTATTTGTTTTTTCATTTAATTTTTGGAATAAGTAATACATGCAAATGGTACAACCTTCGAAAGGTACAAAAGGGTATTAAGTGTCAGCCTTGGCCAGATAAGGTGGCTCACGCCTGTAATCCCAGAACTTTGGGAAGCCAAGGTAGGAGGATCGCTTGAGCCCAGAAGTTCGAAACCAGCTTGGCCAACACGGCAAAACCCTGTCTGTACAAAAACTACAAAAAATTAGCTGGGCATGGTGGCACATGCCTGTAATCCCAGCTACTTGAGAAGCCGAGGTGGGAGGATCACTTCAGCCTGGGAGGCGGAGGTTGCAGTGAGCCGAGATCCCACCGGTGCACTCCAGCTTGGGCAACAGAGTGAGACCCTGTCTCAAAATAAATAAATAAATAAAAAATAAAGTGTCAGTTTTCCTGCCTCCTTTTAACCCAGTTACCCAACTCTCCTACCCAAAGGCACGGGCCATCACCAGTTTATTGGTTATCTTTTTAGAAATCATCTTTGTGTTTACAAACATATATATTCATGTTTCTTTTTTCCCCTGGAACAAATGACAGTGGAATTTGACTTTCAATGGCCTGTCTCAGGAAGATGGTAGATATATAACAGATTGAAATCTTACATAGTTTCTGCATTGGATTCCTGCATTGGATTCCAGCTTTCAATAGATAAGAAATTAGCCTGGCTAGGCACTGTGGCTCACACCTGTAATTCCAGCACTTTCAGATGCTGAGCCGGGCAGATTGCTTGAACCCAAAAGTTCAAGACTAGCCTGGGAAACATAGCGAAATCCCATCTCTACAAAAAATGTAAAAATCAGCTGGGTGTGGTGGCACATGCCTATAGTCCCAGCTACATGGGAGGCTGAGGTGGGAGGAATCACTTGAGCCCAAGAGGTCAAGGCTGCAGTGAGCTGTGATCACACCACCGTACTCCAGCCTGGGCGACAGTGATACCCTATTTAAAAAAAAAAAAAAAAGCCTGAGAAAACAGTTGGAAAGGAAGATAACAGATTGCATAACGATCGGCCTGGAGTAGGACTTAGAGAAGCCATCTGGAGTATTGAAGACATCCAGATGAACTGCTTTTGAAGAAGCTTCCACAGTGGAGTATCTTGTTGACCTTTGAGGGAAGGGGGGTGAAAATAACATATTAGGAAATGTCCTAGACAGTTGTTCCAGCCTTTTCTCCTATTATTTTCTAGCCAACTTCTCCCAAAGAAGGCTTCACATTGTGAAAAATAATTGCTTTTTTCTTTCTTTTTTTTTTTTTTTAGTGACTTGGTTCCAGTCACTTTTAAGGATCTAAGGTGACTCTGAGTTAGACAGGAAATGAGTCCTGAGAACAGATATGAGGAGGAAAGAAAAGGGCTTGCTGTTTTATTTCCCCTCCTTTCTCTCACCTCAGTGGGCAGATCTGGGTGACTGTGGTTGATTGTGTGGGTGGGCTCCCACCCTCCAAAACAAGTCACTCTTTCCCTGCCTGGCCCTGAGACCTCCGTCACTTGTCTTAACCTCTTCATGTCTCTGTTTCTTTCCTGCAAGGTGAAGGTCATTAAACGAGATAATTAAAATTACTTTCAAGAGTGGTAGAAGCCTAATTCACGTGAACTCACATGAATGCGAGGTGGTACTATTACAGTCATTACCTTTAAAATTATAGCAGCATGCCCAACAAGACACAGTGGAGGCAAAGGGTCGTTGGACAGAACTCAGCTGAATGCCAATGTTAGTTTTGTTTCCTTAACGTGTAGTATCGGTTCCAAATGGAATTGAATCATCAAGTATGCTTACCTGGTTTATTATGCCAAGTAACAAGATTGGCCAATCCTTCTTATTTATTGTTCAGAAACTATAGAAGAAAGCAGCCAACAAATGATGATGGTTTTTCAGTGACTCATGCCTCCTTTGATTAGAATCCAATGTAGCCTACTCCTTATCCTGGCATCATTACTAGATATTGCCTTTTATTTTGACTAATGGAGCACATGAATGGATAGATTTTAAAGAAATGCCTAGGCTGGGCGCAGCAGCTCACGCCTGTAATCCCAGCACTTTGGGAGGCCAAGGCAGGCGGATCACCTGAGGTCGGGAGTTTGAGACCAGCCTGATCAATATGGAGAAACGCCGTCTCTACTAAAAATGCAAAATTAGCCGGGTGTGGTGGCACATGTCTGTAATCTCAGCTACTTGGGAGGCTGAGGCAGGAGAATTGCTTGAACCCAGGAGGTGGAGGTTGCAGTGAGCTGAGAATGCACCATTGCACTCCAGCCTGGGCAACAAGAGCGAAACTCCATTTCAAAAAAAAAAAAAAAAAAACATGGCCAGTTGTTTCACTGCTCTCTGACAGAATCCTGACAGAATCTCTTGCTCTAGGTAGAACAACCAATTTTTTATTTTAGGCTACTCATCTGTGACCTTGATAATATGGAGTTAGAATTCCTTCCTCCTTTCTATTTCTTTCCGCACTCCCTGTCTCCTTCTTTCTCTTTCCTCCCTTCTCCCTTCCTCCCTCTCTTCCTTCTTCTGTCTTTCCTTCTCCTTTTCCCTCCATTCCGCCCCTCTCCTTCCTCCTTCCCTCCTCCTTTCTTTTTCTTTCTTTCGTCTCTCTCCCCCTCCTTCCTTCTCTTTCTCTTTTCTTTTTTTGAGACAGGGTCTCCATCTGTCACCCAGGCTGGACTGCAATGACATGATCATTGCTCACTGCAGCCTTGACCCCTGGGCTCAAGCAATCCTCCCGACTCAGCTTTTCAAGTAGCTGGGACTACAGGCACATGCCACCACGCCCAACTACTATTTTTGTACTTTTTGTAGAGACGGGGTTTCACCATGTTGCCCAAGCTGGTCTCGAACTCTCCAGGCTCAAGCAGTGCACCCCTCTTGGCCTCCCAAAGTGTTGGGATTACAGGCATGAGCCACCACACCTGACCTCTGTCTCTCCTTCCTTCTCTTTCTCATCTCCTCTGTGCCAGGCTCTGTCCTGGGTGTTCATCATACAACAAAGAGAAAAGAGACAAGATTCCTGCCCCTATGGAGTTGGCATTCTTGTGTGGAGAAGAGAATAAACACACTAATATGTGGTATTAACATTTATCACACGTTGATGATATATGCAAGGAAAAATAAATAAGCATGAAGGGCAAAAGAGGTGAGGGCTTACTATTTTGTCCAGGTGACTCAGGGAGCCTTATTAATAGGTGACTTTTCATTCAGTCAACAAACATCTGTAAGATAGTTACCGTACATTGTACTGTATTCTGGGTGCTGGGGATGTAGCTAAACAAAATAAGCAAAAATCCCTTTGCTCTGGGAGTGTACATTCCGGTTAGAAGAGATTATTAATAAATAAATTTTATTTATTTTTGAGATGGAGTCTCACACTCTGTCGCCCAGGCTGGAGTGCAATGGCACAATCTCAGCTCACTGCAACCTCCGCCTCCAGGTTCAAGCAGTTCTCCTGCCCCAGCCTACCATGTAGCTGGGATTACAGGCACACACCATCATGTCCAGCTAATTTTTGTATTTTTGTAGAGACGGGGCTTCGCCATGTTGGCCAGGCTGGTCTCAGACTCCTGACCTCAGGTGTTCCACCTGCCTTGGCCTCCCAAAGTGCTGGGATTATAGGCATGAGCCACTGTGCCCAGCCTAATAAATTTTAAAGTCTGATAGCAGATGAGAAGTGCTATGGACAACAATGTAAAGAAGGGGGACTGGCAAGGCTGGGGTTTAAATATGGTGGTGATTGATTGGGCTCCTAAAAAGGTGACATTAGAGCTAGGACAGTAAGGTGAGGGGCTAAGCCTTGTGGCTACGGGGGAAGAGCATTCCAGGTACAGGAACAGACACTGTGTGGCCCCAAGCTCCAGGACCAGGGAGACAGCAGGGTGGCTGTAGATGAGAGGGAAAGAGAGCAGGTAGATTTTGGGTTTTACTCTGAGAGAAGTGAGAACCCACTGCAGAGTTTCGAGCCGAGGAGTAACTCCATCTGATTACCTTTGGAAAGAATCAGCCTGCCCTCCATGTTGGAGCTAGACTGAAGGGCATGCTGTCTGGGGCTACCTCTAATCCGGGTGAGGGAGAACAGAGCTTCAGCCAAGCAGCTTGCAGGGAGGTGAGGAGAGGTTTTAGGTTCTGGAAACATTTGGAAGGCAGAGCCTAGGGCTTACGGATGAATAGGGAGCAGGGTAGGAGGGAAGATGAGACTCCAGCATGACTCTAGGTGTTTGGCATGAGCACCTGGGAGATGGGGTTGCCTTTTACTGACGTGAGGAAGCCTGGGGGATAATGGAGTTATGAGGGAAATTGAGGGGTTCAGTCTTAGGTTTGAGTAGACACTTGAAGTTTGAAATTTAGCTTCCTTTGGCTAAATATGGAAACATTTGGGGGAACCACCCTCTTCTTGAATAAAATGCTAATAAGTGCGTATAGAATGTCAGGGCCAAATAAGAACCCTTGCAGAGTTCAGCTGCCTGCAGCAGTTGCTAAGGCTAGAAACTGGGCACCTTTTTCAATGTTTTTCCTCCCAGACCCCCTGCCCGGATGAAGTGAGTTGTAAAATGCTGCCTCTGCCTCTGAAAGTTCTGCCAGAAATCCCACCCTTTCTGTCTGCACCACCTTATTAGCCTCCGCCTTTGGCCCCTGTTGCCAGAGGACAGTAAGGACTTTCTGCACTCTTGTCTTGGCCACAGATTAACACCATCTTTTCCTGGAGTCCTTGGTCAGGGTTATCATTTCTTTCTTTTCTTTTTTTTTTTTTTTTTAAGACAGAGTCTCGCTCTGTCACCCAGGCTGGAGTGCAATGGTGTGATCTTGGCTCACTGCGTCCTCTGCCTCCTGTGTTAAGAGATTTTCCTGCTTCAGCCTCCTGAGTAGCTGGAATTACAGGCATGCACCACCACACCCAGCTAATTTTTGTATTTTTAGTAGAGATTTGTTAGTAGAGCCTCTGCCTCCCGTAGTGTTGGAATTACAGGCATGAGCCACCGCTCCAGGCCTAGGGTTATCATTTCTAAAATGCAAATCTGATTAAAACAGTTCATGTTGTTGAGGCCCCAGCCTCTTTGCACAGATGGATCCTGCACTTCTGCTCCCCACCTCCTCACCTCTGCAGGTGCTTCAACTTCAGGAACCAACTCACTTCTTCCAGAATAGCTTCCTAGGCCCCCTTCCCTGCTCTATGTCCTCATCGTCCCTGTTACTTCTCCATCACAGCAGAGAGGCTTCTGTGCGCCGAATTCCTAGGGTCTGCCTTACCTTAGACTTTAAGCTTCATAGGGACAGGAGCCACGTTGCTCACCAGCAGCTGACTGAATACCTGCCACGAGGTCGGGACGTGTTGTTTACTCAATGCATGGGAGAACTCAGATGGCCTCTCCCTGCTTAGCACACAAATTCCAAATGCCGCTAGCACCCAAGGCCTTCCCAGCCTTGCCTCAGTCTGCTTTCCAGTCTCCTCTTCCAACTCTCTTCTTCTTCCTCCCCTGTCTACCCGCACTTTAGTAACTGAACTAATCCTGTGTGCCTTCAGTGCTGCAGAATATTTGCCCCCAGGGATTTCTTTCCAGAAATGCCTTTCTCCTCTCACTTTCTATCTCCCAATCAGATAGTGGCCCAGCTTGGGACTTGACCTTCAAGGCCAACTCAGCATCCCTCCTGTCTCTCTCCATCCCTGATCATCAGGTATAATTGACTGCTTTCTCCTCCACTTCTCCCGCTAGCAATACTCACAGTGAATGTCATGGTAAGGTGTTTATTTGCCACTGATGGGCGGGTAGTAGAGGAACAATGGAATTTTACATTTTAGGAGGCTTGTTCCTTATAATTATCTTAGCTCTTTTATAAAGCACTGATAGGTAACAAAATTACAGGTTTGAACTCAGAAAGCTTGCAAAGTTTTTGTTTTTGTTTTGTTTTTAGGATAACTTTAGGGAGATTTCTAAGTATTGTATAGGTTCAGTTAACCAACATAACATGTTTTTTAGGAGTATAAACATTATAGAGATGTCTGCCGACTAATTAGTATGTCGATTGTAGTTTTAATCGTGAAAATTGGGGTGGGAACAGCTAAAGGCAGAGCTAACTGGTTTTTTCCCAGGTATTTATCATGAGTTGTGTGCCTTAGGCTGTGTTCCCTTTTGAATGTGGTTTTTCTGGTTGTTCTGACAGCACTGCTAAGTGTGCCCTTTGACATTACTGGAGAACTAATTTATATTGATGGTGCCACTCATATCTTTGGAAACTGGATATGTTCTGATCAGCTCATTGATTTCTAACCTGTAGGATTACAGTAAAATTTAGACCTGAGGCACCACCCAGAAACTCCTGCTGCTGTATGTGGCCTGAATGAATCAAAATATGCTTGGACAGCTCATTATTTAACAGAAAACTCTGCCTTTGGCTTTTGAAGAGCAGATGTCCAAATGTAACTTGTCAGCCTGATTTTTGGAAGCTTGAGCAAGGGGAACCTGGTTATCTCAGACCATTTCGTAATTATAAAGAAAGTGAATTGAAGGATCAGGAAGTAAGTGAATTGAAGGATCAGGAAGTAAGGGAATTGCCTAACAATAGGAGATGCACCACGCCCAGTGCTGAGAGAGGTAGACTATATCACGCTTAATAAAACTGTCTGAATGAGTGATGGACTACTCCCATATCCTCTAAAGGAGGTAGTCTGACTCCTACAGAAACAGCTCCATTTTGATTTTAGGAGGTGGTTGTGATATAAGACTTACCATCTTAATTCTGCCATCAGTTGCAATCAGCATTAATTGCAAATCTCTTTCTGACAAAAATTCAAGTCCAGGCAGGGTGCAATGGCTCACGCCTGTAATTCCAGCACTTTGGGAGGCTGAGGTGGGCAGATCACTTGAAAAGGAGTTCAAAACCAGCCTGACCAACATGGTGAAACCCTGTCTCTACTAAAAATACAAAAATTAGCTAGGTGTGGTGGCACGTGCCTGTAATCCCAGCTATCAGGAAGCTGAGGCAGGAGAATCGCTTGAACCTAGGAGGCAGAAGTTGCAGTGAGCCGAGATCGTGCCACTGCACTCCAGCCTGGGCGACAGAGCGAGACTCTGTTACAGAACAAAACAAACAAAATTCACATCCATGTTTCTAGAAGAACGGTGACTTTAACTCGTATCTGACTGTCCCTTTGCTGTTCTGTCCTTAACATTGGGGCATGTTGACATGTTTTCACCTACAGGTATATTGCCATGAACTTGCGATCTGCCGCAGTAGGCAAGCCCCAGTATACCTGTCCCCTGCGTGTGGTTTGCCCCCAAGGGGTAGCCTCCCCACTGGCTGGCTTGCAGTGCATCTCAAAGTCCCTGTCTCAGCCTCTCCTTCTCCTCTATCCCATTTCTACCCATCTGGAGCTCCTGCCTCAACAATTTGGCTCCAGGGGTACCCTGTTCTGAGGGTGGGCCGGCTGGAGGCAGGAGAAAGGAGCCTTGTGTCTCACGGAGTGAGGAAGATCCCAAACTGGATGGAGGCAAAGTGGATGGTAACTAAATTCTGTGGTGCCATTGCATATAGAACACAGGCCTGTCAAGGCAAGTGGCATTTTGTGGACTGCTCTGGAAAGTGCTAAACAAATTTTGAGACATCTAACCGAAATGTGAAATATTGGACTGCGGTTCCCATTGGCAGCTGGGGTGGGTGGGCACCTAGGGAAGCTTGCTAGGCTGAGGCACTTCTGCCTGAGTGCAAGAAAAAGCAGTTCTCATTAGCTGGGCATGGTGGCATGCACCTGTAGTCCCAGCTACTCAGGAGGCTGAGGCAGGAGAATCGCTTGAACCTGGGAGGCAGAGGTTGCAGTGAGCTGAGATCGCACCACTGCACTTCAGCCTGAGTGAGAGAGTGAGACTCTGTCTCAAAAAAAAAAAAAAAAAAATGCAGTTCAGCAGTTCTCAGCATGAGGGTTTTATGAGCAGGATGCTGGGCTGGCTGGGTTTTAATCTGGACTCTACCGCACACTTGTGAGACCATGGACAAGTTTCTTGACCTCAGTGTCTTCATTTATACAAGGGGAATAACAGGACCTACCTTATTGGATCCTTGTATATTTAAATGCATTTGTGTGTGTTAAATGTTTGGTATGGTACTTGACACATAGCATTGGCTCAATAAATGCTAGCTGGTGCTATCATTAATACATTATGAAATCAGAATTACAAATAAAAGTTCTTCGATCAGATCTACTATTTGCTGTGCATTTGGGATGCCCCAGGCTCAGTGCTCCTGAATGAGCTTACTTTCCCCACATCCATTTCAATTATCTACTCTGGAGTCATCTTTGGCCGTTTCTTGCCATTTGAGATAGTCCGATGGCATTTATGATATTTTAAAAATCAATTTAGAGTGAAGTGTGTGTGTTTTCATGAATTAAGGCTCAAACCAGTTGCCTACTGGCTTAATGAAGTACTAGCAGTTTCTTGCTTTACCCCAGCACCTCCAAGGAGCCTTGCACTGAGTTTCTTGCTGGTGGGTCTTGATTTTTAACTAAATGAGGAATTGGTGAATGAATGGTCTTCCATTCACAGTGGGTTTGGAGTGGGAAGGCGCACGGGCATACCTAGAAAGGCTCTAGAGAAACTAGCTTTATTTGAACCCAAGGAAGGCATTTAATAGCAGAGCAGGGAGAAGGGAGCCAATCAGATCTGGCAGGGCAGGCCCAGGAGGAAATACGGCTCTGAGGATGGAAGAGTCGTGGGGCAGGCAGAATGCGTGGCTCTAGGGAATGGCGGCCAGGCCTTCCTGGCCATCAGAGGTTTTGCGCAATGCATACACTTGGCTCTGCTTTCTTTCTGAGCTGGTCCTCCCCTTAATATGCCTGGGTCAGACCACGGTTGAGCAAGGAAGCTGTCCTGTCTGAGTACACTTCCCAAAGCCACCTGTCACTCACCATCAAGATAAGGATACTCAGCCACCCACCTTACTCACTGGGAAGCTGCCCACCTGATCCTTCATGGAAAGTGGAAGGCGGGCTCTGTTTATCTAGGCTGGTAAAGTCCTTGTGGAGCAGCTGGGAAAACAAGAACATCTCTGAATTTGTAGAATTATCATCTACCTCTGGCTTCTTGGACTTTTTAACTGGTTACAGTGTTTGCTGCTATGGTCAGCCCAAGGGTTAAGCCTTTCTCTTGGGTGTGTGTTTCATTTTACAGCATAACTCATTTCCTCCTTGCATCAATTTCCACTTCTATCCTTGGCATAGGGATTTGTTACCAACTTGGCATGCAACCGTCTCTTGCATTTTATTTTTAGAACTTGGAGTAAGGATTAGCTATGTAATATTTTGAATCCTTCATACTGACTTTGGTAAAATACACAATAGAGAAAGCTTTAAAAGCTTAGCTTTTTTTTTTTTTTTTTGGCATGTAAACAGTAAAAATGGCCTTTTAGAATTCTAATCTGGACTATGTTTTCCTCCCTCAATTCCCTTGACTGGTTATTTTTAGGATTTACAGATGGCTTTGGAGAATAGGTATGATTCTAGGATTCTTCTTAGTAGCTTAAGAAAATTCTTTTTTTTCTTTTCTTTTCTTTTCTTTTTTTTTTTTTTTTTTTTTTTTGAGACAGGGTCTCACTCTGTTGCCCAGGCTGGAGTACAGTGGCATGATCTTTGCTCACTGCAACCTCCGCCTCCTGGGTTCAAGCAATTTTCCTGCCTCAGCCTCCCCAGTAGCTGGGACTACAGGTGCCCCCCACCACACCTGGCTAATTTTTGTATCTCTTAGTAGAGATGGGGTTTCACTATGTTGGCAAGGCTGGTCTCGAACTCCTGACTGCAGGTGATCTGCCTGCCTCAGCCTCCCAAAATGCTGGGATTACAGGCGTGAGCCACTGCTCCCAGCCAGAATTCCTTATATCTCATTATAAAAGTGATATCTAGGATATTTGTAGACTGTATATAATGTATAATTGTTAATTGTCTTGCTTTATACCCTATAGATTTTTTAAAAATCAATTTAGAGCTCTCTGTGTATATATTTGTATGTGTGTGTGTTTTCATGAGTGAAGACCCAAACCAGTTGCTTGCTGGCTTCAGGCAGTAAAACCAAAATGCCTGGCAAGTCTTAGATCTAATCCTGCTTATACTTCATTTCCTGGACCAGTGCTGGCTTAGGGAACTTTCTGGGATGATGAAAGTGTTCTGCTTTTTTTTTTTTTAGATGGAGTTTTGCTCTCGTTGCCCAAGCTGGAGTGCAATGGCACGATCTTGGCTCACTGCAACCTCTGCCTCCTGGGTTCAAGCGATTCTCCTGCCTCAGCCTCCTGAGTAGCTGAGATTACAGGCGCGCACCACCAAGCCTGGTTAATTTTTTGTTATTTTAGTAGAAACAAGGTTTCACCATGTTAGCGAGGCTGGTCTCGAACTCCTGACCTTAGGTGATCCACCCACCTCGCCCTCCCCAAGTGCTGGCATTACAGGCATGAGCCACCGAGCCTGGCCCAAAAGCGTTCCTGTTTCTAGCCCCTAGTCACAGGTGGCTGTTGAACACTTGAAATGAGGCTAGTGCAACTGCTGATCTGGCTTCTAATTTTAGCTAATTTAATAGCCACACATGGCTCGTGGCCACTGTACTGGATGGCACAATGGCCTTGGGTTTTTCTTACCTGAGCAGCAGAAGGCTTTCTGAGGAAATGGAGCTTGGGTTGTGTGAGATGATGCGAGAATTAGAGGGGCATGTACAACTGCCCCCTTCCCCACCTGCTTAGTCTGCGACTCTACTGGACCTATGCCTTCTCCCGGAGCTGATGAGCTCACCTTAGTTCTTAGAGCTTCAATTCTTGAATGCTGCAAGCCTGCCTGAGGTTGGCTTCCTTTTATCCTGTGGATAAACTGTAGGATTCCAACGTCCTTTTTGATAGACCTCACCTCTCTCTTCCTTATTCATTACTTTCCCCATCACTCTCTGACTGCCCATGACATGGAAAGATTTGCAATTTCAAGAACAGGCTGTTCTTACCTCTAGACCTGTGCAAATCGGACACTCTCCACCTGAAATGCTCTGTCCCTTTCATGCACCTGTCTGACTCCTACATGTCCTGTAGGTCTCAGGTTAGACCTCAATTTCTGCAACACCTCCTCTAGGAAAGGCTTTCTTGACCTCTCCTAGGACAGGTGGATGCATTACCTAGTATGTATACTGGGTGGATTCCCATCACAGCACACTTGATTGAAACTGCTTCTTTACCTACAAGTCCCTCCTCCTGCCCTAGAGCTTCTTAAAGGGTGGTCCCTGTACCGGCAGCACTGGCATCACCCGGGAGCTTGATGGAAATGAAGAGTCTTGGACCCCAGCCCAGTCCCCCTGAGTCAGAAATCCTGAGTGTAGGTGCTAGCAATTTGTGCTCAACAAGCCCACCAGAGGATTTTCATATGTGCTAAAGTTTCAGAGCCATTGGGCTGAACTCTTAGCCCCATTAAGGTAGGATGTGTGATTTTTGGTTTCCCACTGTCCCTAGCTTTTAGCACACTGCCTGGCTAGATACTTGAGAAACACAGTCAGAGAAGAAATTCCAGTTATTCTTTTGGCAACTTGTCTGATCAGGAAATTTTTTAGTTGAAATCAGTTTAAATCTCTTCTCCTTTCTCCAAAGGAGATAAAGAACAACTGAGTACTTAAAAAAAATTTATTGTTATCTGGGCTCGGTGGCTCCTGCCTGTGGATCACCTGAGGTCAGGAGTTCGAGACCAGCCTGGCCAATATGGTGAAACCGTGTCTTTACTAAAAATACAAAAAATCAGCCAGGCGTGGTGGCAGGCACCTGTAATCCCAGCTACTTGGGAGGCTGAGGCAGGAGAATCACTTGAATCTGGGAGGCAGAGGTTGCAGTGAGCCAAGATGGCACCATTGCACTCCAGCCTGGGCAACAAGAGCAAAACTCTGTCTCAAAAAAAGAAAAGAAAAGAAAAAAAAATTATTGTGATAAAATATACACAACATACAATCTACCATCTTAACATTTTTTTTTTTCTTTTTGAGACAGAGTCTTGCTTTGTTGCCCCAGCTGGAGTGCAATAGCATGATCTCAGCTCACTGCAACCTCTGCCTCCGGGGTTCGAGCGATTCTCCTGCCTCAGCCTCCTGAGTAGCTGAGATTACAGGCACCTGCCACCATGCCCGGCTAATTTTTGTATTTTTAGTAAAGACGGGGTTTCACCATGTTGGCCAGACTGGTCTCTAACTCCTGCCCTCAGATGATCCAGTCAGCTTCCCAAAGTGCTCGGATTACAGGTGTGAGCCAATGCGCTTGACCTTAACCTTTTTTTTTTTTTTTCTTTTGAGACAGAGTCTCACTCTGTCACCCAGGCTAGAGTGCAGTGGCGCGATCTTGGCTTACTGCAACCTCCACCTCCTGGGTTCAAGCAATTTTCCTGCCTTAACCTCCTAAGTAGCTGGGACTACAGGTGCCCGCCACTATGTCTGGCTAATTTTTTGTATTTTTAGTAGAGACGCGGTTTCACCATATTGACCAGGCTGGTCTCGAACTCCTGACCTTGTGATCCGCCTGCCTTGACCTCCCAAAGTGCTGGGATTAAAGGCATGAGCCACTGCACCCGACCCAACCATTTTTAATTATACACTTCAGTGTCTTTAAGGGCATTCACATGGTTGTGCAGCCATCACCGCCATCCACCTCCAGAAGTTCTTCTCCAACTGAAGCTCTGCACTCATTAAACAACTCCCCTTCCTCCCAACCTTTGGCAACCATCATCCTGCTTTCTGTCTCTGAATTTGCCTACTCTGCATTCCTAATGTAAGTGAAATCATACATCATGTGTCCTTCTGTGACTGGTTTATTTTACTTAGCATGTCTTTATGCATGTGCCAGGATTTCCTTTTTAAGGCCAAATGATAGTTCCTTGTCTCTATACCACATTTTGTGTATCCAGTTATCAGATAGCATTTGGATTGTTTCTACCTCTTTGCTTTTGTGAATATCACTGTTGTGAACATGGGTCTACTGTATAAATATCTGCTCGGATTCCTGCCTTCAATTCTTTTGGGTATATACCCAGAAGTGAGATTGCTAGATCCTATGGTAATTCTATGTTTATTTTTTGAGGAACCATTATGCTGTTTTCCACAGTGGCTACACCGTTTTATATTCCCACTGGCAGTGCAAAAGTGTTTCAACTCCTCTGCAGCCTCACCAACACTTATTTTCTGTTTTTTTTTTTTTTTTTTTTTTTGACAACTGAAAGTGAAAAGTTAATTCAAGAATAGTGTCAGGCTGGGCACAGTGTCTCACACCTGTAATCCTAGCATTTTGGGAGGCTGAGGCAGGTGGATCACTTGAGGCCAGGAGTTTGAGACCAGCCTGCCTAACATGGTAAAACCCCATCTCTACTAAAAATACAAAAATTAGCCGGGTGTGGTGGCAGGAGCTTGTAATCACAGCTACTGAGGAGGCTGAGGCAGGAGAAACACTTGAACCCAGGAGGCAGAGGTTGCAGTGAGCCGAGATCACACCACTGCACTCCAGCCTGGGCTACAGAGCAAGACTCGGTATGAAAGAAAGAAAGAAAGAGAGAAAGAGAGAAAGAAAGAAAGAGAGAAAGAGAGAAAAAGAGAAAGAAAGAAAGAAAGAGGGAGAGAAAGAAAGAAAAAGAAAGAAAGAAAGAAAAAGAAAGAAAGAAAGAAGGAAGGAAGAAAAGAAGAAAGAAAGAAGGAAGGAAGGAAGGAAAGAAGGAAGGAAGGAAGGCAGGCTCCCTGGGGCAGGTGGCTGCACAGTCATGGCGGAGGTGACCAAAGCCACATCATGTCCGTCGTTCGTTCATCTGTCCATGCCAGATGGATCGTGGGGAAGGTGATTGGGACAAAAATACAAAAGACTGCTAAAGCGAGAGTGACCGGGCTTGTTCTGGATCCCTATTTATTAAAGTATTATAATAAGTGGAAAACCTCCTTTGTTCACGATGGCCTTCGGCAGTGCACAGCTGGGGATATCGTGCTTCTCAGAGCTTTACCTGTCCCATGAACGAAGCATGTGAAACATGAACAGGCCAAGATCATTTTCAAAGTTGGAAAAGTCATAGATCCAGTGACAGGAAAGCCCCGTGCAGGAACTACCTACCTGGAGAGTCTGTTGAGTTTAGAAACTACCCAGCTAAGCAAAAATCTGGAAGAACTCAGTATCTCTTCGGCACACTGAAGGAGGAGTGGAAGGAGCTAAAGGGAAAGATTGACATGTTTATGTTATGCAAAAATAAATTTTTCAAAGCTTCATCCCCCCGCCCCCCAAAAAAAAGAACAGTGAAGAATTGTGTCAGAGGAAGAGAAAGTTTTCCAAACTTTCTTCAATTTACTTACTTGGTCAATTAAAACCCAGACATTGAGTACTTATTGTGTGATAAGTTGCTATGTTAAAAGAAATGACATCAATAGAATTGATTCTAGTAGGTTCTGTTTAGTTCTAACAAACTTGAAAATGTTTGTTGGAATTTGAAAAATAAATGCATATGAAAGCTTAAATGTTGAAATGTTACCTCTCGTTTCTGATACAATTTGTGGAAACAGAGCTCTATCTTTAGAGTACAATTTTTTTTTTTTCTTTTGAGATGGGGTTTCGCTCTTCTTGCCCAGGCTGGAGTGCTGTGGCACGATCTCGGCTCACCGCAATCTCCGCCTCCCAGGTTCAAGCGAATCTCCTGCCTTAGCCTCCCTAGTAGCTGGGATTATAGGCACGTGCCACCAAGCCCGGCTGATTTTGTATTTTTAGTAGAGACAGGGCCTCTCCATGTTGGTCAGGCTGGTCTCGAACCTTGACCTCAGGTGATCTGCCCGCTTCGGCTTCCCAAAGTGCTGGGATTACAGGCATGAGCCACCGCGCCCGGCCTAGAGTACAATTTTTTAACAACCATTTCATTCTGACAATCAATCCTAAGAAATGACTTGATAACAGTGCAAAAAACGTGTGTTCAAGGAGTTCATTTTCCCTCACTTAGATTCTCATTCTTTGAACTCCTGACTTTCTTAGAACTCCAAGTGCCAGTTATCTTTGGATCAAGAGAAGTAATCTCTATCAACATCTGGTTGCTATGTCTCAGATTTTTAAAAGATTGTTCAAGGCTGTAAAGACACAGCCTTGAATTACTACGTTTGGGAAGCACATTGCTTCATCAGGAGATAATGGGTTTGGTAGTTTAAGTAACAGAGAGTATTGCTGTAGGAAAGATATTCCAAGTGTTAAAAAGGAACAATGAAAAAGCAAAAAAGTAAGTAGGTTCATGTTTATGGTGCTGGGCACATGCACCACTGTTCACTGTAAATATCTTCGATTTGTCATCACTTGAGGATCACGGGATATAAGCAGCCTATTGCTCTCCTCTTCTGCCTTTACTGTGTGTTCCACTCTTGAGAGTAAGACTTAATGCAAGAGGGCATTCTTTCAACTAGGTACCATGTGTGTCACTATACATTTGCCAAACCCCACACAACAAAGAGTGAACCCTAGTGAACTGTGGACTTCATGTAAACTAGGGACTTTAGTTACAATATGTCATTACTGGGGCCGGGCACATTGGCTCACACCTGTAATCTCAGCACTTCGGGGGGCTGACGCGGGCAGATCACTTGAGGTCAGGAGTTCAAGACCAGCCTGGCCAACATGGTGAAACCCTGTCTCTACTGAAAATACAAAAATTAGCCAGGCGTGTTGGCGGGCACCTGTAGTCCCAGTTACTCAGGAGGCTGAGGCAGGAGAATCGCTTGAACCTGGGAAATGGGGGTTGCAGTGAGCCGAGATCACATTACTGCACTACAGCCTGGGTAACAGAGTGAGACCCTGTCTCAAAAGAAAAAAAAAATATATATATATATATGTGTGTGTGTGTGTATCTCATTATTGGCTCATCAGTTGTAACAAATGTGCCACTCTAATGCAAGATGTGAACAGCGTACACTAAGGCACGGGGCTGAAAGGATATGTGGGGATTGCCACTCCATTTTTCCGTAAACCTAAAACTATTCAGTAATAATCCTTTTTTTTTTTTTTTTTTTTTTTAACAGTCTTGCTCTGTCACCAGGCTGGAGTGCAGTGGCGCAATCTCGGCTCACTGCAACCTCCACCTCCCAGGTTCAAGTGATTTTCCTGCCTCAGCCTCCCGAGCAGCTTGGACTACAGGTGTGTACCACCATGCCCAGCTAATTTTTGTATTTTTAGAGATGGGGTTTCACCATGTTGGCCAGAAAGGTCTCAATCTTTTGACCTTGTGATCCGCCCGCCTCAGCCTCCCAAAGTGCTGGGATTACAGACGTGAGCCACTGTACCTGGCCTAGTCCATTAAAAAAAAAAATAGGAAAAGAAAAAAACCTATAGAATTAGGAGATTTAGTGCCAGAAAGGACCTCAGCCATCTTCTGGAGAAATGCAGGGACAGACTTTACCTGTTCCCCATTCCAGGTTCAGTAGATTGGGTTCAGGTTCAACAAACTATTGCTGTTAAAAGCACACTGTGGGATTCTGATGTGTGGCCACATCTTAGAATCATTGATCTGGTCAAGAACCCTCACTGACAGATGATAACCTGAGCCCAGGTGAGGATGTGACTTGCTAAGGCCGTACTGCTCGTGGTGCCATGCTAGAGTAGAGAATAGTTCTCTCCCACTCTTTGTCTTATCTCAAGAATCTTCAGAGAGGCCACTGCATTTGAATCTAAAACTTTCTTAAGATAAATATCACAGTTGCCCTGATAGCAACAACAACACAGTCTGGGTGCAATGGCTCACGCCTATAATCCCAGCACTTTGGGAGGCCAAGGTGGAAGGATTGCTTGAGGCTATGAGTTCAGGGCTTCTTTATTTTATTTTATTTTATTTTATTTTATTTTATTTTATATTTTATTTTATTTTTTATTTTATTTTATTTTATTTATTTTATTTTATGTTATTTTATGTTATTTTATTTTATTTATTTTATTTTATGTTATTTTATGTTATTTTATTTTATTTTATTTTATTTGAGACAGAGTCTCGCTCTGTTGCCCAGGCTGGAGGGCGGTGGTGCGATCTCGGCTCACTGCAACCTCTGCCTCCTGGGTTCAAGCGATTCTCCTGCCTCAGCCTCTGGAGTAGCTGGGACTACAGGTGCGCGCCATCATGCCTGGCTAATTTTTGTATTTTTAGTAGAGACGGGGTTTCACCATGGTAGTCAGGCTGGTCTCCAGCTCCTGACCTCATGATCCACCCACCTCGGCCTCCCAAGGTGCTGGGATTATGGGCGTGAGCCACTGCGCCCGGCCAACTCCATCTTAAATAAAAAAATAAAAAGTATCTTCCTTATTACCTTGGTGAACAAAGAGGAGGATATAGTATAGCCACATTTCCTTGTCAGAAGCTTCATGAAGATGAGAAGAGGTTGCAGGAGATTCGGGTTAAGTGCCAGAATGTGCATTACTTTTGGGCTGGATCTTGTGGAAGCCACTAGCTGCTCTTTCCCTTAAAACAAACCATGTTCAGTTTGGGGAAGGTGGAAGAGCAAAGACGAAGGTGGAGATAGGCTGGCCACAGAGGGGGTTCCTCAGGCATCTCTGGGGCTGCAGGCTCTGTTCCCAGCTGGAGGGGTCTTAGGGACAGGCCCTTTCCCTCTGCTGGTTCTAGGACATGTAGAAGCAGAAGCTACTCAAGTATCTCATCCACCCAGGCATTATCCCAGAGTGATTGTGTTGATGAAATGTTCATCCCAAGACTTTGTTAATCATGATATTATTGTACTGAATTCATCTTTGGCTTCCTTCCACTTACATTTCTACCGGGAATTAAAATCACTATGTGGGAGGATAATTTTTAGTCATTTTTTCCCCCCGATCTTTGTATATTGGAGAGATTGGGAGAGATTGGCCAATTTGGAATATCCAGGTACTGCAGCACCAACCTCCTTCTTGCTGGTATGTAGAGGGTTTGGAGTGATAGCTTCTTTCTAGTGCCTTTGAATTTGGGTGCTAGTGACAAAGTGAGTGGACCTCCTAGCAGCTCTCCTACATGATGGGAATGGTAGGAGGGTGGTAGCAATTGCCAGTCAGAGACAATTAAGCTGCAGTTGGTTTGCACAGGGCAGGACTAGGAGTTTCCCAACAGCGATGGTGGCCTATTCTGAGTCATCCAAATACCTTTTTTTTTTTTTTTCTTTCCCGAGACGGAGTCTCGCTCTGTCTCCCAGGCTGGAGTGCAGTGGCGCAATTTTTGCTCACCGAAAGCTCCGCCTCCCGGGTTCATGCCGTTCTCCTGCCTCAGCCTCCCGAGTAGAGTAGCTGGGACTACAGGCGCCCGCCACCAAGCCCGGCTAATTCTTTTTTTTTTATTTTTAGTAGAGATGGGGTTTCATTGTGTTAGCCAGGATGATCTCCATCTCCTGACCTCGTGATCCGCCCGCCTCAGCCTCCCGAAGTGCTGGGATTACAGGCGTGAGCCACCGTGCCCGGCCCTTCCTGGTTTCTTTGATGACCACTTGCCATGAGTTACCAGATTATCTGTTAGGGATTAAAGGTTCACAAGGTGATTTTTTAAAAATTCTCAATGAATATTTACTTGGTTGCTGCTATTGGAGCTATCACCTTAGATTGAAATTTTGCTTAGGGAAGGTCCCTGGAGTTGTAAATATCTCGCCTAGAGGTTGATAAATTCACTGCAGTAATATGCTACCCTTAGGTTAAAGTTGAGTCTTTAAAGGAAAGCTAGACTTTAAGGACCTAGGGTGGTAGATGAGGACTTCTGTCTTGGAAAACAGAGAAAGAAAGGGAAGCAAGCCATCGTGGGATCTATGGATTTCTTTTTTTTTTTTTTTTTTTTTTTTTTTGAGATGGAATCTCGTTCTGTCGCCCAGGCTGGAGTGCAGTGGCACAATCTCAGCTCATTGCAACCTCCACCTCCCGGGTTCAAGCGATTCTCCTGCCTCAGCCTCCCAAGTAGCTGGGACTACAGGGGCGTGCCACCACGCCCGGATAATTTTTGTATTTTTAGTAGAGATGGGGTTTCACCATGTTGGCCAGGATAGTCTTGATCTCTTGACCTTGTGATCCTCCCGCCTCAACCTCCCAAAGTGCTGGGATTACAGGCGTGAGCTACCATGCCCGGCCTATGGATTTCTTTTAAGTTTTCCAGGAAAATGATTTATACATAGACATAAGACATAAATATTTCTCTACTTGCAAACAGTTGCCTGAGAAGTGACTTCTAGTGATTATAGGAGATATTGCTAAGTGAAAAAAGCTAAGTGCAAAAGAACATATATTTTCTACTTTTGTAAAAGAAAAAAGGAAACATAAGGAAAAATACAACTATCTTTTTTTTTTTTTTTTTTTTTGAGACAGAGTTTTGCTCTTGTTGCCCAGGCTGGAGTGCAATAGCACGATCTTGGCTCACCACAACCTCTGCCTCCCGAGTTCAAGCAATTCTCCTGCCTCAGCCTCCCAAGTAGCTGGGATTACAGGCATGCACCACTGTGCCTGGCTAATTTTGTATTTTTTTTTTTTTAGTAGAGACGGGGTTTCTCCATGTTGGTCAGGCTGGTCTCGAACTCCTGACCTCAGGTGATCCACCCGCCTCAGCCTCCCAAAGTGCTAGGATTACAGGCGTGAGGCACCGCGCCTGGCCTATCTTCTTATCTTTGTAAAACACACAGGACGGATAAACAGAAAACAGTAAAGTCGATTACCAACAAAGGGTGGGTGGGAACAAGGAGAAGGGGATATGTGAGGAGGGTTACTTGTCTAAGACACCCTTTTGCATAGTTTTGGCTTTGGGGAGCCTGTTAATGTCCTACATATTCAAAAATAAATTTAAATCAAGGATGGGGCCAGACTTGGTGGCTCATGCTTATAATCTCAGCACTTCGGGAGACTGAGGTGGGAGGATCGTTTGAGCTGAGGACCAAATGATCCTCCCGCCTAAGACCAGTCTGAGCTACACGGTGAGACCCCCATCCCTATTTTTTTAAGTTATATTTAAATATAAGTATATATATAATAGGGATAGGGGAAATCCTAAAACTGAGAGCAACATGAAATGAAGAAACCCAGTTGTATTTCAAATGAATTCCATAACCACAGTGAAGAGGGGAGAAAAAGAAATAATCCAGGGAGCTACGAACACAGTATTCTATGAGATATGCTCCATCTTGTCTAAAGTTGGGTGGTGAGGGAAACTCGCAAAGAAATTTTAAACTCTTACGATATACTTTATGTAGTGATACTGGCAAAGCAACTCTGAAACAGTTTTAGATGTATTTTAGCATTGAGCAAATGAGTTATTGTTTTGGAGAGCCAGGGTTCTCACTGAGAAAGAAGGAACATATAGAAAGGAAATGGGAGATGGGGGAAAAGAACATTGTGGGAATCAATTGGAATCAGAAGAATAGGTATGAACTGATTTCTGAAATACATGCATGTATAAGTATTCCCATGTACATGCGTGTGTGCATAAGTGTATATGTATGTGTGTGTGTGTATACATTTTTTACTTAGCTCTATCCATCAAAGGACCAGGACCAAGAAGCAAAGTCACCCCGCTAGTAACAAGCACATCAAGTGCCAAGATCTTGGTCTCTATTATCATTTCCCATTCAAAGGAACCAGGGGTACTGGGAGAAATGGCTGATTACAGGCTGGGGCAGGAGAGGTACAACTTGAGCCTGGAACATCTTGTTATTGTCACAAGGTATGGACATGCTGAAAGAATGATGGGAGCCTGTCACAAGGACACAGTGCTAGCTTGAAAGTGCTTTGATTGGCCAAACCAGGGACCATGTGGACACCAAAATAATTATGGACAGTAAGGAATTATATGCCATTGGAGAAAAAATAGGAATTTACACATCCATATTGATTACTAACTAATAAGTGGAAAGTAGGGAGGCTATGCTTACAGCGGCATGCTCAGGCTCACCAATATGCGTGGAGGGGATGGGTGCTGTGAAATCATCCTTTCATGGCCATTGTAGTAGAGACTGGATCAGGGGAGAATCATCCATGAGTGTCACGTTTAGGAGGAAATTGTGATAAGGAACGGGACATTTGCGATGTCTTAAAAGTGTCTCCCCACAAATTACAAGTTCAAAAAATACATACAGTGGAGAAATCAAACAACACGTTGACCACATGACCAAAGTATAAAATCAAAATGCAATCACCGACAAGGGGCAGAGACCTCACGTGCCTCCAGATGTCACATCTGAAAGGACGCAGCATCACCTATGTGATGTTCCAGCAAGAACAGAGACCTTGAATTAAATCACGAGGAAATGACAGAGAAAGCCCAAAAGTGGGAGGTTCAGTTTTAAAAAGAGAGAGAGAGAGAGAGAAGGAATACCATATTCTTTTAATGTCAGTGTTGTAAATGACAAATACAGGTTGTGGAGGCCGGGCACAGTGGCTCACGCCTGTAATCTCACTTTGGGAGGCCAAGGTGGGCAGATCACCTGAGGTCAGGAGTTCGAGACCAGCCTGGCCAACATGGTAAAACCGTGTCTCTACTAAAAATATAAAAATTAGCTGGGCATGGTGGCAGGCGCCTGTAATCCCAGCTACTTGGGAGGCTGAAGCACAAGAATCGCTTGAACCCGGGAGGCGGAGGTTGCAGTAAGCCAAGACCATGCCACTGCACTCCAGCCTGGGTGACAGAGATAAACTCAGTCTCAAATATATATATATATACATACACACACACATATATATGTTGTGTAAATATTTCATATATATATATGTGTGTGTGTATATATGTGTGTGTGTGTGTGTGTGTGTGTGTATATATATATATATATATGTTGTGGAAATGTTTCAGATTAAAGGACATGGCTACCTAAAGTAACACCTGATTCTAGACTGGATCCTGTGCTAGAGGAAAAATAATACTATAACTGACATCATTGGGTCAATGACGAAATCAGACTATTAGATAACTGTGAATGTTAATGTTAAATTGTCTGAAGTTGATAATTCTACTATGGTTATGTAAGAGAATGTGAGAGACTACCCCTGAAGTATTTAGGGGTAAAGGGGGATAATGAACTATATGTAACTTAAGCTCAAATGGTTCAGCAGTGAGCCTGGTGTCTGGGCGCGTGCAAGCCCTCTTCATCTGTCTGTCCCTGGCAGTGCTGCGCCGTTAATTATGTTATGGCTGGGGATTGGATTGAATTGGAATTGCACTGCTGTGACTCTGTAGAGAACAGGAGAGAATATAGGATTCTCTGTTTTCAAGGCCTGGAAACAATTAGAATATTGATCACCTCTAACCGCTTTTTAAACAGTTAAAAGTTAAAAGCTCCCTTTGGGAGTTTGCCTGTGTAAACTTATGTGAAGCCAGGCAGCTGACCAGAGCCTGGGATTCATGGATAATAACTACATCAGTCAGTAAACACACAAATAATCAAGAATTAACTTGATTAAGCGTCAATGTGAAACTGTCAAATCCGCAGGACATTTTATCAAGGCTTTTAATTTTTTTTTTAATTTTTACAAATGGAATGCTTCATGAATTTGTGTGTCATCCTTGTGCAAAGGCCATGCTAATCTTCTCTATATCATTCCAATTTTAGTATATGTGCTGCCGAAGCAAGCACATGTCCAGGATTTTTTTTTTTTATCTTGGTAGAGAAAAAATTAAGAGATTCAGTGTCTGTTATAATCTTTCCCTTCCCAAATGTTGATGTTATTATATAATGCATGAATTTTGCCATTTATGTAGGATGCTAGCATTAGAACCATTTAATAAGGCAAATCTGATGGGAGTGTAACATGAATATATGAATACTTTCAGCCCCGGGTTCTCCAATGCACAATTACACATTGTTGGTAAACAACCTGAGACTATTTTAGGCTGGCTGGTGTAATGTGTCTCTTATTGGCAAGATATACACTGGATATTGTGGCAGAGGTGTCAGATGTAAAGACAATTTCTATTTCTTAAAAAAACAAACACCATAAACAAAACCACTTTATCATTCTGAAAAATTCCACATTTACTCACTATGCAAAGATACCAACTCTAAGTTGCCTTGTTCATATTATATTCTAAATTCCAGAGTTTGGGGTTTGTGACATCTTTCAGGAGATCTGAAAAAGGCAGTAATGGATACACCCCAGGCTGCTTTGCTCTGAGCAGCTGGTAGAGTAAAATATTTAATATCTCTCTCACTACTAGGGTGACATTTTCCTGTGGCCTGAGACAGTAGGTTACGAGTTAGGTATTTCCCTTGCTATTAATGATTCAACACACGAAAGTAAATTTGAGCCCCGGCGTGGGCTGTAGTAACTTCTCAGCTGTCCCTGAAGTGTCAATTTGGTGATGTGTTTCTTCTCCTAGTATTTAATTATCTCACATAAGAAAAACAACAGCTAATATTTACTGAGCCTTCCTTTGGGTCAAGCCCTATTCCAGAGCTTTCCATATATTGAATCATTTTATCCTCACAGCAGCTGTAAAAGGCAGCTGCTATTGTTTTTACTCATTTTACAGATGATAAACTGAGGAACAGCAATATTACTTCATAATATATATATATATATATTTTTTTGTTAGACAGAGTCTCACTCTGTCACCCAAGCTGGAGTGCAGTGGTGTGATCTTGGCATACTGCAACCTCCGCCTCCCAGGTTCAAGCAATTCTCCTGCCTCAGCCTCCTGAGTAGCTGGGATTACAGGCATGTGCCACCATGCCTGGCTAAGTTTTGTATTTTTAGTAGAGACGGGGTTTTACCACGTTGACCAGACTGGTCTCGAACTCTTGACTTCAAATGATCCACCTGCCTCAGGCTCCCAAAGTGCTAGGATTACAGGCATGAGCCCCTGTGCCAGGCTGAAACTGATTCTTAAAAGAAAAAAATTGTAATGCACAAAAAGAACAAGTAAATGCTAAATATTCCTGTTTAACCAAAGAAGAAATATGCCTCCTCAAGTCCAATGCAAATGGAGTGGCCCTGACTCATAAAACATTATAGTTTTCTATAACATTTTCACTTTATTAAATATTCAGATGTATCTTTTTTTTTTTCTTTTCTTTCTTTCTTTTTTTTTTTTTTTTTGAGACAGAGTCTTGTTCTGTCTGTAGCCCAGGGTGGTATGTAGTGGCATGATCTCAGCTCACTGCAACCTCCGCCTCCCAGGTTCAAGCAATTCTCCTGCCTCAGCCTCCCAAGTAGCTGGGACTACAGAAGTGCACCACCAAGCCCAGCTAATTTTTGTATTTTTAGTAGAGATGGGGTTTCACCATGTTGACCAGGCTGGTCATGAACTCCTGACCTTAGGTGATCTGCCCGCCTCAGCCTCCCAAAGCGCTGGGATTACAGGCGTGAGCCACTGTGCCCGGCCTGTATTTCATTTTTTAAAATAATCTCCTCTTAACTGTCTATGAAAAGATTATTTAATATCTGAGTTTTCAAGATGGAGCCAATGGCTGCATAAAGCATGTGTTCCCTTCAGAGCCTGTGTTGGTGATTAGTACACATGTGCTTTACACAGTGGTGACCTCATGTTAATACATTGGTTTATGTGAAGGAGAGTTTTTGTTGTGTTGTTGTTGCCTTGTTTTAATTTAGAAAGATTTCAAACACATGTAGAAATAGTAAAATGAACCCCCTTGTTCATGGCCAAGGCCAATGTTGTTTTTATCTATAGATCTGTCCACTTCCTCTCTTTCCATATTATTTCCAAGTAAGCTCAGCCAATGCATCTTTTCATTCAACCTGGTTTTGAAATGTGGTTTGTTTCACTTGTTCATACCATGATCAAGGTGGTTTGCTGAGTATACTTTGAGGAAAGCAAAAATCTGTATCCAAGTAGTTATATTACTGGTTCTCTCTTCCCTTGTTGACACAAGAGAGATCTTTTTTTTCTTTAATCGGGGTTTTTTAAGCACTCTACTCTCTTATCTTGAAGTTATTGTCATCTAGAAAATATAGAATGTCTTAAATAATTACAGTTCTGTGGAACCTTACCCTGGGGGCCGGAGACAGTGTGATTGAGGAGAAAGGATGCAGGATTTGGATTCAAATGCTAAGATCTGGTTCTGGTTCCTCTACATCTTGTCATTTCTGAGAACCTGGATACAGCCTTGAACTCTGAGCTTGATTCTACATTTGGTAGTTCTTTATGAAAGTTCTACTGTGTGTTACATGCTGTTCTGGGCAATGGAGCTATTGCAGAGAATAAAATGAAAATAATCTACTTTTCAATGATGTTTTAGAGATAAGTATGTTAATGGTATCTGAAAAGCTTTTGCAAGCTGTGAAGTGCAATTATAAAAGTTTTTATTGTTTTCCTACTCTGTTTTTCACTTGAAAACTTCAGTTCCCTGATGTTTCAGGTTTACGATGGTTAATAATAAACTAAACTAAGCTTTATCGAAGGGGGAAATATAAGAATTATATCTGTGTGTGTTACTGAATTTCTGATGAAATGAATCACTGGAATGCCTCACTCAGTGGATATCTGGGGCCACATACTGTGCATGCTACTAAGGGCTTTACATGGGATCAAGATTAAGCTTCACAAGGACCCTGTAAGGTAACCATTATCTTCATGTTATAAATGGAGAAGTAGGAGCTTACTAAGAATATTTTTCCCAAGCTTCTGCAGGTAGCAGGCCTTAGAGCTGGGATTTCATCCCCTATCTGTCTAACCTCAGACAGGAGCCCTTAACCATTTCTTGATTCTGCCCCACTTGAGAAATAAGAGGAATAGGCCATGATCTTGCACCTTTAGATTATCATTTATTATTATTATTATTATCATTATTATTATTATTATTTGAGACAGGGTCTCACTCTATTGCCCAGGCTGGAGTGCCGTGGTGCAGTCATGGCTCACTGCAACCTCTGCTTCCTGGGCTCAAACGATCCTCCCACCTCAGCCTCTCAAGTAGCTGGGACCACAGGCACGCACCATAATTCCCAGCTAATTTTTGTATTTTTTTGTAGAGATAGGGTTTCGCCATGTTGCCCAGGCTGGTCTTGAACTCCTGAGCTCAAGCAATCTGCCCACCTCGGCCCTCCAAAGTGCTGGGATTATAGGCATGAGCCACCATGCCTTGCCTGCACCTTTGGATTTTTACTCTGTTAGAAACAAAAACAACCACAATACAAGCCATAATGCAAAGAATGGTTCAGGCAGTAAGTTGTTAAAGTACAAATGATAAAGACATTACATCGGGATTTGAGGACCTGGAAAAGGAATGAAGCTGCCTAGCTGCCCTTGTGAGTGTACTTGTGAGGGAGCAGAAGGTGGCTGGAGCTAGGGTGGGGCCTGCAATGGGCACAGTCAGAGCAGATAGAGCCTCTCCAAGTTCTAACGCATATGTGAAAATCTAGTAATTTCTATAATGAAGCACAACAGAAATGTCTATCAACAGATTTTGAAGATAATCTGGAAGCCTTGTAGATCCCCATTTGACCTATGGAAGCTGTTTCTTGAGAGTCATTGATTCTGATTTCAGAGTATGGTGAGTGTAATTGTATTTTGTGTTTGGTCCAGACAGCAAAATAAATTCCCTTTTTTTTTTTTTCAAGACAGCATCTTGGCTTACTGCAACCTCTGCCTCTCAGGATCAAGTGATACTCCTCCCTCAGCTGCCCAAGTAACTGGGACTACAGCTACACCACCATGCCCTGCTAAATTTAGTATATATATATATATTTTGTACAGCTGTGGTTTCACCATACTGCCCAGCCTGGTCTCCTGAGCTCATGTGATCCTCCTGCCTCAGCCTCCCAAAGTACTGGGTTACAGGTGTGAGCCACAAGCCTAGCCCAACATTCCTTATTGATAGCCTAAATTACTAATGTTTAAGCCATAACAAGCATTGATAAGATTTATTTTCTTATTCTATTTTATTTTTTGAGATAGTCTTGCTCTGTTACCCAGGCTGGGGTCCAGTGGCACAGTCTCTCCTCACTGCAACCTCTGCCTCCTGGGCTCAAGCAATTCTTGTGCCTCGGAATCCCAAGTGGCTGGGATTATAGCAGGTGTGCGCCACCACGCCCGGCTAATTTTCTGTATTTTTACTAGAGACAGAGTTTCACCATGTTGGCCAGGCTGGTCTCGAAGTCCTGGTCTCAAGCGATCCACCCGCCTTGGCCTCCCAAAGTGTTCAGATTACAGGCATGAGCCACCGTGCCCAGCCAAACATTGATAATATTTAAATACTCATGTGACACATGCAAACATGCACAAAGTTAGCTGTCATGGTTAGTGCAACATTGTTTTCTGTACCTGAGGTTTAAGCTTTGGAAAACTAAGACACAAATTCACTGTAGACACGTCTGTTAAGATGAAGGAGGAAAAGAGTAGGTTGGACTCTGAGGATGGGTAGGGCAATAGCCAGAATGAGCCTAGGAACTGATATATAAGGCAGGCCTAGCTGCGGAGCACTTGGAGGTGACCGTTTTGTGGCCCAAACACCAGCTTTTGCTCTTGAGTGTAGCTCAGTTTTTCATTGATGAATATTGTAGAAGAGCCTATGTCACAACTCCGAAATATTTGAAAGGATGGCATCATGTAAATCCAGAGCACAGTCTATTCAGAGCACTTTTAAAACATGCTTTGAAAATATTTTAATTAGCTCCAGATATCTAATAGTAAAGTTCAAATCCATGTGACATTTAAAGGCTTTTCAGTAATTTTCTTTGAGTTGTGCAGTGTGCAGGTACTCTTGATTTATTTCTGATTGCTGATTTAGGGACTATTTAAACCCCTAGTTTATTCTTTTTCTTTTTTTGAGATGGAATCTCACTCTGTTGCCCAGGCTAAAGTGCAGTGGCACAGTCTCGGCTCACTGCAACCTCCACCTCCCAGGTTCAAGCGATTTTTGTACTTCAGCCTTCTGAGTAGCTGGGATTACAGGCTCACGCCACCATGCCTGGATAATTTTCATATTCTTGGTAGAGACGGGGATTCATGATGTTGGCCAGGCTGGTCTCAAATTCCTGACCTCAAGTGATCCACCAAACTTGGCCTCCCAAAGTGCTGGGATTACAGGTGTGAGCCACTGCACCCGGCACTAAACCCCTAGTTTATCCTTAATGCTCTTCTCTCTATTCTTACACTAATTCCATTTTTTTCCTTTCTTTTTAAAAAGAGCTCTCGGAAGTTAGGATCAAAGTGTTAAAATAGCAAGTTGAGGCCAGTTAGATTTGCTATTGTTGGGAATTTATCCCTGGCATGATTTATTGATGGACAGCTGAAGGTTTGCTCACAAGAGTGGAGATGGGGTGGGAAGGAGATTGGTTGCTGGAAGGGAGAGAATCCTCTAGACAATTCAGCCAGAGCCTGCTTCCTCCCTAGACCTACAGGGGACAATGACAGTGAGCTCTGTTTCCTAAATAATGGATCAATCTTCCTGACTCAACTCAGAGTTCTATAGGGTGTCTTCACCTAAATCAGGTTAATTCGGGGGTAAGTTTTCAGGTTGGTAACATGTTGAATATATAAGAGCTTATAATAACATTAATTGAGTAAAAGTTATAAATAGTATTATGATAACAAGAGAGTTAAAGAGGATTGTTTTCATTGGAGTCCAGTTGCATTCAAGAGAGTCATTTTCTCTTTATAGGAGATGCAGGTTGATTGAAGTCTAGGTCTATGGAGAAGGGGAATGTGGAAAAGCAAAAAATATGCAAACATTTTGATTGGCTTTACATTTTATTTTATGTCAGAATCATAAGTATATATATTCTCTGTACTACTTGCCTTTGTGGGGTAGGGGCTGGAGATGGGGTGAGCATTGCTCAATCAAACCCAAGCCCTCATCACCATGTGCTACTGCACCCATGAAAGTACACAGAGATTTTAAAGGGGAAGCAAACATTGATTGGGAGGAGAAAATATCACAGCAGAAAAAAGTTCTAGAATACATTATCATTTTTCCTGGGGCCATGCTTTTTTTAAGAGGTGGAGCAGAAAGCATCTTTAATGGGCACTTCTTTAAAACTCCAAAACATTTTGAAGATGTTTTAATACATGTTGGATACTTCTATAGGTGTACCTTTTCTCTTAAATGCAAATCAGACTAGATGTTTGCACAAGGCCTGCATGAGTCATCCCTAGTTCAGCAGCCTGGCCTTATTTGCATTAAACACCAGTTGCAGTTCCTTCTGATTATTCTCTGCAAATAACTGTTAAACCTGGGTAAGCTGCAAAATTAAATTAAATTAAACTTTAAAATAGCATGTTAACCTTTGGGTAATTAGAAGAGAGAAAAGAAAACATGGTCATTTAGTTCTTATTTATATAACTTGTTACAAAAGGTAACCACAGTTTTTCCTTTTGTGCACATAGTCTTGGCAAAGGTGGATTCAGAATTTAAAGACATTAAGTAACAAATTTGCAGTACCTGACTGTGGAGTCCTCTGTTTGTTGGAATTAAGGAATTTGAAAGGCCCTCTCCGATGTTAAAGCTACACATTCAAGCCATATATTAGTTAGCTGGGGCTGCTGTAACAAGGTACCACACACAGAGCAGCTTAAAGAACAGAAGCTTATTGTCTCACAAATCTGGAAGCCAGAAGTTCAAGATCAAGGTTTTGCACGGCCATCTTCCCTGTGAGGGTGCTGGGGAAGGATCTGTTTCAGGATTCTCTCCTAGTTTCTGGAAGTTCCTTGGCTTGTGGCAGCATGTCTCCAAGGGATTTTATTCTGGTTACCCCTTATATGTCCTTGGGCAAAGAACTTAACCTCTCAGTTACAGTTTCTTTATTTGTAGAATGGGGATAATAATTTGATCCTCAAACAAAGTAAGCTAATGCGAATACATAGTGGAGAGCCTGATGCATAGAACACATAGTTAGCTCTCTGTAAACGCACGCCACCATCATCCTAGGAAAACATGGGGAGTTTCAGAAGCCTTACATCAGAAGTCTTACCATGGGTGCTTAAACTGATCAGATTTGTAGGAGAAGCTTGGACACACTCCTTATATTTGACCTGTTCAAACTCTGAAAGCCAGAACAGATAGAATTGCTGACTGTTGGTAGGAAGCTCTGTAGATATTTCAAGCCAAATGCAAGTATTTCCAAGGGACCTATAAAATATTAACCATATGTTTGCAGTAGAATCTTGGTCCAAAACTTAGGATATGAACTCTGCTGCCTTGGAAGAGTTTGTAATCTAAGTTGAGTACTCTAAGCTGACTTGAAATACAGCATAAGAGACAGTGATTAAATATCTCAGACCCAGAATTTGTAAAGGTGTTAACCTTCAGATGGAATGAGAGGTAAGGCTCTGTCGACCAGTCTTAGATGTTCAGGAAACCATGATAGTATCTAGAAAAGATACCAAGTAAGTGCCCTAATCATACTTAATGTGCCAATCACCTTAGTGTCTGTTTAAGCTTTGGAACATGTTTACATATAAATATTTGGAAATTTGAGACAGATTTACAAATGAAAAGGAGCCATGTGGGAATTTTAAGAGCATCTGTTTGTATTTGCAGCTGAAGCCACAGCTTTGGATACAGATCACTAAGGAGAGCCACTGACTTTTCTTTCTTTCTCTTTTTTTTTTTTTTTTGAGATAGAGTTTTGCTCTTGTCACCCAGACTGGAGTGCAGTGGTGGGGTCTCAGCTCACTGCAACCTCCACCTCCCGGGTTCAAGCAATTCTCCTGCCTTAGCCTCCCAAGTAGCTGGGATTGCAGGTGCCTGCCACCACGCCTGGCTAATTTTTGTATTTTTAGTAGAGATGGGGTTTCACCATGTTGGCCAGGCTGGTCTTGAACTCCTGACCTTAGGTGATCCACCCACCTCGGCTTCCCAAAGTGCTGGGATTACAGGTATGAGCCACCACGCCCGGCCTGGGCCACTGACTTTTCAAGCTATCTTTGTCTCTGGCCCCTCTCCAAGGCACTCAAGGTCCATTGTCCTTAGTGCTAAGTAATGGTTGGGGATCTTTGCTGAGGATCAGCAAGGGCTCTTGGAGGAAATGGTGGACCCAGACTACATTTCATGCAGCTCACCATCCTTAGGAGGGAGATGGAATCTTCTGTTTACTAACACACCAGAAAGGTATAATACAAGGGACAAAATGTGGCAAGTTTCAACTCTTCTGCCTTGACATGCAAACCATCCCTTCTGAGCTCACTTCCATGCACCATGCACAGTGGATTCCATGAACCCACTTCCATGCTACCATTTTTGTTTTTGTAATCATTTGCAAAGAGACAGAATGATATTAAGAAAGTATCAGTGGCTGGGCACAGTGGTGGCTCACACCTACAATCCTAGCACTTTGGGAGGTCAAGGCAGGTGCAACACTTGAGGTCAGGAGTTTGAGACCAGGCTGGCCAATATGGTAAAACCCTGTCTCTACTAAAAATACAAAAATTAGCTGGGCTTGGTGACATAGACCTGTAATTCCAGCTACTCAGGAGGCTGAGGCAGGAGAGAATTGCCTGAACCAGGGAGGCGGAGGTTGTAGTGAGCAGAGATCACACCACTGCACTCCAGCCTGGGAGACAGAGTGAGACTCTGTCTCAAAAAAAAAAAAAAAAAAAAAAAAGTAAGCATCAGTGGGCATAATCCTAATGGCCTGATCCAACTTTTCTCCCCCTTTGAACAGCACCAGGACAAATCGTAAGAGATTTGGGGACAAACAGACCTGGTTGAAACCTCAATATGTGACCCTGGAGAAGTATGCCACCTAACCTCTTCAAGCCCACAAAATGAGGATAAGCCCTTCCTTTTGTGTGTGCTGTAAAAATTGCATGAAATGTACCCAGTATATGAGCAATTGCTCAGCAGTGTTTGGATATAGGGAGTGGATAGCTATTATTAATTGCAGATTATTTTGGAAGGAAAAACACACAGAGAATTATGTATCTTTCAGTGCAAATGTTAGTTCTAAAAACAATCATATTATTTACAAAGCTGCAGTTATAGAACACAATTCTGATTTCTGCCTCACCCCCACGGTTAATACTGTAAAACATTTCCTACGTTTCATCTGATAGTGTTATTAAAAATAGCTGTTATTTTTAATAGCTATACTAAAACATAAAAATGTTTAGGTCAGGCGTGGTGGCTCATGCATATCATCCCAACACCTTGGGAGGTTGAGGTGGGAGGATTGCTTGAGGCCAGGAGTTTGGGATCAGCCTGGGCAATGTAGTGAAACCTCGTCTTTACAAAAATTTTCTCAAAATATTAGCCAGTTGTGGTGTCATTTGCCTGTGGTCCCAGCTACTTGGGAGGCTGAGGTGGGAGGATCACTGAAGCCCAGGAGGTTGAGGCTGCAGTGAGTCATGATCATGCCACTTAACTCCAGCCTGGATGACAGTGCAAGGCCCTGCGTCAGAAAAAAAAAAAAAAAATTGTAAAACCATGAGATCTTGTTGGACACTCATGTGGTTTCCATTCCTGCTTTTTATAACTAATGACGCCAATCAAAAATTTTGTGGCCAGGTGCAGTGGCTCACTCTTGTAATCCCAGCACTTTGGGAGGCTGAGGCAGGCAGATCGCCTGAGGTCAGGAGTTCAAGACCAGCCTTGCCAACATGGTGAAACCCTGTCTTTACTATAAATACAAAAATTACTCGAGCATGGTGGTGCATGCCTATAATCCCAGCTACTTGGGAAGCTGAGGCAGGAGAATTGCTTGAGCCCGGGAGGCGGAGGTTGCAGTGAGCCGAGATCTCCCCACTGCACTACAGCCTGGGTGACAGAGCAAGACACTGTCTCAAAAAAAAAAAAATTTGTTTCAGTAAGAGTCCTTTCATTGAAGTATTCCTGTTGGAAAAGGCTCTGTAAATGAGGTGATTGCTTCAAATATATCTTTAGTGTTTTGGGTACATAAAGCGTGGCCATCAGTAATACATATACTAATTTCAAGGCCAGCAGCAAGGTGGGTGAGGATTCATTCATCTCCACTGCTGACATTGAAAACATTGAATAGTGTCAACTGAATAGGCATAAAATGGTGTCTATGTTTTCATCAACTTGTCATTCTTTGATTGCTAGTAAGAGTAATCTTTTATTGTATCATTTTATGTGTTTATTATTTCTATTTACTTATCTGCCTCTTCTACTGCCTTTTCATTCAAATAAGCCATTCCTAGTGAGTCTGGATGGGGAATATAAGTTGTCTCTCTGTAGATCAAAAGTTTCAAAGTTTATATTTTGTTCCAGAAAGCTATGATGTTTTGTATGTCTTTCGGGAGTGCAGTCTTTGTATTAATAGCTTGGTGACTCTTCTAACATTAAAATTAATTCAGCTTGACAGACTTATTTTACCCTGAAGGGTTTGCTTCCAGGTAGCTGTCAATTATAAAGCTCCTATGACTTTGTATTATTTAAACATGAATATAACTTTAAAGCCTAATTATAGAGTCAATAGTAATGGGGTAAAAATGAGGCCATTGTCCCTAACAACTAAGGATGACGCTTGAACGTAAAAATAACCAGGGTTTTCTCCTGGTAACTTTCATTATTTACTATAAAAGTACATTGTGGATTGAGGCCGAGTCTCCAAAATAAACATCTGGGGAAATGACAGCATTCTTATCCTATGGGAACCAGCCCCAGTCTTTTATTTACTTTTTTTTTCCTTCATTTTCTAGACAAAAGAATGGCAGCCCCACCCTGCCTTCATTTTAAGCACATTTTTCTGGCTGCCACCACCCTAGTTCAGGCCTGTATTTCTTTCTTTTTTTTTTTTTTTTTTGAGACAGTCTCACTCTGTCACCCAGGCTGGAGTGGTGCCATCTTGGCTCACTGCAACCTCTACCTCCCGGGTTCAAGCGATTCTCCTGCCTCAGCCTCCCAAGTAGCTGGGACTACAGGCACACACCACCATGCCTGGCTAATTTTTGTATTTTTAGTAGAGATGGGGTTTCACTGTCTTGGCCAGGCTGGTCTCAAACTCCGGACCTCAGGCAGTCAGCCCACCTTGGCCTCTCAAAATGTTAGGATTACAGGTGTGAGCCACCGCGTTCGGCCCAGGCCTGTATTTCTTCTTGCTGTGGCTAGATTCATGCACTGAGTGTTGTTGCTGAGTGTGATGGTGGAGGTAATAAGGTAGAACCACTTGGTGTTCCAGGTGAAGAAACTGTGACAAGGAGATGCTGTTTCCAGGGTGACTTTTGAACAGTCTCCCTCCCAGGCTCTCACCTTCCCAGTCACCCTTCCCCCTGTCAGATGAGTGCTGTGCAGATCAGATTTCTTTCCTTTGCAGACACCTTCCATGGGCCCTCTAACTCCCTGGAATAAAGCCTTCTCAAGGCTGCATGAGCTGCCTTACTTTTGGAGGTGACTCCAAAACTACCTTTCCCCAGCTCTGCTCTTTCCCCCAGATCTCCCACCTGCGCCGGTGCTGGGCCTTTCCATTGCATTTTCCTGCCTCTGAGGTTTTTTTAGTTCCTTAATATCTCTCTCCCACCCACCCCAAGTTCTTGCTCACCTCTGTGACTCCCAGGTTGCCCAGCTCAAAAACCGTCTAGGAAATAATGATTGCTCTCACTTCACTCTTCAGCGGCATACATTGGGAAGCATTTTACATTTTAGAATTCACTGGTGTAGGATAGATCTGCCTGTAGACCTCAAAGTTTGATATTTTTTGCTTGTCAAATTCTTCCTTTGCTTAGGGTTTTCTTGTGACTAATGATGTTGTTAGTAGGTGTGGGGAAGGGAGGGAAGTAGGTGATGTTGGGAGTGGAGAGCAGGCTCTGATGCTTCCTGGGCAGAGCTTGAATTCCAATCTGAATCTACGATGCGTTCACTGTACCACAGAGAGCACAGAGCTGGGATATGTGTGGAAAGGGCCTGAATAGCTAGGAGCTAAATCACCCTGGGCAAGCTTTGAAACCACCTCAGTTTTTTCATTAGTAAGAAGGTAATGACATTGCCTGGCGACATGCCTCAGCATAATTCCATGACAATTGCATGAGACAATCTGTATGAAAAATCCTTTGTCCTGGAAGGGGCTGCCTTTTATGGATAAGAAGAAATATAATATTACTAGGAAATGCTGTGAGCCCATGGCAATGCTGGACTAAGAAATCCTTTGAACCTTAGCCAGGGGAATGAAAAAGCTGCTCATCTCTGAAATGTCAAGGTTTTGAGATTTCCCCTGTACCTTTTCTAATGACCGCATTGAAGTTGTACAGAATGAAACAAGAACCAGTCTGTTTTGTTTTTTTTTTTTTTATAGAGATGGGGTCTTGCTCTGTCACCTAGCCTGAAGTTAAGTGGCAAGATCCTAACTCACTGCAGCCTTGAGCTCCTGGGCTCAAGCGATCCTTCTGCCTCAGCCTCCCAAGTAGCTGGGACTACAGGTGCCCAGCTAATTCTTTAAATTATTATTTGTAGAGATGGGGTCTTGCCATATTGCCCAGACTCGTCTTGAACTCCTGGCCTCAAATGATCCTCCTGCCTCAGCTTCCCAAAGTGCTGGGATTACAGGTGTGAGCCACCACACCCAGGCAGCCAATCTTCCTTTGTGAGAAAGGGCTCTGGGGCGGATTTTCTGAGGAATAGGGGGTGAAGCTGTGGACTCAGAGAAGCCTTTTCTATCATATGTAAAGATCCTGGCTGAATTGTCCCCACCACAGTGATACTGTTGATACCTTAGTTTTATGTTATTTATCCCAGGCTTCTAGATTTTTTAGGTCCTGCCTTGGGAGGAAATAAAAAATGTAATCCTGTTCCTGCTGGGAACTGTAATTACGCTGTTTCTATAACAGTATAAAGTTTAAATTTAATGCAGATCTTAGATACATTTTATTACTATTGCTTCATGAGATTCTTTATCTAATTACAACTGTCATCAAGTTTGTCATTTTACTTTCAAGAATACTGAGCATTGGCCAGGCGTGGTGGCTCATGCCTATAATCCCAGCACTTTGGGAGGCCGAGGTGGGTGGATCACTTGAGGTTAGGAGTTCAAGACCAGCCTGGCCAACAAGGTAAAACCCTGTCTCTACTAAAAATACAAAAATTAGCCAGGTGTGGTGGCATGCACTTGTAGTCCCAGCTACTGGAAAGGCTGAGGCAGGAGAATCATTTGAACCTGGGAGGCAGAGGTTGCAGTGAGCTGAGATCACACCACTGGACTCCAGCCTGGGTGACAGAGTGAGACTCTGTCTCAAATAAGTAAATAAAAGAATACTGGGCAGACTCCAAACAGGGTGTGGCATGTGTCTGGACTAACTAGGAAAATAGAGAAGATTTCTGCTACCTTTTAGATGGGGGCTCTTTGGAATAACTTGGAAATAATAGTGGCTACATTGAGTGCCTGACCCTAGAATTACTGCTTGTGACTAATGGTATGTGTATTGGTTGTCGATTGCTGTGTAACAAGCTACTCCAAAACTTAACAGCTTAAACCAACACGCATTTATTATCTCACAGTTTCCATGAATCAAGTGTCTGAGCACAGCTTAACTGGGTTCTCCGTATTAGGATTTCTCACAAGGCTACAATTAAGGTGCCAGCCCAGCTGATGTCTCATCTGAAGGCAGGACTGAGGAAGGATCTGCTTTCAAGTTCATGTAGTGATTGCAAAATTCACTGCATTCCTTAAGGACTATTGGACTGAGGGCTCCAGTCCCTGCTGGCTGTTGGTCAATGCTAACTTCACATCTTGCCATGTGAGCCTCTCCATAGGGCAGCTGCTTCACCAAAGCAAGGAAGGGGAAAGAGTTGGCTGGCAACAAGAAGTCATGGTTTTTTATAACCTAATCATGGAAGTGACATCCCATTACCTGCGCCATATTCTATTGGTTAGAAGCAAGGTTCAAGCTGGGCACAGTGGCTCATGCCTGTAATCCCAGCACTTGGGGAGGCCAAGGTGGGTGGATCCCAAGATCAGAAGTTCAAGACCAGCCTGGCCAGCATGGTGAAACCCTGTCTCTACTAAAAATACAAAAAATTAGCCTGGCATGGTGGTGCACGCCTGTAATCCCCGTGACTTGGGAGGCTGAGGCAGGAGAATTGCTTGAACCAGGGAAGTGGAGGTTGCAGTGAGCCAAGATCGCGCCACTGTACTCCAGCCTGGGCAACAGAGCAAGACTCCATCTCAAAAAATAAAGCAGCAAGGTTCAGGAACTCAGGCTTATTTTAAAAAAAAGAAAATGAAGAAGAAGAAAGAAGGAAAAGGGGCTGGATATGGTAGCTCATGCCTGTAATCCCAGTATTTTGTGAGGCCAAGGAGGGAGGATTGCTTGACCTCAGGAGTTCAAGAGCATCCTGAGCAAACTAGCAAGACCTCATCTCTACTAAAAACCAAAAAAATTAGCTGGGTGTGATGGTGCACACCTTTAGTCTCAGCTACTTAGGAGGCTGAGGCAGGAGGATCACTTGAGCCTGGGAGATTGAGGCTGCAGTGAGCTTGATCACCCCAGTGTACTCCAGCCTAGGTGACAGAGCAAGAACTTGAATCAACAACCAAAAAAAAAAAAAAAAAGGAAGAAAAAAGAAGCAAACCACCTCATGTGTATGCCACACTCACAGGAAATTAAAGATGTGAACACCAAAAGGTGGGATCACTGGGGGCCATCTTAGAGTAGTAATTTATATTTAGTATGGAACATATAATAAGAAACACGTATAGCATAGAACATATAGAAATATAATTCATACTTATTATATATTACGATATGTTAAATATTTTACAGCATTGTCTTTAATAATAATAATAAACAAAATGAGGAAAAACAGATTTCGGAAATAGTCTTTCTTCTTGTGAACTTTAAAAGCCATTAAAAAAAAATGATGAAGGACCAGGCGTGGTGGCTTACACCTGTAATCTCAGCATCTTAGGAGGCTGAGACAGGATAATTGCTTTAACCCAGGAGACGAAGGTTGCAGTGAGCTGAGATCGCGCCATTGAACTCCAGTCTGGGCAACAAGAGCAAAACTCCATCTCAAAACAAACAAACAAACAAAACAAAAAACAAAACTACCATAGCCGGTATGTCAGTAATGAGTAAGGGTGCATTCTAATAAAACTTTATCTAAAAAAATAGGTAGTGGGCCGAATTTGGCCCATGGGCTGCAATTTGCCAATTCTTGTCTAGACTATAAGCCTCCTAAGTACAGAAACAAACGAGCCTCCTATATGCCAGACTCTGGTAGGTGCTAGTGATGGACAAGAAAGATTGGTCCTCACCTTTGATATCTTCAGTACCCTACTAGAGGGCTGGTTTGGTTTTGCGTACATGGTAAAATCTTGGACAATGGTTTTTGGATGGCCTCAAATGACTCAGACTCCTAAAAAGTTTCATCTTGTATGACTTCTGACCTTAACTGTTGCTGTTTTCTCCCATCATTGCCCTCAATCTTTCATCCCTAGTCCAATGACTTTGTGAATCTGTTACCATGTGGTAGGTGTGACCTGTGTAAAGGTGGTAAAGAACTTTGGTGTAAGACAACTCTCTGAGCCCTTGAAGACTTTATTGAAAGTTGATTTGCTCTTTCCCCAGATCTTTCAGTGTCAACTGTGTAGTAGGCACTGAGTATTCACAGACCAATCTGTTCTTGTAGAGTTTATGGTCTGGTGGGAAAGGCAGATAAATGAAAGCAAATGCATGTTTACAAATCATGATAAGTGTTAGGAAGGAAACAGAAATGTAGGTGCTCAAGGGGGCCAGTGGTAGCAGGAAGAGGAGGGCAGAATCCTGCTCAATACCATGAGTGGAAGAGGACACTGAAGTTGAGACCTAACGAATAAGAAATTGGCCAGGCATGGTGGCTCATGCCTGTAATCCTAGCACTTTGGGAGGCCAAGGTGAGCGGATCACCTGAGGTCAGAAGTTCGAGACCAGCCTGACCAACAAGGAGAAACCCTGTCTCTACTGAAAATACAAAAAAATTAGCTGAGTGTCATGGCGGGCACCTGTAATCCCAGCTACTTGAGAGGCTGAGGCAGGAGAATCGCTTGAAGCAGGGAGGTGGAGGTTGCAGTGAGCTGAGATCATGCCACTGCACTCTAGCCTGGGCAACAGAGCGAAACTGAGTCTAAAAAATAATAAAAATAAAATACACAAGTCCTATTGGATTAGGGCCCCATCTGATGACCTTATTTAACCTTAACTACCTCCTTAAAGGACCTCTCTCCATGTAGTCACATTGAGGGGTGTTATGGCTTCAACATATGACTTCGGGGGCCATAATTCAATCCATAACACCCAGGAAGGGTGTAAGCAGGAGAATGGCATGCCTTTGGTGGTCATGTGGAAGTTAATTGTGGAAAGTCTAGTTAGAGGGATCTCGCAGCATTTCCAGGGAGAGATGATGGTGGCCATGGAGATAGAGAGGAGGTGATGAATTGGAGGAGTATTTGAGGCAAAAACGACTGGCTTTACTGTTTTATGGCTTTATTTTATTTTATTTTATTTTATTTATTTATTTATTGGAGGCAGAGTTTCGCTCTTGTTGCCCAGGCTGGAGTGCAATGGCGCGATCTCAGCTCACTGCAGCCTCCTGGGTTCAAGCAATTCTCCTGCCTCAGCCTCCCGAATAGCTGGGATTACAGGCATGTGCCACCATGCCCAGCTAATTTTTTTGTATTATTAATAGGGACGGAGTTTCACCATGTTGGCAGGCTGGTCTTGAACTCTTGACCTCAGTTGATCCACCCGCCTCGGTCTTCCAAAGTGCTGGGATTACAGGCGTGAGCCACCGCATCCGGTCTGTTTCCTAGCTTTAATAGTTGACTTATCTGTATTCTTCGAAACTCTGGCAGTCAGTCAGTAGCTCTGTTCCCTGTGCCTAGTGTAGTACTCTGCACCTTGCAGGTGTTTACTGGATGCTGAGTAAATGCACACCTGTCTGCAGTGTCCTGGAGTGGTGGTCAGAGACATTATGAAGTTTCCAAATCCATACCATACACAGCACCTGACCTTAGGGATCATTATTTAGATCTGGGAAAATCTTCCTTATGTCATTTAGGGCTTCAAACAAGTGATTTCTCCCTGTTTTTTTTTCTTTGGTACACTAAAATGACAGAGCCAAATTCCTCCCGTGTGTGTCTGTGTTTCACACACATGCACACTGCAGAGAAGTCGAGTTGAGGACATTTCTTCACTCTCAGCGGAGAGCTCCCTGCTCCTGCTTTCTCACTGAGACTGTGCAGATTGTGTGGGTGGCGAGTTGGTTGTGCAAGGCCTTGCTTGCTTTGAGTCACGGACATGTGGGTTGTCAAATCCATTCCTCCGTGCTTGCTTCCTCTCTCAACCTCAAAGGGCTGGAGACAGTCTTAATATCCAGATGCCTGGCAGTTTGGAAGCAATGATGAAAAGGATAACTTACAAAATGTTTGTATAAATGCACTTAATGCCACAGAACCCTACACTTGAAAAGGGCTAAAAGGAAGCTGAGGTGGGAGGATTGCTTGGGGCCCGGAGTTTGAGACCAGCCTGAGGAACATAGGGAGAGCCTATCTCTTTAAAAAAAAGAAAGAAAGAAAAGAAAGAAAAAAAAAGCCAGGCATGGTGGCTCATGCTTCTAGTCCTAGTTACTAGGGAGGCTGGGGAGCAGGGTAGGAGGATTGCTGGAGCCCTCAGATTTGAGAGTGTAGTGAGCTAGGATCATGCCACTGCACTGCAGCCTCGGTGGCAGAGTGAAACCATGTCTCAGGAAACAAACAGTGGTTTGTGTCATCTGAGATGCAAAAAAAAAATAACAATAATAAGAGAAAGAAAACCAACCAACAAACAAAAAGTTAAAATTCTCCAATGGTACAGCTTTAAGAAATTAAAAAAAAAATAAAAGTAGGGAGAAACAAAGCCTGGCGTGGTGGCTCATGCTTGTAATCCCAGCACTTTGGGAGGCTGAGGCAGGTAGATTACTTGAGCCCAGAAGTTTGAGACCAGCCTAGGCAATATGGCAAAACCCTGTCTCTTCTAAAAACACAAAAATTAGTCAGATGTAGTGGCTTATACCTATAGTCTCAACTACTCAGGAGGCTGAGGTGGGAGAATTGCTTGAGCCCAGGAGGCTGCAATGAGAAAAACAAAACAAAATGGCTAAAATGGTAAATTTTATGTACATATATTTTACAACAATAAAAAATGTTTCCATATAGTACCTTCACAGTCACCTTGATACATATATATATAACAAGGCTGTAGTAACCAAAACATAATATGGGCTAAAAACAGACACATAAACCAATGGAACAGAATAGGGAACCCAGAAATAAATCCCCACATGCTAAAGAATGAAACTGGGCCCCTGTCTCTCACCATACACAAAAGTCAACTCAAGATGGATTAAAGACTTAAATGGGACCACACCTATAATCCTAGCACTTTGGGAGCCCAAGCCTGGAGGATCACTTGACCCAGGAATTCAAGACCAGTTTGGACAATGCAGTGAGATCCCATCGCTACAAAAAAAAAAAAAAAAAAATAGGCATGGTGGCATGCACTGGTAGTCCCAGTTACTTGGGATGCTGAGGTAGGAAGATTCCTTGAGCCCAAGAGTTCAATGCTGCAATGAGCTATGATTGTCCTACTACACTCTAGCCTGAGTGACAGAGTGAAACCCTTCTCTCAAAAAAAAAAAAAAAAAAAAAAAACTAGTAAAACTTTATACTAGAAGAAAACATAGGGAAAATGTTTTAGGACATTGGTCTAGGCAAAGATTTTATGGCTAAGACCTCAAAAGCACAGGCAACAACAACAACAAAAATAGACAAATAGGACTATATTAAACTAAAAAGCTTCTACTCAGCAAGGGAAGCAATCAACAGTGTTTCCTGCTGAATAGGAGAAAATATTTGCAAACCATTCATCTAACTAAGGACTAGTATCCAGAAATATACAAGGAACTCAAACAACTCAAAAACAAATAATCCCTGCAGCCATAAAAAAGAATGAGATCGTGGTCTTTCCATGGACATGGATGAAGCTGGAAGCCATCTTTCTCAGCAAACTAACACAGGAACAGAAAACTAAACACCACATGTTCTCACTCATAAGCAGGAGCTGAACAATGAGAACACATGAACACAGGGAGGGGAACATCACACACTGGGGCCTGTTGGGGGTGGGGGTGGGGGGGGCAAGGAATGGGAGAGTATTAGGACAAATACCTAATGCATGCAGGGCTTAAAACCTAGATGACAGGTTGATGGGTGCAGCAAACCACCATGGCACATGTATACCTATGTAACAAACCTGCATGTTCTGCACATGTATCCTAGAACTTAAAGTAAAATAAAATAAAGTAAAATAAAGACTTAGTAGGGAAATTTAGATTTAACATGGTGATGCCAATTTAGTGGAAAAGATGACTTTTAAAAAATTTGGCTCCATTTAATAAAAAATAATTTTAAAATAGTATAAACCATGAAAGTATACGTACTGCCAGGAAAGTATAAATATAACCAGGGAATTATAAGTATAACCAATGAAAGTATAAGTACTGCCAGTGTTACCAGGGGTCCTTGCTCCCAGAGCTCCCAAGATGGTGGTGGGCCACTTCCAAAATGGCGGCAGGCCACTTCCAAGATGGTGGCAAGCCTCGTGTTCTCTGACCTGGGGTTCTTGGCCTCACGGATTCCAAGGAATGGAATCTTGGGCCGTGCGGTGAGTGTTATAGCTCTATTAGAAGTCGTGGGTCACGGAAGAGAACCGTGGAACCCAGTGACTAGTGTTCAGCTTGATTAGGACGAAACCAGGCACTTAGCCATGCAGGAACAATGGCAAGCCTTTAGCGCGATCAGGAGTGGCAACGGGTGCTTCCCTGGATCAGGAGCACAGCGGGCGCCCTGCTGGATTGGAGGGATGGAAGTCAGCGGCGGGTCTGCGACGGCAGCAAAACAGCAGTGGTGGACGGCGAGCGAAAGCTCAGTTCTAGCGGTAACCAGAAGGGTGCAGCTGCAAGATTTAATAGAGTGAAATAGAGTGAAAACAGAGCTCCCATACAAGGAGGGGACCCAAAGGGGGTTGCCCTTGCTGGCTCCAATGCCTGGGTTTATATCCCGATCCTTGTCCCTCATCAGGCAATAGATGAGTTCATCAGGCAATAGATGATTGGCTATTTCTTTACCTCCTGTTTTTGCCTAATTAGCATTTAGTGAGCTCTCTGATTGGTCAGGTGTGAGCTCAGTTGCAAGCCTCCTGTTTAAAGGTGGATGCAGTCACCTTCCCAGCTAGACTTAGGGATTCATAGTCGGCCTAGGAAATCCAGCTAGCCCTGTCTCTCACCAGGAATGCTTGTGCTTGCTACTGAAAAGCTAAGGCCAGAGGTAAAGACTATGGATTTGGGGAATGAATATTCTGTGAAGCCATAAGATAATGGCCTGAGGTGCTGAGGACCAGTAGTGCTAGGAACTTTGCATCCATGACTATAGGGCTCTTTAGAACTGTGCCACAGTACAGCATCATGCAGTAGAATCTAAGTTGTTCTTTGTAATAATGAATGCCAGCAATATTTTAAAATAATAATAATACCATTAAAAAGTGGGCAAAGGACATGAATAGACATTTTTCAAAAGGAAACATACAAATCGCCAAGAAGTATATGAAAAATTAACAGTTAATGTTCATTGAATACTTATTGCAGGCTAGGTACTGAGTTGAGCATTTTGCATGCATCATCTCACTTAAAATAATGTATGTCCCAGCCTGGCCAACATGGTGAAACCCCATCTCTACTAAAAATACAAAAATTAGCCAGACATGGTGGTACATGCCTGTAATCCCAGCTACTCAGGAGGCTGAGGCAGGAGAATTGCTTGAATCTGGGAGGCAGAGGTTGCAGTGAGCCGAGATTGCACCACTGCACTCTAGCCTGGGTGACAGAGCGATACTCTGTCTCAAAAGATAATAATAATAAAATAATGTATGTCAATTGTTGAAATTTTGGAAAATGAACAAGTGTGTGTGTGAATAACTGGGTGTATTCTATACATATGGCTTTATAACTTACCTATTAACTTAAGGTCATTAATGCAATGTCATCAAATACTCTTTGGATCATCTAGATTGTTGCACATTATCCTATAATATGAGATGCCACAATTTATTTACACAGTCGACAATTGTAACCCAGCTTGCTTTTGGCTTTTACTGTTTTACATAATACTTGGTAAAAATCCTCATATAAATATTTGAAAATTTCCTAAGTGTCCATTTGTGAATGTAAAAATTATTTTAGAGATCTAAGATTTGGTGCAAAACTTGCAATCAGCTACATAGTTCTACTTGAGGCAATTTTCACTCAAAATATATCATAAACCATAGTACAAAAATAGAGCATAGACCTCTCCTTGTGAAGCAGTTGTTTTTGCCTTACATTTTTTTTTTTTTTTTTTTTTTTTGAGATGGAGTCTCGCTCTGTCGCCCGGGCTGGAGTGCAGTGGCGCAATCTCAGCTCACTGCAAGCTCCGCCTCCCGGGTTCACGCCATTCTCCTGCCTCAGCCTCCCGAGCAGCTGGGACTACAGGTGCCCGCTACCACGTCTGGCTAATTTTTTATATTTTTAGTAGAAACGGGGTTTCACTGTGTTAGCCAGGATGGTCTCGATCTCCTGACCTCGTGATCCGCCCACCTCGGCCTCCCAAAGTGCTGGGATTACAGGTGTGAGCCACCGTGCGTGGCTGCCTTAAATTTTTAATAATCATTGTGCAAATTATTTAGCACTCCAGTGTTTTGATTTTTCTCCTCTGCTGGGTAGGAATAACAATAATACTGTTATTCACCATGGTGGTGTGGGAAGTTTCAAAGAGCACATGTCTATAAAGTGCTTAGTGCAAGGCTTGGCATGCAGTTAACACAAAATAAATGCGAGCTGCTGTCATTAACAATACTGACTACACGGCACTGTGATGCTTATGTAAATGCCAGGCTGTGTGTCTGTAACCTGAGGTATTTGTGTAAATATTTTCCTAAAATAAATCTAACTAAGGTTGTTCTTCTCACTTGTATGGGGTCATCTTATGCGGTAGATGCTCAAACACAAATTCCAGATACAGAGTGGGCAGTGGTAGTTAGGAAGATAGAAAGGCTAGGGAGTGTTCCTGGGAAGTCAGTAAACTTGGAAGATCTAAGGTTATATTAAAAATGTTGTATCAGAACAAAGGCTCAGGACGTTAGTGTTAGCAGAAACCAGATATCTTAGAGCAGTGGTTTGTCAACTTTGCCAGCAATCCACAGTAAGAAATTCAACTCCGGCCGGGCGCGGGCCTGTAATCCCAGCACTTTGGGAAGCCGAGGCGGGTGGATGACTTGAGGTCAGGAGTTCGAGACCATCCTGGCTAACACAGTGAAACCCCGTCTCTACTAAAAATACAAAAATTAGCCGGGCGTGGTGGTGTGTGCCTGTAATCCCAGCTACTTGGGAGGTTGAGGCAGGAGAATCACTTGAACACAGGAGGCGGAGGTGACAGTGAGCCGAGATCGTGCCATTGCACTCCAGCCTGGGTGACAGAGGGAGACTCTATCTCAAAAAAAGAAAAAAAAGAAATTCAACTCCACTAACACCCACAATGCAAATAAATGTGTGAATGTGTACAACTATTTTATCAAGCAGTACTTATTATATGTGCTGTAATCTGATATTTTATAGCCTGTTTCATTTTATTTTAATGTTGATTGTTACCCACTAAATTTATTTCATTGAGACCCCCTAATTTGAAATATTGCCTTGAATATATATATACATATATATACACATATATACATATATATACACACATATATACACATATATACACACATATATACACATATATATACATATATACACATATATACATATATACACATATATACATATATACATATATATACACATATATACATATATACACATATATACATATATACACATATATACATATATACACATATATACATATATACATATATATACATATATACACATATATACATATACACATATATATACATATATACATATATATATACACATACATATATATATATACCCTTGTTTAAAAATAAAAGGTTTGCAGCTCCATATTTTTTAAAAAAATCTTACCCAAGCATTTAATCAGTACTGAATGGTTTTGTTCTTGTCTTCATGTCAAGTTGAATTTGGGGGTACTATTCCAGAATATTTACATGTTAGACAATGTTCTGTAAAAGGGGCATTGTAGCAGCATGCAGGCAGTATTCAACCAAAAACTGGGCAAGAGTCATAATTCACTCTGGTTTCTCTTTCCTTTTAAGCAGGTAGTTCCAATTTGCCAGCAGAATGAGTACAGAAAGAGACTCAGAAACGACATTTGACGAGGATTCTCAGCCTAATGACGAAGTGGTTCCCTACAGTGATGATGAAACAGAAGATGAACTTGATGACCAGGGGTCTGCTGTTGAACCAGAACAAAACCGAGTCAACAGGGAAGCAGAGGAGAACCGGGAGCCATTCAGAAAAGGTAACCACATGAAGTCCCGGTGACTAGGTCGCTTATAAATCCTCATGTGGGTCATGGCCACACGTGCCAAAGATGATCGGTCTATTTTGCGTGGTCTAGGAGAGAATCTTCTCTGATCTCTTCTTAGGATGCGACTGACAGAATGGTGGATGGGCTTGGACAAGTACCCATTGTCCTTAGTAAGAAGGGCTGGGAGAGCATATCTGACAAGTTCTGCAGAGAAAATACATTAAGGTCTTTGTTAGTGTGTGTATATATATATATATATATATATATATATATATATATATATATATATATATATATATATATATATATTTTGAGGCAGGGTCTCACTGTGTCTCCCCAGCTGGAGTCCAGTGGTGTGAACTCGGCTCACTGCAGCCTTGACCTCCTGGACTCAAGTGATCCTCCTACCTCAGCCTCCTGAGTAGCTGGACTACAGGCATGCACCAGTATGTCCAACTAATTTTTGTATTTGTGTGTGTGTTTGTGTGTGTAGATGGTATTTCACTATGTTGCCCAGGCTCGTCTCAAACTCCTGAGCTCAAGGGATCTGCCCACCTCAACCTCTCAAACTCCTGGAATTACAGGCATGAGCTACGATGCGTAGCCAGTGTATATATTCTTAAAATGGAGTTATGCGGGCAAGAATCTGCATGTTACTGCACCCAGAAATTTTTAAAGGATACATATCAATCAGTCTTAGATGTTAACTATTAGTATTGTTAAATTGGCGGTATGAGTTATATAAATAACCATCCTTGTGTATGTGTGTGTGTGTGTGTGTGTATATATATATATATATATATATATATATATATGTATATGGTCTGCCCAGGGTCAGGCCAGCATCAGAGGCAGGGTCTAGACCAAGGCCAGCAAACTTTTTCTGTAAAGGGCCAGCAAGTAAACATTTTAGGCTTTGTGGACCACGTGGTCTCTGCCAATGTTGAGTGTAAGTGACCGCAGACAGTACATCACTGAAGGCAGTAGAACATGGCTTGCTTTTACCATGATGCCTTTTCTTTTGTGGCTTTTCTATTTCATCTCCTGCTGGTTCTCCCACCCTGGCAAACAGATGTGGGCTTCTCTTGTAGCTCTTCTCCATGAGCAAGCTGAGACTTTTCTCTCTGGACCCCAGATTTGATATCAGGCTGAAAATATTTCCTCCATGGTGTTCCCTAAAATTCTAGCCGAACAACCTTAGCATCACATTCACAGAAATCATTATCATAGTGTTCTGGTTTCAGCGCTCCAGACACGCCTCCCTGCAGCCTTAGTCAGAGAAGCCTCGGATTTTAGCTGGTTTTCCCGAGGTCTCTGTTACTGCCATTCTGCCCTTGAAGGCTTTCTAGAAGCCTCTTTTTCCCCCATGCCAAACCCCCCCTCTAGTTTCTCTTTCTTGGGTTCTGCTATCTGGATGAGCTATTTTTTTCTAATAATTTTAACCTGTAGAAGATGTGATATGCATGAAATCCCATTTCTGCAATGATTCTTCCTGTTCTGGTCACAGAATCTGCCTGTGGGGAGATTCTCAGTGTGGGGAGTGCATGCACCCCGCGAGCCCCATCTCACCCAAATGTGGGGAGGCCATTGACTCCTGTATGTTGTGTGTCCGCTACCTTTCCATAGCAAACATTTAGATGGATTACCTCTTAGAGTGGGTTTCTGGTTTTGATTTCAAGCTGTTGAGGATTGAGCTTAAGTGCCTTCTGCCTTGAATCAGAAGGTACTAAACTCATGATACTTGACCAAAATTAAAGTGAAATTCCCTGCCGGGCACAGTGGCTCACGCCTGCAATCCCAGCACTTTGGGAGACTGAGGTGAGTGGATCACCTGAGGTCAGGAGTTCAAGACCAGCCAGACCAACATGGTGAAACCCCGTCTCTACTAAAAATACAAAAATTAGCCAGGCGTGGTGGCAAGTGCCTGTAGTCCCAGCTATTTGGGAGGCTGAGGCAGGAGAATCACTAGAACCCGGCAGGCAGAGGTGGCAGTGAGCTGAGATGGTGCCATTGCACTCCAGCCTGGGCAACAAGAGTGAAACTCCAACTCAAAAAAAAAAAAAAAAAAGAAAGAAAGAAAATGGAATTCCCACCAATCTGAACAGGAAGGTGGCCTCTGTCATAACAGGTCCAGACTGGATATTGGTGAACTAGCTAAAGCTGAAGCAGCCAGACAAGTTACAAGGAAGTTCTAGTTGATTGCCCAAACAGTGAATAAAACATGCTTCTTCCTCATTCCTTTCCCCGCTAATTGCACTGCTTAGTCTCCTATCACAATTTTGGAATCTCTACCAAATGTAGATATCTGATGGGGTGGCAGGAGAATTGGCTCCATGGGGTCCAGGGTCAACTTTGCTCTTGGTGCTTGGTGGCACGCCATCAGACGTGTAGTCCGAGACACAGCAAAGGGACCGGGATTGGGTGCCTGCAGAAATGTCAGAGACGCATGTAGTGGGTGGAAACTCTCATCCCCTGTTTTTTTACAACTCTGCCTGCCCATTCTGGTGGTTAGGATCCTTTCCTGATCATTCAGTTTGCAGGTCATATGTTTTGTAGATTTCTACCCTCGGTATATGGGCATTAAAAGAGCTCAGTCTTGGCCGGGTGCGGCGACTCATGCCTGTAATCCCAGCACTTTGGGAGGCCAAGGAAGTTGAATCGCCTGAGGTCAGGAGTTCGAGACCAGCCTGGCCAACATAGTGAAACCCCATCTCTATTAAAAATACAAAAATTAGCCCGGCATGGTGGTGCACACCTATAATCCCAGCTACTCGGGAGGCTGAGGCAGGAGAATCGCTTGAACCTGGGAAATGGAGGTTGCAGTGAACCAAGATCCCACCACTACACGCCATCCTGGGTGACAAAGTGAGACTCCATCTCAAAAAAAAAAAAAAAATGCTCAGTCTTGAATCTTAGTCATGTTTTCCAAGGGTGATTTATATTCCTAGGGGATTTGGGTGGTTCTCGCTTCTCAAAACCCATATCAAATGACTTTGCCTGTGACTTTTTACAAAAATTCTTATTCTAATACCTCTCTGCGCCCTTCCCAAGCACACAGATGATGTTCAGTAAATGCCAGACCTCTTTCCTCCCATTTCCCATGTGCCCTGCCTCCCTCACAGCCAGTCTGCTCTCCTTCTTTCCTCCCTTCCTCTCTTTGCCCTCTTCATCCCTCTTTCCTTTCCCACTATATTCTCATTTGTGCAATTTCCCAGTTAAGGTCAGTGTCACCCTGACTTCTCTTTCTTTTTTTAATCATCATCTGTCTTTCTTGACATTTCACATCCTGAATAATTTCCTTCAGAGAATCAGTTCTTTAAGACATCAGAACATGAGTCACCCTGCGAGGTACCACCAGACTAACACCAGGGACCAGCACCCATTCTAGCAAAACACTGCCTAAGCAGCCTGAACTGCGCTAGTTTCTTTAATGAGGGTTGTAGCACAGAAAGTTGCTTTCTTTTTTTTTTAAAGAAAGGAAATCCTCTAGCCCAACTAAGCTTTCCTGTTAAACAAGTGCTTTGAGAGACCCATTCAGAGTACTTTTCACTAGAAGGACCTTTATTGTGTTTTGTGAGAAGGAAGGACAGGCACAAACATGCTGTTAGAATGTGCCATGGAGAAAGATAAGCCCACAGGTTCGAGTGGAGTAACTTTACCCTTTGTGTAAAGATTCAGCAAAGATTCTCAGAAATGAGCGGGAATGTTTTCAGTGCTATGGGATGAGCTCTGTCGTTTCCTGATGAACACACTTCTCAGCATGTGTTCTGGGAAACACTAGTTTTTGTATTTTTGGAGTTTTCTTGTTGTTTGTTTGTTTGTTTTTGTTTTGAGATGGAGTCTCTCTCTGTCGCCCAGACTGGAGAGCAGAGGCGCGATATCGGCTCACTGCAACCCCGCTCCTGGGTTCAAGCGATTCTCCTGCCTCAGCCTCCCAAGTAGCTGGGATTACAGGCGTATGCTACCACGCCTGGCTAATTTTTGTATTTTTAGTAGAGACAGAGTTTCACCATGTTGGCCAGGATGGTCTCGATCTCCTGAACTTGTGATCCACCAGCCTCAGCCTCCCAAAGTGCTGGGATTATAGGCGTGAGCTACCACACCCGGCCTTAAAGTGATATCTTCATAAAATAATCTGGAATTAAGAATGTGGGGTCTTTAGCGCATCTATGAATTAATATTTAGTTGGAACCAAAACACAGATAAAGATGGCTCATTGAAACGTATCAATCGTAGGATATCCTAGGGAATCTGTGAAAAGTGCTGAGGGAGCTGTTCCACTTAATAAGATGAATTTTCCATTTTCGGCACATACCACATATGGGAGTCTACTCTGGCTACTTATTTTCTTTCTTTCTCTGATCGGTTGTAAATTACCATCCACCTCCACAGCCTAAAAACACCAGAGTAATTGATGCTTGTAAAGCCGCAGGGTGAGGGGTATTCCTGCACTGAGTGATTACTGATGGGGAAGGGTGGTGATACTGTGCCATCTCATTTTATTTTATTCTTTTTATTTATTTGTTTATTTATTTATTTGACAGAATCTCGCTCTTGTTGCCCAGGCTGGAGTGAAGTGGCGTGATCTCAGCTCACTGCAACCTCCGCCTCCCGGGTTCAAGTGATTCTCCTGCCTCAGCCTCCCGAGTAGCTGGGATTACCGGCGCCCGCCATCACGCCCAGCTAATTTTTGTATTTTTAGTAAGGACGGAATTTTGCCATGTTGGCCAGGCTTGTCTTGAACTCCTGACCTAAGGTGATTCGCCCACCCTGGCCTCCCAAAGTGCTGGGATTACAGGCATGAACCACTGTGCCCGGCCTATTCTATTTATTTTTAAGATCTTGGGCAACATGCTCATTTTAGAGAATTTGCTTTCAAGTCATGTAATTTATGATTGAACCTTGGGTAAGAATCTCTTGCTCATGGAAACCTAACTCAGCTGGTGGTTTTCTTCCTGCTACTTTGCAGCCCAAGTTCAGAAGTAGATTTTTAATGATAGAAGTCACCATAGGAAGACACTCTCCTTTGCACTAACTGGGGGTTCTCAGTCCTGCCTGTACATCAGAACCTCTTGTGGAATTTTTACAAACTCTCTAGGTGCCTGGACCCAGCCCCTGAAGATACAGAGTGGTTCTGGGATGAGGCAAGGGGAAGAATCTATCATTTAAAATGAATTCAGTGGCCTGAATATTTTCTCCCATTCTGTTGTCTCTTTACTTTGTTGATTGTTTCCTTTGCTTTACAGAAGCTTTTTAACTTGTGATCTCATTTGTCCGTTTTTGCTTTGGTTGCCTGTGCTTGTGAAGTATTACTCAAGAAATCTTTGCCCAGTTTAGTGTCCTGGAGAGTTTCCCAAGTGGTTTTTTTGTTGTTGTTGTTTGTTTTTGTTTGAGGCAGAGTCTTGCTCTGTCACCAGGCTGAAGTGCAGTGGCACAATCTTGGCTCACTGCAACCTCAACTTCTTGAGTTCAAGCAATTCCCTTGCCTCAGCCTCCCGAGTAGCTGGGACTACAGGTATGTACCACCATGCTCGGCTAACTTTTTGTATTTTAGTAGAGACAGGGTTTCACCATGTTGGCCAGGATGGTCTCCATCTCTTGACCTTGTGATCCACCCACCTTGGCTTCCCAAAGTGCTGGAATTACAGGCGTGAGCCACCATGCTCAGACTTCCCCAGGGTTTTCTTGGAGTAGTTTCATAGTTTGAGGTCTTAGATTTAAGTCTGTAATCCATTTTGATTCAATTTTTGCATATGACAAGAGATGGGGTCTACTTTCATTCATCTACATATAAATATGCAGTTTTTCCTTGCATCATTTATTGAAGAGACTGCCTTTCCCCAATGTATGTTCTTGGCACCTTTGTTGAAAACAAGTTTACTAAGGATGTATGAATTTATCTCTGAGTTCTCTTTTCTGTTCCATTGATCTGTGTGTCTGTTTTTATGCCAATACCACGTTGTTTTGGTTATTATAGCTCTGTCATATAATTTGAAGTCAGGTAGTGTGATTCCTACAGTTCTGTTCTTTTGGCTTAGATTAGCTGTGGCTTTTCTGGGTCTTCTGTGGTTCCCATACAAATTTTAGGATTTTTTTTCTATTTCTGTGAAGACAGTCATTGGTATTTTCATAGAGATTGCATTGAATCTGTAGATTGCTTTGGGCAGTGTGGACATTTTAACAATATTCCAATCCATGAGCATGGAATATCATTCCATTTTTCTGGTGTCCTCTTTAGTTTCTTGCATCATTGCAATCAATTTATAGTTTTGATTGCAGAGATCTTTTACTTCTTTGGTAAACTTAATTCTTAGCTATTTTATTCATAGCTATTATAAATGGGATTATTTTTTTTCTTTTTTTTTTATTATACTTTAAGTTTTAGGGTACATGTGCACATTGTGCAGGTTAGTTACATATGTATACATGTGCCATGCTGGTGCGCTGCACCCACTAACTCATCATCTAGCATTAGGTATATCTCCCAATGCTATCCCTCCCCCCTCCCCCCACCCCACCACAGTCCCCAGAGTGTGATATTCCCCTTCCTGTGTCCATGTGATCTCATTGTTCAATTCCCACCTATGAGTGAGAATATGCGGTGTTTGGTTTTTTGTTCTTGCGATAGTTTACTGAGAATGATGATTTCCAATTTCATCCATGTCCCTACAAAGGACATGAACTCATCCTTTTTTATGGCTGCATAGTATTCCATGGTGTATATGTGCCACATTTTCTTAATCCAGTCTATCATTGTTGGACATTTGGGTTGGTTCCAAGTCTTTGCTATTGTGAATAATGCCGCAATAAACATACGTGTGCATGTGTCTTTATAGCAGCATGATTTATAGTCATTTGGGTGTATACCCAGTAATGGGATGGCTGGGTCAAATGGTATTTCTAGTTCTAGATCCCTGAGGAATCGCCACACTGACTTCCACAATGGTTGAACTAGTTTACAGTCCCACCAACAGTGTAAAAGTGTTCCTATTTCTCCACATCCTCTCCAGCACCTGTTGTTTCCTGGCTTTTTAATGATTGCCATTCTAACTGGTGTGAGATGGTATCTCACAGTGGTTTTGATTTGCATTTCTCTGATGGCCAGTGATGATGAGCATTTTTTCATGTGTTTTTTGGCTGCATAAATGTCTTCTTTTGATTAGTGTCTGTTCATGTCCTTCGCCCACTTTTTGATGGGGTTGTTTGTTTTTTTCTTGTAAATTTGTTTGAGTTCATTGTAGATTCTGGATATTAGCCCTTTGTCAGATGAGTAGGTTGCGAAAATTTTCTCCCATTTTGTAGGTTGCCTGTTCACTCTGATGGTAGTTTCTTTTGCTGTGCAGAAGCTCTTTAGTTTAATTAGATCCCATTTGTCAATTTTGTCTTTTGTTGCCATTGCTTTTGGTGTTTTGGACATGAAGTCCTTGCCCATGCCTATGTCCTGAATGGTAATGCCTAGGTTTTCTTCTAGGGTTTTTATGGTTTTAGGTCTAACGTTTAAATCTTTAATCCATCTTGAATTGATTTTTGTATAAGGTGTAGGGAAGGGATCCAGTTTCAGTTTCCTACATATGGCTAGCCAGTTTTCCCAGCACCATTTATTAAATAGGGAATCCTTTCCCCATTGCTTGTTTTTCTCAGGTTTGTCAAAGGTCAGATAGTTCTAGGTATGCGGCATTATTTCTGAGGGCTCTGTTCTGTTCCATTGATCTATATTTCTGTTTTGGTACCAGTACCATGCTGTTTTGGTTACTGTAGCCTTGTAGTATAGTTTGAAGTCAGGTAGTGTGATGCCTCCAGCTTTGTTCTTTTGGCTTAGGATTGACTTGGCAATCCGGGCTCTTTTTTGGTTCCATATGAACTTTAAAGTAGTTTTTTCCAATTCTGTGAAGAAAGTCATTGGTAGCTTGATGGGGATGGCATTGAATCTGTAAATTACCTTGGGCAGTATGGCCATTTTCACGATATTGATTCTTCCTACCCATGAGCATGGAATGTTCTTCCATTTGTTTGTATCCTCTTTTATTTCCTTGAGCAGTGGTTTGTAGTTCTCCTTGAAGAGGTCCTTCACATCCCTTGTAAGTTGGATTCCTAGGTATTTTATTCTCTTTGAAGCAATTGTGAATGGGAGTTCACTCATGATTTGGCTCTCTGTTTGTCTGTTGTTGGTGTATAAGAATGCTTGTGATTTTTGTACATTGATTTTGTATCCTGAGACTTTGCTGAAGTTGCTTATCAGCTTAAGGAGATTTTGGGCTGAGACAATGGGGTTTTCTAGATATACAATCATGTCATCTGCAAACAGAGACAATTTGACTTCCTCTTTTCCTAACTGAATACCCTTTATTTCCTTCTCCTGCCTAATTGCCCGGGCCAGAACTTCCAACACTATGTTGAATAGGAGTGGTGAGAGAGGGCATCCCTGACTTGTGCCAGTTTTCAAAGGGAATGCTTCCAGTTTTTCCCCATTCAGTATGATATTGGCTGTGGGTTTGTCATAGATAGCTCTTATTATTTTGAAATACGTCCCATCAATACCTAATTTACTGAGAGTTTTTAGCATGAAGGGTTGTTGAATTTTGTCAAAGGCTTTTTCTGCATCTATTGAGATAATCATGTGGTTTTTGTCTTTGGCTCTGTTTATATGCTGGATTACATTTATCGATTTGCGTATATTGAACCAGCCTTGCATCCCAGGGATGAAGCCCACTTGATCATGGTGGATAAGCTTTTTGATGTGTTGCTGGATTCGGTTTGCCAGTATTTTATTGAGGATTTTTGCATCAATGTTCATCAAGGATATTGGTCTAAAATTCTCTTTTTTGGTTGTGTCTCTGCCCGGCTTTGGTATCAGAATGATGCTGGCCTCATAAAATGAGTTAGGGAGGATTCCCTCTTTTTCTATTGATTGGAATAGTTTCAGAAGGAATGGTACCAGTTCCTCCTTGTACCTCTGGTAGAATTCGGCTGTGAATCCATCTGGTCCTGGACTCTTTTTGGTTGGTAAACTATTGATTATTGCCACAATTTCAGATCCTGTTATTGGTCTATTCAGAGATTCAACTTCTTCCTGGTTTAGTCTTGGGAGAGTGTATGTGTCCAGGAATTTATCCATTTCTTCTAGATTTTCTAGTTTATTTGCGTAGAGGTGTTTGTAGTATTCTCTGATGGTAGTTTGTATTTCTGTGGGATCGGTGGTGATATCCCCTTTATCATTTTTTATTGTGTCTATTTGATTCTTCTCTCTTTTTTTCTTTATTAATCTTGCTAGCGGTCTATCAATTTTGTTGATCCTTTCAAAAAACCAGCTCCTGGATTCACTGATTTTTTGAAGGGTTTTTTGTGTCTCTATTTCCTTCAGTTCTGCTCTGATTTTAGTTATTTCTTGCCTTCTGCTAACTTTTGAATGTGTTTGCTCTTGCTTTTCTACTTCTTTTAATTGTGATGTTAGGGTGTCAATTTTGGATCTTTCCTGCTTTCTCTTGTGGGCATTTAGTGCTATAAATTTCCCTCTACACACTGCTTTGAATGCGTCCCAGAGATTCTGGTATGTTGTGTCTTTGTTCTCGTTGGTTTCAAAGAACATCTTTATTTCTGCCTTCATTTCGTTATGTACCCAGTAGTCATTCAGGAGCAGGTTGTTCAGTTTCCACGTAGTTGAGCGGCTTTGAGTGAGATTCTTAATCCTGAGTTCTAGTTTGATTGCACTGTGGTCTGAGAGATAGTTTGTTATAATTTCTGTTCTTTTACATTTGCTGAGGAGAGCTTTACTTCCAACTATGTGGTCAATTTTGGAATAGGTGTGGTGTGGTGCTGAAAAAAATGTATATTCTGTTGATTTGGGGTGGAGAGTTCTGTAGATGTCTATTAGGTCCGCTTGGTGCAGAGCTGAGTTCAATTCCTGGGTATCCTTGTTGACTTTCTGTCTCGTTGATCTGTCTAATGTTGACAGTGGGGTGTTAAAGTCTCCCATTATTAATGTGTGGGAGTCTAAGTCTCTTTGTAGGTCACTCAGGATTTGCTTTATGAATCTGGGTGCTCCTGTATTGGGTGCATATATATTTAGGAGAGTTAGCTCTTCTTGTCGAATTGATCCCTTTACCATTATGTAATGGCCTTCTTTGTCTCTTTTGATCTTTGTTGGTTTAAAGTCTGTTTTATCAGAGACTAGGATTGCAACCCCTGCCTTTTTTTGTTTTCCATTTGCTTGGTAGATCTTCCTCCATCCTTTTATTTTGAGCCTGTGTGTGTCTCTGCACGTGAGATGGGTTTCCTGAATACAGCACACTGATGGGTCTTGACTCTTTATCCAATTTGCCAGTCTGTGTCTTTTAATTGGAGAATTTAGTCCATTTACATTTAAAGTGAATATTGTTATGTGTGAATTTGATCCTGTCATTATGATGTTAGCTGGTGATTTTGCTCGTTAGTTGATGCAGTTTCTTCCTAGTCTCAATGGTCTTTACATTTTGGCATGATTTTGCAGCGGCTGGTACCGGTTGTTCCTTTCCATGTTTAGTGCTTCCTTCAGGAGCTCTTTTAGGGCAGGCCTGGTGGTGACAAAATCTCTCAGCATTTGCTTGTCTGTAAAGTATTTGATTTCTCCTTCACTTATGAAGCTTAGTTTGGCTGGATATGAAATTCTGGGTTGAAAATTCTTTTCTTTAAGAATGTTGAATACTGGCCCCCACTCTCTTCTGGCTTGTAGGGTTTCTGCCGAGAGATCCGCTGTTAGTCTGATGGGCTTCCCTTTGAGGGTAACCCAACCTTTCTCTCTGGGTGCCCTTAACATTTTTTCTTTCATTTCAACTTTGGTGAATCTGACAATTATGTGTCTTGGAGTTGCTCTTCTCGAGGAGTATCTTTGTGGCGTTCTCTGTATTTCCTGAATCTGAACGTTGGCCTGCCTTGCTAGATTGGGGAAGTTCTCCTGGATAATATCCTGCAGAGTGTTTTCCAACTTGGTTCCATTCTCCCCATCACTTTCAGGTACACCAATCAGACGTAGATTTGGTCTTTTCACATAGTCCCATATTTCTTGGAGGCTTTGCTCATTTCTTTTTATTCTTTTTTCTCTAAAGTTCCCTTCTCGCTTCATTTCATTCATTTCATCTTCCATTGCTGATACCCTTTCTTCCAGTTGATCGCATCGGCTCCTGAGGCTTCTGCATTCTTCACGTAGTTCTCGAGCCTTGGTTTTCAGCTCCATCAGCTCCTTTAAGCACTTCTCTGTATTGGTTATTCTAGTTATACATTCTTCTAAATTTTTTTCAAAGTTTTCAACTTCTTTGCCTTTGGTTTGAATGTCCTCCCGTAGCTCAGAGTAATTTGATCGTCTGAAGCCTTCTTCTCTCAGCTCGTCAAAGTCATTCTCCATCCAGCTTTGTTCTGTTGCTGGTGAGGAACTGCGTTCCTTTGGAGGAGGAGAGACGCTCTGCGTTTTAGAGTTTCCAGTTTTTCTGTTCTGTTTTTTCCCCATCTTTGTGGTTTTATCTACTTTTGGTCTTTGATGATGGTGATGTACAGATGGGTTTTCTGTGTGGATGTCCTTTCTGTTTGTTAGTTTTCCTTCTAACAGACAGGACCCTCAGCTGCAGGTCTGTTGGAATACCCTGCCGTGTGAGGTGTCAGTGTGCCCCTGCTGGGGGGTGCCTCCCAGTTAGGCTGCTCGGGGGTCAGGGGTCAGGGACCCACTTGAAGAGGCAGTCTGTTGGTTCTCAGATCTCCAGCTGCGTGCTGGGAGAACCACTGCTCTCTTCAAAGCTGTCAGACAGGGACATTTAAGTCTGCAGAGGTTACTGCTGTCTGTACCCTGCCCCCAGAGGTGGAGCCTACAGTGGCAGGCAGGCCTCTGAGCTGTGGTGGGCTCCACCCAGTTCGAGCTTCCCGGCTGCTTTGTTTACCTAAGCAAGCCTGGGCAATGGCGGGCACCTCTCCCCCAGCCTCGCTGCCGCCTTGCAGTTTGATCTCAGACTGCTGTGCTAGCAATCAGTGAGATTCCGTGGGCGTAGGACCCTCCGAGCCAGGTGTGGGATATAGTCTCTAGGTGCGCCGTTTTTCAAGCCGGTCTGAAAAGCGCAATATTCGGGTGGGAGTGACCCGATTTTCCAGGTGCGTCCGTCACCCCTTTCTTTGACTCGGAAAGGGAACTCCCTGACCCCTTGCGCTTCCCAGGTGAGGCAATGCCTCGCCTTGCTTCGGCTCGCGCACAGTGCGCGCACCCACTGGCCTGCGCCCACTGTCTGGCACTCCCTAGTGAGATGAACCCGGTACCTCAGATGGAAATGGAGAAATCACCGGTCTTCTGTGTCTCTCACGCTGGGAGCTGTAGACCGGAGCTGTTCCTATTCGGCCATCTTGGCTCCTCCCAATGGGATTATTTTCTTGATTTCTTTTTCAGATTGTTTGCTGTTGGCATACAGAAAGGCTACTGATTTCTGTATGTTGATTTTGTATCTTGCAACCTTACAGAATTTGTTTACCAGTTCTGATAGTTTTTTGGTGGAGTCTTTAGGTTTTTCCAAATATGAGATCATATCATCCGCAAACAAGGATAATTTGACTTATTCCTTTCCAATTTGGATGCCGTTTATTTCTTTCTCTTGTCCGATTGCTCTAGCTAGGACTTCTGGTGAAAGTAGGCATCCTTGACATGTTCCAGATCTAAGAGGAAAGGCTTTTAGTTTTTCCCCATTCAGTTTGATACTAGCTATGGGTCTGTCATATATGGCTTTTATTATACTGAGGTATGTTGTTCTGTACCCAGTTTTTTGAGGATTTTTTTTATCATGAAGTGATGTTGAATTGTATCAAATTCTTTTTCAGCATCAATTGAAATGATCATATGGTTTTTGCCCTTCATTCTGTTGACATGACATATCACATTAATTGATTTGTGTATGTTGAACAATCTTTGCATTTCTGGGATAAATCCCACTTGATCATGATGAATGATCTTTTTAATGTGTTGTTGAATTCAATTTTCTAGTATTTTGTTGAGGATTTTTGCATCAACATTCATCAATGATATTGGCCTATAGGTCTTTTTGTTTTTGTTTTTGTTTTTTGATGTGTCTTTGTCTGGTTTTGGCATCAGGGTAATACTGGCCTTGTAGAATGAGTTTGGAAGTATTTCCTCCTGTTTATTTTAGAATAGATTGAGTAGGATTGGTATTAGTTCTTCTTTAAATGCTTGGTAGTATTCAGTAGTGAAGCCATTGGGTCCTGGGATTTTCTTTGCTGAGAGACTTTTTATTATGGCTTTGATCTCATTACTTGTTATTCATCTGTTTGGGTTTTGGATTTCTTTATGATTCAATCTTGGTAGGTTTTATGTATCTAGGAATTTATCCATTTTTTTCTACATTTTCCAATTTATTGGCAAATAGTTGCTCATAGTAGCCACTAATGATCTTTGAATTTCTGTGGTAACAGTTGTAATGTCTTCTTTTTCAGCTCTGATTTTATTTATTTGGGTCTCTCTTTTTTTGCTTTTTTTTTTTTTTTTTTTTTTTAGTTAGTCCAGCTAAAGGTTTGTCAATTTTGTTTATCTTTTCAAGAAACTAACTTCTTGGCCAGGCACAGTGGCTCACACCTGTAATCCCAGCACTTTGGGAGGCTGAGGTAGGTGGATCACTTGAGGGCAGGAGTTTGAGACCAGCCTGGCCAACACAGTGGAACCCTGTCTCTACTAAAACTACAAAAATTAGCCAGGTGTGGTGGCACATGCCTATAGTCCTGGCTACTCCTAGCTACTCAGGAGACTGAGGCACAAGAATTGCTTGAACCTGGGAGGCGGAGGTTGCAGTGAGCCAAGATCGCACCACTGCACTCCAGCCTGGGCAACAGAGTGAGACTCTGTCTCCAAAAAAAAACCAAACCAAACCAAACCAAAACAAAAAACCGTTTTTGTTTCATTGATCTTTTGTATTGTTTTCTTTGTTTCAATGTCATTTATCTCTGCTTTGATCTTTATTATTTCTTTTCTTCTAGTAACTTTGGGTTTGGTTTGCTCTTGCTTTTCTAGTTCTTTTTTTTTTTTTTTTTTTTTTTTTTTTTTTTTTTTTTTTTGAGACAGAGTCTTGCTCTGTTACCCAGGTTGGAGTGCAGTGGTGTGATCTCGGCTTACTGCAAGCTCCGCCTCCCGGGTTCATGCCATTCTCCTGCCTCAGCCTCCCCAGCAGCTGGGACTACAGGTGCCCGCCACTGTGCCCACCTAAGTTTTTTGTATTTTTTTAGTAGCAATGGGGTTTCAGTGTGTTAGCCAGGATGGTCTCGATCTCCTGACCTCATGATCTGCCCACCTCGGCCTCCCAAAGTGTTGGGATTACAGGCGTGAGCCACTGCACCTGGCTCTAGTTCTTTTAGATGCATCATCAGGTTGTTTGAAGTTTTTCTTATTTTTTGATGTAGGCACGTATAGCTATAAACTTCCCTCCTAGTACTGCTTTCACTGTGTCCCACAGGTTTTGGTTTATCATGTTTCCATTATCATTTGTTTGAAGAAATTTTTCAGTTTCCTGTTTAATTTCTTCATTGACCCACTGGTCATTTAGGAACATATTGTTTAATTTCCATGTTTTTGTATAGTTTCCAAAATTCCTCTTATTATTGATTTCTAGTTTTACTCATTGTGGTCAGTCAGATGTTTGATATTATTTCAATTTATTTGAATGTTTTAAGACTCGTTCTGTGACTTAATATACGTTCTGTCTTTGAGAATGATCCACGTGCTGAGGAAAAGAATGTGTATTCTACAGCTGTTGTATGAAATATTTTATAAATATCTATTTGGTCTATAGTGCAGATTAAGTCCCATGTTTCTTTGTTGATTTTCTGTCTGGAAGATCTGTCCAGTGCTGAAAGTGTAGTGTTGATGTCTCCAGCTATTATTTTACTGGGGTCTATCACTCTCTTTAGCTCTAGTAATATTTGCTTTATATATCTGGGTGCTCCAGTGTAAGGTGGATAAATATTTAAAACTATTATATCCTCTTGCTGAACTGACCTCTTTATCATTATATAGTGACTTTGTCTCTTCTTATAGTTTTGTCTTGAAATCTATTTTGTCTGATATAAATATAGGTATCCTGTTCTTTTTTGCTTTCCATTGGCATGGAATATCTTCTTCAATCCCTTCATTTTCAGTCCAGGTGGAGTGTCTGTTGTAGGCAACAGATCACTGGGTCTTTTTTTTTTTTAAATCTATTCAGCCACTCTATATCTTTTGATTGACAGTTTAGCCCATTTACATTCGATGTTATATTGATAAGTAAGGACTTACTCTTGCCATTTTGTTATGTTTTCCGGTGGCTTTGTGGTCTTCTCTTCCTTCTTTCCTCCCTTCCCTTCTGCCTTTTAGTGAAGGTGGTTTTCTCTTGTGGTGTGCTTTAATTTCCTGCTTTTTATTTTGTATATATCCATTGTATGTTTTTTGATTTGAGGTTACCATGAGGCTTGTAAGTACTGTCTAATAACTCATTATTTTAAGCTAAAAGAAAACTAATAAACTCTACACTTTAACTTCCTCCCTCTGCTTTTTAACTTTTTATTGTTTCTATTTATATCTTATTGTACTATGTCTTGAAAAGTTGTTCTAGTCACTATTTTTTATCAGTTAATCTTTTAGTCATTTTACTGAAGAGTAGTTTACATGTCACAGTCACAGTGTTATACTATTCTGGGTTTTTCTGTATACTTAACTGTTACCAGTGAGTTTTGTGCCTTCAGGTGATTTCTTATTGCTCACTAACATCGTTTACTTTCTGATTAATGTACTCTGTTTAGCATTTCCTGTAGGACAGGTCTAGTGTTGATGAAATCCCTCAGCTTTTGTTTGTCTGGGAAGGTCTTCATTTCTCCTTTATGCTTGAATATATTTTCCTTCAGCACTTTAAATATGTCATGCCACTCTCTCCTGGCCTATAAGGTTTCCACTGAAAAGTCTGCTGCCAGACGTATTGGAGTGCCATTGTATTTTATTTGTTTCTTTTCTTTTGCTGCTTTTAGGATCCTTCCTTTTATCCTTGACTTTTAGGAATTTGATTACTAAATGCCTGAGGTAGTCTTCTTTGGGTTAATCTGCTTGGTGTTCTACAACCTTCTTGTTCTTGGATATTGATATCTTCCTCTAGGTTTGGGAAGTTCTCTGTTATTATCCTTTGAATAAACTTTCTACCCCTGTCTCTTTCTCTACCTCCACTTTAATGCCAATAACTCTTAGATTTGCTTTTTTAAGTCTATTTTCTAGATCTTGTAGGTGTACTTCTTTCTTTTTTATTCTTTTTTCTTCTGTCTCCTCTGACCATATTTTCCAATAGCTTACCTTCCAGCTCACTAATTCTTTGTTCCACTTATTCAATCCTGGTATTAAAAGTCTCTGATGCATTCTTCAGTATGTCGGTTGCATTTTTCAACTCCGGAATTTCAGCTTGACTCTTTTTAATTATTTCAATCTCTGTTACATTTATCTGATAGAATTCTAAACTTTTTCTGTGTTGTCTTGAATTTCTTTGAGTTTCCTCTTTGTTAAGTTTATCTGATAGAGTTCTGAATGTCTTCTCTGTGCTATCTTGAATTTCTTTGAGTTTCCTCAAAATGGCAATTTTGAATTTTCTGTCTGAAAGGTCATATAGTTTTGTTTCTGCAGGTTTGGCCCCTGGTGTCTTATTTAGTTTGTTTGGTGAAGTCATGTTTTCCTGGATGTTCTTGATGCTTGTGGATGTTCATCAATGTCTGGGCATTGAAGAGTTAGATATTTATTGTAGCTCTCACAGTCTGGGCTTGTTTATACCCATCCTTCTTGGGAAGGATTTCCAGGTATTCAAAAGAACTTGGATATTATGATTGAACCCATATCTGCATTAGGGGGCATCCCAAGCTCAATAACGCTGCATTTCTTGCAGACTATCTGGAAGAATTATCTGGATTATCAAGCCCACACTCTTGTTCTTGTTGCTTACTTTCTCCCAAACAGAATCAATCTCTCTCTCTCTCTTTTTTTGCTCTTTCTCTCTCCCCCTTCCCCCCTCCCTCCTCTCCCTTTCTCCTTCTCTCTCTCCCTCTGTTCTGGGCCACCCAGAGCTAGGGGGGTGGAGATACAAGCACCAATATGGCCATCACCACTGAGAATGTACTGGGTCAGACATGAAGCTGGCACCACACTGGGTCTCGCCATGGCCCACTGTAACCATGATCTGGCTGCCTATGTTCCCTCAATGCCCTGTTGTGAAGCCAGCCAGGCTAGCTTCAAGCCAGTGAGTTCCCCCAGGCTGCAGCCAGATCCAGAGATGCCATCTGGGAGCCATGGACTGGAGTCCAAAACCTTAGAAATCTGCTTGGTGTCCTATCTATTCTACTGTGGCTGAGCTGGCACTCAAACCATTAGCCAGTCCTTTCCACTATTCTGCCCTTTCCACAGGCTCAGGGGCCTCTCCCCATGTCCACCACCACCACAGGCCTATGAGGAGTGCTGCCAGGTTACTGCTGATGTTCGGTAAAGGCCTATGGCCTCTTCAGTCAGCTTGTGGTAAATCCTTTCAGTCACCCTTCAGGGCAGTGAGCTCCCCTCTGGCAAAAAGCAAGTCCAGAGATGTCATCCAAGAACCTAAGGCCTAGACTCAGGGACCCCAAGAGGGGTCTCTATTTGTTGCTTTACCCCACTGTGGCCAAGGTGGTAGCAAGTGCAAGGCAGGCTGGGCGCAGTGTCTCATGCCTGTAATCCCAGCACTTTGGGAGGCTGAGGCGGGCAGATCACTTGAGGCCAGGAGTTAGAGACCAGCCTGGCCAACATGGCGAAACCCTGTCTCTACTAAAAATAAAAAAAATTAGGCCGGGCGCGGTGGCTCACTCCTGTAATCCCAGCATGTTGGGAGGTCAAGGTGGGTGGAACACTTGAGGTCAGGAGTTCAAGACTGGCCTGACCAACATGGTGCAACCCCATCTCTACTAAAAATACAAAATTAGCCAAGCATGGTGGCACACACCTCTAATCCCAGCTACTCGGGAGGCTGAGGCAGGAGAATTGCTTGAACCCGGTAGGTGGAGGTTGCAGTGAGCTGAGATCGCACCACTGCACTCCATCCTGGGTGACAGAGTGAGAAACCATCTCAAATAAAATAAAATAAAATAAAATAAAATAAAAAATTTTTAAAAATTAGCTGGGCATGGTGGTACATGCCTGTAATCCCAGCTACTCAGGAGGCTGAGGCATGAGAATTGCTTGAACCCAGGAGGCACAGGTTGCAGTGAGCTGAGATGACACCATTGCACTCCAGCCTGGGCAAAATAGCAAGACTCTATCTCTGAAAAGAAAGAAAGAGAGAGAGAGAGAAAGAAAAAAGAAAGAAAGAAAGAGAAAGAAAGAAAGAAAGAAAGAAGGAAGGAAGGAAGGAAGGAAGGAAGGAAGGAAGGAAGGAAGGAAAGAAAGAAAGAAAGAAAGAAAGAAAGAAAGAAAGAAAGAGAAAGATCAAGAGCAAGACAAAGCACCCTTTAATTTTCCTTCTGCTTTTCTCAAGCGGAAGGAATCTCTCACCATGGCCACCACAGCTGGGAATGTGCTGGGTCACAACTAAAGCCAGAATATCTTAGCCTCAATTAAGGCCCACAGCCTTGGATATTAACTGGGTATCACTACTGTTTATTCAGGGCTCAAGGGCTCTTTCATCAGCAGGTGATGGATCCTGCCAGAGCTGGGTCCTTGCCCTGCAAGGCAGCAGGCTCCCTTCTGATCCAGGATTGTCTAGAAATGTTGTCTGGGAACTAGGGCCTGAAACAGCCTCATGACCCTGCCTGGTGCCCTATCCTACTGTGGCTGAGCTGGTATCCAAGATGCAAGACAAAGTTCTCTTTACTCCTCCCTCTCATCTCCTCAAGCAGAAGGAAGAGGTCTCTTTTGGAGCAGTGAGGTTGGCGGGGAGGGGCCGAGCAAGCATTCCACTAGCTGCTCTGGCTGGTGTCTCAGTAGGTCATGTGCCTGCTAAGTCAACTGGCTCCAAGTCCAGCTCAGCACTAGGACTTGCCTAAGAGTTGTAGTTCATGGGGCCTACACTGCCTTTCAATTTTATTTAGAGCCCCAGGGCACTTTGGCCCTCGGTGACGAGGTTTGCCAGAATTCAAGTTCTGACCAAGGTACAGGAGATTCCCCTCTGGCTAGGGCTGGTCTAAATGCTCCCTCTATGGTCTGGCATCAGCTGAGTTCAGCCTGCTTTTGCTTTCTACTGTCTGTAACAGGGCAGCACTGAGTTCAGTGCAAAGCCTCACAATCGCTGCACTGTCCCTCTCCCAAGCGTACAGATTTTCTCTCCATGCCACACATCTGGTGCTGGGGCTGGGGGAGGGGTGGCATTGGCAATTCAAGACTATTTTTCCTACCCTCTTCAGTCCTTTTTCAGCAATATAAAGTTAAAACCAGGTACTGTGAGTGCCTGATTTTTTGGTTTTTATAAAGGTGCTTTTTTGTTTGTAGATAGTTGTTAAATTTGATGTTCCTATGGGAATTACAATTCGTGCGAGCTTCTATTTGGCCACCTTGCTCCTCTCCATATTCGCCATATATATATATATATATATGCCAATAGAGGGAAGGAGAGGAATCACAAACATTGCTTTAAAACAGTAATACATGTAAATGATCCAATTAGAAAAGGGTCCAGAATGAAAATGAAGTTTTCCTTCCTGCCTCTCCTGTCCCTCAGTCATGCAGTTTCCTTTCCAAAAAAAATACTGCTGGTCTGGGCACGGTGGCTCACACCTGTAATCCCGGCACTCTGGGAGGCCAAGGCAGGAGGATAGCTTGTGGGCAGCAGTTCAAGACCAGCCTGGTCTGCAAAGCAAGACCTCATCTTTACAAAAAAATTTAAAAATTAGGTACGATGGCGTGCACTTTAGTCTCAGCTACTCCAGAAGTTGAGGTGGGAGGATCACTTGAGCCCAGGAGTTCAGAGGCTGCAGTGAGCTATGAGCATGCCACTGCACTCCAGCCCAGGTGCCACAGTGAGACTTTGTCTTTTAAAAAAATGACAAAAAGAAATTACGGTTACCAGTTTCTCAAAATATGTCCTTCCAGAGAGATACACGTTTGTATGCGCAAAGAATGCTTGCAAACTTGCTTCCTCATATACCCATACACATATGCAGAAACAGATGTGCACGTGTGTGTACATATATGCATTCATATTGTGTATGAATTCTATGCATCACACAGCTGAAAGCACAAGATGGTAGATACCCTTCTGCTTTTGTCTCTTAACAGTGTAATTTGGAGGTAATTCCTACCATATTTATGGGGTCACCTCATTCTTTTTTTGCTGACTGCATAGGCTATCATTGTAATCGTGTTTAACTGGCTGTTCCCAGTAGGCATTTGGGTTGTTTCTAGTCGTTCTGATAAATAGGGCTGCATTGAAAATCCCTGCAGTAGGTACATGGGGGATATTTCCTAGAAGTGTGATTATTTGGTCAGTGCATGTGTGTGTTAAATTTTGAGATCTGGCCAAATTACTCTCCATAAAGGCTACCTCAGAGTGTCTGTTTCTCTGCTCTCTTTTGAACCTAGAATGTCATCCCAAGCATTACCATGTGCCAATGTTTTGCTATTATAGGATAAAAACTACTATCTCAGTGAAGAATTGCATTTCTCTTTTAGGAACCCAAATATCTTCTCACAGGTTTAAGAGCCATTTGAGGCCAGGTACAGTGGCTCATGCCCATTATCCCGGCACTTTGGGAGGCCGAGGTGGGCAGATCACCTGAGGTCAGGAGTTCAAGACCAGTCTGGCCAACATGATGAAACCCGGTCTCTACTAAAAATACAAAAATTAGCCGGGCATGATGGTGGGCGCCTGTAACCCCAGCTACTCAGGAGAGTGAGGCAGGAGAATCTCTTGAACCCAGGAGACGGAAGTTGCAGTGAGCTGAGATCGCATCATTGGACTCCAGCCTCAGCGAGAACAGCATTGAATTTCCCTTTGTATGAACTGTCTTTTCATGTCCTTTAGCCATTCTCTCTTCAATTGTTTCTATGGTTTTTTTTTCTTTTTGATGTTGGACTTTTTATCTACTTGTTTTCCTTGTTTGCTGCAGTGTGTACCAACCAGTGCAGCTTCTTGGTTGTTGGTGGGTCTGTAAGCAAGCGTTCGGAGCCAGCACAGAGAGGATGAGAGGAGGGCTGCACTCATCTGCTCTTCCAGATGGCACTGATCAAAGGACGTGGTGATCATGGGAACACTCTGGAGAGCACGTAGCCATATTTAGATATATTGACAACACAACCATTTAGTAGACTCAGGGTGACTTTAAGCCACATGTCACATGGCAGCTGTTAAAATCATCTCTGTACATGTACATGGATAGTTCTGATGGCACACCCTTGTTAGCTTTGTAGCTTTTAGCTAAAGGGCCATATGGTGAAGGTGCATTTTTTGCATTTCTTATTTCTTCTCTTTTCTTTGTCAATATATCCATTCTAGAAAATGAGATGAGCCAGGCACAGTGTGGTGCATGCCTGTAATCCCAGCTACTCTGAAGGCTGAGGCAGGAGGATCACTTGAGCCCAGGAATTTGAGGCCAGCCTAGGCACTGGGCAACATAGTGAGACTCCGTCTCTTAAAAAAAAAAAAAAAGAAAAGAAAAGAAAAAGTGGCCAGGCATGGTGACTCAAGCCTGTAATCCCAGCACTTTGGGAGGTCGAGGCAGGTGGACCACCTGAGGTTAGGAGTTTGAGAACAGCCTGATCAATATGGTGAAACCCTGTCTCTACTAAAAATACAAAAATTAGCCGGGCGTGGTGGTGTGCACCTGTAGTCCCAGCTACTCGGGAGGCTGAGATAGGAGAACTGCTTGAACCTGGGAGGCAGAGGCTGCAGTGAGCTGAGATCGCACCACTGCACTCCACCCTGGATGACAGAACAAGACTGTCTCAAACAAAAAAAAAATGAAAAAAGAAAGAAAAAAGGACAAAAAAAGAAAATGGGGCAAGATGCTTACTCTTTCTGTAAATTATCTTTGTAGTTCAAGTGTCCAGTAAAGTTCTCTGTTCCAAGCAGACACTTAAAATAAATATTTGCTCAAAAAGGTCAATTCCTCCACGTGCTGTTTTGCTGCCCTTCCTAAAGGCATGTGTATCAGTGCAGCACTTCTTAACTGATGTTAATAAGTGTTCTGTGATTTTTTAAAAAGTGCCTATGATTATATTAATTTTGGAAAAGCTATTTTAAATATTAAAGCATTTTAAACATTTAACTTATAAAATAAAATCAGTTTATTTACTACAGGACTTCTCACAGCCTTTAATGTACAAGCAAATCCACCGAACTTCCAAGAGAGGGTTGCAAGGTGCTGTCTTCTGCAAGTGTGTCTGTCCATGGAGCTCTGTTTTCATATTTTCATGGTATCTCATTGAAATACAGCTCAAGCAATTAGCCTAAACTCATAGATGAATAAAGAGTAGACATCAATTTGTTTGTCCCCTGATTTGTCTGAATTAGGCCAAACAAGGATCTTTAACTGGAAATAGGGTTATTGATTACTTGACTGCAGTCAGATTTCTAAAATTGAGTAAAAACGTGTTTGCGGTTCAATTGCAGACAAAGACATACTGGTTACTTTCTCCAGGCTCCCCACAGTATTGGCAGAAGTGTAAAATTAAGAGATCAAGGTCATTTCTGGTAACCCCTCACTGCACCTACTCGAGGTCTGATGCCACCCTCTCTGTCTGAATCATCCAAATCAAAATTGGCCAGGGATGAGGGTATAGTGCTGGGACCAGACAGAGCCACCACCAGCTGGTGGCTTAATTATGAAGCAAATTTATAGAGCCACAAGGGGGATGGACCAGAAGTGGACTGGGAAAGATCATTATGTCCAGCTCCTTAACAGGGCAGTTTCTTCTTTCCACTTGAGTTATTTCTAAAATTGACTTTTTAAAAATCCCTTATTGGCCTTTTCTGTCTTCTTGAGAAATCTTGTCTGTTTTTCTTCTCAGCCTTCCTGAAATGCGTAACAGTGGTTCTGAACAGTGTTCTAGAACCCTGGTGGTGGGGATGTGTCACAAGTCATCTGTGTGCTAAAGTAAACCATTAAAAGCACATGCATTTGCAAATTACCACCAAATAGAATGGATTCAAGAGTACCTTATGTAAGGTCTTATCTACCTACTTTGAGAACGCCTTTTTGAGTGGAATGAGCTGTTCTGATTGCCTATGTGATTACAGTGCTTATGAGTGGCTTTATATTTCCATTTTTATTTTCCCTTTTGATAAGATTGCACTTGAGCTACAAAGATACCAGGAACATTTTCATTTGTAATAACACAACTGTTATGATTACCCGATGAAAGGCAGCCAAAATGATGCGAGAAAAATGTTCAATAGTGATATTGTGGCTTTAAAAAAGCAATCAGGTTAATTATTTGCATTCCTCAATAGTCTACACTTGTTACTTTTTTTTTTTTTTTTTTTTTTTGAGACAGAGTTTCCGTCTGTCGCCCAGGCTGGAGTGCAGTGGCACTATCTCGGCTCACTGCAACCTCTGCCTCCCAGGTTCAAGAGATTCTCCTGCCTCAGCCTCCTGAGTAGCTGGGATTACAGGCATGCACCACCATGCCCCATTACTTTTTTGTGTTTTTAGTAGAGACGGGGTTTCACCATGTTGGCCAGGCTGGTTTTGAACTCCTGACCTCAAGTGATCCATCCACCTCGGCCTCCCAAAGTGCTAGGATTACAGGCATGAGCCACCATGCTCGGCCTACACTTGTTACTCTTGCCATATTGTCTATATTTCCTTTGGAGTAGGAGTCTAGAAAATACATCATTTTGCCAGGCACAGTGGCTCACGCCTGTAATCCCAGGACTTTGGGAGGCCAAGGCTGGTGGATCACCAGGTCAGAAGTTCAAGACCAGACTGGCCAATATGGTGAAACCCCGTCTCTACTAAAAATACAAAAATTAGCCGGGTGTGGTGGCAGGCACCTGTAATCCCAGCTACTCAGGAGGCTGAGGCAGAAGAATCACTTGAACCCGGGAGGCAGAGGTTGCAGTGAGCCGAGATCACACAATCTTTATTATTATAGTTGTTAAGACTGATATTTTTGTAATTTTTTACTTTCAAGTGTCTTTTAATATATTCCCATCTCCAAAAATAGTTGTGCCACACTCATTGTTAATTTCTCTTCTCTGCCAATTTGGTGGGGATTCATCAACACCTAGTTCTCTCCATTATGTGCGTCACTCAAGGGAGCTTCATCCAGCATGCATGTTCATGGAGAACTTGGTGCCAAAGAGGTGCTTCCTCATTCTCTTTTCTTTTCTTTTCTGTTTGTTTTTTTGAGATGGAGTCTTGCTCTGTCGCCCAGGCTAGAGTGCAGTGGCGCAATCTCAGCTCACTGCAACCTCCACCTCCCGGGTTCAAACAATTTTCCTGCCTCAGCCTCCTGAGAAGCTGGGATTACAGGTGCCCGCCACTGCACCTGGCTATTTTTAGTAGAGACGGGGTTTCACCACCTTGGCCAGGCTGGTCTTGAACTCCTGACCTCGTGATTCACCCGCCTTGGCCTCCCAAAGTGCTGGGATTACAGGCGTGAGCCACCGCGCCCGGCCTGCTTCCTCATTTTCTTCCTGATTTATAGCATGCTTGCCTCCAGCTTTCATAGCAGCAGCATGCTTATGCCTTCCTCGAGGCATCAAGATGTCAGCAGGATCGATTCCTTCTGAGAGCTACAAGGGAGAGATCTGTTCTAGGCTTCTCTCCTTGGCTTGCAGATGGCCATTTTCTCCCTGTGACTTCGCATCGTCTTCCATCTATCTCTGTGTCCAAATTTCCCTTTTTGTAAAGGTATCAGTCATGTTGAATTAGGGTCCTCTCTAATGACTTCACTTTAATTTGATTACATCTGCAATGAGCAGTTTCCAAATAAGGTCACATTCTGAGGGATGGAGGTTTAGGACTTCAACATTTGAATCTGGGGAAGACACAATTCAACTCATAACAACATGTTAATTTGCTACTTACGAACTTTTCTCCCTTTTTTTTAAAGAATGTACATGGCAAGTCAAAGCAAACGATCGCAAGTACCACGAACAACCTCACTTTATGAACACAAAATTCTTGTGTATTAAGGAGAGTAAATATGCGGTGAGTTGTTAACTTTCTGAATTGTTTTCATTAAAATGCAGTTTTTTCCAGTAGCTGGCATGCTTACTACCTTCATGCTACACCTGCCTTCCACGTAACCACCTGCCTGGGGCTACTGATAATCATCATTGTTTCTATAGAATGTCATTTTTATTGATGTTTACCTTTGGGGTGGGTAGCGGGTGACTTGAAACAAAACAGAATTATGTAGATTGAAATTTTCTCTCTCTTTTTTAAATTTTAAGCTCTCTTAGAAATGTTTTATGAAAGAATATACAATGATGGCACAGAAGCCTCCTGTTTGAAAGTAATGAGTTTGAAAGGAATCTCTTAAGAACTTATCTTCCCCTTCTCTGCCTGGAATGGATTTAGAGATTTTAAACATATTTTTGACTCAAAAATGCTTATTACCTTTGGAATGTGATAAAGAATGCTTAAAGATTAAATGCGAAATACAAAAATTAGCCTGGAGTGGTGGCATGTGCCCACAGTCTCAGCTACTTGGGAGGCTGAGCCAAGAGAATCGCTTGAGCCCAGGAGGCAGAGGTTTCAGTGAGCTGAAATTGTGCCATTGCACTCCAGCTTGGGTGACAGGAGTGAGACTCTGTCTCAATAATAATAATAATAATAAATATTAAGTGTGGGCTTAAATGTTGTAAGATGTGTGTTTTAATGCCAAGGGCTTCCATAGCAGAGTACCACAACTGGATGGCTTAAAACAACAGAAGTTTACTCTCTCCTGATGCAGGGATCAGAAGTCTGAAATCTTGGTGTTGGCAGGGTTGGCTCCTTCTGGAGCCTCTGCAGGAGAATCTGTTCCCTGCCTCTCCCCTGGCTTCTGGTGGCCACTGGCAATCCTTGGAGTTCCTTGGCTTACAGATGAAGTCACCCCAATCTCTGCTTCCATCTTCAAGGGGCACTCTTCCTGTGTGTGTCTGTGTGCAACTTTCCTCTTATAGGGACCCCAGTCCGAATAAGCACCTCATTAAATTAGAGCCTGTCCTAATCACGTATGACTTCATCTTGATTATCTCTGCGAAGATCCTATTTCCAAATAAGATCCCATTCATAGATATTAGTGTTAAGACCTGAACATATCTTTTGCAGGACACAATGCAACCCACTACAGTACCTTTTGCTCTTTCTTACATAGTAGGCTCTGTCTCCTCACTTAAATAAAAGCCTCACTTTTCCTGGCTTTGGCCATGTTGTTGTCTACCTTTACCCTGTTTTCTAACAGTCTCTAATGGGTCAAGGAATCTGACAGCAGGATTTATTTGGTCACAGTCTGATGTCTGTTTCTTGTTACTGCCTCTGTCATAAGACTCCAAGTAGTCATTTTGAGGCTTGGCTGCTTGGCTAGAATTAAAAGCTTAAAAGAAATATCAGTATCTTTCTTTCTTCTTTTCTTTTTTAAGGCAGAGTCTCACTCTGTCACTCAGGCTGGAGTGCAGTGGGGCGATCTGCAACTTCTGCCTCCCTGGTTCAAGCGATTCTCCTGCCTCAGCCTCCCAAGTATCTGGGATTACAGGTGCAGGCCACCACGCCTGGCTAATTTTTGTATTTTTAGTAGAGGTGGGGTTTCACCATGTTGGCTAGGCTGGTCTCAAACTCCTAGGCTCAGGTGATCCACCCACCTCGGTCTCCCAAAGCGCTGGGATTGCAGGCATAAGCCACCGCACCCAGACAAAATCCTCAATATCTTTCTGACAGATGATGTTCCTTTGTCACTGTAAGCTGTGGGACTTGTGACTTTTGCAGATGTGTATACATTGTGATAAATACAGCATCATTTAGAATGACTCTTATTTTTTCCAACAGAATAATGCAATTAAAACATACAAGTACAACGCATTTACCTTTATACCAATGAATCTGTTTGAGCAGTTTAAGAGAGCAGCCAATTTATATTTCCTGGCTCTTCTTATCTTACAGGTAATGCCCTTTGCTATCTTAAATCTGTTTGAATTATAGTGACTCGATAACATTTAAGCTGTAGACACATATAATGTGAATAATCTTGAAAGTGTTTTATATTAGCATCAGGGTTCTGTACATAAAGGAACAGTGCCTCATACACAGAACCAGCTCAATCAGTGTTATATGAACAGGGAAAGGGAGCAAATGGAAATATTATTCTAATTCTGTATTTTAAAAAATTTCATGTTATACTGATATGGGTGTTAAAATTGGTATCCCTGAAGTGAATAAAACTAAAATCCAGCCAGGCTCAGTGGCCCACGCCTATAATCCCAGCACTTTGGGAGGCCGAGGCGGGTGGATCACCTCGGGTGAGGAGTTCCAGACCACCCTGGCTAACATGGTTAAACCCCGTTTCTACTAAAAATACAAAAAATTAGCCAGGCGTGATGGTGCATGCCTATAATCCCAGCTACTCGGGAGACTGAGGCAAGAGAATCGCTTGAACCCAGGAGGCGGAGGTTGCAGTGAGCCGAGATCACACCATTGCACTCCAGCTTGGACAACAAGAGCTAAACTCCATCTTAAAAAAAAATAAAATAAAATCCTTACTTTGTAAAATTATTTGCACCTTAAAATTAAAGCTATTTTGTGCTTGTCTTTTATCATTGTAGTTAGATGCTGAATTTCCCCCCCAAAAAGATCATTGATTTTTTATTAAAATTTTGGTCATAAATTTCAGTAAGTTATTTTTGTGAACTGTTTTTACATTTTAAAAGGCCTACTTAAAAATTTTTTTTCCTAATTGTGGCAAAGCATCCAGTTATCCAGAGAGCATGAGTTTAGCTGTGCAAGAACTGTTGCTGTAACCGAGGGAACTCTACACACACTAGTTAGCGCCAGAATCAACCTTTAGTGTCTGCCGTGCGGATTACATAGCTTAAGCTCAGAATATCCACCTGGTTTTTTCAGATTCTTTTTTTTTTTTTTTTTGAGACCGTGTTTCGCTCTTGTCGTCCAGGCTGGAGTGCAGTGGCACCATCTTGGCTCACTGCAACCTCCTCCTCCTTCTCTTGGGTTCAAGCGATTCTCCTGCCTCAGCCCCCTGAGTAGCTGGGATCACAGTTGCCAGCCACCACGCCCAGCTAATTTTTGTATTTTTAGTAGAGACAGGGTTTCACCATGTTGACCAGGCTGGTCTCAAACTCCTGAATTCAGGTGATCCACCCGCCTCAGCCTCCCCAAGTGCTGGGATTACAAGCATGAGCCACTGCGCCCGGCACTTTATCAGATTCTTTACGGCAAGCATTGGATTTGGAAAAGTTATACCTGCTGGGATTGACCCTTTAAGGTTTTATGAAAATGGGGTAGAATGTGTGTCTAGGTGGGGATGGAGGATGCGTGGAGAGGAGAGAAAAAGAAGAGACGATGGTAAGGAGAAATGGATAGGCAATGATTTAGGAAACTGTAAGACCTTCAAGTCAGATAGTAAAGGATGGCCCTGTTATCAAAGGAGATGCTTAGAAAGGTGTGTGTAGAGGTTAGCACTGCAAACTCCAAGGTGCTGCTCTGTAGGAAGTAGACCATTTTCCCTTACTTCCTTCTAGCAGGGAAGAGGAGTTTCACATATTCACTGTGATGTGGGAAGAAGGATCTTTTTGTCTTCTAACTGCACCCCAGTTATCTTCTCTCTCTCTTTTTTTTTTTTTTTTGAGATGGAGTTTCGCTCCTGTTATCAAGGCTGGAGTGCAATGGCGTGATCTCAGCTCACCAAAACCTCTGCCTCCCAGGTTCAAGCTATTCTCCTGCCTCAGCCTCCTGAGTAGCTGGGATTACAGGCATGCGCCACCACACCTGGCTAATTTTGTATTTTTAGTAGAGACGGCGTTTCTCTATGTTGGTCAGGCTGGTCTCGAACTTCCAACCTCAGGTGATCCGCCCACCTCGGCCTCCCAAAGTGTTGGGATTACAAGCATGAGCTACCGTGCCTGGCGCAGTTATCTTCTCTTAAGGTCAGCAATCCAAATTAGGGTAACAGTAATAGCCGTAGGCAGCTTCTTAACTTGTGTTGTCACTACACTTAATTCTTCTAGTCTAGAAGGTCAGGCCTGGCATGACCTCCATTTTGCAGAGAAAAGCTGAGGCCTAGTAAGCTAAAGTAACTTGCTCAAAGTCCCATAAGCCATAAATGATAGAGCTGACCAAGACTTGGATCTAGGAGTTGACTCCAAAGCCTGTCATTTTAACCACTACATTATACAGCCCAGTGATCAGGAGGATGGTTATGAAATAACTTTATTAAACTTGCATCCCAATCTTTGTTCAAACTTAGAGGCTGTCTTGATGGAGGAAGGCCAGCTCACTTTCTTGGATAGGCCAATAGTGATGATCATGAAGGAAGCACTTTCTTCTAATGCCCTCAGAGATGCTCTCCCTAATCCCTCACTTTCAGAGGCAGCTAGTACCTCTTGCCATCATTGCCTTCAGCATGGGATCCTCAGAAACCACTGACTGAGAAACCTGCAGTATAGAACCTACTATGCATGCATTCCTTAAAAGTTAAGATGACTTTGGCCAGGCACGGTGGCTCACACCTGTAATCCCGGCACTTTGGGAGGCTGAGGCAGGAGGATTGCCTGAGGTCAGGAGTTCGAGACCAGCCTGGCCAACATGGTGAAAACCCATCTCTACTAAAAATACAAAAAAATTAGCCGGGGGTGGTGGCACACACCTGTAATCCCAGCTACTCAGGAGGCTGAAGCAGGAGAATCGCTTGAGCCTGGGAGGCGGAGGTTGCATTGAGCCAAAATTGTGCCACTGCACTCCAGCCTGGGTGACAGAGGGAGACTCTGTCTCAAAAAAAAAAAAAGAAAAAAAAAGTTAAGACGAGACTTCTCCCTTGCCACTCCTACCCCCTCACCCCCAGTTAAATATGATTTTCACAAAAGATTTAGAGCAACTCTTTTTTAGGTATCATAATACAAAACTTCCTTGGTGTCCAGTTAAGTTTGCAATGAGATAATTTCAGGAGCCACTGCCCTCTAGGCTCTGTTCCAGGTATCCAGAAGCTAGAGAGAACCACTAGAAGGAGGTTGTCCAAATGCTTGAAGAGCCTTTCCTATATACTCTGCAGGATGTAGACTTATGTGATGACGGTGATGAGACTTGGAATTAGCAAGCTTAGAATTAGCAATAAGTTACCTGTAAGCTTGATATGCCTTCATGGACACACACATAAGCCCTTTTATTCTTTTAGGCAGTTCCTCAAATCTCTACCCTGGCTTGGTACACCACACTAGTGCCCCTGCTTGTGGTGCTGGGCGTCACTGCAATCAAAGACCTGGTGGACGATGTGGTGAGGATTTCTCATACAACGTTCTACTCATTGCTTTGAGTTGACTTTAAGTTCTCGTGCCTTCCTTCTCTATTGAGATGTTTAAAACAGCATTTCCCCATCTTCCTTCTCAAGGCTCGCCATAAAATGGATAAGGAAATCAACAATAGGACGTGTGAAGTCATTAAGGATGGCAGGTACTGTGTCTAATTAGTAACTGAGTTTCAAGGATGTAATGCATAACTCTGCCTAGAAACACATTCAGAGATAATTATTACAATGTAGAAGGCTATTAGTACATTAACTGTTTATTTTTTTCGAGATAGAGTCTCGCTCTGTCGCCCAGGCTGGAGTGCAGTAGCGTTATCTCGGCTCACTGCAACTTCCACCTCCCAGGTTCAAGCAATTTTCCTGCCTCAGCCTCCGAGTAGATGGGATTACAGGCGTGCACCACCATGCTCAGCTAATTTTGTACTTTTAGTAGAGATGGGGTTTCACCATGTTGGCCAGGCTGGTCTCAAACTCCTGACCTCAAGTTATCCTCCTTGATCTCCCAAAGTGTTGGGATTACAGGTGTAAGCCACCATGCCTGGCCTTAAATTATCTTTTTAATGAGTATGTACCCCTGTTGTAATAAATCTAATAAGGATAGTGATAAAAATAGATAAAAAGATGACTATTTTGAGTACTAAATTCCATAGGAAATATTCATTAAAATTTTTAACATATCAACACTTTTAAAAGTTTTAAACTATAATATTGTTTTAAAGATTTTCACATATACAAATGATATACCCAGTGGACGTAATGAACCTGCTATAAATAATAAACTTAATTTCACTGGAGGCAGTCGTCTAATCACTATGTGTTTATCTGCCATTCATTTATGGCCAAAAATGACTTGGAGATTTAAAATACTTTTTAAATATATGTTTATGCCCCAGTTCCCCTAATGAATTTAGTATACAATTCTTAACTCCAGCATTAAAAAAAAAATTTGGCTTATCTTTCAATTGACGAAATTGTAGATGTTTTACATTTCAGTATTTCTGAAATTTTAAAATAGAAATTTGCATGTAAGTCCGAAATGACAAATGGATAGGCCAGCACCTTCTTAGCAGGGCTACTGGAAGGCAATTCTGAATACTGAAATATTGGAGGCAATTCTGTTAGATTCTTCTATCCGATGTTCCAGTTTCCTCTGAGGAGGCCCCCTGTGCTCTACCCTGCTAATGCTCAAGTTCCTATAGGTGTGACCCCACTGCAGGGGCTGCTCAGGCCATGGCCCTGCCAGACATGCACCCTAGACTTCCAAATTCAAGGCAACCCAGAGCTCCTCTTTACCAGTGTAGGTAGGTATGGTACAGGCTAAACATATGGGTTGGCCAGGCACGGTGGCTCACGCCTGTAATCTCAGCACTTTGGGAGGCCGAGGCAGGAGGATCACTTGAGGCCAGGAGTTCGAGGCCAGCCTGGAAAACTTAGTGAGACTCCTGTCTTTTTTTTTATTTTTTTGAGACGGAGTCTCGCTCTGTCGCCCAGGCTGGAGTGCAGTGGCGCGATCTCCGCTCACTGCAAGCTCCGCCTCCCGGGTTCACAGCATCCTGCCTCAGCTTCCCGAGTAGCTGGGACTACAGGCGCCCGCCACTGCACCTGGCTAATTTTTTGTATTTTTAGTAGAGATGGGGTTTCACCGTGGTCTTAATCTCCTGACCTCATGATCCACTCACCTCGGCCTCCCAAAGTGCTGGGATTACAGGCGTGAGCCACCGGGCCCGGCCGAGACTCCTGTCTTAACAACAACAACCTCCTCTGCTAGGCTCATTGGGACACTTATTCTATTTTACTGAATGAAGTGTTTCCTAATCCTAGAATTGTAAATAAAGCCAATTAAGATCTTTAAATTGTTGTGATTTTGTCTTTTGACACTTGAAAGGTAACTTTGGAACATAATTTTCTTATTTGCAAAGGAAAAAAAGCCATCTAAACATATTTATAGCTTGGTATAGTCTATATTTGCATTAGAGTGGAAGTACGGCTGTAAGTCAGGTTACTTTCCTCAGTGTTGACACATAAAAAGTCTTGGAATGAGGCCTTAGTTACTATTTTTAGCACTTGAATTTGCAGTTCTGCCTGAAGCCTCCTGCTCAAAAAACAACTCATTACTGATCCCTGAGTTGGTGCTTTCGTCACAGTTGACTACGTTAATTTAACAAACACTTATGGAGTACTTTCTGCATGTTGGAGGCAGGACAGTATCCTTGAGAAATTTATAGTTCAAGACAGAAGATGAGACACCTACACACATCATTCTAATAAAATCCATATCAGAATAAAAAAGATAAAAACAAAATGCTCTGACAGTACAGGGAAGGGAAAATTCACTTTAGCGAGGGAATGTGGGGAAAGATGTCAAGACGTGAGCAAAGCCCTGAAAATGATGCCCTAGGGAGGCTGAAGGGGCTGTGTAAACACAAGTTGTGGTGACAACACAAAGCTCCATCAGACAACTGACCATAATCCAATTTGAGTGTAGCCTCAGGGCCTTAAAGGGAATACAGTGTCTTTGTCAGTTAAGCCTTTACAATTAAGAAGTTAACCGGCCAGGTGAGGTGGCTCATGCCTATAATCCCAGCACTTTGGGAGGCCGAGGTGGGTGGATCACCTGAGGTCAGGAGTTCGAGACCAGCCTGGCCAATATGGTAAAAACTCATCTCTAAAAAATTAGTCAGGCGTGAAGGCACGTGCCTGTAGTCCCAGCTACTCGGGAGGCTGAGGCAGGAGGATCTCTTGAACCCCAGGAGGCAGAAGTTGCAGTGAGCTGAGATCGTGCCACTGCACTCCAGCCTGGGCAACAGAGCAAGACTCTGTCTCAATGAAAAAAAAAATTAATAAATAAATAATAAAGATAATTTAAACAGCAGAGAGTAGGCAAGCTCTGAAGCCCCACGAAGACTCTGGGAGGCCCAGGTGGGTGCCATAATGTAGGTGCTTCTGTCCTGGGACCAGCATGGAGCAAGTGATGGGTCACTGAGAAGGAACACAGCAGGGAGGCAAGTTGGACATAAGCAAAAACAAAAGGGGGTGGCAAGTATTTCCCTGCCACGCACATAAGTGGCCCCCATAAACTCTTCCTTACATGACCTAGATGAAAAGAATGTATCAAAGTCATTCATCATTGCTTCCTTCAGAGGTCAATACAATTTTCATGCCCCCCTTTAATATGTTTACATCCATTAAAGAGCAAAATTTTAGCATTTTCTCTGTGACTTGCATATTTTCCAGAATCTATAACATCCAGAAAGAATAGTAATTCCCTTGCCTGTAACTTAAAATGTCAATAAATCCTCATTATTTTTAATCCTTAGGTTCAAAGTTGCTAAGTGGAAAGAAATTCAAGTTGGAGACGTCATTCGTCTGAAAAAAAATGATTTTGTTCCAGTAAGTGAACAAATTCTGCTTCTCTTGTTCCTTGTTCTCCCCCAGCCCCTGTGCTCGGCTTTTCCCTCAGGGTCTCGGTGTTATTTGTGTGTTTTGTTTTGGACAGGCTGACATTCTCCTGCTGTCTAGCTCTGAGCCTAACAGCCTCTGCTATGTGGAAACAGCAGAACTGGATGGGTAAGTGTGTCTCGATGGGCCTGATTTAAAGCTGGCCTTTGAAGGCACATTCATTCCACTGAAATCGGGGCATTGTGGACCAGACGGCTTGATATCTGGCCTTGCCTCTGCCACCTGCTGCTGTCCCTACTGATCTCACCTTTGCGCCTCTGTGAAGTGGAGCTCTTACTACCTGCGTTTCTCCACCTCTCAGGGAAGGTAAAAGGATCAGACAGGAGCATATGTGTCTGAGCCCTTTATCAACTGCTGAGCAGCGTCCAGACAGATATGAATAATATCGAGGTTATTATCTGTGTCAGAGAAAGGAACAGATTTTTAAAGTCTTTACCAATAGGCAATTTATTTATTTATTTTTGAGACAGAGTCTCACTCTGTCGCCCAGGCTGGAGTGTAGTGGTGCTATCTCAGCTCACTGCAACCTCCACACCCCCTGGGTTCAAACAATTCTCCTGCCTCAGCCTCTTGAGTAACTGAGATTACAGGCTCCAGCCCCCACACCCAGCTAATTTTTGCATTTTTAGTAGAGATGGGGTTTCACCATGTTAGCCAGGCTGGTCTCGAACTCCTGATCTCAAGTGATCTGCCCACCTTGGCCTGCCAAATTGCTGGGATTACAGGGGTGAGCCACAGCAGCTGGCCCCAGGAGGCAATTTTGAATTCTCCTTGTGTTGGTTTTGGTTACTATGCTATCATTTAAAAGAGAATGAAGTTCTGTTTTTGACCAGTTTTCTGACCAGTTTTCAAGGCATTTATTGAGTGCTCACGAGGTTGCCGGCACTTTACATATTAGCTCATTTAATCCTCTAAACGACCATGTGAGACGAATATTATTCGTCTGTATTACCCATGAGGAATCGGAGGCCCAGGGAGGTGCAGCAGCCCGCCCAAGGTCACACAGTAAGTGGTAGAGTCGGGACATTGCTCCCTCTGCTCCTCGCGCCTCACGCTCCAGATGTGCATACACTGCTTTACAGAGAGCGGAAATCATGAGACTGAAAACTAGGGCTGTCATTGCTTCATAGATCAGGCAATTGACTGTTGGAAATCTATCACACTTTTTTTTTTTTTTTGGCGGAAAAAAATACTTAAAGCCAATTAACCACTTCTTAATTGTACAGGCTAATTGGTTAAAAACCAATTAACCACTTCTTAATTGTAAAGGCTTAACTGACAAAGACACTGCATTCTCTTTAAGGCCCCGAGGCTATACCCAAATTGGATTATGGGCAGTTGCCTGATAGAGCTTTCTGTTGTCAGGTTGGTCTCAAACTCCTGACCTCAAGTGATCTGCCTGCCTCTGCCTCCCAAAGTGCTGCCATTACATGCGTGAGCCGCGGCGCCCGACTGTTTATTCTCAACTATAAAACTGCTATTATTTCCATGAGAGATTCTAAAGCTTTACAAAGACATAAGATCCTAACATGCCCTGCCAGAACAGAATGGTGAGGTTGAGAATGAACTTCCCTAGGGAAAATTCCTGAGTATTCGTGAATCCTATATAAAGCCTTCAGTCGTGAGACGGCAGCCTCACCCTTGAGAGCACCTGCCCCGGCCTGCCCTTGTGCCCACCCACGACCTTACCTTGCACTATGGTGGGGCAGTTGGGAGTAAAGCTAAGACTTCCTTTTCCAAATAAAATTGTCTTTCAAAAACATGTGATCCAGTTATTCACTCTGGAAAAGAATTTGACAGAGGCGAAACAGAATTTCTGTAACAAATATGTGTTATAGAATCATTTTAATGTGATTAAATATTAGACACTACATTTTCAAACAGCACTTTGGTAGTCCTAGCTGATGGTAAAGTTAAAGTTAATGAGAAGGATGTTTGTGGGTACCTCTGTCCTAACCTTCACAACAACAAACAGTGAAGGGAACCAACATTTCCCAAGGTCAGAAATTTTCTCGACTTCAGGGGATAACCTTTTCCAAACCTGAAGTTCCAAGGTGAACAGAGTTTGAAAATAGAAACAGCTAATTATTTAGGCTTCATGTCCAGGTATGGCTAATGTAACTTTGGATGATTAACTTCCACTTTGAACTCAAAAATTTGTTCATTTAATTCATTTTTTCCCCATTCCTTTAGAGAAACCAATTTAAAATTTAAGATGTCACTTGAAATCACAGACCAGTACCTCCAAAGAGAAGATACATTGGCTACATTTGATGGTTTGTACCAAACATGTCTTACTTTGCTTTAAATTTTAGTTGCTTGGTTCAATTCCTATTGATTAAAACCAGAAAGACTTTTGTATGTGATTAATTATGTGAATCTTATATTTTTAAAAGGTTTTATTGAATGTGAAGAACCCAATAACAGACTAGATAAGTTTACAGGAACACTATTTTGGAGAAACACAAGTTTTCCTTTGGATGCTGATAAAATTTTGTTACGTGGCTGTGTAATTAGGAACACCGATTTCTGCCACGGCTTAGTCATTTTTGCAGGTACGTTCAGAGTTTCTTGGGAAATTAATCAGCTATGATCTTTAAAGACTTAGAGGGGATTGCTTTTCTGTCCTTTGTCCATCAAAACCAAAAGAAGAGTAATAGCATCATGAGCTTTTTTTTTTTTTTTTTTTTTTTTTTGAGACAGAGTCTCACTCTGTAGCCCAGGCTGGAGTGCAGTGGCATAATCTCAGCTCACTGCAACCTCTGTCTCCTGGGTTCAAGTGATTCTCCTGTCTCAGGCTCCAGAGTAGTTGGGATTATAGGCATGTGCCACCATGCCCAGATAATTTTTGTATTTTTAGTAGAGACAGGGTTTTGCCATGTTGGCCAGGCTGGCCTCGAACCCCTGACCTCAGGTGATCCGCCCAACTCAGCCTCCAAAACTGCTGGGATTACAGGCGTAAGCCACCATGCCTGGCCAAGAAGAGTAATTTTATTGGTGAGCTAGTGAATTGATTTTTCCCAACTGATGACTACATTGAATTTTCCATTTTCAGGTGCTGACACTAAAATAATGAAGAATAGTGGGAAAACCAGATTTAAAAGAACTAAAATTGATTACTTGATGAACTACATGGTTTACACGGTATTTATTTTTCATCTCAGTAGATCTCTCATCTAGATTGCTGTCTTTTGCACTAATATTATCGTATGTTTTTCTAATACAAAATCTTACCTCTTTAGGTGGAATAGAAAAATTATTGGGCACTCCAAGCTTCAAATGCAGGAAGAAGGGATTTTTTTTTCCAGAAATGCCTTACTTTTTCTCAGAAATGCCACACTTTTAACAGGAGAATTCCCTTGGGAAGGGAAATTTCGGTTGTAGGGTGCCCTGAGTGCTTTGATGACGGGAACTGGAAAACCAGGAAGCCCTAGATAAATTAGTGAAGCTGGACTCCTGAAGTCAATGTAGGGTTGATTTCATTGCTGTTACTTTCCCATAGAGGCAGTTCTCTTAGAAGCAAGCCTCCCCCAGCACCCCCAACATATACTGTATAGCTCCAAATACAAGGCAAGGCTAAAAATAAAGTATGTCGAGGACACTCAAGACCACTCCCAGGTTTGATGATTCACTGGAAGGACTCATAGGCCTCAGCACATAGTCGTATTCACAGCTGTGAGTCATTACAACAAAAGGACACAGAGCAAGATCACCAAAGACTCATGGAGCAAAGTGCAAAGGAAACCAGGCACAAGCTTCCAAAAGTCGGCCGTCCTGCCCCCACTCCCCACCAAACCACACACACAATAGGCACTTAATTCTCCCAGCAGCAATTAATGACACCACATGTGAAATGTTGTCTATACCAGGGAAGCTCATGAGAGACTCAGTGTCAAAGGTTTTTAACAAAAAAACTCTAGACTCCCCAAAAGAATGCAGATGGTCAGCATAAACCATGCTGTTTGCACAGTTAGGCATCATGAGTTTTTTTATTATTATTATTATTTGTTTTTTTTTGAGATTGAGTTTCACTCTTGTTGCCCAGGCTGGAGTACAATGGCATGATCTTGGCTCACTGCAATCTCCGTCTCCCAGGTTCAAGTGATTCTCCTGCCTCAGCCTCCCAAGTAGCTGGGATTACAGGCACCTGCCACCACACCTGGCTAATTTTTGTATTTTTAGTAGAGACGGGGTTTCACCATGTTGGCCAGGCTGGTCTCGAACCCCTGACCTCAAGTGATCTGCCTGCCTCGGCCTCCCAAAGTGCTTGGATTACAAGCATGAGCCACTGCACCCGGCCCATGAGCTATTCTTATCAGAGAATAAAAAATAACTGGGAAATCCTCCAAACATCTAAGTTACCAGATACCAGCCCAGGGCGAACCTTGCAAGCCGGCCTTCGGAGGAAGCAGTCTCAGACCTGCTATGTTTGCTCTTTTCTGCCCACGTGGTGACCCCAAATATTAAGCACTCCTTCTATTTCCCAATGAAAAATTTTTTCAAGTATTTAATTCAATTTGAATGCATACTTCTAAAACTTATTCTTTGATTGCATATACATGTTTAAAATCACATAAAAATAATAATTTAAGAAACATTTTCCCCTGCTTTCTCATTTCATGAAAATTGTATTTGAACTTTTCACATTCATCTTTGGTGTCATGGTTGTGGTTATCCACTCTCAAAGAGCCTGTTTGGCACTCTGCTCTTTCCACGACAAAGTTGTGAGATATAGCACTTTTGGACTCCATGTCCAGAAATTTAAATTTGTCTCTGGAAATTTTATTCCCACTTGCGAATCTCCAAGTACCACTAGGATGGTTGACTTTTTATTCCTTCCATAAATATATGCTCATAACTTCTACAACATAATACTTATCATATTGCTTCTTAAGTGATCTTATTTTACAATGTCATGCAATACTTATGACATTACACCTTAAGGAATAATCGCCCAAATATAGGTGAAATTTTCTTGCCCTGAAAAAAAAATTCTGGCTGGGTGAGGGCCACCTGTAATCCCAGCAGTTTGGGAGACTGAGGCATGCAGATCACTTGAGGACAAGAGTTCGAGACCAGCCTGGCCAACATGGTGAAACTCGTCTCTACTAAAAAGACAAAAATTAGCCGGCCTTGGTGGCGCGTGCCTGTAATCCCAGCTACTCAGGAGGCTGAAGCATAAGAATTGTTTGAACCAGGGAGGTGGAGGTTGTAGTGAGCCACAATGGCACCACTGCACTCCAGCCTGGGTGATACAGTGAGACGCTGTCTAAAAAAAAAAAAAAAAAAAAAAAAAAAAATCTGTTGAATATCTTCTATAAGCATTCCAGTTTTCCAGTTCAGCCTTGTTGGAAGTTGTTTCATGCTAAGTAAGATATCTTCCCCAAACAGTATGTTATTGTTCAAAGTAAACGTAATTGAGAGAATGCCCTGTAATATAAGATTCTTCAAGGATTTGAATATAAGACACCACCTTCTCTTTGGAGAGATAATTTTGGGAACAAAACCTTACCTTCTATGGGAGATGTAGGATACATCAGTCAATTGCAGCAATCAAATAGACTTTCAAAGCGTTATGATAGTGCTGTTTTTATTTGACATATATTATTTTTCAGACTACTAAATTCTCAATCATATGAAGTATTGAGTAAGGTTAATTAGCATCTAGGAAATGCAAGAGGTTGGAAATCCATCTTCAGAATGCATTTAAATGTTTTCTGTCTTCTAGATCTTTGTTGTTCTTATTCTGCTTTCTGCTGGTCTTGCCATCGGCCATGCTTATTGGGAAGCACAGGTGGGCAATTCCTCTTGGTACCTCTATGATGGAGAAGACGATACACCCTCCTACCGTGGATTCCTCATTTTCTGGGGCTATATCATTGTTCTCAACACCATGGTACCCATCTCTCTCTATGTCAGGTAAGGCTGTCCTCTCTGGCATTTTGCTTTAATGGAAGAATGTTGTACCTTCTCCCAACATAGTGCCTTCATTTCTAGTGATCACTGTTTCAAAGGTCACAAAGAACAGGTAAGAAAATCACGTTCATTTCAGAATTGAGGGTAAGAGAGGAAAAGGAAATTAACATTTGAGTATCCACTCTGTGCCAGGCACCTTTTATCTCATCCTGTTTGCAGATAAGGGTAGGGAATTTCAAAGATCGATTGCTACTCCTGTAGTCATTGTCTTATTAGTAAGGTTCCCTTCTCACCGGGTTCCAAAGCCCAGACTTCAGAAAGGGACTGGGAGGAGGGGAAGATTTAGCAGGTGATGGAAAAACTTAGTTTTCCCTTTTGGAAGTGGTCCTCACCTCTTATCTGAGCCTTTATTATCATCTGCCACACCCAAGGTGGAGAACTTGTGCTTTCCGGCCACTACCTCCTAGTAGGAAAGAAACTCCCTGTCCTTCATCAACCTCTCAAAATGTTCTCTTTTTCATCTCAAATCTCAACCACAACAACAAAGTCAGGGGCATATCTCCGATAAGTGGTAAGCAGCTGATTTGGTGATACTTCTTCATTTTTTACTTTTACTTTTTTTTTTTTTTTTTTTGAGATGGAGTTTCACTCTTGTTGCCCAGGCAGGAATGCAATGGCATGATCTAGGCTCACTGCAACCTCTGCCTCCTGGATCCAAGCAGTTCTCCTGCCTCAGCCTCCTGAGTAGCTGGGATCACGGGTGCCCATCACCATGTCTGGCTACTTTTTTGTATTTTTAGTAGAGACAGGTTTCACCAAGTTGGCCAGGCTGGTCTTCAACTCCTGACCTCAGGTGATCTGCCCACCTCACCTCCCAAAGTGCTGGGATTACAGGCATGAGCCACCACACCCGGCCTTTTTCTCTTTTTAATATGAAAGTTCACTGCCCTTGGCCAAACTGACTTTGAGACCTTTTTGGGAGGGATAGTGCTTTGGAATAAACCCAGCAGCCAGAGTTCATTCTTAGTTCTGATAAAGAATAGCCCAGAGACATAGGAATCACATACACACCTATAATTAGAGGCATTTATTTTATTTTAGTGTCATTATATGTGCATTTGCTTTATTTTTAATTTGATTACATGTAGTTACTGTTGTTCTTTTAACATGAAGGAAAGCCCTGGGGCAGCCATCTGTTCCACAGCTACTTTGAGAAAAACCGAGTTGAGTGTTACCTTTGTCAAGGGAACTATTACATAGATAATTTTGCCTAAAACCATCAATGTGTATTATAAAAGAAACTGTATACATAATTTTATATAAAGGTATGTCATGTGACAAATACGATTTCTTTTTTCTTGGAGATAAAGGTCCTTTGAAAACATGCTGGAGCAAGTTCTTCCAGATAGTATCTCTGCTTTGACTTCAAACCTCATTCAGAATAAACCCAACCCCAGGGCCCCAAGTGTGATCTGGTGCTCAGCCTTCCACTCCGCCCGTACCTTCTGCACCTCAGCCCACCTCCCTGGGCTTCTGCCACTCTGGCCCCTTGATATTCTTCCTGCACAGGGCCTTTGTCCCTGCTCTTTTCTCTGCCAGGGGCATTCCTTACATAGGTATCTATCTGCTCCCCTTTCACTACAAAGGCCTTTACTCAGACAACACCTTATTACCCTGACCTTTCCTGACTCATTCTGTTTCTGACCACTTCTCCTTCCTGGAGATCTTCATATCTCCTTACCTTGCTTTGCTTTGATTTTTGTTTGTTTGTTTGTTGTTTGTTTGTTTTGTTTTGAGACAGAGTCTTGCTCTGTTTCCCAGGCTGGAGTGCAGTCGCGCGATCTCAGCTCACTGCAACCTCCACCTGCTGGGTTCAAGTGAGTCCCCTGCCTCAGCCTCCTTAGTGGCTGGAATTACAAGTACATGCCACTATGCCTGGCTAATTTTTGTATTTTTAGTAGAGACGGGGTTTCACCATGTTGGTCAGGCTGGTCTTGAACTCCTGACCTCATGATCCGCCCACCTCGGCCTCCCAAAGTGTTGGAATTACAGGCGTGAGCCACCACACCTGGCCCCCTGCTTTGATTTTCTGCAGAGAACTTTCACCTCTGATAGAGCCTCTCTTTATTAATTTATTTGTCTGTCTCTACTAGAAAGTAACCTCCTTAAGAGAAAGGACTTTGTTTTGTTTACAGACATGTCCCCTGCACCTAGAATGGTATCTGGTACATAGTAGGCACTTAGGAAATACTTACGGAAGGGAGAGAAGTGGGGAGAGCATCATTTTTCCATCTGTTTAACTTGTTAAGGACTTCCTTGGCCCACCTAACAATTGCTGGCTATGTAAACAGCTTCCTTATAACTGAGATAGGTAATGTCCCTTATAGTTTTAAAATTCAGATGATCCTTTTATAATATCTTATTTTGGATATTCTATAACCTTATCATAATTTAGGGATCATGATTTGGGGTATTTGCCAAAAGCCTTTTGCCCTGTTTGAGAGCACAGTGGAGTCTGTACCCTAGGGTACTCTCACTCCCTCTGCCCTACCACTTAGGGCAAAGGTGAACATGGCCATTCCAGTGCCCCTGGGTGCTATGGGGAATGGGGGAAGAGTCAAGCTTGCTGTGTCCACTGCTCTGTCTGCAGTGTTGCTGTGTCTTCCATTCTGCTGGGCTGTGTATTCTGAACATGGGTGCCTTGGCTAAATGTGCCCAGGAGTGAGTGGGAAATCTCACTGAGCAATTTTGAGTGGAAATTACTTGTCTAAAATCAGCTTGACCCTGAAGCCTGAGAATGATGCATGTGGTTAGGAGAAACCAGAGGCTGAGTGCATGGGCTTGTCTCCTTGTAGAGGGCTTAGTTTGGGCTGATATAACAAAAGACCTTCGAAATTTATTGCTCAGAGTTCTGGAGGCTGGGAAGTCTCAAATCAAAGCATCGGCAGATTCAGGGTCTGGCAAAGGCTCACTTTCTGCTTTATAGGCACAGCCGGTGCCTTCTAGCTATGTCCTCGCATGGCAGAAGGGGCAAGCAAGCTCCTTTGAGCCACTTTAATAAGGGCACTAATCCCATTCATAAGGGTGGAGCCCTCATGACCTAATGACCTTCTAAAGGCCCCACCTCAATACTGTTGAATTGGGGATTGGGTTTCAACATATGAATTTGGAGGGGGATTCTAACATTCAGACCATAGCAGTAAATAAGCAGCTTGCTCTCGTCTGTACAATGAGAATAAAATCTCTACTACTTGCCACTCGTATCCGAGCTCTCTACGGAAAATAATCTTCTGTCTTCCTAGCGTGGAAGTGATTCGTCTTGGACAGAGTCACTTCATCAACTGGGACCTGCAAATGTACTATGCTGAGAAGGACACACCCGCAAAAGCTAGAACCACCACACTCAATGAACAGCTCGGGCAGATCCATTATATCTTCTCTGATAAGACGGGGACACTCACACAAAATATCATGACCTTTAAAAAGTGCTGTATCAACGGGCAGATATATGGTAAGTGGAAGCCGTCACTCATTTTCTGGGTGAGTGGGGCTGCCTGCCGTGTGCAGGTCATTACTTGGACTATAGCCTGTCTCCTGGCATTGCTGGTGCCCTCTCGATGCAGAGTCCTGCTGCTAGGGCCATTCTCCAGCTAAGCACCAGAGGAGCACCATGGACAGCACTGGGGACACATGCGTGGGAGAGGACAGTGGCCAGAAGTGGGCTCACAGCCAGGCGTGGTGGCTCAGGCCTGTAATCCCAGCACTTTGGGAGGGTGAAGTGGGCAGATCCCAAGAGGTCAGGGATTTGAGACCAGCCTTGCCAACATGGCAAAACCCCGTCTCTACTAATAATACAAAAATTAACCAGGTGTGGTGGTGGCGCACAGCTATAATCCCAGCTACTCGGGAGACTGAGGCAGGAGAATTGCTTGAACCCGGGAGGCAGAGGTTGCAGTGAGCTGAGATCACACCACTGCACTCCAGCCTGGTGAGAGAGCAAGACTCTGTCTAAAAAAAAAAAAAAAAAAAAAAAAAATTAGAAGTCTCATTACTATATGATCTAGCAATTCCACTTCAGGTTATATACTCAAAAGAACTGAAACAGGGGCTCAAAGAGATATTTGTACACCTATGTTCATAGCAGCATTATTCACAATAGCCAAAAGATAGAAGCAACCCAAGCGTTCATCAATGGATGAATGGATAAATAAAATGTGGATACGCACAATGAAATATTATTCAGTCTAAGAAAGGAAGGAAAATTTGACACATGCTACAACACAGATGAACCTGAACTCGTTTATGCCAGAGGTTGCAATTTTTTGAATTTTTGCAATCAGAACTTGGTGATGACCTTGAGCAGTAGGATATAAATAACTCCCACATGCTTAGCGTTCCAATAATGGAACACTAGGCATAAATGGGTTAAGGACATTATGCTAAGTGAAGTAAGCCAGTCACAAAAGGACAAATGTTGTATAATTCTACTTATATGAAGTACTTAGAATAATCAGATTTATAGAGACAAAGCAGAATGATGGTTACCAGGGGCTGGAGTCAGGGGAATTGGGAGTTACTGTTTAATGGGTACAGAGTTTCAATTTTGCAAGATGAAACAGCTGCACAACAGTGTGAATATACTTGATGCCACTGAACTGTATGCTTAAAAGTGGTTAAAATGGGCTGGGTGCAGTGTCTCATGCCTATAATAACAACACTTTGGGAGGTCAAGGTGGGAGGATTGCTTGAGGCCCAGAATTCTAGACCAGCTTGGGTAACAAAGCAAAAATTTTTAAAAATTAGCAGAGTATGGTGCTGCATGCCTATAGTTCCAGCTACTTGGGAGACTGAGGCAGGAAGATCCCTTAAGCCTGGGAGTTGAAGGCTACAGTGAGCCAAGATCACACCACAGCACTCCAGCATGGCTAACAGAGCAAGACCCTGTCTCAAAATAGCAACAACAAAAATTGGTTGACTGGTGTGCAGTGGCTCACGCCTGCAATCCCAGCACCTTGGGAGGCTGAGTCAGGCACATCCCTTGAGCCCAGGACTTTGAGACCAGCCTGGGCAACATGACAAAACCCCATCTCTGGCCGGGCACAGTGGCTCATGCCTGTAATCCCAGCACTCTGGGAGGCCTACGTGGGTGGATCACAAGCTCAGGAGTTCGAGACCAGCCTGGCCAATATGATGAAACCCCATCTCTACTAAAAGTACAAAAATTACCTGGGCGTGGTGGTGGATGCCTCTAGTCCCAGCTATTCAGGAGGCTGAGGCAGGAGAATCGCTTGAACCCGGGAGGTGGAGGTTGCAGTGAGCAAAATTGTGTGTGCCTGTAGTTCCAGTTACTTGAGAGGCTGAGGTAGGATCACCTGAGCCTGGGTACGTCGAGGCTGTTGTGGGCTGGGTTTGCACCACTGCACTCCAGCCTGGGTGACAGAGTGAAACCCTGACTCAAAAAAATCAAACAAAAAATCGGTTAATATGGTAAATTTTATTATGTGTATTTCACTACAATTGTTTGTTTTCTTTGTTGTTTTTGTTTTTGAGACAGTGTCTCACTCTGTCACCAGGCTGGAGTGCAGTGGTGCGATCTCAGCTCACTGCAACCCCTCCGCCTCCCAGGTTCACATGATTCTCCTCCCTCAGCTTCCTGGGTAGCTGGGATTACAGGCACACACCACCATGCCTGGCTAATTTTTGTTGTTGTTGTTGTTGCTTTTTTGTAGAGATGGGGTTTCACCATGTTGACCAGACTGGTATCGAACCCCTGACCTCAAGTGATCCATCTGCCTCAGCCTCCCAAAGTGCTGGGGTTACAGGCGTGAGCCACCACACCCGGCCTACAATTGTGTTTTTGGTTTTGTTTTTGTTTTTTTGAGACAGAGTCTCACTCTGTCGCCCAGGCTGGAGTGCAGTGGCACGATCTTGGCTCACTGAAACCTCCACCTTCCGGGTTCAAGTGATTCTTCTGCCTCAGCCTCCCGAGTAGCTGGGACTACAGGTATGAACCACCATTCCCAGCTAATTTTGTATTTTTAATAGAGATGGAGTTTCACCATGCTAGCCAAGCTGGTCTTGAACTCCTGACCTCAGGTGATCAGCCCATCTCAGCCTCCCAAAGTGCTGGGATTACAGGTGTGAGCCACCACACCCAGCCAATTGTTTTAAAAGTTGATTTCAGTTCTAATTTTCTGAAACATTTAGAAATTTAATTTTATGTAAATTTAGAGATAATATTAAGGCTAATACTAGATTCAAATAGAGTGCTATTTTAAATATACTTAATAGCACAATTGTTTAAAATGATATAGGGACATGCATATATACTTCCTACTTGTAGGCACCGTGAGTGCCTTTTCTCATAAGAAGTATCAGTGAAGATGGTAGGGCACTGAGGGGCTGAGGACGTGGCTCACATATGTGAGTCCTTCTGACTTGGGAGAGGTAAAGCATTTCAAAGGATATGATTCAGGCCCCTAGGAGAAGGTAGTGGAGAGGGACAGCCACTGGTATTTGAATATCTAGACCAGGGGTCATCTAACGTTTTCTGTAAAGTGCCAGATAATAAATATTTTAGCCTGTCCAGGCCGTATATGGTCTTACCACCATCACTATATAAGCAAAGCCAGGTAAGGAGGGGCCTCTGGACATAGGTGTAGAATCAATTTGTTTTGTCCTGTTTGTTTCTCAGGGGACCATCGGGATGCCTCTCAACACAACCACAACAAAATAGAGGTAAGACCTTTAAGCCGAAGAATCGTTTGGGATGCTGGGGATGTCAGGGTCCCAGCAGGGCCATGCTTCCTTTGAAGGTCTAGGGAAGACTCTTTCGTTGCCTCTTCCCTGCTCCTGGTGGTTGCCCACAGTCCTTGGTGTTCCTTGGCTTGGAGACTTGGAAACACAACTCTGTGTCTCTGCCTTTGTTGTCACGTGGTGTCCCCCGTGTGTCTGTGTGTCTCTGTCCACATTTCCCCTTCTAATAAGGATACCAATCATTGGATTAGGACCTACCCTAATTGAGTATGACCTCATTTTATCTTGATTACATCTGTAAAGACCCTGTTTCTAAATAAGGTCACATTCATAGGTACCAGAGGTTAGAATTTCAACATATCTTTTGGGGGAACATAGTTTAGTCCACCACAAAGTACCTTTTGACTAGGCATGGTGGCTCATGCCTGTAATCCCAGCACTTTGGGAGGCTAAGTTTGGCAGATCAATTGAGTCAAGGAGTTTGAGACCAGAGAAACCCCATCTCTACAAAAAAATACAAAAATTAGCCAGGTATGGTGGTGCATGCCCGTAGGCCCATCTACTCAGAAGGATTGCTTGAGCCCAGGAGGTGGAGGTTGCAGAGAACTGAGATCAAGCCACTGCACTCCAGCCCGGGTGACAGAGTGAGACCCATATATGGTCATATATGTTTCCAAAAAAAAAAAGGGGGGGAGCTTTTTATTTAAGACAGTTGTGAGCCTCTTGACATTTAAGAATGTGCTAAAATCCTAAGGTGGTTTTTGCATAATTGAAACCTTGCCTTTGAAGAAAAGTTCATGTCATTTGTTAAGTCAAAAATATTTTATAAAATCATATTTTGTTTTTCTCCATTTCTTTCAGCAAGTTGATTTTAGCTGGAATACATATGCTGATGGGAAGCTTGCATTTTATGACCACTATCTTATTGAGCAAATCCAGTCAGGGAAAGAGCCAGAAGTACGACAGTTCTTCTTCTTGCTCGCAGTTTGCCACACAGTCATGGTGGATAGGACTGATGGTGAGTGTTTCTCTGGCATCTCAGGCATTAGAGACCAGGTTTTTTGTTTCCAGGTAACTCCTGCTTATGGCTCAAATGCATGTCAAGTAGTACACAAATCTGTCTCATATTAGAATGCAGTGAATATTTCTCAGCACTTACCACTAGATGGTTTATGGAAGAGCAAAGTAGGAAACAAGCTTCTTGTCCCTGAAAATTTACACTTATTCATAGCTATAGCTCCAGGTGTATTTTTTTCACTTTGCAAATGAAATCTTGTTGAAAGAAATGATTGGTACTTGAACTATGATAGAAGAAACTAACTTTTCTTAGCACATTTATTACTGAGCATTGACTGAGAGTGAAAAGTCAAGCTTTATCTGTATCAGAAATGGACTTTGAACTTGACTAATCTTTTCTACCAAATAATTTCAGATATATGCTCTTATTTACTAGATTCTGTTATAGTTTGGGTTTGAAATAATATGAGCCTCAGCCTGGATCTCTTTAAGGTGCCTTTTTCCATTTAAAGGAGCATAATTAATGTGAATTTCATGGGAACAAGCCAGAATGGCTTGTAGGTTCCTTTGCAGAATCCTTCGATGCAGTTTGTGCCAGCTTTGTCACAGCAAGTTTGTCCTGTATCAAGGAAAGCTAGTCATTTTATCACAAATGGACATAATGATAAATTATATAGACACACATGCACTTTATAGAAAGAGCAAAAGGAGTTCTTTTGGTGTTTCTGTAATAAAGCGTAGTCTGCCTTCACTTCATTCCCTCACTTCATCCACTTCACTACATCTTCCACTTTTTACTTCAGTCAGTGCGGCATACATAAGTCCCTCTCTTTTCTCAACCTTAATGTTTCATATGTAGCAGGTATGAAATTTCCAGAGAAGGAATATGCATAAAAACTAAATGTGTAGGCCAACGCTTGGTGGCTCACACCTGTAATCCCAGCATTTGGAAGGTCGAGGTGAATGGATTGCTTGAGCTCAAGAGTTCAAGACCAGCCTGAGCAACATGGCAAAACTCCATCTCACCAAAAAATACAAAAAATTAGCCAGGTGTGATGGGACATGCCTGTAGTCCCAGCTACTCAGGTGGGGATCGCTTGAGCCCAGGAGGTCAAGGCTGCAGTGAGCCATAGTCTCACCATTACCCTCCAGCTTCGGTGATGGAGTGAGACCCTATCTCAAAAAAAAACAAAAAACACCTAAATGTATAGAAGCTGTACATGATACCTTTCAGCAAGTTTCAAAGAAACCCATTTTCCAAGGATGAATCTAATATTGCAATGAAGCAAGGTAACAGAGTTCAGATTAGGGTGGATACATGGAAGGGTTTATCAGCAGATGATGTGGGGAAGGATAGAAAGGGGCGATACCAGGTCCTGAATCATGGAAGCAGAGGTCTAAGTCTATTTGACTCACCAAGCCAATTTTACCCAGGCAATAAGCATAAAGTATGATATTACAAAGTCACCTGGTTCTCTTTGGTTTTGACTCATAAGCACAATTATTGTACTCTTCTCTGGGTACGTGATAGGATTTTAAGGGCTAACTGGCCAACTTAGGCAAATGTAAATTCATCCTGTGGTCCCTATTCTATCTTTCCCCAGTGGGATATTATGGGAAGAGCCCTGGACTACATGCTAGAGATGAGTCAGCCCAGTCTGGGTCCCTCTCTGAGAACCACCTTCCTCGGTGTTGTAGTAAGAAGGTTGGATGTACAAAGTTCCTTCCAGCAGGGCTGGGCGCGGTGGCTTACACCTGTAATCCCAGCACTTTGGGAGGCCGAGGCGGGCAGATCATGAGGTCAGGAGTTCAAAACCAGCCTGGCCAACATGGTGAAACCCCATCTCTACTAAAAATACAAAACATTAGCCAAGCATGGTGGCATGTGCCTATAATCCCAGCTACTTGGGAGGCTGAGACAGGAGAATCGCTTGAACCTGGCAGGCAGAGGTTGCAGTGAGCCAAGATCACGCCACTGCACTACAGCCTGGGCAACAGTGCAAGACTCCATCTCAAAAAAAAAAAAAAATAACACAAAGTCCCTCCAGCCTGACATACCGCAGCTCTTTGTCCACTGTCAGCTGAGGTCAAGGGTTGTACGAATAGAGACATGTTGGCTTCTAGTGCAGGAGCTTAGAGAAAGAAATTGCTTTCGGCTTTTAACCATAAAGTACCAGGAAAGGATCCCTTGAAAGGGACCTTGGGGACTACACCTTCAAGTTTTGTTTTGTGTTTTTGAGACAGTCTTGCTCTTGTCACCCAGGCTGGAGTGCAATGGCATGATCTCGGCTCACTGCAACCTCCACCTCCCAGGTTCAAGCAATTCTCGTGCCTCAGCCTCCTGAGTAGCTGGGACTACAGGGGCCCACCACCACGCCCAGCTAATTTTTGTATTTTTAGTAGAGATGGGGCTTCACCATGTTGGCCAGGCTGGTCTCCAACTCCTGATTTCAGGTGATCTGCCCACCTCAACCTCCCAAAGTGCTGGGATTACACGCGTGAGCCACCACACCCTGCCACATGCATTTGTTTTCTGCTACTCTGTAGTGAATTAGTGTAACTCAGCTACTGAAAACACCTGTTCATTAGCTTACGGTTCTGTAGGGCAGAATTCTGAGCATGGCATGACTGGGTTCACCGCTCAGCATCTGACTAAAATCAAGTTTGGGCCATGTTCTCATCTGGAGCTCAGTGTCTTTTTCCACGTTCACGTGTGGTTGCAGCAGGATTCAGTTCTCTGTGGTTGTAGAACTGAAGTCCCCATTTCTTTATTCTTTATCAACTGGGTTGCCCTCCACTCCTAGAGACTGTCCTCATTCCCTGCCAGCTGGTCCACTTCACCTTCAAAGCCAGCGGTGGAGAATCTCCCTTAAATTGAACCTTTTTCATGCTGCTCCAAGTCTCTCCCCAAGAAGAGTTCTGTCCTAAGCTCATCTAATTCAGTCAGGAACACCTGGATAATCTATTTTAAGGTCAGCTGATTAGGATCGCACATCTGCAAATTCCCTTCACAGCAGTACCTAGATTAGTGCTTGATTGAGTAAATGGGAGAAAGTGAATGTACAGCACTGGGATGGGAACCTTGAGGCCATTGCAGACTCCCGCCTGCACAGAGGTCATGTGAGAGCAGAATGTGGAAGGCTTGGAAGCCTTCACTTCACCTGGAGGTTCTGAGTTAATGATCAGAGAGCTTGTTTCAGGAGTTTTGCGCATCACGGGTGTGAGAGTCTGGAGCAGGTAGGCACTGGAGATTGGCACAGAGGCTGAAGGTTTGCATTAGTATGGGGTCTTTGGGAAGGATAACAAAGCCATGGATGTGGGAGACACTTGGCAAATCATTTAAAGGGGGTGAGAGGATTGAGGAGAAAAAGACATCTGAGAGCTAGGGCTTGTTTTTGTGAGCGTGTGTGGTTTTTTTTTTGTTTTGTTTTGTTTTGTTTTGTTTTGTTTTTGAGACCAAGTTTCACTCTTATTGCCCAGGCTGGAGTGCAATGGCATGATCTCGGCTCACTGCAACCTCCGTCTCCCGGGTTTAATCAATTCTCCTGCCTCAGCCTCCGAGTAGCTGGGATTACAGGCATGCCCCACCACACCCAGCTAATTTTGCATTTTTAATAGAGATGGGGTTTCTCCATGTTGGTCAGGCTGGTCTTAAACTCCCGACCTCAAGTAATCCTCCAGCCTTGACCTCCCAAAGGTGCTGGGATTACAGGTGTGAGCCACCACACCCAGTCTTTTTTTTTTTTTTTTTTTTTTTTTGAGACTGAGTCTCGCTCCTGTTGCCCAGGTTGGAGTACAGTGCCGCAATCTTGGCTCACTGCAACCTCTGCCTCCCAGGTTCAGGTGATTCTCCTGCCTCAGCCTCCCGAGTAGCTGGGATTACAGGCGCCCACACCAAACCCTGGCTAACTTTTTGTATTTTTAGTAGAGATGGAGTTTTGCCATGTTGGCCAGGCTTGTCTTGAACTCCTAACCTCAGGTGATCCACCCGCCTCAGCCTCCCAAAGCACTGGGATTACAGGTGTGAGCCACCATGCCTGGCCAGGTAGTTTATTGTCACTTAATTAGAGTGAGCCGGGTGCAGTGATTCACGCCTGTAATCCCAGCACTTTGGGAGTCTGAGGTAGGCGGATCACCTGAGGTCAGGAGTTCAAGACCAGCCTGACCAATATTGTGAAACCCCACCTCTACTAAACATACAAAAATTAGCTGGGCGTGGTGGCGGGCACCTGTAGTCCCAGCTACTTGGGAGGCTGAGACAGGAGAATTGCTTGAACCCGCGAGGCGGAGGTTGCTGTGAGCCGAGATTTTGCCACTGCGCTCCAGCCTGGGCGACAAAGTGAGACTCCATCTCAAAAAGAAATTAGAGTGAATCAGCTGAGGCAGTTGTGAAGGAGAGAAGAAAGGTGCATTTAGCTTTCTCTGCCACCATTACCCTGAAGCTAGGGAATCAGGTTGATGAGAACTGAGAGGTGGGATTTGTGGTTTGAGCATCTTTCTTTGATTACATCAATTTCATGAGCCACAAATTAGTGTGTGAAAGAAAAAGAAGGTCTTTCTGGTTGCCTCTAAATGTGCCATAAATAAAGAGTTTTCTTAGGAAGGTTGCTTTGTTTTTGTTTGTTTTTTTAGTTTGTTTTTACACCTTCAATTTTTATTTTAGGTTCAGGGGATACATGTGCATGTTTGTTACATGGGTATATTGCATGATCCTGAAGTTTGGGGTACAATTGATCCCATCATCCAGGTAGTGAACACAGAACTTAATAGTTAGTTTTTCTTTTCTTTTTTATTCTTTTTTTTTTTTGAGACAGAGTCTTGCTCTGTTGCCCAGGCTGGAGAGCAGTGGCGCGATCTCGGCTCACTGCAAGCTCTGCCTCCCGGGTTCATGCATTCTCCTGCCTCAGCCTCCCAAGTAGCTGGGACTACAGGCACCCGCCACCATGCCTGGCTAATTTTTTTTGTATTTTTAGTAGAGACAGGGTTTCACCATGTTAGCCAGGACGAAAGGTCAGCCTGCTGCGTTGGCTGGGAATTGAAGTCGGGTCAATTGCTTGGAAGGCAGCTATGCTCACCACTATACCATCAACACCACACTCTTTTCTTTTCTCTTCTTTTTTTTTTTTTTTGAGATAGAATCTCGAACTATCGCCTGGGCTGGAGTGCAATGGTGTGATCTCGGTTCACTGCAACCTCTGCCTCCCGGGTTTATGCGATTCTCCTGCCTCAGCCTCCCAAGTAGCTGGGACTACAGGCACCCGCCACCATGCCTGGCTAATTTTTTTTGTATTTTTAGTAGAGACAGGGTTTCACCATGTTAGCCAGGACAAAAGGTCAGCCTGCTGCATTGGCTGGGAATCGAAGTCGGGTCAATTGCTTGGAAGGCAGCTATGCTCACCACTATACCATCAACACCACACTCTTTTCTTTTCTCTTCTTTTTTTTTTTTTGAGATAGAATCTCGAACTATCGCCTGGGCTGGAGTGCAATGGTGTGATCTCGGTTCACTGCAACCTCTGCCTCCCGGGTTTATGCGATTCTCCTGCCTCAGCCTCCCAAGTAGCTGGGATTACAGGTGCATACCACCACACGTGGCTAATTTTTTACATTTTTAGTAGAGACGGGGTTTCACTATGTTGGCCAGGCCGGTCTCAAACTCCTGACCTTGTGATCCACCCGCCTCAGCCTCCCAAAGTGCTGGGATTACAGGTGTGAGCCACCGTGCCCTGCCCTAATAGTAAGTTTTTCAACACTTGTTGCCCTCCCTCCCTCCTTTCTCTTGAAGTCCCCACTATCTATTTTTGCAGTCTTTATGTCCATGAGTACCCAATGTTAAGTGAGAACATGTGGTAGGTATGTGGTCTTCTGTTCCTGAGTTAATTTGCTTAGGATAATGGCCTAATCTCTATTGTGACAAAGGACATGATTTTGTTCCTTTTTATGGCTGCATAGTTTTTTAGTCCAAGTGTCTTCCAGCAGTCATAAGGTTGGAATTTGGACCAAGTCACTGACGTTCTTCCCATCTCTGTTAGTCTGCAATTCTGTGATTCCATTATCAGAAGGTAATGGAAAACATTTTTTTTTCTTTAATGATAAAAATATCAAGGTGTTTGCTCTAGATATGAGTGTCTTACTTGTGGGAACTTTACCACTTTTTATTATTTTGTTCCTTTTCTCTGCTGGAAATGCGTTTGCTGTCAATATTATGCCATATATCGCTGTGCCAACTTAAGTTGCCGAAGGGAAAGGCTTTGTTCTCACCGCTGCTGATTTGTCTCTGGTTAAATAGTTTGCCCTCTAGCATTTGTATATGATTGCTAGATGGCCGGATTTAGGAAGTGCGTTTATAGCTTCTAGTGAATGACTTTCTGAGTGAACAAATACAGAGAGACCCTAAGTGTCATCTTTAATTATTAATTAGGAAGTGATTAATATTGACTTAAAAAGTGAATCCTCTGAGCCAATTGTGAAGGAAGGAAGGAAGGTGTGTTTAGCTCTCTCTGCCACCGTTACCCCAGAGCACCAACCATTCCAAGTGAGGCTGCTCATGCATCTGTGGCCTTCATCCTGGTCAAAGTATTTTGGAAAACTAAATGCTCTTTCTGTCCAAAGTCATCTGGCCACGGAAATGCTTTTCCTTCTATTTTGAGACAAAATAACTAGAGTAGAAAAATAGAAGATCTTGGGTAGGCAGAGTATTTTTTAAACTTTTTATTGAAGTACAACATGTGTATACAGAGATATGTACGTATCATAAGTATATAACTCAATGAATTTTCACAAACCAATACTCTTGTAATGAGCACCCAGATTTTTAAAAAAGAACATTATCAATCCCCCTAGAATTCCCTTTACATTCCTTTCCAGTGATTACAAGAAAAGTACTTTCCTGACTACGAATAACACAGGTTAGCTCTGTCAGTTTTTTGGCTTATTTCAGTGGAATCATGTAGCATATGTACTCTTTTGTGTATCTGGCTGTGAGATTTATTCCTCTTCTTATTGGTTTTTTCTTTTTTCCTAAAAGAGACTGCATCTTGCTCTGTCAGCCAGGCTGGAGTGCAGTGGAATATCAAAGCTCACTGTAACCTCACACTCCTGGGCTCAAGTGATCCTCCTGCCTCAGCCTCCTGAATAGTTGCAATTATAGGCACGTGCCACTGAACCTAGCTTATTCTTATTGTTGAAATGTAGTTGTGAATAGAAGACAATTTTCCATTATTTAACTTTTAAACATTAAGATATCGGATAGTGATCAAACTAAGGTTGGTTGGTTTGTTTCAACTTTTCTTTCTTTCTTTTTTTTTTTTTTTTTTTTTGAAATGGAGTCTCGGTCTGTCACCAGGGTGGAGTGCAGTGGCGAGATCTCGGCTCACTGCAACCTCCACCTTCTGGGTTCAAGTGATTCTCCTGCCTCAGCCTCCCGAGTAGCTGGAACTATAGGCACGTGCCACCATGCCTGGCTAATTTTCTGTGTTTTTAGTAGAGACAGAGTTTCACTGTGTTAGCCAGGATGGTCTCCATCTCCTGACCTCATGATCTACCTGCCTCAGCCTCCCAAATTGCTGGGATTACAGGCGTGAGCCACTGCACCCAGCCTGTGTGGTTTTTTTTTCTTTTTTTTTTTAATAAGGAGAATATAGCTATGGTAAAGAAAAAATAGCCTGGGCAACATGGTGAGATCCTGTCTCTACAAAAAATACAAACATTAGCTGGGCGTGGTGATGTGCGCCTATAGTCCCAACTACTCAGGAAGCTGAGGTGGGAGGATCACTTGCGCCTGAAGCGATCAAGGCTGCAGTGAGCTGAGATGGTGCCACTGCACTCCAGCCTTGGTGCCAGAGTAAGACTGTCTCAAAAAAACAAAAAAGAAAGAAAGAAAGAAAACATACTTTTTTAGAGGGAAGATAAACTGGTACAACCTTCTTGGAAAACAAATTAGTATTGTATACCAATGAGTTTTAAAATTATCAGTGTTCTCTGGCTCAGTATTTTCCTAATAGGAATCTGCTCTTAGAAAATAAGCCAGGGGCCCAGGGGCAGTGGCTCATGCCTGTAATCCGAACACTTTAGGGACTGAGGCAGGCGAATCACTTGAGTCCAGGAGTTTGAGACCAGCCTGAGCAACATGGTGAAACCCCGTCTCTACAAAAAATACAAAAAATTAGCCAGGTGTGGTGGCGTGTACCAGTAATCCCAGCTACATGGGAAGATGAGGTAGGAGGATCACTGAGCCTGGGGAGATTGAGGCTTCAGTGAGCCATGATCGTGCCACTGCACTGCAACCTGGGCAACACGGTGAGACCCTGTTTCAGAAAAACAAGAAAGAAAGAGAATAAGCCAGGTGAGGTGACATGAGCCTGTAGCCCTAGCGACTCATTAGGCTGAGGCAGAAGGATCACTTGGGCCCCGGAGATCAAGAGCAGCCTGGACAACATAGGGAGACCTCTGTCTCTAAAAAGAAAAAAGAAACAGAAAAATCTTTACACACATACAAAAGGGTTATTAAAGTGTGACTTTTTGAGAGTAAAAAAATTTGGAAATTAAGTGTCTGTAATGGGAAAATGATAACATATTTACATTTGTTCAAATGTTTATAAAGAATTTAAAAAGGGATGGCAATATGCTCAGATACAGCATTAAAATAATCAGGATGTAAATGTATATTCAGCTTGATAGAAACAATTTCAGATACAGACATTTTAAAAGGCACTGGAGGGAATGATAAAATGTCAACACCTGTTGTTTCTCCTGTGGATGGTGGGATTATGGGAATTTTCCCTCATTCTCCACCAATGTTTCTTTTTTAGTTTATATTACTGTTTATAAGTCAAGATAAAACAAAGAAGTTTTAATCTTGGCATAACCCTTCCAAGTCAATGACTCGTTTTCCTGGGGATGTTTTGGGCTTTGCAGCCCATCTGACCCCCACAGGAGCCTCAGCAGAGGCCTCAACAATGAGCTCTGCATTTGTTTTTACAGCTTTTCTGGGATTTCTCTCGCTTCCTTGTTAGGTCAGCTCAACTACCAGGCAGCCTCTCCCGATGAAGGTGCCCTGGTAAACGCTGCCAGGAACTTTGGCTTTGCCTTCCTCGCCAGGACCCAGAACACCATCACCATCAGTGAACTGGGCACTGAAAGGACTTACAATGTTCTTGCCATTTTGGACTTCAACAGTGACCGGAAGCGAATGTCTATCATTGGTAAGTCCCCCTCAGAGTCTGTCTATGAATCGCTCATTTAGATGTTGCTTGTGCCCATTGTATTGAGTGGCATCAGGATAAAGCAGCCAGTGAAAGAGCTACTTGGCTCCTGGGAGATTTCTGCAGCTTTACTGAAACTGGTATTGTTGGCTGGGCGTGGTGGCTCACGCCTGTAATCCCAGCACTTTGGGAGGCCGAGGCGGGTGGATCACGAGGTCAGGAGATCGAGACCATCCTGGCTAACACGGTGAAACCCCGTCTCTACTAAAAATACAAAAAAAATTAGCCGGGCGTGGTGGCTGGCACCTGTAGTCCCAGCCACTCGGGAGGCTGAGACAGGAGAATGGCGTGAACCCGGGAGGCAGAGCTTGCAGTGAGCCGACATCGCGCCACTGCATTCCAGCCTGGGCGATAAAGCAAGACTCCGTCTCAAAAAAAAAAAAAAAAGAAACTGGTATTGTTTTCTTCATTCTTCACTGTGTTCCCTACTCAAAGGGGTAGCCACAGTATCTCTGAATCTTGCAAATGCTGCTGACGTTCTTTTTTAATCCCTCTCTTTTTTTTCTTTTCTTTTCTTTTTTTTTTTTTTTTTGAGATGGAGTCTTGCTCCGTCACCCAGGAGTGCAGTGGTGCGATCTCAGGTCACTGCAACCTCCGCCTCCCAGGTTCAAGCGAGTCTCCTGCCTCAGCCTCCTGAGTAGCTGGGATTACAGCTGCTGACATTCTTTAACCACGTGGGCTGCCAGATGCTGAATCTGGGGCAGCAGGTGGAACATTTCTGAAGCAGCAGGTAGACATTTGTAGCAGTCTTTTATTTTAAACAACACATGCTCTTTTATTTTTTGAGCACCTCTGAGTGCTCTCTTCTGTACTTGATGGCAGGGAAGGGAGGACTCAGCAGGAAAAGATTTCTGAGAAAAGCAAAGCTATGCTTATGAATCAAAATCATATCTGCAATGCAGGCACATAACAGACCACCAAGTGAAGATGAAAATCACTTCCTACCACTGAACTGCTTTAAATTCGTAATTTGAAATAATCTCAAACTTATAGAAAAGTTACAAGAATGGTTTAAAGAGCCCTCATACTCTTCCATATCCACCAATTGTTAACATAATGAAATTTCATTTACATATCTCTATATATAGATCTAATATATATCTAATTATATATATGTAATTTCATTATATATACCTATATATATACACACATATATATGTACACACACATACATACAGGTTATTGTTTTCTGAACCATTTGAGAGTAAATTGCGTTAGAAGGAGCAAGATTACATGATAAAAAAAGAAAATAAAAATATAAAAAAGAGAATAAATTGCAGGCCTAATGTCCCTTTCCCCTAAATACTGTACTATATACCATAGTAGGTATTTCCTAAGAACAGAAGCACTCACTTATATATACAGTGCAATGTTCAGAACCAGAAAATTTAACACAGTACAATATTATCTAATCAATAGACTTTATCAGATTTTACCAGGGAGGTTCATTCTTTGTTTTTCTGGTCCAGGATCCAATCTAAGATCACAGGTTATATTAGGTGATCATGACTCTGAGTCAAGGACGGTTCAATCTCTTTTTGATCTTTCATCCATTGATATTTTTAAAAAGCACAGGCTGGTTATTTTATAGGCTATCCCTCCATTTGCGTTTGTCTGATGTTCCCTCATGATTAGAGCTAGGTTACACATTGTTGGCAGGAAGAGTCCGTAAGTGATGCTGTGCTTTTCTTTAAGTATCACATCAGAAGGTGTATACACACACACACATTTATATTTATATATATATACATATATTTATATATGTATATTTATATATACATGTATTTATATATGTGTGTATATATGTAGATATATGTATGTATATATGTGTATATACATGTTATATATATATATATATATATATATATATATATATATATATATATACTTTTTTTTTTTTTTTTTTTGAGACAGAGTTTCACTCTTGCTGCCCAGGCTGAAGTGCAATGGTGCTATCTCGGCTCACTGCAACCTCTACCTCCCTGGTTCAAGTGATTCTCCTGCCTCAGCCTTCTGAGTAGCTGGGATTACAGGCATGTGCCACCATGCCTGGTTAATTTTGTATTTTTAGTAGAAACAAGGTTTCTCCATGTTGGTCAGGCTGGTCTCCAACTGCCGACCTCAGGTGACTGGCCCGCCTTGGCCTCCCAGAGTGCTGGGATTACAGGCGTGAGCCACCCTGCCTAGCCAGAAGGTATATATTATTGGTTTGTCTCATTAATGGGGATGTTAACTTTGATCACTTGGTTAAGGTGGTATCTACAAGCCTTCTCCACTATGATTGAATTTTTAACCAATAAAAATATACAGGTTTAACTATTACACCCTCCTTAGGCACACTTACTGAACGCTTTCTGTGTCCCTTACACAGATCTAGACTGATTATCATGCTTGCCATCTACCTTGATTTAAAATCTGGTTAACAGTGAGGGATGTATTACAATTATTGCATTAATCAAAAAACCCAAAAAAAATGGTCATTAGGAGTGGTGTTGTGGTCGAAGTATTAAAAGCAGTAAGTGTTGTGAGTTCATAGGTGAGAAACTACCTGTTGGTTGGATGGAGAAAAAGTCTACAAAAGAAAGTAACTAGAACATGGCATAGCACATGGTAGGGAGTCAGTAAATATTTGTTGGAAGAATAACTGAGGTTATAAAAAACAGAGCTGACTGTGAAGGAATCTTTTTATATTTATTTCACTATTACATTCAATGTAGATAATGACTTACCAGTTTTGTTGAAGGCAACACTTTTCTAGAGGAACTGATGGTTTTAAGCTAACAGTGAATTATGAGATAGTAACATTTCAAATTAACTTTATAAATGTAGTTTTCTATTAAAAAATCAAACTTAGCTGGGTGTGGTAACTCACATCTGTAATCCCAGCATTTTGGGAGGCTGAGGCAGGAGGATTGCTTGAGCCCAGGAGTTCAAGACCAGCCTGGGTAACATAGTGAGACCTCCAATGTCTATAAAAATAAAAATTAGCCAGGCATGGTGGCATGCACCTGTAGTCCCAGCTACTCGGGAGGCTGAGATGGGAGGATTGCTTGAGCCTGGGGGGTCGAGGCTACAGTGAGCCGATACTGAACTGCTGCACTCCAGCCTGGACAACAGAGCAAGACCCTGTCTCAAAAAATATATATATAAAAAATCAAACTTTGTTGTGTTTATTTCCTTCTTTTACTACCAGTAAGAACCCCAGAAGGCAATATCAAGCTTTACTGTAAAGGTGCTGACACTGTTATTTATGAACGGTTACATCGAATGAATCCTACTAAGCAAGAAACACAGGATGCCCTGGATGTAAGTTTCACTTTTATTCTTTCTGCAAGGGATTCTGAACTTACTCTCTGATGCTGTCTGTTAAGTTTGCATGAAAGCTGTATGTTAACTGCTGACCCTCCCTTTGCTTTGCAATAGTTGGGGTGGAAAGAGCAGTAAAGTAGGAATACAGCCACCTGGGTCCCAGTTCTGCCCCTGCCACTGACTTCCTGGGATATCACCATGGTGCCCTCTCCCAGCATGTGGGTCTTCAAGGTCTATAGGACTGAGGCAGGGGAATGGCTTAGCTCTCTTCCAGTGGCCTTGAGCAAGCTACATAACCATACTAGGTTGTAGTCTTACTATGTGTGTGGTCCCCAAGACCTCCACTAACTTCAAGTTGTAGTGCAAAGGAAGGAAAGCATTCATATGTGACAGGATGACAGAGCTGACTATAGGTCACATCTTGTCTAGCCAAGATGGCAGAAGCGGTTCAACTGATTGAGTATTTGGTGTCTCATGCCTGTAGTCCCAGCACTTTGGGAGGCCAAGGCGGGTGTATCACCTGAGGTCAGGAGTTCAAGACCAGCCTGGCCAACGTGGTGAAACCCCGTCTCCACTAAAAATACAAAAAAATTAACTGGGTGTGGTGGTGGGCACCTGTAATCCCAGCTACTTGGGAAGCTGAGGCAGGAGAATCGCTTGAACCCCAGAGGGAGGGGGTAGAGTGAGCCGAGATCGTACCATTGCACTCCAGCCTGGGCGACAAGAGCAAAACTTGGTCAAAATAAAAAAGATGTGACTATAAAGTAATGAGATGTTTACTGGTTCATGTTGAAACTGTTTAAAATGTTTAAATCAGGCTGGGTGCAGTAGCTCACGCCTGTAATCCCAGTACTTTGGGAGGGTGAGGTGGCAGATCACGAGGTTAACAGATCGAGACCATCCTGGCCAACATGGTGAAACCCCGTCTCTACCAAAAATACAAAGATTAGCCAGATGCAGTGGCACCCGCCTGTAATCCCAGCTACTCAGGAGGCTGAGGCAGGAGAATGGCGTGAACCAGGGAGGCAGAGGTTGCAGTGAACCGAGATCGCACCACTGCACTCAAGCCTGGGCGATAGAGTGAGACTTCATCTCAAAAAAAAAAAAAAGAAAAAGAAAAAGAAAAAAAAAGAAAATGTTTGAATCGTTCATCATGGGAAAATTGCCAGATACTCTTTTCCATTAAAAGCTTTGACCTCAGCTTTAACAATGGCTTGTGTATTTTAGAATTGGTTTGAGGGAATAATGCTTAGTGGAGAGTTCATAGGTGATTGGACTTGTATCACAGTTTGTTGGAACAAGTTATAAAGTTGTCAGGTTCGTGCTTATGTCATTACACCCCAAGGCAGCTCCCTTGGTCTGATATTTTCCTAGTCATGAAGAGAAAAAGAGAAAATGAGAAAATGAGAAAGGTAATAGAAGATTTAGAAGAAAGGTAAGCTTTTCCCTTTGGAAACTGGAAGTGCAGTCCTGGACCCTATAGAAGTTTAGAAAAGCAAAGTCTATTATAAAGTGATGTTTAGGCTGGGTGCAGTGGCTCATGCCTGTAATCCCAGCACGCTGGGAGGCTGAGTTGGGCAGATCACATGAGCTCGTGAGTTCAAGACCAGCATGATGAAACCCCATCTCTACAAAAAAAAGTACAAAAATTACCAGGCGTGGTGGTGCACACCTGTAGTCCCAGCTACTTGGGAGGCTGAGGTGAGAGGATGGCTTCAGCCTGGAAGGCAGAGGTTGCAGTGAGCCGGGATTGCATCACTGCATCCCAGCCTGGATGATAAAGCCAGACCTTGTCTCAAAAAAAAAAAAAGTGACATTTAATCCCCTCTCTAAAGTGTATTTGTACAGAATCTGTCATGTTTAATGATCTCTTTTTAAATTCTGTTAGTATATTACTTCAAAGTAAAATTTCAGACTTGATCCTGAATTACATAAATTAACTATTCTTTGCATTGGTGGATTTATTTTTTTAAATAAAACAGATCTTTGCAAATGAAACTCTTAGAACCCTATGCCTTTGCTACAAGGAAATTGAAGAAAAAGAATTTACAGAATGGAATAAAAAGTTTATGGCTGCCAGTGTGGCCTCCACCAACCGGGACGAAGCTCTGGATAAAGTATATGAGGAGATTGAAAAAGACTTAATTGTGAGTTTTAGCCTTAATAACTTTTTCTTTGATATTCTAAGCAGAATTGAAATTTTTATTAAGTTTTATTGAATATTTGATCTCATGCTTAAGAGATAATTGTAACTTCAGCATTTGACACTGGCACAATGGAAGAAGGTTATTTCTTTTATTCACCAAAATAGGAGCAGAACAGAAGTTGCCATTATGAGAAACCAAAAGACAAAATACATTAGGAGAAGTTCTAATTTAATTCCATAATTTGTATATCACTTATTAAAATTTATTATAATTTTTAAACAATAACAAACCTGCATCTAATACTTATTACATTGGGGGAATTACCGAAACAATTCATATTCTGCAAAATCTTGAAATAAGAAAAATATATTGTTTCTAAAAGTTTTCCAAATTTAATACATAGTTTTTGTAGGGTTTAGATAAGTGGAAAATATTCAACAAATAGCTAGTATTGCAACTGGTTTACGGTTTATGTCAGTATAAAGCCACAAATACACAAGAAAAGTGTATTTTTAACATCCTTGATTTTGTACTTGCATTTTTGTCTTGGTAAATTAAATAGTTCATCCTTTAGGGAAAAAGTTTTTAGGTGTGTTGGTTTGCAGTAATTGTGAAACATGGCAGCCTTCCCTGTTAACACTGGCCATTGGCCCCAGGAGAGCAGCAACCAGGATGTATAATTAGCCCTTCTTTTTACAGGTTGGCAACCTGTAATTACAGAAAACTTTTGGTTTGTTTGCTAATTCCTTTTTTTTTTTTTTTTAATATACATTCTAGCTCCTGGGAGCTACAGCTATTGAAGACAAGCTACAGGATGGAGTTCCAGAAACCATTTCAAAACTTGCAAAAGCTGACATTAAGATCTGGGTGCTTACTGGAGACAAAAAGGGTAATTCATTGTGCAGGGAAGCATATCTGTTAATTCACAAATATTTATAGCTGCCGTTTCCTTTGCCCAAGATGACCTCCTCAGACTTTTCATCCTGTACAAACACTGTTTCTTTGGACGGAAGATGCTTTTTCTGAGAAACCCTCCTCTGTTTTTCCAGCACATTCTTCTGCATCCTTTCCTGATCCCCCTCAGTAGCAGTTTCTTCCTTATAATTTAGCTCCTGGCCATGTCTTGCTGATTATAATTGGTCTTATCTCTCCAGCCAGACGTGGGTTCCCGTCCTGAAAGGGCCATCCCTCTTGTCCCTCTGTCCTTCCAGTGCTTTGACATTTGGTGGGCACAGAGTAGAACAATACAAAGTACTGAACAATAACTTTGGTTTTCTTGCCAATTTTATTGCTTGGCAATAAAATTGTATACCTAAGGAAAGAACGATTTTAATTTTTTAACTTTAGAACTCAACAAGCACTTGTTTGGTATTGATACTTTACTTTGTAAGCCTTCCACAAGAAATCAAATAATGTCTCTTGCGCTGAAATCGTCAACGGGTTACACACTCTGCAAAGTTATGGGAAGCACAGCCCTGACCTTAAATAAATGCCAAATTGGGTGGTAATTTAAAAGGAAAAAAAATCTTCACGTAAGGGTTGGTGGAAATTATTATGCTTCCCTCTGCCCCCGCCCCCCGCCAATAACAGAGTAATTGAACCAGGAACTGAGAGTGTTTAGTAATTTAATGAACATTGGTTTACTAAATAACCAGTTTATATGTTTGATAATATAGCACATTTTATTATTGAAAACATTTCAAATTAGACTTTGACTTTCACTTGTTTTATTATGGAGAAAAGGATTTTTCTTCTGCATGTGATTCCTACAGATTGCTATAGAAAAATAGTGTGTTTGTGTGAATCTGGTTATGTTCATGAACTAAAAAATATCATTACTAGGTAAAATCAATTATTCAGTTCAACAGTAAGAATGAGCCTGGCAAACATGACAAAACCCCATCTCTAGAAAAAACACAAATTGTTTGGTGGCTTGGCAGCGAGTTGCGTAGTCCCAGCTACTTGGGGGCTGCGGGTGGTGCTGAGATGGGCAGATCACTTGAATCCTGGAGGTTGAGGCTGTAGTGAGCAGAGATTGTGCCACTGCACTCCAGCCTAGGCAGTGGGAGTGAGATGCTGTCTCAAAAAACAAAATAAAATAAAATAAAAACAGCAGGAATGACATTTGACTTAATTTTATTCTATTGTAGAAACTGCTGAAAATATAGGATTTGCTTGTGAACTTCTGACTGAAGACACCACCATCTGCTATGGGGAGGATATTAAGTGAGTAAAAGCCTGCAGTATGAAATTACGTAATAGCTCATCTTTGCAAATGCAAGACTGTCTGTAGAAGATAGCAGATATGAAGAAATAGGGGTTACGATGTGTCACTTGGGGCAGTTTCCTCATGTTTAAATGAGGCAAGACAACAACAGGCAGTTCCAAGTAATCAAGGTGCAGCCTAAATTTGAGCAGATTTTACTTTTAGGGAAACTTGGGGCCCTTCAGAGGCCATTTTTCTCCATTCCTTCTCAGCTCAGGCCAGGCGCAGTGGCTCATGCCTGTAATCCCAGCCCTTTGGGAGGCCGAGGCGGGTGGATCACCTGAAGTCAGGAGTTCTAGAGCAGCCTGGCCAACATGGTGAAACCCCGTCTCTACTAAAACTACAAAAATTAGCTGGGTGTGGTGCCCGGTGCCTGTTATCTCAGCTACTCGGGAGGCTGAGGCAGGAGAATCACTTGAACCCAGGAGGCAGAGGTTGCAGTGAGCCAAGATCACGCCACTGTACTCCAGCCTAGGTGACAAGAGTGAAACTCTGTCTCATTAAAAAAAAAAAAAAAACTCGGTTCACCTACTAAAAATTCCGTAAAAAGCCTGTAATATCGCTAGCAAATTAATATGAATTATAGTCCTATTTTGCTTTTTCTAGGAACTTTTACTTTTGAAAGGGAAATAGAAGAAAGGAAAAAAAAAACCCAAAACTTTTGCGGGAAGGAAATGTGTGGGTGGGTTACATCATGTAGGTCCCCTGTAATCTAGTCTAGGTGGGGCAGGCCTGATAATTCAAATGTTAGCATATGCTGAAACGTTTGTTAGCTTTGAATCAGAGTCGCAGCAGACCTGGAAATGTATGATGAAAAAGCCCTGTCTTGTTCTGAAGCTATAAATATGCTGCACACAGTTACTGTGATGTGTTTACTGATGGCCTGACAGTTCCTCAAGATTTTTCCCTACAGAGCTTCTCTCAGGCCAGCATGAGGTCAGATTAAACTGTTAACATACACATTTGCCAGGTGTGATAAAGTGATGAGGGAATTGATGGTCAATATTAGTCTTATTTCTAATGATGGTGATAAAGCATTTTCTAGTTGTTCTAGTATATTAGGTATTCCGTCAAATTAGACAAAATCAGTAGCCTTATGATCTAAATCAGTTCCATTTAGAACTGATTTAGTTTATGTGCCCAAATAGAGGTACATAAGCCATGCCCCTTTGTGCTTTTAGGTTTTAAAAAAGTAGCAACAGGCTGGGCACGGTGGCTCATGCTTGTAATACCAGCACATTGGGAGGCCGAGGCGGGTGGATCACGAGGTCAGGATTTTGAGAACAGCCTGACTGATATGATGAAACCCCGTCTCTACTAAAAATACAAAAATTAGCCAGGCATGGTGGCATGTGCCTGGAATCCCAGCTACTCGGGAGACTGAGGCAGGAGAATTGCTTGAACCTGGGAGGCAGAGGTTGCAGTGAGCCAAGATAGTGCCACTACACTCCTGCCTGGGTGACAGAGCAAGACTCCGTCTCAAAAAAAAAAAGTAGCAACAGACAAATAAATGCTTAATGCTTAATGAGTTTACTTTAGTAGTTTTGGGCTTCAAGTAATCTGATTAATTACTATATGGCTTTGTTTATTTTTTGTAGATGGGGCTGTAAAAAAATTTCTGGTCTCTCTTTTGAAAGTCTTAAAAATTGGTCCCGAAGCTAAAGTAAAAGATAAAATGTATGCAAGTAGCAAATGTTGTGACCATGCCCTTAGCTGAGTTTACCTTTATAGAGAGAGGAATCATCTTCCCAGGTGGCTCTTAAATTGATGATTCCTATAAAATGATTTGAATAGAAGGTATCTTCATTTTTTTTCTCTTACGGCCTTTCAATGATTTGTCTTAGTCACTCACTTTTAACTTGAAAATGAGAATTAAATTGATGTGGAAAAGGGATACTAGATACTTAATCCTCTAGTGCAGTGATTCTCCGTGGGGAGTGAGTTTGCCTTCCAGGGACCCTTTGGCACTGTCCAGAGACACTTGCTTGTTTCAGCTGCAGAGAAGTGCTCCTGGCTTCTAGTGGGTAGAGGCCAGGGATGTTGCTAAACATCCTCCAGTGCAAGGGATGGCCACACAAAATAAAGGATTATTAGGCCCAAGACATCAAGAGTGCAAAGGCTGAGAAGCCTTCTTTGGAAGGAGAAGAACAATGGCTTTTTGTATGTAATAGTAAGAGTCCTGAGCCAGAAGTTACAAGATAACTGAGTCCTCATTCTAGTTTTCCTATCAACCTGCAGCAGGCAAATCACATCACCTTCCTCTGGCTTGATTTCCTTATTTGTAACATGAAGAGATTGGACAAGATATTTAAGGTCCCTTCCACTCCAAAATTTCATGACTCATTTTTCTATCACATGAAAGTGTTACACGTAGCCTTGTCACATATATCATTTTAACACAAACATTTAATTTGTTGATATAAAGCACTGAGAATTTCTCAAACACAGATATAGTTTTGTTTATATGAAAATAAGTTTATTCCTAACAAACAATAGCCAGTATTCTAATTCAGATCAAGATTGCCTTTCCTTTTTTTTTTTTTTTTTTTTCTTAGAAAGACTCTGTCACCCAGGCTGGAGTGCAGTGGTGCAATCTTGGCTCATTGCAACCTCCGCCTCCTGGGTTCAAGTGATCCTCATGCCTCAGCCTCCCAAGTAACTGGGATTACAGGCACCGCCACCACGCCTGGGTAATTTTTGTATTTTTAGTAGAGACAGAGTTTCACTATGTTGGCCAGTCTGGCTGCGAACTCCTGACCTCGACTGATCTGCCCGTCTCAGCCTCCCAAAGTGCTGGGATTACAGGTGTGAGCCACAGTGCCTGGCCTAAGATTGCCTTTCTTCTGTTGCTGTGTATACATTTTCAACTGTATCTTCCTTTGACTGTCTTTGAAAAATGATGAATTACATGGTACCCCCATGGTGGATGAATCGAGACATAGTAAAATTACATGTCGCTCAGTTAAAAAAAAAAAAAAAAAAGGGCTGGCCAGGCGTGGTGGCTCATGCCTGTAATCCCAGCACTGTGGGGGGCTGAGGCGGGTGGATCATGAAGTCAAGAGATTGAGACCATCCTGGCCAACATGGTGAAACCCTGTCTCTACTAAAAATACAAAAATTAGCTGGGCATGGTGGTGCCCGTCTGTAGTCCCAGCTACTTGGGAGGCTGAGGTGGAAGAATAGCTTGAACCTAGGAGGTGGATGTTGCAGTGAGCTGAGATAACACCACTGCACTCCAGCCTGGTGACAGAGCGAGACTCTGCCTCAAAAAAAAAAAAAAAAAAAAAAAATGGGCAAAGCACTTTGAGTAGACATTTTTCCAAAGAGGACATGCAAATGGCTGATAAACATGTGAAAGGAGGCTCATCATCACTAATCATTAGGGGAAGATAAATCAAAACCAAAGCAAGATAACACCTCACACCCTTTAGGATGGCTACTATCAAAAACAAAACACAATAGAAAATAACAATCATTGTTGAAGGAACCTTTGTGTGTTGTTGATGAAATATATAAAATGGTGCAGCCACTATGCAAAACAGTATGGTGATGTTTCAAAAAATTTCAAAAAGGATTACCATATGATGCAACAATCCCACTTCTGGGTATATCCACAAAATAATTGAAAGCAGGATCTCAAAGAGATACATGCACACCCATGTTCACAGCAACACTGTTCACAGCAGCCAAGAGATGGACGCAACCCAGGTGCCCATCAGTGAGTGAATGGATAAACAGAATGTGGTGCTTCCACATAATGGAATATATTCAACTTTAAAAAGGAAGGAAATTATGACATATATTATATAGATGAACCTTGAAGACATTAAGCTAAGTGAAATAAACCAGTCACAGAAAGACAAATACTGTTTGATTTCACATATATGAGGTATCTAGAGTGCTCAAATTCATTCAAACAGAAAGTTAACTGGAAGTTACCAGGGACTGGAGGGCGAGTGAGGTGAGGTGTTATTGTTTAATAGGTATAGAGTTTCCGTTTTGCAAGATGAAAAAGTTCTAGAGATTGGTTGGATAACAATGTGACTATAGTTAACACTACTAAGTTGTACACTTAAAAATGGTCAAAGCCCGGGATATGGCAAAACCCTATTGCTACAAAAAATACAAAAATTAGCCAGGCGTGATAGCGTGTGCCTATAGTCCCAGCAACTCAGGAGGCTGAGGCAGGAGAATCACTTGAGGCTGGGAGGTCAAGGCTGCAGTGATCCATGATCATGCCACTGCTCTCCAGCCTGGGTGACAGAGTGAGACCCTCTCTCAAAAAAATTATAATGAAAATAAAATAAAGAAACAAAAATAGGTAAGATGGTAAACTTTGTTTTTTTGTCACAATTTTTTTTAAGTCAAAGTTATCTCAGAGTCAAGGGCCTATTTAGGGTCTTACACTTTAAACACTGAAATTTGGTTTCCCCTAGTTCTCTTCTTCATGCAAGGATGGAAAACCAGAGGAATAGAGGTGGCGTCTACGCAAAGTTTGCACCTCCTGTGCAGGAATCTTTTTTTCCACCCGGTGGAAACCGTGCCTTAATCATCACTGGTTCTTGGTTGGTACGTATCATTAGTGTATCTGTGCCTTTAACTCAAAAGAAAGAAGTTCATTTGGAGCCACTTTTAGATGCTTTCACATGTTAACTGCCAACCTAAAAGTCTCTTAGCCTATACATGAAAGTGTGGTTTTTCCAAGTTTGAGACTTAATAATATATGATATATGAAAGGATGTATACCAAAGAGGTAAAAGTGGTTATCTTGGTTTACTAATTAATGGGTTTTTTCATTTTCTTCTTTATAGATTGTTAGATTTTCTAAATTTTTGTTGCATATATATTTTATAAGCTGGATGTGGTGGCATGCGCCTGTAGTCCCAGCTCCTCTGGAGGTTGAAGCAGGAGGGTGGTTTGAGCTTAGGTGTTCGAGGCTGCAGCATGCAATGATCACACTTGTGAATGAATAGCCACTGCACTTCAACCCAGGCTATACAGCAAGACCCCATCTCCATTGAAAAATATATATATAGCTGAGCACAGTGGCTCACGCCTGTGCTCCCAGCACTTTGGGAGGCCAAGGCGGGCAGATCACAAGGTCAGGAGATGGAGACCATCCTGGCCAATATGGTGAAACCCCGTCTCTACTAAAATACAAAAAAAATAATTAGCCAGGCGTGGTGGTGCACACCTGTAGTCCCGGCTACTCGGGAGGCTGAGGCAGGGAAATTGCTTGAACCTGGAAGGCAGAGGTTACAGTGAGCCGAGATCGTGCCACTGCATTCCAGCCTGGCAACAGAGTGAGACTCCATCTCAAAAAAAAAAAAAAAAAAAATATATATATATATATATGTGTGTGTGTGTGTGTGTGTATATACATACACACATACATATATGTGTGCGTGTGTATATACATACACACGCACACATATATATACATGTTTTGGTTATAAAATCAAATTTATTTGTCAAATATAATCAGTGACATAATCCAAAAATTATCCTTCACATAATTTAAATCTTGGGAATGGTACTCCTGGGGTAAAACTAAAGTGAATGTAACCTTTTCCCTCTCTGATTTCACAGAATGAAATTCTTCTCGAGAAAAAGACCAAGAGAAATAAGATTCTGAAGCTGAAGTTCCCAAGAACAGAAGAAGAAAGACGGATGCGGACCCAAAGTAAAAGGAGGCTAGAAGCTAAGAAAGAGCAGCGGCAGAAAAACTTTGTGGACCTGGCCTGCGAGTGCAGCGCAGTCATCTGCTGCCGCGTCACCCCCAAGCAGAAGGCCATGGTGGTGGACCTGGTGAAGAGGTACAAGAAAGCCATCACGCTGGCCATCGGAGATGGGGCCAATGACGTGAACATGATCAAAAGTGAGTCATGCACCCACGGCCAGTGAGGCCCAACGTGCTAGAGAGGAGAAATGGCTGGAATGTGTAGGGGGTGGATTTTCTTTTTTTAGATTTTACAGCTTAGGTTTTCATAGAGCAGATGTTTCATAAAGTCACTTAACCATGACAACGCCTGTGACCCTACCCCCAGAAAGCCCACAGCCCATCAGGAGGAAAGAGTATCACTGACAGGGCTTCTGAAGGATGCGAAGAGGAAAATAAGGTCTATGGGGGGAAATTTATCCTTATATTTTTATTCTTTTATATAGATGTTGTGTATTTTTTTCTCTCTTACTGGTTCTCTTCCCATATTTTGGGTTTATTAAAAGCCCTGATATTGGCTGGGCACAGTGGCTCACGCCTATAATCCCAGCATTTTGGGAAGCCGAGGCAGGTGGATCACAAGGTCAGGAGTTCGAGACCAGCCTGATCAAGATGCTGAAACCCCGTCTCTATTAAAAATACAAAAATTAGCCAGGTGTGGTGGTGCACACCTGTAATCCCAGCTACTCGGGAGGCTGAGGCAGGAAAATCACTTGAACCCAGGAGGCGGAGGTTACAGTGAGCTGAGATCGTGCCACTGCACTCCAGCCTGGACGACAGAGTGAGACTCCATCTCAAAAAAACAAAACAAAACAAAAAACCCTGATATTTAATAAGTTTTGTAAGACATAAATTATTGAACTCTGGCTGGTGCTTGCTTTGACAATATCATTCTCCTTCATCTAAGCATTTCTTTCTGGGACTTTCTTCCTACCTTTGGTAAATCTGTGGGAACTTCATCATTGGGTCACCTGGTGTGAGTTTAGAGTAACATGTTTAGCACTGAAGAAAAGCTTCCACGTGCTCTCATCATCCTCCTCACCTCCCTAGAAGGCTGCCTTTTTCTGGATGCTAGAATTTAAGTCCACACAATTAAAATATTGAGTCCTGCCATGCAGAAATACAGTTGTGCTGGTATTAAAGCCTGCAGAAGCACACCCACAGCCCTCATCTCTATGTCTGAATTCTGTTCCTTTTTCCTCCCTCTGTCACTATAAGGGAGTATCTTGTATTAAAAATACTCAAACTAATGACCTGGATATTCATCCTCATCCTATTGCCAAAATCCGGTGTCACCTTGGGCTTATGCTCAGGTTTCAGTTTTCTCATCGGAAAAGAAAATAATCCCTAATGTCACCTCCAGCTCTGTCGTATTATTATCACTGAGCTGAAGTATTACCTGACTGTACATAGGTAATTGCATGTTCCTGTGATGCTGGGTTGCTTAAATGCATTATATATAACTAGACTTTTCAGTCTATTTTGTGACTCATGAGTCTGTCTCTTTCTTTTCTTAGTCTCCTCCTCCTCCTTGATGTATACTAAGAATATTCCAACTTTATCTTCCTCAACAGGAGTCAGCTGTATGACGTATGTCATCTTGCCTTCTTTATCAGTGCGTATGTCTGTGGTCACTAGCAGTTTAATTCATCCACACTGTTTTTTTTTTTTTTTTTGCATGTGCTTGCCCTACCATGCGAATGGTATTGCTTGCTCGGAGTTAGATCTATCTCTTTCCTCCATAGCCAGCCAGCTCTAGTTTATTTTCCATTACGTACCTTTAACGTAACTAGCCGTGCCAAAAGGACAAGTCAAACATGATTTTTATTCAGTTATAAAGTAGCCTTCTAGATAATGGGAGGGGACGGGTTTGCTTTGGAGATTTATCAACTGATTATGTGACTTAGACTTGAAACATTTTGTTCCTCTGAGTTCACCAATACATAATGAGAGGGATTGCACAAAGTCAATGTAGATAATCTTAGAGGGGCTTGTTTTTCTTAAGTTGTCTTAAAATTTTTATTAAGCACTGTTATATGCCAGGTGCATTTAAAAAAAAAACAAGGTCTCCCTCTGTGGCCCAGGCTGGGGTGCAGTGGCATGACCTTGGCTTACTGCAACCTCCACCTCCTGGCCTCAAACAATCCTCCCACCTCAGCCTCCCAAGTAGCTGGGACTACAGGCATGAGCCACCATGCCCAGCTAATTTTTGTATTTTTTGTAGAGTTGGGAATTTGCCATGTTGCTCAGGCTGGTCTTGAACTCCTGGGCTCAATCAGTCTGCCTGCCTCAGTCTCCCAAAGTGCTAGGATTACAGGCATGAGCCACCTCACCTGGCCCCAGGTACTTTTATATATAAGTTATAGAGCATCCCTTTGGGATAAAAATATAGGAAACTTTAGGGGTCTCCTTAGAAGTTATACAAGTAGTATTAGTGCCTTTATGTACTTTGTAAAAGCTGTCATTTCTTCCAACCACATCAATAACAATATACAGAAAGTTTAGCCAAGTATGGGGCACACACCGGTAGTCCCAGCTACGTGGGAGGCTGAGACGGAAGGATTACTTGAGCCTGAGAAGTTGAGACTACAGTGAGCCATGTTTGTGCCACTGCACTCCACCCTGGGTGACAGAGCAAGACCCTTTCTCCAACAACAAAAAAGAACACACACACACACACACACACACACACACACACACACACAAAGAAATTGTTGGTCATAAAGTAGTCGAGTGAAATTATTCAAGTGTCAAAAAATAATCTGAGCATTTGCTAACATTCACGTTTAGCAGTGTAGTCTGGAAGAAGTGAAGGAATCATGACCCACCATGTTTCTGCCCCTAGCAAGGATCCAAGGACTATCATAGGCTGCCTTCTCCCTCTATCCTACCTGAAGATATCTCATACCAGCTGGGTGGATGTTGTCTCTTCTTGGTCTTAGACCCTGAGAATGTACGTGAAGCAGGAGAGAGATAAAGGCAAGGTGGGGCATGGTGGCTCATGCCTGTAATCCCAGCACTTTGGGAGGCCAAGGCAGGCAGATCACCTGAGGTTGGGAGTTCGAGACCAGCCTGGCCAACATGATGAAACCCCATCTCCACTAAAAGTACAAAAATTAGCCGGGCATGGGGGTGGCGGGCACCTGTAATCCCAGCCACTCGGGAGCCTGAGGCAGGAGAGTCACTGGAACCCAGGAGGCAGAGGTTGCATTGAGCCAAGATCGCACCACTGCACTCCAGCCTGGGCGACAGAAAAAGACTCCATCTCAAAAAAAAAAAGGCAAGAGGGATTATTGCTGTAGCGAGGAAATATTCTTTTTGTTAAGGAATGATAAAAGAATGTCTACCAGTGAGGCACCTAACACCGCATTTGAGATTTCAGGAAACTCTAAATGCCTGTACTTAAATTTTACAAAAAAGACCAATGTTACCTTATAGTGTATCTGTTCAGTGCTTTTGGTTGCCCTGGGAACTATGACAGTGTTCATTTCACATTTGTCCTTGGTCTGCTCAGCGGGAAGGTTGAGGACTGGATACCAGGGCCTGGGGCAGGGCTTCCTCTTCCTCAGCCACATAAGCCAAGAGAATCTCAGCATTTTCCTCAGTGGCTTGTTCAGGAAAGAAAAGGCCATGGTTTGGCAGGAAAGAGCAAGTTTGGCAACCATGCTGGTCATAGGAAATATTTGTGTGTTTTCAAAGAGAACATAAATATTATATGAGATGCAGTTTGTTCTGTTTTTTTAGAAGTGTTACTGAAAACGTAGGTTTGGATACATCACTACAGTTATGTTTTGAATTTGCCAGACCTTGTGTTCTGTAACTAGGGCAGGATTTTTGAAGCTTCTTTTTAGTTGGAACGCCGCAGCATTGCAGCCACTTTTCAGGGTCTGAGCAATGATAGGTTGTGTTCTCCAACATATCTTTTCTAAATGATCTTGTCTATCTTCACATTCGTTACTTTTAAGACCCAGACAAAACTAATCATTCTCTAATTTGAAAGTGTTATTTATGACTATTGGAAGCATAAATAAAATTGTGACTTTAATTTTATATATTCTGGAAACCTTCCCCCGTAAAGAAAAAAAAAATGTCTTAAGGTCCCAGAGGGCCATGAATAAGACTTTGAAAGTTTAATAGTTTCTTGGTTAAAACTCTTTTGATTACAAGTATTGGAGAACAACCAAAGCTAGCTTAAGAAAAAATTAAATTTGAGGAGTGGGAGACGAGGGGAGGGAACCTAGAGGATGGGTCAATAGGTGCAGCAAACCACCATGGCACACGTATACCCATGTAACAAACCTGCACGTTCTGCACAGGTATCCTGTAACTTAAAAGAAAAAAAAGAAAAAAGTAAATTTATTTAAACACCTCCTGTTGTCCAAGAAGAAGCCAGGCCTCAGGAAGATACTGGAACAAGGACATAGATTTGCACCAGGAACCCCGTGTCTGTCTGTCTCTCTCCCCTTCTCTCTCCCTTTCCTCCTTCTTCCCCTCCTTCTCTCTCTCCCCTCCCTCCCTTCTCTCCCCACTCTTCTCTCCCCACTCTTCTCTCCCCCCATTCTCTCCCTCCATTCTCTCCCTCCTCCCCACCCCTCTCTCCCCACTACTTTATTTCTCTGCCCCTTAGAAATCTTCAGGAAGAAATATATCTATTTCGGCCAGGCACAGTTGTTCATGTGTGTAATCCTAGCACTTTGGGAGGCCAAGGCAGGTGGATCACCTGAGTTCAGGAGTTCAAGGCCTGCCTGGACAACATGGTGAAACCCCGTCTCTACAAAAATTAGCTGGGTGTGGTGGCGCACATCTGTAATCCCAGCTACTCGAGAGGCTGAGGCAAGAGTATCGCTTGAACCCAGGAGGCAGAGGTTGCAGTGAGCCAAGACTGCGCCATTGCACTGCAGCCTGGGTGACAGAGTGAGACTTCATCTCAAAAAAAAAAAAAAAAGAGAGAGAAAGAAATATAACTATTTCTTACCTCAAGAATTTAGACCTTAAAATTCTAGACACAAAATAACTGACTTCTAATTCCAGAATATCAAGAGAGAGACTGGCTCAGCTTGGGTTTTCTGTCAGTCAGGGTTTAGCACAGGAAACAGACCCCAGTTGGTATTTAAGCAAGAAAAGATTCATACAGGGGACTAGGTACTTTCAAAAGCTCTGGATGGTCTACAGAAGCAGGGTCTAGGCTGGGTCACTTACCAGAAGAGCTTCTACTCTTCTGGTAAGTGATAAGAGGTTCCTCTAAAGAGCTTCCAAATTAAGAAGCCTTTATAGTTGCCTGTCAACATCCAGGTAGCTGGAAAGTAGATATGAGCTCTGCTGCAGAAATCCCAAAAGAGGAAGCGATGCTGGGCTCTGATTCACTTCTGCTTCCAAGTCATAAGTGGATCTAAACAGTGGAACCTAATTCACAAAGAGCCTAGCTGCAAGGGAGTCTGGGAAATGTAGGGTTTTTATTTCCTTTCCCACCTCTCTAATTAGAACAAGGATGGAATGAAGTTGGGGGAGCCGATTTGTAGTATCTACCACAAATTACATATCTGCCCATGACTGACACAGCTGTTGCCAAAGAGGCAAGGACACAGTGTACACATGGGTGCCTGGGGCTCACCCTGTGGATGGAAGGGATGGCTGTGATCTTGGCAGATAATCCAAATGGAATTCGTCACCCACATGAGATCCTTTCCCAGATATTTATGGAGGCCCTACTGTGTGCTCTGTTTAGCAACTTGTAACTCAGACTTTGAGTTGAGTTCAAGAGCTGGGGGTGAGGGATGGTGAGCAAGAGCTTCTGTATTATTGTTCCATCAATGTCTGTCTTTGTTTTTTGTTTGCTATGGAACCATTTTTATCAACTGATGTTTTGCCTCACAATCGGTTTATGATCCACAGTGTTTTCTCCCTCTGCCCCATAGCTGCCCACATTGGCGTTGGAATAAGTGGACAAGAAGGAATGCAAGCTGTCATGTCGAGTGACTATTCCTTTGCTCAGTTCCGATATCTGCAGAGGCTACTGCTGGTGCATGGCCGATGGTCTTACATAAGGATGTGCAAGTTCCTACGATACTTCTTTTACAAAAACTTTGCCTTTACTTTGGTTCATTTCTGGTACTCCTTCTTCAATGGCTACTCTGCGCAGGTAATGTAATGTTGTTATTATTGTTATTTACTAAGTAGAGCTCTTAAATGAATAAAAATCTAGTTCTGAAAAGACAATTTATTTCTTCTATATTTGTAGTTTTGGGGCTGTGTCTCCTTACAGTTGGGGCATAATTAAGAATGATCATGACTTCTCTAAATGTTTCTGGTGCTGTAAAAACATTTTACCTTAGAAAGGAGGGGATTTGGCCAGGCATGGTGGCTCACGCCTGTAATCCCAGCACTTTGGGAGGCTGAGGCAGGTGGATCGCCTGAAGTCGGGAGTTTGAGATCAGTCTGGCCGACATGGTGAAACCTGGTCTCTACTAAAAATACAAAAATTTTCCGGGTGTGGTGGCAGGCACCTGTAATCCCAGCTACTCGGGAGGCTGAGGCAGGAGAATCGCTTGAACCTGGGAGGCAGAGGTTGTGGTGAGCCGAGACTGCGCTATTGCACTCCAACCTGGGCAAGACTTTGTCTCAAAAAAAAAAAAAAAAAGGAGGGGATTTGCTTGTATGTTTTTATCTTTATCTTTGGTTATTTTTTCATGTTGACATTAAGAGTAGCGATAACAGGGCTGGGTGCAGTGGCTCACGCCTATAATCCCAGCACTTTGGGAGGCCGAGGTGGGCGGGTCACCTGAGGTCAAGAGTTGGAGACCAACCTGGCCAACATGGTGAAACCCCGTCTCAACAAAATACACAAAAATTAGCCAGACATGGTGGCGTGTGCCTGTAATCCCAGCTACTTGGGAGGCTGAGGCAGAAGAATCACTTGAACCTGGGAGGCAGAAGGTACAGTGAGCCAAGATCACGCCACTGTACTCCAGCCTGGGCGACAGAGTGAGACTCTGTCTCAGAAGAAAAAAAAAAAGAATATTGATAACAGGCCAGGTGCATAGAGTTTTGCCTATAATCCCAACACTTTGGGAGGCTGAGATGGGGAGATCGCTTAAGGCCAGGAGTTCGAGGCCAGCCTAGGCAACATAGCAAGACCCCCATCTCTATTAAAACAAACAAACAAACAAAATGTTAAATAAAGGAAGCAGATGAGTATGTGCTAACTAGGCTGGCATGTGTCTTTGTTGGTGACATGGAGCCTCTGTCATCCCCTCACAGACTGCATACGAGGATTGGTTCATCACCCTCTACAACGTGCTGTACACCAGCCTGCCCGTGCTCCTCATGGGGCTGCTCGACCAGGTAGGAGCCTCGCACAAGCAGGGACACTTCTGGACAGATGAGAATGCGTTAGAGAAGTCCCAAGCAAACGTTTCAATGCATTCTTCTGGTGTTTACTTCTTTCTGATCAAACCCTATTATAATTCTGTTGTCAGGCATCAAGGGTCATGGCTGTGCTTCTTGTTTTGTAATAAGGAAAGAGGATTTCTCTGTAGTCCCAGCTACTCGGGAGGCTGATGCAGGAGTATGACTTGAGCCCAGGTGTTCAAGTCTAGCCTGGGCAATAAAGTGAGACCCCATCTCTAAGACAAAAAAAAAAAAAAAAAAAAAGAGAAAAGAGGATTTCTGTGACTGGGTTGAATTCATTGGCACACATATTTGTTATGTTCCTTTTAGACAGTAAGAGCTTACTATGAAGATACCTGAAGGCAGGGCATGGTGGATCATGCCTGTAATCCCAGCACTTTAGGAGGCTGAGGCAGGCAAATTGCTTCAGGTCAGGAGTTTGAGACCAGCCCTGGCAACATAGGGAGACCCCATCTCTACAGAAAAATTTAAAAATTGTGGGCATGGTAGTGCACACCTGTGAAGTCCCAGCTACTTGGCAGGATGAGGTGGGAGGATCGCTTGAGCCTGGAAGGTTGAAGCTGCAGTGAGTTGTGTTTGTGCCACTGCACTCCGGGCTGGGCAACAAAGTGAGACCCTGTCTCCAAAAAAAAAAAAAAAAAAAGAAAAGAAAAGGAAAAAAAGGCACCCGAGAGTCCAATATGTCTCCACAATAATAATTTACTCATTTTAAAGTCAGTTTAAATCCTTTCCAAAATTTATGTAGCTAGTGCATATTTTTATCTAATACCAATTCTTAAAAAGAAAGAAGCACTATAAAGACTAAAAAGTAATAATTTATAATTAACTCATCAACTTGTATGAGAAAATTTTTTCCCAAAGGATTTGCAACAATATATATTCACTCAGGAGGTAAAAACAGTAGCCTCCCTACATATTTTTGGACATTACTAATTTGTTTTCTTTCCATAAGTAGCAAAGTAATAAACTTATACCTAGCCCTTCTCTGAATTAAATATTAAGTAATGGTGGTCTAAGCAATGAGGTTGAGCTCTGCACACCACAAATATTGCAGGATTGATCGATTATCTTGTTCAGTTTTTGCCTTCCTAAAATTTAACAGCAGGCTGCAACTTTTTGTGAGATATTAATTATAACATATCTCTGACTGCTTTGACCTGATGAATAAAATACCATCATTTTGTTTTCTCCTTAAGGATGTGAGTGACAAACTGAGCCTCCGATTCCCTGGGTTATACATAGTGGGACAAAGAGACTTACTATTCAACTATAAGAGATTCTTTGTAAGCTTGTTGCATGGGGTCCTAACATCGATGATCCTCTTCTTCATACCTCTTGGAGCTTATCTGCAAACCGTAGGGCAGGATGGAGAGGCACCTTCCGACTACCAGTCTTTTGCCGTCACCATTGCCTCTGCTCTTGTAATAACAGTCAATTTCCAGGTACGTGGCTTTCATTGGCCGTATTCAGTGTCTATTGGTACCTACTTATATTTCTGTATATAGGGTGGCATGCACATCCACCTGACTCCCACTGCACCTGTGCCACTTACAAAATATAAATGCTATTTTCATCTCTTATACCAAGCACATTTTCTATTTCTTGCCTGAGTCAAGGATGGTTTAGTTTCTGGTCCAGTATTCAAGCCACATCATGCCTAACTTGCTGAATTCTGTTTTCAGGATTGTTAGATCCTTTATTTCTTGCTAACTCCCCAAAATGAGTGCTCTGTTTTTCTCTGGTTTCCCAACAGATTGGCTTGGATACTTCTTATTGGACTTTTGTGAATGCTTTTTCAATTTTTGGAAGCATTGCACTTTATTTTGGCATCATGTTTGACTTTCATAGTGCTGGAATACATGTTCTCTTTCCATCTGCATTTCAATTTACAGGTTGGTATTTCCAAATTCCAAAAATAAATGTACAGACAAATGTCATTAGTTTAGATTTTGACATAACTTCTGTTAAGTAATAAAATATACAAGGTGGAATGGCTGGGCACAGTGGCTCACACCTGTAATCCCAGCATTTTGGGAGGCCGAGGCAAGTGGATTGCTTGAGCCCAGCAGTTCAAGACCAGCCTGGACAACATGGCTAAACCCCATCTCTACAAAAAATACAAAAAAATTAGCCAGGCATGGTGGCACATGCCTGTAGTTCTAGCTACTGGAGAGGCTGAAGTGGGAGGATTGCTTGACCTGGGACGTTGAGGCTACAGTGAGTCGTGATGGCACTGCTGTACTCTAGCCCAGGTGACAGAGCGGGACCCTGTCTCAAAAAAAAAACAAAAAAAACAAAGCACAACAAAACAAATATATACAAATTATTATTGCTAGTGAAAATTAATGTCTTGTCTGGAAATTAAATGGTGATGGTGGGTTGAAAGGGCATAACATGATGGGAGGAAGACAAATTAAAATAGCTTTACAATAGCGCTGTACGTGTGTTGAATTAGATAACTTAAGACTTAAAAGGCTGGATAAAAGCCTATTCTTTCTTTCCCATAAAACCTAATACTGGGGCTAGATGTGGTAGCTCACGCCTGTAATCCCAGCACTTTGGGAGGCCAATATGGGTGGATCACTTGAGCTCAGGAGTTTGAGACCAGCCTGGGCAACATGGTGAAACCCCATCTCTACAAAAAATACAAAAATTAGCCAAGCGTGGTGGCGCACACCTGTAGTCCCAGCTATTCAGGAGGCTAAGGTAGGAGGACACCTGAGCCCAGGAGGTTGAGGCTGCAGTGAGCCATGATCACGCCACTGCACTCCAACGTGGGTAACAGAGTGAGACCCTATCTCAAAAAAAAGTCAGAAGTCTTGATCACCTAACTTTGCATTTTTAATCAATGCAATGTCAACAAATGTGCTTTTTTTCCTTATTTGCTCACTTATGTAAATTTGCCTTGTTTCAAATAATTTACCTTCCCAATTTTGCTTTGCTTAGTCTGATTTTAAAATGTCTGTTCTTTGAGCCATAATGGATATTTTGGGGAGGCCAATCCAGTTGTAAAACTTTACCATAAATGATCTATTTATAGATTATGAAATATTAACTATGTTCTTTTTTTTATTTTATTTTTTATTTTTGAGACAGAGTTTTGCTTTATCACCCAGGCTGGAGTGCGGTGGCACAATTTCGGCTCACTGCAACTTCCGCCTTCCGGGTTCAAGCAATTCTGCTGTCTCCTGAGTAGCTGGGACTACAGGTGCACACCACCATGCCCGGCTGATTTTTTGTATTTTAGTAGAGACGGGGTTTCACCATGTTGCCCAGGCTGGTCTCGAACTCCTGAGCTCTGGCAATCCACCCACCTTGGCCTCTCAAAGTGTTAGGATTACAGGCATGAGCCACCACACCTGGCGAAATATTAACTATGTTCTTAGGAAAAAAGAACCACAGTGATGCATTTGCCATGTTCTTTACAGGCACAGCTTCAAACGCTCTGAGACAGCCATACATTTGGTTAACTATCATCCTGGCTGTTGCTGTGTGCTTACTACCCGTCGTTGCCATTCGATTCCTGTCAATGACCATCTGGCCATCAGAAAGTGATAAGGTATAAAGAATATAGTCCTTTCCCAACTCTGTCCCTCACAGAAACCAAAGCGTTTCCCAACAGCACGTTTCCTGCAAAATTCTAAGCTCATGGGAAGTTTGGTAAGAATGATTTTTCATGATTGCTTCTCTTTAACTCTATCTCACAAATAAGTCTTTTGGAATTGGGAGTTTAGTGTGCTTGCTTTTTAATACAAAAATTACCAAACATAAACAAAAAAGGGAGAACAGAATGAGCCCCATATATCTATCTCCTCAGTTTAACAATTACAGTATTAACATTTTGTCATACAAATCAGATTGGGTTTTTTTTCTTTATTTAAGAAAAATGTCACCTTCTGTAGCAGGATCCTTTGAGCTACAAGGAACAGAAAGCTGTGACTCAAAACATCTCTACAGTAGTGCGTCATCATTAATCATTAGTAGGCTTCAGGCCCAGTTGATTGAGCAATTTAATGTTGTCAAGAAAGGATTGGGCTGGTTCTTGCCATCTCTTCTCTCAGAAACCTTCATTATTAGCTTCATATGGATGCTGGAAGATGGCCAGAGCAGTTCTGGGTATCACTTCCTGACCTATCAGTGTCGGGGGGAGATAAGAGCCTATTCTGTAGCTCCTTAGGGGCCGTGGAACTTCTCACCCAAGGGCCCCAGTACAGTGCCCTCAGGTCTCACGTGCCAAAATTAGGTCACTTGCCCATTCTGGACTAGTTTAGCAAGGGAAATCAACCTGCCCACCGCCCATGAGAAATGTGGCTGTGAGGGGTTGGGGGGGGCAATCTGAATACAATCAATTTCCATTAGAAAGAAGGAGAGAGTAGAGGCTACTGAGGCAACCTTCAGTATCCCTCGGGTCTCCCTTTTGCAGTGCCAACAGTATGCAGTAACAACCCAGGAAAGAGGCCCTACTGAATTTTCTCTTTGACTGTACCCATCTGGTCTGAACTAGAAAAGGGCACTAGCTTCAGAGGAGTGGGAATCTTGGCTTTGCATTTTCTAGCTGTGTGACCTTGGAAAAGTTAAATAACCTTCCCTTGGCTTCAATATATATCTCCAGGTAGGTAGGTAGGTAGATCGATTGATCAATCAATCTATGTATAGATATAGAGAGATGGATATAGATTTATATCATCATATATATATGTCGATATAGATAGATAGATAGATAGATAGATAGATATAGCCAAGCACTGTGGTTCATGCCTGTAATCCCAGAACTTTTGGAGGCCGAGGCAGGCAGATCACTTGAGGTCAGGACCAGCCTGGCCAACATGGTGAAATTCTGTCTCCACTAAAAATACAAAAATTAGACGGGTGTGGCAGTGCGTGCCTGTAACCCCAGTTACTCAGGAGGCTGAGGCAGGAGGATCGCTTGAACCTGGGAGGCAGAGGTTGCAGTGAGCCAAGATCGTGCCATTGCACTCAAGTCTGGGTGACAGAGCGAGACTGTCTCAAAAACAAAAAAAAAGATATAGACACACATACACACACACACACACACACACACACACACACACAAGTGGGGACAGAACTGCCTGCATCAAAATGGGGCAGGTGTCAGGGGAGTTCATCAGTGTTCATTTCTGTCAACCGTCTGGCCAGGCCTCCTCCCTGGTGTGGATCTTATTTTCATCCCTCCCCATCTCTCCCCCTTGCAGATCCAGAAGCATCGCAAGCGGTTGAAGGCGGAGGAGCAGTGGCAGCGACGGCAGCAGGTGTTCCGCCGGGGCGTGTCAACGCGGCGCTCGGCCTACGCCTTCTCGCACCAGCGGGGCTACGCGGACCTCATCTCCTCCGGGCGCAGCATCCGCAAGAAGCGCTCGCCGCTTGATGCCATCGTGGCGGATGGCACCGCGGAGTACAGGCGCACCGGGGACAGCTGATCCCTTACCCCCAGGCTGGGATGCGGCCACAAAGCACGTCTATTTTTTTATGAAAGACTCTCAGGACTTTGTGTGTGTGTGTGAATTGCATTCATCACAAAGATATTGAAGACAATAAATAATCTTTATAACAAACTCCTTGGGTTGGACTATTAAACAATAGCAGAGCCAAGAAATAGGACTTTTAAAAGTCCTATTATTCGGCCGGGCGTGGTGGCTCAGGTCTGTAATCCCAGCACTTTAGGAGGCTGAGGAGGGGAGATCACCTGAGGCCAGGAGTTCGAGACCAGCCCAGCCAACATGGTGAAACCCTGTCTCTACCATAAATTAAAAATTAGCCGGGCTTGGTGGTGGGCACCCGTAATCCCACCTATTTGAGAAGCTGAAGCAGAAGAATCGCTTGAACCTGGGAGATGGAGGTTACAGTGAGCCGAGATTGCGCCACTGCACTCCAGCCTGGGTGACAGAGCAAGACTCTGTCTTAAGAAAAATTTAAAAATAGGCCGGGCATGGTGGCTCATGCCTGTCATCCTAGCACTTTGGGAGGCCAAGGCAGGTGGATCACTTGAGGTCAGGAGACCAGCCCGGCCAACATGGTGAAACCCCATCTCTACTAAAAATACAAAAATTAGCTGGAAATCGCTTGAACCTGGGAGGTGGAGGTTCCAGTGAGCCGAGATCGTGGCACTGCACTCCAACCTGAGCAACAGAGTGAGACACCAGCTCAAAAAAAATTTTTTAATAATAATAAAAGTCCTATTATTCAACTGGTTATGTACATTATGGTTGAAAGGGAACGTTTTAATCCAGTCTCAATCCAGGGCAATAGAATTACAAAGCATGTTGTATTTCAGTTCAAATGGTATTGTATTATAAAATTACAGTTACATTTTCCTTTCGGTGATCTTCAGCATAATTTCCCAGAGGCCCCTTTTTCCTCCCTATAGGCCATCTTATTAACAGATTTTAAAATTTATAGTAATGACAAATGACTTATCAGTGTTCATCATCTGAAAGCTAAGTGGTTCGTTCAATCACTTTTTCAAAGTTGATAGTAGATTGCATGGTTTCATGTTTCCTCATATTGGTTTATTAATTCTATTTAATCAAGGAAAATAACTTCAGATTCCATAAAGTTTCAGTTTATTTTTAGTTTACTACTAGGTGAGATAGCACATTACATACTTTTACTATCAAATATTATTTTAGCAGCTTCCCATAGTACCAAATGATTTGATTCCCTACTCTCATTTTTTAAAGCATATAAATATTTATGGGCTTAAAAAGGGGGTTTTTAAAAACTGAGGATATCAGTAATAAATTGCAGAATATTTTGCAAAGCTTTCTTTTGGAAAGCAAACTTTTGTGCCTGCCTATATGCAAAGTATTTTATCAGGGACTTGAACAAAGACCTCACTCTTTTTCACTTGTCTTATGTCGAGAGAAAAGGTTATTGGCAGCCACATTCCTAAGACTGGGGAATGGTGTGTCCTTTTAAATTTGAAGATAACTTTAGGTAATTATGGAAACTCCTCAAAGAGGAGAAAGTAATTTTTTTCCAGACATTTTTCTCATTCTGTGTCTTTCACACACTAGTTTCCATAGTTCGAGAATTCTGTTTTTTACCATTGGGCTGTGAATGTTCACAATATCAGTCCTGTTGAATTCCTATGAGGTAATCACAATGTGTATATGTTCATTTTCTAGGTATGATAAAAGAATGTATGGCTTTTTATTCTGTGGAAGTAAAATCCTGAACGTTTACAACTTTTCCTTAACTTGTAAATAAAAAATTGTAAGTTTTTTCTTTTTTTACAGAAAACTTAGCTTGTGTAATTCTGTTAGTTTCAGATTTCTCTCCTGTTTTTGCAAATTGTGGGAAAGATTGACAATGCAAATGTGTCAAAGACATACTGTTGGGTGCAATATTAACAATTTTAAATGCAAATTTCTTTGGATAAATTATTTCTATATTCTGTAAATCTGAGATTTAATGTATATTTTGTTTAAAAAAATGATTTAGTAAAATCTTTGAAAAGTATGATCTTCTAAAGTATTTAAATTGGCTTTTGTTGTTGTTGTTATTTTTAAGAATAGGGTATGTGACAGAAGAATCTAGTCCCACAAGGTTTCTAGAGGAATGTAGGGGTCCTTTAGTAGTGAGAAAGTCGGGGACAGGGAAACTAAGTGTTAGGGAAGAAGTGATGGAGAAAGGGAAACTAAGTGTTAGGGAAAAGGTGATGGAGAAAAGGTGATCAGGACCGGGCACTGTGGCTCACGCCTGTAATCCCAGTACTTTGGAAGGCTGAGGCAGGAGAATCACTTGAGGCCAGGAGTTTGAGACCAGCCTGGGCAACATAGCAAGACTCTGTCTTTTCAAAAAAAAACATCTCAGTGTAGTGGCATGTGCCTGTAGTCCCTGCTGCTTGGGAGGCTTAGGTGGGAGGATCACTTGAGCCCAGGAGTTTGAGGCTGCAGTGAGCTACGATTATGCCACTGTACTGAAGCCTGGGTGAGAGCAAGACTCTGTCTCTAAAAGAATTAAAAAGGTGGCCAGACTTTAGAGACAGAGGGGTAAAGATTTAGAGTTAGGGAGATCAGCCAGGCATGGTGGCTCATGCCTATAATCCCAGCACTTTAGGAGGCTGAGGTGGGCGGGTCACTTGAGGCCAGGAGTTTGAGACCAGTCTGGCCAACATGGCGAAACCCCGTCTCTACTAAAAATACAAAAATTAGCCGGGTGAGGTGGTGCACACCTGTAATCCCAGCTACTCTGGCAGCTGAGGCAGGAGAATTGCTGGAACCCAGGAAGCAGAGGTTGCAGTGAGCCATGATTGTGCTACTGTTCTCCAGCCTGGGCAATGGAGTGAGACTCTCTCCAAAAAAAAAAAAAAAAAAAAGGAAGATTGAGTCTGGGTTTTTCCAACTGACCTCAACTCTTTAGCCAGAATGAAAGGAAAGGTAACCCTCAACCAAAAGTAAGGACTGGGGCTGGGCACGGTGGCTTGTACCTGTAATCCCAGCACTTTGGGAGGCCAAGGTGGTGGGTCACCTGAGGTTAGGAGTTCGAGACCAGCATGGCCAACATGGTGAAACCCCATCTCTACTAAGAATAAAAAAAAGCAGCCAGGCATGGTGGTGCACACCTGTAATCCTAGCTACTTGGGAAGCTGAGGCAGGAGAATCACTTGAACCTGGGAGGTGGAGGTTGCAGCGGGCTGAGATTGTGACACTGCACTCCAGCCTGGGTGACAGCGAGACTCCGTCTCAAAAAACAAAACAAAAAAAGTAAGGGGTGAGAAGTGAGCAGATAGTCCTAGAAATACATGACGAATCGTTGGCAGAAAAATGAGCAAAGAGGAGTGAGTGAGGAAGTGAGTGGCAAACCTGGGGTTTGAGGCTGTGGGAGTCTGACGAGGCTGTGGGAGTCTGACCAGGCTGTGGGACAGACAGCTCTTGGACGCAAGGGAAGCTGTGACCCCACTAAGAAGGTTCTCTCTGCGTCGAGATGGGAGACTCTTTGGGAGGCAAAATTAGCAGCAGGTGATAGAAAAGTATCAGTCTTGGGGTGCTTGGGCTGGGAGGAGATGGGCAAATTATTAGCCTCTGCAATAGAAATGGCAGAAAAATTGAGCAGACCTGGGAGATCATCCCTAAAAAAATAAAGGTCACTTTTTCCTGCAATATACTACTGTATTTAAGTTGTTTGAGGGATAAATGTTTTTAATCAAAGAGCACCACCTAAAGGTTCTTAGTCATGTTCAGCACTAGAAACTGCTCAGTAACAACATCTGATGGGAATAAAATGATTCTTGAGAGACTTCAATGTGATAGCAAAATGTACCCTAATGGAATCTAAATATATTTTAACAATTGCTGCCTTCATGTGATGTGAATGAAACTTAGGAAAATTGTCAGCTTCTAAAAGTCCTGCTAGAAAGTTAGGGCTGCGCTACAACTTCTGGGGCATTTATAAAAATAAAAAGGCCTGTTAAAACACTGAAAACAACACAACGTAGATCTCAGGACAAAGTGGAGGTTGGGGCCCTTAAAAATAACCACTGTAATGCAATCATTTTCTTTCTGCTAAAAAATACAGTAAAGGCTGGGTGCAGTGGCTCATACCTGTAATCCCAGCACTTTGGGAGGCCCAGGCGGGCAGATCACCTGAGGCCGGGAGTTCAAGACCAGCCTGACCAACATGGAGAAATCCGTCTCTACTAAAAATAAAAATTAGCGGAGTGTGGTGGCGCACGTCTGTAATTCCAGCTACTGGGGAGGCTGAGGCAGGAGAATCGCTTGAACCCGGTGAGAGGTGACAGCGTGCTGGCAGCCCTCACAGCCCTCGATCGCTCTCGGCGCCTCCTCGGCCTTGGCGCCTACTCTGGCGGTGCTTGAGGAGCCCTTCAGCCCACCGCTGCACTGTGGGAGCCCCTTTCTGGGCTGGCCAAGGCCGGAGCCGGCTCCCTCAGCTTGCGGGAAGGTGTGGAGGGAGAGGCGTGGTCGGGAACCCGGGCTGCACGCGGTGCTTGCGGGCCAGCGTGAGTTCTGGGTAGGCGTGGGTGTCCGCGGGCCCCACGCTCCAGCAGCCAGTGGGCCCCGCCAGCCCGGGCAGTGAGGGGCTTAGCACCTGGGCCAGCAGCTGCTATGCTTGACTTCTCCCTGGGCCTTAGCTGCCTCCCCGCGGGGCAGGGCTCGGGACCTGCAGCCTGCCATGCCTGAGCCTCCCCCACACGGTGGGCTCCTGCGAGGCCCAAGCCTCCCTGACCAGCACCACCCCCTGCTCCACAGCGCCCAGTCCCATCGACCACCCAAGGGCTGAGGAGTGCAGGTGCAGGGTGCGGGACTGGCAGGCAGCTCCACCTGCGGCCCTGGTGCAGGATCCACTGGGTGAAGCCAGCTGGGCTCCTGAGTCTAGTGGGGACTTGGAGAACCTTTATGTCTAGCTAAGGGATTGTAAATACACCAATCAGCGCTCTGTATCTAGCTCAAGGTTTGTAAACACACCAATCAGCACCCTGTGTCTAGCTCAGGGTTTGTGAATGCACCAATCCACACTCTATCTGGCTACTCTGGTGGGGACTTGGAGAACCTTTATGTCTAGCTAACGGATTGTAAATACACCAATCGGCACCCTGTATCTAGCTTAAGGTTTGTAAACACACCAATCAGCACCCTGTGTCTAGCTCAGGGTTTGTGAATGCACCAATCGACACTCTATATCTAGCTACTCTGGTGGGGACTTGGAGAACCTTTGTGTAGACGCTCTGTATCTAGCTAATCTAGTGGGGATGTGGAGAACTTTTGTGTCTAGCTCAGGGATTGTAAACGCACCAATCAGCACCCTGTCAAAACAGACCAATCAGCTCTCTGTAAAATGGACCAATCAGCTCTCTGTAAAATGGACCAATCAGCAGGATGTGGGTGGGGCCAGATAAGAGAATAAAAGCAGGCTGCCCGAGCCAGCGGAGGCAATCCACTGGGGTCCCCTTCCACACTGTGGGAGCTTTGTTCTTTCATCTTTGCAATAAATCTTGTCACTGCTCACTCTTTGGGTCCACACTGCCTCTATGAGCTGTAACACTCACCGTGAAGGTCTGAAGCTTCACTCCTGAAGCTAGCGAGACCACAAACCCACCAGAAGGAACGAACAACTCCAGACGCGCCACGTTAACGGCTGTAACACTCACCGTGAAGGTCTGAAGCTTCACTCCTGAAGCTAGCGAGACCACGAACCCACCAGAAGGAACGAACAACTCCACACGCGCCACCTTCACGGCTGTAACACTCACCGTGAAGGTCTGAAGCTTCACTCCTGAAGCTAGCGAGACCACGAACCCACCGGAAGGAACGAACAACTGCAGACGCGCCACCTTAACGGCTGTAACACTCACCGTGAAGGTCTGAAGCTTCACTCCTGAAGCTAGCGAGACCACGAACCCACCGGAAGGAACGAACAACTCCACACGCGCCACCTTAACGGCTGTAACACTCACCGTGAAGGTCTGAAGCTTCACTCCTGAAGCTAGCGAGACCACGAACCCACCGGAAGGAACGAACAACTCCACACGCGCCACCTTAACGGCTGTAACACTCACCGTGAAGGTCTGAAGCTTCACTCCTGAAGCTAGCGAGACCACGAACCCACCGGAAGGAACGAACAACTCCACACGCGCCACCTTAACGGCTGTAACACTCACCGTGAAGGTCTGAAGCTTCACTCCTGAAGCTAGCGAGACCACGAACCCACCGGAAGGAACGAACAACTCCAGACGCGCCACCTTAACAGCTGTAACACTCACCACGAAGGTCTGCAGCTTCACTCCTGAAGCCAGCGAGACCATGAACCCACCAGAAGGAAGAAACTCCGAACGCATCTGAACATCAGAAGGAACAAACTCCGGACACGCCGCCTTTAAGAACTGTAACACTCACCGTGAGGGTGCGCAGCTTCATTCTTGAAGTCAGTGAGACCAAGAACCCACCAATTCCGGACGCACTGGGAGGCGGAGGTTGAAGTGAGCCGAGATCGCGCCATTGTACACCAGGATGGGCAACAAGAGTGAAACTCCATCTCACAGGAAAAAAACGAACAAACCAAAAAATAAAAACAGTAAAAATGATTTTCTTGATTAGATATTCCTCCGAACAAGAGATACAGTGGGTGGCTCACGCCTGTAATCCCAACACTTTGGGAGGCCGAGGCGGATCACCTGAGGTCAGGAGTTTGAGACCAGCCTGACCAATATGATGAAACCCCGTCACTACTAAAAATACAAAAATTAGCTGGGAATGGGGGCATGTGCCTGTAATCCCGGCTACTCGTGAGGCTAAGACAGGAGAATCGCTTGAACCTGGGAGGTGGAGGTTGCAGTGAGCCGAGATCACGCCACTGTACTGCAGCCTGGAAAATAAGAGAGAAACTCCATCTAAAAAAAAAAAAAAGATATAAATGGTCAATAAGCATATGAACAGATGCTCAACATCATTAGTCATCAGGGAAAGTCGTCAAAACTGAGGCCGGGCACCACCGTGTAATCCTGTAATCCCAGCACTATGGGAGGCTGAGGCAGGCGGATCACCGGAGGTCAGGAGTTGGAGACTAGACTGGCCAACATGGTGAAACCCCATCTCTACTAAAAATACAAAAATTAGCCATGCGTGGTGGCATGCACCTGTCATCCCAGCTACTCGGGAGGCTGAGGCAGGAGAATCATTTGAATCCAGGAGGCAGAGGTTGTGGTAAACTGAGATTGCATCACTGCACTCCAGCCTGGGTGACAAAGTGAGACTCTGTCTCAAAGAAAAAAAGAAAAAAAAATCACACTAGAAAGGGTTGATTCTTCCTACAATAACTTAAAAATGGCATATAATCCTCATAAAAATGCAAACAGTTTCCTGTAATGGGCTGATTCTAAAGTTCATATGGAAAAATTAATGTCAGAAAACTAAGCAATGAGGTGAGACCACTCCTACCAGATATTACGCCATATTATAATTTGAAAAACAGTTTCAGTAGTGTGGTTCTGATGCATGATTACACAGACATTCCATGGAACAGAACAGAAAAATCCAGAAATAGCCTCAAACACGTGAACATTTACTATATAAAGTGGCATCAAAGGTGGGTGGGGGGAAAGATGGACTGGTGTTGAGACAACAGGGAAACAAATTAGATATCATGCACTGTAGTAGAATAGGCTCCAAATAATGAAGAGATTTCAATGTAAAAGAAAAAAAAACTCATCAAAGTATTTGAAGAAAATCACGAGGAAATTCAAATACTGGAGTGGGGAAAGACTTTCTAATTAAGACTAAAAATCTAAAGCCTCAAAGGAAAGGCTAGTAATTTCAAATGCATAAATATTTTTAAAACCTCCATTATGGCAAAAAAAAAAAAAAGAAAAAGAAAAAAGGTATAAGCAAAGATGGCAAAATGGAGAAAAAGTGTGCGAGTCTTAGTTCAGGCTGCTATGACAAAATACCACAAACTGCGTGGTTTATATAAGCAACAGAAATTTTTTCTCACAGTTCTGGCAGAAGCTAGGAACTCTTAGGTCAAGGGGCTGACAGATTTGGTGCCTACTGAGGAAATGCTTTCTGGTTCACAAATGGTGCCTTCTGACTGTGTCTTTACGTGGTGGAAGGGGCCAACAAGCTCCTTCAGGACTATTTTATAAAGACATAATCCCTCCTGATTTAATCACCTCTGAATGTCTCCACCTCCTAGTATCACCTTGGAGGTTAGGATTTCAGCATATGAATTTTAAGGGGGCACAAACCTTCAGACCATAGCAGCCAAGGTTGTGAAAACAAAAAGTCAGAAAAAAGGAAATACAATGGGGCGGGGTGCGGTGGCTCATCCCTGTAATCCCAGCACTTTGGAAGGCCAGGGTGGGCGTATCACTTGAGGCCAGGAGTTTGAGACCAGCCAGGCCAACATGGTGAAACCCTGTCTCCATTAAAAATACAAAAATTAGCTGGGTGTATAACTATAGTGCCAGCTACGAGGGAGGCTGAGGCAGGAGAATCACTTGAACCTAGGAGGCGGAGGTTGCAGTGATTTGAGATTGCACCACTGCACTCCAGCCTGGGAAACAGAGCCAGACTCTGTCTCAAAAAAAGAAATACAGCTGGGCGCGGTGGCTCACGCCTGTAATCCCAGCACTTTGGGAGGCTGAGGCAGGCGGATCACGAGGTCAGGAAATCGAGACCATCCTGGCTAACACGGTGAAACCCTGTCAAGGTGTGGTGGCGGGTGCCTGTAGTCCCAGCTACTCGGGAGGCTGAGGCAGGAGAATCGCGTGAACCCGGAAGGCGGAGCTTGCAGTGAGCTGAGATTGCGCCACTACACTCCAGCCCAGGCAACAGAGCGAGACTCCATCTCAAAAAAAAAAAAAAAAAAAAGAAAGAAATACAAATGGCTCTTCAACACATGAAACAATGTTTAAACTTACCTGAAATAAAGAAGTGAAAATCAAAATGATTTTGATAGGCCATCTTCACCTATTAATTTGGCAAAAACAAGAAAGTTTGGTAATGCACTGTTAAGGCTATGGCAAAACAAGCCTTCTAATGTATTAATGAAAAGTATATAAATTATGAAACTCTAGGAAAGGATTTAGCCATAACCATTAATTTTTTTTTTTTGAGATGGAGTTTAGCTCTGTCACCTAGGCTGGAGTGCAGTGGCGCAGTCTCAGCTCACTGCAACCTCTGCCCCCCAGGTTCAAGCTATTCTCCTGCCTCAGCCTCCCGAGTAGCTGGGACTACAGGCGGGTGCCACCACACTCGGCTAATTTTTTGTATATTTTTTTAGTAGAGATGGGGTTTCACCGTGTTAGCCAGGATGGTCTCAATCTCCTGACCTTGTGATCCGCTCGCCTCAGCCTCCCAAAATGCTGGGATTACAGGCGTGAGCCACCGCACCTGGCCCTTGCCAGTAAAATGTTAAATGTATATTCCCTTTGACCTGGCAATCACACTTCTCAAATTCATCCTGCAGATATATTTGCCCACAAGGGAAATGACACGTACAGTGATTATACTGCAGCACTGTTTGTAATAGCAAAATATCAGCAGTAAGCTAGCAATCCATCAGTTTCACTACAGTTAAATGAAATAAGTTCCATCCCAACAAAAGGATACAATGAAACTATAATGGGAGCTAAGGGAGAAGAATGAAAGATCTCCATTCATTGTGGAGTGTGAAGAGCCAGGTGCAGAACTGTGTGTATGGGGACAACCTTTCATATAAAAAAGAAACAAGAGGAGGCAATTAAATTGATGTGTAGAGTCAATGCAATTCCAATTGAAATCCCATGAGATTCTTTTTTTGGTAAAAATTGATAAGCTGATTCTAAAATTCATCTGGAAATGCAAAGGACCTAAAATAGCCAAAATAACTCTGCAGAAGAAAAACAAAGTTGGAGGAAGAACACTACTTGATTTTGAAAGTTGTTACCAGCATGGGCTGAAGAACGACTAGTTAAGTACTATGCTGACTGCCTGGGGGACAGGATCGCTGGGACCTCAAGCCTCAGAGTCATGCGATTTACCCATGCAACAAAGCTGCACATATACCCTTTAGTCTATAATAAAAGTCAAAATTTTAAAAATAAAATAAATGTGAAATTAGGGCCAAAAAAGAGAAAATTGTTATAAAGCTATAGCAATCAAAACAGCATAGTATTGGCTTAAAGAGGGCAGATAGATCAATGGAACCTAATAGAGTCCATAAATAAATCCATACATCAATGGACAACTGATATTGAACAAGGTTACAAAAGCGATGAGGTAGAGAAAGGATGGCCATCTCAATAAATGGTGCCGGGACATTTGATATCCACATGCGAAAAAATGAACTTGGATCCCTACCTGGAACCCCGTACCTTGTCCTCACAAAAGATCTGAACAGATACTTCAACAGAGAAGATACAGGTAAAGCAAAAATGCACATGAGAAGATGCTCAACATCATTAGTCACTAGGGAAATACATGAGAAAACTTTTTGGTAGGCCAGGCGCGGTGGCTCACGCCTGTAATCCTAGCACTTTGGGAGGCTGAGGCCGGTGGATCACGAGGTCAGGAGATCGAGACCATCTGGCTAACACGATGAAACCCCGTCTCTACTAAAAATACAAAAAATTAGCCGAGCATGGTGGTGGGTGCCTGTAGTCCTAGCTAATCGGGAGGCTGAGGCAGGAGAATGGCATGAACCTGGGAAGCGGAGCTTGCAGTGAGCCAAGATCAGGCCACTGCACTCCAGCCTGGGCAACAGAGCAAGACTCTGTCTCAAAAAAAAAAAAGAAAACTTTTTGGGGTGATGGATTTTTTCCCTAACCCCAATTGTGGTGATGGTTTCACAGGTATACACATATGTTAAAACATATCAAATTGCACATTTTAAATGTGTACACTTTGTCATATATATTTTTTTCCTTTTGAGATGCGGTCTCTGTTGCCCAGGCTGGAGTGCAGGGGCACAATCTTGGCTCACTGCAACCTCTGCCTCCCAGGTTCAAGAGATTCTCCTGCCTCAGCCTCCTGAGTAGCTAGGATTACAGGCATGCGCCACCATGCCCAGCTAATTTTCGTATTTTCAGTAGAGATGGGGTTTTACCGTGTTGGCCAGGCTGGTCTTGAACTCCTGACCTTAGGCGATCTGCCCACCTCAGCCTTCCAAAGTGCTGGGATTACAGGCATGAGCCACAGTGCCCAGGCTGTTGTATATTATTTATGCCTAAAAAAAAAAAAAAAGGCCGTTTTAAGGGAAGGAATAAAGGAGGTAGATTTAGAGGAATATAGTCATATTTTCAACAAGAATCTCTAGATATAAAAGAGACTAGTAGGGCAGGCGCGGTGGCTCACGCCTGTAATCCCAGTACTTTGGGAGGCTGAGGCGGGTGGATCACGAGGTCAGGAGTTCGAGACCAGCCTGGCCAACATGGTGAAACCCCGTCTCTACTAAAAATATAAAAATTAGCCGGACGTGGTGGCAGATGCCTGCAATCCCAGCTACTCGGGAGGCTGAGGCAGAGAATCACTTGAACCCGGGAGGCAGAGGTTGCAGTGAGCCGAGATCACGCCACTGCACTCCAGCCTGGGTGACACAGTGAGGCTCCGTCTCAAAAAAAAAAAAAAAGAGACTACAGTTGTTATGAGGAGTGAGACTTTTAAATATTGAATTATCTTTTCATACTTTAAAAATATTGAACCATATGAATACATTTTCTATTTCAAAAATTAAACAATAAAAAATAGAAATGATTTTTAGGCCAAAGGGAGTAATCTGAGTTAATATTTTTCCTGCTTAAGTCACAAAGACTCCCAAACTGAAACTCGCCCAAGCCCACAAGCTTCTCCCTAGAGCAGCAACCCCAGCTCTTCACATTGTCCTCTTGGGTGACTGGCAGTGCCCAGAGATGGGGACTTCCTGTTCATGGCTATAGACAGAGTGGTGTGTTTTGTTAGGCCATTTATATGCAGACACATATTCTTTGCGCTCAGAAGAGTCTGGATAACATCTTAAAGTCGTGTCAAAACAGTGGAAAGCACCAATGGAATTTGAAAGAATGTTTTCAGAGTCAAAGACCAGTATGGATTTACCACTATATTGTCCAATTAATGATCAGCTAAGATGACCTCAGCAATAAGATGCATAGAAAGAAATAACTCTCATAGTTTTAAAATTATCAGGAATTTTGCTTCAAAACCTGAATCAAATAGCATGTATTTGTATTAACAAATAGTAATTTGTATTAATCAAATAGTAATGTATTAACAATATGAGAAAGGAAAATTTTAACATGGAGAGAAATTTAAACTTCCTGATCTAGGATGGTGGTTAAAATCCAAGGTGCTGGCCTGGCGCGGTGGCTCACGCCTGTAATCCCAGCACGCTGAGAGGCTGAGGTGGGTGGATCATTTGAGGTCAGGAGTTGGAGACCAGCCTGATCAACATGGTGAAACCCTGTCTCTACTAAAAGTACAAAAATATTACCCAGGCATGGTGGCGCATGCCTGTAGTCCCAGCTACGGGGAGGCTGAGGCAGGAGAATCGCTTGAACCCAGGAGGCGGAGGTTGCAGTGAGCCAAAATCACATCACTGCCCTCCAGCCTGGGGGACAGAGCAAGACTCCGTCAAAAAAAAAAAAAAAAAAAAAAAAAAAAAAAAAATCCAAGGTGCTCTGGCCAAGTTTAAGACATAGATTGTCTCACTCCAGATAACCGGTTTAGGATTTCCAGTTGGAAAGATGTCAATATTCCTTTGGCCCCTGATGCTGTGAGACTGTTGCAATTATTCTGGAAGGCTGTTGTAAGCCCTGAAATGTCTCCTTGTTTCTTTTCCATAAGAGGATTAAAGATATTGGATCTGGCTTGTGAAGTGAATGTGGGAGGGTTTTTTAGTCTAGCATTTCTCATCAGGAATCAATTCTCCCAGTTGACAAGAATCAACCTTTAGAATAGAGGTTGATTTGCCCACTGGGAGTCATCTTGCAGTTTCATTATAAAATGGTTCTGCTGAGCCAAGCTGCATAATGAATAAACCAGTCTATGGAAATGCTATAGGAGGTTTTCTATTACCATCCATTTGGGGGTTCCCACCTACCTTCAGCTTCCTTATTTAAATTTTGTGTGAACAACATAAAAACTTTGTGTTCATTGAAGAGTTTAATAAAAACAACACAAAGGACTGTTTCTAAAGGAGCTTTGAAAGTTCAAGATTCTAGAAAACTTATATCAAGATTTTATCACTGCAAACATCTTGAGTAAATAGAAACTCAAAAGAGCTCTTTTATATTCACTGTATTTGTCAAAGACTGAGCTATTTTATAGGATTTTGTGGCTTGGGGTGAAAGTATTTTTATGACCTGTTCTAACAGAAAAAAAAAAAAACCCAAACCTGATTAAGATATCATCAGCTGAGCTTCTGAGACCCCCCGAGACCCCTTGGAGCCTCAACTCCGGCCGGGCATGGTGGCTCACGCCTGTAACCCCAGCACTTTGTGGGACCAATGCAGGCGGATCACTTGAGGTCAGGAGTTCAAGACCAGCCTGTCCAACATGGTGAAACCCCATCTCTACTAAAAATACAAAAATTAGCCAGACGTGGTGGCAGGCGCCTGTAATCCCAGGTACTTGGGAGGCTGAGACAGGAGAATTGCTTGAACCTGGGAGGTGGAGGGTGCAGTGAGCTGAGATCATGCCATTGCACCCCAGCCTGGGGGACAGAGAAAGACTTCATCTCAAAAAAAAAAAAAAAAGTCTCAATTCCTATAAACTGATACATGATCGTTCTTCAAACTAACCAAGCGGACTTCATTGCTTTTAGAGGACACAATTAATTCTCTCTGAAAGTTTCCCCACCTCTATAGAGAAAATGTTTTTCTCTCTTTGACTCTGTCTTCACCTTTCTGAACAGCTATCCCAAACCCCACATCGTACCCAGATCAATTCAGTGAAAAAGCTAGCCTGGGCTAAAGTTAATTGTACCTTTAAAAAGCAATAGGGCTGGGCGCAGTGGCTCACACCTGTAATCCTAACACTTTGAGAGGTTAAGGTGGGCATATCCCTTGAGCCCAGGAGTTCGAGACCAACCTGGGCAACAAGGCAAAACCCCCAAACCCCGTCTCTACAAAAAAAAAAAAAAAAAAAAATTAGCCAGGTGTGATGGTGTGTGCCTGAAGTCCCAGCTACTTTTGAGGCTGAGGTGGGAGGATCACCCCTGTCTCAAAAGAACAAATAAAAAATAGTCGGGCGTGGTGGTTCACGCCTGTAATCCCAGCACTTTGGGAAGCCGAGGCAGGCAGATCACCTGAGGTCGAGAGTTCAAGACCAGCCTGACCAACATGGAGAAGCCCCGTCTCTACTAAAAATACAAAATAAGCTGGGCACGGTGGCGCATGCCTGTAGTCCCAGCTACTTGGGAGACTGAGGCAGGAGAATCACTTGAAGCTAGGAGGCGGAGGTTGCGGTGAGCTGAGATCGCTCCATTGCACTCCAGCCTGGGCAACAAGAGCAAAACTCCGTCTCAAAAAAATAATAATAATAAATAAATAAAATAAATAAAAATAAGAAGCAGCTCTCCCTCTCCCTCTCCCTCTCTCTCCCTCTCCCCTCTTTCCACGGTCTCCCTCTGATGCCGAGCCGAAGCTGGACTGTACTGCTGCTATCTCGGCTCACTGCAACCTCCCTGCCTGATTCTCCTGCCTCAGCCTGCCGAGTGCCTGCAATTGCAGGCGCGCGCCGCCACGCCTGACTGGTTTTCGTATTTTTTGGGTGGAGACGGGGTTTCGCTGTGTTGGCCGGGCTGGTCTCCAGCTCCTGACCGCGAGTGATCCGCCAGCCTCGGCCTCCCGAGGTGCCGGGATTGCAGACGGAGTCTCCTTCACTCAGTGCTCAATGGTGCCCAGGCTGGAGTGCAGTGGCGTGATCTCGGCTCGCTACAACCTCCACCTCCCAGCAGCCTGCCTTGGCCTCCCAAAGTGCCGAGATTGCAGCCTCTGCCCGGCCGCCACCCCGTCTGGGAAGCGAGGAGCGTCTCTGCCTGGCCGCCCATCGTCTGGGATGTGAGGAGCCCCTCTGCCTGGCTGCCCAGTCTGGAAAGTGAGGAGCGTCTCTGCCCGGCTGCCATCCCATCTAGGAAGTGAGGAGCGTCTCTGCCCGGCCGCCCATCGTCTGAGATGTGGGGAGCGCCTCTGCCCTGTCGCCCCGTCCGGGATGTGAGGAGCATCTCTGCCCGGCCGCCCCGTCTGAGAAGTGAGGAGACCCTCTGCCTGGCAACCGCCCTGTCTGAGAAGTGAGGAGCCCCTCTGCCCAGCAGCTGCCCCGTCTGAGAAGTGAGGAGCCCCTCCGCCGGGCAGCCACCCCGTCTGGGAAGTGAGGAGCCCCTCCGCCCGGCAGCCACCCCGTCTGGGAAGTGAGGAGCGTCTCCGCCCGGCAGCCACCCCGTCCAGGAGGGAGGTGGGGGGGTCAGCCCCCTGCCCGGCCAGCCACCCCATCCGGGAGGTGAGGGGCGCCTCTGCCCGGCCGCCCCTACTGGAAAGTGAGGAGCTCCTCTGCCCGGCCAGCCGCCCCGTCCGGGAGGGAGGTGGGGGGGTCAGCCCCCCGCCCGGCCAGCCGCCCCGTCCGGGAGAGAGGTGGGGGGGTCAGCCCCCTGCCCGGCCAGCCACCCCGTCCGGGAGGTGAGGGGCGCCTCTGCCCAGCCGCCCCTACTGGGAAGTGAGGAGCCCCTCTGCCCGGCCAGCCGCCCCGTCCGGGAGGGAGGTGGGGGGGTCAGCCCTCCGCCCGGCCAGCCGCCCTGTCTGGGAGGTGAGGGGCGCCTCTGCCCGGCCGCCCCTATGGGAAGTGAGGAGCCCCTCTGCCCGGCCACCACCCCGTCTGGGAGGTGTACCCAACAGCTCATTGAGAACGGGCCATGATGACAATGGCGGTTTTGTGGAATAGAAAGGGGGGAAAGGTGGGGAAAAGATTGAGAAATCGGATGGTTGCCGTGTCTGTGTAGAAAGAGGTAGACATGGGAGACTTTTCATTTTGTTCTGTACTAAGAAAAATTCTTCTGCCTTGGGATCCTGTTGATCTGTGACCTTACCCCCAACCCTGTGCTCTCCTGAAACATGTGCTGTGTCCACTCAGGGTTAAATGGATTAAGGGCGGTGCAAGATGTGCTTTGTTAAACAGACGCTTGAAGGCAGCATGCTCGTTAAGAGTCATCACCACTCCCTAATCTCAAGTACCCAGGGACACAAACACTGCGGAAGGCCGCAGGGTCCTCTGCCTAGGAAAACCAGAGACCTTTGTTCACTTGTTTATCTGCTGACCTTCCCTCCACTATTGTCCTGTGACCCTGCCAAATCCCCCTCTGCGAGAAACACCCAAGAATGATCAATCAATAAATAAATAAATAAATAAATAATAAAAAAAAAAATAAGAAGCAGTGGTAAGCCAGAGCATACACAGCCTGGAAAGCCTGTAAGGATGTTGAGGTGAACCCTGAGAGCAAAAGGAAGTCCATGGAAAGTTGCTAGATAGAGAATGAAATGACTGTGTTTATATTTGTAAGTGTTCGCCCTGGCTGGAGTGTGAAGATTAGATTGGAGAGGTGTGGGGAATCCAGAAGATGGGTGGAGAGGTTAGCCAGAGGGAGGATGTGACTTGCATTGCACTAGAGGGAAAGGATGGATGCCAAAGCACGAGAGTTTGCAGGTTTCAAGGGAGGGCTGTCAGACAGCATCCATTTAATAGCTTGAAGCAAGAGACTGGTCATTTGCTGAGATTTGGGGCTGTGGGAAGGACCTACGGTTTGAGACATTCTGAAATGCTGACCAGAAAGCCCACTGTTGGGGGAAGACAGGTTTAGTGGGAAGGGCAAATTGAGAGACGAGGTCCACCAAGCAGCTCTCAGCAGTTTGAAGGCTTCAAGTTGTTATTCATGCATATCATGGAACAAAAGAATAACAATGATTAACCATTAATGCCATTTATATCCTAATTCAGAAAGCTTACTGGATGTCAAGTACATGTTAGGCATATTTTGGTATAGCTGATCTCATATTATCCTCACAATAACCTTCCCAGTGAAGGGTTATTATCACTTTATAATTGAAACATCTGTGGCTCAGAAAGGTTAAGAAACTTGACCAGGCTCACCAAGCCAGAAAATGAGTTCTGTGATCTATGGAACGTATCTGGCTTCATTCAGAGCTCTAACGGTACAGGAGTTACCATTGTTCACCCTCCTTAAAGAATGAGCATCCAGCGGGACTTTAAAATAACTGTAATTTTTTTTAGTGAGAGACAAGGTGCTTACAAGCAAGCAGCTTGCAATCATGAAGCCTGGGAATCACTGAAGCAAATCTAAGTGCTTAAACTTAACTACAGGAAAAGGAAAGTTAAGTTTTCGGTTCCTCAAATTAATATTTTCATTGTAATGATAATTTCCACTTTTAGTTTGCCGTTTACAAGCCAATTTTATTTTTTATTGCATCTATCTATCATCTATCTATAATTTATTTATTAATTAGAGACAGGGTCTCTCTCCGTAGCCTCAGGCTGGAGTGCAGTGGCGTGATCACAGCTCAGTGCAGCCTCGACCTCCATGGCTCAAGCGACCTCCCACCTCAGCCTCCTAAGTAGCTGGGACCACAATCCCATGCCAATAAGCCCGGCTAATTCTTGTATTTTTTATAGAGGGGCGGGGGCGGGGGTGGCTCACCACGTTGCCCAGGCTGGTCTCGAACTCCTGGCCTCAAGCGACCCTCCACCTCCGCTTCGGCCTCCCAAAGTGCTGAGATTACAGGCGTGAGTCACCGCCCTCGATCTCATTTAAAATATAACTGAGATTTTCCAACTGCTTCACTGATTTGTTAACTAAGTGAACTCTGCTTGGACCCCTCCCCGATTCCCGGTACTGGGACAGGGAAACGAGCCCTAGAGGCGCCCGCAGTGATGTTTGCCTGTTCTCTTACCGAAGCCTGTTATGAGGAGCAAAAAGCAGAATGTCCAAGAAGGCTCTTTGAAGATGTCTGTGAGTTTGCCTGGGGACAGCTCCTGGAAGGCGGTGTCCCCGCGACTAGGGCGAGCCCCGGATTCCCCATCATCCCGGACTCCCCAACACCCGGAGGCGCGGCGCCACGAACAGGACCAAGTAGGAAATGCAAGACCACGCGCCAGAAACGCGGAAGTGGCCCGGAGACAACATGGCGGCGCCGGCGTCAAGTGCCCTAACCCCGGACCGGCGGCCTGGTACGGTGGCCTGTGGGGGACGCCACATTAAAAGAACAGAGACGCTCATCCTGCGCCTGGTAGGGCGAAGTGGGGTCCGGTAAAGCGACCTTCAGCGCAAAGCTGAGGGGGCGCAGGGACCTAACAGCAAGGACCGCAGGGGGAGGCCACCCCTTGCTGGCCAGAATCAGAATGAAGAGACAGACGATAATGCCGTTCATTCTGGCCGTCCCGAGTAGCTGGGACTACAGGCGTGCGCCCACCACGCCAGGCTAATTTTTTAAAAATTTTATGGAGACGGGGGTCCCACTATGTTGCCCGGGCTGGTCTTGAACTCCTGGCCTCATGTGATCCTCCCACCATGGCCTCCCAAAATGTTGAGATTACAGGCCTGAGCCACCGCACCTGGTCATTCAACTATTATTTTAAGCCACACACTTCTGCATAATAGAGCATGTATTATTAGTCTACTATTGCCACACTAAAGAGGTGTAACAAAATGCCTCCCAAACTCAGAGGCGTAACCCAACAATCGTTTATTCTCACTTATGCATCTGCAGGTCACTGATGTGGGCTGAGTTCAGCTGGACGTGTCTCCAAGCTGAAGATTGGGTCCCTGTCTTCTCCATGTCTCAGCTTCCCTGGACCAGTGGGTCAGTCAGGGCGTGTTCTTCTCATGGTGGTTGTTCACAGAAAAAGCGGTCTTGATCCAGACCCCAAGAGAGGCCTCCTGAATTACACGCAGGAAGGAATTCAAGACAAGTTGCAGGGTACGGTGAGAGTTTATTGAAAGCGCCTCCATTACAGAGTAGGGCGTCCTTAGGAAGCAAGCAAAGGAATGCCCCGTCTTTGTTTTAGCTTTTTCTTTTTTTTTTTTTTTTGAGATGGACTCTTGCTCTATTGCCCAGGCTGGAGTGCAATGGCACAATCTCGGTTCACTGCAACCTCTGCCTCCTGGGTTCAAGCAATTCTCCTGCCTCAGCCTCCTGAGTAGCTGGGATTACAGGCGCCCGCCACCACGCCTGGTGAATTTTTGTAGTTTTAGTAGAGACAGGGCTTCGCATGTTGGCCAGGCTGGTCTCAAACTCCTGACCTCAGGATGATCCACCCGCCTCGCCTCCCAAAGTGCTGGGCCACTGCGCCTGGCCATTTTAAATTTTTCATATATAGGCCGGGCGCGGTGGCTCACGCCTAATCCCAGCACTTTGGGAAGCCGAGGTGGGCAGATCACAAGGTCAGGAGATCGAGACCATCCTAGCTAACACGGTGAAACCCCCATCTTTACTAAAAATACAAAAAATTAGCCGGCTGTGGTGGTGGGCGCCTGTAGTCCCAGCTACTTGGGAGGCTGAGGCAGGAGAATGGGTGAACCCGGGAGGTGGAGCTTGCAGTGAGCCGAGATTGCGCCACTGCACTCCAGCCTGGGAGACAGAGCGAGACTCTGTCTGAAAAAAAAAAAAATTTGATATATAGGGGTTTTGTCTATGTAAAGGCTAAACTAAGCTGTGTCTTTGTGCATGTGGTCTGACAGCATGACAAAATTTATTATTTTATTGATTTAAAGAAAACTCTCCTTGACATTTTAGTGTATAAGTACATTAAAGCATAACTATAATTATCTTGAAAGCATATATTACGGGTATTGGGACATCTGGTCTTTCTGTTGTTACAGGATTGTGTCCTTGCAGGTATCTTTAGGCTGTTTTCTCAACTGTAAACATCTTATGACCATGGGTTGTGACTGGCAAGGAGTCTCAAGATGGAGCTCAACTTAAAATGGTGTCACTCTGGCCCTCCTAGGCCTCGGCTTCTCTAACAATGGCAGAAGCAAGAACACAAGTCCAACTGCACAAACACATTGTAAACCTTTGCTTGCATCACACCTGCCAATATCCTATGGCCAAAGTAAATGCACATGGCTAAGCCCAGCAGAAATGAAGCAGGGAAGTATATTCCTTCTGTATGGGAGAAGGGAGTGTGAAAGGAAAATATCTTGGACCCCCAAAATATTTTCCTTTTTACGAAGGAAAACTCAAGCTGGAAACTGCTTAAGACAAACCTGCCTCTCATTCTATTCAAAGTTATCCCTCTGCTCACTGAGAGAGATGCACATCTTATTTGCCTCCTTTGGAAAGCCTAATCAGAAACTCAAAAGAATGCAACCATTTGTGTCTCACTTATCTGTGACCTGGAAACCCCCTCCCTGCTTCAAGTCTTCCTGCCTTTGCTTCAAATTGTCCTGCCTTCCCAGACCTAACCAATGTAATTCTTCTACTGATTGATGTCTCGTGTCTCCCTAAAATGTATACAAGCAAGCTGTGCCCGACTACCTTGGGCACATGTCGTCAGGACTTCCTGAGGCGGTGTCATGGATGCATCCTCAATCTTGGCAAAATAAACTTTCTAAATTAACTGAGACCTGTCTCTGATTTTCTGGGTTCACAGAAGCATGTCTGATTATTTTAAATAATAATCTAACACAAAGAACATGGTTAGACCACTGAATTCCATAGGTATGAGCTCACTGTCACACTTCCTTTACTGAAAATGTGTCCTGGGGTGAGAGATGCTGAATACCATAAAGACACATGCAGCGTTCTGTAAGTCCATAGATGTGGGTGCTGCAGGCAGAGAAGGCGCATCCCTGTGTGGACTGAGTCTATACCTGGGAGGCATATTACTGCCTCCTCCAGGAGTCTGATCTAATTTACTTGCCGTCAAGTGGCCAGCTGGTCTCCCTAAAGAATCGTGTCCTGGCCAGGTGCGGTGGCTCACGTCTATAATCCCAGCACTTTGGGAGGCCGAGGTGGGGGGATCACAAGGTCAGGAATTAGAGACCAGCCTGGCCAATATGGTGAAATCCTGTCTCTACTAAAAGTACAAATATTAGCTGGGTGTGGTGGTGGGCGCCTATAGTCCCAGCTACTCAGGAGGCTGAGGCAGGAGAATTGCTTGAACACAGGAGGCAGAGGTTGCAGTGAGCCAAGATCACGCCACTGCACTCCACCCTGGGCAACAGAGCAAGACTCCGTCTCAAAAAAAAAAAAAAAAAAAAAAGAGAAGAATAGAGAAAAAAGGAAAAAAAAGAATCGTGTCCTGTCAGTTTCTCAAAGTTGGCTTCTGCTGTTGGCAGGTTGGGTACTTAACAGTGACAGTGGCCAGCAAGATCAGCCAGGATGAAGGGCAGTTTATGAGGTTGAACACATGCATAGCCTCTATCCTGTTACTATAGCCACTTCACATATGGGCTCTTTGAGCAAGAACTGAGATGTTTTGGGAGGAAAAGTCCAACATCCAGAGATGACAGAGACCTCCTCCATACCAAATGCCTTCTGATAGATGTTTGCAGAGGACAAGAAGTCTTCACATTCAGTGCCCATTCAAAAAGGTCCATCCACATCCCCAGCAGACCTCCTGTACCTAATCTTTAATCTTGTTCTTTCTTAGTCCCTGATCAACTGGCCAACCCGTGAGCCAGTGTCCATCAGTCCTTTTTTTGTTTGTTTTTTGTTTTTTTTTTTGAGATGGAGTTTTGCTCTTGTTGTGTAGGCCGGAGTGCAATGGTGCAATCTTGGCTCACTGCAACCTCTGCCTCCCAGGTTCAAGCGATTCTTGTGCCTCAGCCTCCTGAGTAGCTGGGATTACAGGTATGCCCCACCACACCCAGCTAATTTTTGTATTATTAGTAGAGACGGAGTTTCTCCTCGTTGGTCAGGCTGGTCTTGAACTTCCAACCTCAGGTGATCCACTTGCCTAGGCCTCCCAAAGTGCTGGGATTACAGGCGTGAGCCACTATTGCCAGCCTGGTCCTTCAGGCCATCCCTACTTAGCTGAGAAGTGGAAAACCAGGCACAGTGCTCAGAGTTCCACCATCTGAGATGACTTCCCTTCACCACTTCTTTTTTTTTCTTTTTTTTCTTTTTTTCTTTTTCTTTTCTTTCTTTCTTTTTTTTTTTTTGTGACGGAGTCTCCTTCTTGTCGCCCAGGCTGGAATGCACTGGCGTGATCTAGGCTCACTACAACCTCCGCCTCCCGGGTTCAAGCGATTCTCCTGCTTCAGCCCCCTGAGTAGCTGGGATTACAGGCGCCTGCCACCATGCCCAGCTAATTTTTGTACTTTTAGTAAAGATGGGGTTTCGCCATGTTGGCCAGGCTGGTCTCAAACTCCTGACCTCAGGTGATCAGCCCGCCTCGGCCTCCCAAAGTGCTGGGATCACAGGTGTGAGCCACCTTGCCCACCCTCCCCACTGTCTTTTTAGGGTTTCTCCTAAGTAAGGCTAGAGTAGAATGGCTGTTCATATCTGGCATGTGCCAGCATATTATGCAGATGTCAACACTAGGCCCATTTTTTCCATCCTGCACTAACTTGACATAGAGAAATCCTATGAGTCTATAGGTGTAGACTGAGGCGGGGGTAGGAATTTAAATGACCCTCTTGTACAACCTGCTTGCACAGTCCTATGTACACTTTTTATTTCACAACAGAATGTTGCTTTGTAAATTCACTTTTTTTTTTTTTTTCTTTGAGACAGAATCTCACTCTGTCACCAAGGCTGGAATGCAGTGGCCTGATCTTGGCTCACTGGAACTTCCACCTCCCAGGTTCAAGCAACTCTCCTGCCTCAGCTTCCTGAGTAGCTAGATTACAGGAGCATGCCACCACACCCAGATAATTTTTGTATTTTTAATAGAGACGGGGTTTTGCCATGTTGCCTAGGCTGGTCTCGAACTCCTGGCCTCAAGTGATCTGCCCGCCTCAGCCTCCCAAAGTGCTGGGATTACAAAGGTGAGCCACCGTGCCTGGCCAGTAAATTCAGTTTTAACGATCAGATGAAACTAAATTCACCAAGGGCAGTTCAGATGAATCTCTCAGTGCCACCTGGCAGGAGCGGTGGCCCTCAAGTGAGGATGCAGCCAGCCTACAATGAGGAGCTACGGGAATAAGGACCCCAACCTCACATCCCACCTCTGTTCTTCCACAAGTGTTCCCCATTGGCTGCAGCTGACCAGGAGTCAGAGAACGAGGGAGCCCATTGATGTGGTTCACATGAGTCAGCCTCTGGGGCGGAGCAGGATGAAGTGGAGAAATTCATCTGGACAGGCTATGGTGGGCAGCCTCTAAGATGGTACCCAGTGAGCAACACCTCCTGGCATTCACCTCCAGGGCTGGTCTGTGTGACCAGTAGAATATGGCAGAGACAATGACATTTCACCTAACAAGTCAGGTTAGAAAAGGCACTGCAGCCTCAGTTTTGGTCACTGCAGTGGGGAGCTTTCTAAGATGGCCCATGATTCCCAGCTGCTGGCATCCATGCCAGTGTGTAATACCCTTCCTTTGAGTGTATGCTGGACCAAGTGACTTGATCCTAATTAATCGAATATGGCAAAAGTATTGGGATATATCCCTTGTGAGATTAGGCAACTAAAGGTTCTAACTTCCATCTTGGTTGCTGGCTTTAGCCAAGCAAGAGGCCCGTGTGGAAAGAATTGAGGGAGACCTCTGGCCAACACCCACCTGAGTGTGTGTGGAAGGGGATCCACTCCAGGTGAGACTTAAGAATCTCAACTTAAGCTGACTGCAGCCTCTGGAAGGACTCAGCTCTGAGTCCTCAGCTAAACCGTGCCCAGATACCTATTCCACAGAAATGTGAGATAACAAATGCCATTTGATGTTTTGGGGTAATTTATTATAAAATAAAAGGTAACTAATATTCTCTCTCTCTGATCACTTGCTTTAGGTGAAGTCAGCGGCTGTCATTAGCAGCTCTATCGGGAGCCCACCTGGCAAGGAAAGGTTTTCTGACCACAGCTTGTGAGTGAGCCTGGAGGCAGATCCCCACCCACCCAAGCCTTCGGATGACTACAGACCCTGCCCTCAGCATGATTCATGAGAGACCTGAGCCAGAACCTCCAGCTAACCCACTACCTTATTCCTGACCATCAGAAACTGTGCAAGGTAGGGCCTGGCATGGTGGCTCAGGCCTGTAATCCCAGCATTTTGGGAGGCCGAGGCAAGCAGATCACTTGAGGTCAGGAGTTCAAGACCAGCCTGGACAACATGGTGAAACCTCATGTCTACTCAAAATACAAAAATTAGCTGGGCGTAGTGGCACACGTCTGTAATCCCAGCTCCTCGGGAGGCTGAGGCAGGAGAATCTCTTGAATCTGGTAGGCGGAGGTTGCAGTGAGCTGAGATCGCGCCACTGCACTCCAGCCTGGGCGACAGAACTGAGACTGTCTCAAAAGAAACTGCTAAGGTAATAAATGTTCGGGGTTTTAAGCTGCTAAGGTTTGGGAAAATTTGCTTTGTAGCAATTGATACTAATCCATGAGCCAACAGAAAACATTCAGCCAAGAGGAAAAGGGAAAGTTCATAAAATTGGGTGAAATATTCCTTAGGAATAGTATTTGGTACTTTTTTTTTTTTTTTTTTTTGAGATGGAGTCTCACTCTGTTACCCAGACTGGAGTGCAGTGGCACGATCTCAGCTCACTGCAACCTCCGCCTCCTGGGTTCAAGTGATTTTCTTGCCTCAGCCTCCTGAGTAACCGGGATTACTGGCGCGTGCCACCACGCCCGGCTAATTTTTGTATTTTGAGTAGACACGGGGTTTCACCATGTTGGCCAGACTGGTCTCCAACTCCTGACCTCAAGTGATCCACCCGCCTCAACCTCCCAAGGTGCTGGGATTGATAACAATCATGAGCCACTGTGCCCGGACTTGGTTCATATTCTTGATGGGCCCTGAACCTATATATAGAGTTATTTTTTTGAGGACCTCTCATAAAAAAAAGGTTTTCTTTTGCTTCAGGGACAAACTCTGGTATTCCACTAAATTGAGAATGGGCTGGGCGTGGTAGCTCACGCCTGTAAGACCAGCACTTTGGGAGGCTGAGGCAGGAGGATCACTTGATCCCAGAAGTTGGAGACCAGCCTGGGCGACACAGGGAGACCCCTCCCCCATCTCCACAAAAATAAAAATAAAATAAGCCAGGCGTGGTGGCGTGCACCTATAGTCCCAGCTACTTGGGAGGCTTAAGTGGGAGGCTCACTTGAGCCCAGGAGTTCGAGGCTGCCGTGAGCTATGATAGCACCACTGCACTCCAGCCTGAGCAACAGAGAAGACCCAGTCTCCAAAAAAAAAAAAAGCCCACCAAAAAAGTAAAAAAAAGTTGAAAATGATGACAGACCCTTTATTAGCACCTCTTACATGCCCGGGCAGTGAATTTATATCATCTTTCACAAATAGAAAAACTGAAGCTCATTCAGATTAGGTAATTTATCTGAAGACACAGATAAACCCCTCTCAGCGCCTGACTCTCGGCGCAATCGGGATGTTTCGCAGCGGGGCAGGGGCAGGGGCCGGAGCCACCGCCATCGCAGCCCGGGGAACAACGGACTCGGGGAAGCCCGGCCTGGCCCTTCAAGTCCCGGGCCCAGCAAGGGCCAGGACCCTCCCTCCCTCCCTGCAATCGGTCCCAACTCGCTGAATGAAGCTCATTCAGTTTAGGTAATTTATCTGAAGACACACGGTTAGTAAAAGGCAGAACCCAGGTTTGTATTCCGAAGCCCTCGTTCTTTCCACCACATTATTATGGCCTTCCTAACGGTAATCCTTACAATTTTAAATGAACATATACCATAGCTCCTCTCCTGAACACCGAGGGACGCTGGCTCACGGAGTTTAGAAAGTTAACGCATCTGGCCGGGCGCGATGGCTCACGCCTGTAATCCCAGCACTTTGGGAGGCCGAGGTGGGCGGATCACAAGGTCAGGAGTTCGAGACCAGCTTGACTAAGATGGTGAAACCCCGTCTTTACTAAAAATACAAAAATTAGCTGGGCATGGTGGCACAGGCCTGTAATCCCAGCTACTCGGGAGGCTGAGGCAGAAGAATCGCTTGAACCCGGGAGGTGGAGGGTGCGGTGAGCCGAGATCGCGCCACTGCACTCCAGCCTGGGTGACAGAGCGAGACTCCGTCTCAAAAAAAAAAAAAAAAAAAAGGAAGTTTACGCAACCCGCTGCGTCCCCTCCACCGCCGCGCACCCCGTCTCGCAGCTGGCGCGGTGTTTGCTGGTGACATGAACTCAACCAGCCTCCACCATCTGGGGATCGGGGCGACATCCTTGGTCTGGTTTGCAAGAGGACCCGCACGCCTCCAGCTGGGGCGGAATTGGAAGATTCAGAAAGGAAAGTTGGGGAGGCGGGGAAGGAAGGGTGCAAAAGTGACACTGTGCCAGGGTCTCCAGGGCCGCGGAGCTCCGGGACAGGCAGCGCCTTCCGAGCTGCACAAACGCGTGGGGCGGGGCGTCTCTGGATCCGGAAGTTGCCTCTGCCCTCACCAAAGATGGCGGCCCCGGCGCCGCTCGCCCACCTCTCGTAACCAATGGAACCGCGGCGCTCGGCCGATTCTCGCAGGCGCCCTCAGATCTACGCTCTCTGATGCAACGCCGGAATCGCGGAAACCGCCGGTGCACGTTGGAGTCATAAGACGGCGTCGGTGTTGCAGTCTGTGTCCTTGGAGGTGACCAGGGCCACTGCAGGCATGGTGCTAGGTGGGTGAGACTCAGTGTATGGCGCGGTGTTCCCTGCCTGGGGCAGGAACTCTGCTCCAGTCGGGTTTCGGCGCTTTCCTTAGTGCCTACCAGAGTGGGCGCCCCGCGAATGTTTGGGGACCGATTGCAGGGAGGGAGGGAGGGAGGGTGCTGGCCTTTGCTGGGCCCGGGACTTGAAGGGCCAGGCCGGGCTTCCCCGAGTCCGTCGTTCCCCCGGGCTGCGATGGCGGTGGCTCCGGGCCCTTCCCCTGCCCCGCTGCGAAACCTCCCGATTGCGCTGAGACTCAGGCGCTGGGACGGGTTCAGACACAGGGTAGCCCCTACTCCTGCAGTTCTTCAAAGTGATCGTCAGGAAGGGGCTTTAGGATTCTAGTTGTTTTTCTCCCACCCTCATTTTTTTATTGAGGTTTCCGGGGAGACCATACTGTGCAGTAGGAAAAAAAAAAAAAAAAAGAGAGAGACCTGGATGGATGTTAACTGTTCAGACCTACTAGTTGTGAGGCCTTCTGAAATTTTCTAACCTCAGAGCTTCTGTTTCCTTTAAAGTCCAGAGGGAGCTGGTGTTTATTTGCCATCTCTACAAAAACTGGCACTGGGATATCTGATTTGTATGTGTTATTTTATTTCATCCTCAGCACAGCCTTTCAAGATGGGGATTGTTTTTCCTATTTTATAGGTAAAGAAATAAGCTCAGAAAGGTTAAGTAAATTCTCCAGAGTCACCCTGCCTTTTAAGGTACAAAATCCAACATTCCAGCGTATGTCTGATCAACTTCAAAGCCCATATTTTATTTTTGGGTGCCCAATTAGATAGAATAAATATCACAAATTAAAATGATCAGAGTTCATTTTGAAAACCTGGATTATTAACTAATGTTTTTATGAGATGGATGTTATTGAAATGGAGTGGGGAAATAACTAGGATATTAATTACTTATGGACCTCAATTTTTATTAATCGATGCTTGTTCTGTTTACAAAGATAAGGAATGAATAAAGTAGTAAGGTGACTAATAGTTAATGGCCAGACCATAACTTACCCTCATTTTGTCAAACAGCAGAGCTGTACGTCTCTGACCGAGAGGGAAGCGATGCCACGGGAGATGGAACCAAGGAGAAACCATTTAAAACAGGTCTAAAGGTAGAGTCTCTTCTCATTAGGAAAATGAGACTGCATTTATTAATGAGTTATGTCAATTTTCTTGTGACTTGCCAAGAACTTAATTTCAAACACTAGGTTCCAAAGAGAATTTTCAGAAAAGGGAAAGTAAGGAATGCATACAGATATGTGACTTTAAGATTGTTAGATGATCAAAGTCTAAACTTACTTTTTAACATTTTGAAAAAAGGTCTCTTCTTTCTTACCACATGGCATTGCTTCTTGGAATTTTTCTCTCCATTGAGTCAGATTGCTGGGTTTTCAATTCTTGTAAAGATAAAAGTTACCTTTCCTCAGTTACAGTGAGCTCATGACCAGGGGGCTCCTGAGAGGGCTTTTGGTGAATTTACCACAATCCAGAGTGTGATCCTGAGATTTGACTCCAAGACCACCAAGAATGGATTCATTTGTCAGAGCTGACTCATGAGTCTGGAGCTTCAAGCTAGAATGCCAATTTATTAACATTCTGTTAATGAATTAACAGTGCTGTTATTTCTCAGGATCTAGAATCCTTGAATGAGTTTAGCTCATTCTCAAAGGGGTTTGTCAAGAGCTTGGACTCAGGCCTGGTGTGGTGGCTCACGCCTATAATCTCAACACTTTGGGAGGCCGGGGCAGGTGGATTGCTTCAGCGCAGGAGTTTGAGACCAGCTTGGGCAACTTGGTGAAATCCTGGCTCTACAAAAAACATAAAAATTAGCCCAGCATGGTGGTGCGTGCCTGTGGTCCCAGCTACTCCGGAGACTGAGGTGAGGATTTCTTTAGCCTGGAAGGTGGAGGTTGCAGTGAGCCACCATTGCGCCACTGCACTCTAGCCTGAGACCCTGTCTCAGAAGAAAAAACAAAAAAAGGGCTTGGACTCACAACATGGGTGTTAGGTAGTTGATTATATCAGAGTAAAGTGTGGCCTAAGACAACCTTCTTAAAATAGACCATGGACTTAGCTGTTGAACTCATATGCTAGAATCCATTGGCTATAACTGCCACATAAGGAAGATGGTTAAAAGTTCCTTCCTTGGGTCTGGGCTTTGGTGCCTCACGTTTGTAATCCCAGCACTTTGGGAGGCTGAGGCTGGAGGACTGCTTGAGCCCAGGAGTTTGAGAACAGCCTGGGCAACATGATAAGACCCTCATCTCTACAAAAAATTTAACTTCTTAAAAATTTTTTAATAAATTTAATTTAAAAAATAAATAGAGACAGGATATTAACCCTCCCAAAGTGCTGGGTTTATAGGAGTGAGCCATCACACTCAGCCAACTACCAAAAAAAAAAAAAAAAAAAAATTAGCCAGGCATGGTGGTATGGTATGCACCTGTGGCCCCAGCTACTCGGGAGACTGAGATAGGGGGATTACTTGAGCCCAGGAGGTTGAGGCTGCAGTGAGCCGTGATTGCATCACTGCTCTGCAGCCTGGACGACAACAACAAAAAAGTTCCTTCTTTGAACTGTATTAGGAAAAGCAGTGCCTTGACACTCCTTTTTCTGTGCATCCCCTTTTTTTGTTAACTGTGTTACAACATTTATAGTTACTATCAAGTCCTAATCTGGGAGCATTCTCCTCTCTTTTAGGTCATACCATATGGTTATAAACTTTGGTGTGTCATACATGGGTACTTGTTTTTAATTTAACTTATTTATTTATTTTTCTGAGACAGGATCTTAATTTGTTGCCCAGGCTGGAGTGCAGTAGCGCATTCATGGCTCACTGCAGCTTCAACCTCCTGGGCTTAAGGGATCCTCCCACCTCAGCCTTCCAAGTAGCTCGGACCACAGGGGCATGTCACCACACGCGGTTAATTTGTTTCTTATTTGTAGATACGAGATCTCATTATGTTTCCCAGGCTGGTCTTAAACTCCTGGGCTTAAGCAATCCTGCTGCCTTGGCCTCCCAAAGTGCTGGGGCTACAGGTGTGAGCCGCCACTCCTGGCTGGGTTTTACTTTTTAACCACTCTTAAGGGGAAATCTTTCATTTCTGGATTATCGGGTGCCTCGTTTTGCAGCTCCTGAAAACTGACAACACCGTTTAGATGAACGTTTGCAGAATGTCACTGTTAACAACAGAATGTCACTGTTAACAAAAGTGTAGCATTCTGATTTGGGAACTGATAGTTTGGCTCTTTCAATTTCAATGATACAAAAGGAGGGATCAGTACAGATTGTCGGGTAATAAGTGAATTCCGAACGACCTACATGTATTCATGGGACCTTCTCTCTTGGTTTTGCATTTTCATCAATGGCTATCTTTTTTTTTTTTTTTTTGAGACAGAGTTTTGTTCTTGTTGCCCAGGCTGGAGTGCAGTGGCATGATCTCGGCTCACTGCAACCTCTGCCTTCTGGGTTCAAGCAATTCTCCCTGCCTCAGCGTCCTGAGTAGCTGGGATTATAGGCACTCGCCACCATGCCTGGCTAATTTCTTTTTTTTTTTTTTATTTCTAGTAGAGATGGTGTTTCACCGTGTTGGCCAGGCTGGTCTCGAACTCTTGAGCTCAGGTGATCCACTCACCTCGGCCTCCTAAAGTGCTGGGATTACAGGCGTGTGCCACTGCGCCTGGCCCCTACATGTATTCTTACAATGTCTAGTTGTTAAAAGGATGAACTATTGAATGTTTTCTTTTTTTTCTTTTTTTTTTTTTTGAAAAGGAGTCTCACACTGTCACCCAGGCTGGAGTGCAGTGGTGCAATCTCAGCTCACTGCAACCTCTGCCTCCCGGATTCAAGAGATTCTTCTGCCTCAGCCTCCCGAGTAGCTGGGACCACAGGCGTGTGCCACCACACCTGGCCAATTTTTGTATTTTTAGTAGAGACAGGGTTTCATCATATTGGCCAGGCTGGTCTCGAACTCCTGACCTCATGATCCGCCCACCTCGGCCTCCCAAAGTGCTAGGATTATAGGCGTGAGCCACCACGCCCAGCCCTTGAATGTTTTCAAAAGATCCAGATTCCTTCCTTCTCTATTTTTTTTTTTTTTTTTTTTTTGAGACGGAGTCTTGCTCTTGTCACCCAGGCTGGAGTGCAGTGGTGCGATCTCGGCTCACTGCAAGCTCCGCCTCCCAGGTTCACGCCATTCTCCTGCCTCAGCCTCCTGAGTAGCTGGGACTACAGGTGCCCGCCACCACACCCGGCTAATTTTTTGTATTTTTAGCGGAGACGGGGTTTCACCATGTTAGCCAGGATGGTCTCGATCTCCTGACCTCGTGATCCGCCCACCTCGGCCTCACAAAGTGCTGGGATTACAGGTGTGAGCCACCATGCCCGGCCTCAGATTCCCTCCTTCTCTGCAGCAGTCGTAGAACTGAGAAAAAGTCCGTTTTTGCAGGCTGCAGATCTTGCAACAGAGAATAATTCACTGCATTTCTTGTTTGATTCAATAACTTGGAAGAGATTTTGAAAGATTATTTGAGGCTTTAAAATATTCATCTTTTATGTACTTTGAACTATTTTTTAAAAACTACAAACAATACATTTTATCAAATGATATATAACACAGCAATGCTTGATATGTCCCATTGGGGAAAAGAGGTATTCTACATGGGGGAGTTTTTCAGATTAAATGAGTTTAGCTTTTTGTGCTCTTTTTTTTTTTTTTTTTTTTTTTTTTTTGAGACAGAGTCTCTCTCTGTCGCCCAGGCTGGAGTGCAGTGGTGCCATCTCAGCTCACTGCAAGCTCTACAGGCGCCCGCCACCACACCCGGCTAATTTTTTGTATTTTTAGTAGAGACAGGGTTTCACTGTGTTAGCCAGGATGGTCTCGATCTCCTGACCTGGTGATCCTCCCTCCTCGGCCCCCCAGAATGCTGGGATTACAGGCCTGAGCCACTGCACCCGGCCGCTTTTTGTGTTCTTAACCATTGTTTTGTTGAAAGTTTCAAAAATGTCTGACACTTCTCTGATTTCTCACAGAGAACTAACCTTTTAGATGTCACTTGCAGTTGAGTTTTGCTGTCAGGTGTCTCTTCTGTTGTCCTTGTACCTGTGCTGGTTGCTACAGCCACTTAAGATCTGTTGCTTATAGTCTGCTTTTCCTGGGGAACTGTATCGTGTATACCCGAACTTGCTGTAATTGTTTGTGAGAGGACCTCAGAGCTTCAGCTTTAACCAGTGTGCTTCTTTTTTTTTTTTTTTTTCTCTTGAGACAGAGTCTCGCTCTGTTGCCCAGGCTGGAGTGCAGTGGCACGATCTTGGCTCACTGCAAGCTCCGCCTCCCAGGTTCACGCCATTCTCCTGCCTCAGCCTCCCGAGTAGCTGGGACTACAGGTGCCTGCCACCACACCTGGCTAATTTTTTTGTATTTTTAGTAGAGACGGGGTTTCACCATGTTAGCCAGGATGGTCTCGATCTCCTGACCTCACCCACCTCGGCCTTCCAAAGTGCTGGGATTACAGGCGTGAGCCACCGCGCCCAGCCAACCAGTGTGCTTCTTAAATGTTCAACCAGTCACTGTGCCAATATCAGCTTTTGGCTGTTGGGGTCTTTATGCTTAGATTGTTCCAGTTGCCTTATACTTGAGATGTTATTTTGATTTTAAGTATTGTACAATGTTCAAGAACTGTCTTTTCTCTCCTCCCTACCCAAGGCTTTGATGACAGTAGGGAAAGAACCATTTCCTACCATTTACGTAGATTCACAAAAAGAAAATGAGAGGTGGAATGTTATTTCTAAATCACAGTTGAAGAACATTAAAAAGATGTGGCATAGGGAACAAATGAAGAGTGAATCCCGGGAAAAGAAAGAGGTGAGTCCTGACCTTGCCATCGTGAACGTTGTTAAAGTTAGAACTCTGGCAACCATGTTAACAAACTGCTTCATCATTAAAATTAGGCAGAAGATAGTTTACGAAGAGAAAAGAACCTGGAAGAAGCAAAGAAGATTACCATTAAAAATGATCCAAGTCTCCCAGAGCCAAAATGTGTAAGTTTGTTTATCTTTTCAAATACCGTGGACTTGGCTACATCAGATCATTATTTCTGTGTATGAGGGGCATGTCACATGGTTTGTTCCTTTACATTTTGTTTTTACTTTCCATTTATTTATTTATTTATTTATTTTTGAGACGGAGTCTTGCTCTGTCGCCCAGGCTGGAGTGCAGTGGTTCAATCTCAGCTCACTGCAAGCTCCGCCTCCCGGGTTCACGCCATTCTCCTGCCTCAGCCTCCCGAGTAGCTGGGACTACAGGCGCCCGCCACCACGCCCGGCTAATGTTTTGTATTTTTGGTAGAGACGGGGTTTCACCGTGTTAGCCAGGATGGTCTTGATCTCCCGATCTCGTGATCTGCCCACCTCGACCTCCCAAAGTGCTGGGATTACAGGCGTGAGCCACTGCGCCCGGCCTACTTTCCTTTTATTTTTTATTTCTTAATTTTAAATTTTAATTTATTTATTTTGAGACAGGGTCTTGCTCTGTTGCTCAGGCTGGAGTGCAGTGGTGCAGTTTCTGCTCACTGCAACCTCTGCCTCCTGGGCTCTAACGATCCTCCCAAGTAGGGGGGACCACAGGCATGCACCACCACACCTGGCTAACTTTTATTTATTTTTAATTTTTGTAGAAACAGTCTCCCATATTGCCCGGGCTGGTTTCAAACTCCTGGGCTCAAGGGATCCTCCCACCTCAGCCTCCCAAAGTGCTGGGAATACAGGCGTGAGCCACCATGCCTGGCCTACTTTCCTTTCAGAAGGGACATAGAGAAATAATGTTTTAGAGTTATGAGGCTAGTTCTTTAGGGGTTCATTTTATTACACAGTTAAGTAAATGCATGTTGAATGAATTCTGTCCCAACTGAATGCCAGCAGATGGGGGACCCAGGCCTGGCTACGCTTCATGATGTTGGTCAAGTGATTTAACCCTCTCTAGTGTCAGTTTGCTTATAAAATGAAGAGGTTGAAATCTATGATTTTCATGTTTTATTTAAATAGAGTAAAAGTTTGTGAATTGTGAAATTAGATTCACTCTTCTTCTGTTCTTTCTGGAACCCAAATAGATTGCTGGACTATGAATGAAAATGGTTTGATTTCCAGTAGTTCTTATTTTATTTTATTATTTATTTATTTATGAGACAGAGTTTCACTCTTGTCACCCAGGCTGGAGTGCAGTGGGGAGATCTCAGCTCATTGCAACCTCCGCCTCCCGGGTTCAAGTGATCCTCCTGCCTCAGACTCCCAAGTAGCTGGGATTACAGGTGCCTGCCACCACGCCTGGCTAATTTTTGTATTTTTAGTAGAGATGGGGTTTCACCGTGTTGGCCAGACTAGTCTCAAACTCCTGACCTCAGGTGATCTGCCCTCCTTAGCCTCCCAAAGTGCTGGGATTACAGGCTTGAGCCACCACGCCCAGCCAGATTTCCAGTAGTTCTTATTGCTGATGAATTTTTGTATTATTTCCTTAGTGATGGAGCTGGGGTTTTTTGGCCACATGCAACAGCCCCTTCCTCTACTCATCTCCTCTCTCCTTCATCCCCCAAACAAAAGCTAGCCTTTTAAGTACCATGTTCTGGAAGGTATTGAAGAACTGTGGGGTCATGGAAAAGGCTTCATGTGGACTGGGATTGTTGCTGTTGTGGGAAGCAAGTGCTCCACTTATGACAAAGGAATTCATTTATTAATTAATTTTATCTAGCAATATCTGAAATTCTTCTGGGTGTTTCTCATTATCAGTTTTACATTAAGAAAGAAGACTTGGATTTTTTTTTGTTTTGTTTTAAACCATGCCAATACAGTGAAATGCGTTTGGTTCTGAGCTGCAGTAGAGGGGCTGTCTCCAGTTTTGCACCATTTGTGATTTTTAACACTTACTACCGTCTGCCTAATATTAGTGAAAAAGTTGGTGTGTATAAATGACATTATTGAACAAATGTTGTTTATTTCAATTTGACAGGTGAAGATTGGTGCGTTAGAAGGATATAGAGGCCAAAGAGTAAAGGTGTTTGGCTGGGTCCACAGGCTGCGCAGGCAAGGTAAATGGCAAAGCTTTTCCTTCTTTTTAATGTTTAAATATCCCTGCTCTTAGATGAAGAAAAACATACAAAGATTTGCAGGGGTTTTTTTCTCTCCCCCTTTTTTTCTTAGACACAGTCTCACTTTGTTGCCCAGGCTGGAGTGCAGTGGTGCTATCTCGGCTCACTGCAACCTCCGCCTCTCAGGTTCAAGCAATTCTCCTGCCTCAGCCTCCTGAGTAGCTGTTATCACAGGTACCTGCCACCACACCTGGCTGATTTTTGTAATTTTAGTAGAGACGGTGTTTCACCATGTTGGCCCGTCTGCTCTGGAACTCCTGGCCTCAGGTGATCCACTGTCTTGGCCTCCCAAAGTGCTGGGATTACAGGTATGAGCCGCTGCGCCCGGCCCTCTTTTTTTTTTTGGTATGCTGGCTAGACTTGAACTCCCCCCAGCCATCCTCCTGCCTCAGCCTCCTGAGCAGCTGGGATTACAGGCACATAGCACCTCACCTGGCTTTAAAGGATAGAGTGATTTATATCTTAAATTTGTTCTTGTTTAAAATGACTATTGAAAGTATAAAAATTTTTAAATGCTCTTTTAATGGTTAGCAATTATAGTGATGAAGATGCGTCCAGTAAATATTTGTCAAGTTGAGTTTTAATTATTTAGTGAAAATCAAGGGATGTTACTATAGGAGGTTGACATCTGAGTCTGAAACTTGGCCATAGTTTTGACTCTTATAAACAGTATATTTGCATTCTCCCTTGGTTCTGACATTTTGTTTCCTCTTTCCCCTTTTATTATATATTTTATAATATATAAACATGTCACTTTTACTATTTATTGTAAGGGATTAGCAAATCTTTCATTGAAAAGTGGGACAGGCCAGGTGCGGTGGCTCACGCCTATAATCCCAGTACTTCGGGAGGCCAAGGCGGGTGGATCGCCTGAGGTCAGGAGTTCAAGACCAGCCTGGCCAACATGGTGAAACCTCTTCTCTAATAAAAATACAAAAATTAGCTGGGTGTGGTTGTGAGCACCTGTAATCCCAGCTACTCTAGAGGCTGAGGCAGGAGAAGCACTTGAACCTGGGAGGCAGAGGTTGCAGTGAGCCGAGATCATGCCATTGCACTCTAGCCTGGGCGACAAAAGTGAAACTCCATCTGAAAAAAAAGCGACGGTGGAGGGGACAAAAATACAAATGAAATGTTTTAAGCGGATTTCAGTAATTGGACCTTTAGGACATAAATAAGAAAAAGTGATTTTGTTCAAGAACATTTATGTATCACCGAGTGCACAGTACTACCCCAGGCATTGCAGGGGACTCAAGGGTAGATAAGGCATAATCCCTTAACTCATGTTGCCTTCTGTCCTGCTTTCCCCTGGTTGTGTGGATCTTGGGGATCATGTAGGATTTGAAAGTCCAATACATTGAAAATAAAATATTTTACAAATACTGAGTAGTGGTATTACCAGTGGGTACTTCAGGGGCAGGGAGCCATGTGGGAGGTCTGAACTTGAATGTTTAACCTTGGAGTTTCCTTTAGATAAGATTAAGTCATGGCTGGGTGCAGTGGCTCACACCTGTAATATCAGCGCTTTGGGAGGCTGAGGTAGGAGGATTGCTTGAGCCCAGGAGCTTGAGACCAGTCTGGGCAACTCAGTGAGACCCTTGTCACTACAAAATAATTAGCCAGGTGTGGTGGCATGTGCCTGTAGTCCCAGCTATCTGGGAGGGTAAGGTGAGAGGTTTGCTTGAGCCCAGGAGGTAGAGGCTGCAGCGAGCTGTGATTGTGCCACTGCACTCTAGCCTGGGTGACGAAGTGAGACCCTATCTTTAAAATTATATATATATATAAAATTTAATGCCTTGAGAACAGTCTGCCTAAATTATTATTTCTCATTTTTTAGGAAAGAATTTAATGTTTCTGGTGTTGCGAGATGGTACAGGTTATCTTCAGTGTGTCTTGGCGGATGAGTTGGTAAATATTTTCTCTTATTTATGCCTGAAAATTAGATGTTTTCAGTAGATTCCTTTATTGTTTTGTATACATTTATTTAAAACATTTATTATGTCGACAGTGAATGTCAATGAATCAAAACATCACATTGTATACCATAAACATGCAATTTTTATTTGTTTATTATACCTTAATAAGGCTAGAGGGAGAAAACTTTTGTGGAAAATTTCCAGCACATTACAAAATAGAACCATATAAAAAATCATCAAATGCCCATCACCCAGCTTCTGTAACCACCTATATATGGCTAATCCTGGTATGATACTGCCCCTCAGACATCATATCATTTTATTTAATTACACATGCTTATGCATCTCTAAGAAAAATAATGTGGCTGGGCATGGTGGCTCATGCCTGTAATCTCGGCACTTTGGGAGGCTGAAGTGGGCAGACTGCTTGAGCCCAGGAGTTTGAGACCAGCCTGGCAACATGGTGAAATCCTATCTCTACAAAAAATACAAAAACTAGCCAGGTGTGGTGGTGCATATCTGTAGTCTCAGCTACTCAGGAGGCTGAGGTGGGAGGATCTCTTGAGCCAGGGAGGCAGAGGTTGCAGTGAGCCAAGATGATGCCACCACCTTCCAGCCTGGGCAACAGAGTGAAACCTTGTCTCAAAAAAAAAAAAAAAAAAAGATAATAGTCACCTACTATTATCACACCCTCCACCAAATTAATACAACTACTAAATATCATCTAATATCCAGATTCTTGTTATCAGTTCGTACTGCCTTTTTATAGTTGATTGATTTGAACGAGGATTCTGACAAGACTAACATGCTGCGTTTAGTGATATGACTTTGAAATTTTCTTTATAACTCTGCTGCTCTCTTTGCATTCTCTCTTCTTTTGCAACCCGCCCCCTCTCCCCACCCATTACTATGTATTTCTTGGGAAAACCCTGGTGGATTGTCCTGTGGAACTTCTCACATTATGGATTTGGTTGTTTGCATCCTTGTGGTGTCCTTTAGCATGTTCTTCTAGTGTCTGCATTTTTTATAAATTGGAGGTTAGGTCTGATTAGGTTCAGTTTTTTGGCACAACTACTTCATGGGCAAAGCTGTGTTCTTTTAGTTGCATCACGTCAAGAGGCATGTAAGGTGTGGTTGTCTTTTTCTTTTTTTTATTTGAGACAGAGTCTCGCTCTGTCACCCATGCTGGAGTGCAGTGGCGTGATCTCAGCTTAGTGCAACCTCTGCCTCCCAGATTCAAGTGATTCTCTTGCTTCAGCCTCCCGAGTAGCTGGGACTACAGGTGCATGCCACCATACCCAGCTAACTTTTGTATTTTTAGTAGAGACAGGTTTTTGCCATGTTGGCCAGGCTGGTCTTGAACTCCTGACCTCAGGTGATCCACCCGCCTCGGCCTCCGAAAGTGCTGGGATTACAGGTGTGAGCCGCCGTGCCCGGCCAGTTGTCTTTTTTATGACTAGTGGGTTCAGGTGTTGGCAGCCTGACTTCTTCCTTTTAAAGTTCCCCATCAGTTTTTTCCTAATGACTTTAGTAAGAAGTGATTATAGTGTAGATGGGCTCTGTATGGTTTTGTTTGTTTGTTTGTTGTTTTGAGACACAGGGTTTCTCAGAAAGAGTACAGTGGCATCATCATAGCTCATTGCAGCCTCGACTTCCCAGGCCCAAGCAATTCTCCCACCTCAGCCTCCCGAGTAGTTAGGACTATAGGCAAGAACCACCACACCCAGCCAATTTTTATTTTATTTATCTCTCCCTTTGTTGTCCAGGCTGGTCTTGAACTCCTGGGCTCCAGTGAGCCTCTCAACTTAGCCTCCTTCATGGGATTACAGGCATGAACCACTGTGCCTAACCTGTATGTTACTTTAATAGTCTAGATTTTTAAAAATAAATAAATAAACTGTCCAGATATTTTTAAGTGATGTGGGTCAGTGTCATTTATCCATGTATGTAAAATGTGTATTTACATGTATATGTATATATTTACATGTATATGTCTATATATAGATAAACCTCTGTCTTCCACAAAAATATCTATTTTAATATTAAGAATCAGTGGCCATCTCACTCTTTATTTTACTAGTATTTGATCAGATAACTTGTTTGTAAACAATCCCTTTAACTTTCTATATGGTAGAATTTTTAAATCAATGTGAATAACTAAATTTGAGCTTTGACCTTTTTATAGTGTCAGTGCTACAATGGAGTTCTCTTGTCCACGGAGAGCAGTGTTGCAGTGTATGGAATGCTAAATCTTACCCCAAAGGGCAAGCAGGTGAGTGGATTGAGTTTCGCACTGGGTGAATGAATAGTTTATTTATTGGTTTGTTTTCCAGTGTCTTTGTTTGTACATTTGGCATATGTATTAGGGTTCTTCAGAGGGACAGAACTAGTAGGATAGATGTATATGTGAAAGGGAGTTTTTAAGGAGAATTGGCTCACAAGATCACAAGATGAAGTCCCACGATAGGCCATCTGCAAGCTGTGGAGCAAGGAAGCCAGTAGTGGCTGAGTCCAAGTTCAAAAGCCTCAAAAGTAGGGAAGCCGACAGGGCAGCCTTCAGTCTGTGGCCAAAGGCCCAGGAGCCCCTGTCAAAGAACTGGTGTAAGTCCAAGAGTCCAAAAGCTGAGGAACTTGGAGTCTGATGTTCAATGACAGGAAGCATCCAGCACCGGAGGAAGATGAAGGCTGGAAGACCTAGCAAGTCTGCTCTTCCACCTTCTTCCTCTTGCTTTTTCTAGCCAGGCTGGTAGCTGATTGGGTGGTGCCCACCCACATTGAGGGTGGGTCTGCCTCTCCCAGACCACTGACTTAAATGTTAATCTTCTCTGGCAACACCCAGATACACCCAGAAAATACTTTGTATCCTTCATTCCAATCAGGTTGACTCTTAATATTAACCATCACAGCATATAAATACAATAAATGTGAAGTACATGTCAAATTCACTATGCCTTTTCCAGTGAAATATGTACATTGTACAACTCAGGTGATAAAAAGAATACAATGATTTCCAGCCTTACGGAATTCCTGAATCATCCTCATGGGCTATAATATAGCCACTGTGCTGTAGATATATGAATTACTTTTCAGCCAGATGGAAATAAAAACTTAACAACCCACCTAAATATGTTCAGAGAATTTCTTATTAGAATTTGAGCCTGTTTTTATTGTTTTTTTTTTTTTTTTTTTTTGAGACGGAGTTTCGCTCTTGTTGCGCAGGCTGGAATGCAGTGGTGCGATCTCCACTCACCACAACCTCTGCCTCCCAGGTTCAAGCGATTCTCCTGAGTAGCTGGGACTATAGGCGTGCGCCACCATGCCTGGCTAATATTTTGTATTTTTAGTAGAGATGGGGTTTCACCTTGTTGGCCAGGATGGTCTTGATTTCCTGACCTCGTTATCCACCCGCCTCAGTGAGCCACCGTGCCCAGACACAAATATCTTTTAAAAATGGAAACGCACAGGCTGCGCATGGTGGCTCATGCCTGTAATCCCAGCACTTTGGGAGGCCGAGGCGGGCGGATCACGAGGTCAGGAGATCGAGACCAGTTTTGCCAACATGGTGAAACCCCGTCTCTACTAAATATACAAAAATTAGCCAGACGTGGTGGTGGGCGCCTGTAATCCCAGCTGCTCGGGAGGCTGAGGTAGGAGAATCGCTTGAACCCAGGAGGCGGAGGTTGCTGTGAGCCAAGATTGCGTCACTGCACTCCAGCCTGGGCGACAGAGTGAGACTCCGTCTCAAAAAAAAAAAAAAAAGATATTTGTGTGTATGTGAGTGTGTATTTATCCAGAAAGAACATTGGTAAAAATATCAATATAAAACTAAACTAAAGCTGAGAATTAGGAGGTTCTTAAAAATCTCAGCTTACCAAAACTTTGACATAAATTAAAATCCTCAATACTGTTAATTTTTTATTTCCTTTTCCCTCTTTCTCTGGACCCCACTTTTAAAAAATGCAGGCTCCAGGTGGCCATGAGCTGAGTTGTGACTTCTGGGAACTAATTGGGTTGGCCCCTGCTGGAGGAGCTGACAACCTGATCAATGAGGAGTCTGACGTTGATGTCCAGCTCAACAACAGACACATGATGATCCGAGGAGAAAACATGTCCAAAATCCTAAAAGCACGATCCATGGTCACCAGGTGCTTTAGAGATCACTTCTTTGATAGGGGGTACTATGAAGTAAGTATGCATTCGTCAGCTTTTGCAAAGAATATGTTTTTTGCCGTTTTGAAACTTGAATAGTGGTGCTCACGATAGCATTGATTTATTCCTTCTTTGCATTTGAACAGGTTACTCCTCCAACATTAGTGCAAACACAAGTAGAAGGTGGTGCCACACTCTTCAAGCTTGACTATTTTGGGGAAGAGGCATTTTTGACTCAATCCTCTCAGTTGTACTTGGAGACCTGCCTCCCAGCCCTGGGAGATGTTTTTTGTATTGCTCAGTCATACCGGGCAGAGCAGTCCAGAACACGAAGGCACCTGGCTGAGTATGAAGTTGTCTTTTTGTTTTATTTCTTTCTAGGTAATATCTTTAGAGAAGAAATCTTAGTGTAGGTAAATTATGTTTATGTTTTAAAAAAAACCAACTGATATATTAAGTGGTTAATGGAAGAACATATAACAAAGTTTTGCCACCTTAGATCGTAGCTAAGTTCTCTTTTTTCACTTTGACTTGATCTTTTATATATAAAGGAGCAAACAAGAAATTGCTACTCAGTGGAGAAGAGGGGAGTCCACAGCTAATTTGCAAAGTTGGGAATTGGTAGCATTGTTGGCATTTTATGGACAGCTTCCCAATGTTAAAAGCCTTGCTGGATAAAAAACCAGTGCAGGAGAAAAGCAGTGCTGAGCTATTGTCTCGTTCTTCAGGTACACTCACGTGGAAGCTGAGTGTCCTTTCCTGACTTTTGACGACCTCCTGAACCGGTTGGAGGACTTGGTTTGTGATGTGGTAGATCGAATATTGAAGTCACCTGCAGGGAGCATAGTGCATGAGCTCAACCCGGTAGGTGCAGTGTTTATGGAAAGAAAAAGTCACAGTCCTTTTTTGGAAGACAATGAAGTCTTCACCCTCAGTTTTTGTAGATTTGATGGCTTGGTGAGCTGAAATAAGTGACTAATTATTTTGAAGACTAGAATTTGATGTTAGTCACTGTCAATAATTTTATAATGTTTTCAGTTATATAACAGGCTCATGTTTTCCATTTTAGGAATGTCTACATAGTTTTCTAGTCTGAAGTTATATATATATATATATATATATATATTTTTTTTTTGAGACAGAGTCTCACTCTGTCGCCAGGCTGAAGTACAGTGGCGCGATCTCTGCTCACTGCAACCTCTGCCTCCCAGCTTCAAGCGATTCTGCCTCAGCCTCCTGAGTAGCTGGGACTACAGGAGCCCACCACCACCCCCAGCTAATTGTTGTATTTTTAGTAGAGATGGGGTTTTACCGTGTTGGCCAGGCTGGTCCCAAACTCCTGACCTCAAGTGATCTGCCCACCTCAGCCTCCCAAAATGCTGGGATTACAGGCATGAGCCACCACACCTCACTGAAGTAATACTTTATAATAGTTTTTTAATGGAAATTTTAGTGTTAATGTTTATATTTATGTATATATACACATTATATTTTTCCTTTCTTCTGTAGAACTTTCAGCCCCCCAAACGGCCTTTCAAACGGATGAACTATTCAGATGCTATCGTTTGGCTAAAAGAACATGATGTAAAGAAAGAAGATGGAACTTTCTATGAATTTGGAGAAGTATGTATCCCTTTCTCTCATTGTTTCCAAGGTGGGATTGGGCTCCAATTCTCTTCTTCTGGTTAATGAACTAGTAACATGGGTGGCATCTGCCTGTCCTCAAATAAATGGTAACAGCAGGACCTGCTTCTTGGGTTGCCTGCAGATTCGCTGAGTTAACAGAGTCAGCCTTAGGACAGTGCCTGTTCTGTACCACCCAGTAAGCGTAAGTGAGTTTCTTTTTTTTTCTTTTTTTTTTTTTTTTTTGAGACGGAGTCTCGCTCTGTCGCCTACGGAGTGCAGTGGCATGATCTCAGATCTCGGCTCACTGCAACCTCCGCCTCCTGGATTCAAGCGATTCTCCTGCCTCAGCCTCCCGAGTAGCTGGGACTACAGGCGCACACCACCATGCCCAGCTAATTTTTTTATTTTTAGTAGAGACAGGGTTTCACCATGTTGGCCAGGATGGTCTCGATCTCTTGACCTCGTGATCTGCCCACCTCAGCCTCCCAAAGTGCTGGGATTATAGGCGTGAGCCACCGCTTCTGGCCAAGTGTGAGTTTCTAAGCTGCCTTCATGTCTCATGCTTTGCCTCTTCCCTCTTCCTTCATTGTTCTTCCTTGGCCACAGCTTATAAGCTCTCTTTATCATTCTCTAGGCTGGTAGGAGTGCTTTAGAAGGTTGTGAAGCCTTTGAAATCACATGCAAAATGTTGGTATATAGATATATATATATATATATATTTTTTTTTTTTTTCTGGAGAATGTATCTTGTGCTTTTAAAAAGAGGTTCATCCCCTCCCCCAAAACAGTGATTTAAAACTTCTTAATGTGGAAGGCGAGAAAGAAGATAGCCATTGGTTAAAAATGCAAAACCAAGAGAGAAGGTCTTGGAGAAGGTAGCCTAGTGCCCCAGGTAAACTTAGCATTTCGGTTTTGCCTGAGAACCACTCTCCCAGCATGCACTTGGGTTGCAAATTTTCTTTATTTGGGACAGCATCTCCATCTGTCGTCCAGGCTGGAATGCATTGGTGCGATCATAGCTGGCTACAACCTTGAACTCCAGAGTTCAAGTGTTCCTCCTACATCAGCCTCCAAAAGTGCTGGGATTACAGGTGTGAGCCACCATGCCCAGCTAATTTTTTATTATTTGTAGAGATGGCGTCTCCCTATGTTGCCCGGGCTGGTCTCAAACTCCTTGGCTCAAGCAGTCCTCCCACCCCAGCTTTCCAAAGTATTGGGATTACAGGCGTGAGCCACTGCATCTGGCTCAAGTTTCCAAGACTATGCTAGGCCCTCTTTCCTGTGCATTTAACCATTACTTACATAATATTTGCACATCTAATTGTTTTACAGTTGAAATGTGTGTAGATGCTGCTAACTAGTTTTGGGTTTTAGAAGGAATTAATAGGTGAAACAATATACTGGGTCTATGTAAAGCACTCTTGTTTCTGTGAATTCAGTTTGGTTTTTTGGTTTTTTTTTTTTAAAGAGATGGAGGTATTGCTGTGTTGACTGGGCTGGTCTCAAACTCCTGGCCTCGAGCAGTCCTCTCACCTCGGCCTCCCGAGTGTTGAGATTATAGGCATGAGCCACACTGTGCCCAGCCTATGAATTCAGTTTATGATGTATAATGACAAAATTTTGTATTGAGAACTTGCATACTTTTAGTGTTCCTAATACTTAGTAAAATAGTGTAGTTGAGTGGAAAGAACACAAGCTGTGGAGTCAGAAGGCCCCCCAGGTGGGCTTAGCTCCCACCTCTTTTCTTTTGTGCTGTGTAACTGAAGACCAGTGACCCCCTCTCAGGTTCCTTATCTCTACCTTGGAAGTAACATCTGTTTTGCAAGATTGTGGGGACTACCGGAGCTAAATGCCTAGGCAGGACAATGGCAGGGGGAGCCTGTCAGCATTTACTATACATTGCTACTGTTCCACACACATGAGGACACTAGAGTGGATACATGACCCTCAGGCTTTGGGGGGTATGAAATAAGACCTGTTTTCCCCTAACTAAATCTTATGCAGAACCCCGCTGTGTAAAGCAGATGCAAGCTGAGAGACTAGAGCTCTCCCACTCATCTCCTGTTACCTCTCGGCGTCTCCGAGGACGCAAGGGCTCCAGAGCCTGGAGCTTGAAAACAGGTGTGCTAGGTGATTGCTACCTCCATTTCACTTCTTCATTAAACAAATCTATGAGTCTTCTCCAGTTCTCTCAATCCATTTTTACTGGGACGAGAGTTGTCAGTTTTAACTTCTGTGTTAACTTTAATTTATGTGTGGTATAGAAGGATGTTTTGAGAGAGAAACTGATGCGCTTAAGTCATCATCTAACATTGTTTGGGTAACTATTCCAGGTGTGCTTACACTTACCAGTTTGACATTGGTTATTTGTCTTATGATTGTGTCTGTCATCGAAGGCATAACTGATTGATTACAACAGGAAAGAAGGGTAGATAACAGGAGAGTTTAAAGATAAGTGTCATTAGTAATATACTCTGTGTGTAGATCAATGATGTTCTGGAGCATTCATGATTACCGTATGCCTTACGGGACTAAGTGGACCTCATTTGCTTCAGAGCTAGACAAAACGGGCCACTGAGAAAAATACTGAGCTGTGTCTAGTCACAGCTTGGGGCTGGCTTTTGTTTTTGTTTTTTTTTTTATTTTCCTTCATCAAACAGCATGGTGCTTGAGATATGCTGTAAAGGGAGACAGATCTTTTATGCTTCATTAAATAACTGAGTTTTAAGAATATGTTTATTTCTTTTTGAAAGAAATTATTCTTTACACAAATGTGTATGGGTTAAGGGTAGGTGTGTATCCTCTACTCTGTTGAATTGATAGGAGGAAGGACTGGTACAGGGTGAAGGAGCTGCTTCTGTCTTGTTGCGATCCAAGTTGTAAATGTTAATGAAGTCTTGTTTGACCTCAGGATATCCCAGAAGCTCCTGAGAGACTGATGACAGACACCATTAATGAACCAATCTTGCTGTGTCGATTTCCTGTGGAGATCAAGTCCTTCTACATGCAGCGATGTCCTGAGGATTCCCGTCTTACTGAATCTGTCAGTTTCTGTTTCAAAGAGTATTAATAATTTTGCTTTTTAAGGGGGTGGGGACTGTCATCTGGAATCAGGTACAGCTCATGCCAAATATTTCATTCTCTATCTAGAATAACAATATTTAAAGACGTTGGGTTTTTTCACCCTCCCCTGATTGAAGTTGACATGCTTTGTTAAATTAGAGAAATGTAAACATTTGAATATTACATGATCATAGTGGCTCCTTTAGCCCTTGGAGCTTAATTGTAATTTTCATTTAAACTCTAGGGCAGTGCTGTGTCTGATCGCTTGATAGTAATTGTGTATCTTCTTTCACTTATATTTAAAGGTCGACGTGTTGATGCCCAATGTTGGTGAGATTGTGGGAGGCTCAATGCGTATCTTTGATAGTGAAGAAATACTGGCAGGTTATAAAAGGGAAGGGATTGACCCCACTCCCTATTACTGGTATACGGATCAGGTAAAACCAATTTTTTAAGTACTCAACATTTTTTTCCACTGTAATCGTTCTGTATATATTGAAATTTTTAAAAGGGGAGAATTCAGGGTAGTACTTTGGTATTTGAATGAGCTATATTCAGTTTGCAGGTTATAATGTGGTGTGTGAATATTGCCAGCTTTGTTTTGGCCAAGTTATATGTTAATTTCATTTGAAAACCTGTTTAACGGCCGGCTTGTTGATTGCAACTGAGTTTTAAAAAATTGATCCTACCAGTATCTAGTACCCTTCTTCATTTTCCTCTTATAAATAGACATTGACTTATTTTAAAAGTTTTTAAAAATCTCTTCTTTCCAGGGTAGTACTTATTCCCTGGTTGATTTTTTCATACCAAATTATTTCTTTATGCATGGTTCATGAAGGCATAGAGATTAAGTGCTGGGATTACAGGCACGAGCCACTGAATCTGGCCATAGTTGAATTCTTAACCACAGTGAGCTAACTCCTTTCATGGTGGAAAATTTTAACTGTCTTAGATGAAAGTTTTAACTTAAGTATTTACTCCTCTTTCTTTCTTTCTTTTTTTAAACAGAGAAAATACGGTACATGTCCCCATGGAGGATATGGCTTGGGCTTGGAACGATTCTTAACGTGGATTCTGAATAGGTATCACATCCGAGACGTGTGCTTATACCCTCGATTTGTCCAGCGTTGCACGCCATAACCATTTTCTCCAGAAGCGTGGAGGAAAGATTATGAAAGGAACAGGCTCTTTAAAAAAGAAAACAAAAAGCCAGAATCTTCCTTTTTTTGTTTCATTGGGGTTTCTCTTTCTGTTTTTCTTTCTACTACCATAAAAACTATCTCAAATCACCTGAACATCAAGTGATATTAAGGTTGTCATCTTAAGAAAAAATATCCATTTTTTTCTTAAGTTCGGGAAACAAAGTTCGGGGAAAATACCTGGCATGAAACTGTAGTTAGGGATACATTTCAGCATTTTACTCACTTTATCCAAGTTATTCATTTTATTCAAGTTATATGTATGTATAATTCAACAATTTTAGATTATGGTGTAAGATACTCCAGTAACTTATCTTTCTGTCCTTTTAAGTGTACCTTGAATTCTTTGATTTATTTTATTGCATCAATGAATTAAAACAAAAATCTTGGGGGAAGAAATTGGCAATATCGTATAAAAATCTGCTCATATTAGAACACAGTATAATTCAGCAGTAAACACTAGAATCAAATGAATAGCCTTTTGTATCAGTTATTAATCTTTTCTAACTCTGCTTAGCTGCTAATAATCCTGAGGCATAGAAATTGAAGAATTTGTAAAAATAGAATTGCCTTAAAGGATTTGAAGTAAGAACATAATTTTGGGGAGAGTTTTTTAGTGATTCACAGTATCCCTCTTAGCATTAATTTAAGGTAAAGAGGCAGATTGATTTTCCCTCTTTCCTGGTAATTCCTAAGTAATTAAGAATAAATAAGTTCCAAAAGAAATTGTAGCTGGAATCTTAATAACAATTGTGAGTGGCTGTTTGAGTTGCCCCCACCATGTCCTTAGATCTAATCTGTGCTACCTTATTAACTCACAGCAGGCTTACTGAATGGCTTCATTTCAGATTTAGTTGATTTCTCCACCAAATGCATGTCATGTATTCTCAATAGGCTGTATTCCCAGCAGTCAATAAATGAACACCCGTAAAAACTCTTTGCTGGCTTAATTTTCTTAAAGCTAAACATCTCTTTGTCACATTCGTTCATGCTTTTGCAATTATTTTATCTTTTTTATGATGTATATATGTGAAATTAAGTACTACTAAATTTAGTAGATATTGCTAACGTTATATGGTAATGAGAACGAATGATTTTTTAACGTTAGATATGTGGGTCATGGTTAAATCTTTTTTGTAATCTTTTTTGTGTTACTGTTGGACACATTAGATTTTATCCTGTTTTGCAATTAAGTGAAATGACAGGTCAAAATGAGGCATTTAGGCTGGGTGCAGTGGCTCACACCTGTAATCCCTCCACTTTGGGAGACCAAGGCGGGCAGATCATCTGAAGTCAGGAGTTCAAGACCAGCCTGAGCAACATGGTAAAACCCCATCTCTACAAAAATAAAAAAGTTAGCCAGGCATGATGGCAGGTGCCTGTAATCCCAGCTACCCAGGAGGCTGAGGCAAGAGAATTGCTTGAACCCCGGAGGCAGAGGTTGCAGTGAGCCAAGATTGCACCATTGCACTCCAGCCTGGGCTATAGAGCGAGACTGTCTCAAAAAAAAAAAAAAAAACAAAGGAAGAAATGATGCATTTATAATCTATTCAGCCTGCATCTTTAAATAAAAAATACTTGGAAGAGTGTGAATGAGCTGTAGATGACTTCAACTAAGCAATTCATTTTATCAGAATTAAAGTGAAGAGGTTAGGCTCAGTTAGCCTTAATTTTAATGGTGTAAACAGGTCAAAGTTTTAAAATATTAAAGGAGAGCCAGGATATGGATAAGGGAGTTAAGGTGGTGACCTCAGGCCGAGAGACTGAGCACGGTGAGCAGCAAACCTCACGCGTGTGGACTTCACTCCCTTCGCTGTGTAGTTACTACCCTAATTCAGGTGTCACAGATGCCATCCCGCATTCCCATGGCTAGCTCACAAACACCCCTGCCCTCTCAGGACTTCCATCACGTGACTTTCTCCTCCCTGAAACTCTCTGCTTTTCATACCAAAAACCCCTCCACCTTTGGCACTTGTGTGACCTGCTCAGTTTTGGAGACAAACAGGAGGCTAATTCAATTGCTTAAATATCAACTTGCCCTCTTAAATGTCCTTCAGCCATTTCAAGCGACCCAGTTTCCCACCTTGCCGTTCAGCCCCTGCCACCTTGCTGCCTCGTAATGGTTCCTAAAAATGTTGTCCTTAATACGTAGAGTAGTTCAACTCTGTGAAAAGCAATCTTGGCAGCACAGTGGGATCATTTGGGGACCTTAAAAATAATGGTGTTTGGGCCTTACCCCAGGCCAGTTGAATCTGAATTTCAGAAATGGGACCAGGGTATTTTTTAAAAGCTCCCCAGGGGAGGTTGTTGCACAGTGAGGTTGACAGTCGCCAGGTGGCTTCCTCCTACTTCTAAACTCAACCTTAAGCCTCTCTTATTATTGCTGTAGGTTCTCTATTGATTTTGTATTAATCTCTGTAGTTGAAATGGGAACACTGAGGGCTGAGAAACTTCAAAGCTTGAATTTTGAATTGCCATAGAATAAGTATATTTCATCCAGCCCTTCTGGGAAAAAAGGGATGTCATGATATACAAATACTGCAATTTCTAGTATTTGGAAATTGCTGGTTAATGACTCAGTTTCTTATGCTGAAAAGTTTCCTTCTGCCTTATGGATCATAACCAATGTGATGATCAGGTGAAGAACATCTTTGAAGAGATATTGATAAACTTTGTTTGTGGGACAAAGACTAGTTTCTACAGTCAAAATCAAGTTTGTATTGGATAAAACTTGTCTTAGTACCCCAACTTACAGAAATGAAGGTGTTCAAAAGTTTTAGCTTTTTTTCAGTATTTACCTCCAAATTGCTAAATAACATGCTTATATTACTTTATTGATTTTTCAGTTTTAGGCGTTATTTATTGCCCTTCTCTGGCATATAAGGATTTCATTTCTTCCTTTTCCTATCCCCACCATTCGTGTTCACCCTTCTCATCTCCCCAAGTGTATTAAGCTGTTTTGGGGTTGCTATAAAAAAATACCTGCAGCTGGGTAATTTACAAAGAAAAGTGGTTTATTTTGGCTTACCGTTCTGCAGACTGTACAGGAAGCATGGTGTTGCTATCTGCTTCTGGTGAGGCCTCAGGAAACTTCCAATCATGACAGAAGGCAAAGGGGAAGCCAGCATATCCCATGATGAGAGGGAGCAAGAGATGGGGGAGGTGCCACACTCCTTTAAGCAACCATATCTGCTGTGAACTCAGTGCAAGAACTCATGTATCACTTCATGAAGAGCACCAAGCCATTCCTCCCCATGACCACCACCTCCCACCAGGCACCCCCTCCAACACTGGAGATTGCATTTCAACATGAGATCTGGAGGGGACAAACGTTCAAACCATGTCGCCATATTTCCAACTTAGTTCAATTATAATTTTGGTTGGCTGCATAGTTCACAATAGTTGTTTTCTCTTTCTGCCCAACTTTTTATTTTCCCTATACTAAATTTGTCTTATTTTTTCTTTAATAATTCAATCACAAAAGATGTTTGGATATATTGGGTTGTCTATCAGTTACTTCTTCCCATCTTCTGGAGCCTTTGCCTGCTTTAATCTGAACGAGTTGCCCTCGAGGAACATAGTTGTCATCTTGGGATCTTTCATTACCATCCTGTGTGTTCCCTTTACCTTTTTTTTTTGTACTGGACATCCTGTTTCCTGTTTTCTATGTTTCCTGATTTTTTCAGTTTACATCCTCATTTTGGTTGAGCACATCCTCCAGCAGTTTTTTTTTTTTTTTTTTTTTTTTTTTTTGAGTTGAGGCCTCACTCTGTTGCCCAGGCTGGAGTGCAGTGGCATGATTTTGGCTCACTGCAGCCTCCACCAACTGGGTTCAAACGATTCTTCTGCCTCACCCTCCCAAGCAGCTGGGATTACAGGCGTCTGCCACCACGCCCAGATTATTTGTGTTTTTAGTGGAGACGGGGCTTCACCATGTTGCCCAGGCTGGTCTCAAACTCCTGACCTCAGATGATCCGCCTGCCTCGGCCTCCCAAAGTGCTGGGGTTATAGGCCTGAGCCACTGCACCTGGCTGTCCAGTAGTTTTTTGAGAAAGGGTTCATGGAAGGTAAATTCATTGAGACCTTGCTTGTCTAAAAATGTTTTAAATCTATCTTCACATACTCTCCATAAAGAATTGTGGGTTAGAAAGCATTTTCCAGCTGGGTGCGATGACTCATGCCCATAATCCCAGCACTTTGGGAGGCTAAGGTGGGAGGATTGCTTGAGGCCAGGTGTTTGAGACCGCCTTTTTTTTTTTTTTTTGAGATGGAGTTTCACTCTGTCACCCGGGCTGGAGTGCAGTGGCGCCATCTTGGCTCACTGCAACCTGTGCCTCCCAGGTTCAAGTGATTCTCATGTCTCAGCCTCCCAAGTAGCTGGAACTACAGCCAGGAGCCACCACGCCTGGCTAATTTTTTGTATTTTTAGTAGAGACGGGGTTTTGCAATGTTGGCAAGGCTGGTGCGAGACCCAGTTGCTACAAAAAAATTAAAATATTAGTTGGGTGTGATGGTGCACACACCTGTAATCCTAGCTACTTGGGAGGCTGAGGCAGGAGGATCTTTTGCCCTGAGGAGTTTGAGGCTGTAGGGAGCCATGATTGTGTCACTGCACTCCAGCCTGGGTGACAGTGTGAGACCCTGTCTCTAAAAATAATAATAAAAAGAAAGCATTTTCCTTCAGAATTTTGAAGTTTGGTTTTCTGGTGTTGTTATTGAGAATTCCTAAGCATTCTGATATATGGTCCTTTACATATGACCTGTCTATTCTGGAAGCTTAGTTCAATGTCTGATATTTCATGATGATATTTATTGAGAGTATCCATTCTAATTGGCCCTTTCAATACAGAAAGTCATGCCCTTCAGTTGTGAAAAAATTTCTTAAATTGTTTCATTGAAGGTCTCCCCTCTGTTTTTTTGTTCTTTCTACAACTGCTATTTAGATACTAGAAATCCTCTTTTCAATTTTCTTGTCTTTTTTTTTTTTTTTTTTTTTTTTGAGACAAGTTATCACTCTGTCACTGAAGCTGGAGTGTAGTGGCATGATCATAGCTCACTGCAGCCTCGACCTCCCAGGCTCAAGTGATCCTGCCTCAGCCTCCTGGGTAGCTGGGACTATAGGTGCATGCCAGCTCACTCAGCTAATTTTTAAAATTATCTGTAGAGATGGGGTCTCCCTATGTTGTCCAGGCAGGTCTTGAATTCCAGGCTTGAAGCAATCCTCTCAGCTTGGCCTCCCAAAGTGCTGGGATTATAGTGGAGCCACCACACCTGGCCCTTATCTTTTTATTTTATTTTATTTTACTTTATTTTATTTTTACACAGAGTTTTGCTGTTGTTGCCCAGGCTGGAGTGCAGTGCAATGGCGTGATCTCAGCTCACTGCAACCTCTGCCTCCGGGTTCAAGCAATTCTCCTGCCTCAGCCTCCCAAGTAGCTGGGATTACAGGCATATGGCACCATGCCCAGCTAATTTTCATAATTTTTTAGTAGAGATGGGGTTTCACCGTGTCCGTCAGGCTGGTCTTGAACTCCTGACCTCAAGTGATCCACCTGCCTCAGCCTCCCAAAGTGCTGGGAATACAGGCATGAGCCACCGCGCCTGGCCATCTTTTTTATTAAGCTGCTAATTTGGGGCGTTTTCCTCAACTCTTCCCCAGTCCTTTGAGTATTTTATTTCTGTTAACCATAGTAAAAATATATTTTAAAAAATTCTTATTCCGGTTTCAGAAAGTTCTGTCTTTAGTTTTTTATCTAAGTTTTCTAGTTTTCTTCCTGTATCATTCCAGTTTCCTCCACGTTGGGTTGCTTTTTTTTTTTTTTTTTTTTTTTTTTTTTTCCTGCTTTGTTTGGTCTCTGGCTTTCCTGTTACAGGCTTTCTTGAGATGGCAGGTGCTGCTTGGTTATCTGCTGAAAATTCAGAGATAATTCAGGATAGGAGATTAAAATGTCCATTGGATGCTCCAAGCATGTGAATAGATGTGAGCCTTACTGTAGGCTATCTGCCCTAGGTGGATTAGCAGGGGAGGCCCATGCCATTGTCTGTTAGGTCTTTCTTCTTAGGCTAGTTGGGTTTCCTGTGGAGGGAAAAAGAAGAGGGCTGGGTCTCTGCACCTTCAGTTAGTACAGTTCACTAAGCTGTTTTCTGTGGTGGCCCTGCTCTCAGCTGTGCTTGGGATCTGCAGTCCATAGCCCTCTGTTACCTCTCCAGGAACCAAACATCTAGTTAGCTTTAGGGGTTTGGGGGGAGCAGTCACTCCACTGCAGGGTGGGAATCTAGGCAATCTGCTGCTTTAACAGACTCTTTTTTTAATTTTATTTTATTGATTTTATTTATTTATTTATTTTTTGAGACAGGGTCTCCCTGTGTTTCCCAGGCTGGTCTCAAACTCCTGGGCTCAAGGGATCCTCCTGTCTCAGCCTCCCAAAGTGCTAGGATTATAGGCGTGAGCCATCGTGCCCAGCCTGCTTTAACAGACTTTCCGTCCATCTCATTCTAGCATCTCCTTTCATCCCTACTTCCAGTGGTACCTGCGACTGCCAGTCCTGAGCCCCCTAGTGTAATCTGGATGGTTTTTGTTTAATACGGATGGCCAGCTTAGGATTCAGTTTTCTCAGGTCTGCTAAAACATTAAGTATTTATTCATCTGCTGCCACTTTAAAAATTCCATGGTGGTTCCCTTTTTCTTTTTTCCCATTCTTTTAGGTTTGTGCTTAAAAACAAAAAATACCACCGTCATGAACAAAACCTCTACCATCATTTCAGTGTGGTTTTTGGGAGAGAGTGAAACTATACCCTAGTGTTCAAGCCCCATCTTTACCCAGAGGTCATTACTCTGTATTTGAAGACCAATCAAAAGGGAGTGGGCATAAACAAAAGGGAAGAAATGATCCGTTATTAGCTATTAGGAAGGAAAAAATAGCAAGGAGAATGATGAATTCTCTGTAAATGGGAAAAAAGCAGTATGTAACTCTGAAAGGTTATAAGTGAAATTTAACTGGGTTATGGGAATGGGTAGATACCTATTATTCTCTGGCTATGTCTGTTAAAAAAGAATTTCCTTCGTGCATTCAGGTTCACGCACAAATTTGAATTCATAATTCAGTGCCTCTAACAAATCCGTGACATTGGTGACAGGAACACCTGGGTGAGTGGTGAGAACTCCATAGGCGCTCTCTGACCCCTGCTTGCCTTCTTTTTTTTGTTTGAGACAGAGTCTTGCTTTGTTGCCCAGGCTGGAGTGCAGTGGTGTGATCTCGGCTCACTACAACCTCTGCCTCCTGGGTTCAAGTGATTCTCCTGCCTCAGCCTCCCTAGTAGCTGGGATTATAGGCATACACCACCACACCAGGCTAATTTTTGTATTTTTAGTAGAAATGGGGTTTTGCCACATTGGCCAGGCTAGTCTTGGACTCCTGACCTCAAGCCTGCCTCGGCCTCTCAAAGGCTGGGATTACAGGTGTGTGCCTCGGCCTCTCAAAGTGCTGGGATTACAGGTGTGAGCCACCATGCCTGGCCTGACCCCTGCTTTCTGTCACCTTTTTCTCTTGTGAGATGCACCCTGAAGGTATGGAGCCAGCCCTGGCTTGGGAGCCAAACATACCTGGGTCCAAATACTGGCTCTGCCCCTTGCTAACTGGATTCAGGCAAGTCAGGGGACCTCTGTGACTCTGTTTTCCTCATCTGTAAAACAGGGTGGTACCTCCTCTTTATAAGCCAGTTGCAGCGATTCCATGTCTGGCACTTAATAAATGGAAGCCATTACAGTTATTGTGACTCCTTTTCCTGCGGGCTAAATGTGAGTGTGACCCAGAAGCCTGTCTTAACTTTCCTTGTTGCAGCTACTCTAGTCTGTGGCATACAGGACCCAGCCCAGACCTTGACCCTGGCTCACCAGGCTCCCTGTGAGCCGGCCCCTGCCCACCTCCAGGACTCAGTACTCACCTCGCTAAATCCTTCAGATCGTCCCTTCTCACTGACCAACCAGCAGCTGCAGAACCCATCTTGCTGTCACAGGGCTTGCTGCCCTCCTGACCTGCAAGGCCTGTCCCCCAGCAGCCGCCCCGTCTTCCTGGAAATGATACGGGGCACCAGCAGCCTCTGCCTGGGGGCTGTCCTGACAGCCCTGCCCCTTGCCTCCCGCTGCTGTATGGAACCCAGAACAGACCTCTGTACCTTTTATTTCTCTTTGTTTAGATAGCTGCTTCTCTGCTGGTGTATAAGCTGCTTGTGGGCAGCGGTGGGCTATGCAAGGCACATAGCAGGCTCTGAAAAAATGATGAATGAATGGCTAGGTTCAATCACTATTGCTATATCAATGACCACTAAAACTTTTTAAAAAAATTTGGCCAGGCACAGTGTGGTTCATGTCTGTAATCCCAGCACTTTGGGAGGCTGAGGCGGGTGGATCACTTGAGGTCAGGAGTTTGAGACCAGCCTGACCAATGTGGTGAAACCCTGTCTCTATTAAAAATACAAAAAATTAGCTGGGTGTGATGGGAGGCACCTGTAATCCCAGCTACTCGGGAGGCTGAGGTAGGAGAATTGCTTGAACCTGGGAGGCGGAGGTTGCAGTGAGCCGAGATGGTGCCATTGCCCTCCAGCCTGGGCAACAAGAGTGAAACTCTGTCTAAAAAAAAAAAAAAAAATTAGCTGTACCTCTTTGTCTTTTCTACTTCCTGCAGCATAAAATATATGTGGTTAGAAACAAAACAATGAGAACAGCAATGACAAAGAGCCCCCAGCTTTGTCTCAGACCAGCTCTGCTGCTAACTAATGTGCTTCTCTTTTTCGGCCTCATGAAGACCAGAAACCTTGGAGTTACTTGATTCCAGCCTGCTTCTTATCTTTAAGATGCCATAACCTGTGCCTGTCCTCTCGACTTCTCCATATCTTTTTTTAAAAAAATTAAATTTTTAATTAAAAAATTTTAAATATATTTTTTGAAACAGGGTCCCACTCTGCTGCTCAGGCTGGAGTGCAAGTGGCGTGATCACTGCTCATTGCAGCCTTGGCCTCCCTGGCTTAAGCAATCCTCCTGCCTCAGCCTCCTGAGTAGCTGGGACTACAGGTGCACACCACCATGCCCAGCTAATCTTTGTATTTTTTGTAGAGATGGGGTTTTGCCATGTTGCCCAAGCTGGTCTTAAATTCCTGGGCTCAAGTAATCCTCCCGCCTCAGCCTCCAAAGTGCTAGGATTACAGGTGTGAGCCACTGGGCCTGGCCTTCTCCATACCATTTGCTCCCCTGCCATCTTCACTTCCATTGCCACTCTGCTCCACACCTCAATCCTCACCTGTGGCCACTCTGTCCAGCTTGGTCTCCTTGCCTGGCCCCTATTACGTCCTATGACCCACACCCTGTTTGCTCAGTATTCTCTGCCACAGCAGCTGCTCACCTCCCTGACTGTCATGGCTCTTGATGCCTCTGCTGGCCTATGAAGGGCCAAGCCCTCAGTGCATTCGGGCTGGGACCCCAGCCTTTTCTCCTAGTCCTCGCCATACCCTGTGCTATGGCCAAGTGAAGGTCTTGCTCCTGGTTCTCATGTGCTCTTCCACCTTCTTGCTGTCTCTGCACATTCAGCCTATCTCAGTCCTCTTATTGTAAGTTCAGACACCTCCTCGATGGAAAGCATTCCTTCATCTTCTTAGCCTGAAACCCTCTCTCACTTTTATCAGGGAAACTTCTGCTCACCTCTTGTTACCGCATTATAAACAGATTTACTAGATACATCTATTTGCCCTCAAAATCCTAGGTGAGAAAGGAACATCTCTGGGTATCAGAATTGGAGGGGAGGGGCTAGAGAGAATCTCAAAGTCAGAGCTGTTAGGTTAGGAATGGGGGCTCCAGGGAGAATTGAGCCCAGCCAGTGCCCAGCCAGATAAAGGCACCAAGGGGCCCCTTAAAAAAAAAAGTTTCATTAAAGTATAACATTTATACAGAAAAAGGCATACATCATAAGCATGCAACTCCATGAGTTTTCACAGTGAACACATCATGTGCCCAGCTCCTAGAATGCCCATGCAGCCATAGGAAGGTGGAGCTAGAACCAGACCCCTCCATGAAGCAGGGCCGCAGAGGCCCGGCACTTCTGTGAAAAGTAATCCAGAAAATTGGCTCTCTAGCCCAGAGAAGCACAAGGAAGCCTGCCATCTTCCCAGGGCTCTGGGGAATGCCTACTCCCTGGCTGTGAATTTATACAACTGCAGGGAACAGGACAACCAAGTTGAGATATTCACACAAACTTGGTCTAAGACTGGTGGGACCCCTGGGTCCTGGAAGAAGCAAATCAGAAAGGCCTCTTAGGGACCCTTCCACCACCCAGGAAGCAGAGAACCCTGGAAAAAACACCCAGTATGAATGAGCTAAAAAAAAAAAAAAAAAAAATCACAATGGGCACTTTTTTTTTTTTAGATGGAGTTTCGCTCATGTCGCCCAGGCTGCAGTGCAACAGTGCAATCTTGGCCTACCACAACCTCCGCCTCCCAGGTTCAAGCGATTCTCCTGTCTCAGCCTCCTCAGTAGCTGGTTTACAGGCATGTGCCACCATGCCCGGCTAATTTTGTATTTTTAGTAGAGACGGGTTTCTCTGTGTTGCTCAGGCTGGCCTCAAACTCCCGACCTCAGGTGATCTGCCCGCCTCAGCCTCCCAAAGTGCTGGGATTACAGGCGTGAGCCACGGCACCCAGCCACAATGGGCACATTTAGTCATGCAGTATAAGTGAAGAATGGAGGTCACTCAGAAGACACAGTTTTTCATTACCTACAAAGTTCTACATCAATCCGCCCTGGTTCCCCTACCTCTCGCCGCCCCCCTACTCAAGCCATGTGGCCTCCCTGCTGTTCTTTGACAGCCTTGTTATGGGGCTGAGTTGTGTTCCCCCAACAGACATGTTGACATCCTAGCCCCCAGGTACCTGTAAACATGAACTTATTTGGAAACAGGGTCTTTGCAGACGCAGTCAGGTTAAGATGAGGTTATTAGAGTAGGCCTTTAATCCAAAATGACTGGCGTCCTTCCAAGAGGAGAAGACAGGCTGTGACTGTGGAGGCAGAGGATGGAGTGCTGCATCTACAAGCTGAGGAACGCCAAGGATTGTTGCCACCGCCATGAGCTAAAAAAGGCAAGGAAGGATTCTCCCTTACAGGTTTCAGAGGGAGCACAGCCCTGCTGACACCCTGATTTTGCATTTCTAGCCTTCAAAACTGGACGACAACACATTTGCCTGCCTGGTTTGTGGTATTTTGTTCCAGCAGCCCTAGGAAATGAATACAAGCCTCAAATGTGTTCCAGCGCTTGCTGGCCTCTCTGCTTGCAAGCCCTTCCCCGGACAACGCCCTCACTCCCTTCAGGTCACTGCTGAAATGCCACCTTTGCAGAGAGGCTGGTCCTGACTGCACTACTGACCTGGGCAGTTGCGGCCTCTCTCCCTTCCTCCACCTCCTTTAGCTTTCTTCTGGTCCCTAGCCATACCTGACAATATGTTGTATGTCTTTCATCTTTGTTGTAAAACGATTGTCTGCCTTGCCTTCTAGAAGGTACGTTCCGTGAAATTAGGGACTGTCCGGTTCATTGCTGCACACCCAGTGCCTGCCATGTGCCTGACATAGACTGGAGTCTCCCATACGCTTGTTTCATAAGCGAATGAGCTGTTTGAGAATGTTGTTTGTTTTCCTTTTCACTCTTTTATCCTCTACATGACCTAATGTTTTGCTCATGGTAGATGGTCAGGAAATATGGGCAGATGGATTAATAAACCCGTCACCACCATTGGGCTGAAGGCTCTGCGTGGTGAAGAGGGGCAAGTCAAAACGCATGGCATGTTGGCCTGGATTTGGTGGCCTCTTTGTTGTAAAATGATTCTAGGGACAATTGATCAGATTTCTCTGAGTAATCATTATAGCTTACCATTTGTTACATGCAGCCACTGTTTCTCTTGCCCTGAATGCCTCCTGATTCCTCCCTTCCCCAGTTATTTTTCTGATTAAGGAATCAGAGTTGAATAATCTAAATTTAGTTTGTGTAGCTCAGAGGTGCCAATCATGGCAAATAATGAATGAAGAGATTTCCCACCCCTTTCCCTGAAGCACTGAGCTGAAACCAACAAATTCATTTTATTTAGGATCACAGGCTGCACTCAGAGTGGTGTCTGTGACAGGTGAGTGCTTTATTCACTAATGAACTCACCAGGCCCCAGACAAACCCTCTCCCTCCTGGTTGGGGTGCTCCTTATCTCCGTTAGCCCACACACTGTGCCTTTTTAGCCTTCTGTTTGCTAATGGAATTGGTGTGTCATTTTGTTAAAAATATGTTAAGTCAGAAAAAATTCATATTATGTATATCATATGGTTCCGCAAATTTCTTTAGCCTTTCAAGGGCTTTTCTGGTAAGCCTGTATTTAGAGTTCACAATTTCTGGATTAAGGACTGTGTTTTCTACCAGTTTTGAAAAGGACCAACATAAAGCACATTTTATCTGCTTTCACTGCATAAGAACATAAAAATTTACTCATTGGAAAGCTGTTATATTCAATGTTTGTAAGAAATAAGCCATAGATTAGGAATAACAATTGTTATGGTACTCTCTGTTGGGGAAAAAGAATGAAGTTCTGTTTTCAGTTATAACCCATGAGTTCTTAATATGTGCACCAGGAGGTTTTATACATGAGGAATTTTGAATGAGTTTTTAAAAGTCAGTAAAGCACCTGTAATCCCAGCTACTCGGGAGACTGAGGCAGGAGAATCACTTGAACCCAGTAGGCGGAGGTTGCAGTGAGCCGAGATCGTGCCATTGCACTCCAGCCTGGGCAACAGGGTGAGACTCCCTCTAAAAAAAAAAAAAACAAAAAAAATTAATTAATTAATGAAAAAATAAAAAATAAAAAAAGAAGTCAGTAAAAATGAAAGTGCAAGATGCGAATAAAAGAAATGAAATGATGCTGATTCATTAAAATATTTAATAAAGTATGTCTTGCTAGTTCCATAATCATTTCTGGACAGAAATTTAACCCACGCCAGCCATTGATTTTGTACTGGTGAGACTTGGCACCTTTATGCCTTGTCACTAATCATCAGCGTTTGCCTGGGAGGGACCAGAAGCCCCCTTATCTCTACCCAGCAGGAGGGCCCAGCACCCTGGATGGAGGGGATGACTTTCTCCAGGGCCTCCCAGAGGGGACAAGAAGAGCCTTCATAGCTCAGACGTCTAACCCCCCCGGCCATTTTATTCTCTGGCCTTGTCTACATGTCTGCCAGCACAGCATTGCGAGGTGTGCAGCCTTTCAATTTAGTTTCTTTAGAAGAAATGGGCTCAGGCCGCGCATGGTGACTCACGCCTGTAATCCCAGCACTTTGGGAGGCCGAGGTGGGTGGACCACTTGAGGTCAGAAGTTCGAGACCAGTCTGGCCAACATGGCAAAACTCTGTATCTACTGGAAATACAAAACAAACAAATAACAACAACAACAACAAAAATGGGTTCAGACTGTAGGTAGAGAAGTATGTTATCCATGAAGATCACCTCTTTACAGGGCAACTTAAGAAGACTATAATTTTTTTATGAGGGTAGAGAATAGCCACACATATAAGGAAGGTGGGTTGATACCTGGAGCAGGTTTTACTGTGCTTTTCTCAGGACATCCGCTTGGATATGAAGATCATGTAGGTAATATGAAAGGCTATCCATTTAATTTGACATTTTGCATTGGGCTTATAACCATCAGGAGGACCAACTTTAATAAGAAATAAACTAATTCCATCAGTAGCACATATTTAAGCTACAGAAAACTGGGTTTCAGCTGAATCTAGACTCCATCTTCCCTGAATGTTCCATATGGCTTGCCCCCTTTGCTCAAATGTGTATAAGGCCTTTGCTCGAATGTGTGAGACTCTGACCCACCTGCTTCAAATTGCATTAGTCCCTTCCCCCACCCTACCCCATCTCTTTTACCTTGCTTCATTCTTCTTTTGTCCTGAGAGGGAAAAAGAAGAGGGGAGGCCGTGGAAGGGCTCCATCATTCAAAGTATTACATGTTGTGATTATTTTCTGTGTCTCCCCTAACCCCATGTAAGCCCCCGTCTACTCTTTTCACTACTGTTTTCCCAGTGCACATAGTAGGTGCTCAATATTTGTTCAATGAATACCGATGCCTGAGACCTTTCTGTACCAAGGGCTGGTTTCCTACTCCACAATGCACTGAACATATATAGGCAGGGTGGGCTGACGGAGGTGTAGGAATGAAATGGGCGCCTGTTCCTCCCAGTGATCTCAGTGTGCGACCTTGGGGGCGGGACGGGCGGCTAAACTGGGAAGGTGCGCGGATATGATACAGACAAACCTCATCATACCGTCCCTCCAAGAAATGCACTTGCCAGGCTGGCCTTCACTTTTCCTAATGCTCTTCAGTGAGTTTCACCTGTCAAATTCTGCTACACAGAGAGGGTGCAGAGAAACTGAATAATCCCTTTTTCTATTCTGAAAATAAAGCAAAACAAAACAGGATCTGCACACTTGTGTTGTGACTAGGCAGGCAAACTGGAGAACTGAGGCAAAAGCATCCTTATATCTAAATAATAGTAATGGAAACGTCGAAAAAAGTTATTTGCTGAGTCATGGCTGAGGATCCTGACTTCGCTAGTTTGGCAGATGCAAACAGGGCACGCAACTAGGAGTCCAGCAGGTTTTGCAGTGACCTGCGATGGTGGTGGGGAGCGGGCTTCTAGCTCAGCCCCCGGGCCCATTTTCACGCAGGGAGCGGCGCCCAGCTGGGGCGGGCTCTCCGCGAGGGGCGTGTCTCTGCCTGGCCTCGCCCGCCCCGGCCCGGCAGCGAATGAGCGGGCGCGCCGGGAGGGCGCGAGGTCAGGGGGCTGGGGACGCGCGTGGGGATCGCTACCCGGCTCGGCCACTGCTGGGCGGACACCTGGGCGCGCCGCCGCGGGAGGAGCCCGGACTCGGGCCGAGGCTGCCCAGGCAATGCGTTCACTCGGCGCAAACATGGCTGCGGCCCTGCGCGCCGCGGGCGTCCTGCTCCGCGATCCGCGTAAGTGGGTCTGTCGCGGCGGCCGCCAGGGCCAGGATCCCTGAGAAGGCGTGGGCAGAGCGGGCAGCTGGCGCCCGGGCCCTCGCGCCCGGGGGATTCGGGGAGCGGCCTTGGGGGTGCTGCGAGCAACCGGGCGAGGGGCGTCGCGGAGAAGGGAGGGCTGAGGGCAGCACTCAGGGCTCGGGAGGCCGCGGGGAGGGCGCCCGGATCCAGGAGGCGCAGGTTCAAGTCCCATCGGTCGGCTGGGTGGCTTGGAGCAGTGGCTGGAATTTCCCAGAGCCTTGGTTATTGTCACCTGCAATAACCAGGCTGTTGAGAAGATTACGCGAGGGAAGGTATGTTATGGGCCTGCCATAGAGGATAGTAAGGAAGGCATCTTCATCATCACCACCATGGACATCTGCCCTGCAGTTCCCTCCCTGCTGAGGAAAGCCCATGGTCCTTGGTCCCTCTGTGCCCACTTCTCCTTAGCAGCGGGACCCCCCGTGGGGCAGCCTGGGCTAGCGTTTTCTAGAGATATCTGGGGAACTTGTAAGACCCAGGAACAGCCTCCCACGTTTCTGATGCAAACCGTGAATAGGTTGTGACCACAGGATGAGCTGATGGGACTGTGGATCTCACACACCTGGCTGGGACAGCATTTCCAACTGTGACACCTTGAACAAGGCACCTAACCTCGCCAGAGCTTTGGTAAATGTACATTGAAATCCTAATTTTTTTTTTAAGGCTTGCCTTGAACATGAGCACCTTGCCTGGCACACAGTAGTACACAGGCATCCTCAAGATGTCTAGCCATTCATGCAGAAGGCTGCCACGAATAAGATGCTTATTCAATGCATCCGAACGGTGACTGGACACAGACCGGACATATTTTTCTAAGACGTTCGTCAGTCTGACACCTACTTGGAGTGGAGGGAATCCCCTCTGAACCTCCATATCTCATTAGACGTGCCTTTGTTAGGAAAATACTAAGGACCCAGTGTACAATGAGGCTAGCTCACTAAGGGCGCTGGGGGACAAAGGGCATTGTTTTTTAAGAAGAGGCAGCACAGTGCCAGTCGTGGGGCTGAAAGAAGTATTGAACTAATCTTTTCTTTCACTGACCTTTCCTGTGGCAAATAAAGTCTGACAGGTCCTAGATTTGAGGTCGTGGAACAATATGTGAAACTTTAAATTATTTGTAGTCTAGGTTAAAAGTGGAAAGATTCAGAAACGCTAGCAGAAGTAGATTTGGAGTCTTATTTGTGTTACAGACTTTGATTTGAAGGCATAGTTATAATACTTCATCATTTTGGTTGATAGGAAAAGATCAACTTCTGTGTGAGAAAACACTGAGGATTATTTCCGAAAATGAGTTCTGAAAGTAAAAGTGGAAAAGCAAAGTTTTATACTTTATGTATTTAGCATATTACAGAATTAATAAGAAGCTTCCGGGGGTGGGCCATATATTATCTGTCTGTTTAGCTATCTATATGAATTATTTTTTTTCTTGGTGCCTTTTTCTTTCCAAACTTTAAACGTTTTGTTTCTTTTGTTTTTTTAAGAGATGGAGTGTTGCTCTGTCGCTCAGGCTGGTGTACGGTGGTGCCATCATAGTTCACTGCAGCCTTGAAATCCTGGGATCAAGTGATCCTCCCGCCTCAGCCTCCCTGGTAGCTGGGATTACAGGCATGATCTAGTGTGCCTGGCCCCCCAAACATTTTTTTTCACTGAGCATATATTGTCTTATGTAATTAGAAAAACAATTCTAGGATAATAAAAGAGTTGTAGGGTTTACATAAGAGACATTAGAACATTTTGGCTCCATATCAGCAACTAACCAATATTTTGAAGCACCCACTATGTTTATTAATAGTTATAATATAGAACCTTATTTCTTTTGTTAATTTTAAAAACGGTGCATATTTTATAAGTACTTTTGAAGTAATCCTCATCTCCTATGTGATAGAAAAGTGCCATTATAGATTTCAATACTTGTGTATCTCGCCCCCCACCCTCTTCTGCCTCGCCCACAAGGATCCAAAATATTAATTTGGTTTTGAAGAACCAGTTGATACTTAAGAACTTTTTTTTCTGTTTTTCCTTTTTCTTTATTTCTTTTTGCAACAACATGAAGTCATAACTTAGGAACTTCTTAAGTCATAGGTATACTTCTGAATGATCACCTATTGGATTTGTCCAGGAATTATGAAGTTTGTTTTTTGAGAGTTTTTTTTTTTTTTTTTTTTGAGACCGAGTCTCACTCTGTTGCCTAGGCTGGTCTTGAACTCCTGAGCTCAAGTGAGCCTCCTGCCTCAGTCTTCCAAGTAGTTGGGACTACAGGTGTCCACCACTGCAGGAGTTATGAAGTTTTGTTTTCTTTTTTTTTTTTTTTTGAGACGGAGTCTCGCTCTGTCGACAGGCTGGAGTGCAGTGGCATGATCTCGGCTCACTGCAACCTCCGCCTCCCAGGTTCAAGGGATTATCCTGCCTCAGCCTCCCAAGTAGCTGGGACTACAGGCAGGTGCCACCACACCCGGCTAATTTTTTTGTGTTTTTAGTAGAGATGGGTTTCACTGTGTTAGCCAGGATGATCTCTATCTCCTGACCTGTGATCTGCCCGCCTCGGCCTCCCAAAGTGCTAGGATTACAGGCATGAGCCACTGTGCCCGGTGAAGTTTCGTTTTCTTATGTCATCTTCTGTTTTGCTGCTTATCTGTCGGTTTGATCATTTTTATTGTTTGTAGGCCTTCTTTTTTTCTTTTTAATTAAACAAAATAGAGATAGGGTCTCTCCACATGGCCTAGGCTAGTCTCAAACTCCTGGGCCCAAGCAGTTCTCCCGCCTCGGCCTCCCAAAGTGCTGGAATTACAGGCGTGAGCCCCCATGCCCGGCCTGTTTGTAGGCCTTCTAAAGGTAGATCAGTTATCCATGTAAGGAGGAGGGGCAGAATTACTTGGTCTTAGTTCATAAATGGGCAAGTCTATACTATTGGATATTCTTCACCCCTTTGCTCAGCCACATGCAGTGTGCAAGGCATTGCTCTTGGGGCTGGACATATTTTTCCCCTCTTATCTTCACAGCAGCCCTGCAGAAGTAGCCTTATCACTATTTTGCAGATGAGAAAAGTGAGACTCGCAGCATCTCAGTGAGTGGCCCAGGCCCAGCCATACAGCCTCTTGGTCCCGTGTGGGATTTCTGCTCAGATCTCTCTGGTTTCCGAACACGTACTCTCTACGCCACGCAATGCTGCCCGTGCCATCAGATTCTCTTCAGCTGTGAGCTGAGTCTTTTCCAGAGTCTCAGTTGGCCCTTTGAATGTTTACTTTAAACTCCTTTAGCCTGGACGAATGCTAATTGTTTGGTAGGAGACGCTTTTCATTTTTCTAGAATCTTCAGATCATTAGGGGAGAGGAGTGTTTTGGATGAGTCCTTGAAGGGTGAGTGTATTAACGAACCTGAGTGGAAAGGGTCCCTTGGCAGCGACATCATTCTCCTCTCTGAGAATCTGGTGAACCATGGAGAAAATAATTTTGTAAGTAAGACATGGTAATAGTTAAGCAGCTTGAAAAGCTACTAGCTCCCAAATTTATTAGGAAATCCTCATCTACTAGTTGGAAAATCTAGTCCCTCCCCACCGCTTCCTTCTTCTTTTTTTTTTTTGAGATGGAGTCTCACTCTGTCACCCAGGCTGGAGTGCAGTGGTGTGATCTCGTCTCACTGCAAGCTCCACCTCCCGGGTTCATGTCATTCTCCTGTCTCAGCCTGGAACTACAGGCACCCGCCACCACGCCTGGCTAATTTTTTTTTTTTTTTTGTATTTTTAGTAGAGATGGGGTTTCACCGTGTTAGCCAGGATGGTCTTGATCTCCTGACCTCGTGATCCACCCGCCTCGGCCTCCCAAAGTGCTGGGATTACAGGCATGAACCACCGCGCCCGGCCTTTCTTTTTTTTTTAACTCCTTAAATTTTGTGTAGAAACGAGGGTCTTGCTATGTTGCCCAGGCTGCCCCCAAATGTCTGGGCTCAAGCGATCCTCCCACCTCTGCCTCCCAAAGTGCTGGGATTACAGGTGTGAGCCACCACACCTGGCACTCCTTCCTTTTTTTAGGTTTGAAGGAGGAAATGTCATTTTATTACAGGTTGAGTACCCCTTATCCTGAATGCTTGGGACCAGAGGTGTTTTGGACAGATTTTTTTTAGGTTTTGGAATATACTTACTTACAGATTGAGCATTCCAAATCTGAAAATCTAAAATTCAAAATGCTCCAATGAGCATTTTCTTTGAGTGTCATGTCAGTGCTCAAAAAGTTTCAGGTTTTGGAGCATTTTGGATTTTGGATTTTCACATTTGGGATGCTAAACTTGTACCAGCAGTCAAACTGTGGAATGCCAAGGTTTCATTCTCATGCCCCATGGAATCCGATACAATCTCACTCATAAGGAATTAGGGCCATTGCAGCATGATTAGGAACCTGGTTAAATCCCACGATGAAGTTCAGAATTAAACTTAGTAAAAAAGGAGATGTGAGTTGGTTTGAGCCTTGGAATTGAATTTTTTTTTTTTTAAAACACCAACTCAAACCAGATGGAATTGAACTTCTTTATGGAATCTTTGCACTTCCACTTTGAGTTGGTAAAGATTATTCAGCATAAGCTGACATGATTGGCTGTGCTAGGAATGTGTACAATCTGGGTGGTTGGAAATCTAATGGCCTGGAGATATAATTCTCTTATATTTTACAGACATGCTAGGTGATAAAATCAGAGCAGGTATAGTTCCCGTCCTCTAGAAACTGACAATTGAAACTAACACCAGTACTAATCACATGGTGGACACTGCAGAACGCTTCACTCCTCTGCTCTACTCCTTTCAAGAATCCCTGTAGCAAGGTGTCATTTTACAGGTGGGGAAACTCAGGCTCAGGAAGACCTGGCCCCAGGTCACATTGCTAGTAAGTGGCAGAGCTGAATTCAGAGTCAGAGCTGCTTAACCCACAGCCTGAATTCCTCCTCAGGGCACCTTTGCCTCTTAGGAGGAGGAGGGCAGAAGGAGACTGATCGCAAGCTGGTTTCTAACCGGCTGGTTTGAGAATGGGGAAGAGGTCATGTGCATAGCACCAGGCACCACAGTAACCACCGTCTCACATGGCCATCTTCAGTACTTCCTATATGGCTTCAGTTTCATTTCACTGGCTGTTTAAGGACCAGTACTCTTCATATGACAGCTGAGTATGGCACATGATCTCCTCAATTCAGGTGGGTTCTTCAGACCCACTGCCACCTCCTGTGGGGCCCAGGACAAGGGTATACTTGAAGGCACATATATGGTATGTGGGATATAGCAAGCTAACAAACTGGGAAATATGTTCTGTCCTCCTATGTTGACAAATAGACCTTGATCACAACCTGGAAGGATGAGCTCTTGAACTCTCTGAGTTCCTGCAGAAGTGTAGAGGCCTTTGGAGAGTTGCCTCTGACTGACATGCTTTCCTGCTTCTCTTCTTGCCGCTGGCTCTTTCTGGCCTTGTGGGGAGCCTCACAGACAGCCTGGATGGACTCTCTGGTCTTCATGCCCAGTTCCACTCTTGCCCCTGCAAACAGCTATCTATCCCTTGGCCACCATTCAGGTCAAGACTTGATCCACTGATGGCACAACCTCCCTCAGGAGGATGGATCTGAAAAAATGCCTGCACAGACCCTGGGAGTGGGTGTGGAGCTTGGGGGACAGGGAATCCTGGGGCGCTGGGAGCCTGGTCTGGCACGTGGGATGTGGACTCCTGGGGTGGCATGTCTCCTTGGTGGTAGAGACTGCATACCCCGTGGGGTGGGGTGCAGTGGGAGGAGGGCCAGAACAGGCCCTGGGAAGCAGAGGCCCCTTGTCAAGGTTCAAGGGCAGTACTGGGTTCTCAGCACGAGTGCTTTCCGAAGAAGGCTTGGAGGCAGAAAGGAGAACTGCAGCTATTTGGAAACTGGCCCACTCGCCACTCCCGAAATCGGCGGCTTTTCACTTTTCTGCAGCCCCTTCTCCTTCCACAGGAGCAGCACGCTACTGTCAGTCATGTTGGTCTCGTGCAGGGGTTCTTGTGAGGGATTGTATCAAAATCTGCAGCCGAGGTGGGGAGAGGAGGTGTGTGTAGTTTCTAAAATGCTTCTCTGCAGGCTCTCATCGGCCATCCTAGGGGAGCGATCCTCCACCCCATCCCCTTGGAGAGGGCTTAAGTTCCTTTACCTGCCTGCAGAGAAATGCTAGGAAAATCATTTCTGCCATGGGATCTCTTTAAATTTTAAAGTCAGGAATTATGCTCTGAGGACCTCTTCAGAAGAAATTACTTTCTAGCTAGATTTCATGCGAGCACTTTAATTTTGTCACAGTGGCATCCAGCAGCTGGAGGGTCTGTCAGCCATGGAGGTGGAAGTCAGGTGCAGCTGCAGCGGCCGTCACCACAGAAACAGCCCAGCATGCCCAGGGTGCAAAACCTCAAGTTCAACCGCAGAAGAGGTATGAGTCTAACATCAGGTACAAATAAGAATTTCTCTTTATCGATGCAGACACCAATAGACACAAGCTGCCTGGGAGGAAAGGTGCTGGGAAAAGCCAGTGTGGAAGGAGCTATTTTCTTGGCTTCCTTTCAATAGCTGTTAAACCATAGATTTTACACCCTCCTTCCCCACTGGATCCTTCCCTGCAACAGGGCTATTGTTAAAAGACACAGAGTTGAGTACAAACAGTCTGCAAATTGTGTTAAGAATTTGGTTCTGGAATATGTCACATAACACAAATTATATATGCTGGAAATGTATTTACGAACCTAACATAATTATGCCTATGAAATGTATGTTCTGTACAGGATAACGAATAACTGGTCTACCAAGAATTTCTATAGGAAGCTAGAGTATTGTTTTTCATCCCTTAACACAGTGAACGTAATTATAAAAGAAGTAACAGGATTTATCATCTATTAAAGAAGTGAAGTACACGTTTCATACCTCACCTCTTCTGTTGCTGGTGGCTGGCAGCAGGCATGGCATTGTTGCAAGGGTCCTCTTTAGTAACAGGAGTCACAACCGCTCCCAAGTCTTCCTCTGTACAGAGGCAACAGAAGACTCTATAAAGGGAAGTTATCGAGATGAGTACATAGAAACAGCACCCTTTAACATCAGGCAGAGTGAGAGAAAGTAGCTGGGACCTATTTAACTCCATGACCTTTCTGCTAGATCACACATTGTTTGATGAAAATTATACAGGTATGAATATATACACACACACACACACACACACACATATATACACACACACATATATATATATATCTTTTTTTTTTTTTTGAGAGAGTCTCACTCTGTCTCTCAGGCTGGAGTGTGGTGGCACAATCTCAGCTCACTGCAGCCTCCACCTCCCGGGTTCAAGCAATTCTCATGTCTCAGCCTCCCGAGTAGCTGGGATTACAGGCACATACCACCACGCCTGGCTAATTTTTGTATTTTTAGTAGAGACGGGAATTCACTATGTTAGCCAGGCTGGTCTCAAACTCCTGACTTCAAGTGATCCGCCCGCCTTGGCCTTCCAAAGTGCTGGGATTACAGGCATGAGCCTGTAATTTTATTTTTTTTTTGAGAGGGAGTCTTGCTCTTTCACCCAGGCTGGAGTGCAGTGACTTGATCTTGGCTCACTGCAACCTACACCTCCCAAGTTCAAGCCATTCTCCTGCCTCAGCCTCCCAAGTAACTGGGATTACAGGTGCATGCCACCACACCCAGCTGATTTTGCATTTTTAGTAGAGATGGGGTTTCACCATGTTGGCCAGGCTGGTCTCGAACTCCTGACTTCAAGTGATCCACCCACCTTGGCCTCCCAAAGTGCTGAGATTACAGGCGTGAGCCACCGTTTTTATTTTGAGGAGTGTAGCTCTGTCACCCAGGCTGGAGTGCGGTGGTGTGATCATGGCTCACTGCATCCTTGAACTCCTGGGCTTAAGTGATCCTCCTGTCTCAGCCTCCCAAGTAGCTAGGACTACAGGTGCACACCACCACACCCAGCTAATTAAAACAAATTTTTTTTCTTGTAAAGATGGGGGTCTCATTTTGCTGCCGAGGCTGGTTTTGAACTCTTGGCTTCCAGCAGTTCTGCCATGGCTTCCCAAAGTGCTGGTATTACAGGCATGAGCCATGAGCCACGAGCCACCGTGCCTGGCCAGAACCAAAATTTTCTTATTGTGTGTTTATTGTTTTTTGCTATATGATCATGGGTATGATGACTGAGTGCTGTGTAACCTGAGGTTAGTTGGGGATGGGCATTAGATACCTTCTTCATCTGGCAGCCTGCCAAGCAGGGCCCATTCCATTTCTCCTTGCCCCTCCCAGCCCCTCTCCCCACCTCAGCCATATGCACTGAGGGTTGGGATTTGATAGAAACTGAAGAACTGATTCAGTTTGGAATCCTAGAAGAAAAATTATTTCATTTGTGTGTTTTTCTAGCAGCAACTCATTAATATAAGTAGGCTTAATATTATTAAAATTAAATGAAAGTCTTTAAATTCTACTAAGTAACTTTAGATCATATTTATATAAAATAAATGGGATCATTTTAGAGAATACGGATAGGCAACAAAAAAAACCTTAAAACATTATGAATAATCTTACCACCCAATATTTTGTCTCTCTCTGTCTTCTTAAAAAAAAAATAGAGACGAGGTCTTACTGTGTTGCTCAGGCTTGTCTTGAACTCTTGGGGTCAAGCAGTCCTCCTGCCTCAACCTCCCAGAGTGCTGGGATTACAGGTGTGAGCGACCAGCCAGGCCAATTTTGTCTGTATGACTATTAAATATTCACTCTGTATGTATTTAGCAAGATGTGACCGTACTGTACATCATATATTTATAATGCCCTCTTTTTATTTACTTTATCATCATAAATACTTGTCTATATTATTTTAGTAACTGAAGAGTATTTTATTAAGTCATAAACTACCTTGACCAACATTCTGGGACACGTAGGTGATTTCTAGTTTTTTAATATTAGAAATGGTGAAGCAGTGAGTGTCTTTGTGGATTCTTCTGATGGCAGTCATTATGAAGGCATTGTGCTGCTTAATGCTTGGGCTGGACTAGACTGCAATACTAGAGTAGACACTACACTAGGCCAGGGGTTGACATTAGTTCTGTAAAGGGTTAGGTAGTAAATTTTTCAGGCTTTGTAGGCCAAACTCTGTCTTTTGCTGCTATTCAACTCCGCTGTTGTAGTGTGAGAGCAGCCATAGATATTACATAAACAATGAGGGGAGCTGTGTTCCAGTAAAACTTTATTTACAAAAACAGGCAGTAGGGGTGTATGTGTGTATACAGATTTAGTGCATGGGCTATAGTTCACCAAATTCTGTTCTAGAGGCATCATAGACCCACAGGCCAATCATGTCTTAGAGGTTTAATGAAGAGCTGGGATCGTATTACTTTTTCTTGAGGCTGACCATATAGAGTAGAATAGAATTATTGTTTATTAATTGACAAGCTTAAGTTTCTGTTACGTACATTTAATATTTCACGGAAAAACCTTGTATTTTGAGAGTCCTGGGATATAAAAATGGCAAAATGTTGAAACCTTTCCAAGTGAGAAGTTTTAAATATATTTTGCTGTATACACTTTTATATTCAAACAAACGGAACATGAACGTTCAGACCTTGGTCTCAGGTGTGTTCTGTCTGGAGGGAGAGGAGATGGAGACCCTTGACTAAAGCTTTCACTTCACATTCTGGAATAGAGGGGTGTCAGACTGGGGCTTACTAATGCGCTATTCATCATGCACAACACAGTTTTGAATTAAGTGCATGTGTATTTAGGTATTTTCAAGTCGTGTGCATCTCTTTCATGTGTAAGATCAACATGCGTTTGCAAAACCATGAGCAGGGCAGAGTAGCATCCCCTTTAAAGCCACTCTTGTTCTGAGCTCAGGTGTTATAGATGAAAAACAGCTCTAAATCCCGTTTGCACACTGATACCGTCTGTGGCTTAGGTAAGTCTTTTAGCCTGAGGTTTTTTTAACCAGTAATCTGTTAACTGGCAGCAATCCATGGGAAAATGCACTTAATTTATTGTGAGTCACAGATTTTGAAGGTGAAAGACAGGATCCCAGGAGAAGACTAGTGGTCTAAGTAGAAAGATTAAACGAATATTAGTTTCACAAAATAATGCATCTGGAATTTTCAAATATCAAGGAAAGAAAACTCAACACACCCGTTAATGCAGTTGTAGGACTCGAGCATGGAAGAGTTATATAACAACCACATCTTCAGTGCAGTTGCTTGGTTGTTTTAGAAGGGGATTAAGCCCTCTTTCTCTAAGACAGTGATTCTCAATAGGGGGAAGGGGGCATTTTTGCCTCCTGGGACAAATTTGGCAATGGCTGGAGACATTTTTGGTTGTCACACTGGGGTGGGGTGTGTGCTATTATTGTGTACAGGTAGAGGCCAGGTATGCTGCCAAGGCTCCTGCATTGCACAGGGCCGTCCTCTACAACAAAGGACTCTCCAGCCCCAAACGTCAGTAGTGCTGAGGTTGAAAAACCCCGGTTGAAGGCATTGATGTGAAAAGGGACCTTAGTTAATCTTTATAATGGGGTCTAAATGAGAAAATCCCTGATCTCATTGTAATGCCATATTTCTCCTTCCCCAGGAATTGATTCGTATTCTGAAAAAGTAGGTTGAGAATTCAGATTTTTACCTCATCCACTTATACAACAGGTTTGATCAAGAAAACAGTTTCTACCTGTTTACATTTGACATACCCTGCTGCCTTACGTTATTGCCAAATGTTGTTAATAATTGTTTAAAAATTGCCCATTAAGATGTCACCATAAGCCTGGGGCAATGGCTCACACCTGTAATCTCAGCACTTTGGGAGCCTGAGCCAGGAGTTTGAGACCAGTCGGGGCCACATGGCGAGACTCTGTCTATATAAAAAATTTTAAAAGTAGCCAGGCATGGAGGCATGTGCCTGTGGTCCCAGCTACTCAGGAGGCCGAAGCGGGAGGATCACTTGAGCCCGGGAGGTCGAGGATGCAGTGAGCTTTGTTTGTGCAACTGCACTCCAGCCTGGGTGACAGAGTGAGACCCTGTCTCAAAAAAAAACAAAAACAAAAAAGATGTCATCATAGTATCTTTAGTTTTCGAGCACATAAAGAATGTTTCTCTATACAGGCTCTGTCTCAGCAGCATTGGTTTAGTCACTGCAGTGGTCAGAGGTAGTCTGGTGTAGGAGATTCAGGAAGTAGACCCCTCAGCGTTCATAATAACGGTGTTTAGATAAACTTCAGGCTGGTTATTTTTCAGCTGCTTTATTGAAAGTGAATAGAGGGTATAACCATATAATGAAATATTATTTAGCAATAAAGAGGAGTGAAGTGTACTGATTCATGCTACGACACGTAGCATGAACATTTTATGCTGAGTAAAACCAGACACAATCATGAACATTTTATGCTGAGTAAAACCAGACACAATCATGTGATTCCATTTCTATGAAGTGTCCTGAATAGGCAAATCTATAGACCCAGAAAGTAGATTACTGGTTGCCAGGGGTGAGAGGGGAGGGAACAGGGAGTGGCTTTAATGGATACGAAGATTCTTTGTGGGGTAAAGATGTCCTGGAGTTAGATAGTCGTGATGGTTTCCTGCCTTTCCTTATGTATTAGAAACCTCTGAATTGTTCAGATTATGGTGAATTTTGTGGTATGTGAGTTATATCTCAATTTTTAAATATGAAAAAAAGATGAATGAATGAATGGAAGAAATGCTCCTTGATCTTTAGTTCCCCAGTTATTGCCATCCCATGGCTACCTGCTCATGGGGACACGCAAGGTCTTCTGGTGGCTCCTGCCAGCGTGCCAGAGGCACCTGGTCCTGCTCCGACTTCACCTTGCCCTCTGGCGGGGCTTAGGAGTGGGGAGCTCCTGGCCTGGCTCACTTTGGGCTGTGTTGACTCCGGAGCTTGATCTGGATTTTAGGTTTACATTTTTGCATAGCACTTTGTTTTTTTAAGTTTCCAGAAGCTGCTTGACCTAAAACTTGTTATGGAGCTCTGCTTTCTTTTTGCTTCTTCCTGCTTATTCAGGGGTTGATTCTGTAGCCTGGGACTAATTTGAATGTTAGCACCGGTTCTTGCAGGAATTATCTACACAGTGAATTTACATGCAGGATGGAGAGGAGAAGTTTATCATAACAGGAGCCATGGATGAAGGAATAGAGGGAGGTCTTGGAGAAGGAAGCAGAGGAGCAAGCAATAACTTAAGTCAGTCCTGGTGTGGTGGCTCACACCTGTAATCCCAGCACTTTGGGAGGCCGAGGCAGGCTCCTGACGTCAGGATTTTGAGACCAGCCTGGCCAACATGGCGAAACACCATCTCTACTAAAAATACAAAAATTAGCCTGGGTGCGTGTAATCCCAGCTACTTGGGAGGCCGAGGCAGGAGAATTGCTTAAACCTGGAAGGCGGAGGTTGCAGCGAGCTGAGATTGCACCACTGCACTCCAGCCTGGGTGACAGAGTGAGAATCCATTTCAAAAATAAAATGTAAAAACTAATTTCAGTCAGTAGTCATTTAATTTAATAATTGACTAAAGAGACAGGAGCAGATGCAAGAGTGGGGATGGGCTGGTATTAGACTGTGGAGGTTTAAAATTTTGGGGGAACCCTGCTCTGTGTAGAGTAGAACTTACCATGTGCCAGCACGTGCTAAGTGACTGAAGATGTTACCCACTGAATTCTCAAAACAGCATTTTGAGTAGGTGGTGGGTGCTATGTTTTCCAGATGAGGAAACTTGAAGTTGGGAGAGGTCAGGTAACCTCTGTATTCATATGGTACTCACATGTACAGGTGCTTTAGCTGCAGGACAATTTTAGATTTCTACCTTGACTCCCAGTCCCTAAAGGTTCGATCTCTCTTCAGGCCGAGACTTTAAAAGGGAAACATTTCTAGCGGAGTGAAGACTGATATCATGAATTAAGCCAAAAGACAAAGGTCCAAGTCTGAGCTGGGACCATGGGGAACTGGAGGCCACAGATGTCCCCGAATAGGTATCTGTGTGACGGCAGTGAAAAGAGCCATAGTATTTACCTTTGTATGGAACAGATTAGAGTTTGCTGGCTGAACCAAGAGTCCACCCTGGAAGAAAATAAGAAGTGTGACAAATCAACCGTTGTATTTTATTTTATATAGGAAGCCGAAAACTGGAATATTAATGCTAAACATGGGAGGCCCTGAAACTCTTGGAGATGTTCACGACTTCCTTCTGAGACTCTTCTTGGACCGAGACCTCATGACACTTCCTATTCAGAAGTGAGATATATATAAACACCTCAATTATAACCTTGGCACTACATTGACATGTGTCTCTCAATTCTGTAGTTTCAAACCAGTAAATAGTTTTAATGCGTATCTGGTAATGGTTAAACAGCAGCATTGTTTTCTGTTGGATATCAGAAGGATATGATATCAGAAAATTGCAGGGGGAGAGAGCAAATAAGTTAGTGGGGATTCTCCTTGAGCCCTTTGCTCCCCAGAGCCCTGGAAATTGCAGTTGTCTTGACATAGCCTAGGTACCTTTAAAGATTTTTAAAGATATATTTGTACTTGTCACTTAACGGCTGATTAACACTCAGGGAAGCAATGATTATTATTCATTTGTACTATAAATATGGATTGTTGCTGCCCTTCTTTTCCTTTCATCCTTCTTTCCCTTCTTCCTTCTCTCCTTTTTCTTTCAAAATAGATTTCTATTATGAAAAATTAGTACATGCATGGGATAAAAACTACAAATAGTATAAAAGTAATTACAGTAAAAGGCAAGTGTCCCTTTCACCTTGCACTCCCAGTTATCCACCTGGAGGAAAGCGCTGTTACATCCAGAAATAGTCCGTGCATATCCAAGCATACACATACATACACACACACACGCGCACATACATACATACACACATGCACACCCCCCCCCCCACTTCGTTACACAAATGTGAAGGTACTTATGTACTATATTTGAAACTTTCCTTTTTTTTTTTTTTTTTTTTTTTTACATACGTATACATGTGCCATGTTGGTGTGCTGCACCCATTAACTCGTCATTTACATTAGGTATATCTCCTAATGCTATCCCTCCCCTCTCCCCCCACTCCACGATAGGCCCTGGTGTGTGATGTTCCCCTTCCTGTGTCCAAGTGTTCTCATTGTTCAATTCCCACCTATGAGTGAGAACATGCGGTGTTTGGTTTTTTGTCCTTGTGATAGTTTGCTGAGAATGGTGGTTTCCAGCTTCATCCATGTCCCTACAAAGGACATGAACTCATCCCTTTTTATGGCTGCATTAGTATTCCACATTTTCTTAATCCAGTCTATCATTGATGGACATTTGGGTTGGTTCCAAGTCTTTGCTGTTGTGAATGTGTAAACTTAACACTGTATCTTGTTTCATAACGTTATATCGATATATAGGTCTGGCTCATTTTTTGATTACTATTTAGAACTGCATCATATGGCTGTAACTTAATTTGTTTAATCCATGCTTCATGGTGGACAATTAGTTTGTTTACAGTGTTGCAGTGAACATTCTTGTGCATACATCTTTGCTCCTATATGCAAGTGTATCTATAAGATTAATAGACTTTATTTTTTAAATTAAGAGAAATGTCTACTTCATTTGTCTTATATCCTAGTTCTCGTTAGGTGTGGGATCAAAATGTGTTACGCTAGTAGCTAGCGCACATCCAGGTTTCTCTGCATGGGTGTTGTGTGTCCTGAATCTTCAGGTGTGCTGCTGGAACAGCTTGTGGAGCACAGCTGGGTATTCCTCAGAGAGGGTATAGCTTTAGCTCCTTATTCTACAACAAGAGAGCTGGCTATTGTCAATGACCTCAAGCTTCTGTTTTAAAGGCTTAATCTTGTTAGGCTCTCTAAAATTTTGCTTTTTTTCTTTTTTATTGAGTAGAAAACATTTCTCAGGTTGCTAAGCTGGAATAAAATCCACTTACCTGTATGTTAAATGATTTAGTAAGCTGGCACCATTCATCGCCAAACGCCGAACCCCCAAGATTCAAGAGCAGTACCGCAGGATTGGAGGCGGATCCCCCATCAAGATATGGACTTCCAAGCAGGGAGAGGGCATGGTGAAGCTGCTGGATGAATTGTCCCCCAACACAGGTATGGTGTTTCTTCATTAACATGTAACTAGATTAGTTCTTTCGAAGTAGTTATGAAATTCAAAAGAGTAGTAGATGCTAAATGCTTCATATGTACTGGCAACTCAATTTGTGGTGTTTCTACATAATACATGGTCACTTAATTTAGGTCTCCAGGCGTTATCCCTTGACCTTTAGCCTTTGCTATGACTTCTTACATTACAAGTAAAAAAAAGCTAAGGATTTGGGACATGAGTTTCAAAAGGAAGTTCGAGATGTTTGTTAAATTGCTAGAGTATAAGGCATAAGCAACATACCATGAAAGAAAGATGCATATATCATTACACTGGAAAGAAATCTTTGGGAAATGGATTGAGGCTGCTGCTATTATTGCCTTTTCTTTCTGGTTGGATAGCTGATTAGAATATTTAGAGCAGTATTAGCTAGCTATCATGGAAGCCACAGGACAGTAAGCAACTCGCAGTGATGCTTTCAGCTCTCAGAATATCACCATTGTAAGGTATTGAAGGTCCTTGTTGGACGTGGCACCAAAAAGAGGATTGTGCACATCTGAGAACCTCTATCCAGAATAATAGTGTGCAGAATGAACCACTAAATGCATGGATGAAGTAAAAATGCTGTATTAAACACATCGAAGACACAATTCATTGCAGGACACCCTGTTTTTGTATAATACTAAGATACAAAAGCACTACCGGTTAATTTTAAGACAACATCTATTGTAGACTGAACTGATATGAGAAATGTTAAAACCAAAAAAATGTACATCTTAGGACACATGAATTACATTCATTGCAAATATATCTTAGAGCTTTGGGATCAGGATAGGTGTGTGACACTGGGAACCCTCAGGGAGAACAGCTCCACTAGGCAGGACCAAAAGGAGCATTTCACTCTTTTCTGACATCACTGAGCAAGCATCCACTCCAGCTGTTCTCAGAATCCACTGGTTCCCATGGCACAAAGTAACAAAGGGCCCTGGCCCCTTCTCAGATCACCTCACTTCGAAAATTGTTCAACTGTGCTTCTGCATATTCGGCTTGCTTCCTGCTTAAAGCTGTGGCTCAAGGGCATTTCTTATGCAGTTCCTCCGTGCATGCCACAGTGCATCTTTAAAATGTCAGCCCTCCATTCACACCTACTTACTAGAGAACAAACTCCAGTCATTAACAGTTTATCATGATCAGAGGTTTCTTGTGGGCCTGGTGTGGTGGCTCACGCCTGTAATCCCAGCACTTTGGGAGGCCAAGGCAGGTGGATCGCTTGAGCCCAGGAGTTTGAGACCAGCCTGAGCAACATGGTGAAACTCTGTCTACACACACACACACACACACACACACACACACACACACACACACACGACAACAACAACAACAACAACAGCAACAACAACTAGTCAGACATGGTGGCACACGCCTGTAGGCCCAGCTATTTGTGAGGCTGAGGTGGAAGGATCGCTTGAGCCAGGGAGGTTGAAGCTGCAGTGAGCCATGATCATGCCATTGCATTCCAGCCTGGGAAACAAAGTGAGACCCTGTCTCAAAAAAAAAAAAAAGGTTTTATTATGAACCAGATTTGCAATTGCTATGCTGTCTCTCGTGGGAAGAGGAGGCAGAAAGGTTCCCATTTTTCCTGTTTTTATGTTACTGTAGTACCCATCATTATAAAGAGCCCTAGTGAGCATGGGGGTGGGGCACACCCCAGCAGTTTGGGAGGCTGAAGCAGAAGGATTGCTTGAGCCCAGGAGTTAAAGCCCTGGTAGAGTTGTCAGACTTGAAAAAGCAATACAGACAGGAGGGCATCCTTCCCGCCACCTCCTGTCTCCGGTGAGGCTGCTGGGGTACCTCTTCATCTCCTTCTCATTCCTCTTCCCTTCTGATCCTTTCTTTCCTATATAGTTGTAAAGTTTACTTTTGAACTATGTCTATTGATTTATTTCTATTAAGAAAAATTCTCTTTAGGCCAGAAAATGTGATGATTGCAAACAGATAAACATGTTTCATGCTGTCGTTTTTTAGGGAAGTGGTTGTTGCTTGGTAGCCAGTGTGGACGTTTTGAGACTTGCACTGGTTTCATAGAATTGACCAGTTAACTAAGACAGTGAGTTATATCAGGAAATGGTTTCATGTAGTTACATTGCATTGCAGAAATGTAGAGAATAGATACAGAAATAGATGAGAAGTGTAATCATGTGATGGAAAGTCTAAATCTCAAATATGCTTTGCAAATTATAGTTTAACTGTTTAGCTTGTAACTGCTTTTAGTGAAGCTATAAGTAAGGGATGCTCATGAAATAATTCTGTTCTTTCCCGGATGCAGCGTGGATAGGCGTATGGGTTCCTTTCTCTGATGGTGTTGGCTTCCCTGCTCTGGTTCAGGCAGTTTACTTACTTAACTAAGCCTCAGCTAGAAAATGGGGATGGTAACAGAACTCAACTCTTAGATCCTTGTGAAAATTAAATGCGATAATCCTGAGAGGCATTAACATGACAAAAGTTCAATATACGTGAGCTTTTTAATTCATCATTGGCACAGGGTTCATGATCTGATACAAAGTAAGCATTTGCTACATATTTCAAACTTTTCTTTCAAAAAATCATGTACAAATCGGACATTTGAACTATTGTACATGCTAAATTAATGAAGTTTTTGCTGTTTAAAAATCTAGTTTCTCTGTCTTTTAGTAGTTCTTGCTGAAGACTGTTCATTGAACAGCTGCTCTGAGGGTACGTAAGCTAGGCCAGTGAGTGATGTGTTTTGGGCTCACTCTGGCCAGATCTGCCCACGAGATGTGGCACTGGTTAACATCGGAGAGGCTCCTTCTCATCCCTGCATCCTTCCAGGGACAGCCAGCTGCATTGTGAAACCCACCCTGATGGACACGGGTCCTTCATGAACACTGTTTGTTGGTTCCTCAGGATATGCCCAGTTGGAGAGTACCTTGCTGCTTTTTCTCCAATATGTGTTTACAGGTTGTCTTTAGAAAGCATTTAGAAAACATTATCAGTTCTTTCCAGGGTATTTTACTCTGTCTCACTTTAAAATGTGGCCACCTGCCCTTGTCTTTATCTGCAAGGGCAGCCTTTCTACCTCTTAGTATGCATGATTTGAGGAACTCCCAGACCCTAGGCATTTAGACCGTAACCTTCAGATACTGGACAGGTGAAAAGAAAATGCGAGAAGCCGGTTGACCTGCAGCACTGGGGATGTCATTCTGATCATCGTATTGTTTCAAAGTAGAATCGAAAGCAGTTTCTACTTGCTTGCTAAACCTCAGCTCAAATCACCAAGAGTTGCTTCAAGGGATTTGATGGTATTGTAATAGTTGGCGGTTTTTAGCACAAAGCACATAATCTTTGAACAATCAGTCATTTGGAGTTTGCTTATGGGATCATGTCCTGTGATATGTTTTAACTGCTAGTGACCATTTTATGCAAGGCAGCACGAAATTGGTGGCCGGAAAATGGACAGAGCGCTAAAAATGATCTAGTTTTACTTCCTTCTTCTTTTTTGCAGTACCCAACCAGAGAATACTGAGTCCGACCAGCCTTTCTGTGCACACATGTGCTTCTCTCGCCTAATGGCATTCTGCTTCTCCCTTGGGAATGTGTTCCCCTGGCTCTTAGCTCTCTGGGTCAAGTTAGGAGGAATGTCGTCCTTGTATATATCTAGGTATAAATGAGATAAACTCCCGTCTTTTCCTTCACTTTAACCTAAATGTTTCTTGTGGCAATTTATGTCACATTCATAGTTGCAGCCCCTGCTAATGCTTTGGACAGTAACATTATCATGGTCTTATTATTTATTACCTGACACTCATGTAGTGATTCTCACTATCATCCCTGAGTGTAAGTTATGTGTAATCCTATGAAAAGGCAAGGAAACAAGACTAAGTAAGTTTAGGAAACTTGTAGTTTTATGACTTTATACATGCTTAAACAATTATGTGGTGTGGATGTTTTTGAACTACAAGAAAGGAAGATGCGGGAGGATAAAGAAGATAGAAGAGGGTATTCGTGAAAGGACAGGGAAGGGACAGGGAAAGAACATGAGGATATACAGCAGGCATGGGCCATTTAGGTACCAAGAACAATGGCTTTCAATCCCATGTGGCACCTCCAAAGTAAGCACTGTTTTATATGTGTAATGAGGAGAATCATTTTAATCATTTGTTATCAATGAATTTTTTTACGTATGCAAGAGCTCTTGCATTTTTTTATATAAACGAGGTGGCCTGGGGGTTCGGGGAACTGGGTAATAGGAGCAGGGTGAGGTGGGGGGCCTGGGAGGAGTGAGAAGCATGGGTTGGGAGACCCAGGCTCTAATTCCAGCTCGACCACCTGCAAGGTATGACTTTGGGTAGTTCAGTTAACCTTCAGAGTCTCTGTTTCCTTATCTGGAAAATCAGGTTTAAATGATTAAAAAAATAATGCCCAGTGGCTACCATAGTATCTGGTATGCAAGAGGAAGTTATATTTTAGAATAAGTGTTGTTTTTTCCTCCTTTCTCTTGAGGCTCTCTTATGCCAGCCAAGAACAGAGAATTAGGAAGAGAAGTTTGAGTTTTAAAAACCACTGTGCAGTAAAGGTGTGTGGGTGGGGTACTGATCCTAGAAAGTCATCATTAAAAGTTCACATACCAGCTGAAGAGTGGATAAGATCCAAGGAATATGCTAAACTTGCCTTCACCGTCAGTGCCATAGGAAATTACATGAACTGTTCTTTGTTCTGGGCATTGCATTATGTTTGTTGACTCTGAGGAATCTATATAAGGATTAACACTTTCTCCTTTCCACATGTGCTTCCTAATAGCCCCTCACAAATACTATATTGGATTTCGGTACGTCCATCCTTTAACAGAAGAAGCAATTGAAGAGATGGAGAGAGATGGCCTAGAAAGGGCTATTGCTTTCACACAGTATCCACAGTACAGCTGCTCCACCACAGGTAAGGGCATCTCTCTGACAGTGGAAAGGTAGATACGGTGCTGGCAAAAATAACCAAGGAGTCTAAGTACTGAAGGGAAGGATGAATTATTTGCAATTTGAATGGCAAATTCAACCTGTCTTCTTTAAACACGAGAGTTCAGGTCAGTCCATTTGAAATCTCATGGTCCATCTGTCCCTTGAATTATTGGCCACTTGGCTGGTAATTACAAATGGTGTGGGTGGTAGGCAGTGGCTGTCAGTGTTCAGTGCTTTAATGCCATTGTGTAATGGATCAGTAATGAACCTTAAGGCTCTTTCTGGGTTTGTGTGATAAACCTTTTTATGGCTACCCAGATTTTCTTACTGATGTAGCAAAGATTGTAACTGTTCTCATTTTGAAAGCAAAGATGCCCATACAACATGGGAAATACTGATATTTTGTTGCTGTTGTCGTTGTTTTGCTTCAGTTATGAGTTGGTTGCTGGTAAAACTAAAGCCCAGTTTGGGGTTCCCTTTGCAGAATTTTCTGTTTTCTTGATTTTGGAAAATGTTACTGCTTGTCGTTTTCTGTATATTTAACTGGAGCTGGGGAATAATTGGTGTTTGGCAATCTCTGTATCATTCATTGTAGGCAAAGCTGCTACTGTCACCCACAGACACATTTGTTTGCATTCCATTGCAAGGATTGAAGTCAGCACATTCTTAGTCCCAAATTGCTTTTGGATATTAATGTTTATCACTTCTATAACCATAAGGAGAATCAAAAGGCTATTGGAAAAAGTCAAAGCTTGTTATGTGCCTTAAATATTTGTTCAGAGAACCCATTAAAATGCCTGAGTTCTAAGATACCCTCAAGAGTTTGAATTATCATTTCTTTCTTTTTTTTTTTTTTTCTGAGATGGTATCTTGCTCTGTCATTGCAACCTCCATCTCCCGGGTTCAAGTGATTCTCCTGCCTCAGCCTCCTGAGTAGCTGGGATTGCAGGCATGTGCCACCACGCTCGGCTAATTTGTGTATTTTTGGTAGAGATGGGGTTTCACCATGTTGGCCAGGCTGGTCTCAAAATCCTGGCCGCAAATGATCCACCCACCTCAGCCTCCTAAAGCACTGGGATTACAGGCGTGAGCCACCGCACTCAGCCTGAATTATTATTTTTCTTTTGGAAATGCACCACTACAACTTCAAAATGTCTGGTCATATGTTACTGGAGAAGGAGTCAGATTTTATGAATTTTTAAGCTCTACTTTTGCCTTGTTTTAAGAAATATACCTCAATATGTAAATGGCTGCTCTCACAATTAGATAAATTAAGAAGATTGTTATTTACATGACAGAAGATTGACTATGGTTTTTATTTCAGGGCTGGCTCTACCAAGTGACAGTGTATGCAAAACTTCACTGTATGCTTAGTTTTTCTTGAATGTATCTCATGTAAGGACAGGTACATCCGTCTATCCAAGTTGTGGAAGGCTTTGCGAAGTACGTTAATTCTTCGAGGCCACTCAAATGCTGTTTATCTGTTGTATCTTTTAGACTGGCACTATTGTGGCAGAGCCAGTGTGTGTCTTTATCACAAACACATTTCTCAGTCACATTTTCTCCTTAATGACTTCTTTGGGTTGTTTGTTGAATGTTTCCACACAACCTGAAAGAGCTAATGTAGCTTCCAGATGCCCCCTTGCACATATGAAAATGATATCCACCTGTGAAGTGCGGTCTGTAACGTGAATATGGTCGTGACAACTTTTTGATTTCTGGAGAGATTGTTTCTGAACCTTGAATGGAGTCCCTTTGAATTCTTCTGATTCACTGTATTCTACTCACCAAAATTGAACCTGTTTATCTTTTTGGAAGTTGAGTCTTAGTCTGAGAGTATATGTGATTTAAGATATGCTCTCTCCTGACTACCATTTTCAACTGGAAACCTAACTAATAGTTCTTATAGTTAGAGAGCCCAGTGGATCGGTGATGGAAAGCATGGAAATGTTTTGGGACTTGCCCTATGTTAAGACTGAGGAAGAGGCTGTGTGTTAGACTTGGTTTCATAGGATTCAGGTGTGACCCCAATGCTAACTCCCCTAGACAGGAAAAAGTTACATTGGGTTGACACCATCTGCCTTCCTTTAGGCTTTGAGTTTTCATGATTTCCATCTCTCTCTTAGAAATATAAGTTTATTAGATTACTTATAAGGATTTGGTGTCCATTTAGCTTATTCTAGGGAATGAGAACTCACAGAAACTTCAATAATTTTCTCTCCTTATCATGAGGCCATTAATAACAATAGTTATGCTGGGCGCGGTGGCTCACCCCTGTAATCCCAGCACTTTGGGAGGCCCAGGCGGGCAGATCACCTGAGGTTGGGAGTTTGAGACCAGCCTGACCAACATGGAGAAACCCCGTCTCTACTAAAAGTAAAAAATTAGCCAGGCGTAGTGGCATATACCTGTAATCCCAGCTACTTGGGAGGCTGAGGCAGGAGAATCACTTGAACCCAAGAGTTGGAGGTTGCGGTAAGCTGAGATCGCGCCACTGCACTCCAGCCTGGGCAACAAGAGCAAAACTCCATCTCACAAACAAACAATAGTTACAAAGCTTTTATCATAACATGGAAAATATTTATTTCATAATATTAAGTAAAGATGCTCAAAATACTCAGCATGCAGAATTGCATATGTATTAAAAATTACAACTTTGTAAAACAAAACATCTATAAAGAAAAAAAGAACCATATTAGAGTAAAGCAATGACTGTAATTAGCATGCTGGGATAATGGTCAGTTTCTTTTTTCCTTTCTTCCCCATCGCATACATTTCCTATAATGGGATTGATAACCTTTGTAACTGGAAAAAAAATAACATACTTTTTTTTTTTTTTTTTTTTTTTTGGGACGGAGTTTCGCTCTTGTTGCCCAGGCTGGAGTGCAATGGCACGATCTCAGCTCACCATAACCTCCACCTCCTGGGTTCAAGCGATTCTCCTACCTCAGCCTCCTGAGTAGCTGGGATTACAGGTGCACCACCATGCCTGGCTAATTTTGTATTTTTTAGTAGAGATAGGGTTTCTCCACGTTGGTCAGGCTGGTGTCAAACTCCCAACCTCAGGTGATCCACCAGCCTTGGCCTCCCAAAGTGCTGGGATTACAGGCGTGAGCCACCGTGCCTGGCCGACATACTTTGAATTGTAAGACTTGGTCCCTGTAAATATGACTGCTTATATTTCATAACTTTACGGCCATCTTGTTTTTCACTAGAACTGACATCAATAATCTTTGAAAGTCCATTGAAATTGATTGCTTTTTAGTGATCTTCATTTGCAGGGTAGTTAAATCTATATGCATTTTAGAGTATTGAAATGATTGTAATTAGACTGATTCAGTAAAGAAGCAGTTACCTGCTTTGAACTTATATATACTACCTTTACGAGTCTGTTTTTTATTTTCACCATAATCAAAATGCATCTACTAAGTGGTCTCTGTATATTTCAGGCAGCAGCTTAAATGCCATTTACAGATACTATAATCAAGTGGGACGGAAGCCCACGATGAAGTGGAGCACTATTGACAGGTGGCCCACACATCACCTCCTCATCCAGGTAAGCCAGTGCTTGCCAGCTGCCTGTCACCCCAGCATCTAGTGTGAATCAGCTTCTCATCCCTTCTGGGTTTGTGGATGTCCTTCTGAGCCTTACTGTTCCCTTGCTTAAATTGTGTGTTTGGGATTAAATAAAAGTATTATATTCTTGATTTATTATGAAAAGAGAAAATACATTTAAAGATTAAAATGACTAGACTCTTCTTTCTTCAGATTAATGCTATTAGTCCCAAACCATAACAAAACGATATTTTGAGTTTTGTGTTTCCTATGACCAGAAGAGCATTAAAGATTGTGCATGGTGTTTCAGCTAACTTACATTTGTAGGTTGAGTGACTGACCAACGAATTAAATTTTCTACTTTCTAAATCCTTTAAAATGTCAAACGATTTTAATAATGTAAAAGTAATATATCTACATGTTCTGAGACATGAAAATAAATTGAACATTTCGATTGAGAAAGTTTCACATATTAAAAGAAATTTCATATTTCTTCTATGCAATTTATATTTATAATATTTTTATTAACAGATGCTTGATTTTAGGAGAATAAGTTAAAATTACAGTTCTAAAGTTAATAGCTTTGAACTGATGTTACCATATTCTTTTCTGCCTGTCAAATATGGGAGGGCAATTGGTAAAATATTGCCCTAAATTATGCAAATATAATTTTGTTCTGCTAGTAGAAGTTTCTGCTTTTGAGTTATTTTAGGTAGGGGAAATATTAAGTCATTTAGATTTGATCCATTTTATTTTTCACTCCTTGAACGTTTTCTGACTCCCGGCAAAAAACCCTACTAACAACTTCTTTAGAAGCCTGGTGTCATTTAAATCTGTGACCACTAGATGGTGCTAGACATCATTGAAATCAGGCCAGCTCTCCCCAGAGCAGTGTTCCTTAGGCATGTAAAGGGTTAACACTTGGGTTGAAATCCAATTTTAAGTAAAAACTGAAAAGAAGGAGCTTACCCTTAGGGGTGGGTGTAGTTGTGGTCTCTGTGTGCACCATTGATGGCTGTGTTGCTGGGTCCAGCCAGTACTGCCTGAAGCACCAGCAGCCTGGGTTTTGCTTTGGGAGGCCTGCGATTGGAAAGGAGGGGGGTTTCAGGTCAGCATTGACATGTGGTAGCAGGGAATGGAGGGATCTGCACAGCATCTGCCTGCCCTGATCAAGTGAGTAATTAGATTTGCATTAAAATTCAGCCCTTTGAAAAGGAGGGAAGCAAAACGATGGAAAGGTCTCTTAACTGAGGAAGTCTCTGTTCATAAAATGAAAGGGAATTTTAGAGGCATTTATCTGCCCTCCTAGATGGTGTGATTGAAGGCTCTGAGAGGCTCGGTGCCTCTTTCATTCTGCAGAGAGGTTGGGAGTAGAAAATACCGCAGATGGGTTTTAGGTGATTTAAATAGCACTTCTCCTTGCCCATGGCGCCTCAGTTTTGAAGATGGCTTAGAGGCTGTTGCAAGCCATATGATTTGTGTTTTTACTTGCAGCTTTGCAAGCCGAGAAAAGAAAAACACTAGGCTTTGGATACGATATGACATTTTTGGAAACCAGAAAACAAAACCCTAAACTAAAATGAAAAATATAGTTTAAAACTACAAATTCTGTTTTGAATCCACATTTCTGCTTGGCATAGGTAGTAATTGCTCCAAATAGCCATTTTATTACTGTTTTCTCTAATATTGGTATTTATTTAGCTGTTGGGTTAATTGGAGCAAATTTATCTTCTAGGCTCCTGTATAAACCTTGCAGTGGGCCTCCTTATCTAGGCTGAGGTCCAAAAATAATCCTTTCTGAGCATCTTTAGTTTCCAAACACTGCAAAGACCAGAAAATATTGGTTTCGTTTGTATCTAATCCTGTCACATTTGCTGAGAATTTACATTATAAATTCTGAAAAGGGAACTTAACTTTAGGTACCATTTTATGCCTTAGGATATTTATTTACCAAATTTTGAGAGTTCTGGAAAGATTAATAATATCTCAATATTTATTAGGGAATAGTTTGCTTATCCCATAGTTTTCACTGACCACTGATGTATCAAAATACCAACAAGTGCAGATTTACATGTTTCTGATAAATTGTCCTTTATAATTTTTAAAAAGTTACAAAGGACCATTTAGAAATAATTTTAGATATGCAGAAAAGTTACAAGATTAAGAATAGTATAAGGAACTCTCATCTACTCTTTTACCTATATTACTGTATTATTATTATTTTGAGGCAGGGTTTCACTCTGTTGCCCAGGCTGGAGTTGAGTGGAACGATCATAGCTCACTGCAACCTTAACCTTCTGGGCCCAGGTGATCCTCCCGCCTCAGCCTGCTGAGTAGCTGGGACCACAGGCAGGTGCCATCACACCCTGCTAATTTTTAAAAATGTTGTGGAGATTAGGTCTTTCCATGTTGCTCAGGCTAGTCTTGAACTTCTGGGCTCCAGCAGTCGTCCAACCTTGGCCTCCCAAAGTGCTGGGATTACTGGCGTGAGCCACTGCGTCTGGCCTATTGATGTGTTATTAACATGTATATCCCACTTGCTTTATCATTTACACGCCCCGTGTGTGTGTATGTATGTGTGTGTGTCTGTGTTTGTATAAACATGATTTCTTTTTCTGACCCATTTGAGAATAAGTTATGCATATATCACCATCCTCTACACCTAAACACTTAAGTGTGTTTTCTAAAATCAGGAATATTCTCTTACATAACCACAATACAACATTCAACTTCAGTAAATTTAACGTCAATATTTAAACTTTTACTTAATTTACATTCATATTCTGATTTTGTCAGTTGACCCATTTGTGTCTTTTGTAGCATTTTTTTATAAGCTAAATGACAGAGAATGATTAAAGTATAAGACGAAAGAAAGCCCCTTCAGTTCTGGTATTTCAGCACCTATCGACGTGAATCAAAGTGCCGGCTAGACGAAGGGAGCTCCCTGGTCTGGTGGACAGAGATTTGGAGGGGGAGGCAGGAACCATGTTCTTTCTCAAGTTCCACAGATGTGACTGAATGGGCCCCTAAGTTTACCACATCTTTCCCGGCTCTGTGAATTTAATGGGTGTGTATCACCTGTCATCTGTTGTTGTGAAGGTTTTTATAAAAATTGACTTGATGGGGATATGAGGCTCAGAAGAAACTGTTATAAAAATAGAGCAGTATTTTCTTATTTCCCTACTATTCCTGACTAATGTATTTAATGTGGTATGCCTGAAAGCCAAACTAAGGAGGCTTTAGAAAGACCCTGTAAGCTGTTTTCCTGCTAACGGAGCAAATGAGAGGTCTTAAAACAACTCCTTCCCATCTGTGTTTCCTTTCCATCTGGAAGTGTGCCCTGTCCTTCCCGAGGGGAAGCAGATCCACAGCGCGCATTTGCAGTGAGCCATTAGCGAGCTTTAGAAGTTTCCCAGCAAATTCCCTAGGCCCCTGAAACTGTTATGATCCATTTTGATGATAAACCAATGCTGAGAGGCTGGACTGTTTGCAATTTTTTAAAAAAGAGAGTTCGGATTTTTGAGGGTTGCTCTGAGATTTTTGGTGTAGGCTTCATTTTAAAATTATTTTCTTTTTCCTTCCATTTCTTTCTTCCCTTCCTCTTTATCCTCCTTTCTTGTTACTCACTCAGTGCTTTGCAGATCATATTCTAAAGGAACTGGACCATTTTCCACTTGAGAAGAGAAGCGAGGTGGTCATTCTGTTTTCTGCTCACTCACTGCCCATGTCTGTAAGTAAGAACATTTTCTGGGATGACCTAGTGATAGAGGATTGGGTGATTTCATTTTCTAAATGTGTAAAATGGGTCCAGCTTCCATTATGTCCTAAGCCCAGTGCAAGAATGAATTCTCAAATCTCAGACTTGGTGCTAACTAGCCTCACTTCTTAAAACCTCGTAACAATGAATTCAAATTATAATGTTGTAAATAGATCTTTTCCTCTTTTCTTTTTTTTGAAACAGAGTCTTGCTGTGTCACCCAGGCTGGAGTGCAATGGTGCAGTCTCGGCTCACTGCAACCTCCACCTCATGGGCTCAAGCAGTTCTCTTGCCTCAGCCTCCCAAGTAGCTGGGATTACAGGCACCCACCACCATGCCTGGCTAATTTTTTGTATTTTTAGTAGAGACTGGGTTTCACCATGTTGGCCAGGCTGGTCTCAAACTCCTGACCTTAGGTGATCCACCCGCCCAGGCCTCCCAAAGTACTGGGATTTCAGGTGTGAGCCACCACACCCAGCTCCTCTTTTCTTTAAAATGATAACTTGAAGATATATATAAGACTTTCTAATAAGTGGGACAGTTAAGAGAAGGCTGCTTTTGCCTGCCCTGTCAGCAGAGCTCAGCTTGATGTTTCTGTGTGTTGAGTGGGGGGGTCTCCATTCAGACAAGCGCTCTCAATCCCATGCTTTTGTCCTCAGGACTTGTTAGGCAGCCATTGCAGTTTGCTAAGACTCAGGACCACATTTTTGCAAGTGAATATAGAGGATCAAGTTGGGATCTGGCTGTTCCTTAGTTCATCATATTACACTAGGCTATTCATCCAGATGCTACAATCTGTGCCATAGCTGTTGTATTGTTGGAAACAAGAATGATCAAGCTAGTGTACTGTATGATATATAGAAGCGCTTGGAATAAGCAACCAGTTTCATCTGCTCAGAACTAGCATTCTATCCTAAAACCAGTGCTTTCCAACCCAGAGAGGTGGATAATTACATCTTCACAGGGGTGATTGAGGTTTTAACAATGTCGGGAATGGAGTCAGCCTCAGTGTCTGGGCCACTCTTGTAACTGGGCCTTACCGCCCCCTGGTGGCTACTAGGGCCAAGCCTCTGCAGATTTTCCACTCATCGTCTCTGCTGGGCCTCGTGTGGACGGTAGGAGGCTCTGAAGATAAATTCCTCTCTTCTGGAAGCCTGCCTATTTTAATGGGTTTGCTTTTCCTTTTCTGGTGTCATGCAATCCTTTTCACATGTCCATCCTCCTGCCACTTCATCCTATGTAAGGTGAGACCTCGCCTGAGATGCCAGAAGGGAAGCCCTTGAACCAGCCTGGAGCAAACACATTTGCTTTGCTTTTTTTTTGAGACGGGTCTTGCTCTGTTGCCCAGGCTGGAGTGCAGTGATGCGATCACAGCTCACCGTAGCCTCCACCTCCTGGGTTCAAGCGATTCTCCTGCCACAGCCTCTTGAGTACCTGGGACCACAGGCACACGCAACCACGCCTGGCTAATTTTTTGTATTTTTAGTAGAGACGGGGTTTCCCCATGTTGCCCAGGTTGGTCTCAACCTCAAGTGAGCCACTCACCTTGGCCTCCCAAAGTGCTGGGATCACAGGCATGAGCCACCGTGCCTGGCTGAAACCCATTTTTGTATGTGGGGATTCCGGTGCTGCCTTGCCTCCTCTGACCGTGGCCTCACTTCCTTATTCTTTCACCTGGGGACGGAGCACGCTGCTTCCAGGTTTGGCTGCTGGAGCGTCCTTGTGGGACCGGGAAATGCCACAGTGTCATAAGGATAAGTCAGGTATGGGGAGGACATTGGAGAGTTGAGAAAGAACACTGATCTAGCACACTCTTCTCTTCCCCTGCGTTCCCTTCTGACAACTTTTTAAACTTTATTTTGAAGAAATTTTTAGACTTACAGAAAACTGATTAAAAGAGTACAGAGTTAAAAGAGTACATATACCCTCTACTCAGCCTCTCCCAGTGTTAACATCTTACACAACCACTGTACAGTTACCAACGCTGAGAAACCAGCGCTGGTACAATACTATTAACTGCACTCCAGGCTTCATGTGGATGCCACTTGTGTTTCCAAAAATGTCCTTTTTCTCTCCCAGGACCCAGTCCAGGGTCCCACACTGTGTGTGGCTGTGGGGTTTCCTCAGCATCCTCCAATCTGTGACAGTCCTGATACTTGGCTTGTCTTTCATCAGCTTGACTTTTTTTTTTTTTTTTTTTTTTTTTTGAGACAGGGTCTCACTCTGTCACTCAGGCTGGTGTGCTGTGGTGCAGTCACGACTCACTGCAGCCTCGACCTACCAGACTTGGGTGAGCCTCTCACCTCAGCCTCCCGAGTGACTGGGACTACAGGTGCACACCACCACACCCAGCTAATATTTGTATTTTTTGAAGAGACAGGGTTTCACCATGTTGCCCAGTCTGGTCTCGACCTCCTGGGCCCAGGTGATCCACCCACCTCAGCCTCCCAAAGCGCTGAGATTGTAGGTGTGAGGCGCCACGCCCCACCACACGTTGATATTTCTGAGGAGTCATTTTTAGGATGTCAGTTGTTTTCTGGTGCGTCCCTCCATCTGGGTTCGTCTGAAGTTTTCTCATGATTAGGTTGCGGTGATGCATCATTGGCAAGAACCCACAGGGGTGCGGGGCCCTGCTCTGTGCCTCACACCCGGGGGTCTGTGATGCCAGCGTGCTTTTCTACTGGTGATGTGATCCCTGGCCACTTGTTTAAGGGTGTGTCTGCTGTGTTGATCCATCCTAAAATTACTATTTTTCTCTTTGTAATTAAAAATATCTTGGAGGAGATACTTTAAGACAATACAGAGATTTTGTTATTTCCTAGCATCCATGGGTAGATCGTGTTTGTAGTAATTACCACATTGCTGTCCTAATGGCAACTTTGTGTTTCCTTCATTCCATCTACATTTATGCCTCCCATGGCTTTTAAACAGACCAGTAGTAATAATCATAAAATAATTTGTCAGTATATATATATAATTTTTTGTTTTCGAGATGGAGTCTTGCTCTGTCACCCAGGCTGGAGTGCACTGGTGCAATCTCGGCTCACTGCAGCTTCCGCCTCCTGAGTTCAAGTGATTCTTCTGCCTCAGCCTCCTGAGTAGCTGGAATTATAGGTGTGCGCCACCACACCAGGCTCATTTTTGTATTTTTAGTACAGACAGGGTTTCACCATGTTGGTGAGGCTGGTCTCGAACTCCTGACCTCAGGCGATCAGCCCACCTCAGCCTCCCAAAGTGCTGGGATTACAGGCGTGAGCCACTGCGCCCCATCTATCAGTATATTTCATTTCACCAATATTTATTGAGCACCTGCTATATTCCAGGCACTGTTTCCAGCCATATCATAGGATATGGGAATGAAGAAAACAGAGAAAAATCTTTGTTTGCAGAGAGTAGGGAGAAAAGATAATAAACATAATACATATGAAAATGGTATGGTAGATTAGCAGGCAATATATGTTATAGAAGAAAATAAAGCCAGGTGAGGGCTAGGGAGTCAGTACACAGTAAATATTTAAAGCATTAAAATTTGCATTGAAAATTTTCAAAGGTATTAACAAGGGATCATGTATGAAACATTTGCTGTGCACAAAGTGTTTGCCTGTTGTCCATTGTTGCAGGAAGAGTGGGGAGAGAGGAAGTGGAAGGTGCAGGTCACACTCTTGGAGGTGCCTGTAACCTGCAGTGATGTGCTGCTGCTTTCCTCCTCTAATTCCACCAGGGTTTACCATAAATCCAGCAGTTCTGTACATTGTCCATGCAGCACTGTTTCAGTTCCTGTTGTGAAATCAACTACACACATGACCACCAGGGTAGAAGTTCCCATCCTGCCCAGCTTTTCTGTGTCTTCTTCATCTATTGGATGAGGGAGAGAGAACCATCCTCTTTAGTTAGATCTTGTGAGTCCCCCATGAATAACGTGGAACATGGAATTCTCCACCCTCTTAGGGACCTTAGAGATGATTGACTGCGGTGTTTTTCTTTGGCTGATGAAGAAGTGGAACTAAGGAAGTTTGGTGATTGAACTCAGACCATATCATCATTGGTGCAGGAGACAGAAAGGGAGGGCTTTGTTCCAGGGCTCACACTGTGTCAGCACATAGTCAGAGGCTCTCGGGGCCTTCCCAGTGTTAATGGCTGAACACCCATTGTGTCTCTGCTGCAGGTGGTCAACAGAGGCGACCCATATCCTCAGGAGGTAAGCGCCACTGTCCAAAAAGTCATGGAAAGGCTGGAGTACTGCAACCCCTACCGACTGGTGTGGCAATCCAAGGTAAGTGGCTTCCACACTGGCGGGCGGCCAGCTCTTATTGGTAAAATTTATTTTATGAGTTATAAAATGGTTAGATTTGGCTCTTACACATGGTCAGGCTCTTCCATAACCTGATTGCTCACCATGGGCAGAAAGAACTCTGCAAGCGAGTAAGATAGAAGGGGAAATCAAGTGACTCGTGGAGCTCCATTGGTTTAATATTTTACCTTTAGCTGCAATGACAGAAACTGTTATTTATTTATATTGAGGCAACTTCTAGGATTCAAGTTTCCATGTGAAAATATCAAAATCCATTCAAGCAGGTGTAAAGAGTGGCTCTTGCCCGCAGTGGGCAGTGCGTGTGCCCAGGGGGGCAAACAGGGGTACTACAGACCGTCAGGAGGCATAGTCCACTTACGCATTCGTCTATCTTTCGCATAGGTTGGTCCAATGCCCTGGTTGGGTCCTCAAACAGACGAATCTATCAAAGGGCTTTGTGAGAGGGGGAGGAAGAATATCCTCTTGGTTCCGATAGCATTTACCAGTGACCATATTGAAACGCTGTATGAGCTGGACATCGAGTACTCTCAAGTTTTAGCCAAGGAGGTAAATGCACCCATCTGCCTTTTTCCCATCATGACTTGTTTTAAAAGGAAATTTTTTCTGCAACTAACTAATGTATCATTCAGAAATATTGTTTACTGTATTTGTTTGCATGTACGGTGTCCTCATTCTCCTGAATAATACTTCATCTGAGTAATAATCTCAACACATTGAGTTAATTCCATGCAGTGGGAGGGGAAACCTGTGCTTTCCTTAAACCAGGTGCCCCAGGGATCACTGTGGCTGACATCATTTTGTTTAGTTTGAGTTACTGGGCTACTCGAAAGTAATAACAACTATATTTCTTTAAGAAAAAAGAAATGTACTTCTCACTAATTCCAAAGGAAAACATTTTATTGTTTTATAATTTCTTTTCTTTGCCTAATCATGACCTTTACTCAGGGCTATTATTACATGGCTTCTTGTTGAGTGTCAAGGCATATAGGAGTCATTGTCATTTAAAAGAAGAGCGTGAAATGAACATGGAAGCAATGTGTGATGTGATTTCCTTGACCTCTTTTATGCACTCACTTAATTAGCTGTTTGCTGTTATGTTGTGATCAATCTGATTATTGAAATAACAAATACCATCTTTGGTGTCTTGTAATATGAGATAGATGTGAATTGTCATTCAGGGAGGAGAAAAACTATTGTTCATCTATGTCCTGGCTTTTGAGAGCCAGCCTAAAACCTATTCCAATATATAGCTTTATTTTTATGGGAAGTGTGGAAGCGTTGGGACCCAAGAAACCCTTTCCTCCCTCTCTGCCAGAGTTTCTGGCCCTGGTCACCCCAAGTATGATAGATGGAGGACCATCCTGCAGGAGACTTCACCCTCTCTGGGACTGGGCAGCAGGTGTAGGGCAGGGTAGAGAGTGGGTGGGGGCAGAACTTGAGCCAACACCTGATCCCCGTGGAATTTGAATTTCCATGCTGGACATCAATCAGACATGGGTGAAGTTAGGGAGCACCTAAGTTTCTTGTCAGTGGTTCTGACACAGGATTTGCAGGCAAGTTGTAATTGGCTAAGAAATGGTTGCAGCATTGTCTATGGATTTTGTTTAAAGATGCCTTCTGTATCTCACTATGAGCTTGGCTAATTGTGAACTTGCTAAAACTTCAGTGAAAATATAGTTTATACCAATATGTTTGGAAATCAATTTTTTTATTTTAAATTTATTATGATTTTATAAATTTGCTTAGAGATGAAATCTGGCTCTGTCAACCAGGCTGGGGTGCAGTGGCACAATCATAGCTCCCTTTAGCCTCAAAATCCCAGGCTCAGGTGATCCTCTCCTCAGCTACCTGAGTAGCTGGGACTACAGGTGCACATGGAATTTCAGTGTTGGTATATATTTTTCTAGTCAGTGTATCGCTGACTCTCCCATCAACATTGTTGGAGAATGCCCTTTACCAACGCTGGTTATTCTGTTGTAACTGACTTTTATATGAAGTTTGAGAATACAGCCTCTTCAGTTGAGATCCATGTGTTTGCTGAATCTCAACGTTTTTCCCATGCCAGTCTCCTGATGTTAATGCTAATCTAAAAGATCAAGTAGCTGAGGCCAGGTGTGGTGGTTCACACCTGTAATCTCAGCACTTTGGGAATCCGAGGCAGGTGGATCACCTGAGGTCAGGAGTTTGAGTCCAGCCTGGCCAACATGGTGAAACCCCATCTCTACTAAAATACAAAACTTAGCTAAGCGTGGTGGTACGTGCCTGTAATCCCAGCTACTTGGGAGCCTGAGGCAGGAAAATCACTTGAATCTGGGAGGTGGAGGTTGCAATGAGTTGAGATCGCACTACTGCACTCCAGCCTGGGCAACAGACTGAGACTGCCTCTCAAAAAATAAATAAATAAATAAATAAAATAAAATAAATAAAAAATAAAAGATCAAGTAATTGAAAAGCTATCAAAAGAAAAGGGAAAGAGAAGAATCCTAACTACCTGAGTAAATCATAATTAGACCATTTTCAGTTATTAGGCAGTGGATATTTTTGGAGCCGGGAGCAGGGATGGTACAGAAACAATCCTCCCATTGTTTTCCTTTAGATTTTTCTCCATAAGAATATATTTCAGGCCAGACTTGGTGGCTCACACCTGTAATCCCAGCACTTCGGGAGGCTGAGGCGGGTGGATCGTTTGAGGTCAGGAGTTCGAGACCAGCCTGGCCAACATGGTGAAACCTTGCCACTACCAAAAATACAAAAATTAGCTGGGCATGGTGGTGCATGCCTGTAATCTCAGCTACTTGAGAGGCTGAGGCAGGATGATCCCTTGAACCCGGGACGCAGAGGTTGCAGTGAGCCGAGATTGCGCCACTGCACTCCAGCCTGGGTGACAGAGCAAGACTCCATCTCAAAAAAAAAAAAAAGAAAAAAGAATATATTTTAAAACCCAACTCTGAATTGGTTCCAGTGTAGGTCCAATACATATTTTATAGTCGATAAGTTAATTTACCTCATTTTGGCACTTGGGATCAAAACAAGTATGAAACTATATTTACAGTAACATTCTACTTAGGAAGAGTCTGTAAAATTATGCACTAGCAAAAGAGAATAAAAAAAGAATGGTAAACAGATTTAAATTGCTTGAGAATTTCATCAAGTGTAACCACAAAAAGGATTTGCAAACAAACCACCTTTAGGAAGGTAATGGGGAAGGGGAAGGACATAAGAATTGAGGAATAATTTATGATAACAGAATCAACATACAGCCCTGCCCCATGAGTATTTTTCATTAATGAGCAGTCTGCGAACAGTTGAAGTCAGACTTTGAATTGTGTGTGTGTATCTGTGTGTATTTATTTTTTTGTAGCAGTTTCTTTGAAAAAAAAAGGAAAATAAAATATATCTGTGTTTTTCCTCCCTTTTCTCATTTGATTCAGTGTGGAGTTGAAAACATCAGAAGAGCTGAGTCTCTTAATGGAAATCCATTGTTCTCTAAGGTATCTACAGTGTTACAATCGTTTTAGTAGAACATACCAGAGAGTAATCCTCTGAGAAACTCTTGCAGAATATTGGTTTTTCTCACATATTAGAACATTTGGAGTTCCAATTAATTACAAAAATAAAATCGAATTCCTTATCTGCTCAGTCTTTTTTCCTTCAGATAGCCCCAATTTTCTGATTTCTACCCACCTATAACTATGTCTGATTTAAAACCTGCTTTCCAGAGAAAAGGCCTAGTGGGTAGGGTAAGAGGTTTTCATCTCCTGAAATCTCTGTTTTAACTTTCTGTAAGCTGAGGATTCTCAGGAAAGGAAGATGCTGTAGAATTTGGTTCAAAGGGCTCACCACTCGGATGAAAAGAAACCCCAAGCCAGAGCGCTGACCTGGGCAGCTGGAGGAGGGGGCATGGCAGACGAGCAGACCCTGTGCTTCTCATGCGTCTTTGCCTCTTGTCTATCTTCCAGGCCCTGGCCGACTTGGTGCATTCACACATCCAGTCAAACGAGCTGTGTTCCAAGCAGCTGACCCTGAGCTGTCCGCTCTGTGTCAATCCTGTCTGCAGGGAGACTAAATCCTTCTTCACCAGCCAGCAGCTGTGACCCCCGCCGGTGGACCCCGTGGCGTTAGGCAAATGCCCAACCTCCAGATACCTCCGATGTGGAGAGGGTGTTATTTAGAGATCAAGGAAGGAAGTCATCCTTCCTTGATATATATACAGCCTTTGGGTACAAATTGTGTGGTTTCTTGAGGATTGGACTCTTGATGGATTTCTATTTTTATATAACTATACAGTAAGCATTTGTATTTTCTCTCTCTAGGTATAAGTTACTAGTTTGGAATGTCCATCAGGACCTTTAATAAATGAGTTAAAAATTTGTCTTATGAGACACACCTATTTAAGTACAGATTTTGGCTTTATTGCCCAAAACCCTCCTGAAAGGGTACGGAGAGTCCCCTCTGTGGGCTGGCAGTGTGAATGAGATCTGTTTAGTCTCGTGCATATAGTTGCTGTTTTTTAAATGAACACAGTTGAGTATTTGAAGTGAATTTGAAAAAGAAATGTTACTTAATCTTTCCCTAAGCCCATGGGTTACAGAATGCTAGGGAGGCAATTTGGTTACCTGCAATGGCTGCTTTTGCCAGCGAGGCCACCATTCATTGGTCATCTTGGTATTTGTGTGTGAATCTCACTTTCCTCAATGTAAAAAGGAATCAAGTATGGATTTCAGAGGTGCTCTTAGATTCCCCATACACCCAAGGGTAATAAACGTGTACAAGTACAGTGTTCATGATACGTGCCTTGGTGGGAGTCCGTGGTGCCACAGGGAAGGGGCTCCCACTGCTTCTGGTCTCCAGGGACAGTGCTGCTGGAAAGGCTAGTGATGAGCTTCACCCTGGAGCTCCTCCCGGGACCTTGCAAGCCTCTCCATCCAGCATCTTCTCTATCTTAGTTGAATGCCTTCTTTCTGAACATTTGTTTTAAGAATTATTTTATAAAGTCAACAATACTTTGCTTGAATTCTTTCTTAATTTACGATTTTTTATTATAAAAATGTATAGTGATACAATGGGACATGTGAAGAATACAGAAAAGTAACCACTTTAATGCAATAACTGTTATCATAATATTGTATTTCGTGGTAGTCCTTTCCTGTAGATATTTTTAATGCCATTTAATGCCATTGTCACCTTGGATTTATGAGTGAAAAGTGTTTCTAAAAATATAGAAATAATGTCAGATCAGAGTCTGATCTTCTATGTTTGTATTTAAATGGATTAAAAGATCCCCGGTGGTTCCATGAAGAATTTGTAAAGATCACTTTCTCTTTCCTCCAAGCCCTGAAACTTTGTTCTTCAAAAGAGCGTTTCTTTTTTTTTTTTTTTTTAGCCAGTTTATAAAGTGGAAGTATTAGGAGATTCATAAATCTTCTATATTGAGAATTGGCTATGTTAATAAATATTACAACATCATTAAGGTTTTAGCTAAGTTTGATTCATGCTGTCTGTTAAATCAAAACTGATCTAAATCAGAATTATTAAATGTGAGGAGCTTTTTTAATACAGGAAAAGAAACATGTCATCCACTTGAGTTAATAGTTTTCCTACGTTGATGACAGCCCTCATGAGTAGCATCCACATTTTTAAAATTTCAAATTGGTTTTTCTACTAGTAGATTGTGTTTCTAGAGAAAGATACAAGGCATAGGTGATTGTTTAGGATTTTCCTCTAGCCTTTGCCATTACCTTTTTGGGGATGAGGTTCACAGTAGACTTTGAGTGACCGTCCCACCGTGAAGTGAATTCTCTGAGCTGGTGGTGTGGTGCTGGAAGGAAGGTTATTTTTGGAGCCACTCTCTCCCCTTAAGGATATTTCCCAAGGGCCTGCTTCAATTCTTTGATGACTTTAGAGGTGAAAAAATATTTTTATGGAGATGATGCAGAAAACTCCAATTCAGGAGCCCTTGCGAGTATATCTGAAGCACTTATTTGCTAAGGAAACCTGAATTGATAGCAGTACTGTGCTGTCTGGAATAATGTCCTTGATACTGAGTTGGGACCAGACTGGCTTTTATAGTGACAGGCAAAGAGGAATTTATTGAGATCACTGCTCATGGCATTTGTTGCTGTAAGAAGTGTTGCCTTTGATTGTTACTAACCACGGATGGGTAACGGTCATACATTAGGCTAGTGTTTGGTAGGACAAAATCTTTTTAGAGCTTTGAGAATTGTCATCCTGTTGGTCAACTTTGAAATACAAATGTTTGCCCTGGTAATTAGCAATGAACTGCTGGCAGTTTCTTCAGCTGTGTATATACGGATCTGGCTTTTAATTGATGAATCAACTTCTACAGAAACTTTTGCAGGGACAGTGTTGATGAGGCAGTTTAGCTTGCCAGGGTGATGATAAAGCCCAGGTCCCTGCATGTATAGTGCTCTTCTAAAGAATATGCATTCTTGAACTACTTAACTTTTTAAAAATCACAATAAATTTTTGCACTCAAAATTTGCTTCGTATCAGGAGAAATGAACTCATTGTTTTGTTTTGTTTTTTTTTTTTTTTAAGATGGAGTCTTGCTATGTCACCCAGGCTGGAGGGCAGTGGTGCGATCTCGGCTCACTGCTACTTCCACCTCCTGGGCTCAAGTGATCCTCCCACCTCAGCCTCCAAGTAGCTGGGACTACAGGAGTGCTTCACCACGCTGGGCTACTTTTTTATATTTTTTGTAGAGATGGGGTTTTGCCATGTTGTCCAGGCTGGTCTTGAACTCCTGGGCTCAAGGGATTCTCCTGCCTCAGTCTCCCAAAGTGCTGGGATTACAAGGATGAGCCTCTGCACCTGGCCCTGAACTCATTATTAAAAGCCCTTTAAATGTGAGGCTGGGTGCCGTGCCTTACATGTGTAATTCCAATACTTTGGAAGGCCAAGGTTGGAGGATTGCTTGATCCCAAGAGTTCAAGACCAGCCTGGGCAACATAGGGAGACCCTGACTCTACAAAAAATAAAGTAAAAATTAACTGGGTGTAGTGTCACATGCCTGTAGTTCCAGCTACTTAGGAGGCTGAGGTGGTAGGATTGCTTGAGCCCAGCAGTTTGAGGTTGCAGTGAGGTGTGATTGCACCACTGCACTCCAGCCTGGGTGACAGAGGAAGACCCTGTCCCAAAACCAAAAAAAAGAAAAGAAATACAGAGACTGGGTCATTTACAAAGGAAAGAGGTTTAATTGACTCGGTTCGGCTTTCTGAGGAAGCCTTAGGAAATTGACAATCATGGCAGAAGGGGAAGCAGATGTCTTACATGGCAGTGAGTGAGAGCAAGCAAAGGGGAAGAGCCCCCTTATAAAACCATCAGATCTCGTGAGAACTGGCTGTCACAAGAACAGCATGGGGGAACTGTCTCCATGTTCCAATCTCCTTCCACCAGGTCCCTCCCTCAACACGTGGGGATTATGGGGATTACAATTTGAAATGAGATTTGGGTGGGGAACAGAGCCAAATCATATCATTCCACCCTGGCCCCTCCCAAATCACATGTCCTTTTTACATTTCAAAACCAATCATGCCTTCACAACAGTCCTCCAGAGTCTTAACTCATTCCAGCATTAACCCAAAAGTCCAAGTTCAAAGTCTCATCCAAGACAAGGCAAGTCCCTTCTGCCTGTGAGCCTGTAACATTAAAAGCAAGTTAGTGACTTCCAAGATACAATGGGAGTACAGACATTGGTAAATGTTCCCATTCCAAATGGGAGAAATTGGCCAAAACACAGGGGCTACAGGCCCCATGCACCACTGCACTCCACTGTGCAAGTCTGAAACCCGGCAGGGCACTCCTTAAATTTTTTTTTTTTTTTTTTGAGATGGAGTCTCGCTCTGTTGCCCAAGCTGGAGTACAGTGGCACGATCTCGGCTCACTGCAACCTCCGCCTCTTGGGTTCAAAGGATCATCCTGCCTCAGCCTCCGGAGTAGCTGGGCTACTCAGGCGTGTGCCACCATGCCCGGCTAATTTTTGTATTTTTAGTAGAGATGGGGCCTGACCATGTTGGTCAGGCTGGTCTCTAATTCCTGACCTCGTGATCCACCCGCCTCAGCCTCTGAAAGTGTTGGGATTACAGGCGTGAGCCACCATCCCCGGCCTACTCAATAAATCTTAAAGTTCCGGAATAATCTCCTTTGACTCCATGTCTCACCTCCAGGTCACGCTGATGCAAGAGGTGGGCTAATCTTTCTAGTAAATTCCATATTTAATTCAAGAAACCATAACTTAAGGCATGTAAAAGAGATCCTTTGCTCAATGTGATGCCATTGTGCTTATCCAAAGTATATTATTATTACCCACAAAGGGTGAGAGATTAGGCTGCAGCCATACCCCAAGTGGAGTGAGCAGCAAGACCTGCCCCCTGCTCAGAGTGTAGATGACTGGGGGCACCTGCATTCCTAGGGGCTCTGCCGTATGAGCTCCTGTCGATGCGGCAAAGGACCACCTTGCCCAACGACAGCGGGAAGGCAGAATTTAAAGCTGGCAGCTGTAAGCGAACGTCTATGTGTGCGCACGGGGGCACGTGAAGGCACAGGTGCATCAGCCAAGAACCTCCAATTCACCTCTTAACCTTCTCACCTCACCTGAAACCCCTTCTGCCAGAATCCTGAAGGTGGCCCAGGAACAGGGCTCCTAACGTTAGGTGGAAATGGGAAATTCATTGAGATGTCACAAGCTGGAATAAGAAAATTCTGAGCTCACCCGGAAACTAATGCCCTAAATTAAGATTATTCAGCTTCTCAATTTTTAATAGCAAAATGGAGACCTGAGTGTGGATAACTTTTAGTATCTGTGGGGGATCCTGGAACCAATTCCCTGCCAATATAGAAGGACAACTGTCTACAGTACTTGAAGTATTATTAACTACATTCGCCATGCTGTATGTTAGATCCCCAGAACATATTTATCCTGCATATCTAAAATTTTGATCATTTTACAAACTTTCTATTTTTTTTGTCAATTTTCTCCAGCTAGACACTTGTGCAATACGGCTATTATCTGATCTTTGCCTTAAATGTTGTGCTTCTTTTCCATATGCACGTATTTTGCAAAATATAAAGTGTGTAGAGCTATATAGCACTCAGCCAAGTGGTGGGTACCTGCAGGTGCTTCAGAGAAGTAAATTGATGCTGCTAATATTTGTTGAATGGCACGAATATGATGAGCAATAGCAGGTGGTGCCCTTCAGCCAGACCATCGCTCCGTGCGTCTGATGCATCTTGCCAAAGAGTAGTTCTGGGAGGTGGTTGCCTCTAGAGAACACATTCCTCCTATTCTGGGGTCCCGTGAGAGAAAGAAATGCTTTTGCTTTTGATGTGGGACTCTTACTAAGCCTTTCTTCAGAGAAAAGGAAGTGAAAAATGCACCCCATGATAATCAGTTTCTTACAACATACTGTGATAGTACCGGCTTCGTTGTTTTTAGCTGGAATCATTAGCTTCCATTTTTAGAATAACAGCTATTGGCTAAATTAGGCTACAGTAGGCCATTAAGATGGATGTTGGAATTAAAAACATTTTTGGAAAAAAGCCTGCTTTGAGCCTTTGTTATAAGCCCTTGGGTAGAGATCTGGGTCCTGTTTCTGATTTCTTGTGAGCCTTCACTCTGACAGTTTTGTTTCCAGAAACACACTCTTAGCCTGCTCCTGAAATGGGAACAGACAGGCCAACTTCCCCTCTCCAGTCTCCCCTGCGGGTCAAAGCTTTACTTTCCTGTCATGTTAAGAAAGAATAGATTTAACCTTGATAATCCATGTAGTATTCTGTATTTTTACCTTTTCCTTATCTGAAAAAAAGTGTATATATGGCATGGAATTGATTGCACAGGCACATGGCATGTTGGCTTGTGAACCAATTGTTAAAATTTCAAGTTAATCATTAAAATAATATCTTTCAAATTAAGTTATATTAAAAACAAAGGTAACATTCTAAATTCATTACTTTCTAATTATTTCGCCCTTTTTTTTGTCGTTGATTATTTAGACTTAAGAAAGTGATGGGAAAAACGTTAATAACACAGTACATAAGTTGTTTCTGTAGCCATTACACTGTGATTTTCACAAACACTTGAACACTTGAATAGTCTTCCATTATTTGAAAACTATTATTCAACTTATCCAAGTGAAGTATTGGCATACAAAGAAGTTGTTTCATATTTGCATTGCTCATGAATGTAAACAAAATGTCGATATGTGTGAACTATACTTGTTGATCAATTGCAACCATAGGTTGGCTGCAGATGCGAGAGCTTGGTAAACATCAACAAAAGCATTCTCTGAGAATGAATTGACTATATGGAATTTGTAGGAAAGTGTATTGTGTATTTTATTATTATTTGTAAATTGTGTATTCCACATCTTTTAGATTAGTAAAATTTATAGTAAACATACTCTCACACCTACATTATATGCATAGACTGTTTTTCAGATTGCTGGTTAGTCACCATTTACCAGCACACTGCTGCCTAAAAGGGAACTTTTCTGGGATGGTGGAAATGATATCTATGGATTGCATACTTGTATTATTCTCCACATTCACGACATAGAGAGGCAGCTCTCTCTATAATCACTGCCTATTTGGAGCAAAAGTTACCCCCACAGTGACTAGGGGTATAAGTCTTTTTAGTAAGATTCCATTTGTCTCCACCAAAAACCCATGGGCCTGTAGTACTAACAGAATCCATGGAAAGTGATTCCCAATCAACAGTTTCAGCCAGAGGGCTAAAAGGGACAAAAGCTTTCCGATGACAAAGGTCTGTCTGAAAAGTACATTTTGTTTTACTTGTCACCTCATCCGGCCCTGAAAACTTGTCACAGGGGAAGACCAACGCAGCAGTGGGTAAGGACCCACTTTAGGGGAGCATGAATTGCTCATTCTCAAGATTAGGCAGTGGGGAACAAAGTGGTCTCTTCCCGTCTGTTCCTCTGGGAGGGCTCCACGTTAAAGTGTCCATGACTACGCTGGAGAGAATGAGATGGAACCCTGTGTGCACAGCTGTAGAGCTCCAGCTGGCTCCTGAAGGCAGCCGACCTTTTCACTAACACTGGTGAGACTCTGTCACCAATGTGTCCCCGTCATACTCTAGAGCCTCGGGTTGCATGGGTCCTATTTTTCCTGAAGCAAACTAATCTTTTCCCGAAGCTACACTCTGCAGACAAGCAGCTTCTTTTATTTGTATCTTTCTCCTGTCAATTGCATGACAGAAAAGGAAAACTGTGTCAAATAGTGAATTCTAACCCCTTCCTATGCCTCAGAGCTCGACAGAAATAAAGACAGCTGCTCTGTGCAGCCACTTCACCGTTTTGTGTCCCGCAAGCCTCTCCCTGGGCCTCTTCCGAACTCCTGGTTCACTCTGTGTTTCTGCGATGCTTTCTCCTGTTTCCAGTTGCGGTATTACCCTTTGCTGCAATCCCTTGATCCTCAGGAGCTAGGAATATATTCAAGGTTTTATGCCTGATCCCTTCTGAATCCCCCAAAGGCCAAGTACCGAGCCGAGCCGTGGTGGTATCCAGCAGCAAAGGCTAGCCTGGCTTTACCTTCCTAAGAGCCGAATGTCTCTCCAGGAGCGTGATCAGACATCTCATTGCAGCTGTATAACATGAGGTAGCATTTTGAGGCTGTGTGGCTGCTTGGTTACATTCCCTTCTCAAAAAAATTTAAATGGGTTCCCCTAGACTAAGGATATGCACAGCCAAATGCTCCTGCCTGCATTAGAGCCATCTGGGCCAAATTATCTCCTGATCATGTTTCACTCCCAGCTGAGTCGTCCTCAAGTGCAGCGTAGAGATTGTTCAGGAAGCACCAGTGAAGACGGCCCAACGACTGGGAAGCCGGAGGACAGGGGCAAACACGTTATCAAGGCTTTCGGCTCAGCGAAGTCTGACTTCGGGGCAAGACTGGGCACTGCCGTGGTGAGCAGGACATTCTTCTGTCCCTGCTCAGAGCTGGGCTGTTTCAAACATTGTTTGGGTCCATCAAGTTTATAAACAAAAGAACTGTATTAGGTGGGCTTTCTTTGACTCTGGGGGAAACACAGCAAAAGGAAACAAGAGACCTCAAGGAGGGATGGAGAGTGGGCAAATTGGCAAGGTTTGTAAATACATAAACAGTTTTCTGAATAATATGTTATTTTAAAACAACCTTCACAGTCTGCTTAGTCTGTGGAGCTGTAGTCCTGCTTAATTAAAGCAGGGGTCTGGAGGGATTAACCTTCATTTGAATATACGAATTTTTCTTTCTGAGACTGCATCCAGTGGTGTGCTGATAAACGTTTAACAACGGGCTCTCTGGGAGAAAAAGGAACCCTGATTTGTAGCATTTGCTGATTTTCATGGTGTAAATACTACCACTGCTGCTGGCTCCAAGCTACCAACGTGGCATTACTGATCATAGAGTTGGGAGGAGTTGTTAAAGATTGGCTTTCCTGAGCCAGCATGAGCCAGCTCCTGCACATTGCTGACTCTATCCCTTGTCAGAGGTCTTACTATGTATTCTGGAATGTTCCCCCACCTTGCTCCCTTCCTGCAGTGAACAGAGCAGAATCCTACAGAACCTAAGAAGTAATGGGAGTATGGGGAGCCCAAGGAGTGATAAGTCAGATTATTTTCACGGCAGTTGGAGCACCCCCACAATGAACATTGGGAGCCTGGAGCAGACACCCCGTGGACCACAGCCAAGGGCAGCCTCTTTTCAGAGAGGCCTGAGTGTGCCTGCCTGTGGGTCACAGGGAAAGGCTGTTGGTTTGATGTGTTACTCTCTCTCTTTTTTTTTTTTTTTTTAACAGATGGGGTCTCCTTTTGTTGCCCAGGCTGGTGTGCAGTGGTGCCATCATAACTTAACTCACTGCAGCCTAGAACTCTTGGGCTCCTCCTGCTTCAGTTTCCTGAGTTGCTGGGACTACAGGTGCATGCCACCACACCAGGCTAATTTTTAAATTTTCTTTTTGTAGAGATGGGGTCTCGCTATGTTACCCAGGCTGGTCTCGAACTCCTGGCCTCAAGTGATCCTCCTGTCTCTGTCTCCCAAAGTGCTGGGATTACAGGCATGAGACACTGCACCCAGCCTTTTAATTATTTTTTGTATGCTTAAAAATCTTTAGCATTATAAGCCATCTGCTCTGCCCACCTGAAAAGATGGTGTGAGAATCATCTGAGACAACATGTAAAACCAGAATGTAGACTAGAAAGGGCTTTGTATCTGTAGTGGGCTATTATTCATTAACACCTATGAATATTTGGACATAGCACCTAGGTCATAATTTTAAAATATATTTTTCTTACTAAAATTTATTTTAAAATGTGGAAAGTAAGATACATAAAAAAGGGGAAATTACGCATGAACTTATGACACTTTGATGAAACTAACCCCACATATTTTATGCATACTTTAAAATTATAAAAATACTCATATGTTTCTTCTATACTCTGTATTGCTCATTTAACATCTCATGGACATGTCTTATTTGTCATGACATATTACTAAACAATGATTTTGACAAATATCCTTATAGACAAAATCTTTGGACATATCCTTGATCATTTCCATAGGAAAAGTTCTTGGAAGTGTGTTGTCTGAGTCAAAGGCTATTCTTGCAGATTTTTTTTTAAAGGATGAAATGAGATCACATATGTAATGTGTTTAGTACAGTGCAGTGTCTGAGATATATGTGTGTGCATGAGTGTGTGTATGTGTGTTGAAGGCCCAATAAATGGTAGTCATTATTAACTTGTATTAATTTGGTTAGCACACTATTGCTGTATTGTTCTTAGTGGTGTTATAGTTTTTTTCTGGGAGTATTATGAAGAGAGTGTGATGGCAGGAATCTAGGGGATCAGTTCTCTTGTCCTGTTTTGTTTTTGTTTTTTGAGACAAGGTCTTGCTCTGTCACTCAGGCTGGAATGCAGTGACACAATCCTGGCTCTCTGCAACCTTGACCTCCTGGGCTTAAGTGATCCTCCTGCCTCAGCTTCCCAAGTAGCTAGGTGTATAAGTTGGTTTTCACACTGCTATAAAGAACTACTTGAGACTGGGTAGTCAAAGTCAAAAGAAGTCTAATTGACTTGCAGTTTCTGCGGGCTTAACAGGAAGCATGACTGGAAGGCCTCAGGAAACTTAGAATCACAGCAGAAGGCGAAGGAGAAGCAAAGACCTTCTTCACATGGTGGCAGGAGAGAGAGAATGAGAGAGAAGTGCCATATACTTTTAAACCATCAGATCTTATGAGGACTCACTATCACGAGATCACCAAGGTTAAATCTGCCCCCATTATCCAATTACCTTCCACCATGCCCCTCCTCCAATTCTACACGAGATTTGGGTAGGGACATAAATCCAAACCACATCACTGGGACTACAGATGCACCACCATGGCCAGCTAATTCTGTGTGTGTGAGTCTGTAGAGATGATGTCTCCCTATGTTGCCCAGACTGGACTCAAACTCCTGGGCTCAGGAGATCCTCCCACCTCAGCTTCCCAAAGTGCTTGGATTACAAGTGTAAGCCACCACACCCGGCCTGTCCTGCTCTTTCTGTTCCTTGCTACCATTTACTTTTTGGTCACTTGCCTTGATAGGGTTATAGGAAGAATGGGATTGATGGGCATAGGAAGAAGAGACACATGACAAAGCCATTTTTTCTTATTTATCAATAACTTTGCAAAAAGTCTGAGTGTTAAGAAAGTTGAGTTTCAGGTTAGAACAACTTGGGGGATTATGTGTGGATTTTACTTACCCTTTGCAGGTCTATAGGTACCTCAGTATTGCCTGTGTGTGTCCTGAGTGCCCTCCTGTCCCCAAACAGCTCTCAGCAGCCTCCCAGAGGGCAGAGCCATCCATCAAAGCTGGGCAGGTCTCCAGCTCAGGTAACCACCGCACTTACACAATTGTCCCTTACGAAAAGGCAGCGGGGAATGTGTTCTTCCTGTTTCTGCCCTCCTGAAGGTTTTCATGTCCATGCTAACCCACTGTGGGCCTGGGCCAAGGCCAAGTTGCCCATCAATATTTTAAAGTAGTGGTGTTATAAAATTTATGGAAGATGCACAAAGAACAATCCCCTGAAGTGACAAGCCCGCTGAGGAGGGATATTGGCTAAAAGGAGATATCCCACTTTGAAACAGTGTGAGATCAAGTGCCCGAGCTGGTGAGGCCCTTTGTATGCATAGGGCCTGGAGCTTGGTGGAAAATCTGACCTGGTTTCAAATCCCACCTACAACTGTTAATTCATTTGGTTATCTATTAACAGTCTCCTGGCAGCTTACTTTTATGTTTAAAATTAAGTGCTCGATTGATTATTTTCTAGAACAGTGATGGGATGTTGTTCTATACTTAAGCCAATCCATTAGTGGGCTCTCTCATTCCTGATCTCTTTTCCTTCCTTTCTTGGTTCATTTTGTGTGTGTGTGTGTGTGTATGTTTGTGTGTGCGTGTGTAAGCACACGTGCATGTGTGTGCACCCGAAGTTTGTGGGAGTCAGAGGATGGAGGAAGAGTCTTTATTCTGAAATCAGAGGAAAGTACGGCTTTTATATTTCTTCCAAACTATATATTTACAAGGATTTTTCAACACCCAATGAGAGGTAGTTATTTCTTGGCATGATTCATAGGTGGAAGCAGTGTCTGACTCTATTCCTTGTCAGAGGTCTTACTATGTATTCTGGAATTTTATATTATGGGGAATTTTATATTATGGGGATTTCATTTTATCAAAAATCTTGCATAAGCTGCTATTTTTGAAACCCTCCATTTTTCTTTTATCTACTTTGGAGGCGTCTTCAAATATTTCCATATTTCCAAGATTTGCTTCTGAGGATTGAGACTCAATTACTTTTTTAAAAAATTGGGTTTATTAAATATGGGCTAGATAGAAAAAATATGACATATGTAACGCAGAGCTCCTGACTCTCGTGCTTGGGCAGGTTCCTCGGTGTGTTTGGAACTTACCAGTTTCTTCAGCCTGGAGTGTAGCCAGGTGTGGCCTGAGGTGGCCTGAGCTCCCAAGCAGGTCATCTCTGGCCACCAGAACAGTGCTGTCTGGGCTTCTGACAGCAGCATGAGCAAAGGAGGATCTGACCTCTGTTTTACCAGGAAAATATTTGAAAACACTGGAATCATGTGTCAAGGATGACAATTAAAAACATTCATGTCCCCATTTTACAGCCTGAGAAGTAGTCTGTGCCATTCCCTCAAAATCTGCCCCTTAGTTAGGGCAGATGCTCGTTCTAGTTTATAGATGAGAAAAGTAGGTACACACGGCTAATTAGGAACAGTCAAGACTGAAGCACATGTTCCTCCATTCCCAGCCTGTAATAATGGCTACTTCCATGTGTGTGCACGCCAGTCCAGAGAACTGGCTTTTTACACATCAACTCTATTCATCTTTACAATAAAGCTGTGGGTAGATGTTGCTATTCACATCCTCAGACTGGGCTTCTAGGATACAGTGATCCAGAGAAGAAGCATTCAGTCCATCAGTGCTGAAGTGATGAAGCATCCTCATCTCCTGTCTGCCTGCTGGAATGTTCTGTCTCAGAGCCAGCAAGTTTCAATAAAGAAGCCCAGCCACCTCTGTCTTTGTAGTCTTATAACCCAAGGACCCATTGGGAACAAGCAGGAAGTCTGCACTACGGAACTTGCTTTACATAGAAGTGTGTTTCTGAAAATGTCCATTGAAATGGAATGCATTAGTCTCTTTTCATACTGCTATAAAGAACTGCTTGAGACTGGGTAATTTATAAAGGAAAGAGGTTTAATTGACTCACAGTTCGACATGGCTGGGGAGACCTCAGGAAACTTACAATCATGCCATAAGGTGAAGTGGAAGGAAGGCACCTTCTTCACAAGATGGCAGGAAGGAGAAGTGCCAAGTGAAGGGGGAAGAGCTCCTGACTCTTGTGCTTGGGGAGTTTCCTCGGTTTGCTTGGAACTTATCAGTTTCTTCAGCCTGGAGTGTAGCCAGGTGTGGCCTGAGGTGGCCTGAGCTCCCAAGCAGGTCATCTCCAGCCATTCACGTGATAGTGAATGACAGCTCATTCACTATCATGAGAACAGCATGGGGGAAACTGCCCCCATGATTCAATTACCTTCACCTGGTCTGTCCCTTGACACATGGGGACTGTGGGGATTATGGGGATTACAATTCAAGATGAGATTTGGGAGGGGACCAAAGCCTAACCATATCATGGAAGTTTTAAAAATCTAATTGCATTGAACATGTATTTGGGAGGGTTAGGATCTACAAGAAACCTTCATTGAAGAATCTTTCCCCAACACACACCTGACTTGGACAATTTATCAATCTAGATATTTGACTCAGGCTAGAATATGTCTTGGCTCAATTGCCAAATCTTACTAAGAGTAAGGAACTGGGTTCCAATGGGCAAAAGGCCTTCTGTTCTTAGGAGCTCTGTAATGGTAAAGAGCACAGCTGGGGCTGGGGCTGACTTGCCAGGGGGCTATTCAGCGCCCATTCTTACCAAAGTGTGGAGATTTCAGTTCTGCAGAACCTAATGCCTTGGCCTCAGAAGCCTAAGTACCCAACGACTCTCATGCTATGCGGGCCTACAAAGCTTGAACAAGAGATATTTATTCTCTCACAATGCTGGAGCCCAGAAAGCCTAAAGTCAAGGCATCAGCAGGGCCAGGAAAGAATCTTCCTTGGGTCTTCCAGCTTCTTGTGGCTCCAGGCATACTTTGGCTTGTGGCTGCATGGCTCCATCTCTGCCTCCATCTTCACATGGCCTTCTCTCCTGTGTCTGTGTCTTCTCTTCTGATTTTATTTTTATTTTATTTTTAAATTTTTATCATAGCTGACTGCAGCCTTGCACTCCTGGGCTCAAGCGATCTTCCCACCTTGGCCTCTCAAGTAGCTGGGATTACAGGTGTGAACCACTGTGCCCGGCTCCTCCTCTGTTTTTTGTAAGGATGCTTGTCATTTGGGTTAGGACTCACCTGGATAATCCCGATGATCTCTTCAAGATATACTTAAACTAATTACATCTGCAAAGTTGCCTTCTCCAAAACAGGTCCCATTCAGAGGTTGTGGGGGTTAGGATGTGTTAGGATCTCTTAGGGGGGCACCATTAAACTCACTGCATGCCCCCTTCTTCCCTTCCTCTGAGACTGTTCCCACTCAGGTTCTGTGGACTCATCATCTCCTGTGTGTGAGGCTTCACGCTGTGGCATAGAGATGGGGTCTCAGGGCTGAGGTGGGTGCTTACAAGTACAGGCCCGGAATCAGACAAAGCCTGAGCCCAATCCCGGCTCCTCATGTATCAGCTGTGAGATTTAAGCAAGTAACTGAACCTCCCAGGACTCTAGCACCTCATCTCTGACATGCAATAGTAACATCTACCCACAGTTTTGTTGTAGAGATGGGTAAGAAGCCAGTGCCACGGCCCAGTGTGCACTGGGGTAGCTGTTAGTGTGCGCCGGCGCTGGAGGAGCTTGAGCTTTGGTCCTGACTGTGCCTAATTAGCCCTGTGACCTCTGGTGAGTGTCCCCTAGCCCCTGTCCAGAGCACGTGTGGAATGTGTAAAGAGGTCGAGATTAGCCAGGATGATTTCCTAGTCTTTCCAGCCACAATAGTCTTGGGCCAGAAAGACTCTGAGACCCTGGTTAAACTTATTTTTGAGCAGCTTAAGCAGCAGTCATATATATTCCTTAGACTGGGCTTCCAAAATTGCATGGAGAATTTTGCAGAACACTTCAACATCATGTTTGCTGCTTAGGAATCATTTGGAAAATGGGGCTTCGTCCACTGGGTTACATTTTGCCTCTCCTAAGTAGGAAACAGGTGGTGAAATCCCCGAGTTAAAGAACGGGGGTAGAGGAGGAGCTGTTTAGTTCATTCTTTTGTGTCTAAGTAAGACGTCCTGGAAACAGAGAAGTCATGCAGTGTTAAATCTGACAGGATAGAGGTTATCCCGACACCTGGGCAGGACCTGTGCAGAGCAGGCCCTCAGAAAGCACCAGGACCATTCAACTTTCAGAAATGGGGGCTCAAAGAGGTGAAGCGACTTGACCATGGTCATACAGAGTTAGTCTTCCAATTCTAAGGCCAGGATTTTTTCTTTCTAGGGTCCTTTCTAGGATTCTTATTTCATCTGAAATTGCTTTGGGGTGCCACTGTTGAAGGCATAGTTTTATTAGACACAGCTGTGGTACTGTTCAGACAGAGTTAAAAATATATTCATAGCTCCCAGAGACATTAGAATCTGGTGCAAAGTTAAAAAGAAAGGAGGAACCTGGATGAGATAGAGCAGAGATTCTTCCAGATGCAACATCCATGATGAAGATCTAGATGCACCTACACAATTTTTCAGTTTCACTGTAGAAGACACAAAGGCCGGGCACAGTGGCTCACACCTGTAATCCCAGCACTTTGGGAGGCTGAGGCAAGAGGGTCACTTCAGGCCAGGAGTTCGGGACTAGCCTGGGCAACAAAGTAAGACCTCATTGCTACAAAAAAATTAAAAAGAATAGCTGGATGTGGTGGCATGCACCTGTGGTCCCAGCTACTTGGGAGGCTGAGGCAGGAGGACTACATGAGCCCAGGAGGTCGGGGCTGCAGTGAGCCGTGATTGTGCCACTATACTCCAGCCTAAGTGACACAGTGAGATCTCGTCTTAAAAAACAAACAAACAAACAAAAAACAAACAAAAAAAAAAATGGAAAAGAAAAGAAAGAAGACACGCATTTTAATTGCAAATCCAATCTTCATTTAAAAGGGGATCTCTTTTTCATACTCCACGGTTCTGGTCTCTGAACATTTGCTACTACAGACATACTTGGCAGACTTCTCAAGATCTATTACCCAGCATCAGCATGTTATCTAGACATCTAGAAACACACTTAAATATTTCTTTTTTAAAAAACCAAAACTTCAATAGTCATGAGAAACAGGAGCACCTCCTGCTCAGTCTCTAACTATTTGAACAGTATTTCTCATCAATTCAGAAATTAGTCTGACCTTTGCCCTGGGGACATGTGTGCCAGGTATTAAGGACTGTTGAGGGACAATCTGTGTCATAGGGGAGGTGACATCTGTTCTACAGAATGTGGCCTTCTTTGTGGGGCCAGCCTTTTACCTGTATGGCAAGTCCTCATCTTCCTTATCTGGCTGCCTGCCCTATGGACTTTCTGCCTGTCTCTGAGGATGGTTCTGGTGGCCAGGGAGGAAGCTCTTGGCCTTCAGTTGCTCTCCCATGTCTGTCCATGGTAGACTTAGCACAGGGCAAACCTTTGGAAAGGAAAATGCTGGATTTCCCTGTGGTGCTGTGGTATTGACCAGCGTGTGTGTGAGTGTGTGTTTGTGTGTAGACTGGGTGGGAGGAGGGGAGGAAACAAATGTATAAATCACATTTTGCAAATCCTTCCATTCTTAGCCAGCTGTAAACTCATGTCTTTGCTTTTCTCAAGCTTTGATTTATGTATTGGGATCATGGGGTTTGTGTCCCTTCTTCTGGCTGTAAGTTTGGATTTAGCAGGGTGCTCCATAAAAATGTTATGTGATTTGCATGCTCTGGGCTGATTGAGTTGCATTCTTTATAGGATCATTTTTTAGATGGATGGTCTCTGTGGGCCTCCATTCTTTTGTTTTCTGGGGTTCAAAGGTCACATCAAAAACCTCCCGGCCTGCTGCCTGATGTGACCTTTGAACTCCAAAGGGCACAAGATCATGAGGCCATAAAATAAGGCACAAACACTAAAGGTGTCATTCTGATTGTCCTCAAAGGACAGGAGTTTAAGGCTTGGCCACATGATTCAGGGTAGAGGAAATACTGAGAGAGCAAAATGCAGGGAGCATCAAACAATGAAATCTCAAACCATAGCCAGGAAGGATGTAAAATCGCCTCTGGGGCTGGACACTGGGCTAATTGCTAACAATGTCAGCCACATGTTTCTACAGCGATTTCTGGTAAGACAGCCCCAGAAAGCTCAAACATGCTGACTGCCAGGTTATTTTTTTTCATTGCATCACCATCAGTGGGTCCCTGTTTCTGTACACTGCCTGCCCTGGCCCGCGTAAGGCCAGCAGGAGGGTGTTGGGAGGGCCTACATGCTGGCACAGCGGAGTTCAAACTCACAGGAAGGACATCAGGGCAAGGCTGAAATCTGAGACCTGCGACCTGGTGGCTTGGAAGGAAGAGCTCTATCTTTGCTGTTGGTTTTTTAAAAGGGGAAGAAGCACTGGCTCGGAGTTAAACCTCCGAACAGTGTGTCATTGGGAAGGGGAAGATCTCTTTGGATAATGATAAAGGTCTCCTTGTGGCCGGGTCGAATTTCAGGGCCAGCCAAAACAAACATGCAAGGGAAATGCAGCAGAGCCCTACAGGGCCCAGTTTGGAAACTGAAGGCTCAGGCTCAGGATCTTTGACACCAGATAAATTAGCCAGAATATTCTGAAACCATAAATGAACTTCTACTGATTTATGCAGAGGTTTCCGAGGTCTTTCAAAAATGCATGTGAGGAGCATTTATACTCCCTAGTGGCATGGAAAATCTTTCACGGCAGCAGAAAGAAGCAAAGCCAGTGTCGCTGAAAGCCTACAGCTGAAAATAAACTGCCGTCCTGGAAAAAGCTCATACTCAGGATGGGGTGTGTGCGGACGGTCATCCTTAGAGAGAGGGCACAGTCCACTCTCTATTGCACAGAGGGGGAAACCAAGCCCCAAGTCGGGATGATTCAGACACATCTGTCCCCAGATGTTATTCTCAAACTGAGTAGAGGGAAGGGATGTTTTAAAAGTGGATGGGTAGAAATCCGAGCTCCCCCAAAGGGCAGGAGAAAGGGACACTCCTGGCCTGAAACTCAGACCCGAGGTTGTGGGTTTGAAAGCTTAGCAGTGCCAGGTGGAAGTTCAGGAATTGCAGGCCGAATACTTGGGAGTTGATTGCAGCTGAGGAATAAGGGGTCCTGATAGGGAGATGGAGAGAGGCAGAATGGGAGGATGAAGGGATCAGCCGAGGGAAAGAAGAAGAGACTCAGAGGGAAGACGGCTCACGGGGTGGCTAGTTCCTCTAGAGCTGGGGAGGGATTTGTGAATATGGAAATAGAGGAAAGACATTTGCTTTGGAATGACTGGGTTTTATTTTATTTTATTTTTAAGAGACAGGGTCTCACTCTGTTGCCCAGGCTGGAGTACAGCAGAGCTACCATGACTCGCTGCAACCTTGACCTCCTGGGCTCAAGCAATCCTCCCACCTCAGCCTCCCAAATATCTGAGACTCCAGTAGTGCACTACCACACCTGGCTAATTTTTGAATTTTTATTTTTTGTAGAGACAGCGTTTCGCTATACTGCCCAGGCTGGTCTCGAACTCCTGGCCTCAAGCGGTCCCCTCACTTTGGTCTCCCAAAGTGCTACGATTACAGGTGTGAGTCACCACGTCCAGCCATGACTAAGTTTTATTCTTAGTCCAGGCCCTCAGTATTTAGGCTTAGCTCCTGGGAAGAGTGAGCAGTGAGTGCAAAGCTCTTCTCCATCTCTGTCTCCCTAGAGCAGCTATTTTAAAGAAGGGGCAGAGTTTGACTGTGAGTGGATCTGGGTTCCAGTGTTTGATGCACCTGTGTCTTTGAAAGGTAGCATCTGTGCAGGGGTGAGTCCAGGTCTCCTGTCTCCCCTAGTTACCCAATCACCCCCTTTGTCTCCTGATACCTGCTTTCTGAGAGGTTAGAGGACCTCACCTGGGTCCGTACCCATGCTTGGACTTGGGCCACCATTATTAGTTCAAGCTTTTGAGTTTCTCTGGTTTGCTTGAGTGATAAAAAATTAACTCTGTGGGGAAGGAGGAGGACACAGCCTGAGGCTGTGGCTGAGAACGCCTTCTGATGGGGCCTGTTCTGCACACCAAGTGCAGAGGATGGCTGTCCTTCAAGCACCTACAGAGCTGGTTACCCTGGCCCATAGGCCTGTTTGAAACTCACCTTTCTTCACAAGACCAGGTTAAATGCCCCCACCTTCAGGAAGTCTTCCTGGACTAGCCCAGCCCAGAGGAATCTTTCCTTTCTGATCGCATGGAGTGCCGTTCTTCCAGTGTGTATCATGCTTGGTTTACTAATGTTAATCAAGTAGACTGCCACGTGCATTCATATTTATATGTGTACATATCTACATCAACATCTAAAGCCCTCTCCAGCTGAACTAAACGCTCCCCCAGGCCAGGAACCTTGTCTTTCCTCTTATTCATCTCTCTTCCTAAAAATATTTCTTGGTTAATTGATGTATTGACTTCTTGGGTGCACTGCACATCTTCTTTTGATGGACATTCATTTTATCAGAAGTTGAGTGGGAGACTGATTTAACACGCTCCCCCTGGACCAGGCACAGTGGCTCACACTTGTAATCCCAGCACTTTGGGAGGCTGATATGGTTTGGCTGTGTCCCCACCAAATCTCAACTTGAATTGTATCTCCCAGAATTCCCACATGTTGTGGGAGGGACCCAGGGGGAGGTAACTGAATCATGGGGCTGGTCTTTCCTATGCTATTCTCATGATAGTGAATACGTCTCATGAGATCTGATGGGTTTATCAGGGGTTTCCACTTTTGCTTCCTCCTCGTTTTCTCTTGCCATTGCCATGTAAGAATTACCTTTTGCCTCCTGCCATGATTCTGAGGCCTCCCCAGCCATGTGAAACTGTAAGGCCAATTAAACCTCTTTTCCTTCCCAGTCTTGGGGATGTCTTTATCAGCAGTGTGAAAATGGACAAATACAGAAGATGGCTTTCAGGCCAGGAGTTTGAGACCAGCCTGGGCAACATATTGAGACCATGTCTCTACAAAAACATTTTTAAAAAAAGTTAGCTGGATATGGTGGCTTGAGCCTGTAGTCCTAGCTACTCAGGAGGCTGAGGCTGGAGCATTGCTTAGCCCCAGGAGTTGGAGGCTGCAATGAGCTAAGAAAGTGCCACTGCACTCCAGTCTGGGTAAAAAAATGCTCCCTCTGGTAGGAAGTAGAATTATAGTTATCAGAGGCTGGGAAGTGTTTGTGTGTATGTGGGGGAGGAGGGGATGAAGAGAGTGGTTAATGGGTACAAATGTGCAGTTAGACAGAAGGAATAATTTCTAATGTGCAATAGCAGAGTAGGGTGATTGTAATTAATAACAATGAATTGTATATTTCAAAATAGCTAAAGGAGCAGACTTGAAATGTTCCCAATACGTAGAAATGATAAGTGCTCAAGGTGATGGAGATTCTAAATATCCCGACTTGATCATTACACATTCTGCACATGCAACAAAAGATCATATGCACCCCCTGCAAATGCACGAATGTTATGTGTTAATTTAAGCATGCCCCCTCCCTGTTGCTGTGCTCCATGACTCTATGTGTGTGTGGAATATCCACAACAATCATAGCACAGTCCTGTCACTTCTACACAGCATGAAGGGACAGGGCCAGAGGTGATGCTCCTGGAGGGGGGACGCAGGCCCAGGACAGTTCACTTTTGTGGGTGTGAGGAGTGAGTCAGGCTTGGGACAGGAGCTCGGACACCTGGGCCCCATCCTCAGAGATTCTGATTGAAGTGGTCTGAATTGGGACTCTGGCCTCAGTATTTCTTAAAAACTCTCAGTGACTCCACTGTGCACCCAGGGTTGGAGATCACAGATATACATACGGTGAAGTCAGACTGTCTCCTGGCTCCTGTGTTTACCAGCTGCTGTTCCCGCCAGCACAGGTGTACCGGTCTCTGAATTGCAATCCCAAATTAGTGGGAGAGGAAATCTGATTGGCTGAGCTTGGGACCATGTGTCCATCTTGGTCCAATTAGCCACTGCCAGGGGCATGGGCCATGGACTATAAAGCTGGCCGGCCACTGAGGAGCCCACCCCTTTAGATCTGGGGTGTATTTCCCACGAATGGGAAGGTTGTGGCTGGGCAGACATCCCCAAAGGTGACTGGCACAGCTTGTGCCATATGCTATGAAACTCTTGTTTGTTTTGAAGTCTGTGAAGTCTTTAAGGGCAGACATCATTTTCTGAAACCCCATGTATTAACCACGTTTTCGTTTTCTGTATTTTAGGATGCTTTGACATCTTGGGGCCCTGTGGACCCAGGAAGGGACTACCCTTCCCAGGGTTGGCTATTTCCTACAGGTAGCAAACAACTTGCCTGCAAGATGCCTTTGATATGCAAACCAACTCATCCCAAGTCCATTCCCCAAACTGGCTCCTTTCATCAGGCTTAGGAAACCCTAGACGTTATCCTTCTGCCCAAAATCACCCTAGGGCCAGATACCATTCAACTGGGGACCACCCTGATAGCCCAGAGCCTGCTGACGTTATTCAGCCTATCCAATCCTAAACTTGCTCAGTGGCTTACCCTGCCTCGCCCGTTCCTTCCCTTGAGAACCACAAATGAAGGAAAGACTTTGCCCATGCTTTTCCCTCACTCCTGCCTCCTGACTCGACCTGGTGCCTCCCTGTGTGGCTCTGAATGGTGTGGCATGGTGTGTCCCCTTCTCTTGGGAACCGTAAGTAACAAACTATCTTTTCAGTTGTGGTCATCTCCTAATCTGCTGGCCTTACCGTATGATATTGTTTGAATATTTGTCCCCTTCAAATCTCCTGCTGAAATGTAATCCCCAGGGTTGGAGGTGGGGCCTGGTGGAGGTGTTTGGTCATGAGGGCGGGTCCTTCATGAACAGCTTAGTGCCATCCCCTTGGTGACCAGTGAGTTCTGGCTCTGAATTCATGTGAGATCTGGTTGTTTAAAATAGTGTGGTACCTCCCCACTCGCTCTCTTGCTCGTGTTCTCACCCTGTGAGATGCCTGCTCTCTCTTCACCTTCTGCCATGAGTAGAAGCTTCCTGAGGCCATCACCAGAAGCAGGCAGTATGCGCCATGATTTCTGTACTGTCTGCAGAACCGTGAGCCAATGAAACCTCTTTTCTTTATAATTTACCCAGCACAGGTATTTTTTTTATAGTAATACAAGAACAGCCTAACACACCATCCCTGAATAAGAACAACCTCCTGGGTATGTTTTTAAAAAATCCCAGCATCTGGCACAGTACCTGTTACATAGAAGGCAAGTGATAAATACTTGCTGAATTAAATATATGAATGGATAGATGGATGGATGGATGGACAGACAGATGGACAGATGGGTGAGTGGATGGATGGATGGATGGATGGATGGATGGATGAGAAGGCCCTTGAGAGTTTAGAGGGGGCATGGTATGAAGTTATATGCCTGATCCAGCCCTGGGTGATAGATGCCTAGGCCTGTCCTCCCATGCTTCCTCCTCTGTCTTAGCAACCACAGGCAATTACAGTGGGATAACTGAATGGAGAGGCCAGGTGATTCCCTGAAAAATAGCAATCAGACCAAGACCTGCAGAAGAAAGGGTGTGGGTTCAGTGTCCCGGCTCTTGTGGGCACTGTGTTTGTAGGTAGAAATGATGAATGGATGTGCACTGACATTTATGTCACTGTGCTGAGAGTTGCTCTCTCTTCCCCTCACAGTCTCTCTCTATAGGATAAAAGATTCTGAGCACCAAAGAATTGTCCCATCTAGTCAAACTGGGGCAAACTGACAAACTCCATCTTGGTTCATTAGACCCATGGATGAATTATGGGATGTAGAGGGAAACTGTGCCTGGCACACGCTTAATGAACCCAGGGTCTCCAGTGATGGATGGATGGATGGAAGTGAACATTCGTCTACTCTCACTTGCTCCAATGATGTCATTTTAAACCAACAGTGAATTTCACCCAGAAACCAACCCGGACACAGAGCAGAGATAAGGAGGGTAAGAGTGCCTCAGGAGGAATGTTAATCAGATTCCAGAAGCCTGCCAATCAGTCCTGCTGCGAGTTCATTTAAATGCTCAGTTTAGCTCTTGAATTAAAACAAGACAGTGCTAAAACTTTAATCAATCCAGTTCAGCTGCCACACTCAGGCATGAGCAGAGAATAAAATGAAGGTCACAGGAGAAGTCTGGGAGAGAGAATTTGACAGTCTGCACAGATGAATGAGGTTATGGCAAATGGCCTTTGAGATGAAAGGGAGGCCGAGGCCGGCAGTTCATTTAGAACAGGAGTGGCCATCTGTCAATAGCTGGGACCAGATTCCTGATCCTTGCGCTTCTGGAGCATGCAGGGGTGTGTTGGTGTGCATGCGAGTGTGTGTGTGTGTGTGTGCGCGCGCGCGCTCACCTGCCAGAGTGGAGAAATAGGTAAGAAGCTGCTAAAAGGAAAAACTCCTCTTCCATGTTCACCTAGAGATTTATCTTGCTTAGCAACTAACTTCCATGGAGGGTTCTTTTCTTTTCTTTTGTTTTCTTTCATTCCTTGCTTTTCTTTCTTTTATTTTTTTTAGAGTCAGGATCTTACTCTGTTGCCCAGGCTGGAGTGCAGTGGTACAATCATGGCTCACTGCAGCTTCAACCTTCTGGACTCGAGTGATTCTCCCACCTCAGCCTCCCCAGAAGTTGAGACCACAGGTATGTGCTACCACACCTGGCAATTTTTTTTTTTTTTTGAGAAGGGGTCCTGCTATATTGCCCAGGCTAGTCTCATACTCCTGGTTTCAAGTGATCCTCCTGCCTCGAACTCCTAAAGTGTTGGGATTACAAGCATTAGCCACCATGCCTGGCCTTAACTCATATTTCAATGTACATGTTACTTCTTCACATAATCAGTTGACTTCAGCCTGAATTCCTGAGCTCAAGGAAGGCGTGGGGATTTTGAAACTGGTGCATATACATGATGGTGGGCCAAGCCAGCAGTAGTGTGGCCTTAAGTAGGAGCAAGGATGCTGCATTACTCAGGGTTCTTTTGAGGGACAGAACTAATAGGATATATGCATATATCTGAAAGGGAGTTTATTAAGGAGAATCAACTCATGAGATCACATGGTAAAGTCCTATGAAAGGCTGTCTGCAAGGTGAGGAGCAAGGAAGCCAGCAGTGGATCAGTCTGAGTCCCAAAACCTCAAAGGTAGGGAAGCTGATGGTGCAGCCTTCAGTCAGGCTGATGGTGCAGCCTTCAGTCTGTGGCCAAAGGCCCGAGAGCCCCTGGCAAACCACTGGTGTAAGTCCCATAATCCAAAAGCTGAAGAACTTGGAGTCTGATGTTTGGGGGCAAGAAGCATCCGGCACAGGAGAAAGATGAAGGCTGGAAGACTCAGCAAATCTGCTCTTCCATCTTCTCCTGCCTGTTTTATTCTAGCCTTGCTGGCAGCTGATTAGATGGTGCCCACCCAGACTGAGGGTGGGTTTGCCTTTCCCATCCCACTGACTCAGATGTTAATCTCCTTTGGCAACACCCTCACAGACATACCCAGGAACAGTACTTTGCATCTCTCAATCCAATCAAGTTGACAATATTAACCATCACAGATGCAAAGCAGGGGAAAAAGGGATGCCAGGATCCAGGAACCAACTTCTCCTCCGAACTTTGCTCGGCACCCTGCAAGCAAAGGTACGGGGAAAGCCAACTGTCTGCTTGTGGCTTAGAAAAGGCCCAGAGGTAGGGAGTGGAAAGTGAACATAGAGGCTAGTGGTGCGGAGCCAGGAGGATGCGGTGGAGGCCTTGAGGACCATCAACCACATCCAAACACTGTCCCCCTGGGCACACTACTCTAATTGCCTTGACCCCTCAGTGCCTTCTGGGACTTAGACACCATGCTGGGAAAGGAGGAGAGAGGCCCTGTGTTAACCAAGACTGCCTCCATCCTGTCTGTCCAGACAGCCCATCCACTGTCTATCTGCTGTCTCTCTGACTTTCTCCCTTCCACCGTCTTCTTCCCTCTGTCTCACATGCTCCAGCCACACTGGTCTTCTTATAGGTCTGGCAGATGCCAAGACACACTTCTGTCTCGGCCTTTGCACTCGCTGTTCTTACTTCTTGGAATGCTCTATGCCCAAATATGCTCAGGGCTCCCTTCCCACTTCAACTGCTCACATATCATGTTTTTAGAAAGGCCTTCTCTGACCACCTTATTTAAAATAATTCCACCATCCACCACTCTCTGTCCTGTTTTATTTGTCTTCAGAGCACTTATCACCACTGACATCATATACATATATGCATACACCATACACACACACATATATATATCACACACAGGCACACACACACACACACATATATATATGTGTGTATATATATGTGTGTATATATATATGCGTGTGTGTATATATATATATGCATGTCTCAGAGATATTGTGGGTTTAGTTCTAGACCTCCACAATAAAGCAAACATTATGATAAAGTGAGTTGCACACATTGCCCAGATCCATCAGAGGAATCACTATGGCACCTATATAGCCTTATAAAATGTATTTCTTAAATAATACAACTTGAAGGTCAAAATTACTCCTTGATCCATGAGCCCCAGAATAGATTTTGTGTTAGCAGGCATGAAAATGACATTAATCTTCTTGTATATCTCCATCAGAGCTCTTGGGTGCTTAGATGCATGGTCAATGAGCAGTAATATTTTGAAAGAGTTTTTGTTTGTTTGTTTGTTTCTGAGCAGTAGGTCTCAACAGTGGGATTAAAATGTTCAGTAAACCATCTATAAGCAGATGTGCTATTAGCCAGGCTTTGTTGCTTCATTTACAGAGCACAGGGAGAGTAGATTTAGCATCATTCTTAAGGGGCCTAGGATTTTCAGAATGGAAAATGAGCATTGGCTTCAACTTAAAGTCACCAACTGCATTAGACCCTAACGAGAGTCAGTCTGTCCTTTGAAGCCTTGAAGCCAGGCATTGACTTATCCTCTCTAGCTATGAAAGTCCTAGATGGCATCTTCTTCCAACATAAGGATGTTTCATCTACATTGAAAATCTGTTAGTGTGGCTGCCTTCATCAATAATCTTATTTAGATCTTCTGGATAACTTGCCGCAGCTTCTCCATCAGCACTTGCTGCTTTACCTCAAGTGCTGATGTTTGTGGAAATGGCTCCTTTCCTTAAACCTCCTGAACCAAACTTTGCTAGCTTCCAACTCCTCTTCTCTTCCTCTTTTCTTCTTCCTTCTTCTTTCTTCTTTCTTTACTCCTCCTCCTCCTTCCTCTTCCTCTCCTCTTCCTCTCCTCTTCCTCCTTCTCCTTCTTCTTCTTCTCCTCCTCCTCCTCCTCCTCCACTCCTCTCCTCTCCTCTCCTGTCCTCTCCTCTCAGTGTTTATAGAATTGAAGAGACTTAGGGCCTTGTTCTGGATTAGGCTTTGGTTTAAGGGAATGCTGTGGCTGGTTGGATCTTCTATCCAGACCAACTACAACTTTCTCTACATCAGTAATAAGGCTGTTTCGCTTTCTTATCATCTGTGTGTTCACTGGAGTGGCACATTTAATTTTCTTCAAGAACTTTTTCTTCGCATTTTCAACTTGACTAACTGGCACAAGAAGCTTTGCTTTCAGCCTGTCTTGGCTTTCACTGTGTCTTCCTCACTGTTTAATTACTTACAGCTTTTGATTTAAAGTGAGAGTTGTGTGACTTTTACTTTCACTTGAACACTTAGAGCCCATTGTAGGGCTATTCATTGGCCTAATTTCAATATTTGTGTGTCTCAGGGCATAGGGAGTCCAAACAGTCAGAACACATAACATTCATCTGTTAAGTTTGCCATCTTGTATGGGTGCTGTTGGTGGTACCCAAAAACAATTATAATAGTAACAGCAAAGATCACTGATCACAGATCACTGTAACAGACACAATAATAATAATGAAAAAGCTCAAAGTATTACGAGAATTACCAAAAGGTGACACAGAATCATGAAGTGAGCACATGCTGTCAGAAAGATGTCCCAGACAGACGTGATCCATGCAGGGTTGCCACAAACCTTCAATTTGTAAAATACACAATGTCTGTGAGGCGCACTGTAGCGAAGTCTGCCTGCGTATTTGTTTATTTGTTTGTTGACGTCTATTTCCCCCATTAGAACATCATTCTGCAGAAGCAAGGACTTGGTCTTTTTCATTCACTGCCATATCCACAGTGCTCAAGACAGCATCTGTGCAGGAACCCCTCCTGAATGAGTGGCATTTGCATACAGCCTTCTCCACTGTACCACGTGGACATGAGCAGTGTAGGGGATGCAGCGTCCATCTGCCTCTTGCTGCTCCTGTCGCAGCCTTCTGCCTTCAGGACCCACCATTTAAGCCTCTTCTTCCTTCTCTACCTCTCCACTGCCTCAGTCCAGGGAAACCTTATCCAGCCTGGGGCAGGGCTGTCTGGCTCTGACTGATCACATATTCTTCCAAATCTATTATTTATGCCTGAACCATATGCCTTGAGTCTTTCAGGCCTGAGGCTTCTTATGCTCAAAAGCCAAGCTTTGAAATACAGAAAGCTTCTTCCCCCCTTAAAACTATGGTCTCTGCTGTGAGTTTCCAGAAGCCTATTTTGTAATGCAGAAGTGAAAGCTTGATTCCTTTTACTGTATTTTGCAGTGTCATCACTTCACTAATGCGAGGCGTGTGAACGTCCCTGCGGCTGCCTATATCAGAGGGCAGACCAAAGGGTGAGTAAGTAGGGTGAGGTTCGTAGATCAAAATGTTATCTGCCACATACTCTATAGTATAAGAACTCTCACTAAGTATTGCAAGTGTAAATGACCTTGGAAGCACTTTCTAGTTGGTGCCACAGCATTGGCAAACAAAGCTAAAAATAATAAAACCCAGTGTTGCTGGAGATGTGGGAAACACCATGTATTGGGGATGCTGCACTCATTTGCTCCGATATTTCTTGAAAGCAGTCTGGTAGTAGTGTAACAAGAACTATGAACATTATCCTCAGATAATGCATTGGTAATGCCACTTTGGGAAATATACTCCATAAGCATAAGCCAAAGGGAGCAAATGAAAAACCATAATTTTTTTCAAAGATAATCACGGCATCATTTAGAAACAATGAAAATATCCAAGAAGGGAAAGTGGTTAAGCACTACGATCTGTCAAGACAATGGGATAGTAGCTAAGTCTTTGGGCTTAGGGTAGGACAACTACTTTAACAAATAACCACAAACCTTGGTGGCTTAGCACAATAAAAGTTTATTTCTTACACACATTGCAACTCAATGTGGGTCTGTTGGGGAGAGAGGTTTCTGTATGCCATCACTCAGGGACCTAGGCTTCTGTGTTTAGTGGCTCCACCATTTCCTCCCTGTATCTGATAGATCCATGAGGGAAGAGAGTGAGAACAGAGGATTGCAAGGGAAGTTTCATGAGCCAGATCCAGAGGTCTGGAGGCAACATTACTTCTACCCACATTCTAGGAGTCAGAACCCAGTCACATGGCCACATCTAACTACAAGGGAGGCTGGGAAATGTAGTCTTGCTATAAGCCCAGGGTGGAAGGGGAATTGTTTGGTGAACACATAGCAGTGATTGCCACACTGTCAACAAGTTACACATGTTGACTATGCTGACACATGAGCACTTAAATATTAAATCATATTAAATAGACAAAGCAAAACACAGAAACACTAATTAGGATTGATTACTAATAACTATATACTTACAATTATGTATATTGACCAACTCAGAAGTGATTTTAAAGTATTGTGGGCTTCGTACTTGTATGTTTTGTCCTTACTGTAAAATGAAAAATTCACAGGGCAGAAAAAACTGTGGTTATGGATTTATGTGACCAGATGTGGAGTTCCATTATGATGTTTACCTTTTTGAAACTTTTTCATTGAAAACAGAGAAGCTTGTTTGCAGCAACATGGATGAACCCGGAGGTCACTGTGCTAAGTGAAATAAGCCAGATATGGAAGGACAAATACTGTATGATCTCATGCATTTGTGGAACCTAAAAAAGTTGAACTCATTGAGGCAGAGAGTAGAATAGCAGTTGCCAGGGGGTGGGGGCTGGAGAAAACAGGGAGACAGGGTCAAAGGGTTCAACCTTAGTTATAAGATGACCAAGTGCTGAAAATCTAATGGACAGCATGGATGGTAATTGATGTATTAATTAATTCGATTGTGGTTATCATTATACAATGTCTACGTATATCAAATCATCACATTGTACACCTTGAATATATTCAATCTTTGTTAGTTAAATATTTTAAAATAAAAAATTTAAAAACATAAATGGAATATCAGTATTAAAAAATAAAAAGAGGGTTTTCTCAGTTCTATTTTTCTGATTATAAAATAAATACCTGTTATTGTAAAAAATTAGAAAAGCATTTTTTAAAGTATGTACTATTCTTCAACTCACTGGTAAACACTGTTGATACTACTTTACAGTTCTTTCTCCTAAGCATGTATTTATATATTTGAGATACTATAGACTATTTTGCAGGCAGCATTTGTCATTTAACACTATTGCATGGGTATTTTTCCTTGCCACTAAAATTATTTTTCAATTTTAATGTCTTTGCGATATTTCATTATATAGATGCACTATAATTTAAGCCACTCTCTGGGTGAGGGACATTGTTCACCTATTTTGCTGGTATAACTCACTCTCTAAGGATTATCTTTTACAAACAGCTTAGCCCACATTTCTAATTACTTTTTAGGATGAAGTCCTTAAAAAGGAATTACCAGGTCAGAAAACACGAGTGTTTTCAAGGTTCTTGATAGACATTGCCCAAACTGCCTTCCAGAAAGGTCATATAATTTATATTCTTCTCTCACTTCACTTTTGTAGCATCCAGTACTATTAATATTTCTATTTTTTTCTGATTTGATAAGCAGGAAGCTATCTCTGGTGACTTTATTTTTAATTTTTTGGATTCCTTTTGTGGCTGAATAGCTTTCTTATGTGTATTAGCCAAACATTTGTATTTTCTCTTTTGTAAATTATCTATTCATAATCTTTACCCATTTTTCTGTTTCTTTTTCTTATTGATTTGTATGAATGCCTTGTATAGTAAGAATATTAACCTTTTGCCTGTCATGTATGTGGCTAATATTTTTTCAGTTTATTGTTTGCTTTTAATTTTTTGACATCTAGATGTTTACAATATTTGTGTAGTCTGTTAGTCCTTTCCCTTGTGACTTCCTTCATTATTTTATACTTAGAAACTTCTTTCAATGCAAGGATTAAATACTTATCTACATTTTCTTATGGTTTTCCATGTTTTTCAGGTATTATAATTTTAATATGTCAGTTTATTTTATTTTATGATGTGAGATAAGGATTTAGATGTTTACACCACCAAGAGAGCCAATTTCTTCCAAATCACATTCAAAGAATTCATTCATTTCTCACTGACTTGTAATATACCTCCTTCATTAGCTATGAGGCTCTTATGAAAGTGCAGATTTTAGAATCTGTAAAGCGAAAAATAACAATCTGTCACTGACCACCCAGCGTTGTCATGAAAATATACTATTTATTTTTAGATAAATCTATAAATCACATGTATAAATCTATGTGAATAGAATGAGATAAATAGGTTGGGCATGGTGGCTCATGCCTGTAATCCTAGCATTTTGGGAGGCTGATGGGGGTGGATAGTTTGAGCTCAGAAGTTCAAGACCAGCCTAGGCAACATGGCAAAAGCCTGTCTCAACCAAAAACACAAAAAATCAGCCGGGCGTGATGGTGCACGCCTATAGTCCCAGCTACTCAGGAGGCTGAGGTTGGAAGATTGCTTGAATCTGGAAGGTGGAGGTTGCAGTGAGTCAAGATTACACCACTATACTCCAGCCTGGGCGACACCGTAAGACTCCCTCTCAAAACAAAAATGAAAACAAACAAACAAGAAAAACCCCAAACAACAACAAAAAACAATAAGTAGATGCCACTTTTGGGGTAGGGGATCAGTTGAAAAAAGCAGATGAAAAAATGACAGCAGTAGGTAAGTTCAGATTAAAAATGAGGAGGATGACCTCAATTCAGGTTTAGGTCTGTTTTCCTGGGGAGCTGACCTGACCTGACCTGAACGAAGTTCTCCCAAGAAACCTTTGCCCTGGGGGCAAAGGCAGCAGTGAGCCAGGCACTGAGGCTGGCATGGAGAATGTGAGTCATGGGCAGATTTGTTTTTCAATTCCTAGAAAGCTCTTTCCCATGAGCCAAAACATAGGGATGGAAATGGGCTTGGGTTGAGAAGGTAGGGAAGGAAATGGGGAGGAGATATGGAAAAATGGCTGCACATTTTTGTGGCATTTTTTTTCAGCATACAGACTATTAAATGACAGCCGGGTGTGGTGGCTCACTTCTGTAATTCCAGCACTTTGGGATGCTAAGTAAATGGGTAGATTGCTTGAGTCCAGGAGTTCAAGACCAGTCTGGACAACATGGTGAGACCCTGTCTCTACAAAAAATACAAAAAACAATTAGCCGGGCGTGATGTTCTGCGCCTGTAGTCCCAGCTACTTGGGAGGCTGAGGTGGGAGGATTGCTTGAGCCCAGGAGGCAGAGGATGCAGTGAGCCAAGATTCTGCCACTGCACTCCAGGTGGGCAACAGAGTGAGACCCTGTCTGAAAAAATAAATAAAATAAAATAAAATAAATGAATAAATAAATAAATAAATGAAAGTGTTTTTCAGAAGTTGACACGTTCCAAATGTTTAATCAGATCTGGGGTGGTATACTCTTGCCTAACGCAATCTGAGGTTTTTCTGGAATTTTGGTCTGACTTTGGTTTGGACAGTGCCTCATAAATGGAAGATCCTTTACACTCCACTTTCCTATGGATTTGACCACATCTATAGGCTGTAAAATAAACCCCAGAGTTCCACTGCTCACAGCCTTCTGTTTTCTTAGCTTTCCTTTTTCCATTTGAAAACAAAACTAAGTCATATTGCTCAGTATTCAAAAAGCTATGAGTCTAGGCAGGGGATTATTAAGTGTTTTTTTTTTTTCTTTCATGGAGGACAATGGTAAAAGATCTACTATCCATGCCACATAGCCCTGGGTAATTTTTTTTCTGTCATCTTTAAGAATGATGCACAATGTGTGAATATGGCCCACAGTTGGGGCCTAATTATGATTCTCCAGCAAGTGCGCTGCATTTTGGAGGAAGTCTTAAACGAGCACTTAAGCAGTAATGCCTCTGAATACACCACTGTGGATCTGGAAGAGGGCTTTGATTCCTGCACCCGGAGCCGCCGACGCCCACGCTGCTCCCACAAGCACTTTTATCACCAAGTTATTGGACCATTATGGTCTACGATTGTCTTTTACCGCCTTTGATTTTTTTCTGTTGTCAGATGTGAGGAAAGTGATGTGTAATACGATCCAAAATGCTCTTGTTTGTTTTAATCTGCTGTTTTAATATATTATGGCTTCCTGCCATTACCCTCCTCTACCAGGGCCCTAGGGTCCCTTGGAGACAGTGGGAGCCTGGAATGTGCTGGGCACTTTGGGGATTTGGTGCAAAGCTGTGGCATGTGTGCTCCTGCCAGGGGGGACCTCAGAGCCAGGAGTGGAGCTGGCAGCTGGGTCCAGAGGCTTTGGAGGTCACTGTAAAAAAGAGTGGCCTGGGGACTGGGCAAGTGGAACATGCTCTCCAAGAGATCTCTTCCAACTGTGAGTTCCAGCAGGTGTTTGTATGGATTTGGGGTCAAAGCCTTCTTGGGCTTGAGGTGGGTTTAGGGCGGTTTCCCAAAACCCAGCTTCGCAATGGTAAGAAGAGATACCCACTCCAGGAAGTGCTTCAAAATGGAGCTTTAGGGTGAGGTGTGGTCTTGGGTGATGGCATCTGTGATGATTACACACAAGTACAAAACACTCTAGTCTTGGCTCTGTCACTAACTGAGCACATCCTTTCCCTCTCAGAGCCACTTGGTCCCCCGTGTCTACATGAAGAGTATGAGATTAGGCCCTTCATAATCCCCAGCCTCCCATCGGCTCCCTGGCCTTCCTGGTGTATTAACATAGGCAGCTGTTCCTGTTTCTCTTCCATCGTATGAGAAACCGTTGGCTTCTCAAGGCCGGTGGCCAGCAAGCTGGGGAAGGCCATGAAGAGGGCTATCTTTGCTCTAAAAAAAGTTTTAATTGACACATAATAATTATACATATTTATGGGATACATAGTGATGGTGTCATATATATAATGTACAGTGGTCAGATCAGGGTGATTAGTATATCTTTGCTTTTGCAGTGACCACCAAAATCATCCTGGAAAGACCTCTGGGAGAGATGGCAGAGCTTGATCCACTCTGCATGCCAAGCTGGCTGCTGGCAAGGAGGTTGATCATCTCTGATGGCCTTCAGCCACAGAGCAGCCACAGCCTTAATGAGAGACCCCTGCCTTGAACCCTTCGTTTAATCGATGAACGAATACTCAGTGAGTACTGAGTATGTGTCAGCACATCAGCTCTTTTCCTCTTCGTATCAGCCCTATGAGACATGCAAGAAGAGTGTTTATGCCCTCTTTACAGATGAGGCGACTGAGGCACAGCGTTGGGGGCCATCGCCAGAACTGAGAGTGACTATGCAGATACTGGAATCCACTTCCCTTCACCATTAGACCAGCGTTTTCCCACTCTATTGTAGATGGAACATTACAGAACAACCCTCACTTCTCAATTCTACGAAACCACTGATTATTAAGGGAGAAGACAAGAGTTGGCCATATCTCTACACATCTCATTAAAAAATGTTTCAATTTAAGAACTCTGGGCTGGGCACGGTGGCTCATGCCTGTAATCCCAGCATTTTGGGAGGCCAACGTGGGTGAATCACTTGAGGTCAGGAGTTCGAGACCAGCCTGGCCAACATGGTGAAACCCCGTCTCTACTAAAAATACAAAAATTAGTCAGGTGTGGTGGTGAGCACCTGTAATTCCAGCTACTCAGGAGGCTGAGGCAGGAGAATTGCTTGAACCTGGAAGGTGGAGGTTATAGTGAGTCGAGGTTACACCACTGCACTCCAGCATGGGTGACAAAGTGAGACCCCCGTCTCAAAAAAAAAAAAAAAAAAAAAAAGAACTCTGGAGAGGAAAATTGGAACATACCCATGTACCTGGGCTCTGTTTAAATTTCTGTTGAGATGGATCACTATTTGTCAGTGTAAAACACTGTGCTTTGGACACAAGTAGCAATAGAAATTCTAGCATGAAAATAAAATTCAAAAGTCAAAACCTTGTTCATTATCTTATAGGTAACAATGGCTTTAGGGGAGGCAGAATAGTTCCCTTAAAGGTAATTGATCCGTTAGTGCAAGATGGCAGATGAACACAAAATCCCAGTGAAAGGACAGTAAAGACATCTAAAAATGAAAAATCCATAATGGCACTAAGAATGAAAGTAGGGACAGCATCAACAGCCCAGAGATTCTAGTTTCTGTAAGAGATTCAATTAATAAATCACAACGGAGCTGTATCTAAGAATGAACTGAGCTGCCTAGAGAAGGCTAGAGCTCCCTGTGTGGATGCTGGTGCCCTACTGATATGGTTTGGCTCTGTGTCCCCATCCAAATCTCATCTTGAATTGTAATCCCTGTAATCCCCATGTGTCGATGGGGGGACGTGGTGGGAGGTGACTGGATCAAGGGGGCAGTCTCCTCCATGCTGTTCTCATGGAAGTGAGTGAGTTCTTATGAGATCTAATGTTTTTATAAGTGTTTGACAGTTCCTCCTTCAAACGATATCTCTCCTGCCACCTTGTGAAGAAGGCGCTTGCTTCCTCTTTGCCTTCTACCACGATTGTAAGTTTCGTGAGGCCTCCTCAGCCATGTGGAACTGTGAGTCAATTAAACCTTTTTCCTTTATAAATTACCCAGTCATGGGTATTTCTTTACAGCAGTGTGAAAACTGACTAATACACCTACTATAAAGCCTTTTTAAATTTGTGGCCCTGGGTTGGGGAAAAGGGTGTAAGGAGGTACCAGCTCTCAAGAGCTGAGTTGACTGTCAGCCACCACAACCATCCCAATTCAGATAAGAGGTGAGGTCATGTGTGGAAATGTATACCTTCTTGGAGGAAGCCCACCATGGCTTCCCATATTAGTCAACTTAGTGTTTCATTCATGCAGATGAACGCATAGTAGACAATGTTGCCAACCCAAGGACAACAGACAATGAAGGAAGCAAGTTGCACACAAGAGAAGACTAACATTAACATGAACAACAAAACCCAATGAAAAAATGTATTTCAGGAATGGAGAGAATTTTAAAAATCTTACTAGACTCCTCAGAGAGATCCAGGATCTTGCATCCATAAAACAAGAACAGGCTACTATGATATTGAATATTCCCAACACAAAGATGTTAAGTGTTTTAGATGATGGATATGCTAATTATTCTAATTTGATCACTGTATTGCAACATCACTATGTACCCCATAAATACATACAATTATTATGTGTAAATTGAAAAATATTTTTTTGGCCAGGTGCAGTGACTCATACACGTAATCCCAGAACTTTGGGAGACTGAGGCAGGACAATCACTTGAATCCAGGAGTTTGAGACCTGCCTGGGCAACACAGTGAGACCCTATCTCTAAAAAAAAAAAAATTTCTTGGGCATTCCTGTAGTCCCAGCTACAAGGGAGGCTGAAATTGGAAGATTACTTGAGCCTAGGTGGTCAAAACTGCCGTGAGCTGTGATCACGCCACTGCACTCCAGCCTGGGTGACACAGGGAGACCTTGTCTCAAAAAATTTTTTGTTTAAGAAGGAACCAGAAGTAGAAGGAAAAAAAAGGAGCAGGCTACTATGAAAAAGAATCTCCAGAAGACAAAAAAGAATAATTGGAAATTAAAGATATAATTGCCAAAATTAAAAAATATAATAAAATGACTGAAGATGAATTTGATAAAATCTCTTAGAGCACAGAGCAAAATGGTGAAAAGATGAAAAGCATGAAGTTAAAATTAAGAGACAAAATATTATTCCAGGAGATTCAGCATTCAAGTGATGAGAGAAAGAACAGGAGGAAAGAGGAAATGAACACATAAATTGAAGTAGTGTGAGCTTAACAATTAAAGAAAAACACAAGATTACAAATTCAAAAGGTGCACTGATTTCTGAGCAAGAAAATGAAAACAGACCCATATCTGTAGGTGAAGCAACGCACCACAGAGATAAAGAGACGATTCTGGACTGGGCCTGTCCAACAGAGTAGCCAGGTGTCATGTGTGGATACCGAGTGCTTGAATGCAGCTGGTCCACATTGAGATGTGATGCAAGAGTAAAACACCCACGGATCTCAAAGTCTTAGGATGAGAAAAGTAATGTGAAATATCTAAATAATAGCTTTAAAAATAGTGATTACAAGTTGAAATACTATTTTGGATATACAGAAATGGGTTAAATAAAAATACACTATAAAATTAATTTCACTTGTTTCTTTTTACTTTTTTAATGTGACTACTAGAAAAGTTTAAATTACTTATGTTGCTCACGTTATGTTTCTATTGTACATTGCCATTATAACAGCATCCAGAGAGAGAGAAAGACAGGAAAAGAGAGAGAGAGATAGAGAGAGAGAGATGATCCATAAAAAAGGATGAGGGTATGATCGATTTCAGATTTCCCATCAAAACACAGGACAGAAAATTATAGTATTTATTTATTTATTAATTTTTTCAAATTGTAGAGTGATATTGTTTGGCTCTGTGTCCCCACCCAAATCTCATCTTGTAGTTCCTATAATTTCCACATGTTGTGGGAGGGACCTGGCGGGTCTTTCCCAAGCTCTTCTTGTGACAGTGTATGGGTCTCACGAGATCTGATGGTTTTAAAACTGGGAGTTTCTCTGCACAAACCCTCTCTTTTCCTGCTGTTGTCCACATAAGATGTGACTTGCTCCTCCTCGCCTTCCACCATGATTGTGAGGCCTTCCCAGCCACGTGGAACCGTAAGTCCAATAAACCTCTTTCTTTGGTAAATTGCCCAGTCTTGGGTATGTCTTTATCTGCAGCATGAAAACCAACTAATACATAGAGACCCAGGCTATGTTGCACAGGCTAGTCTGGAACTCCTGGCCTCAAGCAATCCTCCTGCCTCAGCCTCCCAAAGCGCTGGGATTACAGGCATGAGCCGTAGTGCCTGGTCAAAAGATTATAGTCTAAATTTATTGGAGGAAGAAAAGATCTTAAATCTAAAATTTAATATCCAGCCAACCTGTTAATCAAATATGAAGGTGAAATAAACACTTTTCCAGCCATGCTGGATTCTGGATGAATTCAGGATCTTTATTTACCAATCATCTAGATGTAGGAGAGAAAGAAGCAGCCATGGTCCAAGAAACAGTGCCACGCTTCTAGGTGTGAAACAGAAAGGAATCTCGGGGGACACTTCCACAGCAGGTCTAAAAACACGGCTCGAATCAGAATATGAAGTCAGAAGACTCTGAATGAAACTTCAAGCATAGAATGGGGATCAGTTAACAGGCAGAACAATGAAGAAGCTGGAAAATCTCATCCCAGTGGGAAAGAAACAGGTGTATTTTTTTCCCCCTCTATTCAAGAAAGAAGAAGCACAATTTGAAATGCCAAGGAAAAAAATGGAAAAACCAGAGAGAAAAAAATAATGGAAAAACCAGAGAAGAAAGCTTTGGTTCAAATATAAAACCACCAAAAACGTGGCCTGGTTTTGAGCAACTGATGGAATGTAAGAAAAGAGAATCCATTTGACCTTCTCCTGGGAACATTCTTCGAGAGAGAGTCAGCTAGCGACATATATGATCATATTTCCTTTTCAGTGGGTCTGATCATACTCTTTCTATAGTGATCAATAATTACATAATCACATTTACATAGTTATAACTAAATGCTTGCTAGTTTCAATTTTTATAATCAAAACAGAAGGCAGTTATAGACTAGAATGTGCGTCTAACAATTGACACTGTGTAGGTGATGCCCAAGCTAGGGGAATTCAAGTTGTGAGCAGGAAGGGGAAGGGCAAGTGTAGGTGCAACTTTCTTCATTTGACTTTGGGATGAGACAAGAGATATTGTGGAAAGAAGATGGGACAAAAATAAAGGATAATGTATATTATTTAAAAATAAAAAGGTCACTACTCGAAGAACCAAATACAATAATATAATGAAACTCAAAATCGAGAGAGATGATTGAAAATATTGCAAGTGAACTAAATTCCTCCTCTATTAAATAGTGCAAATGACTTGATATTATCTAATCATGATAAGCCAAAAAATTGAAATCTATGCATATTGTTTAGAATTATGGTGGTAACTTATCAGAAGAACTAAAAAAAAAGCTTAAAAGAGTTTCCTAAAGGACTTGTGTGGGAGACAGCAGATGGGAGTTTGCTTTTTATTTCATACCAGTGTGTACAGTTTAAATGTTTTAACCTTTTGCATATATAATGTTATATTATTTTTGAAAATACACTTATAAAAATTGGTGTTAACAGTAGGTATAAAGAAGCCCTAATTAAGGACTTGTTTGTCTCTGCTGATGACATTTGCTAGCTTGGGTCTTTAGCTAATGATATATCTCCTTGTCCTTTGTGGGTCCCTGGTCTGTGGCTGAGTTCCTGTTCTGTACGCTGACACACTCCATCATTCTAAATCAACATGTGCACTTAACAGTGCTATTTAAGCCTTAATAAATATTGTATTATCATTCATGGGGGGTGGTGCGGAGAGAGATGGCAGCTTATATACAAGAGAGGGACTTTTCTTGTCAGGGCCATTGTGTATATACATGTCAAAGAGATGGACACAGAGAGGAAGCAAATTTTCACTGAGGCTTTTGAAAATGGAATAAGGAAATTTATAGCATCCTTACTCATTTCTTCAGGGAAGGGAGGAAATTCAAGGGCTCTCTAGGCTGTCCAGGACTCATGCTTCTGGTCCGAAGCAAATCCACCTTAATGTGTTGGTTCGTGGGCTCTGCATATTCTCAGCAGCATGAGCACTCAGGGGACACGGTGTCTGGGCATGTCTCAGAGCTTTCCCATGAGAAGGGGCATCCTTGCTCCTCCACCTCACTCATCATCAGGCCTTGCCCTCTGCAGGGAATGGTAGGCCCCAGAAAGCTAGGTCTACAAGACTCAAAACAGAGGCTCAGGTCCCCACTTCTCAAGAGTCCTTGGACAATGAGCTGGCTGCTAGCGCTTGGCTAGTTCCAGACCTCGTTGCTCTTTGTGGGATGGTCCCTGGATCCCCTCTCCCTGGGATTGACCCTTCCCATTCTCATGTTTCCACCTGCCTCTAAACCTCATGCTCCTTCTAATTTGGGGGCCTTTTCCATAGAAACTCTTGCCCTTTCACTTAGTTCTTGTCAAATGGCTGGAATAAATATTTGGTTTCCCAAGGTAGCTACTATGAAAGAATCAATACACATTTGGATGCATGAATTCTTTTTTTTTATTATTATACTTTAAGTTCTAGGGTACATGTGCACAATGTGTAGGTTAGTTACAAATGTATACATGTGCCATGCTGGTGTGCTGCACCCATTAACTCATTGTTTAGCATTAGGTATATCTCCTAATGCTATCCCTCCCCCCTCCCCCCACCCCACAACTGTCCCCAGAGTGTGATGTTCCCCTTCCTGTGTCCATGTGTTCTCATTGTTCAATTCCCACCTATGAGTGAGAACATGGATGCATGAATTCTAATCTGTTGGCTAAAAAATCAGAGTTACTGAGTTTTTATGTTCCTTACAGTCAGATCTATCAGTGTTCCAGTGTCTTCTGACCATCTATACCTTGTTGCCGATCCCAATACAAACTAGTGCAAGAGCCTTCATATGTAGAATTTCTCATAGAAGTCTCTTGTATTTGTCAGGACTCTTTTTTGTTCCAAGCCACAGAAACACAAATCAAATTAGCTTAAGCAACAGAAGGAGTTTATCGGCTATTAGCCAAGGAAGTCAAGGTGGATATGTGTTCAGTCATAGCTGAATCCAGGGGTTCAATGTTTTCAGGGATTTGTCTCTCTCACCAACTCTGGTTCTGTTTTGCTTTGTGCACTGCCCCACTTTCACGTGACTTTCACCATGTGGGATGGAAGATGGTTTCTGGAATCACCAAGCTTATACTTGTATAGTGTGTGATACAAAAGGAAATCTAATTATCTCTTATTTTCTTTGTATATTAAATCTTTTTTTTTTTTTTTTTTTTGAGATGGAGTTTTGCTCTTGTTGCCCAGGCTGGAGTGCAATAGCATGATCTCAGCTCACTGCAATCTCCACCTCCCAGGTTCAACTGATTCTCCTGCCTCAGCCTCCCAAGTAGCTGGGATTACATGCGTGTGCTACCATGCCCAGCTAATTTTGTATTTTTAGCAGAGATGGGGTTTCACCATGTTGGCCAGGCTGGTCTGGAACTCCTGATCTCAGGTGATCCGCCTGCCTCGGCCTCCCAGAGTGCTGGGATTACAGGTGTGAGCCATCGTGCCTGGCCTGTATATTAATTCTTTTTTTTTTTTTTTTTTGAGATGGAATCTCGCTCCTGTTGCCCAGGCTGGAGTGCAATAGCATGATCTCAGCTCACTGCAATCTCCACCTCCCAGGTTCAACTGATTCTCCTGCCTCAGCCTCCCAAGTAGCTGGGATTACATGCGTGTGCTACCATGCCCAGCTAATTTTGTATTTTTAGCAGAGATGGGGTTTCACCATGTTGGCCAGGCTGGTCTCGAACTCCTGATCTCAGGTGATCCGCCTGCCTCGGCCTCCCAGAGTGCTGGGATTACAGGTGTGAGCCACCGTGCCTGGCCTGTATATTAATTCTTTTTTTTTTTTTTTTTTTTTTGAGATGGAATCTCGCTCCTGTTGCCCAGGCTGGAGTGCAGTGGCACGATCTCAGCTCACCGCAACCTCTGCCTCCCGGGTTCAAGCAATTCTCCTGCCTCAGCCTCCCAAGTAGCTGGGATTACAGGCATGCACCACCATGCCTGGCTAATTTTGTATTTAGTAGAGACAGGGTTTCTACATGTTGGTCAGGCTGGTCTCGAACTTCTGACCTCAGGTGATCTGCCAGCCTCGGCCTCCCAAAGTGCTGGGATTACAGGCGTAAGCCACAGCGCCCAGCCTAATTTTTATGGAAGATTAGCACCACTTGGGTCATAAGCCTTTGTATTAATACTCTATATGGGGAATAAGTAACGTGATAGCCTCCTTGAGCCATGTGCTCCTCTCTGCAGGCAGGAACAATCACTGACAGCTCCACCAGCATCACACCTCAGTATTTTTTTAGTTAGTTCATTTCAACTAAATTTACTTCAATATGTATTTGTTGAATGTGTATTGTGAGCCAAGCCCTGTTCTATGCATTGAAGATACAAAGATGAATAAGCAGAACACCTTCTTTCAAGGTGTGCAAAATACAACTGGGAAAGTAAACACTTGAACAATTAATTACAGCACAATGGGATAAACGGTATGGTAGAAATTGAAATAAAGTATGAAGAGAGCACTGGACTGGTGGGAGGAGATAAGGGATTGTTAGGGAAAAAGAGGATATCTGAGCTGCACCTTGAATGATGAATAGCTCTTCAATTTGTGCCCCCTGCTCTGTGTTCCCTTTTTTTTTTTAATTTCTTGCCTTCTTTTGGGTTTATTAATACTATTGTTCCATTTTTTTTCCTTATTAGTTAAGAAGTATTCCATTCTTATTTTCTATTCATGAGAAGCTACTCTATATGCACCCTTGAGTTATCAAAGACTAATATTAGTTTCTGGTTTTGCCCCACTCCTGGAGAAGTTTGGTTATTTTGACTGTGTGCTGAGCATTGTGTTTGAAAGACTGTTTATAGAAATATTTATGACCTCATATGATGTTATCTTCCCCCGGAGAGATGTTTGTTTGTTTGTTTCTGCCACAATCCTTGGGGATGCTAGCAGTTTTGGGCAGCAAACTTGATGCACATTCAAGTTTTGACACTTTCTTGGCTGAACAGATGACCGCATGTGGACTGATTTACTTCCAGGTATCTAAATGCCTGCGGTGCAGTCCTTAAGCATCCTAGCCATTGGTAGGCCACCAGTCTATCTTTTGTTCCCTTAACTTTTGAGAGACTGCCAAAAGCACATCCCAGCATCTCAACTCTTCTGCATCAGTACAGGCTCCCAGGTGAAAGCTTCCCCAAGCGATGTTTATCTCTCTAGGTGCCTGGCCCCTCCCACACTTTGGTTAGCAGTTTTTCACCATCTTATTAGGTTGTTGATGCTTTTAATACAATATTTCTGTATTTCATCCAGATTTCCTCATTATTTCCTGAGGAAGGATTTATCTGAACTACCTAGTCTTCGTTTACTGACAGTGAGTACCTCAGCAGGCAGATGGGATAGAGAAGGATATTCCTAGGCATTTTCCAACATGGAGTTGGGAAAGTGCATGGGAGTTCTTGGGGAGAAGTAAGTGGTGACACATGGCTGGAGCAAGAAAGAGGGAAGTGGGATAGGAGGCTGGGAAGCAGGAAAGATGCCAACTTACGGTGTTTACACTACTCTGTAGCCAACTGAAGAGACTTCAGGTTTTCAGAGCAAGGGAACACCATAATCAGACCCGTGCTTTGTCATTTTAATTTTAGCTGTAGTATGGATAATGTCTTAGGGGAAGGGAGGGAAGATGAGAAAGGAACAAGACCAGCTAGAAGATGAATGTCCTAAAGTTTGATGAGGAGGGAGGGGAAATGAGGTCAGAAGGCAGTAGACAGAGTCAGGAAAAATCTTGGGGCAGAAGCCGTGAGACCTGTTGACGTTCATAAAATTCCTTGTTGAACTTTATACATTGACGTACAGTCACCGTCGAGTCCTGTTACAGACATAGAGCAGGAGGATGAATTTATCAACTTACCTGTAAGTAAATCATCCTGGCATCTTGAATGGTCAGAAAATCAGCTCTCTGGAGCTCTAAGATCTGCAGAAAATCAAATAACCATAGGGGAGTGAGAAGGTAGGTGGCACATATATACTCATCCTTTGTCTCATGTTGATCTTCTCTGGCAAGTGTGGAAAGTTCCCTACTGTGACAAAGCCTTTCCTACCCCCCCATTCTTGTGCTCAGGAAGCCTGAGCAAAGTAAGTTTAGGGTTCTGTGATGAGGCAATCATCCAGCTCATATAGCAAAAGGCAAGAATCAATCGGAAAATTGCCTGTCATGAACTGGGGCTTAGTCACCTTGACTCTAGAAAGAATCATCTTTACCCGACTCTCAACTTTCCTTGCTGCTTTTGTTGTCTCATATGGAGGTCCTGGGAAGCATCATTCAGCAAAAGTAATTTTAGATGATAACTTCAGTGCTCTTGAGGGGCTGTTTGTACCTGATGGCAAGAGCTGCAAATAGCGTGACATCATCAGTAACCAATAATGCAGTCATTGGTGCAGTCTCTTACCAGGGAGAGAAGGTGGTCCTGGGAATTCTTCTCTTGGAATTGCCTTTTGAAAGCTTGCAGCCCACTATGACTTGGGACAGGCTACTTAAACTCTTTGTGAGCCATCTATGAAATGGAGGATAACAATAGTTCCTCTCTCAGAGTTTCCTGTAATAATTAAAATGAGATACGGCTGGGCACCGTGGCTCACACCTGTAATCCCAGCACTTTGGGAGGCTAAGGGCAGATCACTTGAGGTCAGGAGTTCGAGACCAGCCTAGCCAACATGGTGAAATCTCGTCTCTACTAAAAATACAAAAATTAGCCGGGCATGGCGGCACATGCCTGTTATCCCAGTTAGTCAGGAGGCTGAGACAGGAGAATTGCTTGAACTTGGGAGGTACAGGTTGCAGTGAGCTATAATTACACCATTGCACTCCAGCCTGGGTGACAGAGCGAGACTCCATCTCAAACAGAAAAAAAAAAAAAGAAGATATACTACACATAAAGTGCCTGGGACAGTGCCTAGTGCATAGTGAGTTCTCTACAAGTATTAGCTATTATTTTCCTTTTGAATGTCCTCATGGCATCAAATCTTTTACTTATGCAGCAAACACTTTTGAGTACAGTTATGTGGAAGACATCATGCTAGATTCTGGGGATATGAAAAGGAGTAAAATTCAGCACTTACTTCAGAGCAACTCACAGTGCAATGAGGACGATAGCAAGTCAAGGGGTAGATCCCCAACTGGAAGGATCATGGAAGGGCATAGGAGAGACCTTCAATCCAGACATAGGCCTTAAAAGGTGAGTAGGAGTTCATCAGCCAATGAAAAGTATTCCAGAAAGAAGGAAGAGGGTATATAAAGGGCTAGGGGCAAACAAGTGGATGGAGCCTGTAGGTACCTGCCAGTGGCTCTAGGGTGGGAGGCTGGATGGTAATAGGTGAGGCTGATGGACAGATTTCAGATCAAGAAAAGCCATGAGAGACACACTAAGACTTTGGACTTTATCCTAAAATGTTTATTGGAGAACTATTGGAATTGTTTTAGGAAGTGACAAAATCAGATTAATGATTTAGAAAAAGTGATCTGACTGCAGTGTCGACACTGATTTGGAGAGAGACCATCCTGTAGGCAAAAAGATCAGTCAAGACACTTTTTAAAGATCCAATATTGAAATGATGGATGAGGGTCCTTGAGACGGGGCAGTGGCAGAGGGACAGAAAAAGAGGCAGATCTGAGAGATATTGAGCAAGTGAAATTGTCACCAATCATGTAAAGGATGAGGGACAGAGAGAAGCCAAGGAGAACTCCCAGTTTCTGAGGACCTGGGTGTAAAGCCAAGGAGGCAGAAAGTGGAATGAATCCTAGGCTGGGGTGTTTCCATGTGTGTGGAATGGAAGCCCACAGAAGCAAAGGAGTTAAGAGCTTGGGCAGAGTGTCACTAGAGATTAAATTCCATGCTCTAGACTGGATAGAAATCAAGATGGCAGGAGGCTGGTGGATTGAGAATGAAACAGGTTGAAAAATACTCCTTTGAGAATGGATATTATTTTGATTATAGTTTAAAGTCATTTCTAGTCAAAGCTTTAGAAAGTGGGTGATCAAATAGGAAGCTATAATATTAAAAGCAACCACAAAACCAAGCTCTAACATTGAAATAGACAAGCTGGTTTTCTTTTGTGATTGTTAAACGAGCACTGGAGTTAACCCTATGAAAGGTCCATTGATCGGATCTTTCATTAATTGTAATTGGATGGTTCATTAATTGTAACAAATGTACACATTTTGAGCCATGGCAGTACTGTTGGAATGAGGGCTTGTCCCATAAGTTGACTACTGTAGATATGTAAGTCCTAGAGTACTTATTTCAGACATATTCACACTACTTTAGAATGTTATTTAACAATATTATGTGTGTACCTTGACTCCCAATTGGATTACGAGCTTCTGAAGGAAAGTGGATTATCTTAAACTTTTTGTGTGTTTTTGGCTGTTAACATAAATGTTGGGCCCAAATGAGAGTGCTCATAATTATCTGTGAAAAGAATAAGACGACAGAGTACTTATCTTGAGGATAAATAGACAGTAAATGCTGTGCTGTCTGGACTTTTCTCAACAGGAAAGCTTTGGAAGTGGGCATTTTTGATAGTCTCTACTGCAAATCATTGAATGCAGTCATTGGAATTCAACTGCAGTGCCAGCACATTTGAAAGAGGCCTGATAAAAATGCAAAGTCTATGTTGTCTCCAATGACTTCAGCCAAGTAAAATAAGCCTAGAGGGGAAAATAAACCTTTTTCTAAAACTTCACACAGGGAAAAAGTTGCCTAAGTTTTTGAGAAATGACTAGTATTTCCAAAATGGAGTTGGATTGGGAATGTGAGAAGCCAAAGGTAACCACTATGAAAAATAACGGGGCAATTGGGAAGCACAGGTTACCTTAATCAGGCTTGGAAAGGGAGTGATAGAAATGTAAATCTAAAGCTGCCTCTAGATCCCCTGGCTAAATAGAAACTCCTAGAAGCAGAATCAATTTTTCACTGTTCAATGATGACTGCGTTTTCTATAGGTTGAAAGCACAGAAGTAGGAAAGTTTCAAAGTTCTCAAGAAATAACAGGTGAATGAATTAAAAATCATTGCTTTTGCCAACCCACACTCCCTGGCCTCTTTCTTCCCCTAGAGAGAGTTTGGTGTCTCCATCCCGCTCTGCCTGTCCTGGACACAGTTTGCAATCCCAGCTACTAATTAGCTTGTTATTGTTTCCCAGTTTAGGAAGGAGGAGAGGCAAAGAGATCCAGGGCTACTGGAGAACAGGCCAGGATGGGGGCTTTCATGGGGGACCTCTAGGGAGAGCCTGAAAAGGCAAGAGAGAGGACATCAAAGATAAATTCCTTCTGCTTCAGAATTTTGCGGAGGGTCTGCTCTACATCACACTTTGTGTGTGTGTGTGTGTGTGTGTGTGTGTGTGTGTGTGTGTGTGTGTGTGCATGCACATTAATGATCTGATGAACTTTTTCTTTTTCTTCCTGAGTTGAGGATTGAAGCATATTTAGGGAATGCTGGACCAAACTGCTGAGATTGGGACTTTTGTAGGAACTCTGACACTATTGTCTCCATCGCAACGGGAGATATAGAGACAGGTAACTTTTCTCAAAGATGGGGCTGCTCCTCCTGAGTCCAAGCTTGGCAAGGCCAAAGAGAGGAAGGGAAGCAGCTTGCAGCTCTGTGTCACTGCAAATGAACTCTTCGCCCCTGTCTAGGATTGAGCTGAGCTGAAGATTTTGAAAAGATGGGAAACGTGGGACAGAAAGTGGAAAAGAAGAAAGACAGCCCACTCTTTAAATGTGGGCTGCACATAGTGACTTCCCTCCAAAAAGGACAGTATGGAAGGGGGGTAGGGAAAGAGTAACTTCACAGTGGAGGAAACAGAGAAGCACTACCTCAGCCAGGTGACTAGGTCAACATCAACAATGGTAAGTCATGTTAATAGTGTATGCCCCTGATATGATGTGATAAGAATGGGACTTTACTTCCGTGGTTGCCCCCAGACCCATAGCCTTAGTCTAATCATGAGAAAAACATCAGATAAATCCCAATAGGAGTACAGTCTATGAAATACCTGACTGGTACTCCTCAAAACTGCCCAGAGTGTCACAAATAAGGCAAGTCTGAAAAACTGTCTCAGCCTAGAGGGGCCTAAGGAGATAGGATGCCTAAACATAACATGGAATGAACAGGAAAGGATATTAAGTAAAAACAAAGGAAATCTGTCTGAAAAAAAAAGGACTTTAATTAATAATAATCTGCCATTATTGGTTCATTAATTGTAACAAATGTACTGTCCTAATGTGGGATGCTAATTATAGTGGAAAGTGGTTATGGGGTATGTGTGAACTCTCAGTACTATCTTTGCAATTTTTCTGTAAACCTAAAACTGTTTGTTTGTTTGTTTGTTTGTTTGTTTTGACAGAGTCTCACTCTGTTGCCCAGGCTGGCGTGCAATTGTGGGATCTCGACTCACTGCAGCCTCTGCCTCCCAGGTTCAAGCAATTCTCCTGCCTCAGCCTCCTGAGTAGCTGGGATTAAAGGTGTGTGCCACCATGCCCAACTAATTATTTCGTACTTTTGGTAGAAACGAGGTTTCACCATGCTGGCCAGGCTGGTCTTGAACTTCTGACCTCAAGTGATCCACTTGCCTTGGCCTCCCAAAGTGCTGGGATTACAGGCGTGAGCCACCGCACCTGGCCAAACCTAAAACTGTTCTAAAACATAAAGTTTATTTTAAAAATCAATGTCCACATGAAAATATGCTCAACATTATCAGTCACTAGGAAAGTGCAAATGAAAATGAGAATGAGATATGGCTTCACACCCATTTAGGATGGCTATAATCAGAAAGACAGACAATATCAAATGTTGGCAAAGATGTGGAGAAATTGGAATCCTCCAGCGTTACTGGTGGGAATGTAAAATAGTGCAGCTACCAAGACAATGCATGGGGAAAGAACAGTCTTTTCAACAAATGGTGCTGGGAAAATATGCAACAGCTAGACCTCTACCTCATAACATGTACAAAAACTGAAGTGGATCAAACATGTACATGTGAGGGCTAAACCTATAAAACTCTTCGAAGAAAACATAGGTGTAAATCTTCATGATCTTGGATTAGGGGATCTTAGGTGTGGCAGCAAAAGCACAAGCAATCTAAGAATGTGAACTGGGGGGAAGAAAAATGAGTGGGAACTCCGCGGATGAGCTGGAATCCACATCCGTCCCTCACTGCCTCCTCCTGACAGTCAACTTTCACGATGCTGGTGCTGCAGAAAAAGCTGGCACCCTTCATGGAGCTGCTGTCACCAGCCCAGGATTTGGAGCAGCTAAAGGAGGAGCAAGGGCAGGAGCTGCGGGGTGGACTGCTGCCCTGCACCAACAAGGGGATCGGGGACAGCACGTGTAATCTGTGACAGCACCAGTCACCGGTGCCCTGCACTGTGCTTCCTAGGATAAAAAAAAAAAAAAAAAAAAAGCCAGTTCATTTACTTTTGATTTCCAGTTTCTTGTGCAAAATGTCTCTTATGTTCATATGAACCCCCAACTAATCAGGGAAGAAAATTCTGGGAACTCAAGATCTAAGTGGACAGAGCCCAAAGCTACCATAGGCCATAGCATTTCCTCATTTCTTCTTCTTTTATTTATTTACTTTTTTCGAGACAGGGTCTCACTCTGTCACCCAGGCTAGAGTGCAGTGGTGTGATCACAGCTCACTGAAGTCTTGACCTACCGGACTCAAGCAATCCTCCCACCTCACCCTCCCGAGTAGCTTGGACTACAGGCATGTGCCATCATGCCCAGACAATTTTTATATTATTTATAGAGATGGGGTCTCACTATGCTGCCTAGGCTAGTCTGGAGTTCCTTGGCTTAAGTGATCTGCTTGCCTTGGCCTCCCAAAGTGTTGAGATTACAGGTGTAAGCCACGGGACCCAGCTTTTCCCCTTCCCTCCCCGTCTCCTTTCCTCCTCTCCTTTTCCATTTCCTTTTCTTTGCTTCTTTTCTTTTTTCTTTTCTTTGCTTTGCTTTGCTTACAGGATCTCACTCTGTAACCTTGAACTCCTGGGTTCAAGCGATCCTCCTGCCTTGGCAGCTTAAAGTGCTGGGATTACAGGCATGAGCCACTGTGCCCAGCAGCATTTCCTCTTTTTTACAGCTTAATCCCATTTACAATTCCCTGAATCATCCCAATTCTCTCTTCCAGGCCTTTGTTTCTTCCACTGCCCTTATTGTAACTTTCAATTATTATTCTACATGCTTATTTTTTTAATGGTTTCTTATATGTCTCTGCACTACTTACCTACAAACTCCCTGAAAGAAAGGACTTTGTCTTACGTACATTTGAATCCTCAGAATCTAATAATCATGATGACAATTATGATGATCAACAATAAGAATAGCAATCACTTGTAGAGCTCACACTGTGTGTGAGGCCCAGTTGTAGTAGTTTATATATATTACCTTTTGCCTGATTGAACATCAAGTCCAATACCTCATAGAGAGCAGGTGTTCTGTCTCTGGCCTGAAACTCCCAGGGGGGTGGTGCTCATTGGGAACCCCAGGGCTCAGCTCAGTTGCCTAATGACCCATGAGAGTGGATAAAAAGGGATTTCCTAGTAGCTACTCCTTGTTCTGAGGTGAAAAATGTATTAGACGCTGGGCGCGATGGCTCACACCCTGAAATCCCAGCACTTTGGGAGGCTGAAGCAGGTGAATCACTTGAGGTCAGGAGTTCGAGACCATCCTGGCCAACATGGTGAAACCCCATCTCTACTAATAATACAAAAATTAGCTGGCGTCTTGGCACATGTCTATAGTCCAAGCTATTTGGAAGGCTGAGTCAGGGGAACTACTTGAACCCAGAAGGTGGAGGTTGCAGTGAGCTGAGATCGTGCCACTGCACTGCAGCCTGGACGACAGAGTGACACTATGTCTCAAAAAAAAAAGTATTAGAAAGTAATGGGGTTTTGCAAAATCCCTTTTGTTACCTGAAGGAGCTGTTTATTCTAGAGAAGATTTTGTCCTGACCCACCTCTGAGGACATTTGGCCCTCAAAAGCACTGCCATCAAGAGCATAAGACCCTCCCAGGGGGCTCCCTGTTGTCGGTCCAACCCCTCTGGCATCCCCAGATGGCCTTCCCAGCAGTCCAGGCCCATCTGTCTGACAGTCAGGCTCGTTGTCCATCATTTGCTAACTCGGTAGGAATGAACTTGAGCTTCAGGACATTGGAGTTGGCCAACTTTGGAGTCGAATGTTATTGAATCTTCTTTAAAAGTTGCTTTTAAACACTCTTTGCTAATATATTGCTGATAGGCCTGTGTTATTTGTGGTTCTATCGCTTTATTGATCGCTTTATTGATCCCGTGGGCGAGCTGAATGACTGAGGAAGCAGGAGCGGTGCCGCGATGAGCATGAATGCCTCTCAGAAGTCTGAACCCTGCGTGCTTCTGTTTCTCTAGGTTGTTCCCCTTGATTTAGGCTGAGACTGCTTATGGAAAAAGAAAACACCCTTCAAGTTGAAGTTATAAAAGTTAAAAAGAAAGTTTAATAATGGAAGACACAAACAATCCATTAAAACGGATGGCAGCGAATTCAGGAGGGAAGAAAATTTTCCCGGAGGGCAGAAGAGGGTCTGTCTTTGGGTCCTCCCACTTTTCTTTCTACTTATAACCCCTACCTGAAGCCTTTCTAGCCTAGGCACCCAGGCCACTGAAGCTACTTCCTGTGAGGAAGATGGTCTGATGGATTCATCTGGAAGGTAATAATGATTTAATATGCTAATCTTAATATAGGTTATGTGCATTTTCAAGAAGAGTACCTTTTAAATGAGGGACCTACAAAGCGTCATGGCCTGCTGGTTTCAGTATGGACTGGGAGAGTCTTTCTGGAGAGATGTCTGTCAATATCTGGTCAAGTTTACAATACATCTACCTGATATCCAGCAATTCCACTCCTGGTATTTACCCCACAGATGTTCTCATGCAGGGCCATACTGGAACATGCACAAGGATGTTCTCTGTAGCAAAGTTTATGATGGTAGAGACTAGGAGGCAACCTGGGGATCCCTTTCTGGAGGTGATGGATGGGAACAATGTGGTGATGCATTCTGTGGATTTCTATGTAGAACCCAGAAGCAATGCATTAGAGTGCACACAGTAATATAAACAGACCTCAAAAACAGTATAAACCATAAGGTAGCGTGAGATAATCTAATATAATACTAGTTACATAAATTGAAAATGCATGCACCCTACAATGCAGATTTTATGTGAACACATACAAAAGAAATGATAACATTGCTATGAGAGAAGGAAATGGGTATGGAGCAGAGTGTCTCATTCTTGGACTACTGACACTCGGGGGTGGAGAACCTTTGTAGCGGGTGGCCATCCTGTGCATTACAGGATATTTAGTAGCATCCCTGGCCTCTACCCTTTAGATGCCAGCAACACTTCTTCAGCTGTGACAACAAAAAATGTTGCATATATATATATATAAATGTAAGAGATGTACTTTAAAGGAAAGATAAACAAAAGTGAATACCCAAAGAGGACAATGCCCCCTCCCCCCAGTACTCTGTGTTGGTGGGGTTTTAGACACAATGTCAGAGCAGGTAGCACTTTTATCTCATATTCCATAAAGGCTACTGTCCATTCTCTCTGTGTGTAAGGTTTTCCATGGTGCGTGCAGGAGGTACAAACTCATTCTTTGTTCTTAGACTTGTGGTTTTTGAAAGCTGTCCCTGGAAGAAATGCCTGAGCATAGCTCAATCCTGAGTAGCTAGATGGCCAGATTGGGTTTGGAAGGTGCAACTGCTTCTCTGAAGGGATACTAGTTGCCTCATTGGTACAGTGGACCATGAACATCCTTCTTCAGCCCATCAAGGAACAAGGACCTCCTGTCTCCTGTTCTGCTCTTCCCTGTGGGTAGAGGAGAGCCTGCGGGGCTGCTCTAGAATGCTGAGCAGGAAGAGGCCCAGCCAGAGGGAGGCAGCTGAGGAGCAGTGGGCAGTCATTAAGCATGGGAAGGAGGATGGTTTTGGAGGCTGTCCATTGTTCTGATTTGACCTTCTCACAGCAGATCTTAGAGAACGTTGATATTTTATTTTGCACATTTTTCCTTAGGAAAGGAAGGTCTCTAATTGTAGAATAGGCCAGTTCTGGGAAGAGGTGGAGTAAAGGGAGGCATGTAAATGGGTGTCTTAGGTTAGGTTCCCTGGGAAACAGACTCTGAGAAGCCAAAATTTACATGTGGAGGTTTATTGGAAGTGCTCTTTGGAGTAACTCCTTCCCGCCTCCCTGTGACGGGTGAAGAAAGAATTGGACTGCAGATTTAGGCGGGGAAGCTCAGCTTGGGGGGAATCAGCTTTACCAATAAAGCTGATTTTTAAAAAGACTCTCATTTTTGTGTCTTATTTCTATTCGATCTAAACTCAGAAAGAGAAAGCAGGAGTGTTATTTACTGGTCTCCTAAAAATTCAGCCAGGGTGGTGAAGGTGAAGATGATGATGACAACAATGGCAATGATGATTTTTGAGACCATTTAAAGCTCAAGTGAGGTTACCCAAAGTGCCCCAGTTAGGAGATGTATTTGTAGCCACTAGTTCACGCCAATACCAGGCTCTTTCTATCTGGTTTCAATGTGGCAGCTCTTGCAATCCTGTGAATATGCACAGCCCACAGTGATATCTCACCTGCACTTCTGTATGCTTCTGTGTGGTTTGGGACATCCCAAATCATTGGTTGTAAGCTCCATGGAGTTCTACATACATGTCCTGAATGGAGTTCTCCAAGGGTGAAATGAAGACTTGGAAATGTGAGCAAGTTCTGAGCAGCCATAAACCACAGCATCACGGCTGTGAATGCATTTATATTGGAGATGCTGGGAGGGCGTTAGCACTAGTTACCTTCACTTCTACCCATCTCAGCTGCTTAGCAATCAGAATTCTGTTGAAAGAACACATGAGTCAGAGTCCTAAGCAGTGAATACGAGGATAAGCTCTGCCATTGGCTGAAGGAAAACTCGACGCTAATAATAGCTTAGGCTTGGAGTCAGCCTGTCTAGTGTGTGACCTGAAGCAAGTTACTTTATTTCTCTAAAGAGCAGTTCCTTCATATGTATTGTGGGGATAATTACAGTACTTGCCTCACAAGATAGAACAAGATGAGATAAATCGTGAAAAGTTTAGCACAATACCTAGCACAGAGTAAATATCTACACATGTAAGCTGTCCTTATTACATGAGGCAGTGGAAGATGATTTAAACTTTTACCATTTAATTATTCAATGGGAATAATAATAATAATACCTGCAGTATAGGCTGCAGGAAAAAATGAGATGAATAAATGCACACATAAAGTGTCATTATATTGAAATTAACATATGGTCTTCAACAGGATGGGACTATGTTTCTTCTTTGTTGCAATGACTGTGACTTATTTTAATAAACTTTGGCACAGACAGCTTGGTGTTACTCATGTGTCTGTTTGTTCAAGGTTCAATATGGAGGCAGTAAATCATCCTAACCAAGAACAGGGAGTTGGTGAACATTATTTCAGAGTGTTCTCACTGCAGACTGGTCACTAACAGTGCTTCAGCCATCCACATCTCAGTCTACTACAAGACAGTCGCCTATCACTGTATCATGGAAAATGTTATAAATGGATTCTGGTGACTGGTAAAATTAAAGGTATTTGAGATAGGTGGGTTGGGGAAGCCCTAACTCTGTTCTCTTGCATGGACAGAGTATAAGACTTCAGTGAAACCTTTAGCCTGCTTTAGGGAATAGAGGAGAGGTTTGATCCCTAAAAGTTCCTGTGTTCAGTCCTCAGTCTAGAATATTACCTGTCGTCTGATGCTGCCCAAGGACTAATGAAAGCCTGCCTCCAAAATGTTCCTAGGTCTATCTGGAGTATGGTTAGGACTCCCAATAATACAGAGATCTCACACTTCACAGAACTCCCACCGTGAGTGGTATGTGTGGTTCTGTGCCTGATTTTCTAAATAAAACATGTTAAGTAAATACCTATATGTGGCAACATTTGGTTTCAGACTCACTTTCTTTAAAATCTGGCAAGAAGTTGTGGGGAAGTAGTTGACTCTTGCCCATCTCAAAACCTTTGGGTGGCTACCATTAGCTACCACAAGAACCTAAATGTTGTGCATAACCAAATTGGCTTAGTCAGCTCACGGCAATTTTTATGAATAGTCATTTCAGGGCAAAACAAGCAAGTTTATAAATTCTTTTTTTAAAAAATTTATTATTATTATACTTTAAGTTTTAGGGTACATGTGCACAATGTGCAGGTTAGTTACATATGTATACATGTGCCATGCTGGTGCGCTGCACCCACTAACTCATCATCTAGCATTAGGTATATATCCCAGTGCTATCCCTCCCCCCTCCCCCCACCCCACAACAGTCCCCAGAGTGTGATGTTCCCCTTCCTGTGTCCATGTGTTCTCATTGTTCAATTCCCACCTATGAGTAAGAATATGCGGTGTTTGGTTTTTTGTTCTTGCGATAGTTTACTGAGAATGATGATTTCCAATTTCATCCATGTCCCTACAAAGGACGTGAACTCATCATTTTTTATGGCTGCATAGTATTCCATGGTGTATATGTGCCACATTTTCTTAATCCAGTCTATCATTGTTGAACATTTGGGTTGGTTCCAAGTCTTTGCTATTGTGAATAATGCCGCAATAAACATACGTGTGCATGTGTCTTTATAGCAGCATGATTTATAGTCCTTTGGGTATATACCCAGTAATGGGATGGCTGGGTCAAATGGTATTTCTAGTTCTAGATCCCTGAGGAATCGCCACATTGACTTCCACAATGGTTGAACTAGTTTACAGTCCCACCAACAGTGCAAAAGTGTTCCTATTTCTCCACATCCTCTCCAGCACCTGTTGTTTCCTGACTTTTTAATGATTGCCATTCTAACTGGTGTGAGATGGTATCTCATTGTGGTTTTGATTTGCATTTCTCTGATGGCCAGTGATGGTGAGCATTTTTTCATGTGTTTTTTGGCTGCATAAATGTCTTCTTTTGAGAAGTGTCTGTTCATGTCCTTTGCCCACTTTTTGATGGGGTTGTTTTTTTCTTGTAAATTTGTTTGAGTTCATTGTAGATTCTGGATATTAGCCCTTTGTCAGATGAGTAGGTTGCGAAAATTTTCTCCCATTTTGTAGGTTGCCTGTTCACTCTGATGGTAGTTTCTTTTGCTGTGCAGAAGGTCTTTAGTTTAATTAGATCCCATTTGTCAATTTTGGCTTTGGTTGCCATTGCTTTTGGTGTTTTAGACATGAAGTCCTTGCCCATGCCTATGTCCTAAATGGTAATGCCTAGGTTTTCTTCTAGGGTTTTTATGGTTTTAGGTCTAACGTTTAAGTCTTTAATCCACCTTGAATTGATTTTTGTATAAGGTGTAAGGAAGGGATCCAGTTTCAGCTTTCTACATATGGCTAGCCAGTTTTCCCAGCACCATTTTGTTAAACAGGGAATCCTTTCCCCATTGCTTGTTTTTCTCAGGTTTGTCACAGATCAGATAGTTGTAGATATGCGGCATTATTTCTGAGGAAGTTTATAAATTCTTCTACTAGTTGCACTTCCATTGTCAAAGCTAATTGTTAAGAAATAGTTTACGTCTTGTGGCATGCTTCGCTACAGTGCCATGATGCAGCTCTCTCCTGTCACTAGGGGAATTCATGTTAGTTGACACTTTCAGGTGGGCTTTGAAGCTGACGATCCTGGGCTCAAATTCTGGCTCCACTACTGTGTTACCTCGGCCAAGTATCCTAACCTCCCTGAGCCTCAGATTTCTCTTTTATAAAATGTTGGTTGTCTTTAATAGCGATATATTCATATATACACACAACTTTGTGAACCAGGCAGGACAGTGATACAATTTATATTCTTATCCCCAATTTATAGATGGGAATTTAAATGACTTTCCCAGAGCCACATATCAGTAAGAGGTAGGCCTAGGACATGAATTAACATCTTCTGACTCAAACCGCTGGTTTCTCTCTCAAATCAGAGCTAGAAGTACTACTGGAGGCATGAGCCAGACATTTACATATTGATAATCTGAGGAAAATACTACCTGGGGTAGTTAGGTTAGTTACCTGGGAGCAGCTACGTGGGGGCAGAAATGTAATCTACTCCCACAAACCGAGATCACTTGGCCATGCATTGAGTTATGCTCAATTAGATTTAGTAATAAAACTGTAGTACTTGGAAATCTTATGAAATGAGAGAGCCCTTTTTGAACTAGCCCCGTTTGGCATGATCCCCATTTCTTCTGAACTCCTGGCATTTTTTTTGTCTGTGTGACTTATTTGGAATACAGCTGATATGGCTCCATAGCAGGAATGACTTGGTAATATATGCTCTATCACTGCAACCCGAGGAAGCATGCCCTACTAACTTCCAGGTCTCCATGGTGCAGCACCGAGTGACCAGCTGCACGGGGTCAACTCTGACATCTGAGTTTGAATGCTAATTCTGCCTCTTGGTCCTGAGGTTGTTGCACCCTGCCCTACCTATGTCCCCTAAATGATTGTTGTGCAGATCAAGGAAGGAGGATTCTGGAGGTGACAGCATAGTGGCTGCCTCTAAGTTTGGCAACCACCATCATTAATTCTAGAAATAATTGTGCTCAGTGAGCCACTGTGGACTGAGCAATGCTTCCTCATGCTTAATGGGTCCACATGGATTTATTCTTCCTTTTAATTTTATTTTTGCAAGTGATTTCCCCCCTTCTAGCCCCACTTAAGGAGGGAAGAATCCAGGGAGAAGACAAAAGTGAGAGAATAGATTTGCAAGGGCAGTTACCAATAACTTAAAGCATTTTGACTAAAGGATACTTCATACCATCAAATGCCCTTAACCAGAGGCTAAAAAAATGGGCTCATGCCAATGAGCTCCCAAAGTGTGGAAGTATTTTCCTTCAATGAGCCTAATCTCTCATTCAAAGGCCCCACCTAGACTTTTACATTTCTCTTAGTTTGGCTATCCTGATGTGGCTAAACTGAGACCAGAGATTCTTAGCATTGAAATTTGCCAGGTTTAGCTACTGTTTCCTTCTCTGAGTAAGAGTGATGGATCATTAGAAACAGGAAATAGCAGAGGTGGAAGAGGTTTTGGTGATTATCTAGTTTAGCATTGGCATAAGCTGAGACTATTTATGCAACTGTTCTCTTAAGATGCTCCTTTCTGTCCAAAGGTCTGCGAATAAATAAGGACACGACATTCGAGGAAGAATGGTGCAAAAGCACATTATGATAACAGGGATTTCATCCTAGAACCAGAGGCCATGCTGCTTTGTAGTCAAGATCTCCATGATGGACCCCAAGGCGGTGCCTAGGCCCAGTAATATTCTCAGCATGTGCCTGAGACAGCCCAAGATTCCTCCAACAGAAAGAACTCCATGTGTGGCTCCTGCCTTCCCAGGGCTTCCCACCAGCCCTGGACATGGGATGGCTTAGTGAGTGGTTGCAGCCACCAGCAGCTGAGGCTGCGAGTTCACCTGCCAATAAAACCAGTGTCTAAATCCCTCTGGTTTGTGGAAGACTTTTTCATCTGTATAAATTCAGCCTGTAATGATACCTACTCTACAAGTTTGAAGGTTGTGAATTGTTTTTTCATACAATGAGTTCAAGCAACACGATAAAGGCATTTGAGGGAGTTAACACAGATAAGTGTTGAATTGTGAGAAAAAAATAGAAAAACACTAGGCTTTGAAATAATGCTTTGCAAATTTGGCTGCACATTAGAATCTCTGGGAGAGCTTTTAAAAATATAGATTGTGGTAGATTGTAAAAAATGGCTACAGTCTGTCTTTCACTTCTCAGTTGGTAATGTGCTTTTTCAGCTTTTCCCATCAACAAGTGGAATCTCTTTTCACTCCTACCCCTGTGAGGCTGGACCTATGGTGTCCTTCAGTGAGGAGGATGCAGCAGAAGTGATCATACCAGTTCCATGCTTTGGTCTTAAGGGGCCTTGTGTGATTCACTTGATCTCTTGGAACCCTACCCAGGCCAGTCTGCTGGATGATAAAGGAGAGCAGAGCTCAGTTGATTAAACTAAGGCCATCCTAGACTGGCCAGCCCCCAGCCAACTGGGGAGCTGACTACAGATGCATGAGTGAGCCCAGCCCAATCAGAAGAACTAACCAGCTGAGACCAACCCAAATTGACAACCAACAGAATTATGAGTTAAAAATAGTTGCTTTTTAAGCCACTATGTTTTAGGGTGGTTTGTTCCCACTAACAAACTAACTCTAGCAAAAGCTAATGGCTACACCAATGTTTGAGGCCCACACTTGTGGAATTGGATGAATTGGTCTGGGATGGACTTTAGGTACAGTATATTTTAAAAGCTCTCTGGGTGATTCTCATGTGCACCCAGGGTTGAAAACCACCAGTCTAGATGAAGGCAATCAGTGCTTCATGGCCTGGGCTATAGGTGAGTTAGACCAAGGGTTAACCCAATGGGACTCCTTTGAAGCTTGTGGATATCTAAATTTTTTTCCCATAAGTTATTGGGGTACAGGTGGTATTTGGTTACATGAGTAAGTTCTTTAGTGGTGATTTGGGAGATTTTGGTGCACCCATCACCTGAGGAGCATACACTGCACCATATTCGTAGTCTTTTATCCCTTGCCCCCCTCCCACTCTTCCCCCCAAGTCCCCAAAGTCTATTGTATCATTCTTATGCCTTTGCATCCTCGTAGCTTAGCTCCCACCTATCAGTGAGAACATACGATATTTGGTTTTCCATTCCTGAGGTACATCACTTAGAATAATAGTCTCCAATCTCAGATATCTAAATTTAAAATGAATAGATGGGCTGGGTGAGGTGGCTCATGCCTGTAATCCCAGCACTTTAGGAGGCCGAGGTGGGCAGATCACTTGAGGTCAGGAGTTAGAGACCAGCCTGGCCAACATGGTGAAACTCCGTTTGTACTAAAATTAAAAAAAAAAAAAATTAAGCTGGGTGCATGCCTGTAATTCTAGCTACTTGGAGACGGAGGTGGTGGGAGGATTGCTTGAACCCAGGAGGCAGAGGTTGTAGTGAGCCATTGTGCCACTGCACTCCAGCCTGGGTGACAGAGTGAGACTCCATCTCAGAAAATAAAATAAAATAATAAAATAAAATAAAACGAATAAACAAACTCATTAGCTCATTAACTTAGAGAAAATAATAAGCCAAGATAAAATCTGTATAAAAATGTTAGTATTTTCAAAAATCTGGGGCAAATGCAAAGATGGAAGGGACTTTTGATAAAACCAGGTTTAACCTTGACCTTGTACAGGTGGAGAAACTGAAGCCCAGATGATTTAAATGACTTGCTCAAAGCCATACAACTAATTTGTTGCAGGGTTTAGATTTCATATGAGGCCTTATTTTTTTTGGTCTATTTTTCTTGATTCTTCCATAGGGTGACAATAACATGATCCTTCTTTTGACTCACCATATGTGACCTCATACAAAATCTGTGCAAAGATAAGTCTAGGACAGGCTATCTCTAAAGTGTTAACAGGTTAAGAAAAAAGGTAGTTTTTATGGAGCATCTCTCATCTTTTGTGATTTATAACAAGGATAACAGGTTTGTTGATTATAAGATGTGTCTTGCATACTGTCAGAGATAGAAATTGTAGTCTCACTAAGAACAAATTTACTGTTTTTTTATGAAACCACAATGGGGTGCTGTAGGGGGAAGAGTGCTTAATTCCTTCCATGAAAAGAAAAAGAAGGCAACTGAGCCATGGTCAATGAATTAAAGCAGTTTATTTAACATTAATTGCAGAATTTACAGCACTACCATTTAATGATAGGAATAAAAATAGAAAGAATCCAGTGTAAGCGATGTTGCAGACAAAACATTGGGGTGGGAAATGAGCAAAACTGAAAATGCAATTAACATTCAAAGAAATCTTCCAAAAGGACTGGGAGCTTATCAGGGGATGGGCATCCCCTTGATGATGAAGCGTGATCCTCATCCCCACCAGGATTTCAGGGCAGCCACTGAACATATACCCTGTTGACCGTCCCTGGAAAGTCTTTCAGCACAGTCTGACTTAACATGTTTGAGATGGGGCAATATCTGGATTATAATACACTTTGGAAATATAGCGCAGGGTGAAAGACGGTAATAGTGTGCATTTGTGTGTGGGTTTTCTTTTTCAAAACGGAAGAGAGTGCAAATTTTAGGGGTGTGTTTTCCTGATTTTAAACATGAGAGGTGATGTCAAAGGGATCAACTGAAAAGAAAAGTTTAAAGTTTTTCCCTACGATTTTCTTGGCAATAATACCCGTGAAAGCAAGAAAATAAAACAAGAGGCGTATATGTGACTCTCTGATCTCTTGTCCTTTTGGAATCTGGAAAGAGACTTTTAAAAGGTAGTTGGGTTTCCACAAAGGACTGAGTTTCTAGAATAGCTACCTGGAAGGCAGGTGGCAGAGTACGGTCTTTGAGCATATGGTCAACGGAGGCTCACACTCTATAGCCATTTTCCCATAATTTAATGGGTCCCTTTTTAAATTTTGAAACTTTAAACAGATCTGGGACAAATTCTTCTCTCTTTACCTCCTCCTTTCTTCCCTCATTATAGTCACCTTTCAATACCATCAAGCAGTCAACAGTATAGAACAAAGGATGCAAGTTCTGCAGGCCAGCATGTGAAATTTAAAGGTATTTTTAAATAGCAAGAATAAACACATCTGAGGCCAGGGTCTAAAGTGAGAAAAGACCCAGGACTGACTTGGATTCTGAGAACAAAACTGGATGGAAGAAAAGATACTGGAACTTGTTTTCACTCACTTTGGTGGAAGGATAGCTCCTCTTGTAATAATTCACTGACCAAGGAAGGATCTACAGTATCTGTGTTAATAAAGTATTGTCTGGGTGGAAAAATTTGAATAGAAAGAATGAAAAAAAATGGACCAGCTCTTTCCCTCTGGTCCAGGAGAACACTTTTGAGAAATGCAAAGATGAAGAAGAGAACTAATTGAAATGCTGGTCAATCCCTAATTATCTTTTCCTATGATGCTCTTTGGCATCCTAGACTTGGGGAGAAAAGACTGAACTGCTCTTGGATTGAGAAAGGTTAGGTGATCGAAGATACGAATTAAAAGAGAAACCAACACCAAGATTTTGCCTGTATCATCTCAGTCCCTGCATCTAAACTTTAGTGGTTATTTATCAAGTTATCAATGTGGAGCTTGTGTTTTTGTTTCAGAAATTTCAGTATGCCAGGTGTTTTACAACATTTCACGGTAAGAAGTTTGCTGGCACCACTTGGACTTGTGTAACACAAAACTGTAAAGAAAGGAAATAATATTCTACCTTCAAGGAAGTATCTGTTAATGGTATGACTACCTATCCGATTGCTAGTCTTCGGACTCTTTTCTTCCCAGGTGGCAGGTTCCTTGTCATAATCTGAAAAAACTTTCCTAGAGATAAAGCTGACTCTTATGCTAAAGGCCAAACTGGACCAAAGCAAAGGATATGGGGGGATAAAAACCTCAAACTCTACAACTTTTTGAATAGGATTTTCAAGCAGAGATAAAGTAGGCATTGATGGGCCATGTTTTTGGCTGGGGCAATAGCTGTGATTCAGCCTGTCGCCCAAGACAGATCAACAGCATAGGCAATGTGCACTGCCCCTGCCCCCTGAGATGGGAGCAAAGCACAGGGAGATAGTGGGGTCTCCTTTTCCCTCTTGTATTTTTCCAGATCAAAGAATTGAGAATTGCTAAAATATAACCTAGCAAACAATAGGAAACCCCATTCCATACCTTTCTTTGTTTTCTAAATAATCATCTCCAAAAGGTATAGATGGGATAGCTAAACAGGATGCAGAGGATGGTGGGAGGGGGACTTCTGATGTGGAAGAGCCCCACTGGATGGAGGGGACCTGGATCCTTTGCAACCCCAGGATGGAGGAAGAAGCCTTTGGTAATGTCCCATGTAAAGCCACCAGATGGGCTGCAATAGCCTTGACTGGATAGTGTGCAAGGTGGGGAAAGGTGAGTGCCTGGTGGCCCACAGAAGATTCAAGGTTACTATTTTCTTTTTCTTGCCTTTCATGTATGAACTGGAGTCTGCCTTCATGCTGGCACATGCTCAAGACCAAAGGATTGCAGGGAAGTGTTGGAGTCCAGAGAGAGTGAGGTTAGAGATTTTTGGCCCAGTTCTCTTTAAAGCTGACAGATACAGAGATTTCTTCCTAGTACCAAAACCTACCTTCCAGCCCATGACCTGCCTTTTCCCAGGCCAGGCCCATGTTTCCCCAAGAGGGCAGGAGAGAAAACCAGGCCAAGCTGAGGTAATTTTGTAGTTATGTGTCTCCAAGGAAAAGGACATCCATTGGCACAAAGCACTGAGTAAAAACCCTTTAATAACAAAATAACATTCATGATGTAGCTACTTCAGTTGTCTGGAAAACTCAGCTTACACTTGATTCAACATACCACTTTCCACAATGTTAAAAGAAAAGGACATAAAATGGCATAACAAAATATACCTTGGGTTTCATAAGACAAGTCTTCTTGGCAAAGTGTAACCAGCCAGACCCATGCATTGCCTGTGATTAAAAAAAGGGCTGGGTACACTCATGTCTCAAATACTCCTCTACTTTCTTTGGATCAAAAATGGATTTGAACTTTGTAGATTCTACAATATCTGCATTAAGAGGAACAGTTTGTGGGTTTGTGAGTGTCAGGAAAACTTTGCTGAAACAAATATCAATTTTATTGTGGAACAACATATAAAGCTTTCTGGAAGATTAAACACTATTACAATCATCAATTGTCTTACAAAAGCCAATTTGAAAAATTCTTGTATCTGTTCCCATCTTTGGCAGATTAATAAGAGAAAAATAAAAAGACTATATATCAAAGTTTACATTACCACAACCTAATTTATAAGGCCAAATAAAAATATGTTGCTTTTTATTATTCACGAGAGCACGTTCCCAATATACCCTCATTGACAGATAATATGAATGCTACACTGTCAGTGATTTCCAATATTTTGCATAGCAGACTGCTGCTTTTCAACCAAGGTTCCCTAGGCTGCATACTCCTATGCAAAATAAAGTGTGCTTGGCAGTTGATTTGGCTTTATGTCAAGCATTTTGGTTTGGGAAATATGAAACTGGAGAATGGGTCTTTGAACCCAAGTATAAGAAAGAACAAGTTTGCCCAATCCCCTGCAACTGAAAAATAGTTTTGACATATAGAGGCCTCAGATAATTGAAGGATTTAAAGAAGATGGTTTTCCTAAAGTGGGTTTCAAAACTTCTTCTTATATTACCTTTTAGATGGTAGATGGAACATTGTTGGGCAGGTAAAAATTAAGTGAGAGTCACCTCCAAGTCTAGGGAGGGACAGCCATGATAGCTGCACATGTGAAGTTTTGGGAAATGGCTGCGTATTTTTGCCCAAATCACTGGAACAGTTGGTGGGAATGTCTAGGAGAGTGGACAAAAGAGAAGTGGGCAGAGAAGAGTTAGTAATATTGATGCCATTTGAGTTTCTACTGGGAGCTGACCTGATCACAAAATACGAGAAGAAACCACGCATAGTCAAAAATAGCCATTCCCAAGCAGAGATCAAAGAGGGCCACAGCTAGATGAATTTGCATCTACATATACATGGCCAGTTAGGTCTAAGTTCATGAGCATAAAGCCAAAATAACTCCTTTTGGTGGAAATTAAATATGCAAAGGTGAGTTTTTCAATACTCGCTTTCAAATCCCTCTCACATACGGTGATATATTTGGGTTATGAGGATCCCAATTTGTGGAATGCAAATTGGCTAACTCAAAAATTAGGAATAACGTTTCTCATTATAAAGCTGGAACCCAATTCAATGTGACTCATTTTCAGATCCCAACAGATGTAAAGGGTATTTTCGAGGTGACACATCTCCCAATAAAACCAATATTACCACCGTCTGAGGCTGAACTGTGTACATTTTCACAGTTTAATGTATACACAACTGTTCCACAACTGCTAACAAACAATAGGCGCCCATGCATAAATAAAGTCCATTGAACCAAAGGGGAAGATCTAGTTCAAAATGAAAAATGTTGCTATTAAGACCACAATGCATCACACTGCTAAATTTTTAGCCTCATGCATAAAATTATAGCACTGATTGGCAGTTGCTAATCATAATACTACACTGTTAACACGGAACAATTAATTGTTCAGACCAAGTGGCACAAATGTAGAAAATAATTATTCTTTTCAACAGAGCAAATGAACACAGATTGTTTCTTCAGCAAAATATGAAACTGTAAACTTTGGGCTCATTCTGCAACTTTCCCCAATCCAGCATAAATAAAATCCAAAGGGGGAAAAAAACATACATTTTCTTTTTAAGCGCACCTTTTTTCATCTATTACAAAAGCACAACCTAAAACGTATAAAGCTTTTTTTTCTTTTTTCTTTTTTTAAATCACAGTTACCAAAAGAAACAGTGAATAATTTATTACATACGCTATAATAACATTACTCTAAACACTATTGTCTATGAGGTATATCTGAGAAAATTCGGTAAGGAATTGCGCGGTCTGCATTGCCAACATGCCCAGGTTCATAGTAAAGCTTTGGAACCGTGAAGAACTAGAAAAAAGGGAAGAACGAGGGAGGCAGAGGAGGAGACATAGAGAAAGAACCTTTGGTATTAGTACAAATCTTGTTCTTTGCAGGGTTGCATTGCAAAGCACCACAGTACAATAAGCCCACCAACTGACTGTATGGAGGCCCAGTTGAAGCTGAGGTATTCACAGGAAGAATTAAAAAAAGCACAGAGAGGTCCAGACTGGCTAAATCGTTGCTTTGGTTCAAGCAAGGCACTCGTCCCGTGGTTATGTCACACTTTGCAAGTGAAGCATGAGGCTGGGGGGATTGCTGAGGAGAGGTCTGCCAAGTGGGGATGTTTTCTGTGTTCAGGCTGCCATCGCTCTTTCTAGATCCTCTCTCGTATGGGTGTGGCAGTAGGAAAGATGGGGAAGGTGATGTTCACTTATAGGGAGCTCTGCTGCTCAATGAATTAAGTCATCTTTGCTCTGTCTCCCAGGGATTCTGAGAGTTCTAATTCCAATAGGAATTTAGGAAGAAAACCAAAGCAATGTACTCTTTGGAAGGAAGGCCTTACAGGTTTGCCTTGTATAGGGAGAAGATGGGCCTTGAGCTTGTTTGGACAGGAGGGAACTTTCACATAGGATGGTGCTTGAAAACTTCAGAAAGAGAGTAACAGTGTTTCCTACAGTTTGTCAATCTGTCATTTATATTCCTCTACTAGCTATGCTTTGTTGATGCATGGAACTGATGAGTTGATTGGTCCCTTCCTCTCTTTGCTTCTTTGTCTAAATGCTCTCTTTAAAAGCTCAAAATAACTACATTATGTGAAATGCAAAATACTAGCACTCAAAAAGAGCCATATGGACTAGAGGCAGATCTTTGCATTTGTCTAAAACCCATTTGGTCAAAAGCTGAGACAGATTCATTGGCTAACACACAAATCACGTTGATGAATGGCTCTTAATAGTGATTTAATCATTTAATGGAATCTAAAGAAACTTGAAGAAGACCAATTAATTTCATGAGTAAGAAGGAAAGAGAGAAGCAACTTTAAGTAGCCATTTCTTAAACTGGCATATTCCTCTGTAATTTTGGGGTCATTTTTCATTTACCACAAATAACCCTTTAGTATCAAATGATGTAAGGCTTAAACTTCTCTCATAAATACAGAGTTGGCTTAGAAATGAAATGTAAACACCTACAACTAAAAAGGAAAAGGCTGAAGAGCTTAAATGTCACATGTGCCAATGGTGGTCAAGTTCCCTTTCTTGATAAATACTGACTTTAAAGTACCCATAATAATCAAAGCCAACAGGCCAAGAATGAACTTTCTCCTCCTACTGAATTAAAAAGTTATCTATACAATGCTTTGTAATGGAAAGGTTCAAAAGTGATCACATCATTGGGATCAACATGTTTTTCCTAGGGCAAAAATCCCGTATGAGCCCTAGTATTTCAAGACAGGCCACCTTCACGAAGCAACCGACCATATGTGACTATGTACTAATGGGACACTGAAAATGCTTGTGACTAATTTTACAGCTGAAAATGTTAAGAGATAAACCCCAGTCCCTGCTCATTGCTAAAGGATTGCCACCATCCTATTTGTCAATGTGGGACCGCTCTCATGCAGAGGTAGCACTGTACAATAAGCGGAGCACTGGGGCAGGAACCAGGAGGCATGTGTGGGCTTTCACTCTCAAGAGTTATTTGATTTGGATAACTATTTCATTCCTCTGGGCCACCGGGGCTTGGACTAAATGATTCCTAAGGTCTCTTCCAGCTCAACTACTCAATGGTCAGAGCTTCTGTGGTTCAGTAATTGGCAGTCTTTACTGTGACAGGTCCCAGCGGGGATAGAGGCCATGGCTAGGACTGAAGGCCATTTCCAACCAGTTTCCTTCCTCAATTTGTAATCAGAATTTAAGGAATCCAATTACAGCAGCATCTGAACTCGCATCTTGAACATGTCGAGCAGACAGCAAACATATAAGAGAAACACAGAAAATATCCCTTTCCAAATTAGCAGCCGCCGTCGCATAGATAATTATTTCTTTGGGGTATCTGAGCTGTGGCTGTACATACCATATGTCAGAGAAAATCGTTCAAATTATAAAAGAGCACAAGCAAAATGCAGACCGCACAGAGAAAGAAATCTTTGGTATCTTTGGTGTCATCAACACGATTAAAATTACAAATGGAAAAAGTCAGTGAGGTAGCCTTCTTTGGTTCTCACTAGAAATAGAAAGTTTTTCATTTTTTTTTTCTTTTTTCTGCTTTTTGTTTTTTTCCTTTTTTGTTTTGTTGCTTTACATACACACAGAGTTCATTCTTGGAAGCAGCTAGTGTAAGGGTTTCTCTCTTTTTGTTTACGATTTTTTTAAAATTTATTTTTCCAGTTTCTGTATAGAAGCCCCGAAATCCAGGCTGGTGAAGCAGGGTCTCAGCTTATGTTTTCTGAATGCACAGGTTCAGGCTGAATAGTCATTGCTTGTCCACAAAATTTGCTCTGTTGTTCTGACAGCAAACAAACTGCAGTGCTCTCTGTTGTTTTAAATTAAAAATATAAACTATACAGTGCACCTTTCACAGATGCTGAATAAGTTAAATAAATAAGTTACAATATGAAGGCTCCGAGGGCCACAATAATTAAGAGGTGAAGTTCGCCTGGTACCAGGTGGGGCTGCGAACTTAAGTTAAATAATTTAAAAATTGTTACTTAGACTATTTTAAAAGTTAATTTAAGAGGGAAGAATATCCCAAATTCTCTTTTTGTAACCTGTATTTCTTCCCTGTCTGTAACAGAATTTCACTGCTTTATAAAGCAAACTAAACTTCAAGAGTATTCCAAGTAGAATTTTGCATCTCTGATGCACCATTGGTCTAGGTTTTGATAAATAAGTACAAGGAGTAGAATCAAACTAAGGAAGGATGATTAAATAATTACCCAAATCCTATACATTTATGTACTAGGAACTAATTTAAATAAGTTAATTACATTAATGGTACTTAGCTTGTTGGGTCATAACCCAAAGAGACAAGATAAAAAGCATTCTGTGGGGTGGGGCAGAGGGTGTCTTCATTTTTTGACTGACAACATGTATAACTTCATTTGATAGTCTAAATAAAAACAAAGCAGGAAATTATAACCTCTAAAACTTTCTCATGTTAAAGACCATTTAGATGTGACAAGCATGAAAAAAATCACCACTCCCCACTAGCTAACGCAGTCTCCCCAAGACCGCAGTACCATTGTCTCAATCCTGGAAACCAGAGCCCACTGTCTCCCCATCAGTTTGCGCTTGACTTTATTATTTTTTCTTCTTTTTCTTTGTTTTTTCTTTTTTTTTTTTTCTTTTTGTCCTTTTTCAGGTCTTTGGATTTAGCTTTAGTTATGAAAAATCCAGAATAAAGCTATTCAACCGAAGTCATCAATCATAGGTGTCATCCTAACACAGATGATTAAATAATATACAAGATTTCTTGAAAGTTGAGTTTATCTTGGATATGCCCAAATGAAATTAATTCCAAGTGTACAGGATGAAGATGCTGGGATACTTTTGTTTTCCCTGCACTGTGGTTTTCAATGTTACAATAAATAATGAAAACAATGTACACTGTAGAAGTACCACATACATGTTAAACGATGATTTAAAATTTATTTGTTGTAACGGATTACAGTATATACGTATGAAGCTTGTCTGTACACACTTGTATGTACACAGTCTAGACACCTATAGGTAATGTGTGTTGTTATAAAGTCATCTATGAGAACACATGTTAAAATATGTATCTAAATTTGTATACATCCAAGCGGACAGACTGTATAAACCTTAGGCACACTTATCTGCCAAGGTTTATGCTACATGAAATGCTTGCTGCTAAAAATGGAGCAGAGTGGAAGACTTCTATGGGATGAACAAGCTGGTAGCAATGTCTTTTTCTCCACTAGAAAAGGTATTAGCTGGTTACTTCCAATCAACCTAACTCCAAAACCTCCAAGGAAAGCTTGGGCTCTAGCAATAACTGCTTCAGGCTGTCAGAGTCATTTTGGTGTGTGAGAATAATGAGCCTCATTTAAGGTCCTGTGTGATTCACACAACAGCCCATCAGCCTCAATGGTAAGTTCTGTATCTACCTATGTGAGGTCCTATATATTTTAATAACTACTTCTGTATTTTATAAGTATTCTGAGACTTTCTAAAACAGATAAACCCTCCCCTCTTTCCCTCCCCGACCTTGGAAACAAACAAATCATTGATAGAAAACAGGCATTGAGACATCCATATTTAAAATCAACATCATTATCTTATGAGACTTATACAACCAACTGGGGTGCCATTCTTCATTCCGTAAGGATTTTTGTGGCCTTATTTTAAAACTAGAATCTCCTGTTGTTTCAGGGGTGACTTGATCTTAGCTAAAGATAAAAAAATTACTAATATATCAAGTTTGGCAGACAAATATCAGAAAGTTATAGATACACCAGCTCTACCCCTTCTTCATCTACCATTTCCACTTACTCTTCCTGGTTAGGCTGAGAAGTCTGAATCACACAGCATCAGCAACAACAAAAACAAAAAGTCAGCTCTAACCTGTTACGAATCTAGAAGATTATCGCCAAGGTAGTTGTGCCTGGGCCTTGTGGTCAACCTTGACCACATGTATTATCTTTTTCTCCACTTTTTAATAGAGTTCATTATTCTTCAACAACATTGGAAACAGGCCTTTTCTTCTTAGATTTTAAAATATCCAACTATTCAAACTCCTGAAAATCCGAGTTCACTACAAAGGCATACTGTCATGACACTTTGGTAATGATAATCAAACAGACATTCCTATAATTCTACCAACATTTTCAAAAGTGGGGAAGTTTCCCCCATACCCAGATAATAGTGATTTTAAAAATCTGTTCAACTTGAATTTACTGGCACTAGTAGGTGGGTGCCCAGTATAGACAAAGAAAATAACTGATTATCTAAAAGGTATTTATTTTTGGTTTTGAAATATGTTGTTTGACTTAGAAAAGTGTGTGTGTATCAGATTTACATTCCAAATGTTGATTTTATTTTAGCTTGAATTGAAAATTATTCTGGATTTGCTAAAGCCTACAATTGCCAAGAGCCTGCAGGGGGAAAAGGGAGCTTAGAAGCAACTCTTTCTGGATTTCTCCAGAGGAAGTGCCATGCTTCCTGGTTCAACTAGCCTGCACCTTTATGCATGGTGCAAGCTAAACACTTCTTTTACATTTTGGAAAAGCTTTTAAATATTGGTGCTGAGTTTTTATTGTTGTTGCTGTTTCCTTTAAAAAAAGAAATGTATTGGCTCTGTCTGTTTTTTTTTATTATTTCCTGGAATGAAATAATTATATCCCTAGTACCAAAATCACATTAAAACAAAAACAATGCAAGCCTATTTGTGTAAAGGAATAAAGTAAATTGTTTTTCCACTCAATGGCTCTGAGTGTTTTGATTTCTGTTGCCTCAAGAATGTGAAATTTGGCTGAGAACTGTTCCTTCACACTGTACCTTTTCCTGATGGTTGAGGAATGCCTGGAATTTTCCTTGGATTGAGGTAATGGATACTAAACTATAACCACACCCAAATGGTTATTTTCTCTGAAATTATTAACTTAAATTTAAAAATCCTTGAGTAAACTCACTGGGTTAAATTCTATTACCTTTCAATATAGAAATTTTTTTCTGTTAGATTTCTAACAAATTGAAATTCTGCAGGGCTTAAAATTTTGATACATAACTGTATAGATACACATATATATTTATATATGTATGTAAATAATTTTCTAAAAGCAAGCACTTTTCTCTGGTATGACATTATCTGGAATGAGACATTTATTAAAGCTCCTTGGAGAGAAATTCTTGCCTTTTTTTTTTTTTTAAACAATTATGACATGTTCTTCTGATTATCAGAGGACTGGTTTGACCAATGTTGTAATGTCAGGTCACAAAGGCAGCCTCTACTAGTCTAGACATCTTCAGAGGATGCTGGAGACCCAAACGCTGAGATTAGTATGTCAAAGAATCACTAACCAAATCAAACAGGCTCCATTCCTCAATCCAGTCTGGAAAAGAGCAACCATTTCCACTGGACACATGTCACAAGGACTCTTTTAGAAATACCCAAGTTGAAATCAACCCACATGGGAACACTCCTCTGCTGAAATATGCTCTTTTCTTAGTCCTTTGACAAAGGAAACATGGAGTATGAGCAAGGGACAAAGGGACACAAGGGAAGAGCCAATGAACAATCTCCTAGGAAGGATGAATTATAAAAATTGTGGAGAGTCACATTCTCTCACAGCTCCTGCATAGGGAGACCCACATAGGGGGAATGAGGAGGGGGCACAAAGAACAACAATGGGGCTCTCTAGGGGCAGGACTCCAGAAGTCTCCCCAAAACCTGCTTTATATTTTCTCTTCAGGATTGAGACACTCTCCCCCATCCCACCCAACACCACTGCCCACCCCAGTGCCAGCTGTGGTTGCACATAGGCTTGTCAAAATACGAATTGGTAATTACCACCCTGAGGAAATCTATCAACCCATTGCAACAGGAGTTGGGCTTCCCCTGTGAGAAGTCCCTTTGGTGGACCTGCTCACTGAGGGGGTCTGGCACACCCAGATGGGACAGGGCAGCTCCTGGAGAACAGATTTCTGGGCTGGCCTCATATTCTTTAACTGGTGAAAATGGACCACCGAGCCTTCCCAACAGTTACAGAAGATGAGCACCCCACTGTCAGGACCCAGTTCTGGGCCGAGTCTGTTGGATGCACTTCACTCACCACCTTAATCGAGGCTGAGGGATAGAATAGAGATGACTCCGAATACAAATAAAACTCATGTACACCATGGATCCATTTATCAACAGGTTAAATGCTAAAATGCTTGATCTTGACTTTAAACCTGTCCCAGAAACTTCCATAGAGATCTGAATACTTCAAATCATCCACAGTGGCAAATTAACTCTGGAATGGCATGAGAAATGAGAAAAATTCTGAACCGAATACTTAGCAAATGAAGCACTGGACCAAAACAAGACATGAATTTGGACAGCAATAATTTTGGTTATCACCAATGTCAAGTTGATCTATATATGTATTTTATATATTATATATATCTTTCTTTAGAAATGCAACTTTACAGCTGATTTTTAAAAAGCTAATAGAAAAGTAGAAACTGGCAATTATTTTTACATGTTTCCCCCCACCCCCAAATGAAGCCCTGTTAGGATGTAGCAATCACATGAAAACGAGGCTGTAAATTCCTCTATAAACTCTTTGGTTCTGTGGCTCGGGAGAGGATGCATCACCAAGACCCCTATCCCTGACCCTCACTCCCTTTCCTTCCCCTGATGATGAGACTCTGAACATAGAAGGAACCAAGTCTAAGGGTTAAGCAAAGAACATTCAAGTGATAATGTTATTCCCTACCCTCTGCTGAGCAGAGAGAACTGTTCAATATCCCAACATCTTAAACTTGGAGTCCATGGAAACTTTTGAGAGATTCCATGTTGGGGCAAAAAACCATAAGACAAAATTGAAATGAAACAATAAAATCAAATAAATGGCCCTTTCCTTTTGTTGCTCAGAGAAACATAATTGATTACCTTTATACAGTTCAATGGCGCTATTAGTATTTTAGCCAGGCAAGAGGAGATAATGAACTGAAACAAAAGGTGTGAGAAATCCTCATCTTTGGTATTGTAGCTGTTGAGGTTTCTGTTGCTCTGTTCCGTGTTCTTTTGAAAAACTGCATAGGCACAAATTAAAGACAATCTTCAGCTTTAAGATTACCGTGTGAGTTGTCAAATGAAGCAGCAGCCACTGAGGCTCTTCCTTATTTCTATCTTTGTCTCAACCCTTTCTTTAAAATCTGCTTCCAAAAAATGTCCCAAGAGGTCTGTTTGAACACAGTGTGTCTCCCTGTTTTTGTTTTCGTTTATTTTCTGGCGTGCTTCCTTCTTATTGGTGGTGATTTCCATTGATTTACGGATTTATTTATTCATTTTAATGGGACAGTTTTGTTTGTTGCAGAAGTAGGTGCAGAAAAAGTTTCTTTGGTTTCGACTAAGTAATTCATAAAAAAGTCAGTCTCAAGTGTCTGTAAAGAATGATTGCAGCGTTTGGCTTGCTTTGAACACCCCCACGTGGCCCCACCCGGGGCCATTCACTGGTAAATATGCACATTGTGACCTTTGCAATCTCCCAGAGTTCTGTGGGCGCTCTTCCACTTGCTATGGGAAGGTGACAACTGGTGTGGCAAAGCCACCCCTCTGGGTGGCTTGGCTAATGTCCTTGGTGTAGCTGGTCCGCTCAGCCCGATGATGCGCCAAATGCAAGAGCTGAATGCCATTCGGAGTTGCAGAGGTTTTCTGATTTCTAAAAGTAATCACAGTATTTTTAGGCTAGAAAATGACAAGTCATAAATGTCTTTGGTTTGCAGTATTCTGCTTCTTTGGTGTGCTGTGTTTTCTCCAGATGTATTCAGCTGTTTTGCAAGGATGATTCAACAACAGAAGAGATTTAGGACTAGATGACAGTCATGAGTAACATGTATGCAGGTTTGATTGATTGATTTTTTTTTCTTGCTAGAAAACACAGAAAACATCCCTACTAATGGGATGGATGAGGAAAAACCCCAAATCAGAAAGAGCGAGAATGGATTACGTGGTGGTCATAACACACAGTAGGAGGGACCAGATGACTGATCAACCAAGGACACATTAATGACCTAAAAAAACCTAGATCTTTTAAAATGCTGCATTCGCTCCATGCACTGTTAACAGTTAAATTGGCCTCCTGAGTGTGCGTCTGCATTATGTACAACAGAATTTGTAGCAAACTGCAAAATGTGCTTGAAGCCATATTCTCATCAATTCCCTAATGACTTCACAATAGGTGTCTTGAAAATCCAGATGTAGTGAACCCAGAACCTTCCTCACTTCTGTTTATCTTTGTTGTGCTTGATACTTTGAGCGCAAGTGAACTGACTGGTTTTTTTGACGGATCCAAGACCATATGAGATTTCCAGGAGGTAAAGAAAAAAAAAATTGTAAGCTGGATCAACTTAAAGCTTTCTAAATCATTCAATGAAAAGATGTCTGGGTTGGAAAAACAGGTCCTTGGATTTTTTTTTTTAACGTCCATATTTAAAACTTGTGCTCAGTAATTACCATTCTGATGTTGTGGCTGTGAACTTGGACATAACATGGTATAATGAGGCTAAGCATGTGGAAAGCAAATGAGGTCATTCTCGTTGCTAGATTCTTCTCTTATTGTTGTATCTTGGAAGCCTAAACTCAGAGTCCTTACATAGGCCAAACTCCTATTGTTACTCATAGGAACTCTGACTGCAAGAAGCTGACAGGACCTGAAGTGGGATGGATGATATTTTAAGCAATCCCGAGCTTGGTTGACACCATACTGGAATTAACTCGCTCCAGGAAGGCCCCATTTGGGTTTCTGGGATGCTTAGCATGCTCAGAGAACAGTGTCTGGTTCTAAGAGATTAATTTTTCAGCTTGCACTTGGACTCCATAGCCATTAAAAACAAAAGAAGAACACCTGGCCTATGATTACAGCTAGAATATAAGTTTCTTTGCAAGAGAATTGTGCTTTCAAATCACCAGTGAAGGGCCCCAGCTAGGAATCCGGTGTCTTTTTCCTTTGTTTTCTTTTGGTATCTGTTGTCCTCATTTGGAGGTGACTTGTGCCCAAGTGAGAGTCCTTCCATCATGCTTTGGTACACGTGCTGGAGGTGGACGAGGAGCCCCCTGTGCTCAGATCGTCTTGCCACTTCTCCAGGCTGCGGCGCCGGGCGTTCATGAAGAAGTTGCTGACGGTTGTGAGCTCCAGGCCCAGCTGCTGGGAAATGGTGATCTGCATCTCCTTTGACGGGCGTTTGTTCTCCTTGAAGATGGCGAAGAGTGTTCGGCGTTGGAGGTCAGTGAACACCAGGCGGGACTTCTTCTGGGAATTGTTCCTGTCTTTGTTTGGTTCTTGCTCTTTGCGTTTGCACGCTTGAAGGGAAAGAGAAGAAGGAGAGGAGTCAGTGGGCTCACCTGAGAAGGTGATCCATGGAAAACATTGACAAAGTTGTACAAAGAGATGTAAACCGTTAAACTTTATTGTGCAAACTGCCCAGCTGTCAATAACCAGCCTTCCCTGTAATCTCCGGGTGATGGAAGGCATCAGTGAGTGAGTGGGGGATGGGAGAAAGGACAAAGCAGCAGGGCTGTTTCACACAGTCTGGTTTTGAGCTAACTGCAGTTGTCTTTCCCTTTTACATCCTCCCTGCTCTAGCATATCCTTGAAATTCTTTATCTCTGAAATCAGGTGCCACGAAGGCAGGGAGGACTCCAGACGCCAGGGTGGGGGAAGCCTGGTGAGGCAGTTCCTCTTTCATATTCACCCTCTCGAATTGTTTACAGCTGAGTTGAAATTACCTTCTGGAGTCAAAACTTAAAAGTGCATAGTTTTTCAGAATCAAAGCTTCTACCCATGTGACTCTAAAAATTGTTAACAGAATGAATTTAGAAGTGACAGAATGATGGTATCATCCCAACCCAAATTCCTTTCGTCCAGACTTTTGAAAAATTAGAACAAAACAAACAGAAGACCAAGGGAGAGAAAGACTAGAAAAATTGGTTTAGCCAATTCTCATTTGGCTAGTTTGAAATTGGAAGCTAGTACAAGACAGGGGATGAGGGTGGGGGAAGAAGCCCAATGTTACAATAGGACTTCAGGCTTGTAGACATGTTAGTATATGCAGAGTCTCTTTGATTTAGCAGAAGTGAGTATCCATGCCTGGGCTGACATATGCAGTCAAGGCCATTATGTGTCACGACCTCTCCCTTAGCCTACAAGTTCCTAGAAGGCAGCAACCAGGCCTCTGTAGTATTCCTGACTGATTCTTTTTGGAGCCATGGATACAATGAATGTTTGGGACAATGAGGACAAATGGCTTCTTGACGCTTTCAGGGAATCTGTACACTTCACAGACAGGTTCGGTGTCTCAGAAAAGTGACCTGTAAAGGTTAAATACAGTATTACAAATCATAATGCTAAAACATGAGAACGTGTGTTATAATCACTTGAAATGGCCAGGTGCAGTGGCTCACACCTGTAATCCCAGCACTTTGGGAGGCCAAGGCAGGTGTATCATGAGGTCAGGAGTTTGAGACCAGCCTGGCCAACATGGTGAAACCCTGTCTTTACTAAAGATACAAAAAAATAGCTGGGCATGGTGGTGGGCACCTGTAATCCCAGCTACTCGGGATGCTGAGGCAGGAGAATCGCTTGAACCCAGGAGGTGGAAGTTGCAGTGAGTCGAGATCATGCCATTGCACTCCAGCCTGGGTGACAGGGTGAGAGTCCATCTCAAAAAAAAAAAAAAAAAATCACTTGAAATAAGTCCCAGCTCCCCTAGGGGTGTGGTGACAGTGTGGCCTCAACAGGAAAAACTGGGGAAAGGCCAGGAAGGAGCAGAGGCCCAGATGGGGCAGTCGCCCTCAGAATCCATCCTACTGGATATTCTGGCCAGAGGTTGAGAATCCCTTTGCAGTGGACTGACATTCCCCCAAGACTGGCACCCAGGGTGCTGCTCAGATGCTTTCCTATGTTTCTCAAAGCACTGGCTTGTATATTTTGTTTCCTGGCCTTCGGGCACTGCATTTCCTGTTCAATGTGTTCTGCAGGCAGCATCTTATGTGGACGGTCTGCTACGGTGTCTGAATGTTTATGTCCCCCCAAAAATTCATATGTTACAATCCTAACATCCAAGGTGATGGTACTAAGAGGTGGGGCCTTTGGGAGGTGATTGGGCCATAAAGTTGGAGCCCTCAGGAATAGGGTTAGTGCCCTTATAAAATAAGCCTGAGAGAGACCTCTTGCCCCTTCTACCACGGGAGGACACAGTGAGAAAGTCTTCTCTGTGAACCAGGACACAGACTATCGCCTGACGCTGAATCCGCTGGCACCTTAATCTTAGACTTCCCAGCCTCCAGAACTGTCAGAAATAAACTTCTATTGTTTATAAGCACTAAGTCACGGTATTTTGTTGTTGTGGTTGTTACTGGAGCCTTAACAGACTAAGACAGGATTTAACCTGAAGACAAACACTTACGGGAAAGATACTTGGAAGCTGAATTTCCTTCTACCTAACTGGCTGCCCTCCCTGCTGGATGCTGTGTGCTATAAAGTAATATAAATGAATCATTCCTGAAATAATCAAAATGCACTGATACTCTCAAAGGGCAGGAAGAGGAGAGCCCCTGAATGGGAAAGCTGCTAGGCTGTATCAGCTTGGCTAAACTTTCTTCCTGATTTTTCCTTCTCTCATTTCTAAAAGTATTCATATTGTCTTCAAAATTAAACACACACAACACATCCACATAAAAACAATTTGTTTTCATCTTAAAACTCATTCTTTTGGGGCCTTTTGGCTTTCTTGGATGAGGAGCGCTTCCCCTGCAGTGGGAACTCAGACAGAAAGGGCTAAGACTGCTCACTGCCATCCTTCCAACAGCTTACCGGTAATGATTTCTTCTTTGCTCATTCCTGTGAAGACTGCATATTTTTGTTGGATTCTGATGATTCCTGTGTGGTGGTAACACACAGAAATAGCCTTTGCAGGGGAACCTTGTTTTGAGGTCTACTCTCTCTTGCTCAATCTGAAGTCCTCTACAGCAGTGCTGCTAAACTTTAAGGTGCATAGGAATCACCTGGAGGGCTCATCAAAACGCAGATTCTCATGCAGTTCAGCCTGGACAGGGCCTGGGATTCTGCATTTCTCATGAGCACCCAGGTGATGCTGATGCTGCTGGTCCACATGCCTCGGTTTGAGTTGCAAGGGTCTGCCTGATTTCTACAGTCTCAGAGGAGCATGTTATGCAATGGAAAGCTCTGGATTCAAACCTGGGCTTCCACACCTCCAAGACCTGGGGCCTTGCAAATTACGTAGCCTCTTTGTGCCTGTCTTCCTCATCTAAATAAGGAAATAAAAATGTTCAATTCTAGAGAGGCTTAAGTGAGATAACAGGTACCTCTTCACTTCATACTCTCCTTCTCATTGTATTACCCCAGTAACTCTGAGCTAGGCAAATCAGGAAAAATGATTTTCATTTTAAAAGGAAATACATGGAGACCTTGGAGTATATGTGATGACACTGACACCGCATCCCAGGTTTGCTGCAGACCCAGGGAAAGAAAGAATAAACACTTCTCTTGTAGGGAATGGCACCCATACCCAACTGCACATCAGAGGGGCCCTCTTTGCAGGGCAGCCTCTGGGTCTCCACCCCCAGAAATTCTGATTTTCACCATGTGGGGCAAGGTTCTGGAATCTGTGCTTCTATAAACCTCTGCAGCCCCTTTTAAGATGTAGAAACCACTATGCTTGCCCCTACTGCCACTTCAGGTCCCTGGACAACCGTCCCTGACCCTACCCCTGGGACAACTGGTGTCAAGCCTTCATCTGGAGGATTCTGAATAAATAGTGATGCATGATAATCTCCTGATAACAAAATCCAGGCAAATATCTTCTGCAAACATTGGCTGAGGTCCTCTGTCAATTCACGCTCCTTTGGATTAACCACATAGCTCTCAATTTTCATACCAATATTGATTATTCTTCAGATAATGCTGTATTTGTGCTTTTAATAGGGTGATTAGACAGTTTGGGTACAGGTCCACATTGGCTTGTCGGATTATATTTTGTGTGAGATACATATATTTAAAATTATATATATATATACACACACATATTTAAGATAAAAATATTAAAGACTTAACGTGAAGCAAACTGCACAGAGAGAACAGATCAATACATCCTGCCTATGCCTTCCCAACAGCCTTTGGAAGCCACCAGATGCCACAGCAACAAATGCAAAGCTGTAGCTTGCAGTCTAGAAGTGTACAGCAAGCCCAAATGCCCTAAATAATGAGGCAGTATGTCCATATGTTGCCCAGGGTTTTTATAGCTAGCAATTGCCAGCTGTTGATTTTGACAAAAGCAGTTGGTCAGGAGCTAAAGGAAAATAAAAACAGGAGGGAGAACACCTGCCTTGAAAGCCTAAGAAAAAGGAGACAGATCCAATGACGTCTGGGAGCTGGTGTGAGGCTGTGACCTCAGCATCCTCAGACCCGGGCTGTGGAGCCAGGTGTGCCTGCAGGCACAAGCAGAGTGCAAACGGCTTTGGTGCTGTTCAATTACTACACTCTATAGTCCACATGTGCCCATTTTTGAACAGCCAGGAAAGTGTCAATAGCTCCCTCCAACCCAAGGATGCGATAGAAACCCAACGAAACAGCAGGTGTTCCAGTGGCATTGATGGATTCAGTCTTGACACAGTCACATGCTGGTCAGGGTCTCCTGAACTCCAACTGCTCAAAGCCAGTTCTGCCACGGAAGGTGCAAGGTTAGCCCAGCCCTGTCTAGACCATTTGGATCTGATTCTTCTCCTCTCTCTTTTAGGAGGAAAGCAGGGAGGGCATGCCAGGAGCTGATGTGTCACTGCCTGATGGGGAGGTGGGTGTAGATCCCAAAAGCCCTCAGACATTCTTGAGCTCCCTCCCTCTCACAGGGAAGCAGGTCCTATGTAGGACCACATGGAAGGCCAAGCGCTCGCTTCCATTTCAAAGACTCGAAGAGAAGTCATTTGTTTACCTACAATAAGGCTACCTTTCCCCACTTTTTGAAAGAAATAATATTGACTCAGATTGGTCATGCTGGTTGTGTCCTGTGGCCCAGGACCTGGTACTGGCAGGCATGTACACATCTGTGTATAATCTGTGATTAACAAGGATGGCAGACAGCTACTGCCTAAAAATATAGGTTCCTTGGTAGATAAATTTTTCAAAACACTGGGTTCCCAGGGTAAAACAAGGGAAGCCCTGGCCTCGGGCACAAGCCCTCTCTGAGATCTTCAGACACCAACTTGCTTCTCCCTGGTGGCCACTGGATTTTTGCCCCTCAGGAGGTCAGACACAGGACAAACAAAGTGCCTTTCCAAGAATGTGCTGCTCCCCATAGCTGATCTTCCCCACCTCTAACCTGGAGAGAGAGAATGTCTCTCCACAACTGACCCTTTCTCCATGCCTTCCCCATCCCAACCCAACTCCATGTGGGCCAGGTCTACTTTGCCTCCAGAGTGGCTGCTCCTGGGCGTTCTAGGAGCTCAGCTGCCCTCTGACACCCAGACTAACCGGCCCTGGCCCTGTCCATCGCCTACCCATGGGCAGCACAAAGGTATGTGGTCAGAGTCGTGCAGCAACGCTCATCAAGCCAGGGATGATTCCCATCCAGAGGGGATGCAAAGGGAGGCGGGACAGGGTGAGGGATTGTGTGAGACTGGAGAACATCATGGAGGACAGAAAAGGCCCCGTGGTGTCCTGTGCTCTCCCTTCTCTCTCAGCTTGGGGAGGGACCTTGCCACCGACTGCGTGGTCAGTAACAGAGTAGCTTCCCCGGCCAGAAAGGCTGCTTGTCACGCATCGTGCGTTTTCCTTCTAGTAACAAAAGTCTTTGGATATTTGGATGCTGAGCAGTAATGGGGTGTTGGAAGCCAGGGCCTTTGTGCTGGTGGGGAGGGGAAGCAAGGAGAGAGATGGGGGAGGGCCCATTCCCGAACAGAGGGTAGACTGACCTCGGTTGTGTGTGTGTGTGTGTGGTTGTGTGTGTGTGGTGTGGAGGGTAAGGTAAGGGGGACAGTATCTGGTTGGTTCAGGGAGGCAGATACAGGTTGGGGAATTACCCTGGAACCGCATGTCACCTTGACACCCAGTTCCGCAGGTGCAGTGGTGTTAGCTCTTCAAGGCACCTGAACATCTTTTATCTCCCTTAGCTTGGTCCTCCTCACAGAGCCATAGAACCTCAGTGTTTTGTCCAGTCCAGGGTTGTCAGTTTCACATAAGGAACTGAAGGCACAGTGAGGTGAGTCCCAGTGGAAGCCAAAGTCTGGATCCCCCATTGGGAATTTCTTTTCACAACATCTCTGAAAGGAAGATGGGGCAGAGGTATGGATTCCCATTTTACTCTTGGAGAAGGAAACACGTTTGTTTAGGGTGACTCAATTAGCACTGGATCCTGGATTTGATCTTGGAAAACCCCTTCCCAGCCTCCACAGTTTCTGGGAAGCCTGTGAAGTAAGAGCAACTCAACACCGGGTCAGAATCTTCCAGTCCTCGCTGCCCCAGAACTGGAACTCCCCACTCAACTTGGATGGGCTGTCCTGGCCAAGGCCATCTTGGACGGGACAGCCCCAGCTGATCCAGCAGCTGACTAAAGATGCACACTTGAGTCCAGCTGAGATCAGCCAAGCACGGCCTGTATCAGCAGACACACCCAGCCAACAAACAAGCTTCTGGGCAAAAATAGATGTTTATTGTTTTATATCACCCATGCTGTGGTTCTGTGTTTTGCAGCATTATTGTGGTGACAGGTAACTGATACAGAAGCCAAGAATGACCTTTGCCTTCCTGCCCAGGGGTGAGTCAAATGTACTGTAAGAAGCTCAGATGGAAGCCAAGACCCTGTTTCCTACTCCTTGTCAGCCACTTATCAGCTGCAGGACTGTGAGCCTTAGTTTCCTGATCCTATAGAGTGGGGATGCTAATGTCCAGCACTCCAGGACATCAAAAGGCTTGCTGTAACACTTGGCACAGAGTAGACACTCAGGAAATGTGAACATTCTTCCTTCCTTAGAGAAAGCAGAAAGAAGGTGTGTAAGGAGAGGTTAAGAGTTCATGATTTCAAGTCTTACTCGATAGTAGATGAACTGCCCAGAGGGCTAATGGCAAATAAAAGGTTAAAGATGTTTGTTTTCTTTGTGAGGTTGTCTCATAGCCAATTCCCAGCCTCATATAAGAGGTAAGACTACGACGTGTTTTTACATACGTGTCAGAGATCCTAAAAGGTTTTGGACCACTGGAGTTTCCTAACATACTAATTTATGTCCAAATACATTGATGGGTATCAATATCATCTACATATGATGGGTATTGTTAGCCCCTAATAAATAATGCAGAAGTGCTCTATTCTCCTTGCATTCAGTAAATACTTTCCCTGAATAGTTCAATGTGATCTTGTCAGGGCAAGGGTGGGGAGTGGGGAGAGAGACCATCCAGGGTGTGCATTTGTCAGCAGACACTTAACCTCCAAGGATACAGGTTTGAAAAGTACACCTGCAGAAGAGGCCTTTTCGCTTTTCAGCTGAAGAGCTCGCAGCTTCCCTCCTAGGAAGGCTTGTGCAAAGTGGGGAGCGTGACCCTTTCCACTAAGGAGGGCACTCTCCCGGGAGGACATAGGGCCTGCAGTTCTGTTGGAAAGATTAACTAAGGCAGTCAATTGGGGTTATGTTGGAAAAATCAATTACAAAAGTAGGTTCACATTTGTACCTCTGGGCTTGTTCCCTGAGAAACCTACAGGTGTTTGAGGTAAGAAGAATGGAAATAACCCCCCTTCACTTCCCTGCTCTGAACTGGTGGCCCTTCAGTACTGATAGAATGACAAGACTATGGGAGAGGTGATGGTGTCCAGTAGAGAACCCTTCCTTTGGAACTAATCTGCATGATCAAGAGCCTTTAAAGTAAAAATAATAAGATTCCTTGAATTCAAACAAGGAAGAAAGAAAATAGAATAACTGTACACTCTGCTAATAAATATTTGATATTCAGTAAGCCATAAATGCTGGTAAATCTCAGCAATGCATGCTTCTCAGGGTCAGCAAATAATTAGGTGCCAGCACATTGCCACAGAGACCCTGGGAGCAGGGGGCCTAACACACAAGACTTGGGGCTCAGGCTCTAAGCAGCTCCACTGGCCATTCAGGGCCAGCTGGTGCCAGAAGCACTGATCACCCACCTGGGAGGAGCCAGGCCTTGATGGATGGGGAGGGTCTGTCTTAAAATCATTATTGGATTATTTTGTGCTCCCTAAATTTTGGAAACTATAAATAGTTCCCAGTTAGATGCCTTGCAGGTTTCCTTGCTTCATTGTGATTTCTGACGCATCACCAAAGGCCACTTAGGTTCAGATGACCATGGAGCCAGTACCATGAACCTGCCCTCCGCCCCCAACCACCTCTAGAACTAAACTCTAACTTGGCCCTCATTTCTCCAAACGTGCCTGATCTGAGTCAGATGAGAAACTTAATGGCTTTGTTTCAAGGTTGAGAGCTGGCTTTCCTCAGAAACTTGGTCTTCATGTACCAGATGCCAATACAGACAGGCAGCGGAGCCAGTGACGTCCAGACCAACATCCATTTGGGAGGCCAAGGGCAGAGACAGGGTGGACACTGTGCAAATGGATGTGGAGCCATTCTTGGTTGTTAGGTTCCCCTCCTCCTTTCACTCCCTTCTAATTGTGGATGTATGCACAGGCCTTGCAAGACAGACCTCTAACCCATTTGGCAAATTATCCTGCACAAGGTACTCCAGCGTGAACCACCTATGGGCTAGTTGGAGCACTGCCGCCTGGCTTATTAGAGCAGATATTGTGGGCGGGAGAATGGCGGAGCAAGAGGAAAAAGGAGACAGGAGGGAGAAGGAACAAGAAGGCAGGAGGGGCCATGCACGATGCACACATACACACTCCCCTCATTCTGGAGATGCTGGAGGGTGGGGGCAAAGTCCCCAAGTTCCGAGCTGCCCGGAGTCCGGGAAGGCTTGGCACTGCCCTGGAATGTCGGTGTGAGCCGTGTCTTGGGCTTCACCTCTGACACAGGACAAATCTCAGATCCTGGGGAGATTTCCTGTAGTACATTCTTCCTCTCATCTAGAAAATGTGGATGATAGGCCAGGTGAGGTGGCTCATGCCTGTAATCCCAGCACTTCGGGAGGCTGAGGCGGGTGGATCACGAGGTCAGGAGATCGAGGCTATCCTGGATAACATGGTGAAACCCTGTCTCTACTAAAAATAAAAAAAATTAGCCAAGTGTGGTGGCGTGTGCCTGTAATCCCAGATACTCGGGAGGCCGAGGCAGGAGAATCACTTCAACCCGGGAGGCAGAGATTGCAGTGAGCCAAGATCACGCCATTGCGCTCCCGCCTGGGTGACAGAGCAAGGCTCTGTCTTAGGAAAAAAAACAAACAAACAAACAAACAAAAAAAAAACCAAAGGAAATGTGGATGATCAATGGCAAATCTCTGCTCTTTCTCCACACCGCCGCCTCTGCTTTCACTTGGATGTCGAAGCTGGTCTTGACAAGCGCTAGAGCAACTCCCCAGTGTCCACTTACTGTCGGCTGGAGGCAGACCGCACAGCGACCATTCTGTGTTCCCAAGCTTCAAAGACATTCTCTGAAAAAAACAAGTTTTATTTCCTGTCTCTATTTTTACTTTCAATACAAAGTCACTGAAGGGGACTCAGGAAATGAGGGCTCTTGGATGTCTCACGACTTTCTTATATGGAGGCATGGCCTGAAAAAGGCCCAGAGTGCCCCTGGTGGGCAGATCTCCCAGGGGAAGGTTCAGGCCCCTGTAGCTGCCCGCAGGTGCTGCCTGTAGGAAGCACACTGGAGCCTGTACACCGAGTGGAGATGTACCTCTTACTTCTGCTTCTCTCCAGCAGAGGCTCTAACAAACATGAGTAGCCTCAAAGAACAGGCTTCTAATAGCAGATGGTCTAGGTCAGCTGCTAAAACCACAGACTCCTAGAAAGGCAGGATTTTAGAGAGCACTTGGTCTAACCTTGTTTTTAGAAATAAGAGATCAGAACTCCCAGCTAGGGTCACCTATGCAGTGACACAGCCCTGAGAACCCATATTCCCTCCTGTCTAGTCCAGTGGGGCTTTTATTTCCCACCTTCCTATTAGAATAAATAGTTTGGGGCACTCAGCCTTTGAAATCACAATTCCCAGTCATCTCTTCTGCCTATGCAGAAGCCTGGCAAAGAGGGATCTTTAGCTCTGCTGCCAAGCTGCATTCCTGTAAGCCATCCAGGAAGTCGTGAGTTGCTAAAACAAATATTTAATTCCAGATACAAACATCTGGCTTAAAATGGCTAGGAGAGCATGGGGCAGCTTCTTCAACTTTCTGCTAAAATCATCTCGAAGTCCTGTAATGAAACACAAAACTTAGCACACCAAAAACCAGGACTGCAGTCAGTCTGTTTTGGGGGATCTGGAGATTTTTTACCTAAACACAAGGCCAAGGCCAATGGAACTGGGTTGAAATGGGACATCAGGATTGAAAAAATAACATCTGAGTCCTCCAACTGTTGAGAAATTTAAATTCAGCAGCCATCCATCTACTTGGTAGGTGCTGCCTTTTGAAAGAGCCAGAGTACTCCCCACTCCCTTCCACCTGCCAATTAAGAACTGCAACTCTCAGAAAACAACTAGGCAAAAAAACAAAACAAAACAAAACAAAACTGCAGGGTGGAGGAGGGACACCAAGGCTGGTACATCACTCCCTTGGAGAAGTAGTTTCCAGAGCACTCAGGGTGAGCACAGGTACAAGAGGAGCCCTCGATGTGCAGTATACCGGGGGTTGTCGTGTGTATTCCATTTGATCAGCTTCTCAGCATCCCAGGATCGGATGCAGGAGATGAGTGCACATCAGTTCAGCAGGGCCACACAACAAGGAAGCTGATTAGATGGAAGCTTGGTTAGGTGTATCAACTGGCGATTTAGTATAGGGCTTAGAGAATGAGTGCACTAACATCCAGAAAAGAGGTCATGAGCAAAACATACACCCTTTCTATTGACCATGGCAAGCCAGAATGGGTCTCTTCTCATTTGAGAATGAATAAACAGGAAAAAGAGACAATTGAAAAAATAGTAGAAGACAAAAAGGGATCCTCATCTGAAAACCAGAGAAAATTTACCAGATAATATCTTCCAGAAACTTAAAGAACATTTTAGAGAATCATTTGATATAACAATATGATGCAAAAAGAGGTGGCTTTTATGAAACAGGAACAGAAAATTATTAAGAAGAAAATAGCAATTTGTAAGTAACCATATGTAATGAAAAAGTAGTAAGACAAAAGATGGGCTGGATGAGGTGGCTCATGCCTGTAATCCCAGCACTTTGGGAGGCCAAGGCGGGCGGATTGCTTAAGCCCAGGAATTTGCGACCAGCCTGGGCAACATGGCGAAACCCTGTCTCTACAAAAACTACAAAAATTAGCCAGGCGTGGGTGGTGTGCACCTGTGGTCCCAGCTACTCAGGAGACTGAAGCAGGGAGAACAATTGAGCCCAGAGGGTTGAGACTGTGGTGAGCCACAATCATGCCACTGCACTCCAGCCTGGGTGACAGAATGAAACCCTGTCTCAAAACAAACAAACAACCCCCGCCCCCCGCAAAAAAAGAGGAGTAAGATTTTTAAAATTTGCAGGAAAATGAGAAATACAGTAGTGGCATTGGAGGAAATTAAGAGCAAAACTGACACTGTGGCGGTAATGCTAGAATTTTATGTGGTTCAGGTGGTCTTTCCCGTAGAAAGGCATTCTTAGTTATTTAATGACTCAAAAATTCTAACTATAGGCTTTCTATGAAAATAACTTCTATGAAAATTTTCTATGAAAATATTTTCTATGAAAATAACTTGAAGACATACTCTAGCTTACTAAGAATTTAATCAAACTTAAAAGCTCAAGAATGTGATATTGTCTTAAAAAAGAATTGGCCAACAGCCCTATGTGGCTACGAATATCCCTGAGCTCCTTCCAAACATCCTAAAAAGTTTTATTACATGAATGAAGAGCACCTCTTTGTTAAGACTACACTAATGAATCTGCAGGAAGGAAAAAGGGTCGGTGTCTCCATTCACAACCAAATCTCAATGTTTAAAAACAAATTGTTTCGTTATTACTTTTCATCTTTATGTGAATAATATAGTTTGAACAAAAGACATTCCTTTGGAAAAGTATCTCTGTCTTGCATAGTTTACCACCAGATTTGGAAGTCCAGTCAAAGACAATTTCAGATACGTCAAACATGAAAAGCAAAACAAAACAACATGCCTATATAAAAAAACAAAAACAAAAACAAAAAAACAAAAAACAAAAAAAATACTAGAAAGAAATGTTTCAAAGTGTTGAAATTTCAGATGAGGGGTGTAAGCACCACTATGATTCAATGTTATATCGGAAAAGGAGCCAATACAATAAAATAAGAAAAAATAAATAAGAAGTGAAAATTTAGAAAGAAAATTTATAAAGGAATTTAGGAAACTGATGAAATGGCAAAAGCTTACATAAGTTGAGTGCTCATTATTTGACAGGCAGAATTCTACGTGTATAAACTCATTTAATTATTACAACCACCCTATGAGGCAGCTTATAATTAATGATACCAAGGTACAGAGGATTAAGCAAATTACTTAAAGTTACATAGTAAATAACAGGCTGGGAGTCAAATTCAGGTAGTGTGACTCCATACTTCTTTTACTTAACAGCGTCTTCAGCCAGAAACAGAATCCTCATAATTATAAGTTAATATGAGGGACTTTTTTTTTTTTTTGGTTTTGTAACCTAGAAAACTCAAGATTTTGAAAGGCAAATTACTAGAACTAATAAAAAAGTTCAGTAAGGTGGCCAGTTTCAAGATGAACATAGAAAATCAATATTGATTGTGTGTACTTAAAAATCCACGAGAATACACAATGAACTGTTAGAATTAGTATGAGAATTTAGTAAGATTCTAAGACTCAAGTCAGTAGACAAAATCAATTGTATTTCTCCATAACACATCAAACAGTAAATGAAAATGATATCATTTACAATAGGATCAAAACATCAAGAGTGTACATAGAATAGATCTAGCAATAGGTATACAAGACATTGACAGGGAAAACTACAAAACTTTGTTAGAGAAATTAAAGAATACCTAAATAAATTGATTGGAAAACTCAATATTGTGAAGAGTTTTAATTCTTTCCATATTGATCTACAGGTACAATGCAATCTCTAATCAGAATCCCAGCAGATTTCTCTCCCTCTCTTCCTTCCTTCTTTCCTTCCTTTCAAGAGGAAAGGAAAGAAAGTTTGAGTTTGACAAGCTGACTCTGAAATTTAACTGGGAATGCAAAAAAATCGAAGAACAGTTAAGCTATTCTAGATGAAGAAGAACAACGTAGGACAACTTTCTGTTTCAACTACCAAGATCTTTAATGAGGCTACAATAGATGGTGTAATACTGCAGCAAGGACATACAACTCCAGACCAGTGGAAAAGGACAGAAACCCAGAAATAGATCCATACACATATGGACACTGGATTCAATGACAAGGTTGGATATGCAGAACATGAGGAACATGTGTTCTCTCCTGTAATGGAGTTGGAATAACTGGATAGGCATTGTGTCACAATGTAATTCTTGACCCCTACCTCATGTCATACACAAAAAATAAGTTCTGCATGGATTACAGACCTTAGTATGGATGGCAAAACAATAAAGTTTTTAGAAAATAACATAGGGTAGGCCGAGCACAGTGGCTTATGCCTGTAATCCCAGTACTTTGGGAGGCCGAGGCGGGCAGATCACTTGAGGTCAGGAGTTCGAGACCAGCCTGGCCAACATGGTAAAACTCCGTGTCTACTAAAAATACAAAAATTAGCCAGGCGTGGTGGCAGATGCCTGTTGTCCCAGCTACTCGGAAGGCTGAGGCAGGAGAATCGCTTGAACCTGGGAGGCAGAGGTTCCAGTGAGCCGAGATTGGGCCATTGCACTCCAGCCTGGGCAACAAGAGCAAAACTCTGTCTCAAAAAAAAAAAAAAAAAAAAAAAAAGAAAGAAAATAACATAGGGTAATTCTTCATAATCACAGGAAAGATTTCTTAGTACTCAAAAAGTACTAGCCCAAAGAGAAATAGTTATATATTGGGGCCCGTTAAAATTAAGAACTTCTCCTGTGCAACAAAGTGAGACCCTGTCTCTACAAAAAACAATTTTAAGAAGTTAGCCAGCGTGGTGGTGCATGCCTATAGTAGTCCCAGCTACTTGGAAGGTTGAGGCAGGAGGACTGCCTGAGCCCAGGAGGTGAAAGCTGCAGTGAGCTATGATCGTACCACTATACTCCAGCCTGGGTAACAGAGCGAGACCCTGTCTCTTAAAAAAATTTAAGAACTTCTGTTTTTCAAAAGACAGGAATGACAGTAAAAAGGAGAGCCACAGATATCTTAAACACATATGTCTGCCACAGGGCCTGAATCCAGAATATATAAAATCTTCTGGAAATCAATAAGGAAATGCCAAACATTCCAATAGAAAAACAGGCAAGAGACTTGAACAGGCACTTCACAGAAGAAATCCAAATTTTCAAAAATTACATGAAAAGATGCTCAAAATTATCAGTAATCCAGGAATTGCAAATTAGACAACATTAAACACCTATCAAAATGGCTTAAATGTAAAAGTCAATACCAAGAGCTGGCAAGGACACAGCCTTGCGGGAGTTCTCCTAGGCTGCTGGTGGGAGGGCAAACTGGGACAACAGATTGGAAGACTGTTTGGCAGTATCTGCAATGGTTGAATATATATGTGCCCTATGACCCAGAAATTCTGCTCATGGAAAGACTCTCTTGTAGCAGACTCTGTCATGTGCTGCCACACTCTCCTGGCCTTCACCACTGCGGGGCACGACAGCCCAACTTCTAACTGCCAGTACCTTCAGCTCTTTGCCTGAGGGCTTTGTCTGGCTGCCAGAGCCTGCCCTGCCCACATGCAGTGCAGGCCAGAAGGGCTGGGGAAGGGTCCAGGAGATTTCCTCAATTAGGGAATAATTGGAGCTGCCAGATAAATACCCCAGCACCCTTGTTCTTCAGCTGGAACAACTCTAAGGCATATTTTCTCTGGAGTTTCACAGAGTTACTCAGCAGGATTAAGCTCCATTTGCCCACTCTACTAATGTGCTTCATGAAGTGACTCTTATTGGGCTTCTTCCCTTTCCTGTCTTGCTTCTCCACTCTTTTACTAGTGTTTTCTGGAATCACCTTTCAAATAAACTACCCATACTTGAATTCTTGTTTTAGGGTTTGCTTCTGAAGAAACTCAAATTAAGAAAACCCCACAGAAATGTATGGTTAAGTACATTAGGATGCATGTACATGTACAAGAATGTTCAGAGCAGCTCTGTAGTAAAACTGGAAACAATCCAAATGCTCATTGACAGGAGAATTGATTAACTGTGGCATATGAGTTTAGTGGAATATTATAGAGTTATGAAAAAGAAGGAATGACTGCTACTACATGCAGCAACACATAACAGCATGAAGATAATGTTGGAAAAAAGAAATCAGACACAAAGGAATACACATATAGTGAGTCTGTTTATATGAAGTTAAAAAAAAAACAGCAACACTAAACTATAGTGGTTAGGATACTTGAGTATAAAGAACTATGAAACCAAAACGCAACAGAAAAAAACCTTCACAACAGTAACAAGTAGCTAGAAATAACTCTAACCAAAAGATCAAAAGGCCAAAACTAAAACTTATTTTTACTTGCTGAGGACATAAATAAAGATTTGGGGTCCAGGCGTGGTGGCTCACGCCATAATGCCAGGGAGGCTGAGGTGGGAGGATCACTTGAACTCAGGCATTTGAGACCAGCCTGGGCAAGAGAGTGACACCCTGTCTCTACAAAAAATACAAAAAAATTAGCCAGGTGTGGTGGGTGTGCCTGTAGTCCCAGTTATTCAGGAGGCTGAGGTAGGAGGATCACCCGAGCTAGGGAGGTCAAGGCTGCAGTGAGCTGTGATTGTGCCACTGCACTCAGGCCTGAGCAACAGAGTGAGACCCCATCTCAAAAAAAAAAAAAAAAAAAAGATTTGAATGAATAGAACTCTGTGCCCTATGTATAATTGAGAAGATCAAAATAATATATAAATTCAAGCTGATTCTATAATTCCTATGGAAAAGTGAAAATACAAGGAAGGCTAAGAAGATGTAGAAACAGAAGATGAGGAGAGAAAATATATATCCTATTAGAGCTCAAGATATATCATAAAGCAAAAATAATTTAAATAGTATGACGTTGACACAGAATTTAATAGATCCATGGAACAGAATGGAGTGCAGAAACTGACCCAAGTACATAAGGGAATATAATATATTATAAAGAAAGTATTGCATTTCAAATAGTGAGAAGAGATGAATTGTTCAGAAACTGTTGGATTAGTTGGCTATCCATTTGAGATTTTAAAAAAATAGATTCCAATTTCACATAATTTATAAAAAGCAACTTCAGAAAAATTAAAGAATAAAGATTCAAATGTTTAAAAATGACCCAAGGCCAGGCATGGTGGCTCACGCCTATAACCCCAGCACACAGGCTGAGGTGGGGGGATTGCTTGAGCTCAGGAGTTTGAGACTAGCCTGGGTAACATAGCAAGACTCCATCTGTATGAAAAAAATAAAATAAAATTAGCTGGATGAGGTGGCAGGCACCTGTAGTCCTAGCTGCTTGGGAAGCTTTTGTAGGAGGATCGCTTGAGCCCAAGAGTTCGAGGTTGCAGTGAGCTATGATTGGGGCTCTGCATCTCAGCCTAGGCAACAGAGTGAGATCCTGCCTCTAAAAAATAAATAAAATAAATAAAAATGACCCAAGAAGCAAAACACATAAAGTAAAGGAAGAGCAACAAAAATATTTATTTGGGCCGGGCATGGTGGCTCACGCCTATAATCCCAGCACTTTGGGAGGCTGAGGCGGGTGGATCATCTGAGGTCAGAAGTTCGAGACCAGCCTGACCAACATGGAGAAACTCCATCTCTACTAAAAATACAAAAATTAGGCAGGCATGGTGGAGAGCACCTGTAATCCCAGCTACTCAGGAGGCTGAGGCAGGAGAATTGCTTGAACCCAGAGGCAGAGGTTGCAGTGAGCCAAGATTGCACCACCATTGGACTCAGCCTGGGCGACAAGAGTGAAACTCTGTCTCATAAAAAATAAATAATAAAAAAGATGAATTTGATACATCAAAGTTAAAAGAAGCCTTATTAAGTTTCAAAATAATACCATGGGATAAAATGTTTTCAATATATTATAGTCTATCCCTCCCTTTAGATCTATTAATGTTTGCTTTATATACCTGGGAGCTCTAGTGTTGGGCACATAGATATTTATAATTGTTATATCCCCTTGCTGTATTGACCCTTTTCTCATTACGTAGTGACCCTCCTCATCTTTGTTCACAGTCTTTGATTTGTAGTCTATTTTATCTGATATAAGTATAGTTACTCCCACTCTTCTTTGGTTTCCAATTGCATGAAATATTTTTTCTACTCTTTCACTTTCAGTCGATGTGTGTCTTTATGGGTGAAGTGGGTTTCCTGAAGGCAACATATAGATGGGTCTTGTTTCTTTAACCATTCAATCACTTTATGCCTTTTAACTGGAGAACTGAGACCACATTTGTAATTTGTAAAGCAAAAATTTGCATCCAGAATATATAAAAAACAATGCCAAACAAGGATATGAACAGGACATTCTCAGAAAAGGAAATATATATGACCAGCAAGTATATGATTATATCAAGGTTCATTAGAAATCATAAAAATATAACAAAATAAAGCAACCACAAAATGTTATTTTTAAATCCAGCAACTATGCAAAAAAAAGTAAAATGGCTAATATATTAACTTCTGGCAAGTGTCAGGGAAATAGGAGCTCTCTCCTCCACTGCTGATGGGGAGCCAATTTCGAAGACAGTGTGGTAGTGCCTATCAAAATTACAGTATGTGCATCTCCATGACCTCTCATTTTGCTTCTCGGTGTCCACCCTAGGAAACATTCCCATGGGTACACAGGGAGGTGTGTACAAGGATGTTCACTCATCACTGCTTAGCAAATAATGCAAACAACCAAAAATGGTAAACAGCCTAATTGCCCATCAAAACAGAAATGGCTAAATAAATGAAAATAGTCATGCCATAGGACACTATGCAATAAATGTGGGTTGCAAGAACCTCATTTATATGTAGAAGCTGGGTAGGCATACTATCAAAGGAAAGAAGGAGCTTTGGAATGATGCATGCAGTGTGATGCCACTTATGTGAAAACAATACGCAAACCTAAGATACCTATCGATCTATCTATCTGTCTTTCTACCTATTTATACAATTTATATGAGTACATATGTAGGTAAATAAATGCACTGGAAGTGCCTGGATTGGCAGACCCACTCTTTGTAGCCAGAAGAGTGGTTACTGCTGGGAAGTAATGAAGAAGACTGGTATTAAAGGAGATAGGCAAAGAGGACTTTATTCTGATCATTAATGTTTTGATTTTTATAAGTAGAATGTTTTAATGCATTGCTTAAATAATTAAAAATAATTTTAATAAAAGCAAAATATTAATGTGGTTCTCTTTGAGTGGCAGAACTTTTTTTTATTATTATACTTTAAATTCTAGGGTACATGTGCACAACGTGCAGGTTTGTTGCATACGTATACATGTGCCATGTTGGTTTGCTGCACCCATCAACTCGTCTTTTACATTAGGTATTTCTTCTAATGCTATCCCTCCCCCAGCCCCCTACCCCACAACAGGCCCCAGTGTGTGATGTTCCCCGCCCTGTGTCCATGTATTCTCATTGTTCAACTCCCACCTACGAGTGAGAGCATGCAGCGTTTGCTTTTCTGTCCTTGCGATAGTTGGCTGAGAATGATGGTTTTCAGCTTCATCCATGTCACTGCAAAGGACATGAACTCATCCTTTTTTATGGCTGCATAGTATTCCATGGTGTATATGTGTCACATTTTCTTAATCCAGTCTATCACTGATGGACATTTGGGTTGGTTCCAAGTCTTTGCTATTGTGAATAGTGGAGTGGCAGAACTTTTGATAAAAAATGTTTTTAAGAAATGGAGTTTTAAGCTGCTGGAGTACAGTGGCTATTCACAGGCAGTATCCCACTACTGAGCAAACACAACTGACCTTTGGATGCAGAGAGAAAGGGAAGCCTGCAGTGAGCACTGGTCCTCCGGAGGGGTCTAGGGAAGCAGAGGGGAGGGACGTCTTAGAGAAAAGGAAGTAGGGGCAGGGGAGGGAGTTCAGGAATTTGAACATCACTTTAACATCTTCTAGAACCTGGGGTAAGGGCAGGATAGAGTAAAATCTGCCTTGAGAACTTGCACATAGAGTAGGGAAGGTGGTTTCTCTTCAGTTTCAGCAGACTTGTGGCCAGGCACTGAGCTGGAGTTTGGAAACCTGGTTCCCCCTCAGAGCTCTGACATCCAGTTCTTCCAGTTGAAAGTTTATTTGACCTCATTCCCATTAGGATGGCTGCTGTCAAAACAAAATGAAAACAAAAAATAACAAATGTTGGCAAGGATGTGGAAAAATTGGAACCTTGTGTGCTGTTGGTGGGACTGTAAGATGATGTAGCCACTATGGAAATAGTATGGCAGTTCCTCGGAAATTTAAAGTGTGAATTATCACATGACCCAGAAATACCACTTATGAGTATATACTCCAAAAGAACTGAAAGCAACATGGCAGTAGTTGTTTTTTCCCTCACCAACCTGGTGATACCCCACTCCCAGGAAGTCACCGTATTGATGGTGAACTTAGTGAGGACATTGATGGGCCTGGGGCACTACAGTCCAGAACTCAGGCTCAAGCAATCCTCCCACCTCAGCTTCCCCAGTAGCTGGGACTGCAGGTACATGCCACCGCACCTGGCTTTTTGTTTTTCTATTTTTAATTTTTTTTAAAAATTGAGCAAGCAATACAATATAAATAACAAACAATCTTTCTTTGAAATTATGGTAAAATATACACAACAAAATTTACCATCTTAACTACTTTTAAGGTTATAGCTCCATAGTGTTAAGTATATTCACATTCTTGTACAATCTCCAGAACTTTTATATCTTGCAGAACTAAAACTCTATACTCATTAAACAAGTTTCCATTTCCCTCTCTCAGGCACCTGGCAAGCACCATTGTACTTTCCGTTTCTATGAGTTTGACTATTCTAGACACTTCATATAAGTGAAATCATATAGTATTTGTCTTTTGGTGATTGGCTTATTTCACTTAGCTTAGCTTAATATCCTCAAGACTCATTCAGACCATAGTATATGTCAGATTTTCCTTCCTTTTTAAGGCTAAATAATATTCCACTGTATGAAAACTCCATATTTTGTTTATCCATTCACCTCTTGATGAACTGTTGGGTTGCTTCCACCTTTTGGCTGTTGTGAATAACACTGCAGTGAACACGGGTGTACAAATATCTCTTTCAGACCCTGCTTTCAGTTCTTTTGGAGTGTATACTCAGAAGTGGTATTTCTGGGTCATGTGATAACTCACATTTTAAATTTCTGAGGAACTGCCATACTATTTCCACAGTGGCTACACCATCTTACAGTCCCACCAACAGCACACAAGGTTCCAATTTTTCCACATCCTTGCCAACATTTGTTATTTTTTGTTTTCATTTTGCTTTACAGCAGCCATCCTAATGGGAATGAGGTCAAATAAACTTTCAGTTGGAAGAACTGGATGTCAGAGCTCTGAGAGGGAACCGGGTTTCCAAACTCCAGCTCAGTGCCTGGCCACAAGTCTGCTGAAACTGAAGAGAAACCACCTTCCTTACTCTACGTGCAAGTTCTCAGGGCAGATTTTACTCTATACTGTCCTTACCCAAGTTCTAGAAGATGTTAAAGTGATGTTCAAATCCCTGAACTCCCTCCCCTGCCCCTACTTCCTTTTCCCTAAGACGTCCCTCCCCTCTGTTTCCCTAGACCCCTCCGGAGGACCAGTCCTCACTGCAGGCTTCCCTTTCTCCCTGCATCCAAAGGGCAGGACAAGGGTGCAGCTGTAACCAGACCCCATCAGAGCTTCCCGAGATGCTCCTGTGGATCAGAACTAATGGCATTAGGCAATCACTCAGGGAATAGAGCTGCAATTACCCTTGGATGCTTTCTCCAGGATGACCACATGCAGATCACCAAGAAGGAGAGAGTAATGAATCACCAAGTGAATTAACTGGAAGCCACTCTAATTAGTGTTATAATTTTTCATGAAAACACTAATGAATATGAAATAATATGGCCATGAAACCACTAGGACAATTAATGCTTGAAAGTAATTTGGGGTCAGGAAAGGATACTAGAGACTGTTTAAATAAACTTGCATGTTGAGAATTCGGTGGCCCATGGCTTCAAAATATTATCAAATAAAGTTGTTACTTCAGAAAAAGCAACATCTGGATGTCTACAGGTTTTCTTTCTTTTCTCTTTTCTTGTTAAGGATCCTAATTTGGGAATAAAGATGATGGTGTGAACCAAAACAGGAGCTCTCCAGGGAGCCAAGTCAGAACCTAAGTGAATGGATTTGGGGAACAAGATAAAGAAGCAGGGCCCAGACATATCAAAAACAGAAAAGAGGTTAAAGAGGAAGCCATTCTCCTTAGCATTTTAAATCTCATGACCACCGGGGTGTCTATAAAAATAACTTTCTGATAAGGCCCCCCAAACCTGTGATCATTATAGAGACAGATGATGTGAGTTTTGTTGGCTCAGTTGCCATTTTTATATGTGAACTTCCATCAAATACAGAATGTCTGCTCAATACATACCACACTTGCAAAATGGACTGTATTCCAATCTAAGCCTGTAGGGATTCAGTCAGAACCTACTGTGTGCACAGTCAACTTCTGGGTTCTAAGCACGAGCTTAGCAAAATGTCCATAACTGTTAAGGGAGTCTTAAAAGGACATTGGGGGTGGGGAGTAAATAGTCCGGCTGCATGGTTGGCCAGTTTGCAAACAGCATGCCCAGTGATGAGTGTAGAGTCTGGCAATCTCACTCATCCTAAATCTCATCTGAGAAAATGACAAAAAATTTATGTTGAAGTACAGATGTGGCCCATGTGTAATAGGATGTTAGCTGTAAAACTGAGGAGATAGGAGGCAATGTACCAGGTGCCATATACCCTTATGGCGTCTCATTTAATCTGTACACCAACTAGATAACGTCAGGACCTACCTTGTCCTCCTCCTACAGAGGAGGGAACTGAGGCTCTTCAAGAGTCGTCCCCTGCCTGACATCACAGAGCTAGTAAATGGTGGCTCAGATACAAACTGGATCTGTTTGGCTCATGCTGTCATTGACAATGCCAAGCAATATTCTTAATATATAAAAGCTATGGGAACATTGGTGACTCAGGCCAAATTTCCTGCTGATATATGGAGAAGTTACAAAAAATTAATCAATCAATCAATAATGGCAGATATTTTAGCAAGTATTTACTATTTACCAGTTATTCTAAGCATCTGTATGCATTAACTTACTTAAGGCTCACAATAACCTTACAATGTACCTATTGTTATTTAGAGGCAAAGCCATAAAGAAGAAACCTTAAAGACCTTGGCAGACCTTGAAGGTTATAATGAATTCAAAAATGTTCAAAGGCTAATTAACAATGCAACAAAAAGCAGTTCTTTGGAACAATTTTTTTAAAAAAATTAAGGCAGCATTTATGGAATGCTAATTCTTCAATTACAGCTCGAACACCATAGATTCCCTCGCCATAGAATTTAATGGAATGGCTGTCTCAAGGAGAGGCAGGATAAAAGATGAGGAGGGCTTGTTCTTCTGTCCTCAGTAGCAGGGTGGGTGGAGTTGAAAAATAAGGGTTTGTTCCTATGTCTTGTTTCCAAAGATGTACACAGGAATACATCTTCTGACAATTTATCCTATTTGCTTTCAAACCCAAGTTGGAATTCTACCCCTTTGGCCATGCAGATGAAACTCTGGTATGACCCAAAGAAAGCTAGCCGCTGTGAGCTGGACTGCGAGTCTGTAAATCAGAGTCCTATGACTCCGGCTAATGCATGAAAGAAGTTATGAATTTAGTTCACAATGCTCAGAATCTGAATAAACCAGCCTGCAAAACCATAGGCATAAAAACACAAGAACTACTAAGGGTGCCATTTCTTCACATTCAGGGGAACTGTGAGCACTGGGTATTGATTCGTAGGACGCCATTTCATGTGAATGCAGAACAAATCTAGCTAAACAAAGTTATCTGCCTGATGGAACTCAAAAATATTTCTCAATTTAATTTTAAACAGACTTTGACTTGAAGGAAATTTAATTATGTGAGTAATATAGAACACAATGAAATGTCCATCAAAATTGCTTCCAAAGGCTTAAAATGTTTTCCTTTTCAGACAACATAGTCAGAGCAGCTAAGATATCTACGTGAGTACAGTGTCTTAAAAATTGGGTCTTGGAAATCAATGTGATCACCTCTCTGAATTAAGTATGTGCAAATGACAGCAACTGAGATCCATATAACTCAGCTCAAGTAGCCCTCTGTGCACCAGATCATTAGGGGACAGGCAGGGAAGAAGGAGGATGCAATAAACACATGATCTGGGGTGTACTCACTAATGGACGGCATCCCTTAACACCCACATTAAGAATCAAGACAAAACTGTCAAGTATTTTTTAACACTGCTTATGATTTTTAAAAAAGTATGCTCCAGATGTAGAACCTAAGTTTAAAAAAACTTAGACATTGTTAAAGTTATAAATGCGCAAACATTTTGATCTTTTTGATATCCCTTCCAACTTGCTTCTTTATTCATTGGTAAACCCTAAGCAGTGTTTGCTTTGTTTAGATTTTCTTAACACAAAATAATTGAGATCTGAATTGGATGCCTTAATTCTGTAGGCAACAGGCTTGGACCTTTGCTCCCCTGGAATTTGGTAATTATTGTAGTAGAACAAAATTTAAAAGTTTAAAGTGAAACCCTATTTTACAATACAGGTTGAGGCCAGGCGTGGTGGCGCACGCCTGTAATCCCAGCACTTTGGGAGGCCAAGGTGAGTGGATCACCTGAGGTCAGGAGTTCGAGACCAGCCTGGCCAACATGGCAAAACCCCATCTCTACTAAAAATATGAAAATTAGCTGGGCATAGTGGTGGGCACCTGTAATCCCACCTACTTGGGAGGCTGAGGCAGGAGAGTAGCTTGAACCCAGTAGGTGGAGGTTGCAGTGAGCCAAGATTGTACTACTGCACTCCAGCCTGTGTTACAGAGTGAGACTCTGTCTCTAAAATAAAATAAAATAAAATAAAATAAAATACAGGTTGAGCTACAAGCAATCACCTGGTGGGTCTTGAGGGGATCTCCCATTGGGACACTAGAGCAGTGGGATTCTGGGGATCATTTATCCTTGCATATTTACTAAGTGCAAACTATGTGTTAGGCATTGTGGTGGGGCTAAAGGGAAGATGCAGGAGAACAAAGCTCAGGGTCCCTGCTTGCTATGATCTAGTCGAGAAGATCAAGCATGTCACAAACAGTCTCAATACAAAGAGGCGTGGTTCCTGTCCAGGTGGGCATAGGTTTGTTACTTATGAATGTGAAATACCCCCACACTTATCTTCTGTGTTGCCAAAATTAGCCCTATACTATTGGACATCCTTGATGTCTGTGTATCACCATAGCAGTGGCAGCTTCCAAGAATAAATGAGCTAAAATACATGGCATGAGGTAGAATGCAAACAAAACAAAACAAACAAACAAAGAAAAACACCAACACCGCCCCCCCCATTCCTCATGCTTGCCTTTTCTGTGCCCATGCTTCCTGCCATGTAACTTTGTAGAGCCTTTCCACCCTGTCTCTGGGCTCAGGCAGGTGACTTGCTTTCACCAATGGAACCAACTTGCTTTCACCTCTTGCTTTCCAGGGGTGGAATACTTGGATTCATGAGTTGGTGTAGCTTATCCAGTTAGAAAAGTCCACCTGTCTCTGCTGTGAATTTTCCGCCCTTTACCCTCCAATCCAATCACCTATTTACTCCACATCCTGCCCTTTTAATGGACTTTCCAGAATCTGCCTATGCAAGCCTGAATCTAAGGCTCGGGATGGAGAACTGGTTAGGGAGGAGTGGGGCTAGCGATATGGACTCCTTCTGGTTCCAGATGCTTCCTTTAGGAAGAGGGCAGAAAAGGAGGTAAAGAAGTGTATAGCCTTTGGTGACACCCATGTCTAGGCTATGGTGCCGTAGCCAGAGAACAGGGTGGCCTCTGACTCCCCCATTGGGAGTCTAAGGCCCTTCAGGGAGGCCTCAGAGCTGCTTCCTGCCCAGCGCAACCCTGCCTGTCTCTGCCTCAGTGTCAGAGGAAACTTGGTTTGGTTATGCAAGGCACAGAAATGACAGTCACACAGGTCAATTGCTTACCTAGTTATCATGCAGCACAGCAATGCATTCAATTCAAGGCAACAGAAAATAAAAATCTGGAATGCTTTCATTTAACACTAAATTCTGTTCATAAATGGTTAGTCTTCATAATTTGTTACTCATGTAATATGAACGTCAAAACATAACTGTAAAAAAGATGAAATATCACGAGCTAATATATAATTTCCACGTAAGATGTATAGCAAATAAATGATCTTAGTTTCAGTTTCCAACTAAAGTTGACATAGTAATAAACTCTGTTCTCACTCAATTCCATATGGATATGTAAAGGTAAGTGAGGATGTATCCATTCAAATCTTAAATATACAGTAAAGTCAAAAAGGGACAAGGGCTAGTTCATATATTTTCACTCCCAACTACTTAGTTCAGTACAGTGTAGGCAGCAATGGATTCATCAAAGGAAAATAATAAAATATAAAATTAAAATAAAATAAAAAGATAAAAATATTAACCTCTGTTTTTTTTCTTCACAGGTAACTTTACGTTATTAACAACCTAAGCACTTGCAGTATCTCAAGTAATGGCTGTTTAGATGCAAGTTTAGTTTACTGATAATTAAAATGACTTAAAATAGGAAAGCAGTCCCTCTGATTTGCTGATATAATTGCTGGCACAATTGCCCTGAGGTGGGTAAAATTTTCCATCTTGTATGAAGCAGAACAACCTTTGCTATTAACGAAGACATCACAAGCCCTGTTTCTCTATATTAAGCTTATGTCTCATTTCAGATTAACATAGAAATCCATTTTAAATTATGTAGCCAATATTTCCAACAATGACCAAAGCATTTATAGAAAACAATACCCCTTTTTCAGGTTGGGTGCAGTGGCTCACGCCTGTAATCCCAATACTTTAGGAAGCCAAGGCAGGTGGATCACTTAAGGTCAGGAGTTTGAGACCAGCCTGGCCAGCATGGTGAAACCCCATCTCTACTAAAAATACACAAATTAGCCAGGCATAGTGACAGGTGCCTGTAATCCCAGCTACTCAGGAGGCAGAGGCAGGATAATCAATTGAACCCTGGAGACGGATGTTGCAGTTAGCCGAGATCGCACCACTGCACTCCAGCCTGGGTGACAAAGTACGGCTCCAGATCAAAAAAATAAAATAAGAAAAGAATACCCCCTTTTGAGAGAAGAAGCTAGAAAAGAATGATAGATGTAAGTAAACATACCCAACCTATTCTCTCGTTGAGAATAGGGGCTTCTGTAAAGATAGACAGGAGGCCACCAAATGACTTACTCAAAAAAGAATACCTGGTGTGGGTTCAGCCATGGACCAGCAGTCCATGGGGAGCTCAAAGATATGCTATCTCCCCTCCAGAGCCATGGGGAAGAAAGGGAGACACAGAAAAGACCTAGAGAGCAGTGTAAGACCAGAGCCAACAAGGCTGTTCTGTCATTTGCAATGATTGCAAATCGAGTTCAGAAAGAAACAGAAAGGAATGGGCCAAAGTTAGCTGGGAAGATTTCAGAGGCAGATCGGAGGTGGCTAGGAATGATAGGACCTGGAGAAGGACTGATGAGATAAGGAATTCCAGGCAGAAGGAACAGAACGTGCAAAGACATGGACAGGACAGTGAGGACAATGCCTGAGCAGGAAAACGAGGAGAACTGACTGACTGGGGAGGGTTACTTTGGGGTAACTAGAGCCAATTGGCAAAATGGGTCCTTAGTCTAGAGTCTAGTGATGATCATTTCACATCTCTTGCTCCACTGGCGATAATCTGAAGATTTGGATAAGACTCAATCCTACTTTGAGATTCCCTTAAAATTAATACATAGTTATAATATCGTAATTTGGGAGGAAAATGACATTGATGAGAACTTGACATTGTGAAATGCTTCTCCTAAATGATGTGCTGGGGCTGATGATTCCTACTCAGATGCCATCTACAATAATATGGGGGAAATACAATGGGTAGAAACAGTGTCATATAAAAGAAAAGTATTTATTAACTTATTCACAGATATTTATTGGCTGCCTCCTGTATGCTGTATCTAACCTCCTCTTCTGGATCTTAATCTAATGGGCTGACACTGACAAGTCAGCAGGCGATACCTATCTATGTTCTAAATGCAAAGGGAGGGATGGTCCAAAGAGATCCCAATTTAGGAGGACAGAGAAAACTTCACAAAAGCAGGGACATCTATATACAGGAAGCATGGGGTCCTGAGAAGGCAGGAGAGGATTTGGTCTTCAACAGGAAGTCCACCTCTTCCTCTTCAGAAGAATGAAGGAAAGGATGAGAAGGGTTAGTCATTGAAAGTGAATACAGAATTCACTCTTGTCCCTTGAACATGAACAGAAATGAACTCTGGTATACATTAGGAGGCAATTGCATCCAAGACGAATTTTTCCCCTACATCTTTTAGGTTTGGGGATCTATGGCACTGATTCAGAAAAGCATAAAATTATCTTACTCCACACACTTTTCAGTATTTAGGGTCAAAACAGATAATAGAAAAGGTCTTGTTTATGTGGCAGTTCTGTAAAATATCTTTTCAAAAGCATATTGAGTTCACTACAAAGGAAATGCATTCAGTACAAGTCCTTGTAGAGTGTAATGCCTCATTTTAGTAAGATGCAGTGATGCATATAAAGTAGGCCAAAAAGGCTACACTTACTGTTGCCAAATCCATGTTTTACTGGAAAAGGTTTTGACAGTGGAACCCAACAACTCCTGAGAAAGGCACGTCCACAGATTCGAAGACTACACAGCTGGAAGAAACTTCTTTAGTCAAAGCTTACAAAATACATTTAACACCCATTTTTATATCTGATTCAGATATGTTCCTGCTCATTTTTAGAACAAAATTTTGGGCATTTAGACACACAGAAACAATTTTTTTCAACATCAAATTTGAATGCTCTACCAGGTTTGTTTTGTTTTGGGATGGATTTTCCCTCCTTTTACACAAAGGGCCACCTGGAACTTGAAGATAAATTGTCACAGGGGAAAAAAAATTCTCATTTATCATACCCTTGACTTTTAAAGGAGACACACTTGTCTATTCCAATGCTCTACCTCCCTGAGAACCACCTTAGCAATAAATTAGGTCTGAACTAAAGTTATTTGAAATAAAGCAAGAGTTTTACATTTTAATTAGCTTTGGGAAGTCAAGGACCATTTTACTCGAAACCCAAAGAGATGTGAGTTGTGCTCAATCATTGACCAAAAGGACTCTCCTATCTCTTTTCTCTGGAATAAAACCAGAAATAAAGCAAAGCAACTGATTGAAAAAGGCCAGAGTCAGGGGTCAGTGCCTACTGTCAGTTCTCACCCTGGCCAGTGCCATATGACTCCACTGTGTGGCCTGGAGGAAGTCACTCAACATCTCTGGCCCTTCGTAGGGGGTCAGGGACAGAAGCAGTGGCAAGGTTTTCATTAAAAAGAGCCTCATCACTAGACTCTCAAGAAATCAAATCCAGTTTCTAGATTTATCGAAGGTGGTGATGCTCCACAGTTGGTTCTCCTTGTGACATTACTGCTGCTATAATGTGAGAATATTGTTTAATATAATAAAAGTCATGCTTTCAAAAATCAGGAGCATGCATCTGGGGAAACAAAAGCATCCGTTTGTGTATACCTGGGGGGTGGGGCGTGGGGGCAGGCAGACAGTAACACTTGAAAGGAAATCCTAAATCTAAAACATCCCGTTGAGGGTGGCAATCATGCCTGCAGAAGGCAGCAACATGGAGAAAAATAGTTCAATCCCCCGCCCCCCAGCGGTGGTAATGCTCTTCCTCTTCAGAGGGAAAGTCTTTCAGCATCTTTTGTCTTCTCACCCAGATGCCGCCTCCTCTTCCCTTTATTATCGCTGATCTCACACAGAGAGCTGAAAAGCCACAGGGCTCCAGAGGAAAATATGAGGCCCTGCACTGGGGCGCTGAGACCTACAGAGCTGGAGATACTGGTCAGGCTCTTGCCTGGATTTAACCGCAGTAGAGGGTCCATCTCCAATTCGCTCAAACAGCGTTCCTCCATGGCGCTGTTCGTGGTGCTGAAGCCTGCGCCGGGGCGTGGAGGCAGCAACCCACCCACAGGCGCTCTGCTACCAGGGGCTCCAGGCAGGGGTCCATGTGAAGCAAGTGTGGAAATAGCTGCCACCCACAGAGCTACAGCCAGCTCCACAGTCTGGCTCGAAGTCTAGCTCACTGGCTCACTTCTTTGCAATTGCAAAACGGCTGGTTCACTTTTTCTCTTTCCAGGGGATTTCACAAAGCCTAAACTCGAGTTTGCTGATTTGGCATATCTCTTTCTCGATGTCCTCCCTGTAGATGCTAATTCTCTCCCATCCTCTCTCCTTTGTACAATATTTTATCTTTGCAGAACACCTTACAGTTGGCACAGCCCTCACTGGCACAATCAACGGAGCCATTTTTCTTCCACACATAATCATTCGTTTTCCCTCCCACGGCTATTTTTTGCTTTCTTTGCTTCTCTTCCCCCAAGCACAGTCCAACTAAGCAGGAGACTATTACCTCAATGTGCAGGATGGGCAAATCACCTCACCTATGACAGCAGAACTGTTGATTTCTCCTTGGCAATGAATTAGAAGAGGCAGAGGTTACAGTTTCAAAGGACCAGGAAAAAGCCCTTTAAGCTACTTCTAGGAAGATAATGCTTGCATGGGTAGTGATCTGCAGGGTGGGGAATGGGGACAAGGATATTAGGAACAAAGTGAAGGAAGGGGCTTGGACCTTGTGGAAGGTGCAGGGCTTAGTGCAGTTAGAAGACTCCCGGCAGGTGGCACTCTAGTTCACCTGCTGGCGGTGGAAGCCCTGACTGTGCTCCCCGACTCCACTTGAAACCTTTCTTCCACCAAACAGCCCCCCAGCCATGTTTGGAGGTCTGTCTTCCCCTTGATCCAAGCACTTATCAGAACTATATTCCTGCTAAAAGCACCGTTTGCACAATTCTGTTTACTGTAATGCACAGTAATGAAGAGAACATAAATAGAAAATAGAGGGGCAGTGGGGGGATTTTCTGTATGTGTGTGATTGATGGTGCTCAGATCAAAACTGTTTAATCATCAAAACATGATTCAGCAGTTGGGAAATGTAAACAAGTTGTGCAATTGCTTGCTTTAGTCAAAACTCTGGAAAGGGCCCAGAGGGCTGGCCCGAGCCCCTGGGAGGGCAGTGCCAGCAGGATGCGACCCCAACCTTCCTACCAGGGCAGAGCTGCTATGCCTACAGACTGACTGGCGTGACCTTTGGCTTTTGCAGCACACAAGCAGTTGGGCCGGGGTTAATGGCACTTTGCAGGGAGCTCCAATTGAGTAAACAAAAAATGCCTTGCCCTGTTCTAATGGAGCACATTATTCTGAGGCCTAAGCCTTCATCCAGGCTCCTGCAGCTGCTCTGCAGGTCAGTGCTACCAATAAAGCAATTAGCCAATGAGAAAACTCTTCTTCCCCGAGGGGGACTCCAGGGTATTGCTGCAGTTACTGTGCTTTGCTTTGGTTTTTTAAACAAGTGATCCAAGTTGATCTGAGCCTTTTACATCAGACTCTAGGATGAAGACAGTGAAATTGTGTTTGCTGAGTGTGATATTTTAAGGGACTGATCCCTTGTTCAACACAGCCTGGAGAGCTCACTGCTTCCTGTTCAATTAACCTGAACCATAGCTGAACTCTGCCCTTTGAACTCGCTCAGCAGATAAATACATTAGCTCACCTACGAAATCATTAATATTTTTCAATCACATAAAACAAACATGAATGTACAAAAACAACCCAAGAGATAGCCAATTAGAAACAGGTCATGTACCGTGTTGAAAAAAATCACAAATGGATGTTATTTAGACAGGAAAAAAGGATCAGGGAAGAAATGAAATGGATTGTGCCGATGGTTCTGGAGGCAAATGAGACTTACATTTTCATATCTACAAGCAAGAGGGATACTGAGCAATATCTGGCAATTCCTATTGCGTCTACTCTGCTCCACAACAAAAGTTCTACCCGTTGCTTCCCACATCCAGCAGAACACAAAAACTCCAAATCCTCTCTCTTTTCAAGTGACTTCAGTGTTTATGCTCATATACAGAGTCCAAAATATTGCATTTCTGGGGAGAATCCTTTTTCTGATTTGCTACAAATGAACCAAAATAATTGTGGCAACATCACTGCTTTTAAGTGAACCAATCTTAATGAAGCAAACTGGTGGCTTAATTGAAATAATTTTACAGTAGAAAATGATGTTCCTGAGACATTTTTACTCTAGGCATATAAACAGATTTTCTTTTCTCATAAAAAAAAAGATGCCAAATGCATCTATTTTGTCTTTATCCCTGCATGTCATTTTAGAAGAATGAGAAAAACATCCCCAACTGGGTCATTACACATTTCAGTTTGATTTAATTTCACTTCCCACAATTCTGCCTCCTGACCCCCTCTCTTCCCACCCCCCTTCCCATTTTTGTTTGGTTTGGAGTGTGGGCTTAATGCCCAGCTATCCTAGATGAGAACACTTAAAGGAATATCACAAGCACGAAGGGTAAATCTATTGAACGAGGGTCTTTAACTATGTGGTTTCCTTAAAGGGAAAGGTTGGATCAATAGGATCAATATGAAAGGTTTCCCTGGCCCTGCATAAAAGGATAAGGGCTTCTCTTTTCACTGGTTTAACTTTACTCTCTGACAAATGCAAATCAATGGATCTGTGTTTACAACAGATTCCCTAGCAGACTCAACTTGGGCAAAGCCCAGAACCTCACCCTGGGGGGTGGGGACTCCAAGCTTGCTCCAGGAGGACGCAGTAGGGCACAGCTTCATGCTCAAGGGCACTGGGGTGGAGTGGGAAGCAAGCTGCCAATGGCTGCCAATCACCCTTAAAAGGAAAGGCTTGCTACCCACCCAGATCCTGCTGGAACTCAAGGAGCTGCTGCTGCCTGTGGCCTCTCCAAATACGGCAGAAAAATGAGCCGTCAAACAGGTTCCTTCAAGGATGTCAATGCAACATAAGTAATAAAGCCCACATTCTAGAATTTGGTGAGCCAGTCAACCTAGTTTCCTATCCTTAACCATCTCCAAGGCTGATTGCACAGAGAAAACTGTAAATGAAATATCTACAATTGGAGCAGCACAAGTATTTATGCTCTAGGAATGCTTCTTCTGCCCTTTCTTAAGTGGTAACTGGCTCTTCTTAGTATGACAAAGCAAACCACTAACACTGCGGGTTCTTTTCCCCTTAATTTTACCTTTCCCTTTAAAAATGTGATGCTTTCCAGAGATTACATGACTTCAAGTCAATACCAGTTACAGAGAAATTATTTTTCTTCTTGCAGGAGAAAGTATATGTATATTTGATTACAAGAGCCAAAGTCCAATGCTGATTAAATTACATTGGAGGTGTGCTTCCAACCCAAACAAAGTCTGCTTTCTACAGAAGAGTAATGGGTCCTCAAATGGTGAAAGAGGTGCCGAGGTGGAATGCAGAGCCTCCCTGCCCTTTGGGACAATTTGTGTGGGACAGTTTTTCATAATAAACGTCCACAGCTTCTAGGAATCCTGCTCCCGAAGTGAGGCTATCTCTATCTGCACAGCCCACAGCCTGCCTCCAAGTCTTGCCCATCTGCACCATGTCAGGCATTAGATGGGCTGGGTCACACAATCCACGTCCCTACCTTTTCCCCACCTGCCCCTAGAAAAACCTATGCACATTTTTCAGCCATTGCCTTGAATGAGACTGGGAAATCAAAAAGCCTTTCCCCCAAAGGCACAGAGGTTGGTTAGGGAAAAAGCCTGGGTGATAAGAGGGGGTGATAGGGCCCCACAGGGTGAGTTAGCCTGACGGAGCTCTATACCTGACAGCATAAATAAATCACCCCAGAGGGCTTCCTCATTATGGACTCTCCCCTCTAAGAAGAGTTGTCTCCCTGGAGGAAGCAACTTTTCCCAAGTCAGCAAAAACAAAGGTCCCTAAAAGGGTCAGAAGTCAGCACAGCCCAGGGAGTCTAGATGAAGTTTAAGGCCTAGGGTGCCTCTGTCTTCACCCTCCTCCCCAGGGCCCTTTATACAGGCAATTATTTCTATTTATTCCCTCCTAATTTCCCTTCCTTTGGCAAGAACCCAGAAACTAAATCTCTCTGCTTCTCCCTTGAGGTCTTCCTTGCTCCAGGGATCCCCCTCCATGATACCACTTTTCATGAAGACAGTTTCTGCCAAATCCAGCCACTAGCCATGGAGTGTGGAGCCCAGGACTTTCTTCCTGAGAGTTTTTCAGTCCTGTTCCTCTGGTCTCTTCTTTGAAGAGAAGTGTCTAAAGGCCAGAAAACCTGGTGGGGAGGCTCTCTCTCATATCGGGGGTGACTGTAAAATGAAGCCTTGGTTTGAAGACAGCAGGAGAGGCTGGCTCTCCTTCCCTCAGGGCTGAAGTCTGGCACTTGGGATGGTAAAACTGGCCTAGGGTACTGTTACCTCAGGGCAGACCTGGCTCAAAAGGAGAGTGAAGCAGCTGCTGGTGCCTTGTAGGGACAGAGAATCTGGGGTAATCAGTTTATCCTTTGCCCAGACCTCACCATTCACCAGGAATCCTGCCCAATCTTGGAATTCTAAGATGGGAGTAGGAGAGAGTCTATGATTCTATCCTCTAAAGGCCCACTCGCCCCTCCCAGGGCCTAGGAGTCTTTCAAGTGGGGGCTGTGGGGAGGGAGCCAGTTGTCCGCCAGACCAAAGGGAAACCACCTGCTCTCCTCCTTAGTTACATATCTGATTACCCAGCTATCTCATTGTAGTTTAAAAGGGTCCGGTAGGGCACTTTCTGACTAGGAACCAAGGTGGTGTACCAAAGCTCCCTTCTTTAAGGAAGAACACTAGTGGGAAGATGAGGAAGAAACACCAGCCTACCCTCTGCCTCAACTCAAAGCAGAACAATGCACGATTTGCTTTCCCATCTCTCTTTTCCTTCCTCTTATTAATTACTGTTCTTGGAGAGGGCTGGAAAACACTGCTTTCCCTCCCGATTGATACCCGCTGTTGGAAAAGCTCAGCCTTCTTCAACAGGTGGGATTCATAATTTCAAAAAAAAAAAAAAAAAACCCAGAAGAATTAGTTCTCATCCTACTCCCACTTAGGTCCCTGATCTTTTATTTTTTTTCCATAAAATTCACCTTAGTGCTCCTTCTGGAAAAACAAGCCACCATTTGGCCAGGGGAGTGGTTGGCAGGGTGTGGTGGTGTCCCCCACAAGCGGGAAGGAAGAGCTTTAAAGTTCTTTCTTTTCCAGTCAATGCAGGTGTTCCACAGGACACCTCCTTACCCGCGATGGGCCAGTGACCCGGGCCTCGGCCCAGGACGTCCAGGGGGTGGGAAGGGGTGGGGCAGGGGTTCCCCAGTTTGCTTCTCTTACTTCCTGTCCCAGCCAAGGTAGGACACAAGATTCTCCCTGTTAGACCCGACCAGTCCAGCGCAGAGCCTGCTACTCGGAGGGATGAAGCTCAGGCTTTTGTTACTAGGGCCACGTTTAATTGTCCAACGAATGCACCTGCGTAAAAAGTCTGCGCGTGAGCCTTTTTAGTACGAGAACCGATGAGGATAGGAGGGGATCTGCGGCTGATTAAGCTCTGCCGTTAGCAGGCAGCTTTAGCCACGTCATTTTCAAACTTGGGCTTAGTCACCAGGGCCCAGTGGCAACGGCCAAGCACAGGATAGTTAGGAAGACTCGGGCACCGTTCAGCGCATTGGCTTCGCGGACCCAGCCGCCCAGGCGGATCGCCGGAAGCGCAAGTAGCGGTGTGTGCGCACAGGGGCGGGTGGTGCAGAGGTCGGGGGAGGGGGTGCAGAGGGCAGAGAGCCCCGCGAGAGGAGGAGAAAACCTCGGGGAAGTAAGGCGGGCTGGGGCCTCGCGGGGGAGGAGCTGCGGTCAGACGGGAGAACCCGCGCAGAGCTGGCGAAGCGGCACCGCTGGAAAACCGCGGGGCCGTGGCGCTGGTGAGCGCTCTGCTGGGAAGAGCGCGCCGTCGGGCTTACTGGAAACGCGCCGGATCAAGTTCCAGATCAATGAAATCTGGGTCCACACGTTTACGTTATTGTTGCCAGCATTAATGCTCTTTTAATCTTCTAAACATTATCAGCATCGATCTCCCTCCATATACACATTTGTTTGAGAAAGTGACATAACCACACAGTGGAAAGCCTGGAATAAAAATAAATGCCCAGCCTCTCGCATCGAGGGCGCCTGGCTGCCTGGGCTGCTTCTCCTGCTCGGGTTCACTCTCCTCCCTCGGGTCCCGCCTCCTCTGCCCGCTCCCGCCCACCCTGATGCGTGTTGGGAAGGTGTTCTCCCGGCACCCGGGACTTGACGAAGCACAGACTGCAGCGAACTTTTCAATTATTCATCCAAGCAGCTAGCAGGCAAACATATCGTCTGTTCCGTACTGGCACGGGTTGCGTTCAGCCTCTCCAGCTCTGATCCCTAACTAAACCGCCAGGAGAGGTGGGCTGAGTCGGGAGCCCTAGCAGCGAGAAACGAGGTGGGAGGTTGGGGGGTGGGCGCGAGACTCTGCGAAGGGGGTCCGTTTCCTCGGCTTGGGAGGTGCCCAGCGGCCCGTGTCACCCAAGGACGTCCCCGGCGCAGCGGGAGACAAGCACGCACGCGGTGCCCCTAGCAGGAGCCACTGCGCACTGCCCGGGCCGTGTCCCGCCGCTGCGGGCATCAGGTGGCCCAGGCGACATCATGGTGGGTTGGCTAAGGGCCCTCGGCCGCCTGAACAGAATTGGCTTCAGACTGGCCGCTGGGAGCTTGCTGCCAGGAGAGGGCCGTGCGTCGGACTACGGCGGGGACTGGAGACCAGCTCCGGGCAGGCCGCTGGGGGATCCGGGCTCACTGGAGGCGGAAACCTCTGCAGTAAATGTAGTCGGGCGCTCGGCTCGATTTTCGGGCGTCGGAAGAAAACATGCCTGCCACCGAGGCCTCGCTTTTCCTCAGTGGGATGCCCGTGCAAGTTCTAGCCTGGGTTCTCTCACTCCCTTCTTGTTTGTGCTTGGTTTAGAGGTCTCTGGGGCCCAACGCCCGAGAGTGTGTGCTCGAACCCGCAGAAATTTGTCTTGGCCGCCTCTTGTCAGGTTGCTGAAAACCGCCCTGCAAGGGCTGGTCTTGGGGAACCTCTGCGAAGGCCCGACCGGGCGGGGTTGCAACCACCTGCCACTTAGCCGCCCTTTCCGAACGAATCCGTGCATTTGGAGTCAATTTCTCTGAAATCTAACGTTGGGGCAATCTAAATTTCTCCGAAGTTTTCTCCCTTTTCCTTTCAAGTGCCACCCTTGGCTGTGACTACACCGGCAGGCTGGGCAGGAAGGACCTGCCTCTGTTGTGACCTCGCCTAAGGGTGAGCTTTGCCGGCGCTGGCCAAATCAGACCTCTTCATTCTGAGCCCCCTAAACCCCGGCCTGCTTGGCTGTTTGGCAGGACCCGGGGGCGGGGCCAAAATGAGAGAGAAAGGGAACCTATAACCTATGAGAGAAAGAGAAGAGGCAGGTTTGGCGGGAGGGGGGCAGGGACGGTGTCTTCCAGGCACCGGTCTGAGAGTCCGGCCGAGCCGCCTGCGGAGCGGCTGGGCTTGTTAAACCCCCGGGGCCCAACGGCGAGGGCCCTCTGCGGCGTACCGGCGGGGATTCCGATCGATACTCCGGGCGGAGAAAGCCTCCGCTTTTCTTCTCCATTTGCTCCTGTCCCCTAGCGCTCCGAGCACATAATACCTACTTACCAGTCCCAGCTTCTGCATCAGTGTCTGAAGAGACTGATCTACTGACCCCAAACTGAAAAGCCTCCTATGTAATAATAACCACTCAACACACTTGTAGTTGCTGATAAAATGGCCAGATAAAAAGGCTAAAGCTCTTGTCCCTTTTCAACCCAGGGTAATAAAACAGACACACATTTGAATGCTCGAGCAAAGCGGGGTCCTCAGCAGGCCTTTTCCACTCGCTGGAGGAGGCATTCTGTCTCCCACGAAGGCAGCTTCAGCGATCCTCTGCGGAAAATCTAGCAGCGTGGGCAGTGCTGTCCCGGGCCTGTCCCTGCAGACTTGCACCATGGGCGCGGGTGGGGCTGAGGACCCCCGGGATGCCACGCTTTCTCATCTCAGCAACGCTTGGGATCATTTTAAAAGCTGAAACTCGCTAATAGGCGAAGCATTACTTTCCTCATCACTTTCAGACCTATATGGGCAGAAGGCACGTGTTTTTTAAAAGCTGTGTTCTTTGCGCGACCGGCATGAGGGGGCGGCAGCGCTCTGAGATGAGCAGGAGAATAGCTGTCATCCTGCCTTTAACTGTACCCCTAAGACCAGCTGCCAAGTTCCTTCTGGTCCCCGGTGCCCAAGAAGCCGGCGGGTACTAAAACCCACCAGAGACAGCCTGGGACATTCGGGGGGATCTATGACAAAATGTTAAGAACTGTCAGCCAGTCTCCAGTTCATTTCCCGCCGCTATTATTATCGCTCTCTACTGGCTGCTTTATCTTGCCCCGAACCAACAGCAAATCAGAGAAAACTGTAGGAGAGGATGAAAAATAAACTAAAGGAGAAAGATTACATAAATTTCTAAATCCACTCAAAGTATCCGGAGTCCGCCGATTTGGGGGAGGCTCTTTGCAGGGAAACCTAGTTTTCTTTACCTTCTTAGATCAACACTGCGGGGCGATTACCGACTGGGAATAGGAATCCACCAGCAGACGGCAAAGGAAAATGCTGTCAAAGCGGAAACTCCCCCTCCCCAAGCCCGGGTGAACCTGCTGCCTGTCACATTCCCCAGCCCTGTCGGGCGTTGGTCGAGTGCACCCCACAAGCTGGGCTCAGCGGTGCGAGGAAAGCCCGGGGGATCGGGGGTGGAAACCTGAGCTCGCAGCTCCGGAAGCGAGCTGTGCGAGGCTGGCTCGGAACCGCGCGCATCCCAAGACCCGCGCTATGCAAATCATCGCCACCACGAATTGTTCCCCTAGACCGCCCGCCGATCCTGAAAGATACCCCCCTCCACCCGATCCATGGGAAGTCGCCCACCCTGGCTTGCCATAGGGTATAGTGTGTCCTTCCCAGCGGGGGACCTGGACATTTTGCCCCTCTGGGCCCGTGGCTTGCTCCTAGGGGCAGCGCAGTCGCCACGCACACCGCGCGGGGTCCGTGCGCACAAAAGCGCGCAACTGCGTGCCAGTCGCAGTAACTACTGCATCTTTCCCTCTAGCTCGCGCACCCGCCGCCCACACAGGAGGTTTCTGTGCTCCTAGAACAATAGAGGGCTGTACCTCGCAGCTTGGCCGCTAGAGGAGGCACAAAGAGCCGAGCCGGCTCCAGAACAATGTAACCCGCGCCTCTACCCGTCCCCTCCCGCGGGCCGCCAGTCCTCCCCGCGGTCGCCAGGCGCGCACAATCAGCGCCCGCTTAATGCAAAGGCGGAGCCTGCAGCCGGCGGCAGGGATGCATTAACTAACCTGAATTTTTAATTTCTCAGCACCTCTTCCTGCGAGTGCTCAGGGTCTCCCGGAGCCCCGGCAAATCCTGGCAAATCCCAGCAAACGCTGGGACCGGGGCAAGGACGGCCGGTGAGCAAGGCAAAGCGCTTTCCACCTCAGTCTCTTCTCCCACGTCCTCCCAAAGCGGTGAATGTGACCTTCTCAACCTTACACCCTGCCCTCGCTGTAGGTAGTGACATTGGAGCTGGCCCGAGCCCCTCAAGCCCGGTCAGAAAGTCCCTGCGCCAACGCCAAGGCCAGAGATGGGCTCCAGGAGCGCTGTTGTATCCTGGCCGCCGGTTCCCCGCGGGGGCAAGGCTGTGCCTTCAGCCAATGACCAAATAAGTTTGCCTATATGGTGGGTGGGAGAGTAGAGAGCTCTTTTCCCTCTGCAGAGCAAAGCCTCTCAACTGCCTCTGCACAGGGAGACTAGTCAGCCCGGAAAATTGAAATGTGTTGTCTAAAAGAGACTTGAAGTGCATGGGGTTTTGAATAAGGGCAGGTCCTGGTTTCTGTGGGTCTTGGAAAGACAGGGCTCCTAGAGGAAAACGCACACCCCCATCCCGCCTCCCAGTACCTGGGAAGATCGGAAATAGGGCAAAGGTTGGCACATTGAGGGGAGGGCGAATGAAATGGGGGGGGGTCGGTCAATGAAAGCTCAGGGACAAGGAGAGAGTAAGAAAGAAAAAGAAAAGGGAGAAGGGAAAGTAGGGGAAGAGCGGAAGAGAAAGAGAAAATGGAAGAAGAAATAAAAACGAGAAGAAAGAGGACGTGTATAGGAAAGAGAAGGAAAGAATCAAGAGAAGTGACTCGGCGCGCAGACTTGGGCCACAAGCACCGGACCCGGAGCCCTCTTCCCAGCAGCCTGGCCCCTGGCTAGCCCCGGCCTTACCTGCCAGGCGTAAGGCGGACATGCGCTGGAACTCGGGCTCCTGAAGCCACTTCCACATCCTGCGGAAGGTCTCCCTGCCAGATTTGAGTTTACTCCACGGTTTTGGATTCCGGAGCAGGTCGGAGAGAGTCCCCTGAGACCGGCACAGCACCCTCTGCGCAAAGATCGCCTGGGGGATACTGTAGCGCTTCAGCTCCGCTGTGATGCGCTGGGCCACCTCTTTGGTGTTGATTTCTTCCAGCTGGCCCGACGTGGCCACCTGCGAGCCCGATGAGGACGAGGGTGGCCGCTCGCGACTGGGTGCCAGCACCGGCCCGTGAGACTGAGTGTGGCCCGGGTGGTGCAGGCCGTTCAGGTGCGACATCATGGCCGCAGGTGGGGTGCCCAGGCCGCGGGACAGGTGTTGCTCACCGCGGGTCAGCATGGCAGTGTGGTGCGCGTCGAAGTTGGGGCTGAGCATTTTGTCGTGGCCCGGCGGACCGTAGTTGGGCAGACTCTGCTGCGCGTTGTGGAGGCCGCCTAGCCCGTTGCCCAGCGGCGTGGCGGCCAGCGGGGACAGGCTCTGGCTCATGCCGGGCATCTCCTTGTAGGGACTGTAGAGGTTGTTCATGGCCGGGAGCCCGCGCTCGTCGCGCATGAGGGTGAAGCTGCCGCTGACGTTGCCGGACAGGCGCTGGTGGTGGTGGTGGTGGTGGTGGTGCGGATGGTGGTGCGGGTGAGGGTGGTGGAACTTGTCAGACACGGTGGAGATGGGTGGCAGCGGCTGGAGCGGTGTCAGCGTGGTGTAGGTGTTGCTCATGCCCATGCCAGGCGGAGACGAGTCGCAGGACATGCTCATGGCGTGGTGCAGCGGGATGGAGAGCTCGGGCCGGTAGTCGCCGCCGTCCAGGATCGAGGCCATGCTGGTGACCATGGCCGAGCGCGACGCCGCCGCTGCCGCCGCTGCCGCCGTGCCCAGCTCCTGGTGCGCGGTTGGAGGCGGCGGAGGGCCCCGCAGCGAGCCAGCGGCGCCGCGGCCCGCGTGGTGGGGGCTGGGGCTGGCCAGCAGCTCCTGCTCATGGCCCGGGCCCCCGCCGCCGCCCCCGCCGCCCCCGCCGCCGCCCCCGCCACTGCCGCCGCCGGCCGGCCCGTGCAAAGTGCCCAGACTTTCCATTGTCAGCTCCGGGTTCATGGCGCAGCCTTCTAGGTCTTTGGTGAGGCATCGATAGGCGGTGTAGGCAGCCTTCATTCAGTCCATCAGGGCCCGGGGGCGGCGGGGGCGGCGGGGGCGGCCGGCGGGCGGGCAAGGCGCGCGTGGCGGGGCTCGGCTGCGGGAGTGGGGGCGGGCGCGGGAGTGAGTGGAGAGGAGTGCGCGTGCGGGTGTGCGCCCCGGGCTGCGGGCGGGCTCGCCCGGGGTGGGGGCGGGGTGGGGGCGGACGGGGCGTGCGTGCGGGAGAGGGGAGGGGACGGGGAGGGAGGGAGGGATCACCGGGCCCCGCCGCTCGGGCCGGCTCGCAGCCTCGCCATGTCCGAGCCCGCTCCGGCGCCGACGTCTTCTGTTTGGGTGAGCGGGAGCTGTCCAGAAGGGCTCTGCCGCTCGCCGGGGCAGCCAACCTACCCTCCCGGACCTGGGGCGGGGCCACGCCCGACGGGCGCCAAGCGCAACCACTCCGAGGCCGCAGCTGCCCCGGGAGGCGGGCCTTCCACGGGAAGCTACCAGTGGCTGTGGAGGGGGCGGGGCCGCACTTTTCAGGTTTGGCTGACGGCTCGGTGCCTTTTTTACCTCCTTTGCTACTGGAATCAAACGTCAAGGAGAGGGAGGGAGGAGAAGGTGGGGGGGTCGCTGGGGAGAGGGAGGCTGGAGTGCGAGCGAGCGAGAGAGATTCGGTGAAAGATGCCGTGCTGTGTCCCCCCTGAGCAGCTGCGATCTGGGGGAAGGGGCATTGCTTCAATCGCCTTCGCCTCACCCCAAAGCTTTCCTGGAGGCGAGTAAGCCGGGAGCAAAAGACTCCGCTATGTGCCAGTATAGACAAACACTCGTCACTAACAAGCCACTTACCGAGAGTCCCTAGCTGGGAGCCAATAGTTTAGCCTTTTAAAATGCAGGCGCTAATGTATTCTAATGCATGGTAAATTCCCGAGGCCGGGACATGCATAATCTACGCGGTCAGAGCAACTGTAGTGCCCTCGTCGCCAGCGAGCTGCGGCCGGCCGGCGGCCCACGGGCGGCGCGGGCAGCAGTAATGCATGCAAAGTTAACACAATAACATCATTTAATTACCCGGTGAGCCCATAAATCTCAGTTATGAGGCTTCCGAAGAGCCCTGCTAGATTGCAAAACAAAACTAGAATTCCGGGAGCTGCCGTTTCAAGGTGACCAAGTGCTTTCTGCATCAGCGACTTGGAAAGAAGTGGGGAGAGTGTAGAACCGGTGAGGTGGAGGTGAGGAGGGTCGCTGGTGTCCCAAGTGAGCAAACTTCTCCTGGGGGCAGAGAGTAAGCAAACCAGCTGAGACGGCAACCACGGACCTTTCTCCTAACACGAGACACACACACGCGCACACACACACACACACACACACACACACACTCCCGCTTCTCTCAAATCCCGGGAGAGAAACGGCGGTGGGCAGACGACAAGGAATCCTGGCTGACACCTGCATATTCAAACCTTGTTTCTGAAAAGACCAGCGCCCCGGCCAGCCTGAGAACGCTCACAAGCCAAGGCTTTAAAAACCGCACCTACGTCTTCCTAGAATTTCCGTTGTTTGGCAACCCCAGGTCTGGAGGTGGGAGTGGAACTGGGGGACAGAGAGTTGGAGATTTCTGCAGTCCGAGTCGGGGTGGAGGGGTAGTTGAAGACAGAGAGGCCAACACCCGGCATAAAGCCTTAAACGTAACAAGATTCTTCCAAAGCAGGTTGCGCTCTGTTTGCCTCCGAAGATTCAAGCTAGCTGAGGTTGCGCAGATGTTGCCTTTGTTTAAAGAGACAGTAATTAAGGACAGGGTGGACATAAGTTTGAGAAGCGTGACCTATTTTCTTTTGATCAGCTGTCAAAAGAAGAGCAGGGGGTCTCCTTAAGACAGCCCCCTTCAACCACTTCCAGCTGTTAGAGAAAACTTGATAAGAAAACAAGGGCAGAGCTCGGAATACTGTATGTCCCTTCTTGGTGCCAGAGAAAGGTTTGATTCATTTGGAAAACAGTTCTTAGTCTCAGTGACCTTTTCTGCCGCCCTCCTCTCTCTTCTTGCTTCAGAGCAACACCCCCACCCCCACCCTGTCACATGAATGTACAGTGACGTTATTCATAGATCAACTTCATTGAGCTCTGGCCAATACGCTGCCAATTATTCTTTCAAATAGCGTCTTCTCTGTGTTATCAAAGCCTGAGTAAGAAAGCGGCAGATCCTCTGGTTTGCCAGACATACTTTTCTGGTTGCTCACATCTCTAGTGTCACAACAGGAGCCAGGTAAAATAACTCAGATTTTGGTTTCTCTGTTTTTCCTCTCCTCCTCACCCCCTCCTACTGTCTCTCTTCGCACTCCCTACCTTATATATGGCATCTGGACACTTGGGATGATTTGAGTCAGTTAATGTTTGAAATATAATACTGAGTTGAGCAAAAGTTCACGAGAGTGCAACCTGTTCTTGGTCCATGAGTGCACAGGGACTGAAATACAGCAGGAGAGAAGCAGAACTGGGAAGTAGTGGGTCTGATATGCCCCAGTGCTAAGGTAGCCTCTGCTGCTCTGCTGGCTTCAGTCTCAAGGAGTGGCCAGTTACCCTAGGCTGATGCTTCCTCCATACAGAAACCTAGGTATATAAATTGCCATTTAAATAAATTTTCAAAATGTTAAACTCATTTGCCAGGACACTGAGATAAACCTGCTTTTGGGAATTATATTTCGGTGTGCCTGGGAGCAGAAAGGTGAGTTGCATTTTCTCGCTGCCTCGCTTCCTTCCTTCCTCCCTCCCTCCTCCCTCACTCCCACCATCCCTCCGCCTTCCCTCGATCAATATTGGCGATCTCAGGGAAATCATGAAATCGTATTGGCTTCTTTGTGTATAATTTCATTGGACTAGAATTAAAGCAGATTTTTCACGTTGTTTTTATAATGGTGGTTTGAGGTTTTATGTTTCAACCCAAAATCCATTTAAAAGGAAAATGGATGTGCTTGTTTAGTGAGCACCCTAATTTTTACTGAATTAGGTTTGGATGCCCTTTTCTCTTTCTTTCTAAAAAGGAACAATATTTGTTTTTTACTTCAAGACAATTTTTGGAGTATCAATACTAATACGATTTTCAAGTATTTTTTGAAATATTTTTGATGTTTCTTTCTCTATAGTTCTTTAAGAAAATATAAGGGAAAGTGGCTTTCTAACTGCCCCTTGTTTAGCATCCATACTTTAACCTTAAGAAGTTCTGCAACTTGGAATTTTTTCTTTTAATTTGAAGTTACACTCCTCTTCTCCCCCCTCCCCACCAGCATTTGATTTACAAACACACTGTATAGAAATGTGGTATGATAAGTGCTAATTCACGGCTATTAGAATCTGGACAAACAGTTGTACCAAGCATTATATCAGGACCTGGATATTCACTTAGCATGCCACATTCACAGGTCCAATTTTCTTGAAGATCAGAAACTTAAATGGGTCAAAAGAAGCATGAAAATAAAATGCAGCTTCGACAACAAGACTATTATAGGCTATTGCACTGTAAAAGAAAAACATTCTGAACTTGAGTTAGCAATTGCAGGAAAATAACTATTTACTATCGGAGTTTTTCGTATGTGTTTTCCACAATAAAATTGTTTTTAGGTATAGAGAGACACACACAGAGAGGTGAACATTCAATTAAAAGAGATACTTTATAAATTATTCACGGAAAAAGATAAACAGACCACAAGTAAACCCAATCTGCATAAGGGGCCCAATATCTTTGTTTTTACTATACAACAGTAACCACGACCCAAATCTAGGGTAGAGGAGAGCTGCTAATTTCTACCCCAATGCTCGAAATCTTGTCAGGTTTTGTGTCAGGGTAGAACACATTTATGCTACAACTAGGTTATCAGAGCAATACACACACAAAAAAACATAATGGTGGGTTGATTTGGACTATTTTATTTTTGTCCTTCCCCAAACCATCTGGCGTGTTAGTGTAGGGGTATTGATCAGGGATCTGTGAGCTGCAGACCCCATGCCAATCCATAGCGTTTCTGGCAATCAGCGTCGCCCATGAATTGCAGCTGTCTGTGCAGCTCCTCAACAGAAATCTTCAAAAAAAAAAAAAAATTTCCCTCCCTTATCAAACACATCATCCGTTCGGGGGTAAGTCAATATCATTTCTTTGTCATTCTGAGGGCGAGGATTATGCGGTAGAAAGTTTTTGTTATCTGTTATAGCTGCTGCTGCGCCTGCCTTTTTTTTAAAAAAAAAAAAAAAAAAAAGGAAGGAGAGCAATTTTCTAGCCTTTGAATGGTAATGGTTTTCCAGAAAGGCCTCAAACGTTTGTAAGAATGGGGCAACAAATGCTGTTTCAATATTGTAGGGGAATTTGAAGAGGACAAGGAAACTCTTAGGTCGCTATACACAAATAATAGTAGTGATAACACAAGGTTCCTTTTCACGACAGAGAATTTTCTCCCCTTTCCTCGGATCCCCTGGTAATGAAGACAGGGCAAGTCTCTGTGATTACACGTGCAGATGGACAGTGGGTGCTTGTGGCGGAAAAGGGGCCCTCGGAATTGTGGCTCTGTTTGAGATCTTCATTAGCTTCAGGTTTCTTCTGTTTGAAAGCTCGGGCTGGCTGAGCCCAGGGAGAATAAAACTAAAACCGAAGCCGGGCCCCACTAATTCTCTTTGGCCTCTCAGCTCAGAAATTCACTGTCACAATTCACCGTCACTTTTCAGATTTGCCAGTTGGATCTTGGAAAGTTTTTGTTTGTTTGTTTTTCTGGGTGGTGAGGCCAAACGCGTCCTTTTTTGTCTCCTTCTTCTTCGTTAATCTTGTTAAAATTCAAAACGCCAGGTTAGCAGAGCTGGCAGGGGACTGCCCTTAACTTTTTGGTTGACAAAAGATACTTTGCGTGAGGGCAGGGAGAGATATGGGGTTGTTAGTCTTGTTCTCACCCTTGTCCGGCCTCTTAGGGAAAGGAAAAAGAAGCGACAGGAGCCCTGCGTGCTGGGGGAAGGTTCTCTCCGAGCCCCAAGCCCAGCACCTGGATTAGAAGGTGGGGGAGTAGGGCTGCGGGAAGCAAACTATAGTTTCCTCCGAAGTCCAGACGCCGAGAGTGGGCAGGCTTGAGAGAGGGGAAAGGGGAGGAGACCCCACCCCAAAGGGCTTTGGCACCTGCTCCAGGGAGTGTCAGTCTGCAGGGGAAACCGGAATCCCAGCTCTGCCTAGCTAAGCTGCTAGCGCGTCCACCTGTCTAGTTTAAAAGAACACCAGGGCGGCCGACCTTGATCGCCCTCCTCTACCCATATAGATAGGGGACTGTTGAAGTTTTGTGTCTTCGGGAACCGCTTACTTCCCTGACACACACACACACACACACACACACACGTACATTTCTTTGCTTCTCCAGCTCCCTGCCCTCTCAGGGTTTCCACAGCCCCCTCCCGTGAGGAGTTTGGGTGGAAGTGGGTGGCCGGGCCTCTGATCCGGACCGGTCCCCAGGACTGGGGGCTGGGACTGCGGTCCCTTCCAGGGACTTTCCTTCCTCCGAATTCGGGGCCAACTGCAGACCCTTTCTGCAACGCCCCACCCACCCGATTTTTCGGATGCTAACGCTGCAGAAGCTGGTGGGAGAAATAATTCTACTCTTTTGGGAAAATGAAATTCAAAGGAGGGAAGGTTGAGGATTCGAACCTGCAAATACCCAAGGGCTTCTTTTTGCGGAAGGGGTGGGGGAAGCACAGCTCTTAGGGGAACGGAGATTTTGCTCTAGAAGAAAGTTTCATTTTAAATAGGCAACTTAGTCTGAGAACGAAGACAAAATTTCCCCTCACCGACTTTCAGTTTTGCTCGCGCTATCTGTCCCTTCTGCCCCAAAGCCCCATAGCTTCGATTTTTAAGTTGAAAGATCTGCCGTCACATTTTCTCTTTAAAGGAGGGTTCCAAAAGTACAACTCAAGTATGGTTAAAATAAACTTTTCCTCTCTTCTAGTTGTCACCCCACAAAAGAAAAACTGGCATGATGTCCCTTTGTTCCGGTCAAGTTGTGCGTGAAATCTTTTTGTCGTCCTTTCCAAAGGAAGGCAAAAGTTGCAGTTGATTGTAAAAAGGACAAATTTAACTCCCTGAAAGTGGAGCTGTTTTCAAGTTGCCCTGAGACACTAAGCACGGGTGTTGCTTTTATTTATTACCCTCTTAAAACTATCATTTATTTGCCCTGAAAATACTTTTTGATTGAAGATCCAATATTGTTTAGGCATTAGTACAAAAACTATTTACGTCCCCTTCCAATGAAAATCCGAGAGTTAAAAAATCTTTGTGTATAATTTCAATTGTCTAGCTACCATGGAAAAAAATTTCAGACGGAGTATTAAAAAAAAAAAGACTTGGCTAGATTTTAAACTTGAGAAATATGATCTCCGATTTCAAAAGGCAATATTTCTATTTGGAAACTAACAAAACCAACCGAGGGGTTGAAATAGGTATGCGAATCATATCGTTTTTAAAAATCGTATATTTTTTCAGATTCCTCGAGTATCATCTCCCAAAGAAATAAAAGAACCAAGTGAATCTGAGCTAATCTTTTGGGGTAACACGATCAAAAGTAACAGTACATTCAGATTATTTTAGGATCATTTTAGTTTGGAAAAGTGCCTCGATGTCACTATTACGTATGTTGTTTTGCTTGCAAATGTGAAAGGGAGAGCGACTCTGGCGGACTCAAGGGTCGGAGGTGGCCGTTTCGCAGCCGCCGGGGCCGTGGTCGTTGGAGAAGCGGGACCTGTTCCCCGCGGCCCACGCGAACCAGCGCCCCGGCCGGGCTCAGTGGGCTCGGCGGCCTCGAGAGAGCACAAGCTCTGAGGGCGTCCCGCCGGCCCGGCTGGAAGAGGGACGCGGGCGGCGCTGCCGACTCGGAGGGCTGCGAGAAACCTGTTGGCCACGAGGAATCGGTGTTGGCGTGGCGGCTGCGGCGTCGAGGCCGCGGGCGCGGGGTGGCGGCGCAGGCCGCTCCCTTTGCCCGCTCGGCGGAGCCCGGCGTACCCTAGGTCCGCTTCTCGGGGACGGGGCGGCGCGGCCCCGCAGCTCGGCAGGCGGAGGGAGCCGGCCAGGATTGATGTCTAAATCAATGCGGTTTCTAGGCGCTTCTCCCGACTCCTCTCCATCTTCCTCAAAGGCAAAGCGCCTCCCGAGGATGGAGTTCCACGACATTCGCGAAGTCTGCGTGAGGATGGTGTCTGTGGGCCCCACGGCCGCTGCCCCACGCCGGGCACCCGGACCACGCACCGGCCAGGAGGGCCCTGCTGACGAGGGAGTCCAGCCTCGGCGGGGCCCCCGCCTGTGCCCTCCTCCTTCCTTTTGCTCCCCACACCTGGGGGCTTGCTTCCCCCTACACTCGGAATGGCGCCGGGTCCAGGCGGCTCTCGCAGCCTCGGCGCAGGGCGAGGCCTGTCCGCTCTCCGCGCTGCCCACTGGCTCCCCAATTTGACAGGATTTGAGAGGAGCGACCCCTCGTCTCCGACTCCAGGCAGGCCCGGCGGCCTCTGATTTAATTATTCGCTGATGAATTAGACAGCTGCAATTGTCGTGAAAAGTCAGCGGCCACTATTGATTCCAGGGCCGAGGGGAGGGGCGGGGAAGGGCGGGGAGGCAGCCCAGGCCCTCGGGTGTCCTTGGCCGCGCGACCTCTCCCGGCCCCGGCCGCCAAGCCCCAGGGCCTCTCTCCGTGCTAGGCCCGGCGGGCCAGATGTGGCTAGTGTTCGAGGGGCCGCAGGCCTGGCTCCCAGCTCGGGTCTGTTCTACCCACGGCGGCGGAAGCGACGGGGGAACTGAAGACGAGGCGGGGGCGGGAGCGACGCCCGCTCCGGGCTTGCGGGGAAGAAGGCGGCCCCCGGGGCACTCCCAGGGCGTCCCCAGCCCGCCCCCGGCCTGGCGCCCGCGGCCTGGAGGCGGAAGGGCGGACGGCGGGCGCTTCCGGTCCTCGCTGAACCGGCGCCCGGCCTAGAGAGGCCTAGGGAGGCCGCGGCCGGGCTCCAGGCCGGACCGGGCGAAGGTCAGCGGATGGTGGGGCCGCGCCGGTCGGAGCTCTCCGCTGCGGCACGGACGACTCGGCCCGGGGCCCGGCTCCTAGCACACGCCGCCCTACTTGTAGGCAGGATGTGCCGAGCCGGTGGATCCGCGCGAGTTCCCGCCGGAGCAACAAGTCCTGGTGCTCGGAGAACCCAGAGGGCAGTAGGGGTCCAACGCCCCTCTCCCTGCCCTAGGACCCAGTCAGGAATGTCTGTTTTGAGAAGGAGGAGAATCTGGGTGTCCTCAGAACGATTTGGCACAGTTGTGCGGAGAATACCTGCTAGAGAAGCCACTATAGTTAGAGCTTCACAGCCGACACAGAAATGAGAAAGTATTTGATGTATTCAGACAGCCTGACAAAAGCCTTTTTAAATTATTATGATCTATATCAGAAAAACACTGGAAGCCGCATCATAGTCTTTTGGTATACGCATTTTATATCCTCTTCCTGGGTGGTTTTAAAGCCAAATGACTTTTCATTACAATTTGAAATTATTTTTAATACTATAGTTTAAAGAAATGATACATTATGCAGAAAACATATAGACTGTGTTGTCCAAAAACATTAAAGATTTAAGCGCTTCATCTTCAGTGTTTCATATTTTTCTCTCTCTGAAACGACTCAAGTATTTACTATCTTTTTTTATTGGTGAAATGTGTTCTTCAGACTTTATCCTGGAAAGAGTTGAGCACTGACTCCTTGGAGATCAGATATAGAGAGTAAAAAAGGAACCTCGCCACTACATCTCCTGCTACATAGTCCATGGGGCTGAGGATAGGTCACTGCACACAAAATGGCTGTTCCTCTCTCCCTTACTGAGATGGACTAATGGATTTTGTAACTGTTTTCCAACTATCAGACTGAGGAAACCTGGTTTGGGGGCTTCGTGTTGACAGAGACCAAATAGGATGCCCTGTGTCAAATTCTTTACCTTATCAACATAATTTGATAACAAGGTAGTGGAATTATTAAGGGAATTCTGAAACATCAAGTTTTGAAATACCATTTGTAATTATAAAATTTCCCATTTAATTCTTGGAGAACGGTGTGGGTTATGGTTGACTTCAATTTCTAGTAAAGTGAGATGGGGTGGGTGAAGATATTTTTAAGAATTCACAACCCTCCCCCCCTTGGTTAGAGCCATATGATTAAAGCAAATATTCTTTGTGTTTTGAAGGGACATAGTTTTTGCCTTTGTAGATGTTGCTCCTTCAGCGTCTGAACCACTTCTACCTCCACTGTACCTGGTGAATGCCAGCTCCTATCTGAAGTTTCAGTGCTCATTTCTAGACCTCTACACTGAACCGTTTCTACCCCACTGCACCTGGTAGAGTGGTGGGTGAACTTCCTATCTGAAGTTTCAGTGCTCTTTTCTAGAGCTCTTTGATGCTATTTCATCTGGCGAATGCCAGCTCATATTTGAAGTTTCAGTTATCACTTCTACATCTCTTCTGTGCAACTATTTGCATATCAAATTTCCTTAAAAAAGTTTTTTTTTTTTTTTTTTGAGACAGTGTCTCGCTCTGTTGCCCAGACTGGAGTGCAGTGGTACAATCTGGGCTCACTGCAACCTCCACCTCCCGTTCGTTAGCCTCCTGAGTAGCTGGGATTACAGGCACGTGCCACCATGCCTGGCTAATTTTTGTATTTTTAGTAGAGATGGGGTTTCACCATGTTGGCCAGACTGGTCTCCAACTCCTGACCTCAGGTGATCCACCCACCTCAGCCTCCCAAAGTGCTGGGATTACAGGCATGAGCCACCACACCCAGCCTCCTTCAAAAAGTTTTAAACTTTATTTCATGCCCTATACTTTCCAGCTTTTACTCCCCAGTTGGTATTCTAAATTTCATTTTTTAGGGCTTCCTTTTTACTTAAATGATACCATTCATAGTGGTACCTAATACCATGAGATTGCGTAGCATACTTTGGAAAAAATCACGTCTAAGCCTGGTTTAGATTTTTAAAATTTTCTTTAACTTGACTCTTGCATCAAGAAGGATTTGCCCTTGTTAAATATTATAACTTAACTGGAAGACAAATGAGACAGTGACCAGGTGCAGTAATTAGGATACGAGAGAGTGCTTGGAAATTGTGAAGTGTTCTACAAAAATTATGATAATAATTCATTAATTTTATTTTCATTTAAGACTTATTTGAGTGCCTACTATGTGCCTATTAGAATTTTTGGTTGCAAGCAACAGAAGCTGCCTTAGACAAAAAAGTAGGAAAGAACGTCTGAGGAAGAAACCAAATAATTCAGGAAGAATAAATGAGGAAGAAGTGATAGGAAGGCAGGAGAGTGAAGCAGGAACCAATTCCTAGTTCCAAGGGAGACTAGGAATAGGAACAAAGCCAAGATCATGCCCTGCAATAGACTGGTTTAGGAAGCCTCTGCTGACCCACTTGTCTCTGCTGCTGCTGCCGCAGCCAAGAGTAACGTCCACACTGTCCTATGTTTTCGTGTCACTTCTACAAGAGCCAATTAGGGTGTGACCTCTCCTAGAGCATATACTAGAGTCCTGGCCGCCAGGGACTGAGAAAGGAGCACTGCATTTCACCTGTACTGCACACTTTAGGGAGTCACCTCAAAATAGAGTGTTTGAATAGTGGTCAGTAAAAACAAAAACAAATAAATAAAAAGCACCCAAAAATATGTCACCACATAAGTGCTCGCAAGAGAACCATGAATAAGTTAGATGTGGTCCCTGTTCTCATGGACCTTACATTTTAGTGAGGTGATGATGATAACTCCATTTTCTGTATAAAGAGAAAAAACAGTCAGATCCCATCTCAAAGTAATGGACTAAGTTTCCACCTGTTTTTTGTTTGTTTGTTTGTTTGTTTTTTCTTGTTCTCTTTTGACGTGATTGGATGTTGGTCAGAGGAAGTTATAAATGACTGGTTTAGGAGGAATTAGGTCTACTCCATCACCCTCTTAAGGTCAAGGGTGCAGTGAAAACAAGTCCTGGATCAAGAGGCAGGGCCTGCATTCTGGTCCCAATCCTATTATTGTCTAGCTGTGTGACCGACAGCCTGCATTTCCTTCTGTAGATGCTCTTCAAGGTCCCTTCCACATGTAAAGTCTGATTTGATATGGATCCCCTTTTATTAAAATGGGACCTTTATGATGATTGGGTTAATTTCCTATGGGCTCTTTAGATATTTTAATTCTTAATCCAAATAGTTTGGGAGTTATAGCCTTAAAAAGCTATTTCTGATGGAATAAAGCTATAATGATTGACTTCATATTCCAAAAATGGATTCCAAAAAAGGATTCTCTTTTTAAAAAATGAATTTTATTTCCAAATGACCTATTATACTTCAATGAATGGGTTTGTTGCTTTTAGTTTCAAATTATGTACTGAGTTTTTGGTACCTCTCTGTATTTTCAGACCAAGAAAGGCAAAAGAAACAGAACAGAGAGAGAGGAAAAAAACAGTCACAATTTGAAGTGATCACTGAGCCAGAATCGCTTCAGAGTTACGTGACTTCTTAAAATTTACTATAGATTTTTGAGTGGGTATTTCTTCTGAAGAGATTTTAAGTTATTCCCATCTAAGAACTTAGGAAAAAGTATTTTCTTCCAAGTGGAACTATAGTGAAATTTACTATGGGCTCATCATACTCATCATAGTATCTGACTGAAGGATGCCAGGACAGTTTCAAGGGTCATGTTTAACATTAGTTTTGTTACACAATATAAGCAAACAGCAGAAATCCTGGATATTTTGTATTTGTATTCCTGGTGTTTTTTAAAAAACTGGGTGTCCATCAAATGAACACATATTAAACCAGAGTCACTTGCCTTGTAACTGAGCCCTCATATGACCAATTTTAAAAGTGAGTAATACCTTGGAATACCAAACAATCACTTAAAAATATATATACTTAAAATATTGATTTCTGCATGTTGGGATGGCTTACAGTGGTGGGTAGCTGGGGTGGGGTGAGTACGGTGGTCAGTGAAGGAGTTATGTTTTATAGGAATTTATTCATCCTTAATGGGATAAGATTTTTCCTTGTCTTCTCCTCTCCTCTGTGCTACTTCAAATCTCACTCATACTTTAATACTGTGTTTGTAAACTTTCTGGGTGAGACCCATAGTAGGAAATTGATTTTGTGTGTGTATATATATGTTATATATCTTGTATATATATGTTATATATCTTGTATATATATATATGTTATATATGTAATATATACACAATATATGTATGTGTGTATATATATACACACACATTTCAGGAAGGAAAAGAATTTTTTCTCATTTATATTTTTGACTGACAAAAATTTTATATGTTTATGGTTTACAACATGATGTTTTGAAATTTGTTTATATTGCAGAATGGCTAAATTGAGCTAATTATCATATGTACCACCTAACATATTTTTTTTTTTGTGTCAAGAACATTAAAAAATCTACTCTCTTAGTGATTTTCAAGTATACAATATGTACGTTATTAACTGGAGTCACCATGTTGTATAGTGGATCACTATAGCTTATTTCTCCTGTCTAACTAAAATTTTGTATCCTTTGACCAGTGTCTCCCTTCCCCCACTCCCACTCCCCAGCCCCTGGTAACCATCATTCTAGTTTCTGCTTCTATGAGTTTGACTTTTTTAGATTTCACATGTAAGTGAGCATGCGGCATTTGTCTTTCTGTGCTTATTTCACTTAATATAATATTCTCGAGCTAACATATTGAAAGACAAAATCAAGATTCAAAATGGAATATGCATGTTAGAATTACAATAAACATCATGTAATTTTACAAGGACCAATATAAAGTCCTTTATTTAGGCTGAAAAATAGAAATCAAGGGAGGTTCCTGGATTGTGACAAGAATGCATGTGAGAAAGAAGGAAGCATTTATTTACTATAAATGCAAATGGCTCAACAGTATTATGCGGCATGAAAAAAAGATAATGCATTTTTAGGCTGCATTACAAGAAATATGGCATACAACTTACAAGAAAGGTAGCAAATTCCCTGTCTTCTGGGCTGGAGATGAATCTAACTCTAGGTACCTAATTTTAATATAGATATCAATAAATTAGAGCTTACATGGGTCATTAGGATGTGAGGGAAGAGGAAATCATGCTTTATGTGGAAGAGTTAGAGCAAATGTTTAGCCTAGAGAAGAGGCCAATAATGTGGTGCATGGCTGCCACTTCAAATATTTGCATAGCTGTCACGCGGCAGAGAGGTTAGTTTTTCCTGTTCTAAGTCAGAGTTAGGACCAAAGGGTAAAAGTGACAGAGGGGCTGATTTTGATTCCAGTGATTAAAGTTGTCTAGAGGACAGCAGCTTGCCCCATGAAGGAGTGAATTCTTCACTCATATGACTGTTTAGCAAAGGCTTAGTGACTACCTGGCTAGGATGCTATTAGTAGGAATCAGCTGAATTAGGCAGCAGGTTGAAATAGATGATCTCTTTGGTTGAATCCCAGGATTTGCTGAATTGGACATTAAAAAGAATAATATTGTGCTCTCTACTCTTATGAGTTCAACTTTTTTAGTTTCCACAGATGAATGAGATTATATAGTATTTGTCCCTCTGTGCCTGGCCTATTTCATTTAACATATTATCCTCTAGGTTCATCTGTGTTGCCTCAAATGACAGGATTTTCTATTTTTTTGAAATAGGAGAATAGTATTGCATTTCATATATATACTACATTTTAAAATCCATTCACCCATTGATGAACACTAAGGTTGTTTCCAAATCTTAGCTATTGTGAATAATGCTGCAGTGAGCATGGGAGTACAGACATCTCTACAGCATACTGATTTCAATTCCTTTGGGTATATAACCAGTAGTGAGATTGCTGGATCACATGGTAATTCTATATTTAGTTTTTTTGAGGAAACTCCGTACTATTTTTTTCAAAATGGCTCTACTACTTTACTACTTTACAATACTACCAAGAGTGTAGAAGGGTTCCCTTTCCCCCCACATGCTCAGCAACACTTGTTCTCTTCCATGTTTTTGCTGATAGCCAAGCTAACAGGTGTGAAGTGATGTATCATTGTGGTTTTAATTTGCATTTTTCTGATGTTTAGAGAGTTTTTGCTTGCTTCAAGCATTTTTTCATGTATCTGTTGGCCATTTGTATGTGTTCTTTGGAGAAATGTCTATTCAAGTTTTTTGCCCATTTTTAAATAGGATTATTTATTTTCTTGTTATTGTGTAGTTTGAGTTCCTTATATGTTTTGGATATTAGCTCTTTATCAGATGTCTGATTTACAAATACTTTCTTCCATTCTGTTAGTTGTCTCTTCACTCTATTGATGTTTCCTTTGCTGTGCAGAAGCTTTTTAGTATCACGTAATCCCACTTGTCTGTTTTTACTTTTGTTGATTGTGCTTTGAGGTCTTATCCAAAAAGCCCTTGCCCAGACCTATGTCATGGAGATTTTCCCCTGTGTTCTCTTCTAGAAGCTTCATAGTTTCAGGTCTTAAATTTAAATCTTTAATACACTCTGAGTTGATTTTTGTATGTAGTAAAAGATAAGAGTCTAATTTCATTAATCTGCATGTGGATATCAGTTTTATGTGCTCTTGTTACCTTTGTTGAAAATCAGTTGGCTGTAGATACATGGATTTATTTCTGGGCTCTCAATTATATTCCACTGGTCTGTGTGTCTGTTTTTATGCCAGTACTATACTGTTTTGGTTACTATAGCTTTGTAGTATATTTTGAAGTCAGTTAGTATGATACCTTCAGTTTTCTTCTTTTTGCTTAAGATGGATTTGCCTATCTGGGATCTTTTGTGGTTCTGCACAAATTTTAGGATTGTTTTTTCTACTTCTGTGAAGAATGTCATTGGTATTTTTCTAGGGATTGCATTCCATGTGTAGATCATTTTGGGTAGTGTATTAGTCCATTCTCACACTTCTATAAAGAACTACCTGGGCTGGGCGTGGTGGCTTATGCCTGTAATCCCAGCACTTTGGGAGGTCGAGGTGGGTGGATCACCTGAGGTCGGGAGTTCAAGACCAGCCTGACCAACATGGAGAAACCCCATCTCTACTGAAAATACAAAAATTAGCTGGGCGTGGTGGTGCATGCCTGTAATCCCAGCTACTCAGGAGACTGAGGCAGGAGAATCACTTGAACCTGGGAGGCAGAGGTTGCAGTGAGCCGAGATCGCACCACTGCACTCCAGCCTGGGCACCAGAGTGAGACTTTGTCTCAGAAAAAAAAAAACCCAAAAAACAAAAAACAAACAAACAAAAACTACCTGAGACTGTATAATTTATTAATTTATTTAGAAAAGAGGTTTAATTGACTCACAGTTCCACAGGCTGCACAGGAAGCATGGCTGTGGTGAAGGTGAAGGGGAGACAAGCACATCTTACCATGGTGGAGTAAGAGAGAGAAAGAGAGAAGGGAGGAGTGCCACACACATTTAAACCATCAGATCTCATGAGAACTCATTATCATGAGAACAGCAAGGGGGAAATCCACCCCCATGATCCAATCACCTCCCACCAGACCCCTCTTCCAATTTGACATGAGATTTGGGCTGGGACACAAATCCAAACCATATCAGGTAGCATGGCCATTTTTTTTTCCTGGAGGTATATTTTTAAATTATATCTTAAAGGTGATTTATTTGATTTACTGCCTTATTCAAACTTAAAATAAAATTTTATTTTTATTTTTTATTGTGATACTTTAAGTTCTGGGGTACACGTGCAGAACGTGCAGGTTTGTTACATAGGTATACATGTACCATGGTGGTTTGCTACACCCATCAACCTGTCATCTACATTAGGTATTTCTCCTAATGCTATCCCTCCCCTAGCGTGCCACCCTGCCGACAGGCCCCGGTGTGTGATATTCTTCTCCCCGTGTCCATGTGTTCTCGTTGTTCAACTCCCACTTATGAGTGAGAACATGCGATGTTTGGTTTTCAGCATGGCCATTTTAACGATGTTAGCTCTTCCAGGCCATAAGCACGGAATATCTTTCCATTTATTTAATATCTTCTTCAATTTCTTTCATCAATGTTTTATAGTTTTCAGTGTAAAGATCTTTTACCTCCTTGATTACATTTATTTCTAAGTATTTTATTTTTTTGTAGCTGTTGTAAATAGGATTTTTAAATTTCTTTTTCAGATCTTTTGCTATTAGTGTATGAAAATGCTACTGAACTTTGTATGTTGATTTTGTATCCTGAAACTTCAGTGGATTTGCTTATTAGTTCTAACAGTTTTTTAGTACAGTCTTTAGGGTTTTTTTTTTTTTTTTAATATATAGGATCATGTTTTCTGCAAACAGGAACAATTTAATTCTTCCTTTCCAACTTGGATACTTTTAATTTCTTTCTTTTGCCTAACTACTCTGGCTAAGACTTCCAGGCTTCCAGTGCTATGTGGAATAGAAGAGGAGAAAGTGAGTATCCTTGTTTTGTTCCTGATCTTAGAGGAAAATCTTTCAGCTTTTCTACATTCAGCGTAATATTAGTAGTGGGTCTGTCACATATGACCTTATTGTGACCAGAGGTTGGGGGAAAGGGGTGGAAGAGGAAAAGGGAGACATTGGTCAATAAGCCCAAAATTACAATTAGATACGAGGAATAAAACCTGGTGTTCTATTGCACAGTAGAGCGACTATAACTAATAACAATGTATTATACATTTCAAAATAGAAAAGAGGTTTTTGCATATTCTCATCACAAAGAAATGATAAATTTTTGAGTTGCCAAATATGCTAATTACTCTAATTTGATCATTACAAAATGTAAACATGTATTGAAACATCATGTTGTACTCCGTAAATATGTACAGTTATTTTTCAATTAAAAATAAAACTTAAAAATGATATTGTGAACGTAATTTTATGTAGATAATTTTAAGGGTTAGACTAATATTAATATTCAAGCTTATAAAGACGTTAAAAGTACATGATGGAGCATTTTCTATCTCTATAAAAACCATTTCTTTATGAAAAGTACAATTTCTTTATGGAAAGTACAAGAATTATTTCTTGTCTGCATTTCTAAAATTCCAAAAAGCTCTAAAAACCAGAAGTTTTTTTGAATTTCATATGTTGAAGTAACCATAACTGAACTGATATGAAGCTATTTATAGTCTTTTTTTTTTTAATATAGCCTCCTCAGTCGCCCAGGCTGGAGTGCAGTGGTGCAATTTTGGCTCACTGCAATCTCTGCCTCCCTCCTGAACCATTTGCATGCCTCAGCCACTGGAGTGGCCGGGATTACAGGTGCATGCTACCACACCCGGCTATTTTTTTTTTTTTTTTTTTTTTTTGTATTTTTAGTAGATACAGGGTTTAACCATGTTGGCCAGGCTGGTCTCGAACTCCTGACCTCAAGTGATCCGCCCACCTTGGCCTCCCAAAGTGCTGGGATTACAGGCATGAGCCACTGCACTCAGCCTTTTTATAGTCTTTATTCCACTTAGAATTAGTATTCACACATACCTGTGCAGAAATATTGTTGTGTTTGATGAGAAAGTGCTGCCCCAGACCTTGCTGGGGGTTATGTAATAAATAATATTTACCGCTAAAATCTTTCAAATATCTGAAAAATTCTCAATTCTAAAGCATCTGTCTCTAAAGGATTTGGTTAAGAGATTGTGCACTTGTATTATTAGTTATCCTATAGTTTGATATTTCTTGTTTCTCAGGATAACTTGAATCCATTGGCCAGAGATCTAGACAATAAGCTATATAACTTCCCCATGGTACCATAATTCCCAAGAACTATTAATGAGTCCCTAAAATTTGTCACAGAAGGAGTTTTCTCTGTGAACCAAATTTGTACTATATAATGAAGCATAAGTTGTTCTTCTATTTCCATATTTATTTTATAAAGAGGTCAGTGGCAAAAATGATCAGTGTCAGGGCCTCCTCCCATACTTGATATTTCTTAAGAATGGCCCTGGGCCAGGCACGATGGCTCACGCTTGTAATTCTAGCACTTTGGTAGGATGAGGCAGGCAGATCACCTTAGGTCAGGAGTTCAAGACCAGCCTGGCCAACATGGTGAAACCCCGTCTCTACTAAAAAATACAAAAATTAGCTGGGCATGGTGGCACATGCCTGTAATCCCAGCTACTTGGGGGGCTGAGGCAGGAGAATTGCTTGAACCTTGGAGGTGGAGGTTGCAGCGAGTCAAGATCGCGCTACTGCACTCTGGCCTGGGTGACAGAGCAAGACTGTCTCAAAAAAAAAAAAAGAAAAAAAAAAGTCTGGCCCTGGATGACAATATCATACTTTTCTGGCCTACATAGATGACTTATTTGCATAAATTAATTAATGGCTTTCATTTTACAAATTCTTTCTGTAGTTATTGCTAATTCTGGACCTTTATGGAACATTTATAGAACACCTACTCCAGGCTGGCCTTAAGCTAGGCAACCATGTTACAAAGATGAATGAGAACTAAAAGAGTGCCTCAAAGTATTCACACACTCATTTGATCCTCAAAACAGCATGTAAGATAAGTGGGAGTGATGTTATTGTTCCCATTTTGAAGATGAAAAACCTTAATCTCTGGGAACTTAAGGAATTGGTTAAGGGTCACACATTCAGTAAGTGGTAGAACAGGACTTGAATCCAAGGCTTTAATTCACAATGTAGTTATATTTCCAACACATTAACATACATTGGGAGCCTGTTTGTAATAGAAAATACTTCATTTTCTCTTCACCCAACCCTTAGACATTCACTTTTACTTGGCTGCTCAGAATTTGTACCCACTTATTGTGTTTAGAAAATGCACTGTGAAATGTAAAATGAGTTTTTATGGAAGATAGGATCCTACTTCTTACTGTGAAATCCAAAAAGCCCAAACTCTCTTTTTCCCCATCCCCTGATAGCTGTGACTCAGAAATGTCATCTAGATCCAACCAGTAAGATACACCTCCTTGGATGTCAGATGCCAGAGAGACCATGGCGTGGAGACAGCCTACAACTTGCACTGGTGTGGTGGTGCGTTCTGTGTCCAACAGAGGCAGCTCGCCAACCCAGCTGGTTCTCTGGCTGTGGTTCTTGCACCTAACCCCCATTGATTTCAGATCCTTTTCTGAACTTGGTTCTTATCCCTTTCAGTCTATTCTGTGAGTAATCTGGGTTCCTTTTGCCTAATATTTTTCTGTGAAAATTAGCTCGAGTCAGTTTCTGTTGTTTCCCACCAAGAATCTCTGCCTAGGAGAGATTCACTTTATAGATGAGATACTGGTCAGAATTGGTCAGATTGGTGAGAATTGGTCAGACTTGGGGCATATTTGAAGAGAGAGCTGACAGGATTTGCTAATGGTTTGGATATGGAATGTGAGAAAAGGAAAGGCGTCAAGGATGACCTTAGAGTTCTGGTCTCAAAAATTGAAACAATAAAGCTACCATCAGGTTCCATCAGTTCCAGTTCTCTATCACTACAAAATGCCCCAAAGTAGTGAGCTTAAACAACAATCATTTTTGCTATCTCCATTGGCTTGGGCTTCTTACTGCATGATGGCTGGGCTTTAAGAAGGAGTATTCCATTAGGAAGTGTCCATAGAATGAGCATTCTAAGACAACCAGGAAAAAGCTGCATGGTTTTTTATGACCTAGCCTCAGAAGTCACATAACGTCACTTCTACCATATTCTGTGTTTAGAATTCATCACAGGCCCATTCCAGATTCAAGGAGGAGGGGACATTGGAGCATCAAAGAATTTGGGACCATGTTTTAAAACTATCACACCATTTATTAGGGAGCTCCATGAAAGCTGGGGAAGACAAAGAGGAACAAGTTGGGAATGGGGAAAAATCAAGTGTTTGTGCATGTTAACTATAAGTGTCTATTATTCATTCAAGAGGAGATAGATATTGGGCAGGCAATTGGATATAAGTCAGGAGGCAAGGTGAGAAGTTGGGGCTAGAGACAGAAATTTAAGAGTTGTTTGTGTATAGGTGATATGTGAAAGCCATAGGACTGGTTGAGATAATCTAGAGAGTGTATCTAAATAGGGAAAACGTAAGGATCTGGAACTGTTTGGAAATGTAAGGAGAGTACCAAAAGAGATTGAGAAGAACAAACCAGTGAGGCATGTGCTTAGGATGTTTGCACACAGTGTGAGCAGGGACAGAATGGTAGGAGATAGTGAGGGTAGAAGAATAGCAGAGGACAGCAGAGGTTGAGTCCAATAAATGAACATGAAGGAGAGTAAGTGTAAGCCCTGCCTTAAAAAAATGGAATGTTTTTCTTAGGAAGTAGTGTCAGTTGAGGTAATGAAACTAGGTCCAAAAAGAGAGCCTATGATTTTGCTCCTTCTCCTATGACCAGAAAAAAAAAAATGAGAAAAACAAAAATACTTAAAATTGCACAGACGGTTTTGCATTAGATCATGCAAATCAGAGACTAGGCAATTTCATTGTTATAAGTCTGGTCCCATTATCTTGTATTTTCTCAACTACAGTTTGTGGACAACACATTTGCATTCTTGAAACACTTTATTTTTTGGACAGGGTCTTGCTGGAGTTCAGTGGCATGATCATAGCTCACTGCAGCCTCAACCTCCTGGGTTCAAGCAATCCTCCCACCTCAGCTTCTAGAGTATTTGGGACTACAGGTTTGCCACCATGCCTGGCTATGTTTTTTTTATTATTATTATTTGTAGAGATGAGGTCTTGCTATGTTGCCTAGGCTGGTCTTAAACTCCTGGGCTCAAGCATTCCGCCTGCCTCTGTCCCCCAAAGTGCTGGTATTAACAGGCATGAGCCATTGCGCCTGGCCCAAAACACCCTTCGATTGTTGTTTTGTGACAACATGCTTTTCTGCTTGTATCTCTGGTCAGTCTTTCCAGACTTGCTAGTTCTGTCTCCTTTGACTTCTAAATGATGGAATTTTTTAAGGCTTGATCTTAGATTTTCTCTTGTTTTGATTCTATATTCTTTTCCTCCTTATGCAAGGAGATCTTCCATAGCATTAAGTAACATTTATTTGCTAATGATATTCATGTTTACATATACAGTCCAGAACTATTTTCTGAACTCCAGTCAAATATATCCAACTGCTCACTTGATATTTGGGTCTCTAACAATGACCTAAAACTCAACATGTCTAAGCACTCTTGATTTCTACTTCCCAAAATTGCGCTCACAGTCTTCCCATCAAAGTAACTGGTAACTCTGTACTTCCCAATTTTTAATTAAACTTTTAATTTTGAGATAACTGTAGATTCACATGTAGTTGTAAGAGATAATACAGAGATCCCTTGTACACTTTATCCAGTTTTCTTTAATGAAAACATCTTTTAAAACTAAGTACAATTTCACAATCAGGATATTACCATCAATACAATCAAGATACAGAACATGTCCATCATCATAAGGATCCCCCACATTGACTTTTTATAGCCATGCTCACTTCCCTCACATATCTATTCCCTCATTATCCATAGGAAACCACTAACTAGTCTACTATCCATTTCTATAATTTGTTGTCTCAAGAATATTACATAAGTGCAACCATATAGTATGTAGCCCCTTGAGACTGGCTTTTTATTCATCTTCTCTGGAGATCCATCTAGTTTGTTGTGTATATGAGTAATATGCTCCCTTTTATGGCTAATATTCCATGGCACAAATGTACCACAGTTTGTTTAACTATTCAGCATTTGAATGTGGTTTCCAGTTTTTGGCTCTTATGAATAAAGCTGCTATGAACACTTATGTACAGGTTTTTGTGTCAATATAAGTCTTCATTTCTCTAGGATAAATGCCCAGTAGTGCAGTTGCTAGGTCATTTGGTAGTTGCATATTTCATGTTTTAAAGAAATTACACACTTTTTTCCAGAGTATACCATTTTACTTTCCCACCAGCAATATGTGATTCAACTTCTCTACATCTTTGCCAGCTTAGGTATTGATATTTTCATTTTAGTCATTCTGGTAAGTATATAATGTCTTATTTTAGTTTTAATTTACATTTCTCTAGTGACTAATGATGTTGGACAGCTTTTCATGTGCTTTTTTGTCATCTGTGTATATGTTTCAGTAAATGTTCATACCTTTGCTCATTTTCTAATTGGATTTTTTTTTTTTTTACTGTTTTTGTTTTTTACTGTTGAATTTTGAGAATTCTTTTTATGTTCTAGATAGTAGTCCTTTGTCAGATGTGTGATTTGCAAATATTTCCTCCTAGTGTGCAGCTTGTTTACTCACCCTGTTAACAGGACCTTTCACAGAACAAACATTGTTAATTTTGATGGAGTCCAATTTATTAATTTTTTCTTTATGGACCATTCTTTCTGTTTCAAGGCTAAGAGCACTTTGCCTGGTCCTAGAGCCTGATGTTCTCACATTTTTTTCTGTAGTTATATAGTTTTTTAGTTGTACATATTACATTTAAGTCTGTGATCCATTTTGAGTTGATTTTGAATAAGGTGTGAAGTTTAGGTCTTTTTTTATTTTATTTTTTGCCTGTGGATGACCAATTGTTTCAGCTCCATTCATTCAAAAGGCTATCTTTCCCTCAGTTGAATTGTGTCCGCAGCTTTGTGAAAAATCAATTGGGTATAAATATGTGGGTATGTTTCTGGGTTCCATACTTTGTTCCATTGATCTATGCGTCTGTCTTTTCACCAATGTCACACAGTCTTGATTACTGTAGCTAGACAGTATCTTGAAATCAGGTAGACTAATTCCTCCCACTTTATTCTTTCCTTAAAAAATGGTTTTATCTGTTTTATTCTTTTACCTTTCCATATATATTTGAGGATAATCATGTGTGTATCTACAAAAATCTTGCTGGGATTTTGGTTGGAATTATGTTAAACTTGTATATCAGTTTTGGAAGAATTGATATCTTTTAGTATGTTGAGTCTTCCAATCTATGTACATATGTGTCTTCATTTATTTATATCTTCTTTCATCAGTGTTGCATAGTTTTCAGCATACAAGTCCTATATATATTTTGTTACATTTTCCCCAATAATTTTGTTTTGGGTGATAAAAATTATAAATGATATTATATTTAACATTTTGATAGCCATATATTCATTGCTATTTATAGAAATACAATGGATTTTTGTGTGTTTACCTTGTCTCCTGCAACTTTGCTGAACTCACTTATTAGTTCTAATTTTAAAAAATAGATTCATTGTGATTTTCTATATAAACATTTAGACACATGCAAATAAGGATCAAAGTATTTCTTCCTTTCTGATCTGCATAATTTTTTGTTTCCTTATTTTACTGGCTAGTACTTCTAGTACTATATTGAATAAGAGTGGTGACAGTGACTATCCTTCCTTTGTTCCCAATATTAGGGGCAAACACATTGTCTTTCACCATTTAGTATAATGTTAGCTGTTGGGTTTTGCAGATTCTCTTTATCAAGTTGAGGAAGTTCTCTTATATTCCTATTTTTGTAAGAGTTTTACCATGAATGGAGGTTGAATTTTGTCAAATACTTTTTATACATTGATTGATATAATAGTGTAATTTTTCTTCTTTAGCCTGTTAATATGGTGGGTTACATTGCTTGCTTTTCTAGTATTGGACTGGGCTGGTATCCCTGGAATAAACCCCACTTGGTCATGGTGTCTAATTATTTTCATATACTGCTGAATTCCATTTGCTCATATTTTGGTGCTAGGATTTTTGCATCTAAATTCATGAGGACATTGGTCTGTAGTTTTCCTTTTTTATATTGTCATTGTCTGTATTTGATATCAGAATAATACTAGCTTCATACAATGAATTGAGAGTTGTTCTCTCATTCTTGAAGAGACTTCACAGAATTGGTGTTTAATTCATCACCTCACACTTATTAGGATGGCTATTATCAAAGAGACAAGAGACAAAATTTGACAAGGATGTGAAGAAAAGGGAATACTTCTATACTGTTGGTGGAAAGGTAAATTAGTACAGCCATTATTTAAAAAATGGGTATTCCTCACAAAATTAAAAACAGAATGACCATATAGTCCAGCAATTCCATTTCTGAATATATATCCAAAGGAAATGAAATTAGTATGTCAAAGGGATATCTGCAATCTCATGTTTATTGTAGCATTATTCACAGTAGCTAAGATATAGAATCGACCTAAGGATCCATTGACTGATGAATGGATAAAGAAAATGTGGCACAGTAGTCCCCCCTTATCTGCAGGGCATACATTCTAAGACCTCCAGTGGATGGATGCCTGAAACTTTTCATACTATCAAACCCTATACATACTATGTTTTTTCCTATATATACATATCTATGATAGAGTTTATAAATTTTGCATAGCAAGAGATTAACAACAGTAAGTAATAATAAAATAGAGCAAGTATAACAGTATACTTAAATAAATGTTATATAAATGTGATCTTTCTCTACCTCTCTCTAAATATCTTATTGTATGTAATATTTTTGGACTGTGGTTAACTGTGGGTAACTGAAACCACAGAAAGCAAAGTTGTGGATAACGAGGAGACTACTATATATATATACCTACACACACTTACACACACGCATATATATATATATATATATATATATATATATATATATATATATATATATATATATATACTGTGTGTGTGTGTGCATGCATTTGTGTGTGAATATATATATACATATTCATCCTAAAAAAGCGGAGAAATGTATATAATGGAACGCTCTTCAGCCTTAAAAAGGAGAGAAATCCTGCCATTTGTGTGTGACATGGATAAAATGACATGGATAAATCTGAAAGACATTATGCTAAGTGAAATAAACCAGACATAGAAAGATAAATACTGTATGATCTGGAAGACATTATGCTAAGTGAAATAAACCGGACATAGAAAAATACTGCATGATCTCACTTAAATATGGAATCTACAAAAATTATCTTACAGAAACAGAAAATAGAATGGTGGTTATCAAGGGCTTGTGGAGGCTGGGCTGGAGGGGTGTTGGTCAAAGGATACAAAATTTCAGTTAGGAAGAATAAGTTCTGGAGACCTATTGCACAACATGGTGACTGTACTTAATAACAGTGCATTGTATACTTGAGAATTACTAAAAGAGTAGATGTTTAAATATTCTCACCACAAAAAAAGATAAGTATGTGAGGTAATAGATATGTTAATTAGCTTGGTTTACCCATTCTGTAATGTATACATATATCAAAACAGTATGGCCGGGCATGGTGGCTCACAAAAATTATCACGGGCGGATCACAAGGTCAGGAGATTGAGACCATCCTGGCTAACACGGTGAAACCCCGTCTGTACTAAAAGTACAAAAAATTAGCTGGGCGTGGTGGCAGGCGCCTGTAGTCCCAGCTACTCGGGAGGCTGAGGCAGGAGAATGGCGTGAACCCGGGAGGCGGAGCTTGCAGTGAGCCGAGATCGCGCCACTGCCCCCCAGCCTGGGCGACAGTGCAAGACTCCATCTCAAAAAAACAAACAAACAAACAAACAAAAGCAACAACAACAAAAAACATTATGTTGTGCCCCATATACATATATAATTTTGTCAATTAAAAAAATAAAAAAATTAAAAAAGGAATTGATGTTAATTCTTTGAACAATTAGTAGAATTCTCTGATGAAATCACCTAGACCTGCAGATTTCTTTTTTGAGAATTTTAAACTTGTAAATTCAATCTTCTTAATAATTAAAGCACTATTCAATCTATTTCATACTGGATGCTAATTTGTGCTTTTTGAGGCATTGGTAAATTTCATCTAAGCTTTAAAATTTATGGTGTAGAATTATTCATATGATTTTCTTATTATACTTTTGATTTCTGCAGGGTCTGAAGGGATATCCACTATTTCATTCCTGATGTTGGGAATTTGTACCTTGTCTCTCTTTTTCTTTGTTAGTTAAAGCTTTGTCAATTTTATTGATCTGTTTTCAAAGAAGTAGCTGTTTGTTTCATTGATTTTCTTTATTGCTTTTCTGTTTTCAATTTCATTGACTTCTGCTCTTTATTTCCTCCCTTCTACTTGCTTTGGGTTTATTTTGCTCTTCTTTTCCCAACTTCTTGGGATGGGAGTTTAGATTATTGATTTGAAACTTCTCCTCTTTTCTAATGTAAGCATTTAGTGCTATAAATTTCCCTGTAAGCACTGCTTTATCTGCATCCTACATCTTTTGATATATTGAATTTTCATTTTCATTTAGTTCTGTGTATCTTTAAATTTTCTTTGGACTCCTTAATGAAGTGTAGAAGTGTATCATTTAGTTTCCAAGTGTTTGAAGATTTCCTGTTACTTTTGTTATTGATTTCTAGTTTGCTTCCTTTGTGGACAAATAACACACTCTATCTTTGCAATTGTTTTAAAAAAATTTTTTTTTTTTTGAAACAGAATTTTGCTCTTGTCGCTCAGCTGGAGTGCAGTGGTGCAATTTTGGCTCACTGCAACCTCCACCTCCCAGGTTCAAGCAATTCTCCTGCCTCAGCCTCCCGAGTAGCTGGGATTACAGGTGCCTGCCACAATGCTGGCTAATTTTTGTATTTTCAGTAGTGACGGGGTTTCACCATGTTGGCCAGGCTGGTCTCGAACTCCTGACCTCAGGTGATCCACCCGCCTTGGCCTCCCAAACTGCTGGGATTACAGGTGTGAGCCATCACGCCTAGCCAATTGTTTTAAATTTTTTGAGGTTTGTTTTATGGCTCATCATATGTTGTATGTTGGTTTATGTTCCATAAATGCTTGAAAATAATGTATATACTTCCTGTTTTTGAGTGGTGTGTTCTGCAAGTGCTGATTAGTTCCTACTGGTGGATGATGTTATTGAGTTTTGTATCCTTGCTGATTTTAAAAAGATGTTCTATCAATTACTGAGAGAGGGAGAGGTGTTGACATTTCCAAATATAATTGTGGACTTATCTATTTGTCCTTCAGTCCTGTCAGTTTTTGCTTAACATATTTTGCAGCTCTGAGTCTGGTGAAAACTCTTTAGGATTGCTATGTCTTCCTATTAAATTGAACTTATCATGATGTAATGTTCTTCCTGCTGGTAATTTTCTTTGCTCTGAAACTTACTTTATCTGATATTAATATAGCCATGTCTGCTTTCTTTGATTGATATGTACGTGATATATCCTTTTCTATCATTTTACTTGCAACCTATTTCATTATGTTAATATTTGAATTGTTTTTCTTGTAGACAGCAGCATATAGTTAGGTCATGGTTTTGTTTTGTTTTTTGACAGAGTTTCACTGTGTTGCCCAGGCTGGAGTGCAGTGGCACAATCTCGGCTCACTGCAACCTCGGCCTCCTGGTTCAAGCAATTCTGCCTCAGCCTCCTGAGTAGCTGGGATTACAGGCACACACCACCATGCCCGGCTAATTTTTGCATTTTAGAAGAGATGGGGTTTCACCATGTTGGACTCGAATTCCTGTAGCCATGGTTTTTAACCCACTCATCCAATCTTTGTCTTTTAATTGATGTATTTAGATTATTTACACTTAATGTAACTATTGATATATTGTGCTTAATTTTTTGCTTTCTGTTGTCTGTTTTTCTGTTTGTTCCTGATATCTTGTGTGTTGCTTGAAAATTTATTAAAATTCTATTTTGATTTATCTACTACATTTTAAAATTTATATCTTTATATAGTTTTGGCAGTTGCCCTATGTATTATATTACATATATATAACTTATCACAGCCTGCTATTGTTGACATTTTACCAGTTCAAATGAAGTGTAGAAACTTCACTTTGTTTTACATACCTTACCTTCCCCATTTATATTTGTTTTGAATATTTCATTTACATTTACTTAATACTACTTCAGACTGTGTTATAATTTTTGCTTCAACCGTCAACCATAATTTTGAGAAATCAAGAGTAGAAGAAAAATTTAGTATATTTATTCATATTTTTGCTTTTTGTATATTTCTTTCTGATAATCCAATATTTTTTCTTTTCTAATATTATTTCTACTTAGAGGATTTTTAAAAGCCATTCCTTTTGGTTAGTTCTGCTGGCAAAAAAATTAGTTTATGTTCATCTGAGATAGCCTTGATTTATCTTTCATTTCTGAAGGATATTTTATGCAGATATGGAATTCTGGGTTGACAGTTCTTTTCTTTCAGCACTTGAAAAATATTGTGCCATGTTTTTTTCTGGCTCCCATCATTTTTGATGAGAAATCCACTGCCAGTTGAGTTGTATTTTCTACATAGGCAAGATATCATTTCTCTCTTTCTGTGCTTTCAATATTTTTTCTTTATCTTTAGTTTTCAGAAGTTTGACTATGATTTGTCTTAGTGTGGATTTCTTTGGGTTTATATTGTTGGGGTTTACCATGTTTCCTGAATCTTTGGTGTATGTCTTCTGTAAAATTTGGAAGTTTTTGCTGTATTTCTTCAAGTACTTTTTCAGCACTGCCCTTTTATCTCTTGGGACTCTAATTATATGATTTTTAGCTCTTTTGTTTTAGTCCCATGTATCCCTAGGGCTCTGTTTATTTTTCTCCAGTCTATTTTTTTCTGTTATTCAGATTGGGTAATTTCTATTGTTTTATCTTCTGTTCCACTGATTCTTTCCTCTACCCACTCCACTCTGTTGTCTAGCTCATCCACTGAGTTTTAAAAAATCCATTTGATTATCTTGTGTTTCTTTCTTGAGGTGATTTGTTCATTTGTTTCAAGCATGTTTATAATTGCTCAGTGAAGAACAGTTATGATGGATTCTTTAACATCTTTGTTATACAGTTCTAACATCTCTGTCATCTTAGTGATGTGACTATTGCTCTTATTTTAAAATTAATGTTGATATTTTCTTGGTTATTTGTGTAAGTGAGTTTTCACTGAAACATGGATGTTTTGAGTATTATGCTATGAGACTTTGGATTTTATTTAAACATTAGTTAGCTTGTTCTGACATTTCCCAGGGAAGAGTAGGAAGACTGCCTCATTATTGGCAGGTGATGGTAGACGTCCAAGTTACTCTTTTGGGGAGCCGGAAGACTGGTGAGTAGAAAACATTTACACTAAAGCATGAAAGGGAAAAAGGATGTAAATATAGGAAAATGTATAAAAAATTTACTCAACTCAATGAAAAGGCCTAATACCTGTATTATTGGAGGTCCAGAATAGAATGAGGGAAAAAATGGGATAGAAGCAATATTTGAAGACATAATTCCCCAAATCCTCCAAAACAGTTGAAATGCATCAAGTAACAGTTTTAAAACCTCTATGATCTTCAAAAAGGATAAATACAAAGAAAACTCTCATAATAAGCTTCTAACAAATTTTACAGAAAGCCTGTGAAAAAATACAATGCTTAAAAATAATCCAAAAATATAATTGGCAGAATAATAATATGAAAGCTAGAGGCAATGGAATGGCATCTTTAAGGTACTGAGGGAAGAAGCTGAACTATAATTTTATATCCAGTGAAAAAATATCCTTCAAATGTGAAGGCAAAAGAAATACAATTCTAGATAAACAAAATTGAGAGACTTTGTTGCTCTCAGACCTTGAGAGTTCTTCAGGCAGAAGGAAAATGATGATATCTGGAAACAAATGCAGGAAGGAGTGAAGAGCATTGGGAAGAACAAATACGTGGGTAAATAAGTGAACACTGATTACACAAAACAATACTGTGTTGTGGGGTGTAACATATATTTATGTTAAGTATTTACCAACTCCAGGCCATAAAGTCACTTGTCCTCATTTCATCTATAGAATAAGAGGATTTATACTCCCTTCCAGCTTTCTGCATTAGGAGGCAAGCTATACTTATCCCCATTTCACTAATGAGGTATATAACATCCGGAGAGGCTAAGTCACTTGTCTGGGACAGGACTAGAAATAGTTCTCATGCTTCCTGGTCAACTATCTCTCTCTTTTGGATTTATTTATTCATTTGATCAAGATGTAAAAAATTTTAAATTACTCTGCTGATCATTGGGATACAAAGCTGAATGTGACAAGACAGATTTTACTGTGAGAATTCCAGCTTGTGACAGTTTTAAAGTGCTTTGCAATAGGAAGGAGACTCTACCAATGCAAACTACTATTGTTATTGAATATAATTTACAACTCATATAGCATTAACTCTGAAGCAAAAAATCTCTAATTGAAAGACTTTTCCCTTATCTAGTGAGACAGAGATGGATAGATAGATAGATAGATAGATAAGTAGTTAGTATATAGATAGAGAAATAGATCGAGAGAGTGAGAGAAGAAATGGATCTCTAGGTTTGAATAGCATCCTTCCAGCTATGGCTGTGATAAGAACCTATTGCTGGAAATTTAATAATAATACTTTTTTATATCACTTTACAGTTTCAAAGTATTATGTTATACTTTATCTCATTTATGTGTCACTACAACTCACTGGGGTAGAATACAGGGAAAACATTATTATTCATGGTTTATCTGTGAAGAAACTGAAGCCAGGAAAGGTCAATGGGCTACTGAAACTCACAGCTGGTAAGTGGCAAAGCAAGGACAATTATTACTTATTCTATTCCAGTTCCTGGTCTTGGCTCAGGGATCCCCCTGCCTCACCCTCAGCCATGTTGAAGACTAGAGTCAGACAAGACAAGACTGATGATAATTTTGCAGCTGGCATATTTTGGTGGTGGCTAGATTTCTGAGTGGCCAAATGTTGGCTATAACAATGCAATGACTAAACCCATACTGTGTGTTCTTATCCCCATTTCACTAATGAGGTATATAACATCTGGAGAGGCTAAGTCACTTGTCTGGGACAGGACTAGAAATAGTTCTCATGCTTCCTGGTCAATTATCTCTCTCTTTTGGATTTATTTATTCATTTGATCAAGATGTAAAAAATTTTAAATTACTCTGCTGATCATTGGGATACAAAGCTGAATGTGACAAGACAGCACATGCAATGACTTTACCTGTTTGATCTCATTTAATCCTTACGACAAACCTATGAGATAGAAACTGCTACTATCCTCATTTTACAGAAAGGGAAACTTAGAATTAGGTTAAGTAATTTGATCATACTGCTAATAAATGGCGAAGCTGGGATTTGAATGGAGGTCTGCCTGACCATGCCTCTAATTACCACTCTATATGGTCATTCTGTTACAAGTTCTGTTATTTAAGTGTGTTAGGATCAGATGTGAAATTCATCTGGAGACTGGATAAGAGGAGGAGGAAGCAGGAATGAAGACCTTGGACAGCAGCATGGTGGGTGCTTGGACTCTGTGTCTCATCTCATGGTCTTGCTAGTGAGAGGAGTGTTTCTCTTTAGCCCTGAAACCTTTAAGTCTCATGAGCCACTGTCTGTTTATACAGCTGGGTCATTTGCATGTTGGTACACACAGCATTGAAGAGGATTGAAGAATTTGCTTGACATAAAATTGACCATTTACATGGGATGGTCTGATAGAGTTTCTGAATTTTTTGCTAAAAAATGACCCTTTACCTGGCTTTCCATGGCATCTGAAATTTCTGTTTCTTCTCATTTTTTTTTTAAGGTCAGCCAGTGAAGATCTTATGAAAAAACAGGCACTATCCTGAAAAGGAACATAGACTCAACTATCAAAACTTTAGCACTAATGCTTCCATCATGTTGCTCTGGCATAGAGCAGTAACTCAGGGAATGGAACTCTGCAAGGATATGTTTTCAGGTTCTATGCAAAAGTCAGCTTGAGATATGGCTGCTGTGATTTATGGGGATCAGTGTCTCAAATTAATCAAGTATGAGTGAATCTTATAGGTCTTCCAGGGTAATATCAATGTAGTTCATTAATGTGAAGAAACAACATTTTATAATAGGAATGAATGAAAAAAAAATTCTGTAGTATGTTTCCTCTGTGAAACAGAGACCTGTCATTCAAACACCAAATGCTACAGAGTATCTTAGGTAGTTATTCTTTTTTTTTTTTTTTTTTTTTTTGAGGCAGAGTCTCGCTCTGTGGCCCAGGCTGGAGTGCGGTGGCGCCATCTTGGCTCACTGCAAGCTCCACCTCCCGGATTCACGCCATTCTCCTGCCTCAGCCTACCAAGTAGCTGGGACTACAGGCGCCCGCCACCACGCCCGGCTAATTTTTTGTATTTTTAATAGAGACGGGGTTTCACCATGTTAGCCAGGATGGTCTCGATCTCCTGACCTCTTGATCCGCCCACCTCAGCCTCCCAAAGTGCTGGGATTACAGGTGTGAGCCACTGCGCCCGGCCTATCTTAGGTAGTTATTCTATAATGATTACAACTTTTTCCATGATAACAGGTGGCAGCGCATGCTTTGGACTCAGTCCTCTGGGGAGAAATCAAGCTGAACAAAGCTCCTGGCCTGGCATTTGCAGTGATTATTTATATGAGGGACATTCCAAGTTTTGCAAGTGAGATGAGTTCTGGAAATTAATGTGTATTAGGAAGGCAGTAGAAAGTAAGATTTGAGATAACTCTGGGAAAGAAAGCTGTTTGGTTGATGCAGAGATTAGGACACTAATAATAGATAAAGAGAGGGAGATGAGGGATAAGGGAAAAAGCCTCACTCATGGGAAGGGAATACATAGCTTAGGGCTGTCTAAAATATCCTTATCTAGAGATATGCTGGCACTTATTTGAGGGTTTCTTGAATTTCTATCAACGTATTTCCTCATAATATATATGCCAACATTGAAGTGGATCAGTGACACAGAGATCCAAATTCATGGAATCACTTTAAGGAGACAGATAGACATGTTTCTAAACCACCCAGCTATTTGGCTAAATTCAGGTCCCACTTAAAAATATTAACCGGATTTAAGATAATCTTAGAGGATTTTGATTCCATTAAAAAGTTTGAGCACAGGCTAGATACAATCCTTGGTTTCTCATTTAATAAAATGCAAAGGAAAATGGGTGCACATACACCAGCACCCTGAAATATCAGGTGGTTAGAAGTAACTCTTGAATAGAATACTTTCAGACAAATAGAAGTGCATTTGAAATCATTGGGTGATGTCTCAGGTGGTTTGGGGAAATGTAGCTCCTTCTCCCCTTTTCCAGTCTAATGCAAAAAATAAAAAATCTCTCTTCCACAGAACATTACAGAAGCACTTTCTAGTAGTGACAGGTTACCAAGGCATGGTATTACTCACTGATCCCTGCCTTGCAAGTCAGGCAAAAGGTTTTAAGCATTTACCAAATGGCATACACTGCACTAGTTGCTTTGTAGTTAAAAGAAACGGAAAAGAGGAACTGTATTCATGTTAGGGACACAAGGCCAATCCTCTGAAAAAATGTAAAACATTATATATTAAATATGTTGCACTGTAATCATAATTGTTGTCATTTTTGTAGCATGTTCGAGTTTTCAAAGTCATTGGCAGGCATTTTATCATTTGATTTTAGCCATATGTGGTGTGTTCACCATGTGCCAGATATTGTAATATATGATTTCGTCTAGTCTTTCTAAGAAACCCATGAGGTAGGTATTGTTGTCTTTACCAAGAAGAGTCTCATGAAAGTTTTGAGGGTAGTCAGAGCAAGCTTTTAAAATAGATTAGAAAACAGGGTCATGGAGGTTAAATGACCTTCATAGAGTCATTTGACTTTAATGACCTAGTCTTCTTATCCCTTTCTCATGGACTAGTCTACGATGACACCAGCATGTGAACTTTCTGACATTAAAATGTCAGAAATGTCCTTGCCTTACTGTCTTTACTGGCCTTTTTTGTTAGAAGGAACAGAGTGTTTTGCAAAGTGTATATTTAATAATCTCTGTACCCTCATAGATTCAAAATGAGGCATGGAGGGAGGATTACCCACCTAGGTTTTGAGAGGGTAGGTAGGTTTGAATAAACAGAGAACTTAAAGGAGATGGGGCCAAGACAAGAAACTCTCCTGCTCTCTGTTCCAGTGCTGTTCTGCTTGGGGCATGTGGTAATGGGTGTGAGTGAGGCTGCCTGAGATTGTGTACTGGGAAACAGACTTGGAAACAGACTTGAAATAGACTTGACACAGAAAGTTATTGCAGGTGTTTTCAGGAGATACACCTGTAAGCTGATGAAGCAACTGACCTGTATTCCTGTGGCAAAAAAGGTCTCAGGTGGCTCTACACAGAAGTTTGGAGCTGGGACAGCCTCTTGGAGCTAATCCTGTTTGAAGCACGTGGTCAGACGTCTGTATCCCTTCATAAGCCAGTCATTGGCCATAGGCTGTCCCCTAGGAGGGGCCGTCATCCTGGATGAGGCAGTTCCCTGCAACTGAGGTAACTGCTGGTGAGTAACTCAGCTGTGAGTCCCCAGCACTCAGTATTCTTAGCAGCAAGGGGTTGAGTGTGTCTGTGCTGAAGAGAGGATCTGGGTGGAGATCTCCTTAGTGTGCCCCATCCAGCCCTCATGTCGCTCAAACCCACTTACTTCTTATAATAACTGCACTATGTTTGGGAATGCCTTCTATTGAATTTTGGTTGGTCTCGTTTCCTGAGAGCTTATAAGTGAAAGTTTAGTAAGAAATACTACAGCGCTTGCTGCTGCAGTTTGGTCTCAAGGCTTATTACTGCTCCCCTCCTTTTTTTTTAAACACACTCATTCCCCTCCACTCTGGCTATTCCCTGTGCTGCACTGGGTAACTTACCTGCTGGAAGTAATGAAACCCTCATCCCAGAGGGTCCTGAGCCCCAAGTTACTGTGCCCTTCTCAGTCTATGGTTGCTATTCTTGTGTATTACCATTAAGTGGTGAGCATGGGAACATCAAGAGACCTCTTAGTGGACCACCTGACCGCCAAGCATATTCTTCCCTTCTTCTATTGTGTAGCAGAAGCTAAGCCCCTCCTGATGGGCAGGGTCGATTACCCTTGCTAGTTGGTTGGTTGATTTCTTTAGTTTATTGCTGGTTTCTTGGTATGAGGATCCCAAAGTAATTGAGTGGCAGTTGTAGCTTAAAGTTCAAAGGGACTCTTAACTATGTCCCCAGGTACAAGTGTTCCTCTTTTGGGAGTTAGGATCTTTAGATCTAAAGAGCCTAACCTTGAGTGGATAGAAAACAAATATCTCAGGAGGATTACTGGTTGCAGTATTGGTAAATCATTCCATCTCTTGGTTCCTGGACCTATGTATTCTACCTGCTGGGGACACAGAATCATATAGGTCATTTAGGGTATATGTTGAGTCCTGGATGATAGTGCACCATCCTTCCAGGGTATAATATCCAAAATGGCCCCTTTGCTGTATCATTAAGAGGGCATGCCACTGGTCTTTCAGGCCAGTGTCTTCTCAGTAGTGCAGTATGTGATAGAACCAGTGGATTCCATGGTCACGTATCCCTTTGTCATACTACCTCTGCTGTAAAATGGGTCACTTGGTCTTGAGGTAGTGTTTTGTGGAATCCCATGTTGGCACATTAAAACCTTGCAAATCATTGGATAGCAGTAGCAGAAAAGGAAAACACATAGCTGCAACAGGTGTCTATCTCAGCCAAGATAGATTGCTGCCCTTTTCAGAGTAGAAGAGGTCCAATGTAATTGACTTGACACTAAATGCCTGGTTGATCTCTTTGAGGGACGGTACCACCACTGGGGGCTCAGCACTGGTCTCTGTTGCTGGCAGGGTGGACATTTGGTGATGACAGTGGCAAGCAGCAGCAGCAGCAGCAGCAAGTAGCTTTGGTAAGCTGGGGCCATGCATAGGCTTCATTCGTGCAATCACTGCTACTAAATGTGATCGGGCACCATCCCAGCACTGGAGTGGCTGATGAAAAAAAATAGGCTGAAGTCAGTTGGCCAATTCATTCTGTCAACTTGGTTGTTTGGTGTCTTCCATCAGAGATGCTATGTAATGAGAATCAACAAATAATATAAAGATTTTTATCATTCATCTTCTTTTCCTATAGGTTATTCACATGCCTCTTCCTAGACCTCCTTGTCCTCAGTCTTCCAAATGATCTGCCAATCCTCTGAATAACCAGCTAGGCCATCGTCCATGAGTTATTGTATAGCCTAGCCTTGGACCACTTATCTTCCCACGTAAGGTGGGTGATGGGGCAACACCTGAAGCTCTGACTACTGGGAAGATTTGCCTTCATTGCAGTCTTCTGGGTCACCCAAGAGTGTGTTGAAGTGCAGCAGCAACTCAGCCTTTTTTCTCCTACATCAGCTGGTCCTGAAGGCCTCCCTCACAGTGAAGAAATGGTGCTGGGGCAACAGGGGTGGAGGATATGTGGGCCTGGACCACCTGTTCATGAAGCTTACATGTGTCCTCTGAACTTGCTCATGCCTCATCCCTGTTGTTCCTCTTCCATCTTTTAACCAATTCTTTTTTTGTGTGTCTCAGAAAGATGTGATACTGATAATACTATGCCACCTGCAAAGGCTCAAAAACCTGTGGAAATACGTTCCATATTTCCTGTGTGGAGGACTTAGTAATAGCTTGTGAAACAAATGTTGGTACAAGTTGTCCATAGTTGAGCTATGTCTGGGAAATTTGACAAGAGGTAAAAAGAGAATTTCAGAGGGAGCCAAAATACCTCTAGTCTTCAAGTAGGTAGGACTGGCTGATGGCTAGATGATGAAGGAGGCAAAGTTTGATTTTGCTTTCTATATAATTTTGTATTTGAATATTTTCATAGTAAAAATTAGAGAGTGCTTGCGCTTTGGAGTTCAAAAGACAGAGATTAAAATCCTAGCTCCACTGTCTTCCAGCTGAGTGACCTCAGGCAACTTATTTAACCTGTCTGAGATTCAGTTTGCTAGCTAAGATTGTAATGACAAGTACCTACCTCATAGGGTTACTGTGGGGCTTACAAGACATATTCTTTGTAAAGTGCTTAGCTTCATGCCTGACACATAGGAGGCATGAAGTGCTGAATGAATGAGTGGATAACTGGTATTATTTTGAGCTGATATGTATAGGGTACCCAGTGCAGCACCTGTTGTGAAGAAAAAGTGAAGGGGATGAGAAAAAAGGATCAAGATGAGTTTTAGTACCTCAAATGTTAGCACCTCTGCAAGCTGGAAGGTGATAGGTACTGAGTGATGGGCAAAGGGTGAGCCTGGTGACATTTATATGTCTTACAACTCCTCTTCCCCCAACTCTCTCTCTGTGTTTGAGGTGTCACCATCCCCAGTCTTGATGCCCCATCCCTCCTCAACTACTCCCTAGTTTCCTAGGGACTCCCTGAGTCCTCCCCGCCCCATTCTTTGTCTTTTCTGCACTGATTCAGTATGTTTCTCCTGATGGGATCACCCTCCTGCCTTTCCTGCTTATCAAAATCCTACTCATCCCACCTCCTCTATTCAGCCTTCTGGGGTGAATCACCCATGTAAATCTTCCTCCTTGCTACTTTGTATCAAATGGTCAGGCCTGCAGTTAGTACAGAAGGGGTCTCTGCTTACTTCACTTGTGTATTTCTCATTTTCCTCTGAAGAATTTAGAGTGGTCATTACAGGGCTCAAAAAAAAAAGTACTGGCTCAATACATGTTTGTTGAATAATTATCATTTTGTCTGTTTAAGCCTTCTCGCAAATAAACAGGGAAGTCCCTGTGTAATTTTCAGAGTGGCTTTGGAGACATCATACTACTTGCCTGAGTCTCAATTTCATTATATATAAAAAATGGAGTGTTGAAGTTGATCACTGAGGTCCCTTTCAGTAAGAAAAGTACATGATTCTGTGAAACCTGAGGCAAGAACTCATAGCTGTCACCCAGATGTTTGCATGGCTGGCTTCTTGTCATTCAGGTCACCTAGTCACTCTAACATATGACCCCAGCTTTTAATTTTAGATAGTGATACATTTTGCCTCCCTCCCTTTGTTCTTTCTTTTTGTCTTTGTTTATTGTCTGTCTCCTTGCTAAGATGTGAAATCCAAGAGGTCAGAGCTTATGTTTGATTCACAGTTGTATCCTCAGCACCTACACCAGTGCCTGGCACATAGTAGGTGCTCTATAAATATTTGTTCATGGAATGAATGAGGTCCATTCAACTGGATAAAGACATTTATACTTGAACTGTTAGTAATCCAGACTCCTTACCACTGGAGAAGTTATTCTAGTTCATCCCATTTTCTTCTAGAACCGGACATAATTGGCCTGGGTAAATAGCAGGAAGTGCCACAGCACCTTCAGCTGCTTAGACATTATGTTTGGCATGTGTTCTTCTTGCCTTTGCATTAGTGCAGTGACTTCTTAAAGCCCTAGCTTCTGGAATCACGTATGATGGTGACTCAGCCTTGGTGACATCAGCCTTGTGGTGATGATCTGAGGATTTGTTTAAACTTATGCATTCTTTGGGCCAGTCTTCTCTCCTTTTCAAGGCAGTCCAGACTGCCTTGAAAGGCAGTCATTTAGTAAACCTTGTGGATACCTTTTCATCCCCACTGGCTGGTTCATTGCACTGTCTGGTTGACATGGTTTCCCAAAAGGTTGTTAGCTTGTTTGTATAATGGCTGGTTCCATCTGCAGTGCTTCATTATTTTCTTTTTAAATTTTTGTGGGTACATAGTAGGTGTATATATTTATGGAGTACATGAGTTTTTGTTTTTGTTTTTGTTTTTTTTTTTTTTTGAGACAGAGTCTCACTCTCGCTCTGTTGCCTAGGCTGGAATGCAGTGGCACAATCTCAGCTCACTGCAACCTCACCTCCTAGGTTCAGGTGACTCTCCCACCTTAGCCTCCCGAGTAGCTGGGATTATAGGCATGCGCCACCATGCCTGGGTAATTTTTGTATTTTTAGTAGAGACAGGGTTTCACCATGTTGGCCAGGCTGGTCTTGGACTCCTGACCTCAGGTGATTCACCCGCGTCGGCCTCCCAAAGCTCTGGGATTACAGGCTTAAGCCACCGCTCCCAGCCGAGATGTTTTGATACAGTCATGCAATGCATAATTGTCACATCATGGAAGATGGGGTCTCTATTCCCTCAAGCACTTATCCTTTGTGCTACAATCAAATTATACCCTCTTAGTTATTTTAAAATGTACAATTAAATTATTATTGACTATAGTCACCCTGTTGTGCTATCAAATACTAGGTCTTATCATTCTTTCTAACAATTATTTTTGTGCCCATTAACTATACCCTTCTTCCCCTTCCTCTCACCCCCATCTCCCAACTACCGTTCTCAGTCTCTGCTAACCATTCTTCTATTCTCTATCTTCATGAGTTCCATTTTTTTGATTTTCAGATCCCACAAATAAGTGAGAACATGCAAATGTTTGTCTTTCTGTGCCTGGCTTATTTCACTTAACCTAATGACCTCCAGTTTCATCCATGTTGTTGCAAATGATAAGATCTCATTCTTTTTTATGACTAAATAGTACTCCATTGTGTATATGTACCACATTTTCTTTATTGATTCATTTGTTTATGAACACTTAGGTTACTTCCAAATCTTGGCTATTGTGAACAGTGCTGCAACAAACACGAGACTGCAGATTTCTCTTTGATATACTGATTTCCTTTCTTTTGGGTATATACCCAGCAGTGGGATTGCTGGATCATATGGAAGCACTATTTTTAGTTTTTTGAGGAATCTCCAAACTGTTCTGCATAGTGGTTATACTAATTTACATTCCCACTGACAGTGTATGAGGGTTCTCTTCTCTCTGCATCCTCGCCAGCATTTGTTATTGCCTGTCTTTTGGATATAAGCCATTCTAACTGGGGTGAGATGATATCTCATTGTAGTTCTGATTTGCTTTTCTCTGATGGTCAGTGATGTTGAGTGCCTTTTCAAATGCCTGTTTGTCATTTGTATGTCTTCTTTTGAGAAATGTCTATTCAAGTCTTTTGCCCGTGTTTAAATTGGATCATTAGATTTTTTTCCTATAGAATGGTTGACATCCTTATGTATTCTCGTTATTAATCTCTTGTCAGATGAGTAGTTTGCAAATATTTTCTTCCACTCCATGGGTTGTCTCTTTACTTTGTTGATTGTTTCCTTTCCTGTGCAGTTTTTTAACTTGATGTGATCCCATTTGCCATTTTTACTTTGGTTGCCTGTGTTTGTGGGGTATTACTCAAGAAATTTTTGCCCAGACCAATGTCCTGGAGAGTTTCTTCAATATTTTCTTGTACTAGTTTCATAGTTTGAGGTTATAGATTTAAGTGTTTAATCCATTTTGATTTGATTTTTGTATATGGCAAGAGATAAAGGTCTAGTTTTATTCTACCGCATATGGATATCCAGTTTTCTCAGCTCCAGAATATGTTCTTGGCATCTTTGCTGTAAATTAGTTCATTGTAGGCGTGTGGATTTGTTTCCGGGTTCTCTGTTTTGTTCTGTTGGTTTATGCATCTATTTTTATGCCAGTACCATGCTACTTTGTTACTGTAGCTCTGAAGTATAATTAGACGTTGGGTAATGTGATTCCTCCAGTCTTGTTCTTTTTGTTCAGGATAGTTTTGGCTATCCTGGTCTTTTGTGGTTCCATGTAAACTTTAGGATTGTTTTTTCAATGTCTGTGAATAATGTCATTGATATTTTGGTAAGGATTGCATTGAATCTGTAGATCACTTTGGGTAGTATGGACATTTTAACAACATTGATTCTTCCCATCCATGAACATGGAATATCTTTCCATTTTTTGGTGTTTTTCAGTTTCTTTCATCAATGTTTTATAGTTTTCATTATAGAGATCTTTCACTTCTTTGGTTAATTCCTAGATATTTAATTTTATTTGTGGCTATTGTAAATGGGATTAGTTAAAAAATTTTTTTCAGATTGTTCACTGTTGACATATAGAAATACTACTGATTTTTATGCTACTATAAAGACACATGCACACTTAGGTTTATTGCAGCACTATTCACAATAGCAAAGACTTGGAACCAACCCAAATGTCCATCAATGATAGACTGGATTAAGAAAATGTGGCACATATACACCATGGAATATTATGCAGCCATAAAAAAGGATGAGTTCATGTCCTTTGCAGGGACATGGATGAAGCTGGAAACCACCATTCTCAGCAAACTAACACAGCAACAGAAAACCAAACACCACATGTTCTCCTCATAGATGGGAATTGAACAATGAGATCAGCTGGACACAGGGCAGGGAACATCACACATTGGGGCCTGTCGGGGAGTGGGGGGCTAGGAAAGGGATAGCATTAGGAGAAATACCTAATGTAAATGATGAGTTGATGGGTGCTGCAAACCAACATGGCACATGTATACCTATGTATCAAACCTGCATGCTGTGCATATGTACCCTAGAACTTAAAATATAATAAAAAAAAGAAAAAAAAAGAAATGTTACTGATTTCTGTATATTGATTTTGTATTCTGCAACTTTATTGAATTTGTTTATCAATTCTAATAGTTTTTCAGTGGAGTCTTCAGGTTTTTCCAAATAGAAGATCATATCATCTGCAAACAAGGATAATTTTGCTTTTTCCTTTCCAATTTGGATGCCTTTTATTTCTTTCTCTGGTCTGATTGCTCTAGCAAGGACTACCAGTACTATGTTGAATAACAGTGGTAAAAGTGGACATCTTTGTCATGTTTAGATCTTAGATAAAAGGTTTACAGTTTTTCCCTATTCAGTATGATACTAGCTGTGGGTCTGTAGTATATGGCTCTTATTATGTTGAGTTATGTTATACTCAGTTTTGAGGGTTTTTATCATGAAAGGATGTTGAATTTTATCAAATGCTTTTTCATCATCAATTGAAGTGATCATATGGTTTTTGTCCTTCATTCTGTTGATATAATGTATCATACTAATTGATTTGCATATGTTGAACCATCCTTCTATCTCAGGGATAAATCCCACTTGGTTATGACGAATGATCTTTTTAAATATAGTGTTGAATTTTATTTGCTTGTATTTTGTTGAGGATTTTAGCACCAATATTCATCAGAGATATTGGCCTGTAGTTTGTTTTCTTTCTTTCCTTCTTTTCTTTCTTTCTTTCTTTCTTTCTTTCTTTTTCTTTCTTTCTTTCTTTCTTTCTTTCTTTCTTTCTTTCTTTCTTTCTTTCTTTCTTTCTTTCTTTCTCCTTCCTTCCTTCCTTCCTTCCTTCTTTCTTTCCTTCCTTCCTTCTTTCTTTCTTTCTTTTCTCTCTCTCTCTCTTTCATCCTCCCTCTGTCCCTCCCTCCCTCCCTCCCTCCCTCCCTCCCTCCCTCCCTCCCTTCCTTCCTTCCTTCCTTCCTTCCTTCCTTCCTTCCTATGTGTCTTTGTCTGGTTTTGGTATCAGAGTAATACTGGCTTTGTAGAATACATTTGGAAGTATCCTCTGTTACTCTATTTTTCAGAATAGTTTGAGTAAGATTGGTATAGGTTCTTCTTTTAATGTTTGGTAGAATTCAGCAGTAAAGTCATTGGGTCCCAGGCTTTTCTTTACTGGGAGACATTTTATTATGGCTTTAATCTCATTACTTGTTATTTGTCTGTTCGGGTTTTGGATATCTTCATGGTTCAATCTTTGTAGGTTGCATGTGTCTGGGAATTTATCCATTTTTTCTAGATTCCAAGTTATTGCCATATAGTTGCTCATAGTAGCCACTAATGATCCTTTAAATGTCTGCAGTATCAGTTATAATGTCTCCTTTTTCATCTCTGATTTTATTTATTTGGAACGTCTCTCTTTTTTTTAAAGCCTGGATAAAGGTTTCTCAATTTTAGCTTTTCAAAAAACCAACTTTGCATTTTGTTGATCTTTTGTGTTGTTTTCTTCATTTCAATTTCATTAATTTCTCCTCTGATCTGTATTATCTCTTTTCATCTACTAATTTTTGGTTTGGTTTGCTCCTGCTTTTCTAGTTCTTTAAGATGCATTGTTAGGTTGCTTAAAGTTTTTCTTCTTTTTTGATGTAAACACTTTTATAGCTATAAAGTTATTAATTTTTTGAAGTTTTAAGACTTGTTTTGTGACTTGACATATGTTCTTTTAGAATGATCCATGTGCCAAGGAAAAGAATGTGTATCCTGCAGTTGTTGGATAAAATATTCTGTAAATATCCATTTGGTCTATAGTGCAGATTAAGTTAGATGTTTCTTTGCTGATTTTCTGTCTGGAAGATGTGTTCAATGCTGAAAGTGGAGTGTTGATGTCTCCAGATATTATTGTATTGGGGTCTATCTCTCTTTTTAACTCTAATAATATTTGTTTTATATACCTGGGGTCTCCAATGTTAGGTTCATATGTATTTATAATTGTTATATCCTCTTGCTGAATTGACCCCATTATCATTACATAGTGACTTTCTTTGTCTCTTCTTATAGTTTTTGTCTTGCAATGCATTTTCGTCTGATATAACTATAGCTCTTTTTTTTGGTTTCCATTGGCATGGAATATCTTTTTCCATCCCTTTATTTTCAGTCTATGAGAGTCTTTATAGTTAAAGTGTATTTCTTTGAGGTAACACATCAATAGGTCTTTTAAAAAAATTATTTATTCAGCCACTCTATATCTTTTTGATTTAGTCCATTTACATTCAATGTCATTATTGATAGGTGAAGACTTTCTCCTGCCATTTTGTTATTTGTTTTCTGGTTGTTTTGTGGTCTTCTCTTCCTTCTTTCTTTCTTTCCTTCCTATCTTCCTTTTAGTGCAGGTGATTTGAAGGTGATTTTCTCTGGTGATTTTTTTTTTTTCCTAGACAGAGTCTCACTCCATCACCCAGGCCGGAGTGCAGGGGCTCAATCTCGGCTCACTGCAAACTCTGCCTCCCAGGTTCAAGCAATTCTTGTGCCTCAGCCTCCCAACTAGCTGGGATTAGAGGTGCATGCCACATTGCCTGGCTAATTTTTTATTTTTTAGCAGAGACGGGGTTTTGCTCTGTTGCCCAGGCTGGTCTTGAACTCCTGAGCTTAGGCAGTCCGCCTGCCTTGGCCTCCCAAAATGCTAGGATTATAGGCATTTTGCCAATATGATTTAGTTTCTTGCTTTTTACTTTTTGTGTATCCGTGTAAGTTTGAGGTTATCTTGAGGCTTCCAAATACTATCTTATAACCCATTATTTTAAACTGATAACAACTTAACACTGTTCGCATAACAAAGAAGCAGAAAGAAAACTAATGAAGATACTACACCTTAATTTTGTCCCCCTGCTTTTTAACATTTTGTTGTTTCTATTTATATCTTATTGTACTGTCTTTTTCTTGAAAAGATGTCGTAGTTATTATTTTTGATTGGTTTATTGTTTAGACCTTCTGCTTAAGATAAGAGTAGTTTATACATCACAGTTAGAGTGTTATATTTTGTGTTTTTCTGTGTACTTACTATTATCAGTGAGTTTTGTACTTTCAGATTGTTTCTTATTGCCCATTAGCATCCTTTTCTTTCTGATTAAAGTACTCCCTTCAGAATTTCTTGTAGGACAAGTCTGGTATTGGTGAAATCCTTCAGCTTCCATTTGTCTGGGAAGGCCTTTATTTCTCCTTCAAATTTGAAGGATATTTTCACTGGATATACTAGCCTAGGGTAAAAGGTTTTTTTCCCTTCATCACTTGAAATATGCCATGCCACTCTCTCCTGGCTTGTAAGGTTTCCACTGAAAAGTGTGCTGCCAGACATATTGAAGCTCCATTGTATGTTATTTGTTTCTTTTCTCTTGCGCTTTTAGGATCCTTTCTTTATGTTGACCTTTGGGAGTTTGATTATTAAATGCCTGAGGTAGTCTTCTTTGGTGTTCTACAACCTTCTTGTACTTGTATATTGATATCTTTCTCTAGGTTTGGGAAGTTCTCTGCTATTATTCCTTTTAATAACTTTCTACACCATCTCTTTTTCTACCCCCTCATTAAGGCCAAAACTCTTAGATTTACCCTTTTAAGGCTATTTTCTAGATCCTGTAGGTGTGCTTCATTGCTTTTTATTCTTTTGTTTCTTCTGTGTATTTTAAAATAGCTTGTCTTCTAGCTCACTAATTCTTTCTTCTACTTGATCATTTCTGCTATTAAAAGACTCTGATGCATATTTCGTAAGCCAATTACATTTTTCAGCTCTAGAATTTGTGATTGATTTTTAAAAATTATTTCAATCTCTTTGTTAAATAGATCTGGGAGAATTCTGAATTCCTTCTCTGTGTTATCTTGAATTTCTTTGAGTTTCCTCAAAACAGCTATTTGAATTATCTTTCTGAAATGTCACATATTTCTGTTTCTCCAGGATTGGCCCCTGGTGCCTTTTTTTTCCTAGATGGTCTTGATTTTTATAGATGTTTGCCTGTGTCTGGGCATTGAAGGGCTAGGTATTTATTGTAGTCTTTGCAGTCTGGGCTAGTTTGTACCCATCCTTCTTGGGAAGGCTTTCCAGATATTGGAAAGAACTTGGGTGTTGTGATCTAAGCTGTATCTGCTTTTGGGGGGCACCCCAAGCCCAGTAAGGCTGTGGTTTTTGCAGACTCACAGAGGTACTGCCTCGATGGTCTTGGACAAGATCCAGAAGAATCCCCTGGATTATCAGGCAGAGACTCTTGTTCTCTTCCCTTACTTTCTCACAAACTAATGAAGTCTGTTTTTCTGTTCTAAGTCATCTGGAACTGGGGATGGAGTGACATAAGCACCCCTGTGTCTACCACCACTAGGACTGTACTGGGTCAGACCTGAAGCCAGCATAGTACTGGATCTCATCCAAGGCCTGCAGTAATCACTCCTTTGCTGCTGCGTATGTTCGCTCAAGGTCCTGGGACTCTACAGTCAGCAGATGGTCAAGCCAGCTAGGCCTGTGTCCTTCCCTTCAGGGCAACAATTCTCCCAGGCCCAAGGTAGGTCCAGAAGTGCCATCCTAGAGCCAGGGACTAGAGTCAAAAACCTTAGACGTCTACCTGGTGTTCTATGACTAAGCTGGCACACAAACCACAGGATGCAGTCCTTCCCACTCTTCTTTCCTCTTTCCAAAGGCAGAGGAGCCTCACCCCATGGCCATCACCACCACAGGCCCATGGAGGGTACTGCCAGACTACTGCTGATGTTCCCTTAAGGCCCAAGGGCTCTTTAGTCAGCTTGTAAATGCTGCCTGGCCTGGAAATCACCCTCTCACCCTTTAGGGCAGTGGGCTCCCCTCTGGCCCAGGGCAGGTCCAGAAATGCCATCCAAGAGCCAAGTTCTGGAATTGGGGATCCCAAGAGCCTACTTGGTTCTCTACCCTTCTGTGGCCAACCTGGTACCTAGGTGAAAAACAAAGTTCATTTTCCTTTTCCTTCACTTTTTTCAAGCAGAAAGAGTCTCACCCTGTAGCCATCACATCTGGGAATGTGCTGACTGTCACCTGAAGCCAGTGAGTCTCAGAGTCTTACCCAAGGCCTTCTATGTAGTGCCTGGGTATTGCTGCTGGTTATTCAGGGCCCAAGGACTCTTGTTAGCTGGTGATTAATCCTGCCAGGGCTGTTTTTTTTTTTTTTTTCTCCCCTTCAAGGCAGCGGATTTCCTTCTGGCCCAGGGTGTGTCTAGAAACGTCATCTGGGAACTAGGGCTTGGAAAGGGAGCCTCATGACTGAGTGGTACCCTATCATGGTGTGGCTGAGCTGGTATCCAAGATGCAAGACAAAGTCCTTCCCACTCTCCCCTCTCCTCTTTACAAGTAGAAGAAAAGAAGGATCTCCTTTGGAGCTGTGATCTGTGCAGTTTGGGGTTAGGGGAGGTGGTGATTCCAGCACTTCCTTAACTGTCTCAGCTAGTGTCTCACAGTAAGTCATGTTCCATGCCAGTCTTCTGGCTCTGGGCCCAGTTCAGCACTAGGACTTTCCTAGGAGTTGCAGTCCTTGTGGCCTACACTGCCTTTCAAGTTTATTTAGGTACCCATAGCACTTTAGCCTGTGGTGGTGAGGCTAGTGGGAGCTCAAGTTCTGACTATTGGGATTGGTGATTCTCCCCTGGCTAGGGCTGGTTTAAATGCTCTGTCTGTGGGTGGGTGTCAGCTGAGTTCAGTCTGATTCCACTTTCTGCAGCAGTGATTTCAATGCTTCACAATTGCTGTACTCTCCCTCTCCTCAGCAAGCAAAAATGCTGTCCACACCACACTACTGCTGCATGGAGAAGGGTGGGAGTGGCAGTGACTATTCAGGATGGTTTTTCCTACCTTTTCAGTGCCTCTTTCAGCAATGTGAAGTTAAACTAGGTACGGTGTATGCTCATCTGGTTTTTTACTCTTATGAAGGTGCTTTTTTTGTGGGTGTAGATAGTTGTTAAATTGGTGTCCTTGCAGGGGGGACAATTGGTGGAGCCTTCTATTCTGCTATCTTGCTCTGCCTCCCTGTCATTATTTTCAAAGAAAAATAGTATTCACCATTGAGCATGGCTGCAGAACTCCTCTGCTGAGATTCTGGAGATGGATGCTTGCTTGAGGCCCAGGGCTAGTGGAATTTAGCACCTTCCTGAAATTGAACGTGCTTTGGGTAGTGTGGTTGTCTGGAACAGCTAGAACCTCTAGCAAAGAGACAAGAGTCAATCTTGTCAAATTGTAGAAGTAGGGTGAAGGGAGGGTGAGAAGAATAACATGTATGTGCCAAGGACTGTGTCATGCACAGTTATCTCATTTAATTCCCCGGCAAAACAAAGGAGAAAACCAGAGCTGATGGACTTAAATACCTGACCACGAGTAAGCTGAGTTAGTGACCGAGCACAGGCCTGGCTGACATCAAAGGCCATGACGTTTTTCAGTACAATATGCAGTGCTCAGAACAGAATAGCCACTCAGGAAGTGTTTCCACTCTACTCCAGAACTGTTGGCTACTCATCTCCCCTCCCTTACTTTGATACTTCTCGTGGTTTTGCCATTCTCTTAACTCTATGATCCATCTTTCACCTTGCATACTGGCCTCCTCCCCAACCCTGCCCTCATCTAGATCTTCTGGTCTTGCTACCAGTGTTTTCAGGACACTTTCTTTGCTAGGAAGTTGGTAAAAATAATGTGTGCCTCTAGGTTTATGGTGCTTATTGTGCACTTGCCAGGGTCCTTCTTGAATAATTGCTTTGACCTAAACCCGTGTCTCTGATGGCAGTTTTTTTTTCAGGGACAGTTGCAATTAGGTAGAGGAGCTAGATTTTGGGTGGAAGGGAATTTGGATGTCTTTAAAATCATACCAGGCTGTCTGCTGCTTATTCTACTTAAGCTTCATAGGGTGGAATTGAGAGGGAAACGTAGGGACAAGGAGAGTGTGTGTTTGGAAGTTCGAACAAGGAGTTTAAGGATATTCCAGCTGTAAGGAAGGAACCATTAGGTGACAAGTCAAGGCTTTTAAGATTCTTGTGCTGAAAAATGAAACAAAATATTTTCTCCAAACCTCTTCGTCCCTTGGTGAAAGCATTTAATGAATAGAATGATGTGACTCTGTGTATAACAATCTACTCTCTCATATGAACCTAGACATAATAAACAGGGAAGTGCAGTAGCTTCTTAATGGCTCCAAAACTACTGCATCAAAGGTGCTCACTTTACTTCTGCCTCCCAGCCTTTCAGTGGTGCCTGCTTACCGAATCTGAGAAGGTTAAGGAACCCCAGAGGCTAGCCACTTCTGTTTCCTCCCAGTGCAAGAATCTCTCCAACAGTTTCTGTCATCATCTGGAAAATTTTGTTTCCTTCCGAGGCAGCCTGTTCTATTGCCTTCAGGCTAGTAGGGTTAGAAAATCGTCCTCACACTTGTAACTTCCTCTTCTTGGTCTCTATTTGGCCCTCAGGAGAACAGCCTCAGTCTTCTGCTTCTTCTGGACAGCAGTCTTGTGCTTCAGTTACTCAGCCTGCAGAGGGTTAATTATACATGCAGCACTGGTCTGCAGAAGAAAAGCACAAAAGGCCCCATGGAATTAAAGTCACAGAAACAGTTCTTTCTGGCTGATGGCCCTCTGCCTGTCACCCCCAAATACACAAAAGATACAGACATGGGTCAGGATTTTTGGTTGACAGTGCGGCAGAAGTCTGATAGTCTCTGCCTCTGCATATTCCTTTGAAATTTCTGGCTCCCCATTTAGTGAGTCAGCACCACTGAGTCAATCTTGGCTCTGTGTATGTGTGCATGTGTGCGTGTGTGTGTGTGTGTGTGTGTGTGTGTGTGCATTTGTGCCTGTCATGGGGACTAGGGTGCAGTAGGGTGTTAGGAGAGAAGAAAGCTGGAGATCTAGACTTTTCTATATTTGACCAAGAAGGAAGACAGACCTGTCTGAAAATTTTGCAGAGTCCTTAAGTAAAGTTTCTGCACACAGAGTAGCCATAATCACTAAATTTGATAAATCACTGAAGATGGAGCCCAACTTTGAAATGTTCTCCTAGTGGATGTAGCATCATTCATACATTTAGTTAGTATTTACTAACTGTCCACTGAATGAATTATCCTATTGCTGAGTCTACATAGAATGCATTATCTAAACCGCCTGTGACTTTGAGATTGACTAAAAGAGAAAAGTCAGCAATATTAATAAAATAATAATAATTATAACTACTATTGGGTGCCCACTTGCTAGATACATATTGTGGAATTTGCATAATCTCCCCTCCACCAATCCCTGCCCCTGTATCTTTCTTGCAAAGTGAATATTACCAGAGGTTCTGGGACTATTTGTGCCCGAGCTGAGACTGGAATCCAGGCTTTTCTGACACTGTAGTTTTGGTTCTATGAAGCCACACTCCTCCCCACAGGGACAGGGGCAGAAATCAGTCACAAGGCAGGAACAACAGCTGTGTGCTGAAATACTGTGAGTGGAGTCCAGTCCACACAGCCTTATTGAGCATGCAAAGATCTCATGGGGGTAAATGTAGCCTAGGCAGACATCCTGGAGGAGATGTCTCCTTGGCTAAATCTTACAAGGAATGGAGAATTTGAATTCATAGGAAAATCGGGTTGGCCTTGACTTAGATTTGGTTTGCACAGAGATGGAAAAAAACTGACAAATAGAAAAGCTACCCTCCTTCCTCTTCCCTCCCTTTGTCCTTCAGTCACATGTCTTACTTAAAGGAAGTGGGAGAGGTCCTCTGTCTCAGGTCTCTCTTTTAGCCTGTGCTGAGGTAGCAAAACCAGCCTCCCTATGCATCTTCTTCCTCTCCCCTCAGACTGGAGTTCTCATCCTGCACTTTGTGGTTTTCATTTAACGAATGTTAATGAGATGGCATTGTAATCACCGGATTTTATAAATATCTCATCCACAAATTGGACCACAAAACCCAAATGAGCCAGCTGAGCATCTATATTCCGTGAGCCTGTGTTTTCCCCACAGTCTTAACCAAGGGATATAAAACGTGTTCTTGCTTTGAAGCCGTTCAGGCCCATGGGTGTTAGATGCTGGAGACAACTGCTGTTCGCCGGGCCCTAACTCAAGTGGCTTGCTGGGTCTGAGCCTTTCACACAGTCCTGGGTGATATAAAGGATTTAGGCTTGATCAATTATACCCTTTTCAAGTTAACGCTAGAAAAATGAGAAATTGATTTTTTTGACGAAACAATATTTTAGGAATTCAGGATATAAAAATGGGATTTGACCTCTCTTATCAAGTCAGCTATCATCGTGATGATTACAGTCTACAATTATGCCATATTTTGTATGTCACGGCCTAATGTGATCAGCTTGTCAGATTTGTTCAGGGAGAGGGTAGAGCAATGATAAAGCATCCAGCTGTGTCTGCTTTGTGGGGCGAGAGGGGAAAGACTCGAGGATCCATCTCGTTCAGCAAATCTGCTAGAGTGAACATCCTCAGACACAGGTATCAGATGCTAATGATCTTGCTTAATCTCTGCACAGATCTAATAAGCAAAATCTATATTGAATACTTTTTCTGGAATTTTAGATTTTTGTCTAGTATTTCATATTTTTACCCCATGCGCTCTTATTATTACAACCAAACAATGTGATCTAACAATGAGCAAATTGGTGACGTATATTGCAGACAGACTATCGACATAACTGATGGGTTAAACAGTGTTTTGAAGGGAGGACTGAGCCTTATCATTTTTGTATCCTCAGGACTTAGCACACTGATGGCCCCGTAGAATGAATTTAATTTGTGTTTGTTGAATATTTGTAAATAATATGTCAGTTTTGAAAATATCTAAAGAATATTCCTTCGCTTTTCCATTGCAGCTTGTCCTATGAAAGAAATCCCAATTTGTAAAAATTTGCCAGTAAAAATGTTGCTTACTTTGGGTAAATGACTGTTTACAAGGTGATTAGTTATCCAAATGTTTGAGTGATCTGGTAAAAATTTCCTGGTGAATGAAACAAAAAAATAAATACAATGGGACAGATTATATTAATGGAAACATGAGAGATGGTGTTAAAAACAACAGTACAATGAGAATGGCAACAACAACCTCTCTTTAGATATGGAAATCTGAATGACCGTAACATTCTTACTATTCATTCCCAGGTGCTTAGCCAATTTTTCTCAATACCATTTGTTTAATCACTGATTTAAGATGTCATTAAAATCAGATACTGAATTCTTGGATCTGCTTTCAGAATTTCTGTTAAGAAGAGAACATATTGATTTTTCTGTCTGCTCATTCACTAGCAATATGCTTTTAATTATAGTAACTTTTTAATATGTTTTAATATCTGCCAAGGCTAGTCATTCATTACTAATTGTTTTTCAATAATTTTTGGATTTTTTTGATGGTTATTCTTCAGGCTGAGATTAATAGTCATTTTGTCAAGTTAAGTTGGCCTTTGCCTTGATCTCTGCCTTCTATTACCATTATCTGGTTGAAATTTCTATTGGAATTTTGTTAAACTTACATATCAGCTTATTTAAAAATGGACTAATTGGTGAAATCATGTCTCAATTTGATGTTACATCTCCCACTAATGCTATGGAGACAACACAATGTCGCAGGAGAGCAACTAGACTAAGAATCGAAGCATGTGAATTCTAGTTTCTACCCAGCTGTGACTGCATACCTATTTGTGCTGCAGGTATCTCATCACAGACATTGAAAAACATAAACTCTTTTAGAAATCAGAGGCTTTATTACTTATGGATTTTTTTAATGATTTGTTATTGTTCTTTGATAGGCCATGGATATATTTTCAATTCTAGGATTTTGTGCCAGATTAAAAAATGAGATTATAACTCAATATATAGAGGACTTCTAATTCTTGTCAGGGAATAGGAGGTTGCAAAATACCACTGTTTCCACCTTAAAAAGAAGAATAAGCCAGATAAGCTACAAAACCATAACTTAAAAAACCCATCAGACACAGTAGCCAAAAAGTAGAAGCCATCCAAGTGTCCATCAATGGATGAACGGATAAACAACGTGTGGTTTGCATACAGTGGAACATTGTTCAGCCATAAAAAGGAAGGGAATTCTGACGCATGCTACAACATGGATGAATCTTGAGGACATTATGCTAAGTGAAATAAGCCAGCCAAAAAAGGACAAATATTATATGAGTCAATTTCTATGAGTTACCTAGAGCAGTCAAATTAATGGAGACAAAAAGTAGAATGGTGGTTGCCCAGGGCTGGGGAAAGAGGGAAATGGGAATTGTTTAACAGAGACAGAGTTTCTGCTCAGGAAGATGACAAAGTTCTGGAGATGAATGGTGGTGATGGTTGCAAAACAATGTAAATGTGCTTAGTTCCACTGAACTGCACACCTAAACATTGTTAAAATTATAAATTGTATGTTACATAAACTTTACTATAAAAAATCAGAGAGCCAAGGATGGAAAGAAACCTGAAGCAAATATAACCCAGAAAGTGATGAGCTTTTCCTAGGAAAGAGGAATAGTGCAGTGGCCGGGGGAGAACACACAAAGGCAGGGATAAGAAACCAACTGGACTCCAAATAACTTAAAAAATATATTAGAGTTTTATTGAGCTATAATTGACATAATAAATTGCAAATATTTAAAGTATAAAATTTGATAAGTTTGACATCAGTATTCACCCATGAAACCTTCACCACAAAGTAGTGAATGTATCTATCATTTCCAAAAGTTTCTTTCTGTCCACTTGTAATCCTCCCTCTCAACCCTCCTCACCTACCCTTCCATTCTCATGCAGCTGATGGTCTGCTCTCTGTCACTCTAGTTTGTATTTTCAAAAATTTTATGTGAATGCAATCATGCAGTATTTACGCACTCTTTTAGGTTTGGCTTGTTTCACTTAACATAATTACATTGAGATTCATCTATGTTATTGGGCATATCACTAGTTCCTCTCTTTTTATTGCTAAGTAGTATTCAGTTGTAGAGCTATACCACTGTGTGTTGTTTTTTTTTTTCTATGAGACTGAGTCTGGCTCTGTCGCCCAGGCTGGAGTGCGGTGGTGCGATCTCTGCTCACTGCAACCTCCGCTTAGCGGGTTCACGCCATTCTCCTGCCTCAGCCTCCCGAGTAGCTGGGACTACAGGCGCCCACCACCATGCCCGGCTAATTTTTTGTATTTTCAGTAGAGACGGGGTTTCACCGTGTTAGCCAGGATGGTTTTGATCCCCTGACCTCCTGATCCACCCACCTCGGCCTCCCAAAGTGCTGAGATTACAGGCGTGAGCCACCACACCTGGCCACCACTGTGTGTTTTATCCGTTCATCTGATGACGGGCATTTTGGTTATTTACAGTTTCTGGCTGCTACAAATGAAGACGCTGTGAACATTTGTGCACAAACTTTTGTATAGACGTATGCTTTATTTTCTTGGGTAAATAAAAAGGAATAGGATGGCAAGATCATAGAGTAGATATATGTTTAACTTTTTAAGAAACTACCAAACTGTTTTTCGAGGTGGCTGTATCATGTTACATTTGCACCAGCAGTGTATGAGAGAACCAATTTCTCTGTGTTTTCACCAATATTTGGTAGTGAGCCTTTTTGATTTTAGCCATTTATATGAGTATGTAGTGGCATTTCATTGTGTTTTAATTTGCATTTCCCTAGTGGCTAATGATGTTGAGCATATTTTCATGTGCTTATTTGCCATCTGCATGTCTTCTTTGATGAAGCATCTGTTCAAATATATTGTTTCCAGTAAACTTTACATTAAATGTAAATTATCTGAATATCCTACATAAAAGACCTTTGTTGTCAGATTAAATAAACACACACACACACAATCTATGTGATTTTTGCATGAAACACACTTTATGAAGATACAAACAGATCAAAAGTAGAAGGGTGGAAAACCTATACCATCCATATTCTAAGCATAAGAAAGTTTGGGTAGCTTATTAATATATTAAAAAGTGACTTCAAGAGTATTACCAGAGATAAAGAGGGATATATTATAATAATAAAAGGGCCAATTCATGAAAAAATGTAATATTCCTAAATGTACTTATGCCTAATGAGATAACTTAAATATTATGACATAAAATTGACCTTTTAAATGGAGAAACAGACAAAGATACAGTCATAATTGGTCATTTTATTCCCCCTCAACAATTGACAGAAAAATCAGTGATAAAGTAGCAGAACTGAAAAACATCGTGTTCTCTGAGTTTCCTAGATATGTGGTTTGGTGTCATTAATTTTGGAAAGTTCTCAACAGTTGTTACTTCAAATATTTCTCCTGTTTCATTACATTTTTATTCTCCTGGTATTGCAATTATGCATGTGGTGTACGATTTGATATTATCCTAGAGTTATTGAACGTTCTGTTATTGTTACTATTGTTTTCACTCTTTCTTTTCTTTGTATTTCTGCTTGGGAAGTTCCTATTGACCTATCTTCGAGCTCACTGATTCTTTCCTTGGCTGTGTTCAGTCTACTGATGAACCCATCAAAAGCATTCTGCATTTCTCTTATAGCATTTTTGATTTCTAGCATTTCCTTTTAAAAATAATTAATTATTTTTAGTGGACAAATAAAAGGTGCATATATTTATTATGTGCAATATGTTGTTTTGAAACATATATACCTTGTGAAATGACTAAATTGAGCTAATTAACATACGCATTACCTTATACTTATTTTTTATGATGAGGAAACTTAAAATCTCTTAGTGATTTTCAAGAATACAATACATGGTATTAGCTATAATCACTATGTTGTGAAATAGATTTCTTGAATTTATTTTTCCTACTTAACCAAAATTTTGTATCCTTTTACCAGCATCTTCCAAACCCCGTTCCCTAGCCCCTGGTAACCACCATTCTACCTTCTAGCATTTCCTTTTGATTCTTTCTTAGCGTTTCCATTTCTACCCATTACCCATTTGTTCTTTCATGTTGTCTTTTATTTCCATTAGAGTCCTTATCATAATAATCATAGTTATTTAAAATTCCTTGTTACTCCAACATCTGTATTATTTCTGACCTAATGATTGTCTCTTTGGATTCTGTTGGTTTTTTTTTTTCATTTTGTTTTGCTTTATAGTTTTTTCTTGAAAGCCAAGCATGCTGCTTTGGGTAATAGAAACTGAGCTAAATAGGCCTTTAGTGTGAGAATTTACATTAATTTGACTAAGACTTGGATTGTGTTTAATATGTGCTGTAGTTACAGGTGCCAAAGGCTTCAGCTTCTTGTATTATCCTTGTTTTTGTGTCCTCTTGACTTTGGGCTTTCGTAAGTCCTCCTTCTCAGACAGTGTCTATGTTTTTGTGGCTCTTTCGGCTGTATGCCCCTGTTTTATACTAGTATTCTTTTGGTGTAGTAGTAAGGTATATGTAGAAAGAACATTCTCTAACCTAAATCTCAGTCTTTTAGTGGGCCTGTGTCTCAGAGAGGTGAACTTCACAAGTGTTTCTTCAGTCATATTCTTTTCCCTTTAGTTCTCTTTCCTATCCCTGGCTGCACCACTCCCAATCTATTTTCTTGAAGCTCTGAGCTCTGTGGATTGCATTTTTTTTCTCTCTTAGGTAAGACAGGAAGGCTACAGCAGGCTAGAGTGGGAGGAATTCTCTTCCCCAAGCTGGTATAAGGCGCTGGCAAAATATTTTCCTCTGGAGAGTGGGCCTTTATTACAGATAAGGCTCGAACTGGGTATATTTTATAATGATTACATTCCCTCCACCACCCCTTCCAGACCTATAAGCTGTATGATTCCTTTTATATGAAGTCAAAGAACATGCAAAATAATTGGTGGGGCCAGAGATCAGAATATGTTTTCCTCAAGGTGGGAGAATTGACTGAAAGGGGCCCAGTGGAAATTTTCAGGATTGACAGAAATATTTTGTATGTTGTTTTGGGAGTTAAAATTCGTGAAACTGAACATTTAAAAACTGTGTATTTTAAATATGTAAATTATACTTCAATTGGAAAAAAAGAAAATCCAGCCTATAGATATGGAAAAACAAGCAATGTTAGCAGAATGTCTGTAGTCATGAAGTCATGAAGATGCCAGTACAGCCTGGCTGGCTGGTGGTTGGGGTGGTCAGTTGGTGCCATCACCTCCCTTTGGGAGCTGATATCTGTCATTCACTTCCCTGGGGTTTAGTTTCCCCTTGTATGAAAAGAAGTGGCCAGACTAGATGATCAGTAAATAGGATGACCATTTTATTATATATTGCCCAAATCATGACATTAGAGTGAATTAAATAAAGCTATGTTGATAATTATGCCAGTACAAGAATTGGAAACTGCTCCTGTCCTGGGCAAAGAGGGGTGAATTGCTGCCCTACAACTAAGCATTTTTAAAATGTCTCAGGCCATATGAGGTGACAGTGGCATATCAGCAACAGTCTGCATCCAGGAGTTGGATTGTATGAGTGATCTCAGGGGTTCTGTTTGATCTGATGCTGCATCAGGATCTATCAGCATGGCCAATATTGCACAGCAGTGAGAGGGGTTTTAGAAAGGCCTCCAGCCCTTCCAGTCTATGGGCTGCTGCCTTCCATGCCTGTGAAATAATACAGATTTCCTGATAAGAAGACATTGACATTTCTAGGTTCAAAACTATTGTTGAAATGAAGCTAATTTCTCAATAGGATGAAAAATGGATCCTGCTTTCCCCTGATCTGATAATATGAAAATAATGAATCTCCTTTACAACAGTCACCTTAAAAAAAACTTGGAAGGCAACTGATTAATCTGATTTATAAAAGCCATAGATAATAAAAACTATTAATGTCACCTCTGGCTGCCAAAGATTTGAAGGGATTGAGGAAAAGGTCCTAAGTGACTAGGTTCTAGCCATTCTGAAATATTAGAACATCAAGTTGATGGGATTCAATTTACTAAAAGAGACATATGACTAGAATTCAGTCCTAGAAGGCATCCAATAAGTAATATACATGTGAATTTAAGTGCTATAGGGAGTAGAAAATATTTAGGGGGCAACTGGATAATGTTCCAAAGGTTAGTGACCCTCCTTAGGGTCATGGGAGAGAAGTGGAATTTAGAAGAGGGAACAGACATCCTGCTTAGAGTTAGGAGGACAGAGACTCTTATAAATAAGTTTATTTATAAATAAATCCAGCTTCTTAGCTAGAACAGGAGGCAGTCTTCCAATTTTTGTGCTGCTAAATATGATCTCTTTGTACCCAAACATGACCCAGTGGATCTATCCTGGGCTAAGGAACCAGGAGGGGGCGATTCTGGTCCCAGGAAGGTGAGGCACACTTGGTTCTGATGTCCCTGTGCTTTTTCCAGTGTGATGTCATGCCTTTGCATGACAAGGTACTTAGAGTCCAATCTTGCATCTCTGTGACTTCATGACCACAGACACTGCTAATATTGCTGTGTTTTTCCATATCTATAGGCTGAATTTTCTTTCTTTCCTATTGAAACATAATTTACTTGAAGTCTCAAGGGACTTACAGTCCAGTCTTGCCTCTGTCATTTGCAAGCTGTGTGACTTAGGAGACATCGTTTTGCTTCTCTGAGCCTCTGAAATGTCTGAATTCCATTCTAAATTCCAATGTTAATATTCTAAATATTCTCTGGTTCTCAATCTGAGAATCCCACACTTTTGGTGCCTGTTCACCTGGAAAGTATCATCTCTTGGCGTCCTGTTTCTAGGTAGTGGAAAGGAGTAGGCTGGGGTTGTGTTGACCAAGACATTTCCTTCCTGCTCCCCGGTTTGAGTCCTGGTTCATGGAGCTGCTGGTGCCCACTCTGGTTCTCCCACCAGGAACACCACGGAGTGTTAATGGGGCACCACTGGCATCCAGCCCAAGTTGGTGATTTGGGACAACTTTCTGTGGAGACTGAGACTCCTGTGTGTAGCTGTACAAGTGTAGGGGCCTATTGACTTCTCTTGCTTAGCTTCTGTTGCTTGGCTGAACATTTTTGTTGATGGATGAAGACACCCATCACAGTACTTCCCCCAGTCAGGATGGTCACTTACAGATGGGACTGAGCCATAGACGAGGCCTTGATATCCCCTGAGGGAATTTTAGCATGTCTTTAACTGTATTCTGAATGAAATCATCAGGTTTTATTGCAGGGGAGAGGATGCATGGGGGGTAGAGGGAGAAGGCAAAAAATAAATGTTTATAAATCATAAAATCAGATCATAAAAATAAATGTTCACTGGAGAAAATTTACAAAATACAGAAAGGCACAAAAATCTCAACGTGCAGAGATAGCCATTGTTTTGTTGTTTGTTTTTTGAGACAGGGTGTCACTCTGTCAACCATGCTGAAGTGCAGTGGTGTGATCATAGCTCACTGCAGCCTTTACCTCCCAGGCTCAAGGAATCCTTCCACCTTGGCCTCCTGGGACTACAGGCACGGGCCACCATGCCCAGATAATTTTTGTATTTTTTTGTAGAGGTGAGGTCTTGTCATATTGCCCAGGCTGGGGTCTTGCCGTTTTGCCCAGGCTGGTCTCAAACTCCAGGGCTCAGTGATCCACCCACCTCAGCCTCCCAAAGTGCTGAGATGACAGGTGTGGGCCACTACACCCAGCCAGCCACTGTTAATTAACATGCTAATTAAAGGGATAAGAGGGAAGTGTCATGATTGAACATTGGAAGGTGAAGGGATTTTTTGGATATATAGACTCATGAAAACTATCTCTACTATTCCATTAGCATCATACTGTGTGCTGACCTCTCAGAGCAATTTACTTTTGAAGAAAAGCAACAACAACCACAACAGAACTTTCTGGCTGGGCCTGAGACAGGCCAATCACTGAGGAGTAAATTATCCTACAATTTGCTGTTTAGTCTGTTTAGTACAAAGACCACAAACTGAGACACACCATCTTCCTGTTTCTGAAACTGTATGAGACACTTTCTGTTGATAGAACTGATACTGCCAAGGATACAGGATGAGCTGTTACAGGGACTTCACAGACATGATTGTAAGAAGAGCAACAGGTACATCTCAGCAATTGTGCGGTTAGCAAACACTGTGTACCTGCTAGGAATGCATCAGAGTAAAGGACATGAAGAGGTTGGGGAGGTGGTCCTGGCCCCCAAAGAACTTACATTAGTTGGGTTGCAAGGTACACAGCAGAAATCTAAAGCAAGATGAGCTAAAGTCCGAAGAAGCAACAAATACAAGGAATGCCATCCATGGTGGGGACTTTAGGGCAGGGTGGGAGAATAATTCCACCTCAGGAGGAGGGAATAGGAGAGGGGAATGCAAGCCTATCTGGAGGGGAGGTCAGGTCTGTAGCTGGATACCAATAGGTTAAATTGGGGCAGTTTCTATATGCACACCATCCTTCGGTCATATTTGTTTTTGAAAGCTTAAGGTCTAAGGTATTGTATTAATCTGGATAAGCTAAGTTATGCTTTGATAATAAATTAATCCCCAAATCTCAATGGTTTAACAGCAGAAATTCATGTGGCTGACTTAAACACCACTAGAAATGCAAAATCATGAATGTGTTTTTGAAGATGCATTTTTGTCTGTGACGTTATCAGGAATCTGCCCACTCCAGCTTCTTGCCTCTCTTTCTACAGATACTTTCTCCCTACCTACAGGGACTCAGTTAATTTCTCTTTTAATTTTTCTTTCTTCATCACCATGCTACTTCCTATTTTATCCCTTGGGCTTCTTTATGTCCCCAAACTGGCAGCAGAGGAGGCTAGATTTCTAGTTCCCAGCTCCTGGGATTATTCTCATAATTGTCTGATTGCCCTCCCTAAATAGGCTTGGTTATTGGGGTGCTGTGGGCTTGGTCAGTCATTCCCAAGGGCCTGGCTTAGGTTTGGGGGCACCATAATAAGCCTGAGATTGTGGCTTGTGCATCTCAAGAGTGATCTTGGTTACAAAACAAGGCGAAATCTGGAGTTGGAGTTACATCCATACAGGGGCAGCAGAGAAGGGGGCACCAAGCTGGGAGCTAAGTGAGAGGGAACTTTAGGGTCTATGTGTGAGGAAGGTTAGTGTAGGCAGAAAGAAATAAATAGAAGAGGATTTTCCTGAAGCAGCATCCTGGGACCATCCATGTCTTAGTCCATTTGAGTGGCCATAACAAATACAGTACACTGGTTGGCTTATAAACAATAGAAATTTATTTCTCACTGTTTTGGAGGCTGGGAAGTTCAAGATCAAGGCGCTGGCAGAGTTGGTGTCTGGTGAGGGCCCACTTCTTGGTATGCAGATGGCACCTTCTCTCTGTGCTTTCCCATGGTGGAAGGGGCAAGACACTCTCTGGGGTCCCTTTTATAAAGGCACTCGTCCCATCCATGAGGTCTCTACCTTCATGATCTAATCACCTCCCAAAGTCCCCATCTCCTAATACTATCACCTTGGGGCTTAAGATTTCAACATATGCATTGGGGTGGGGAGCACCAACATTCAGACCATAACAGACCACGGTTTTTTTTGTTTTTGTTTTTGTTTTTTTTTTTTGAGACAGTCTTGCTCTATCACCCAGGCTGGAGTGCAATGGCGTGATCTCGACTCACTGCAACCTCCACCTCCCAGGTTCAAGCAATTCTCCTGCCTCAGCCTCCCAAGTAGCTGGGATTACAGGCACCCACCACTGCACCTGGCTAATTTTTGTGTTTTTAGTAGAGACAGGGTTTCACCATGTTGGCTAAGGCTTGTCTCGAACTCCTGACCTCGTGATCCGCCTGCCTTGGCCTCCCAAAGTGCTGGGATTACAGGCGTAAGCCACCGTGCCCGGCCCATAACAGGCTACTTAAAGGGGCTGTCAGAGAGGAAACTCTACCTGCAACATGGAAACAGTCTAGGTATTCATCAATAAGGAACACAGGGAATTACAAAGAGCTAAGAGAATGATCTTTTGTCCCTGGTTTGTAGTTCATGATTCTCTTCTTTAGATAACATCCAGATCAACCCAACCCTTCTCCTTTTGTACCAAAGATTCACTGAACTTACCCTCTTCCATCATTGCTTCTCCCTCCCCTAGTGTTTCCTGGATCCATCACATGGAAATACTTTCTGCTAGGGCTGGATTAAAGAATGAGAACAAATAAGCTGTGTAGTGGTCCCTGGCACAAGAGGATAATTCCCTGGTCTAGACACCCAGATTGGGGGTATGTGATGTGGTGTGCCTCCAATCTGGATACTCTAGGCTATCTGCAGGAAAGATCAGTTAGGCCATGTCCTCTTAGAAGTCTTCACATTACATATACTTTTGTCTCCAAAGGATGAAGGATCCAAGCAGCCATTCTGGTATTGACATACTTGAAGGCAGAAAATTTTCTTTTTCCTGTTTCATTTTGAAGAACATAGTACTTCCAAAAGGAGGAAACAAGTCTTGTGGACACTTTAGTTTCTGATTTCCTGTTGAATTCTGACTTTTCTCTCCTTTAAGTCATTTAATCAGCTACTGTTTCTATTTTCTACACGTTGTTAAAGATAGTTTCAATGTGTTCCATTTCTGAGAAAAATATTTCCGACTAAATTTCCACCTTAGTTCCCAATAGGTTTTGTTTGCTGATTAGGTCACAAAGGTTTCTGGAAGCTAAATCAGACATATTAGTGTTTGTGACTAAAGTTGTTTAAATCTATATCTATATATCTGTGATATCTGCTGCAAAGATGAGAATGAGTTTTAAATTGATCTTTAAGGTGTTGAATAACTGTGTCCACTGAAACATTTTAGACATTTTTCTGAACTTATCACTTCATGTCATAGGTTGATCAACTTTCATATTTTCTCTATCCATGTTTTTTTTTTTTCATTGTGGTGCATGCAGCCCAGCTGGAAAACTCATATGAGATCAATATCCTTGGCTCTGAGCATGTCTTTGGTGTGGGACATAAATTCTTATATATTAGGAACATCTTTAGAATTTGTTGATCTTGGAGGTGGTGTTTGCTTTGTTTTTGAATCTGTTGTTGGAAGCGCATATATTTACTGTCTAATACATTGGAAAGTTTTATAAAATATAATTTGAGGACATAACTTCCATCACCCAATAATGCTGTTGGACTTTTGCAAGGTAGATTTGTTACCTCTGAAGGGGACCAGTCACATCTAGAGTACATCTGAGTCTGTGTGTCACTGAATTGTGTTCCCTGAGCTCTACTCTGTGAATCCTTGAGTTATTTGGTGGAGGGGTCCTGCTGTAAATGGATGTAGTGAGTTGAATTGTGACCCCAAAAAGATTATGTCCACCTGGACATTCAGAATGTTTTCCAGAGGGAAGGGTCTCTGCAGATGTAATTAAAGTAAGAATCTTGAAATGAGATCATCTTGGATTTGCGTGGGCACTAAATTCTTAGAAGAGAAGGGGAGCAGACACAGACACACAGAAAACCCTTGTGAAGATGGAGGCATAGACTGGAGTTATGCTTCTAAAAACCAAGGAATGACAAGGGTTTGGCAGCTTCCAAAAGCAAGGGAAAAGCATGAATTGCATTCTTTCTCAGCGCTTCCAAAGGGAATCAATTTTGCTGACATGCTGATTTCAAACTTCTGGCCTCCAGAACCTCAAGGGAATAAATTTCTATTGTTCTAAGACACTAAGTCAGGCCTGGCGCAGTGGCTCACGCCTATAATTCCACACTTTGGGAGGCCAAGGTGGGAGGATTGCTTGAGCCCAGGAGTTTGAGACCAGTCTGGGCAACATGGTGAGACCCTGTCTCTACAAAATATAACAAATTAGCCAGCCCTGGTGGTGCAAGCCTGTGGTCCCAGCTACTCGGGAGGCTGAGGTGGGTGGATCACTTGAGCCTGGGAAGTTGAGGCTGCAGTGAACTGTGATCACACCACTGCACTCCAGCCTAGGCCACACAGCAAGACCCTGTTTTAAAATAAATAAATAAATAAATAAATAAATAAATAAGGACCCAAGCCTGCAGTAATTAATTATGGCCACCCTGGGAGACTAATACGATGAAGGTCAAATGAAATATTTTATATACAGTAAGGAGCTTGTTTCTTAAAGCAGGGGTTGGCAAACTGTGGTCCCATGGGCTAGATCTGGCGGCTGCCTGTTTTTGTAAATAAAGTTTTATTGGAACACAGCCATGCTCATCCATTTATATATCATCTATGGCTGCTTTTGTGCTGCAACAGTGGAGCTGAGGAGTTACAACAGAAGCCATAAGGCCAACGAAGATAAATATATTTACGATTTTTTTTTTCCCCTGAGACAGAGTCTCGCTCTATCGCCCAGGCTGGAGTGCAGTGGCGCAATTTCGGCTCACTGCAAGCTCCGCCTCCCGGGTTCACGCCATTCTCCTGCCTCGGTCTCCCGAGTAGCTGGGACTGCAGGTGCCTGCCACCATGCCCGGCTAATTTTTTTATATTTTCAGTAGAGACTGGGTTTCACCGTGTTAGCCAGGATGGTCTCGATCTCCTGACCTCGTGATCTGCCTGCATTGGCCTCCCAAAGTTCTGGGATTACAGGTGTGAGCCACCGCGCCCGGCCATATTTACAATTTTTTAGTTGGGCAGAAATACGGATTTACTTAAGAGAGCGATAGTGGTAGATAGGGAAGCCTGTGGTGACTGCTTTGGCTACCTTTAATAATATCTGCTTTGAAAATCTGTATGTTCATAGTTTGAATTTGCTTAAAGCAAATTCACATCTCTCCTATAGAAATGGAGATATTGATTAAAAGAGGTTCAACAAAAACAACTGATCTATAGGATTTGTGTAGCCTCAGGTAGATTGTTTAGTTCAACCTCCTCATTTTGACTTCTTGGGCTTAATGTGAATTGGAAGCATTATTAGGTTGGTAGGATTGAGTAAGCAATAAACATACTCTCAGAATAAGGAAAAGAGCTATCTATCATTGTATTGAAGGTCCATCTCTTCCAGATGGTCCTGGGTGCTTCTTATTTGATTAATAATGATAATGCAATTGCATAGGCTTTCTGTCTTGAGTGTGTGAAGTTCTCCCAGATTCTAAACAAGAGATGTGGTAACTGAATTGAAGAAGCACACAACAATAGCTTATTTATTTTCCTTATTTAGTACACAATAATGCATAATCCTTCTGTTGAGGAAGTCTTCCTTAATGATGATGCATGTTTTTCTCCTAACTTGTTGGTAAGTTTTCTAGGAAAATAAAGATTTAGAAATTTGGTCATTGAGTTTTTTCTCAAATATTCCTGAAAAAGAGTCCTCTTACAAAAATTGTTCATACCTCTTGAAAATCCACTTCAAGGGATTTATCTAAGGAAATAATCAAACATTTAATTCCAAAGATGTTCATCAGAGCACTGTTTACAGCAATGTAAAGTTGCAAAGAACCTACATTTAAAACAATAAGAGGTTAAATAAGTTATAGTGCTTTCATGTTCTGAGTTTATCATAGAATATTTAATGACATGGAACGATGCTGTTGATATAATTTTAAGTGAGAAAAAACTAGAAAACACAATAGTATGTATTGTACAGAACAAATACACACTCAGAAAAAACAGATGAAAGGTTTAGGTCTTTTAAAAATATTCTTTTGCTTATCTCATTTTCCAACTTTTTTGATGAATAGTTTAGTAATAATAAAAATAAGTTAATTTAAGTGAAATGAGCAGACTGCCATTTTAAATACTTTTATTTAGAGTTGAGAATTTGTAGTTGATATAAAAAAGAACTTTCTTTTTCTTTCTTTAAAAATTGATAAGGTACTTAAACTATTGCTCACTAGGAGAGCGTATCTGAATAAGTCACTTTCTCTTCCCAAGCCTCAGTTTCTTCATCTGGAAATGAGAGCATTGAATTGACTGAATCTCTAAGTTTCTGATCAGCTCTGCCATTCTGAGCAGTATGAGTTAATGTTCAGAGCAGCATATTCCTTGAGCCAACCTCACTTACCAAGAATTGCACACTCAAAACGGGGAATGATTCTGGAGCTGAGGCTGATACCAGCCACCCCTGGACCCTCAACCTGTGTGGGAACCTAGTCCGAGGGCGAACTCACACTCTTGCTTAGATGGAATCAGAAGGCCAGCATCTTTACTGGCCTGGGAGCCTTGGGCTAGGTTGGATCTTCTATGAGGAGGGATTCTCTCTCTTTCTATCTCTTTTAAAAAAATTCTTCCTTGTCTTAAGCTATGGTAATGTATTTTCTTAGAAAAAAAATTTCTACTTTAAAATTTTAATTGGTACTAATCAGCCTCAGGCAGAGAGCCTGCAATAAACTTGGTGTCAATTTCGTGTTTTGCTGAAGTTTGTGAAGTGTTTTGTTTTGTTTCAGAACTTACCATTTGCGTGTGTGTGTGTGTGTGTGTGTGTGTGTGTGTGTGTGTGTGTGTGTGTATTTGCCAGGGATCATCAGCTGGGCAAATAGTTTTCAGAAAATATAAGCCCTGAGCATTACATTTGACCACTAAAATTTTTGTTGTCTTCACTCAAATTTAATGGGGTCAGGGGGTCATCTTTTTCTTTCTGTCTCTCTCTTTCTCCTTATAAGACATACACCTGTAGTATGTTGCACCATTTCCCCAAGAAGATTTTTTAAGTTCCTTCGGATAAGCATTGTGATTTTGCTAATTTCGTATCCTGTTCATATCTTGCCCAGTGTTATGTGCAGCGAACAGTAAGGATTTTAGGTTTGAATTAAAGACCCACAGGCCCTCTCAGGTGTCTACTGAAGGTGGCATGCTTTCAATCATGCTGTATTTTTTTACCCAACTTGAGTTTCTCCTTTTGCTGGAAATTGAAATCAACCAGGAACAAGAACAGGATGTGTTTTTGTGCATTGATATGCTGAGACATTTTTGACACTGGAGCACAGATATTGAGAAAAATAATTCCTAGGACTATTCGTTCATTCCTTGAGTCCATAAATGCTTACTGAGTTTTGTTCACAATGCTGTCTGAGGCAGCACAGTTAGAGAAAAGCTAAGACTTTTGGTGTCTGTGGTGTGGGTACAAAGATGGGAAGGATGATGAGAAACAGTTGAAGTGTTACACAGACTCCATGGTGCACCTGTTCATCCATTTATCCATCTGTCCATCTCTCCTTTCCCCCATCTGCCCATTCATTCATCCATCTATTCATCCTATAAATATCAATTGAGAGTCTACTTAGCTCATAGCACTGTTCTAGGCATCGGGGGTGTAGTGGGAATAGACAGGCAACGTTTCCTGCTTTGTTGAAGGTAGAGCTTATAATATAGTGGATGACACAGATCAACAATGAGTAAACAAGTTAATAGTACCATTAAAAAATGATATGAAGAAAACCAGCACAGGGAAAGGGGATAGAGGCTGACTGTAGCAGTTGGGGAAGGTTCTATGAGGAGGTGATCTAGAGAGAGCCTGGGATGGGGTGAAAGGTACAGAGGAAGGAGAACTGGACAGGGAGTCAGGCTGAGTTCTCATTTTGACTTGTCACTTAACTGCACAGCAGGGACAACTCCCTCAGCATCTCTCCCTCACCTGATTATTCATTAAATAAAATGATGTATGTAATAGTAACTTTCAAGAGTAATGTATTATTATTAATAATGTTAAGGCCTGTCACATGATTAGCATTTAAAGGACCAATGGAAAAGTTATGTGTAGGGACTTTGAGTATTTCCTGCTTGTTCATGGCTGTAGACAGCCAAGCTCACCCTTTCTGGGGTCCTACAAATTTCCAACGACCTCAAAACACTGAGAATATAAAACAGGAGGAAGCATTCAATCTCTTCACTGGATGAAATGTGAGTATGTGTTAGCACATGTATGTGTGTGTATGTGTGTGTGGGGGCTCTCCCGAATGTGACAGACAACCAGCAGTGTTTCCCAAAGCAAAACGAAATGGTTTATTTAAAAACAACGCATTCAGTACTGTGTTTGGAACACAAGGCAATGAGGCAGGCACATTCACACTTAACAAGTACATTTGAGGAGCTGTCGAAGCAAATGGTTGCATTTTCTTCACAAACTACAGTCACAATATACACGCAATTGCCTCTGTCCTTGTTCACCAAGAAAGCAGAAGATATTTACAAGTTCCTCAGTCTAGCAGTGCTGGCTTCTCTTGGGTCTCTGTGGCCCTCACATTCTGGCAGCTTGTTTCCAAGGGCAGGCGAGGCTGCCTGTCACAAGGGAGGTCAGTCTGATTTGTTAAGGCCCTCGGCTTCTTCCAAAGAGCAAGAGAACTTCTGACAGAGTTGGGAAAGAGGGAAGTTTTCAATACCAGTATCTCAGCATAAAATGGCACTTTCCAAAACAAATGCATCAAGTGTTGAGTGACGGGGTGAGCGGGCAGGGAATCACGGTATTAACAATATAAGAAGCATTTATTTTCCCTGACACATACTTCTTGCTCATTTATTTAATAACTTACATTCGCTATTCTTCTACTTTTTGACCTTTTGGTTTCATCATTACTCTTAAAGAGCTTTGCTCCTCCTTCTATACTGATACACTATTCTTTAAAATGCTGAAATGCAATGGTGAAATCAAAGTATGTTAAGCGAGAGAAGATATCACAAACATTCTTTTGTCTTGACTTCTAATTAATGCTTTCACAATTAATTGTCAATGTCCATCTAACTAATGGAAGCAGCACAGTGTGGTGTAGCAGAATCAGTGGTTGGGAGACCCAGACTCTAATTCCAGTTAGCTAGCTGGGCAAATAAGTCACTCCAACTTTCTGAACCTCAGTTGTCTCATCTCCACATGGAGGATGTTGATCTGGAATCCTGACTTGAGATAACATCTAGATCTGTAAAGTTTTGCTATGGACTTAGGTGGTTGTCCCATGTGAGTAAATGATAGTGTATTGCGATGTTTCCATACATTTGTTTTGTGTCCTGGGAGAATTTCAGTGCTAACTAATGATGCTTGGTGACCGGATCTCAGCCTGTTACTCAACTCCTCCCAGGGCTCTTGGCTGTAAGCGCTCTTGTGCTTTTCTGCACAGTATGGGTTCAGATCTGGATCTTGAAATATGGCTAAAGAGCACTTCTAACATGGGGTACAGTTATTCTCCATATTAAAAAATGGTCTAGATTCCTTCAGAGGGAAACCTCCCTCTTCTTTTTGCAAGTACTTCAATGACTTTATTCCACTTATGCAGGTTGACCAAACCTCTTTCCCATTGTCTGCCAATTTTTCTTCCCTGCCAATTTTCTTCCCTAAGACTAAAAATGCTATGGGAGTGGCTGGTTCCTCAAGAATGGTTTTCTGGTGAATTTGTTCATAATAAAACAAGGCCTACCTGTCAAGCCCCTTGTGCTTGTAGCTGTGGACTTCTCTGTTTGGTGTCAGGAAAAGAGCCAGAGGGTGAAGGCATACTTGTGCTCAGGCTGCATGCAATGTATTGGGAATACAGACATCTGAACATGCACCTGACTCATTTAAAATAAAATGTAGCTTGCTCAATGTAGAGAAACAAGCTCATTTCAATGACCATTAGGAAGAAAGAAAATAGAGGTATAACCTGGCATTTTACACATAGTATAGAAAATGTCCAACTTGCGTTTCAAGCATTTACAGTTTAGAAATGCCTTACAGAACCTGTAGGGTATTTTATTATAGCAACGGAAGTAGATTTGGTCCTTCATGATCTAATTTTGATTTAGTACATGCAGATAACAACTTACGGCCACTCACTGTGTCCTAGGAATTAGGCATATTTTTTCCCAGCATTGCCTCTCCAAAGATTTAATGAAGCCCACCTAAGAATGACTTCTACCAGAAAAATTTGCAATTTGCAAACAAAGCTTGTTCTGTGGATTACCAGATTACCTGATTTCTAAACACTCAGTTGGAAGTACACTCACAACTAGTGGTGAGAAAGGACAGTTGCTCTATTGCTCAATGCCAGGGGACTGCAGGGGCCAAATGTGTATTAGTAGATTTTTGTTTTTCATGGTCCAGCCTTACATCACATGACACCTTATCCTACAAAGTTTGCCCAGTCAGCAATGAAGTTGCCCAGAGATATTCCTACCAAGTGGTATTTCTTCACCGTTGGAAACTTTTCTAAGGGCAAATCAACTCCAGTTGAGTGCAACTTAAACTCTCAGCGTGATGTTTACTGGGTGTCCCCTGGTGGGGTAGAGACCTTGGAACCTCAGTGCCTTTCCAGATATGTAGAGCCAAGTGAGCTTACTGGGTGCCTTGTTCTTCCCCTGCTCCTTTGCAGGCACTGTTTTGTGGGTACCTGTATTTTTTTTATTGTGTCAGAAGGATGAGGGGCAAGTGGATAGGGAAAATGACAAAGTTGGGGAAACAAGTGATGAACTATAGGTATAGATTTTTTAAAAAAGATCAGCCAAACATGGTTTTAACTGGTAGTTAAATTAAAGAATGTTTTCCTGGAGGGTCACCCTTAGAAATTAGAAAAGCCACAGTTGGTAATCTCCCAAGATACTGGGGAGTCTGTTGAGAGGTTCCTAAGAGTCACGTGGAATATTTGAACACCTTGGGATCCAATAATATGCTCTTTTACTAAAAATCAGTAAAACTAACCAACATGGAAATGCTTCCCTTGGTGGAGGGGACATTTAAAAGTCCCTCCAAAGCCTCTGCTAGCCTCTCCTATTTGGTACTCACTGACTTAAAAATTGTTCAGGCAGTGCTATGCTGGAGCTGGCTCATGCTGTATTGGAGCCAACTTATACTGGCTCTTGAAAACATATTGTTGTGTTTTCAGCTGGTTGACATTAAGTTAGTAGCCTGAAATTGGCTGAGATGAGAGTATTTACACCATAGAAATTGGTAGGTGCTAAAAATCTGGGTTCCACTGTTTTCCAGAGCCAGTTGTTAAACATTTGGCAGCACACCAAAGAGCTAAAACTGTCTGAGAATCACACAGAAGGAAAATCAAAGGAACCCTTTGGTATCACTGTTGTCTAAAGCCTTTCTATGTGCACAGCTATAGAAAGAAGTCTGGCCAAAGCTTCATTAGGACGGTGGCACATTATCCAACAGAGGTGGTACAAGGCCACAAGTAATAACTGATCACCCTTGTTATACTGGGTTAGTCTTAGAACTGGAGCCTCCTGAATTTCCTTTTTTGATTGGTTTTATTTTAGCCTGAATACCTTTGTGTTTTGGAGACTACCTGAGGTTGATAAATCAGACCCCTTAGATAAATATTTTAGGCTCTGGGAATGACTTCCAAATTGAATCTGAATGAATCACTTCAGTTCCCTGTTTCTCATTCTCACCAATTCTAAAGATGAGTGACCTGAGATCTGCCTCTTAGTTTGAAATATAAAGAGGGAAATATGAAGAGCTGGCCTTGAGACAAAGTGTATATTAAAGCTTGCTCTCCACCTTGTCTTTGGGCTTGCATCCATTCTGACTAAATTGATCAGTTACAATTTGCTTATAAATTAGCAACTGGTCAATTCGGCTGAAACAGCTGAATTGTTGAATCACTAAGACTGTGTCTATATTGCCATTTAACATGATAACCTCAACGAACATGTGAAACTAATCGCACAAGGAGAGATAAGCATTTAGCTACTTTGTTCAAAATGGTATATATGACTCCGGATGTATATATTACTGGTTTCCAAATGGTGGTCACACGAATCACCTGGGAATCTTTGTAAGTTGGACTTATCCCAGGACATTATGAATCAAAGGTCCAGAATGAGTGGCAAGAATTGTATTTTGAAGAGTTGCTTATTTCATACAGCTGTGTTTGCTGGGAGATCAGCTGCATAATCCGGGTCCTAACCCCAGAACCCCAGGGTAACCTTAAACTGAAGTCAGTTACTCTGCAACAACTCTTCACTCTGATGCCACTGTCATCAACAACAAGAGAATAGGCTTCACTGAGGAACATCTATTCATACACATATGTCTTCAATCAGTCATCACAATAAAAATAAATTTTCAGAAATACTGCATAAGATGACAATATATAATACAATAATGACATTCTAAAGTGTTTCCCATTTCAAATGCTGTTATCTATGTGGCAAAGCAATCGGAGTGTGAGAGAGGCATAATGAATCATTTTGATGCTTAGTACCAACTGATCTGTGGCCTCGATTAATTGGGCCACAGAGTCCAGACAGGTCAATCAGCTGGCCAAGGTGCCCTCAATCCCCAGCACCCAGAGTGCTCTATCTGGGCTGCCAGCCACAAACACACAGCCCCTTTGTAAGCAAAGTGACAGTTCTACACATTCAGGGAGAAGCAGAGGCTTAAACAGAAACTTGTGCCTAGTGCATTCAAACAATTATGGGAAAAAAGGTTTTAAGAATCTAGAATTATACAGAAAATTGCTCAGTTTGTCATTTTGCACATGAAGACTCACGAAGTTATTATTATTTGTATATCTTCTTAGCATATTGAACCAAACACAATATTTCAAAGTCTGCTGTTGAGATTACCTATAAAATAGAAGGCATTTCTTAACTCAAGGGACCCCGATGAAAGTTGTATATATATGGAGAAGAACACAACAATTTTCAGCCTTCAACTTCTAAATTATGCATGTATATTACTAAAACAAGGTTTTACTAAGATGAATAGCTTATTGGGTAAGATTGCAGCTGTCAAGCATGAACCACCAGTAACTTAATTGTTATTTATCAAATCATGATTTACCAAGCGTGTTTTGTTTCATCTCAGGGAGAAGGTAGGTGATAATTGGTGGACAGTTGCATACCCACACAAGCATCTCCTTTATTGTTCTGTGTTGGGAAGTCATTTTTGGGAGGGAGAGGAGAACCTTTTTTCCTCTTTTATAGACTTTCTAACTTATTTTATGTGCTCTGCAGATCCCAGACCAAAAACCACTTTCCCTGTGAGCCCAGCTTCATTTGATGCTGGTAAGACCAAGAAGTACTAGAGGAGGAATCATAATTTCTCCACTAATTGACAGTGTCATCTGGGGCAAATCACCTAGCCTCCCTGTTTCTCCATTTTCTCATTTGTAAAGTCAAGAATCAAGACTGGCGAAGCTGAAGGCCTCTTCATTTCCAGTGTCCTAGCATTCTACAATATTGTCCCTGCTTCCTTTGATCTCAGGTCAATACCGCTTTGTTGTCTGAGAGTGTCTAATAATTAGTGCCTTGACTCAAATCAGAAAAAACGTTCTCCCATTCCTTGGCTTCCCCACCAAATTAGGTTTCTCTTGGCACTCACATTCACGGATAAGTAGTGGCTCGGGCATAAGGAAGCTGAGGGCAGGGGCAGCGGTTCTTCCTTTGCACATCCTTGCTGGTAGCCCCATGGCCAGGTACCTGACATCAAGGTCACAGACAGATGGCACAGTAGTCATAGTCAGCACTGCCAGGCACACAACACTACTAAACATACAGCACTTTTACAATATTCACAGACACTTAAGACACAGACACAAGGTGGAGAAATGATAGATATTTTAATAATCAAATATTGGAAAGAATTTTTGGGGTGTGGGAGGAATTCTTGACACCACCATTTAGCCCTGTCTCCCTTGGATCTGCATCTGCATATGACACTCAGAATAACCAGTGAAAACAGAGCGTCTAGCATTAAGCAGGTTGCCAAAAGTTTGTGATTATTTCCCCCCTCTGCAACTTAATTGGTTTTTTGTGTTGGTGTTATGGGTAGAAAGCCTTGGGGGCTTTATGGTAAAATGTATTCCAATAGCTGAAAGTGGACTCTGTTGTGAGTATCCTAAAAAAGGGAAAGTGTCTGACAAAAGGATAAATTAGTCTAGAACTAACAAAGCAAGGTCAATGCAAAAGCCAGGGCATGTGTCTGTAGCTGAAAGAGGAGGAAAGAGCCAATGGTCCTGAGCTGATTACTGCCCAGTTCACTGCACTTGACTACACAAGCCTGGGAGCTGCAGGAGAGCCAGCTGCCTTTCTAATTAGGACACTTGGGACACAACAACTTTTTTGGTCATAAAAGTGGTTGTATAGATTTAATCTTTGAAACAGTCTTTAAAAACAAACAGAGATTTTGCATGGTCAGCTAGAAGCTGCTATTCTTCAAAAGTGAAGGGTGATCTATTGGGATCATCTCCAGGAAGTCCTCCTTATAAGCAGAGATGAGCCTGATCTCTAAACCCCTCAAGTTCTGAAGAAAAGTCCATTTCCTCACTATTTTGAGTTTTCATTAAAGTGATAGATAACACGGTGGTGGGGGATGGGAAAGTCCTCCCACTCTAAGGTTAAGATGGAGCCAAGACTGCAAGGAGATTTAAAAAATCTCCCTGAACTTAAAAAACAAACAAAAATCCTTGGCATTATGATGAGATAAAATTTAAATTGTCCACTACAGAACAGTAAACTGTTTTTTAGAGATTCTGGTCTTTTCCTCTTTTAATCTTCTTGGTTTAAAGTGTCTATGCATTTATATTTAGTGAAAATGAATGGGCACATTGGGATTAAAACTCCAGAGTCAGAATCTGGCCCAAGTAATATTGGCATTAATATCACTTAGCTATAACCAAATGAACTAAGTGCTCAGGAACAGCCAACTAAACACTTCTGTCAGTTGTCAATCTCTCAGTGATCCCAACAGAGCACAGTGTGAGGATGGTAGTACAGTCCTCTTCAAAGGGACAGGGAACAAACACGGTGTGGTTGTGATACCCATCAAATTATACCACTGAATTACAAAATGTTTTTAATGTCTCCCCTTATAATTATATTGTAATGTGTGTCATAATTGGTAACACATTTGAACTTGGTGTTTCTTTCATTAGTTAATATCTAGATCTATGCAAGTTGCTCTAATTAGATTGCTTTCTGAAAATAATAATAAGGCAGGTTTAGGACCAGGCAGAACGTGAGCATAACGATAGTGTCTTTCCTTACCATATTCGGTTTAATTTTAGGCATGATCTTACCTTCCTAAAGAGGGGCAATGAGCTCATCACTGAACTACAGCACATTTTTTAAACAGTTATTTGTCGCATTGCAAGCAATCTAGATGAGATTTCAGGAAAAGAATGAGCTACCCCACTCAAATGCATAACAAATATGCTTGACTGGCATTTGGAAAGAAGAAAGAAACTCTTATTAAAATTTAACATCAACTTGGCCAGACGTTGGGCTGAATTGGAAGAACAAAGTGCTGCTCAGTAAAAAGCCAGGGATGGGAATGATTTGATTTCTACTCATATGGCTGAAATAAAGAAAATGAGAATGGCCAGCTACTTCCTTCATCGCAGGTCTACATAATCTTGGATTCCAACTCTTGCCACTGCACAATGGCTTTTTCTTTTGAAATGCTTAATTTGTAGTTGTATAGATCTGACTTCAGTGGAAAGAGGGAATATCCAGTGCTACAATGTTCTCAAAGAGAGCAAATGGTTCTGGATTGGTGGTGGTGCACACAATGATACGGAAAACGATCGCACCTCAGCACTAGTCACCTGGGCACCTGGCCTGGCCAAGATCCTCCTCCACTTTAACCCAGCTGGAATGGGTAACATGGTTACCACACTTTAGGGTACACAGGATTCCATAACAACTTCTAAATATTCTTCTTCCTTTTCCTTTGTGTGTCCCAGGGTCTTAAGCTGATTCATTGCCTCTATATTCTGAGAGAACACCCAGCCTAGTGCATGGGTTGGGATTATGGGAGACACTAAATTTAGGCTGGAATGGCCTTACAGATGTGGCCACAGTGCTATTATTTGCCATAACAATGCCTACATCAAGAGACGCAATGCTATCCACAACATAGGCTTTCTTTGTGATCATGAAAGATGCACTGCCTTATATCCCACTCACCACAGAGGGACCATCTTGCTGTAGAATGACTGAATGGACTGGTGAGGACTGCATCAGAGGCATTTCTTTAAAAAAGGAATCACAAGGGAGTCCATCGTGATTTGCCTATTTTGTCATGAAGCATCAAAGTTACCCAGAACCTTAAACACATCAAGTACAAATGCAACATATACAAGCAAAGCGAATTCAATAGGATTCCTAGCAAATTATTAAACTCCACGGTGGTAGGGCAGGGAGTAGTTGCAGAGGGAAGGAGTGAGATGGTGATAGAGATGGAGATAGGGAGATAGATAGAAGATGAGATATGCAAACCAGTTTTTTACGTTTCCATTTTTCAGAGTCTGATCCCACCAGCAAAACAGGTCCTGCCCCAGTTGGCCAGAGGCCTCTGATTATGAGGACTATCTGAGCAGAGCTGCAGAAACTATAGCTCTAGTCCTCATAAAAATGAGAGGCAGTTTATTATTAAAATCCAAACATGAAAATACTTCAAACCATTTCGTTAGCAGCATAGTCCCAAATGCAACATTCCCTTTATCAATCAAGTCTAAACCATGTGGCTTCAATGCATCTGTCCTGCTAAATCTGCTAAAACTCTTAAAAGAGCAGTGCAAAAGAGAAAAGACATCTTTCCTTTTAAATGGCAGACAATCCTTATAAGACATTCTCTAGGGTTCTATTCTGAAGGCTATTCAATTTGATTTGGGGCACTTTTTAAACAGCCATTTGGCGCTTTCCGTTTGGAGTTCTTAGGCACAGTGTGACAGAGTCAGCTTGGTGAGCCCTTCCCCATGCATTCGGTACAGCAGCTGAAACTCAGCAGGCAGCTGGTGGGACTCCTGCCACTTGGTGGTAAATTTGGTTCCTTTTTTGTCATAGTAATGGTATGGAAGATCTTCCCTTGTGTTGGGGTCAAATCCAAACGGCCAAAATCCATACAAGTGGATCTCTTCACATATTGCTGATGCAAGGGTGTACATAAGAATACCTGTGCTCAGCCGTTTAGGTGACAAATGTTTGTTTTTCCAGTACCTGTGGAACAATAAGTACATTTGGATTCAGAGGTCAGCGTTGAAAGTTTCAATCAGCAAGGTCTATCTGACTGGGCTGGGTAGTGGATTTGTTACTGTAACTTAAATAGTGCTTGTTTTGAAATTATATTTTAGGCAACCAAAAACAACTTCTGGGCACAACTGGTTACATAATTTGTGAGATCCAGTAAGAAATAAAAATGTGGAGTCTTGGTTCAAAAAGTATTGAAAATTTCGAGTGCAAGAGCAAAGTATTAAACCAAGTGTTGGGCCCTTCTGAGCATGGGATTTCCTGGGATCACACTGTTTGCACACCTTTGAAGCTGGCCTTTGAAGCTGCCCCTGGGTTTTTCTAAAGAGTGGTGTGGCTCTGACCCAGCGGTGACACAACAGAAGGCCACCAAAAAGAATGACTGTGCTTTTCTTACATAAAGTGTTCTTGGATAGGGTGAAGGAGGTCATTTAATCTAAGGGAAACTCCTCCGTCTCTTCCTTTCTCAAACCTAGAAATAAACCCTTCATTCGGGGTTTAGAAAGATTGTGGAGCCTTATTTTTCTTCTCTCTTGCAAATAATTGTATTCCTTGCTTCTTTCTCTTCTAACTAGGGGTTCCCAAGCCCATCTTCAGCATGCCACAATCTGGCATGCTAAATTTTTTAAATTCAGAAAGTGTGTAAGATACATTAAGTGTAAATAATAAATTATAGTTATTAGTCCTTCCATATTTAAATAATATTAATACTCTGAAGCCTTCCTGCTGACACCGCCAAATATTTGAGGCTTCTATGTGGTGTGTGTATTTATCATTGGAGATGCAGGCAGAATGAAACTGTGCATTAGTCAGGTTTCTGTGGACTGTATTTCCTTCCCGTTTTCATTGAACCCATGTATTTTTTTGAGGCCCGAGTGGCTAAGAAACATTATGATTAACTCCACTTTTGTGGCAGGCAGCCACACAGGATAGTTTCTGGAAGTTTCTAAGCACATGCAGTTTCTTCTTCACTACTTGAAGATTTCAAAGGTGAACCTTTCCCCTTCCAAATGAAATTTAAAAGTTCAGTCTTGGTTTTACTATTCCTGTCTAAGGAACTAGAATGACTCTGACAACCCTTTCGGTATAGACAAACTTAAATTGAACAAAAGGGGAGCAAAATAAGGAGATCAAAAGACCATGGGACAGGTTGGCAGGAGACCTGACTTCTAACTCTAGTCTTGCTCATTTAGGGCAGTGACTTTGGGTAAATAACTTCTGCTCCTTGTACCTCAGTTGATTCATCTTTAAACTTAGGAGCTGGGCTACATCACCACTTAAAAAGGTGACCATATATCCTGGGGAACTGGGACAGTCCCAGTTTGTCAGTTATCTGTGTTGTAATTATTAATAGCACCCTCTTTCTCTCAAAGAAAATGTTCCAGTTTGGACTGTAAATTATGGCATCACTCTACCCTCTACCATTGAGATACAAACCAGTTTATTAGGCTGTAATTCCTCCTCCTATGAGAGGTCAACTAAACAGATCTTACATCTTAAGAGGCTACGGGATGGGAAAAATCTATTGTGGAATAAAGATCTTCAGAATTCCCTGTTTACCAGGTCTCCAGAACCCACCCCAACTTATAATAATATTTAGGGCTATGTTAGGACACTGAGGCTACTTACATAGGGGAAACTGAAGTTGAGATAATTTTCTCCAGATGATTTAAAAGAAAAAAAATCTACAATTAATCTTGTTTTATAAAATGCCCTGGACTAGTGGTTCTCAATTCTGACTGCATATTGGAATCATCAGGAGAGTTGTTAAAAAATACCAAGTACCTGGCCTCCACCTCCCTGCCCACCAGATAATTTACATTAGGATCTCTTGAGGCAGAGCCTAGACAATAGTATTTTTAAAGCTCTCAAGTGATTCTAATATACAACCAGAGTTGAAAATCACCAGACTAGAAGAAAATATTGCATCTCTGGCTAATCTGTCTATCAAATCCCAAGAGATAACAACATGCTCATAAAATACTTTCTTCATGTTTTTGCACTCAAATATCAGATTATAAAGGCAGATTGTGCAATTTATGATTTAGGTGTTTTGCTAACCTTGGACATCTACAAAACATAAATTTAAGTCAACTGCATCGTTTCTAAAAAGAAAAACCACTTGATTTGTCTCTAATTTAGCCATTGGCATTCTTGGAATATAGCTATCTATTTAAAGAAAATTCTTGATTTGTGGTGATTTCCATGACTGCTCCATAGCCTTACTACCAAGGGAGAGGACAGAGAATAGAGACGGGAGACTGATGAAGCCCCAATCCTTCCATCTGACACTTGGTTACCAGCTGTGGGTAGATGGAACTTCTTAGCTAGAATGATTCATTCATTCGCTCATTACAAAACATATGAGTTTCTTCTAATTACTACTAAACTCACCACAACAACTAATGAATTGGATGGCTCCCACCCCCAAGAGATTACAACATTGATTTGCCATCTGGTGGAGTATGAGTAAAATGTAATAAAATATACACACCTGTTGACATGTTGCATTATATTTCCCGGCCAAGCCAGTTGGACTTTTAACTGACCTCTGTGTTCAACAAAAAAGTCAACTAATGTCCTGGTCACAGTTGCTGAAGTGTGGAAGAAAAATGCAGGGATCCAAAGAATGGCCCCGTCAAGCTTTTTTAAACTGAGGAAAAAGTTGTTACGGTCCTGAATAGTCAAGAGATTGTTGTAATATTTTTCCAGGATGCTGGGGTTGAAGGTGGTAAGATTGGTTTTTCTTCCAACATCTCTTTGGAAAGCCTCCGTAGGGGCGAAATTGCAACGGAAAACAAAATCTGATTTATCTATTTCTTGTCCACACTGGCTCCCTGTCAGGATCCCACTATTTCCAACCACAGCACAAATATTATAATGCTTGTTCATAATGGGTGACACATCTGGAAGAAGTGACCGGAAGTTATTGCTAATAGAGAAAACATATTTATGGCTGGAATAATCATAGTGCATCAGTTGTCCAATCCGAACACTATTCTTGGTCAAAGAAAAATTTTTTATTACATCGACATGCTGAAGAATTTCTTGCCTAAAATAAAAAGAAATTCATGAAAAGCATTCCATTCAGAAGAACTGATTTTCCATCTTATGACTTATGCTGACATTTCATTCAGAGGGAATCTTAGGCTCATTGAATCCAAAAAAGATTATACATACATAATTGTGGTCCTTGAAGGGAGGACTGCTTCAGAATCTCCGCATATTCTAATCTTTCAGTCAATTTCTGGGTGTATTCTTTGAGGCTTGTAAATGCAACTTACAGTTTTAGCTGCCATACCTTGGTTTTCTGCTCTACGTGAAGAGTGTATCTTATTTGATCAGCAGGGAGGTATAGGGCAAATTGTGTCAGAAAATACAGGGAGACAATTTACACAGGCCTGAAAGAGCTCACATTAATGCACAAACATTAGTAACACATAGTTTGTAACTAGGGTCTACTTGTTTGCTACTGGACTGAAGTGCTCAAAGAATATCAAATATCAGTGGTGTCCAAATAAGAGCCAAATAGATATGAGTCAGTACAGCACTATCTATTATTAAAATATGAAGATGGTAATAGCAGTGGGTGTAGCTGAATATTTAATAGAAATGAGATGATAATCTCATTAAGGTCCTTTGAATAATGAAACAGGGAGTTTTTTCTACTTGATTATATAGAAACACAATTTAGTTGAATAAATCTAATCCTTAGAAAACATGGCTATTATAAATCCTGAAAATATTTCCATATTCTAGCAATTCAGTACATAAACAAGGCAAGACTGATACTTAGAACTAATTTCACGTTGCTTTCATATTGAGCTTTAAGTAAAATTAAGTATCTCTTCTTAAAGTTTAGCTATTTAAAACATTCAAGAGAGACTGGTAACATGCTACTGCTGCTAGATTCTCCGATGTTAAGTAAACCCAGTGAATTTCTTATAACTTTTGCCTAAATGTAGCAGGAATGAAATGAAATGCTTTGCACATCATCCGTTGCTTGGAATTTTAATTTAAAAATGACTTCATTCTTCAAAATAGAGGCAACAGCAACTGAAATCTTTGAAACTCCCCAAGTTACCAGTACCACTCTTACAAGTTGTTAAAAAGGTAAGGCAGATTTAAAATGCTACTGGTAAAAATTTAATGAAAGATTATCTAATTAATTAAAATGAGCGAAGTTTTGAGAAGGAAATATTCTTCTGACTGGTCATTTGGGTCACATGGCCTAGTGTGGGAAGAATATTTTTTATTGAGTTAGAAACATGTTTTGGGGAAAGCTAGAATGTGTTCTACCCATGAAAACGTTCTGGGTTGTCCATAAAATTAATATTGAATTAAAACCCAATTATTAAAAAAACACTTCTAGAGTTTTAGAATTGATCAATTTTCATGAACTAATTTATAATTAAACATAAGTGTTTTTAAAATGTTAATCATATGACTGTATGCTGACTTTTCATCTGAACAGTATTTTCATGAGACCATGAATACCCACTGAATTTGTTTTAATTCTGCCCATAGATTAAACTTTTAAAAGAGAGAGAGAGCAATAACTAGAAATGCTAAGATCAAAACACAACTCCCTAAATAGAGTGGTTTGTAAAATAAGTATTCACACTTCTAATGAATACGCTAGATGGCTCACATCCCATTTAGCAGTAAAATAATCCCACCATGAAGGAAGGAGTAATGAGTTATCGTGGTTTGCTAAGAGTAGACCAGAATCACTGAGCAGAATAAATACATTTGAACAAATCTCATCCTTCTTCCACCTAAAAAAACAAAACCTCAAAACCATCTTATGTGTATAAAATGAAACCGCTACAATTAGTAGGAATTAAGTTAGGTACCTTTACAGTAAGTTAAAAGCTGTAAAGACAATGAAAACAGGCAAAACCAAAACAAAACCATAGTTAAATATCTACATACATTTGGGCCAGCATTTTCACGAGTAATTTGATGGAGACAGATTATGGCATTTTCCGTGTGTTTCAAAGAAACAATACCACTTTATTCTATTTTTCAAGTTTTTTTCAGTGAGGAAATGAAAATGCATTGGGTGGTCTTTTTGCAACTAACCTTTTGTCTGTTTTTTTTTTTTAAATAGATGGCTTTGGCAGTACTTGCCAGACTTGTTAGCTGTAAATCATGGTGCTCAATCAAGCCCAAGTGGAATGCTTTTTTTTTTTTTTGCTATTCAAATTGGTCCTGATATGTCCTTTTTATGAGAGGACACTACACACACAGGAGAAGGTTCCTGATCATTGCTTTGTGCAGTCATGCCAAGAAAACAATGCAGATACACCTGATGGTGAGGGTGGGGCGTATAGATGTTTGTTGTTTTAGATGTTTTTGTTTGCTTGTTTTTGTTTTGTTTTGTTTTGAGCTCTTGAATTCTTAAAAGCACCTTTTGGATCTTTTCCTCCTATCCTACCTTTGATGTAAAAACGCTGTCCGATTAAATTTCCACTTAGAAGGTTTCTCTTGGAGTTCCTGGGTGAGAGAATTCGTAATGGGCACGAATGACGGGTCTAGAAACTTCAGCGCAAATTGTGACCTGGAGAGGAGCATGAGCACAGACAAGCGTGCTGGCCTCAGCTCGGGGAAGCCGAGGTAGCCATTAAAGTGCAGCGGCTGGGGCGAGGGCGGCTGGTACGCGTGCGGGCTCCGTTCCGTCCCGGAGCCCCTCTCATTTGGTCCACCCTCTGCTCCCACACACACCCGAGAGAAAAAAAGAAAACTAGGGAACCCCATCTGCATTGTCCATCCCTCCGGGTGCCGGAGAGACCATAAAATGGCCGTCATGCGGAGAGCAGGGCGCACGCCGGGCGCAGGGCTGGAGCCCGCGGCGCTGCGAGGACCAGGGAATCAGCACCGCGGACAGCGGCCGCCCCGCCAGCCTGACCCGCTACGCCTTTGCAGCCCCATAGAATTGTTTTTGGAGAAAGGGCAGAGGAAACCGGAGACCCAGGGAAAGTCTGGGGGTGGTTCCTGCCTTAACCTCTTCCTTCCCAAACCCACGTCCGATTTCACTTCCTATAACTTGGCTGGGGACCCCCGGGGGCCGCCGGCCTACTCCGCTCCTCGGTCCAGGCGAGGCTCCTCTGGGTTCCTCGCCTCGGTCCCAGCTTGGACCACAGGTGGCACTTTGTAGTTGCCACCTGCCCGTCAGGAGGCCCTGCTGGGAGAGTTCCCGGGGTCACAGAGCGGGGCGGGGGCTCTCGCAGAGCGGCGTCAAGCTGCGCCTGGAGCCTTCACAGGCCGGCCCAGCGCGGAGCGGTGACTCCGACCTGGCGAGGGTGGGCGGCCCTTCCGAGGCTCGCTTCCCGCAGGGGGCGGGGGAATTGCAGAAATCCCGGAAAGCTGGTGGGGGGCGGTGGCTGCGGGGGAAAGGGTTGAGAGAGAACGCCCCAGGGGCTTCCTGAGAATAAACCCGCGTGTCCTTTGATAGGCGTGGGGGAGTAAAGGAGGAGGGCGCGAGGGGAGTCCGGCGCCTGCGCCATTAAACCGCCAGCACCGCCCCGGGCCCGGCCCGCGGAGTCTGCGGACAGGGCGCGGGGAGGGCGCTCCCCTCACGCCTGTCCATCTCTGCTCGCCGCCCCCTCCCGAACAAACACACCGTCTTTCCCTCCACCCTCACCCTCCTGAAAGCCTCCCCCAACCCCCATTTCTGAAATGAGGGAAGGGATGCTGAGGAAGAATACGAGAAATGCAATCACATCGATTTGGACAGCGGCTTCTAGGGGCTTTGGGTTAAAAAAAAAATAACAGGGAGGGGGAAGGGAGAATTAGAGAGAGGAGTGGAAGGACCGCGCAGTTATCTGGCCCAAAGAGTCTCGGAGAGGCCAAAACACCCCTCCCCCACGCCTTCCCTTCCCCAAACACCCCATCAACCAAATTCCCGAGGGCACTAACACAGAGGCCCGCACTCACCGGAATCCCGCGTGGAACATGTACATTCGGGGCGCCCCCGGGCTGGCGTACTTGGGAGTGGTGAAGATGTTCTCCTTTTTCAGGGACACGTAGCTGATGAGCGATAAAATCAGCAGGGCGACGCTGAGCATGACCAGCCCCAGCACACTGGCGACCCGGGCCATTTTGCAGTTTCTCATCCCGGGCTGGGCTGGGTTCAGGGAAACCGGGGAAATCGGTCCATTGAGCGGCCAGCAGCTCGCTGGCGTGTATATATGTGTGTGTGTGTGTGTGTGTGTGTGTGTGTGTGTGTGAGCGCGCGCGCGTGTGGCGGAGGAGGGGGACCCGGGCGGGGGTGGGGGGAGGCCACCGGGGCCGGGGGTTGGGGCTGGCAGGAGCCCCGGAGAGCAGCGGGACCCCGTAGGCAGGGGCGCGCGGGGCCCGGTGCCGAGCAGGAAGATGGAGGGGCTGCGCGGCGGCGTGGCGAAGGAGCGCGCAGCGCCGTGCGTCCCCGGCCGCCGGCTCAGGCTCCCCCGCGCGTTTCCAGCGAGGCTGCCATCTCCTCCGCCGCCTGCAAGATAAATGTGATTGGAATAATGTTACAGTTCGATCTAAGCACAGGATTTAATTAATGAACTCTAATCTCCCAAATAACCGGGGGGAGGGGGTGCAGGAGAGGGAGGGAGTAGAGGGAAATGGTGGAGGGAGGGGGACTGAGGCTGCCAGGCTGCAGCCCGAGCCTACGGCCTCCCCGGCTGAGGGTGCCGGCGAGGAGGTGGCTGTGGGGAGACGGGATCCCAAACTTAGTTTAATGGACCATTCATTACTTTATAATATCACGGAATAGAGAGACAAATAACCGGATTTGCTGTCCTGGAGGGTAAACAACAGCTGGGTGCTTCTCAAAGAAGCAGGGAGGATGGTTTTTGGAAGGCAGCTATTTAAAAGCATCTCCCCTCGTTAAGGCACCGCCCCGGCCCCCTGCCCCCGCCATCCTCCCACCCCAAAGGAAGCTCCAAACAGCAACTGGGCCTGCCTGCCTCGGGAGCCCTTAAAACCTTCTTGGAATTTGCCAGAATGACTCCCCTGTGCGCCTTGTATGCCCACCACATACTTCACTTATCCCTAAAGGGTGGGTAGTGCCTAGCAAAGTTGCGAGGTGACCTGTGAGTCGGGAGGGCCTGCCTTCCTCTCCCCTTTCCGTCTTCCAGTGGATGGACAATGTGCTTGCCCCTGACTTGACTGGGCCTGTTGAAGTCAGCCCTGGTTTAACTCTCCGTTGCCCACTCTTCAGATCCATCCTTCGGGCCTGGTCTCCTGATGGGCTAGGTGGCCTGAGCCTCCCAAAAGCTGAGGCCATTAAAAAACACAGAACTTTTTATGAAGCAGCCCAAGAACCAAATAATAGAGGCTGCCTCTGAGAGTGGAAGGCAAACGCACTAACACTTTGCATTGCTTGACCTTAAATTTATTTTAGCATATTCACGTGTTTCTTGTATATCCATTAGAAATACAAATTAATCCATTTTCAGTCATGCAGTTGGGTGCTCAGGGGAAACTAGCATGTTTCTTTAGCTCTGTCCTTTGCAATTAGCTTATGGCCTCTGCTACCCTAGCTTTACTCTTCGCTTGGTCCTCCCAATACTAGTTAATAAGCACTAATGAGGGAAGCTAGGGGTGAGAAATTGGCGTTTGAGTTCTGATAAAACAAGTTGAGATTCTTCCAAGATGGTTATGACTTCTTTCTCTCCTGAACTTCTTGCCTTGTAGGCTTTCATGGACCTAATGTTATTATCTGTCTGGAGGCTGTAAATTCCTTGAAGGGGTGAGCTCCTGGATTGTAAGCTTCGGCAGAGCAAGGCTTGTCTTACTTCTCCAATACTGTCTCTTACACATGTCATGCTTGCTAAATGTTTGAAGACCTGATGAGCTCCCTTGGGAAACATATCTGTGTGGTTGTGGACAGTGGCACAAAGAATGCTCCTATTTGTTTCCAGTGACAAAGGGGGTCACTTTGCACCCACTAGAGACTTTTTAACCAAAATCTAAAAGTGTGTGTCAGGAGGACACAAATAACCTCCTTTCCTCTGTGGGGCTTTTTTATTATTTAAAAAAATTTAGAAAAGGCTTGCATGCCTGGATATGATGAACACTTGAACTGTATTTTTTTAAATTGCTATTTTTTAAAAATGATTGTATGAGTAAGGTGTAAAATGCCAAAGGGAGTAAGATCTTAAGAGAGCCATCTAGGAATGACACCTGTTAGAAAAAGTCTTCTTGAACCAGAAATCAGGAAACATGCTATGGAGAGGCAGCCTGGGGTAGTGTTACACCTTCAGACTGTGGAGCCAGAAAGACCTGACTTCAAAAGCATACTCTGGGTATTATCAAAAACACAAAAAATAACAAATGCTGGCAAGGATGCAGAGAAAAGGGAACTCGTATACACTGTTGGTGGGAATGCATTCTAGTACAGCCACTATGGAGAACAGTACAGAGGTACCTGAAAAAAACTACAAACTGAACTATTATAAGATCCAGTATTCCCATGACTGGGCGTTTATGCAAAGGAACGGAAATCAGTATGTCAAAGAGATATCTACCACCATGTTTATTGCCACATTGTTCACAATAGCCAAGATATGGATCAACCCAAGTATTCAACAACAGATGAATGGATAAAGAAAATGTGGTATATATACATAAAGGAATCCCATTCATCCATAAGTAAGAATGAAATTCTGTCATTCTCAGCAACAGGAATGAGCCTGGAGGACATTATGTTAAGTGAAATAAGCCAGGAACAGAAAGTTAAACACCGCATGTTCTCACTCATACACAGAAGCTAAAAAAGCTGATCTCAAAGAAGTAAAAAGTAGAACAGAGAATACTAGAGGCTGGGAAGTGTACGGGGGAGAGAGGATAAAATATTTATTAAAGGATACAAAATTACAGCTGGATAGAAGGAATAAGTTCTAGTGTTCTATAGCACTATAGGATGACTATAGTTACAATAATGTATTGTATATTTTCATATACCTAGAAGAGAAGATATTGAATGCCCCAAAACAAAGAAATGATACAAGTTTGAAATGACAAATATGCTAATTACCCTGATGGGATCACTATGTATTGTATGTATCAAAATATCACTATGTACCTATATATGTATGATTATTATGTATCAATTAAAATAAATGCTTACTCTGGCATCCACAGCCAGGTGACCTTGGGTAAGTTACAACTTCTCTGTGTTTCAGTCTGCTAATCTGCAGAACTGGGATAAAAATCTCCCAGGGTTTGGGGGAAGATTAAACAAAGCATATAAAGGCCTTTGCACCCTGGCCTATATTAAGCAGTTAATAAATATGAGCTAACAGCTTGGGTAAGTTTTTAGTGTCTTTTTCTCTGACCCTGTAAATGTCCTGCTACAGAGTGCATACGAAAGGATGTACTTAGGTGAGATATTTTCTTGCAGAGAATAGCAAAGATCAAGAAACTCTTCTGTTCCCTTTATAAAACAGCATTGCAGGCTTTCCTGAGACATCTGATATGGGTTCGCTCTGCCTGGATTTAAAAACTGATGTATTACTTATGCTTAGCACACCTCTGTGAACCTTCTAAAGAAAGTCCTAGGAGGACGATTTTCATATTGCATACAGGCCACTGAAGGTCACATGATGTAAAGGGACCAAATTAGCCAGAAAATAAACAGGCAGGCAGGCATCCTTATTACATGTGACAGGCTTATGGGTGAAAACGGATTGCTCAATAATTACCAGGGGAATAATTTTGGTGGCGGTGCTTCAAAAAACAACTGTAGCTACTGGATAAGGGATTTTTCAGGCCTGGGATTATAGCTATTTAATAATTAAAAAAAATCAGGACATTTTAACAAAATATCACTTATCAAATTTCATTGGAAATCAATCCTGTGCAAGAGTATAGGCGAGTGAAAATAAGAAGCACAGAAATGAAAAATCCCCCAGATGTAATGTTTTCTAGGAGAGTGTTATTCTAGACATAGGAACTTACTTCCCTTCTTCCACTCTCATGAGTGCCCACCTTTTGCGAACATGACTCTGCTCCCTGGCTAGCCCCTCACCAACCCATACTGGCCAAGAACAATTTCCAGGAACCCATTTAGGTGGGAAGGCCAGGAAAGGTGGTGTATTTTGTTAGAAACAACATTGTTCCTTTGGGAGGCAGAGGCGGGCAGATCACTTGAGGTCAGGAGTTTGAGACCAGCCTGGCCAATGTGATGAAACCCTGTCTCTACTAAAAATACAAAAATTAGCCTAGTGCAGTGGTGGGCCCCTGTAATCCCAGCTACTCAGGAGGCTAAAGAAGGAGAATCACTTGAACCCAGGAGGCAGAGGTTGCAGTGAGCCGAGACTGCGCCACTGCACTCCAGCCTGGGTGATAGAATGAGGCTGTCTCAAACAAAACAAAACAAAAAGAGCATTGTTTATTCATTCATTTATTTCTGTTTTCTTTAATTATTCATGCAATGAAATGTGTTGGTTATCAGACACCATGCTTGGCAGACTCAGGGGTTATAAAATCATCCTTGACCCCACGATGCTTATGGTCTTGTTGGGGAGAAGGATGTAAATGTAACAGAGGTACTACGCAAAAAGCTCCACACTAGAGGACTGCTGAGAAAACTGGGCAACACGCTTTGTCTGGGAGGTTAGCAAAGTTCTTCATAGGGGACAACATTTGAGCTGGATTTTAAAGCATGAGTAGGATTCATTAGGTACAGAAGTTTAGAAAGGCCATTCCAAGTAAAGGAAAGACTAGAAGCAGGAAAGATTATGGTGGGCTTGGGGAAGAGCAAGAGGTAGGAGGTGACTGCTGCAAGAGAAAAGCCTAGAAGACTACAGTCAGATCGGGATGGGCCTGTGGGACATGGTGAGGACTTGGTCAGGATCCTCTCGCAGCGCTGCTCAGAACCATCCAAAGTTCACAGAGAGGAGTGACTCAATGTGATTTGCACTGAATGGATGTCAAAGCAGCTGGAGCCAGGCCCGTGGGGAGGTGAGACACCAGCTGCTCCTGCGGATGTCAGCCGACGCGCCTCGTGGCCCTGCAGTCTGTCCACGTGCTAGAAGCCCCAGTGTGCCTTAATTTATCAATGAACCAATTGGCCATTTTATTTTATGAGACACCCCTGAATAAGGCATCAGGGAGTTGACTTTCAGGAGGGCAAGTGACCCCTCCCAGGCAACACAGAGATCATCGTGTGGGGAGCTCAGAGTGAGTCCACTGAGGAGCTGCTCTTTGGCTGCATGTGACCGGAGTCCTTTCTGCCGGCTGTTGCCTAACACCTTGATTTCTAATAAGTCTAACAGAGGACTCAGAGGAAGGGTCTTGGAGTCTTCTGGATTTGCACCTCCTATTTCCCTACAGAAGATAAGCAGTCTACGAATTCAATTGTGGGAAAATTCACTGTGGTCAGAGAAAGTGTCATAAAATCTCTCAGATGAAACAGAGGCATGAAAGTTTCCAGAGATGGAGGTGGAAAGAGAGGACGGGGCAGGGAGGGCAACAGAACTGAACAAAGATGTGGAGGCAGAAGAGGGCAAGTCTTGACAGGAGCCAGTAAATAGATCAGCCCCCTTGGAGTAAAGTCAAAACAGCCAAGATATGTAGGGCACTTAGGTGCTAGGGCATTGTAGATATTATCTATAATCTTTGCCCCACTCCTATGAGGAAGGTATAAAATTATTCTCACTTTATAGTTAAAGAAATTGACATTAAAAGAAGTTAAGGACTTGCTCAAGGTAAAGCCCCTCTGGCTGGAAAGCCCACCCTTTCTGCTAATCCACACTGTGTGTAAGTGAGTCCCAGGTCAGAGAGCTGGAGATGTGTACAGGCCTGCGGAGGTTGAAACAATCATGTTTTGGCAGTGAGAACTACCATTGCTTCTACTGACAATGATGACGATGATATCATCCAACACTTACTGCTCACATGCTATGTGTTGAGTGTAACACTGGGCATTTTACATAACTGATCTCATTCAATCTCTATTCCATTCCCCTGAGGATATAATGACCACCACCATTTCAAGAGTTCAGAATCAGGCTCAGTGAGGTTGACTTTATCAAGGTCATATTGTTAGTGTGTTCCAGAAGAGGATTTGGCCCCAGTGTGTTTCACTGGTACTCCAGAGCCCAGAGGAAGAGGGGCTTTCACCTTCTCCCTTATTCATTGTGTCTCAGAGTTCCTGAGGAAGGGAGTGCACGTTGGCAAGGGTAGAGGGGTTGGGGGCAACAAGGAAAGGACCAGAGTGGTACATAAGATATGCAGAGGCCTCCTGTGGTCCCTGGAGAAAGCTGAGTAAGGCAGGAGCCTGGGAAGGGAGGGCTAGCAATCCTGTGCAGACGGCCCTGAGACAACCTCTTATGTTCATTGTATCCTTTTAGTGCCAGCACAGCACCCACCTAGTGCTCAGTGTGAAAAGAAGTCAGGGAAGTTTGCTGTACGGCATCCCTGAGGTCCAGGCCAGGGAGAAGGTCAGCATCCAGTACTGATGGTGGAGAAAGATCTGCTCCACCGGGATGGATGAGCTGACTCGCTTATTGAAGAGGCCATGTTTAATTAAATTAAGTGGTTAGATTAAGTTAGATTAATATTAATACATGCACACAGTACAAAATATAAAGCCAAGGAAGGATGCACTGTGAACAAACGCCCTCCCACTGTTATCTCTCAGGGCCTCAGTTACCCTCCCAAGAAGCAGCTGCTGTTGCTGTCCGGAGATGATCTATGCATCAGATACTAAGCATATGAGTATGTATTCATTTTTAAACATAAATGCTGAGACCAGTTTAAAATGATATTTACTTCAGGGTTTTTTTTTCTATATCTCTACAAAAGACATTTTGCACAACATTTTAACATTTCAGATGTTTGCACTGATTGCATTTTCTAGAAGCTGGGGAATTACTCATTTTGCGCCTACAGACGAATGCTTCTCTTAAAGCTCAGTGAAGTGTCTGTATGTGAAAGGAATATGGAAACTTCAAATAGTCTTTTTCTTCATTGAATAAATAAAATATATTTGGAAAGCCATCTTCAAGCTTAAGGCTTTTTGCAGCCTAGTCCCTAGGAAATGGTTTGAAAGGAGCTATTATGCTCAATCGTGTTAATCTCCCAGACCCTTGCATAGAATTTTGACTTTTCAAATGTTAGCAGCGATTACTTTTTCTAGAAGCTGAGGTATTATACTTGGAGAAGCTACTTGAAAAATAATCTTACAGTTTAGTTTTAAGCTATTGTGTCTCTTCATTGCACCAACTGTGTGTATAGGCAATCACCCACGGTTACAACAGCCACAATAACATTACTAGGTACTGTCAGGGGAGGTGTTTGAAAAAAATCTAATTTTAGCCTTCATCTTGAGTTTTGGGGCAGTTTTTGTGCCTTGTGCTTCTGAAACTGTGTCAACAACGTATCTTTGAGAGCAGGGGAAAAATACTCTTTTGTTTGTGTATGATTATAACGGTATAAAATGGTAACATTTCCATGCAGTTTTGAAAAATGTCCTGTCACTTGCTGATTTATTGATGAGTACTGCTTCCACAGATGAAACGATAGGAATTGTTGAAGAATAAACTGCTAAGCACTCCCTTCCCTGGGCTCTGGGCCCCCTGCTCCAATTATAAGCACATACTCCAGGCTGAGATTTCTTGTCTTGTGTTCACAGGGAATTCACATAGTAAGGAGGTCACCGGACTTTCTAATATTGAAAAACTCAGTCTCAGTAGCAGCAAAAAAAAAAAAAAAAAAAAAAAAAGATTGAGTTACACCATGTTTGACATTATGGCCCTGCATGTTCTATCTCAAATCATGCTCACAATAATGCTGTATGATAATATTTTTATTCTTTTCCATTAATATAGGAGAAAGATACTCAGGGAGGTTAAATAACTTGGCCAAGATAACAGCAGCTTTTTAAACAGTGAGATTTTAGTAAAGGACTGAATGACTACAGTATTATTCCTCATTTCCTCCCAAGCCAGAGATTTAGGCTCCCGTACCCTGGGGCATGAAGGATCCTTCTTCAAAGTAGTTATTTGTCATTAAGAAAGGAGCCATGGACTTGGTATTTCCATTGGCTTATGTGCCCCTTTCTCCTCCTGGATTTTTACAAGGATGTTTGAGCACAGGGAAAGTGACTTCTCACTGGATAAGAAGATCCTTGTACCCTTGTGAAGCAACCTTATATCTTCATTTCAAAATCCCATTTTGTCCTGTGGTTTTACATGAAAAAAGCTCTGAGTCCTGTTGGAGGTGGTGTAAGATGAGGGGGTGGCTGGCTTTGGTGTCTGTACTTCGGTTTGGAGAAGGGCAGTTTTGAAGTGAGCCTTTCTGCTGGTGGAGAATGTAATTAGCACCTTCATCCTAATTGCAACCAGAGTAGAAGGAGCCAGGGCAGGCTCAGAGGAGAGATGGAGGTAACTGATCTTCCCGGGGATACCTCTGATGCTTTCTCCAGTTATCTGACACCTGGCTTCACTACTAGTTAGCAGTTTGTCCTTCATTTTCTTTTTGCTCTGAATTCAAGCTGCTAATTGGAAAAAAGAAGCTGAACTATTAGGTATGCTATTACCTTGACAAAGAATTGTATTTTTTTGGTATCTTCCCCTAAGGAAAATGTCAGCCTGAAAGTGAGTAGAAAGCACTTTGTAATCCTACTCTTCACATCTAAGATCATCTATGATTGAAGAAAGCCTCTCTCCTGGACCTTAGTCACCGCAAAGAAGTTCCATTTCTCACCTGGGTCCAGGTGTTACCCCAAGGGCAGTCAGAGTTTGCAGAAGATTGAGAGAAGTATTGCTTCGTTACTTGGAGACCCAGCATGGCATATATTATGTAGGTGGGCATATCCAAGTACTCAAATAGACCTCAAGGTGGTCACTGAAAAAAACTGCTGGGTTTGGCTCAGATCTTTGCCAATCCTTCCCCATCTGCCTGAGAAATCAGGCTCTTCAGATACTGCAGCATTGCTTGCTCTCACAGATGTCTCTCAATCTGTTCTGCTTTCCCTTTTCTCTATAACCACAGGGTTGACAATCTAATGGGGATCATATCACAGTAAACTTCCTTTTTAACCTTTACAGCAGCATCCTTCAACTGTAGTGTTATGCCAGAAGGCTGTGTTGTTCAGCAATTTTAGGCAAAATTTGCAAGACTATGGAAACTGCATCTATTATAGACCCAGTGCAAAGCTAGCTGTGAAAAAGCGAGAGTTGCAAACAGCATTAGACCTTTGGATAGTAGCTGTGAGCACTTATCAAAGGGTGCTGACTTTGTGAGCTCAGTGTGGAAAGGGATGCTGGTTCCATGTAGGTCTTTACAGTTGATAATCACTATCTTCAGGACCATCTTTGGGGAAAAAAATCTGACAACCATATAAATCTTACATTTTTTATAGCACTTCAATCTTTTTTCAAAGTACTCTCACATGTATTATCCCATCTTGACCTCCCAAGGAAACTGTGAGTTGGGCACAGCAAGTATTTCTATCCTGATTTCACAGATAAGACACAAAGAGGTTAAATCACACAGTAAGGCAGGAGACTGAGGCTAAACATCCATGTCTGATGTTAAGACTGCTAGTCTCTCTATGAAAAAAACACACCCTTCTTTTTAATCTCTGCAATTTAGCTTCTACTGCTATCACTCTACAAGAATCACTTCCTTATTTTCCTTGTCAGAGCTCCCTTAATTAATTATTTAAATTGACAAATCACACCTGTATATATTTATGGTGTACAACTTGATGTTTTATTATTATTATTATTATACTTTAAGTTTTAGGGTACATGTGCACAATGTGCAGGTTAGTTATGTATGTATACATGTGCCATGCTGGTGTGCTGCACCCATTAACTCGTCATTTAACTTGATGTTTTGAAATATGTACACATTGTGGAAAGGCTAAATGGAGCCAATGAACATTTGCTGGAATCCCTTTCTTTAAAGCAGTGTTTCTTGACTCTACCTGCCTCTTAGCATCATCAGAGTCACTGAAACATAATACTGGTGCCCAAGTCTCACTTCAGACCAATTGAGTCTGGATCTCGAAATTAGCTCCCAGGCATCTGTGTATTTCAAAGCTCCTCAGGTGATTCTGATGCACAGTAAGGATCAAAAACCATTGCTAGAAGCTTACCAATGGCAACCCTCATGTCAAATTTCATGACTTTTTCTTTGCTGCTAGCCTGGGGCCATTTGATACTAATTTCTTCTTTAAACTCATTCCTCTTTTGGCTTCCATAAAATGACACTTTCTCGATTCTCTGTTCTCCGATGGTGCTTTCCCTGTTTCAGTTTTCATTTGTTCACCATCTTCGTTGTGTTTTCCCAACTCAGCCTCACCCTTTTCTTTGCATGGTCACACAGGATACAGAAAATAGTATGGAGAGTTGTGCAGAGGATCATTTCTTTTCAAGGGCTTGGATATTCGATTGCATGCTGCACAAGGGCAGAGGCTTTATTCTAATCATGGCTGCAGCTCTAGAACCTAGGACAGTGCCAGATACACTCTCAATAATGGAATGAATGGTCACATCAATGTGACTGAATCTCATCTCTGTGTATAAAGTCCTGCCCTGCATTCTAGTTCTGCCCCTCTAATGCCATCTCTTGGATGTACCATCATCTTCTCAAAACCAGCTATTCAAAACTGAACACCTTCCTTCCTCCTACAAACTTGTTCTTTTAAATGTTCTCCATCCACTTTGCTGCTTCCAGGAACCTCATCTTCCCAGTTCTTTGGGTCAGCTTTGATTCTCCCTTCTTTGTTATCCTGCCTTGTGTTAGGGTCTATTTAGCTGATTCTGCCCTGCCTATGGCCCTTGGTGGGAAGCAGTGCTGGGCTGTGCACCCATGACTGTGGTCCGCCCACCCATTGATCAATAGCCTATGTGGTGACCAAGAGGAAGACTCCTAGTTCCCTCTGGAACATGGAGGCAGAGAATGGAGAATATTGACTGGCAGATATGGAGGAACTACAAGTATGGCCTGTGAGCCAACTCGCTTGGACACTGAATGGCTTTCTAGATTCATTTCCAAATCTCAAGAATCCTTTATAGAAACTCAGTTTTTCTTAAGGCTGATGACATGAAACTCAGTTCTGGAAATACCCATCCATCATTAATTATATTAATGTTAATACTAATATTTCCTCTTTTGAAAATAATGTATATACATATTTTCAATTTGCCTCTTCCTTTATTTTTGGACCAACTAACAGAGGTCCTAACTGCCTCCTGCCTAAACCTGCTAATACATTTCTAGAAGGTGTATTTGATCCTTCTTATCTCCTTCTGATTTGCTGCCCCTTCTGCCTGAACTTACTAACTTCCTTTCTCTAGCTTCACCATCTGGGGAACTCATATTTGTCTTCTTAGAAAGTTTTGTTTTATGAGGTTAGGGAGGAGGAATGGCCAGGGATTAAGTAACAGAATGGGTCTGAAGTCAACCAGAATCAAGTTAGTTCAGGGACCAGTGAACAAAGTTAATGACCTAGGAAAAGTTACTTAACCTCTCTGTGCGTCAGTTTCCTCACCACCAAATGGGAACTTGCAGTAACTATGACGGGACGACTGAAGGGGTTCAGTGAGTTAATGCATGTGATGCACTTAGCATTGTGTCGGGCATATACTAAACGCTGAAGATGTGTTCACTTTATTATTGGCGTCTCCTCTAAGCAACCATCCCCAGTTTCCTGCCCTCATTCTCCACTCTCAATTTAGAATTAGGCATTTCTCTTGTCTGCTCTCATTAATGATACATTTTCCCCTTAATTTACAATTTAGGATTAAGCAATCTTTTGCGCACTGTGTTTCACAATTGGATCATTGCATTGAAGCTTGACTCATCCACAAGCTCTGCATCTTCTATTACCTCAGAACACACTGAGCCTCCTGATTGGTACCTGTAACAGGCACTGTCAGTGGATGCTCCAACACCCATCTTCTCCTTAAGATCAATTTCTGGGGCTGGGTGCGGTGGCTCACACCTGTAATCCCAGCACTTTGGGAGGCCGAGGCTGGTGGATCACTTGAGGTCAGGAGTTGAAGACCAGCCTGGCCAACATGGTGAAACACTGTCTGTACTAAAAATACAAAAATTACCTGGGCATGGTTGTGCGTGCCTGTAATACCAGCTACTTGGGAAGCTGAGGCAGGAGAATGGCTTGAACCTGGGAGGTGGAGGTTGCAGTGAGCTGAGATCATACCATGGCACTCCAGCCTGGGCAACAGAACGAGACTCCGTCTCAAAAAAAAAAAAGAAAAAAAAAAGACTAATTTCTGGTGAGTCTAATCCCACTATCCTAATTCCATATTCTTTCCACATAGTCTCTCAGTGGAGCACAGGCCCCTTCTGGCCGACAAGATGTGAAGGGAGGTGTCTGGGAGGATTTCTGAGAAAGATGACCTCAGTTTTAAAATAAGACCCAAGGAAGAGCAGTCCCTCTTCTTCCCCTGAACATTGTGTTTGTTGGGAGATCTGGAACGATGGCACCCATTTTGTGACCATGAGGGGAGACAGCTGAGGACAAAGCTAACACCGAGGATGATACAGTGAAAAGGCAGAAGGAGCTGGGCCCTTGAGGATGTCGTGAGCCATGGAACTAACTGATCCTGCAGCTTCCATTCACCACAACCTCTAGCTATGTGAAGGAAAATCAAATATTCCATATTGTTTAAACCAGATGAGCTGGGGTTTAATTTGGCCAGAGACATTCTGACACAGTGCCCATGATATGTTGTTTAAGGTCTGATGTTTATTTTTTAAAAATATGGTTCCCAGTCCATGTCAGCTGGGACGTCTTGCAGAAAGGCATTTCTAATGGTAATGGATGAGAGAAGTAGGGCATCGCCTCATCACCCTACACTTCTTCTCTGCCCCGGCTTCTACCTTCTTCAAGCCCAATAGGCTGAAGATCTCCAGCCCAACTGGGAAAGGGAGAGGGAGAGGGAGAGGGAAATGAGAGTCCATGCCCAGGGAGCAGGAGCAGCAGGCAGTGGGGAGGAAAGAAGGGTGGCAAGAGAACCAGGAGCAATGACTGCCATTCCCTGGGGTCCCTGGAGATCAGAACTGCGCCACGTGCAGATGTCACCACACTGAATTCTCACACATCTTCCTAACAGCCTGCAGGTAATGACCACATCCCCATGTCATCAGTGCAGAAACTGAAGGTCGGAGAGACTAAATAACTTGTCTACTGTCACAAAGTGTGGAAGTCAGGAGTTCTTCTGAGATTCAGGTGTTTGAGATCCATGAACCCCTGAAATCATAAGCTCAGTTGTGTGTGTGTGTGTGTGTGTGTGTGTGTGTGTGTGTGTGTGAGTACTTTTCTGAGGGGGGAGCATCTGTGATTCCCTGAAAAGTTTAAGGCTCACCGCAGCAAATCGGGGAGCTGGGCTTCAACCCACTTCCATCTTCCTCCTGAAGCCCAGGTTGTCACTTGTACTCATGTGTTTCCTGCAGGGCTTAAGGCTCAGGCCTCCTTCCCAGCACAGCCTTTTCTTTGACTACCCCTATGGCGCTCCACTCTGCTTAATCTGTGAGCACCTCCCAGGTGTTGCCTGCAGTTCAATGGGCACAAACTTTCAGGACAATGTTGTAGGTTGAATTGTGTCCCTGCCCAAAATATATGATGTTCTAACCCTCAGTACCTGCGAATGTGGCCTAATTTGGAAATAAGGTCAGATGTAGTCAAGTTAAGATGAGGTCATACTGGATTACGGTGGGCTCCCGTCCAATGACTGTGTCCTTATAGGAAGAGGGGAATTTGGACACAGAGGCACGGAGAGAAGAAGGCCGTGTGATGATGGAGGCAGAGGTTGGAGTGATGTGGTCACAAGCCAAGGAACCCCAAGAACTGTGAGCCACGATCAGAAGCCAGTGGAGAGGCACAGAACAGATTCTCCCTCAGAGTCACCAGAAGGAACCAATGCTGCCAACATCTTGATTTTGGACTTTTAGCTTCCAGAGCTGTGAGAGAATAAATTTCTGCCTTTTAAGTCCTCCAATTTGTGGTGATTTGTTCTGGAAGCTTTAGACAGTGCCACAGAGAGGAAAACTACGAGCAAATGACACACTAAGAGTTGCATTTGACCTGACACCAACATGGTCTCCCGACCCCTCTGGAGAACACCATGAGGCATTAGTTTCTCCTCTCACCGAGGAGTGAACTGAACCCTGAGAGCCAAGCAACTCACCCATGTCTCTCAGCTGCTGAGTGGCAGAACCAGGGTGCAAGCCTGTGTCTCTGGCTCTGAGACCCATGCTCCACACAGCCCACCTCTTATGGATGGGGTGGAAATGGGGTGGGATGAGAGCAGGTAGGGAGAGGAGGGAAGAAGAAGGGGAAAGGGAAATGGAGAGGGAGTGGGGAGAGTAGGAGGTAGAGACTGTTGGGGAGAGAGAAGGGAAGGTGGAGGGAATAGGGGAAGAAGATGAGAGAGTGAGGCAGCTCTAGGCAGTTCCCTCCCCCACTCAATCTTAGCAAAGGACAGAAGCTCCCCACAGCATCCCAGGGTACAAGGCCCCTTAGGTAAGTCACTGGTAATCTTGGCAGGACTGGGTTCTATGGAAGGGTGTAGGCAAAAGCCCCAGTAGGATAGATTTGGGGGAGAATTGGAGAGATCAAGAATAAATAACTCTTTCAAGGATTTTTGCTGTAAATGGGGACTGAAAACCAAGGTGGTAACTGGAGGAGTATACGGAGTCAAGAGTGGAATTTTTTTAACATGGGAAAAATTAAAGCATGTTGGTAGGCTGTAGGGAGTGAACTAGCAGAGAGTAACAACATGATGATGGGGGAGAGGAGAACCACTGATGCGATGCCCTAGAGTAGGCAAGAGCGGATAGGGTCCACTGCGCATGCACAAGGGCTGGCCATCTTCCATGGCAGCAGGAGGGGAGTCATGTTGACACAGACTCTCTGGTGGTAGAAGACGTGCAGCTGGGGAAGTTCTGTTCTGGTTTCTTGTACTTTCTTAGTGGAGTCATCAGATGACAGCAAGAATGAGGAAGGTGGTACCCCTGCAGCTTTGGGAGAGAGGAGGAGTGACACAGTCATCCAGATGAGTGGGGCAGTGGAGTGACTGGACTGTCAGGGTAATACATGCATGTCCCTCCAAAAGCTGTTCCAATGATTCAGCCTGAACACACACACAAAGTGCTTAGAACAGTGCCTGACATAACAAACACACAACAAATATTAGCTCATATTTTTTATTACTCTTCCTAAATTATCTTAATCTTCAAGAATAACATCACAGGGTGGACTGAAGCCCCAGGTGGTCTCCACTTTTATGTTTCCTGGGATCAACCCCTGGAAAACAGCCCCTTCATCTGAAAACCAATGGAAACTTTGCCTGCCCAGGACATTTCCTTGCACATGTCCAGAAAGGAGCCGATCTGGAAGGCAGCCTTTGCTGGCAGCAGCCATGGCAGCAGCACACTGTGCTCTGCTGAAAGGAGAGACCACTTAAATGAGGTAGCTCTTTATTGGTAATGACAGTTCCCACTCACCTCGGGATTTCTTCAGGACCTAGTGTGGCCCTTGTGCTCCCAGTTTCCAGTGACTTTAGGATGATGCCACATGTGGTACAAATAATAAAGAATGGGCCTGGACTGGTGGCTCATGCCTGTAATCCCAGCACTTTGGGAGGCCAAGGCAGGCAGATCACGAGATCAGGAGATTGAGACCATCCTGGCTAACATGGTGAAACTCCATCTCTACTAAAAATACCAAAACAAAATTAGCGGGGCGTGGTGGCGGGTGCCTGTAGTCCCAGCTACTCAGGAGGCTGAGGCAGGAGAATGGTGTGAACCTGGGAGGGAGCTTGCAGTGAGCCGAGATTGCCCCACTGCACTCCAGCCTGGGTGACAGAGTGAGACTCTGTCAAAAAAAAAAAAAAAAAAAAAAAAAAAAAGAAAGAAAAAAAAAAAGAAAAAAAAAAGAAAGAACAAACAGCTACAGAGTGTGCAGACTTGGGGGATTTCTGTGCAGGGGTCCTTATTGTAAACTTCCAGCCATGAGAATGGGTTAACTGATGAATAAAGGTAAATCATCCATGTGGTCACAGGAGCAGGGTGACTGGGGAGATGTTGGGGAAGATGGTGCAATGTACTGAACCAGGAGTCCAAAGGCTTGGGATGTTATCCTGGCTCTGCCACAGTGAAACAAGGCACCTTGAATGATTAAGATTCCTTTTGGGTAAACAAGAATGATGATGAGAATGAAGAAGATGAAGATGGTGATGATAGCTTTACTCTGGCTCTAATGAAACACAGTCCCTACATTTCTGAACTCTGTGCTCCAAAAGGATGGGGATTGAAGGAGGCAAGATTCCTGTGACAGCTGTCTTCTGGGTGCTCTCCCATAGGCCCTCTCCATTCTGGACTGCCTCTGTGGGCTTCCTTGCCCTCTGGCTCTAGACTGGATTCAATCATGCAAGACTCCAGCTGGAGATCAGAAGCCGGGAGGAGCATGAGGTCAGATATTTAGATGCTAAATCTAATGGCCCATCTTCAGTACTGAATTTACTAGGCTGTGAGCATAAATGGACATTTGTGATCACTCCCTCTTTGAAATGGGTTTGTCTCTGGATTTAGGGACTTCCTGCTACTACGGGCTTTCCTGCTCCCTCACTGACTTTTCAGAATTATTTTTTGAATTGTCCTCATTTCTCCAACCTCTCAGCCAGAGGTCTGAGGACCCCAGAGTTCAGAATTCAGTCTATTTTCTATTTATACTCATTCCCTAGATGAACGTAACCATGGCTCATTCAAAGCTCAGGACTTTAAGCATTTATACATGCTGAAAATTTCCAAACTTATATTTCCAGCCTGCACCTCCTCCTATATTCCTGACTTATGTTTTCTTCTTAACACTTATCACTAGCTGATATTCTAAATATTTTATTTATTTTCTCACAGACAAATGTAAGCTATACAAGGCCAGAGTCTTCTTTTAAAAACTTTGTACTAGGGAACATTTCAAATATACAATAAACCCCTGTATCCATCATCAGCTACAACAGTCACCAATTCCTGGCCACTCTTATATAACTTATACCACCCCCTCCACCAGCATCGGATTAATCTGCAGCAGATCACAGCCATCATATCATTTAATCCATAAATACCTTTATATATATCTCTAAAAGATAAAGACACATAAAATACAGCCCTAGTAATTCATTACTATCATCAAATATCTAGTCAGTGTTCAAATTTTCCTAGTAGTTTCATAAACTTTTTTTTACATACTAGCATGTAGTTAGAAAAATAAATCGTTTAAAAAATGAAAAACAATTTTTACTGTAGTAAATTATACAAAACATGAAATATACCATTTTACCCATTTTTAAGTGTATAGATCAATACCATTGACTACATTTGCATTGTTGTGCAACCATCACCACCATCTATCTCCAGAGCTTTTTTTCATTATCCCAAACTGAAACTCTGTACCCACTGAACGCATCATTTTTTTTTTCTTGGAGACAGAGTCTGTCGCCCAGGCTGGAGTGCAGTGGCACGATCTCAGCTCATTGCAATCTCCGCCTCTCAAGTTCAAGCGATTCTCTTGCTTCAACCTCCTGAGTAGCTGGGACTAGGGATGCCCGCCACCACGCCCGGCTAATTTTTGTATTTTTAGTACAAATGAGGTTTTGCCATGTTGGCCAGGTTGGTCTCGAACTCCTGACTTCAGGTGATCCGCCTGCCTCGGCCTCCCAAAGTGTTGGGATTGTAGGCGTGAGCCACCGCACCCAGCCAGTGATTTTTAAATAGTGAGTTTGTTTGTATCAGAACATGTAAGACTCATAGATTGCATGTGCTTGATATCTCTTTTTAGTTCATAGATTTCCCTCTTTCTCTTTTTCACCCCTTTACAATTTACTATTGAGGAAATTGGATGTTTTGCTGTGGATCTCACTGATTGCACTGATGTCATTTAACAGATTCCTCTGTATTTCCTGCACACTGGTAGTTGGATTGTGAAACTTCTTCAGATTCAGGCTTGTTTTTTGTTGTTAGCCTGGCGTACTTTATAGGCGGTGCTGCGTCAGAAGTCCCAGGGTGTCTTGTTGTCTCCCTTTTGGTGTGAGCTGCCATTGATGATCATGACCCAGATCTTTTAATTCATTAGAGGGTTGCAAGATGATGATAATCTATTTTTTTTCACTTATGTGGAATACACCTATACCAGGAAACATCCTATCACCAACTATGGAGTTACTTGGAGGCATAGCTCATTTAGGGACAGCTGGTTTTCGGAATAATACATCTAGCATCTTCAAAATGCGACCACTGAAAAAAACAGGAGAGACAAATTGAGTAGCTCCCAGGCTGAGGACTGGAAACAGTGCTGAGGTTGAGGACAGCCAGGCTACTGACAGCAAGCACAGAAGGTGCGGGGCAGAGGAGAGTCCTGCTTCTCTAACCCAGCTACTTGCGCTTTCCACTGGTCGGGGATGTTGTGTGTGCTGGGGTTATTTTAAGCCACACAGTGAATGTGGTTCATCTTCTGGGGGATATCAATTTTACTTGAAGAGTGGGGGAAACGTTTTCTACACTCAAATAAATACAGAAACTTTATGGAATAAGGTAGAAAAAGCACATGCATTTTAAAGTGAAAAACAGATTTTTCTCTTTTGCTGTAGGTCTTTTTATGCATGATTTTCAGACCTCAGGGATTTGTCTTCTATCTTCTGCTTGTGGGAAGCGCTGCACCAGAACATTGCTGTGGGTCTGTTCAGCCTGAAGGGCCACAGGCCGAGGAGACAGGCCAACTCTAGCCCCGGCAAGCATGTCAGAGAAGCCGACTTGGCCTCCAGCACAGCACCCTGGGCCAGGAGCACATTCTGGGTGTTGAGGTCAGTCTTTACTGGGGAAATCTGATCCCACCCAGGGGTGCGGTTTCAGCTTCCCCTCTCTCTGCAAGCAGCTCTTGCCTCATAGTGTCACTTGCCCTGGGAGCTGGGACTAGGGAGAAGTTTTCCATTGTTGTAGAGCCAGACTTTTTTCTGGGGAAAGGGGGGCTCTTTTGGACATGATCAGGCCTTATTATTGGCGGTTTGAACAGGATATCTGCCTGTGTGGTGTAGAAGGTTACAGCAGGAAGGGACCTGCCAAACGCTCTACCCAACTTCGTTGTTACATATGAGGATCCTGGAGCCCAGAGAAGCAATTGATTGGCCTGGTCAGCGAAAGGATAGATTCAAAATCCCATCTTGGCTTCTCAGTACAGGGTTGTTTATACTCCCCAGATGCCTTTCATTTGAGAGGAACTGAATGCTCCATCTGCTCCAATAAGGCCAGGTCTTTCTACAATGGACAGAATTTACAGAACTGCCTTTGCTAGGGATCTAGCAAAGTAACGCATACAAAAATGTATGCACAAAGATTTTTATAGCAACATTATGGAAAATAGTAAATACAGGGACAAATCGAAAGGCAGATTGTTTATATCCATTGTGGAAGAATCATCTAATGTAATAATGCATATCATTAAATATCTTCTTGAAAAGAACATACACTGGTACAGGTTCTCAGTTATGGGTACATGGCTAGTGGAAACAGCAATGTGATCTCTGAGTGCTGGACTTTGGGTGGTTTTTATACTTTATAATTTTCTGTACTTTTTAAATTTTCTACAATGAACATTCATTATGTTACTTTTACATTAATTACCTCTTAAAATACTAAAATTGTCTTTGACTGACTGTAGTTACTAGCTAGTGGTGGCTGCCAATATGTTCTGCTATTTCTGAGTTTTCTGGTTAGCCCCACACCTTGCCTCTAATTTGGCTTTTCTTTTTGTTGGAAAATGTCCTTTAGTAGTTTATTCAGGAAGCATGTGAGTGGTTAAAAAAACTATTAGTTTTTTATATTTAACAAGTCTTTATTTTGCCCTGACTCTAGAAGGTATATGGTACTTAGCAAGGTATATGGCTTTTATTACATTTTCCTACAACACTTTGAAGATATTGTTCACTTGTATTCTGGCATCCATGCTGCTGATGAAAAGATTGAGGTCAGTTTAATGAGCATGTCTTTGTAGAAAATCTTTTCTTTCTCCCTGTTTCTCATAGCTTTTATGATGTTATCTTTAATGTTCTGCAGTTTCACGATGCTATGTCTAAGTGGGATTTATCTTTGTTTATTGTGCTTGGCACTTGGTGTACACTTTCAGTCTGAGGAGTCAACATCTCTCAACAATTCTTAGCCATTTCCTCTTTGAATGTTGTCTTGCCATCAGTTCTTCAGTTCTTCTAGAATTCTGATTACATGTGTTTTCAAATTTTTCAATCTATCCTCTGTTTCCCAACTATTCTTTTACTTTTTAAATTGAGGTAAAATTCGTACACTGTGAAATTGAGGTAAAATTCGTACACTGTGAAAATTCGTACTGTGAGGTAAAATTCGTACCTGTGAAACCACAATCCCAATCAAAATTAAGAACATTTCCATCTTCAATAACATTTTCTTATGCTTCCTTTTAGTCAATTCTCATTTCTCATGGAAAACTGTTCTGATTTTTTTCATCACAGGGTAGTTGTTTTTTCCTGTTCTCAAACTTTGTATAAATGGGGTGCAGCACACCAACATGGCACAGGTATACATATGTAACAAACCTGCACGTTGTGCACATGTACCCTAAAACTTAAAGTATAATAATGATAAAATTAAAAAAAAAACTTTGTATAAATGGAATCATGCAGCATATATCTTTGTGTTTGGTCTATTTCACTTAAAGTGTTTTTGAGATTCAACCATGTTGTTGCATGTATTAGTAGTCCATTTTTTTCCTTTTGCTGAGTAGACCTTTACTGTAGAAAAATATCAAAATTTGTTTAATCAAATTTCCTGAATCATTGGGGCTGGGGGTTGGAGGGAGAGTCTGTTCTATTGACATTTTTTTTTTTTTTTACTATTAGTCACATTTCCTGTGTCTTCACATGCTTAATGATTTTTGATAGCATGTTGGACACTGCGATGATATGTTGTGGTGACTCTGAATTCTGTGACCCTCCTCTGAAGAATTCTAACATGGAGTTAAATCACTGACTCATCACTTTGAACATGTGGAGGCATGGTTTTGCCTTTAGTAAGAGGGAGTGTCTGTATAAAGCTCAAGGTGTTTAGCAAGACTTCCCAACTTGATAGCTCTCACTCTCTTGGGGTGGGCATCCGATATCTCTGCTTAGTTATTTTACCATTTCAACTTGATTTTTGCTTGTCTTTTTAGAATCCTTATTGTGAATATGCATTTTAGGGGTGAGCCAATAATTTAAGGGGAGTTTGTATGCAGATTTTTGGCACCTCATGCCATGGCTCCCTCCTTTCCAGGATTTGCTTCTCTAATTCCCAGCTGCCCTGGAACTCTATCCTCTGACACCTGAAGTCAATAAGACTGCAGCTTTCTGCTTGAGATCTGGTGACTCTTCACTGTATGGACTGGAGTCTGCTCTCAACTGAAAATGGCTATATGTCATCCAACATGGCTTCCGCCTTTCAAGGGACATATCTCTTTCAGATTTTGCCTGCTTTTGGTTGTTCTTCAGTGTCTTCAAGTGTTTGTTTTAATATTTTTTACAGAGTTTATAATTGTTATGTGTGAGAGAGTCTGAAACAAGCTACAATACTATTACCACAACTGAAACTGTCCCCTTAACCATTTTTAAATGTCTTCATCCTTTTCTCTGTTGTATATTATGAGCAAATTATTTTGTCCTATATTTAAATTTTCTAATTATCTTTTTCACCATATCAAGTTTAGAGCTATCTCATCCATTGTGGTTTATTTTTCAAGATTTCTACAGTTACCTTTTATAATCACCTATTTTGATTAATTCTGCTTTCTAATTTGATAATCTCATTACTTTTAAAGATGCTATTTCTTTCATTGTTTCAGGATATTATCACAGAAGTATTTAATAAAAAATCATTTTCTTATTGCTCAATTATTTTAATTTTTTTGTGAAGTGATTTCATCTCTCAGTTGTTGATTTTTCTGGTTAGCTTTCTTAGATTATTTACATTTCGGATTTTGGACTATTAGTTTGCAGACTCATTTTGAGTGAGGCGGAAGTTTTCCCTCCCATCCTCTATGGCTAACTCTATCTAATACTTTAGTAGGTATCTCTACTTGCCTCCTGGGGTATCTCAATCAGAACTAAGTGTTGGAGTGTTGGCTTGGGGATTCCAACCCACAATAATATTTCTGATATCTCAAAACTTCTCAGCAAGTTATTAGGCAAAAAATACTTCCCATCTTACATGCTTGTGTTGGAATCTGACTAATGGTCCTCACAAGTGATGGGGTCTATGTCCACTCGCATTGATCCTAAACCAACCTTTGTGACTGCCTCAATCAATAGATTATGATGAGGTGACACTGTGACTTCTGAGTCAAGACCATAGAAATGCCATGCACTGGCTGGGCGCGGTGGCTCACGCCTATAATCCCAGCACTTTGGGAGGCGGAGGCTGATGGATCACTTGAGGTCAGGGGTTCAAGACCAGCCTGACCAACATGGTGAAACCCCATCTCTACTAAAAGCACAAAAATTAGCTGGGCGTGGTGACAGGTGCCTGTAATGCAAGCTACTCAGGAGGCTGAGGCAGGAGAATCACCTGAAACCCAGGAGGCAGAAGTTGCGGTGAGCCGAGATTGTGCCACTGCACTCCAGCCTGGGCGACAGAGCGAGACTCTGCCTCAAAAAAAAAAAAAAAAAAAAAAGAAAAAAGAAAAGAAATGCCGTACACTTCCACGTTGCTCTCTTGGGATGCTCACTCTCACTTTTGGAACACAGCCACCACGCTATCAGGAAGGCCAAAATAGCCCTCATGGAGAGAACACATGTAGAGGGCAACCAACAGCTCAGCTAACGTCTTGAATTAGCATGAACCTCCAGATATGTGAGCAAATGTGCCTCCAGGTGGTGACTCCAGCCATTGAGTCACCTCCAACAGAGGCTCTAGACATCCTTGCTATGCCCTGTCTGCATTCCTAAGCTACAGAATACATTAGCAAAGTAAAATGACTTGTTTTACCCTACAGAATTGTTGGGTGATTTGCTATGCAACAGTAATAACCAGAATGATCGTTCTGTCTAGCAGTTTGGACCTTTGGAACACCCTATCAGAACTAAATAATTGTTGGCTTGAGAATCCCAGCGCACGATAATATTGCCAATATCTCAAAAGTGTTCATCGAGCCAGTGGGTGGCTTGGCCTAGGTCTTGGTTGTGAAGCCTGCTTCTCTCTGCCTCCCTAGGTGTGCACAGCTTCAACTCAGCATCAGCCCCTGGCCGGGGTAGCTAGAAAGCTTTTTCGTATCCCTTTCACAAGCAGGGAACCCCCAACCCATCTCTGGTTTCAGGGTCAGCCTCACCTCGTGGAACTTTGGGCCCCTTTATCTCCACAGGAACCACCCTCTTAGTTGACTGAATATGTAGCCACACCAGACCAATCTAGTTAAACTTTTATGTGACAAAGCTGTGAATTGTTTTGCAGTTGCCACAGACCTCCACGTTGAAGCTCATGTAATTGGAACATGCCCAGATGAACCATGTATGAAACCATGGGCAGAACCTAAGTGCTAAGATGGAGGCGCAAGAACTGAATTAAGAAGGAGACACTGAATGACAGGATTCAGGATCCAATCATATGGAGCCCTGGTATCATCTCATTATAAGATCCAATCAGATCACATCTCATTATGCTATGCTTGTAATACCAGTCCCAGCTCCCAGCTCAGGGAGACAGATTTGAGCATTTCCTCCTGTCCGCTGCCAGTTGACTTGCAATAAAGCTTTTCTTTGCTCAAAAGCTGATGCCATGGTATTGGCTTCACGTCAGGCAGCTGTCAGCTCATTGGTTGCTCAGTAACGAGTACATCCTTTCGAACTCAAGGCCCAGCAAGCCTGGTGCTTTAACCATGTTTCTGTTTTTTTCTGTTCCTGGTCCGTGGGGATGTTTTGTGTCTTTTAAATTTTTTAAATTAGATTTCACTTTTTCTGTCATCGTTGTGTTTGAATAGAGGTGGGGTGGAGAGAATGCACACCATAAATTTACAGCACCATTTTAGCTGACAGTCCTTCTACATGACTCATAAAGTCAGGAAAAAAAAATCAATGAAATCAATGCTATACCACCTCTACCTCTCAACTCTGTACTCTTTGCCCCCTTTTTAGTGCACACCATTCCCCTCTTACCTGACTCCTGTGTCTCTCCACTGATCTCTGTCACCAACTGGGAAGAAATTGGGTGGCCTTATTTGCTTATACTAAAAAGTCAGGGAGTGTAGCAGACAGAATAATGCCTTTCCCGAATGTCCATGTCTTAATTCCTAGAACTTGTGAACACACTACCTTATAGGTAGAAGGGACTTCACAGGTATGATTTATTGAAGGATTTTGAGTTGGGAAAATTATCCTGGATTATCTGGGTGGGCCTGATGTAATCACATGATCCTCATAAGAAGGTAAAGGTAGAGAAGGAGATGTGACAAAGGAAGCAAAGCCAGAAAAGGTGATGTGATGACAGAGAGAGAGAGAGAGCAAGAGAGAGAGCACTATGTTGGAAGATGCTATGTGCTGGCCTTCAAAATGGAGAGAGAAGACCATGAGTCAAGGAATGCAGGTGGCCTCTAGAAGCTAGAAAAAGCAAGGAAATGAATCCTTTCCTAGAACCTCCAGAAAGAATGCAGTCCTGCTGACCCATTTTGGACTTCTGAACTCTAGAACTTGAGAGAGAATAAGTTTTTGTTGTTTTAAGCTGTAAGACTGTGATAATTTGTGACAGCAGCAATAAGAAACTAGTACAAGGACTGAAGTCTTAACCTCTCTAGAAATGTTCAAAATCGGCCGGGCGCGGTGGCTCACGCCTGTAATCCCAGCACTTTGGGAGGCCGAGGCGGGTGGATCATGAGGTCAGGAGATCGAGACCATCCTGGCTAACAAGGTGAAACCCCGTCTCTACTAAAAATACAAAAAATTAGCCGGGCGCGGTGGCGGGCGCCTGTAGTCCCAGCTACTCGGGAGGCTGAGGCAGGAGAATGGCGTGAACCCGGGAAGCGGAGATTGCAGTGAGCCGAGATTGCGCCACTGCAGTCCGCAGTCCGGCCTGGGCGACAGAGCGAGACTCCGTCTCAAAAAAAAAAAAAAAAAAGGCCAGGCGCGGTGGCTCACGCCTGTAATCCCAGCACTTTGGGAGGCCGAGGCGGGCGGATCACGAGGTCAGGAGATCGAGACCATCCTGGCTAACACGGTGAAACCCCGTCTCTGCTAAAAATACAAAAAATTAGCCGGGCGAGGTGGCGGGCGCCTGTAGTCCCAGCTACTCGGGAGGCTGAGGCAGGAGAATGGCGTGAACCCCAGGAGGCGGAGCCTGCAGTGAGCCGAGATTGCGCCACTGCACTCCAGCCTGGGCGACAGCGAGACTCCGTCTCAAAAAAAAAAAAAAAAAAAAAAAAGAAATGTTCAAAATCTAAAATGGGGCCAAAAGAGAAGGGCATTACTTAACTCAAATGAATGGCACTGTCGTAGTGGAAATCCAGTTGTGCAGATGGCTCCATACCTCACTTCCAGTGCCTGCTCCAGGGATGTTCTGTGTCTTAATGCCTGGGCTTCCTTCATCAATGCCATTGCTTTGGAATAGGTTTTATTTCTTTAGAAGATGTCTTCTACAATGCTATTGAGCTAGGAGGGTACTAGTACTGGAGCAGGAATTTGTTTTAGAGTCAGAATAGACACAGTAGAGGAAACAGTGTTTGAAAATTTATGAGGCTCTCAGCCTACAGTCAGGAGGCCTGACTGGGCCCTGGGTGCCTCAGGGGGGGAGATGGCAGGTTGATGGAGGGAGGCACCAAAGCCCATGGCGAGCCCAGCAAGGTCTTGCCCTTCAGTCCTACGAGCCGAGGGAGGTCATGTGGTGGCCCCTCTAACGAACTGCACGGAGGAACAAGTTGCAGTAGGAAACAAAGGTGATTTTGCTTCAGATTCTTCAGAGATAGCAATATGTCAGCAGCCCCCAGAGAGGCTGAAAGTAAATGAATCAGTGCTAGAAAGTGAAGGATACCATCCGCACTGAATGGTGAAAAGGACTCCTGAACAGTATCTTCATTGATTTTTTTCTGTAATTGACACAGCATCCTGGTTTGCCTTCAGGCTTCAGAAGGAGAAAACGGGGAGCCCATGTACACAGAGCTTCCTCGTGTTGGAATTTAATAAAAAAAATTCCCTGGAATGAACTCCTTTTTCTTTCCCTTCATCATTCCTCTTTCTGTCTCTGCTGTCTCTCTCTTCTTTCTATTTCCTTTCTTTCTCCCTCCTTGCCTCTCCTTCCCCAGGTCAATCTCTCTCTCTCTCTCTTGCTCTCTTTCTCTCTCTCTCTCTCTCTCTCTCTGTCACACACACACACACACACACACACACACACACACACACACACAATTTCCTTTTGTTCAAAATAAGAGCTTAGACAATAATTACCACAATATGGGCAACCTGCTTTTGCTGGATGTGACATCGAGGACCTTAGGAAAGAAAAAAAATAGCACATTCCATCTTTCATGTTGGCTTAAATCTCATTTGAACAGAAGCTCAGTATTTTTCCGGGAAAATAAAAATATATCACTCACAGTTGCTATATCTGAGAACTGCCCTTTGGAGTAGAACGCAGAGAGAAGGCCTGGGCTCCCTTTGGGGGCTCCACCACACAGGAGATGGAAGAATCATCCCCTCACCTGCAGAGCCACCCCCATGGGCCTTGGTGGGCAGAGCCTGGTTCCTGCCTTGTTGCTAGTTATGGATTTCACAGATGAGGAAAGCGCAGTGCAGTCAGATAACTTTAAGGAGAGTCTCCAAAATGGACCCCTATGTAGGACCAGCCTGATAGCTGAGTAGGAGCATTGTTCCTAGAAGCTGCCTTGATAAAGCTGGGAGACAAAGATCATTGAGAAGGACTGTCTGCAGATTTATCAGCAGCTGCTGGGACGTGCCCAAGGAAAACAGTATTTGGTGCTAGGGAAGGCAGATTGCCTGATAATCTCTCTTTGTACCAGAAATGTTTGCCTAAGTGTGCTCAGAGGCATCAGACAGCATTTCAGACATTTTAGCATAAAAATATTCCATTAGGCCAAAAGCTAGTCTTGGCACAAAAGGGGTTCAAAAATTAAAATGAACCTAAGAGTGTTTTTTCTGCCTTTTGTTTGTTTGTTTTATAGTTGGCCTCAAATTTGCCTTTGGTATCCATATTCACATATTCAACAAATATTTATACATTTCTTGCTATGTGGAAGGCACTGTGTGCTATGTGGTGAATATGATAGTTAGCAAATCTGGTGGAATGTTTTCTTTAGTGAGGGAGATACACTTTGATCCAAGACTTTTACAAATGTAAACTACCAGCAGGGTAGGGGTTATGGAGGAGAGGTGGTGGTCACAAGAGGGATAACAGAGGGAACTGGCTTGTCAAGGAGGTCAGAAAACAGTTCCCTGAAAATGTAATGACTGGAAGCTGAAGCTGGAAGCTGAAATCTGCAGGAAGCATAGGAGTTAATTAGGGCAAGAAAATGGGAGAGTGTCTAAGAATAAGGTAAGAATGTGCAAAGGCCCTGTGGCATGGTGGTTTCAAAGAGCTAAAATAAGCCACAACTGATTGGCTAGCATCAGGGGTGAGGAGAATGGTAATAAATGAAGTTGGAGAGTCAGGCCAGAGGCCAGGCTGTGTTAAAAATTTTGGTCTTTATCGGAAAAGCTTTTGAATGGCTTTTAAGCAGCGTGTGTGTGTTTGTGTGTGTGTGTGTGTGACACACACAGAGAGAGAGAGAGAAAGAGAGAATAGGTGATATAGAGAAGTGGATGGAATCCATAGATATTTGGATTTCTGGCCTGAGCAAACTCATGGATGAAGGGTGGTAGTATTTGCTGATGCAGAGAACCATGGAGAAGGAGTGAATGTGGGATGAACATGAATTTGATATGAGTCATGTTGGGTTTGAGGCATCTTTGAAAAACCTACATGAAGATGCTGGGTTAAACCTCCCCATGCTCACAACCCTTGTTGTTTTGGGTTGTTCTTCTAAGTGTCCCTGGCTGGCGGGAGACCTGCCCTCCACAGGGGCCAGCCTGCTAAGCCCTGCACTTTTGCCCTGAGCAAGGCTTCTTAGAGGGGTGTGCCCTCCGCATAGTTCTGTGTCCTGTTGGAAAGGGGTCTGAGAAATTAGCTGAACGAAGGTGGCAATGACTCTGAAAGCCACTGTGAACCTCCTCATAGGTACTTGTTGTTTAAGAATGACACCTGAGCCTCTCAAAGTTACAAAGCCCTTTCTCAACCACAGGACTATTGACATTTTGGACAGGATAACTCTTTGTGGGAGGCTGTCATCTGCAACGTAGGATGTTTGTTTAGCAGCTTCCCTTCCTTCTACTCACTAGTTGTGACAATCAAAAGTGTCTCCAGATATTGTCAAATGTACCTCGGGTCGGGTGGAGGCAGAATTGCTACTGATTGGGAACTGCTGCCATATACAATTTCATTTGGCCCTTATCATATCTAGGTGGGCAGAGCAAGTTTTGTCATATGAGAAAACCGAGGCTCAGAAAGTTTAAGTTGTTTGCCCAAGATCACACAGCTACACATTTGTGGAACTGGGATCAGAGCCTAATTCTTTTGACTCCGAGTGTGGGCCCCCTTCCATGTTTTTTTTTAAACAGTACTGCTTTCTAGTTAAGGCATAGCAATGATGATGAATTTCCTGTCACTGTGGCAAACTGCTAGGAGAAGATATTTTCTGCTTCTACCTAGGTAGCCCATTAGTCAACTTCATCAAATGAGGTTGACACCACAGAACATCCCAAATGCTAATGACAGAAATTGATGGTGCTAAAATGCTGTTGTGTGTGGTGATGGTGGGAGGATCAAATATCACATTCAGTATTCAAAATTCTAATAAGGGAAGTGGATTAATATTTGTCATTGACTCATTTTTTCTTCACAACCACTCTGTGGTATTGTGGAGGTAGGTATCATGAGTCCCATTTTATGGACAAGTAAACTGAGGAAACTTAACATAAGTTACATGCCCAAGGTGGCTCAGCTAGCAAGTAGCCAAGCTGGGATTGAAACTCAGGTTGGGGTAAAGGTAAATTCCTGAATGCTCCTGAATGCAGCCCTGCTGATTCCTCATGGGGTGCATGGGCTGAACCAGATGGCCTTGAAGGGCCCTTTTAATGCTCCCATTTAATGATTTCAATTACAAAAACACTGTTAGGGGTGAAAAAAAGCACCCAATATAATCCTAATGTGAGTGGTCTGTTTCTTTGTGCTGTTTTTCCTTGAATACCAGGGGTACCTCTGTGGATGTGTGGAATACTGATATGGGTTGGCTGTGTCCCCACCCAAATCTTATCTTGAATTGTAGCTCCCATGATTCTCATGTGTTGTGGGAGGGAAATTGAATAACGGGGGTGAGTCTTTTCCATGCTATGCTCATGATAGTGACTAAGTCTCACAAGATCTGATGGTTTTATAAAGGGGAATTTCCCTGCACAAGTTCTCTTCTCTTGTCTGCTGCCATGTGAGATGTGCCTTTCACCTTCCACAATGATTGGCAGGCCTCCCCATCCATGTGGAACTGTGAGTCCATTAAACCTCTTTCTTTTGTAAATTGCTCCATCTTGAGTATGTCTTTATCAGCAGCATAAAAATGGACTAATACAAATACTAATGCCCATTTTTGCCCCGTCTTATTAAAAAATCAGACTCCAAATAAAGCAGTAAAACAAAGCTTGTGGAACTTTCTTAACAAAGAGACATTGGTCCACTCCACTCCTTTTTCCTTTATAGCAGTCTGCTTTGACCTGGGGAAGGAGGTGGGATTTGCTGGGGAATAATTAGAAGTGAAAAGATTTAGAAGTGGCCTAAAGACCCAAAAGCAGGACAGACACTGGGCAAACTCTTTGGGTGGGAGGAGGCTTTCCTAGCCTCCCATGACCTCCTTTTACTCTGGGCTCCTTTGTTCCATACTCCCTCCCTCCCCCTGGAAGTGCACAGTGTCCTAAATCAGAGGATTGCTACTCCAACTACACATTAGAACTGCCCAGGAGACTTTAAAAATATATACCGGGTCCCCCACAAGATCAATTAATTCAGAACTTTGGGACTGGGGCGCATGATTCTAATGTCTCACCAGGGCTGAGAACCATTGCCATCTTTATCAAGCTCATCTGTCCTGGCTTCCATTCTTTTTGGGGACTTGATGAGAGTAAGCTGTTAATGTGAGAAGCTGGATTAGACTAAGATGTTAGAAGTTACAATCGTTTAATGGGTCAGTCTTTGAGGTGATGTATTTGTATCTTTATAGGAACCTTGGTCTATTCCTGCCTGTTCCTTCCCTGCCAAACTGCAGGTAATAAAGGACCATCACTGTTAGAGTCCCCGCCAGACTCCTCTGGCAACATATGGGGAACTCCTCACCACCAGTGAGGTGGGGGTATCTGGGGAAGGTCTGATGCTCACATAATGGGCTCCCCAAATTGCTGCTATTAGCCACTTCTTCCATCGCACTCCTGAGCAAGAGCCATGGCTATCCATGTGCTCAGCCCTGATCCAGACAACAGACGATCCTGACTGAGGCAAACCTGGCACATCAGCCTAGAAGGGCAGAATTAGGTTAGCTGCCAAGGATGGAACAGATCTCACATAAACAGTTTTGCCCCCTTCTTTCCCATATTAACCTAGCCCATACCACTGGACTCTGCCTCAGTTTCCCCACCTGGACCTCCTGTTCCATATTGAGCCTATAACCTTGCACTCAATCTCATCCAATCTCCTTGTGGATTCAGCTCTGTAAACAGCCTCCACCAACCAGATTGAGACTTCTCGGACCTGCAAGGAGACCACCTGGCCATGCCTCTTGGCTCCTGGCCATTGGTTGGCTCACTTATATCCTGGAGACAGACCCTCAGCCAGGTCTGTTTCCACAGTCCTTGCCATGCCTACCCCTGATTGCTGACAACATCTCCCCCGGCCCATCTTCACAGCCTACCAGCACTGGATATGACAGAGGGGCAATCATGGATCATAACATTCAGAACTAGGGCTTCCATTTGCCCTTCAATATTAACACGTCATCAAAGGAAATGGGAGAACCAAAGTAGAGCCACATATTACTATGAAGAACAGAATTTGGAAAAAGCCAGTGGTAATCAACATGATGAAATGAATGAGAGGCACCAGTAAATCCCAGACCTAACTAGGCCAAGTTGAACCATGTGTCTAAAGCCAAACTAAATTAAAAACAATAAAGCTTCAATTAAGAATCAGTCTGTTGAGTAATCTACAGAGTTGAAGGTCCGCTAGGAGTCAAGTACAGTTATTCACTATATAATGACATTTTAGTCAACAATGGACTGCATATATAGTGGTCCCATAAGACTAAAATGAAGCTGACAAATTCCTATCACTTGTGCCATCTCGATGATCCTGACTCTGTGTAGACCTAGGCTGATGTGTGTGTTTGTGTCTTAGTTTTTAACAAAAAAGTTTAAAAAGTTAAAAAAAAAAGATTTAAAAATAGAAAAAATGCTTATACAATAAAGAAGTAAAGAAAGTATTTTTGTATAGCTCTACAATATATTGTGTTTTAAACCAAGTGTTAACACAAAAGAATAGAAAAGTTAAAAATTTCAAAAATGTATAGAGTAAAAAAGCTAAGGTATGCTAAGAGTAATTTGGAATTGAAGAAAGATAAATATTTTTAAATAAGTTTAATGTAGTCTGAGTGTATGGTGTTTATAAAGTCTACAGTAGTGAATAGTAATGTTCAAGGCTTCATGTTCACTCACCAGTCACTCATGGACTCACCCAGAGCAACTTCCAGTCCTGCAAACGCCATCCATGGCAAGTGCTCTACACAGGTATACCATTTATTATCTTTTATGCTGTATTTTTATTGTACCTTTTCTATGTTTAGATCTATTTGGATATACCAATACTTACCATTGTGTTACAATTGGCTATAGCATTCAGTACAGTCACATACTGTACAGGTTTGTAGCCTAAAAGCAATACGTAATACTGTGTAGCTTAGGCATGTAAGAGGCTGTATCATCTTTGTGTAGTACACTCTATGATGTCCACACAATGATGAAATCACTTAATTATGCATTTCTTAGAGCATACTCCAGTTATTAAGTGACACATGACTATATTTGGCTAGAGGAAAAAGCTTTATGCTTTGCCTTGAGGCCATCACACTGGGGCTGAGCCACTAGGCTGCTATTTGGATTTATCTCCCACACTGCTTAGTCCAGTGATCCTGTAAAATAGCTGTTTGAGTTATGTGGTCCATGGAGACAGTTGGATTTCTCACTTTCCCAGGAGCTGCGTGGTGTTGCCCTATAGGGTCCAGGCTTCCCCTGGGACAAGGTTGGAGAGCAAAGTCCAAGCACAATAGGGCATGTAATGGCCAATATGTGTGAATCCCTTGGTAAACATCTCTTTTTAGGAGAAAGATAAAATTCCCTTGTCAAAAGCATGGGTGGGAGTACACTAGAATCCCATTAGGTGCTGCAAGGGGCCAGCCGCTTCTTCTAATTGCTCTGATGCAGAGGGGTCTTCTCTCCTGATTCTTGTTGAACTTGTTTGTGGTTCCCAGTTGCATCTCAACATAGCCCTGTCGGGGAAAACAGAGCTGTTGAGTCAAGCCTCCTTTCCTCCCTGTCCTAATACCACTTGCCCCAGGAGCCTTCCACTCTTGTTCTGTTTTGGGGCTCCTAGCACTGAGTAGAGGTGTATTGAAAAGTATGTTGAGACAGGAGTGAACTGTTCCACCTGTGCTAGTGATAAATCTCCAATTTAGCCTAATTGAGCCTCTAGTTATATATTCCAATGATATGTTCTTTCCTTCACACCCCTACCTTACCTCATAACTGAGAAAACTGGTATCAGAAGACAGGAATGGAAAGTGTGAATTAAGGGCAGTTTCAGCCATGTCCTGATATTCTGCCCCATCTCTCTGAGTAGCTCCACAGCAGCAAAGACCATGGCTGGGTATAGTCATCATTGTATCCTCAATGCTTACGATAGCACTCAATACACAGAGGACTCCCAATAAGTGAAAAGCAGCCTATACATGTAAGATGTAAAGAAATGTAATGATCTCTGCATCTCTGTCTATTTCTGTAATTCTGAATAGTTTTTTATGATTCCAGAGATGGTGGCTTGTGCCCATTGTTTGTCACCTGTTATAATGTATGGAGGGATGCATGAATGAATGAAAAAAGATTGATAGATAGCGGATGGACAGATTTCTTCTTGTTCTTTGATTTGAAAATATGGAGATAGTTGCATCAGAGCCTCTAAAGTTCATGGTTTTGGAGTTATTGGATCTCTTTAAGGTCATCTGGAGATAGTATCATGAATAAGCTAGTGTTTGTGGCCTTTTTCTTCAATAAGGTATTTTGTCTACTCCAGGGACCCAGTATTCTCACTATCTTTTATGGGTATTTGCATTCGATGCTTAAAGGAACAAAGTCCTACTGGAGGCATTTCAGATAACTGTCAGTATATAGGGAAGTATGACTTTGAGCCTTTTGAGTCTCCTCATATATAAAGGATGAAACAGAAAGAGGGGCTAAATCCAAGATACACTTTTAATGGAGACCCACGATGGCCTGACGGCCACTTGGATGTGGAGAGTTGATTAGAGGATGTTTTCCTACTTGGGTGGCTGGGTGTATGCTGACAATATTAACCAAGGTAGGAGTATAGGAGGAAGGTCTGGTTTGAAGCCTGGTGAGTGCAGTGTTGAAGTGTGCTGGGAGGTGTAATTAATCTAATCGACTTTGGTAAACTTGCAGGATATCTAGGTGGAGAAGACTAGTAGTAGATGATTGGAAATGTAGGTCTGGAGGCCAGAAGGATGTGGAGGGATGGAAAGAACAGTGAGGAGTCAACAGTGGGAAATCAGAAGCCAATGCTGTGGGAAGAAATGAGACAATACAGAAAGAGTAGTTGATAATTGGCTTCCATATGTTGACCAGCTGCAGTGTGCCAAATAATTTATCAATATCTTTACTTGGAGTCCTCAGTGATACCTATAAAGACCTTGAGGCCTGAAATCACTTTAAACTCTAGTATAAAAGTGAAAAGACAAAAGTATTAAGAATATCTGTAGCCACAAAAATTGGTTACAGAATAAGCAACATAAAAAAGTAAATTCTGACATTAATAACAAAATGTGAAGGCAAAAGAGTGAACGTGTAGAATTACTGTATGCAATTGAAATTAAATTGTTGTCATCTCAAAATAGACTGTTACAACAATGAGAAGTTTTGTGCAAACCTCATGGCAACCCCCAAAAAACCCATAGCAGATACAAAAAAGATAAGGAGAAAATAATCAAATTATATCACTACCAAAAACACCATCAAATCACAAAAGAAAACAAGAGAGAAAGAAAGAAACAAAAGATTTACAAAACAGACGGAAAACGATGAACAAAATGGCAATAGTAAGCTCTTACTTATTAATAATTACATTAAATATAAGATGGATTAAACTCACCAATCAAAAGACATAGTCATTGAATGGATAAAAACAACAAGATTAAATTATCTCTTAGCTACAAGAGACTCACTTTGAACTTAAGAACACACATAGGGAGAAAATGAAGGGATGAGAAAAGATATCCCATGCAAATGGTAATAAAAAGAGAGCAGAGGCAGCTGTATTTATATCAGACAAAATAGACTTTAGGTCAAAAATTGTCACAAGAGACAAAGAAGGTCATTGCATAATGATAAGAGGGTCAATCTGATAGGAAGACATAATAATTATAAATATACATGCACTCAACATCAGAGCACTTAAATATACAAAACAAACATCAACAGATCTGAAGGGAGAAATAGATAACAATACAATAATAGGATACTTCAATACCCCAAGTACAATAATGAGCAGATCATCCAGACAAAAAAATCAATAAGGAAACAGCAGATTTAAATAATACTACAGACCAAATGGACTTAACAGACATGTACAGAACATTCCACCTAACAGTAGCCAAACACACATTCTTCTCAAGTATACACCAAACATTCTCCAAGACAGACAACATGTTAGGTCACAAAACAAGTCTTAACAAATTTAAGATTAAAATCATTCAAAGTGTCTTTTGTGACCACAATGAAATGAAACTAACAATCAATAACAAAAGGAAAATGACCAAATTCACAAATATGTGGAAATTAGAACAGCCATTGCGTCAAAGGAGATATTAAAAAGGAAATTAGAAAATATCTTGAGACTAACAAAAATGAAAAAATAACATAACAAACCTATGGGATATAAAAGAAGCAGTATTAAGAGAGAAGTTTATAGTGATTAATACCTACACTAAAAAAGAAGAAAGATATCAAATAAATACCCTAACATTACACCTTAAGAAACTAGAAAAAAAGATTAAACTCACCCCGGAATTAGCAGAAGGAAAAAATTAATAAAGATTAGAGTATAAATAATGAAGTTAAGAATGAAAAAACAATAGAAAAAAATCAACAAAACTAAGAGTCAGTTCCTTGAAAATATAAACAAAATTGACAAAACCTTAGCAAGACTAAGAAAAAAAGAGAAAATTCAAACAAATAAAATCAGAAATGGAATAGGAGATACTATAACTGAAGCCACAGAAATAAAAAGATCCTAAGAAACTATTACTAACAATTATACCCCAACAAACTGGACAACCTAGAAGAAACGGCTAAATTCTTAGAAGCATGCAACCTACCAAGACTGAATCAAGAAGAAACAGAAAGCCTGAACAGACCAATAACAAATGAACAGATTGAATCAGTAATCAAAAACCTTCCAATAAAGAAAAACCCAGGATAAGACACTTCACAGGTGAATTCTACCTAACATTTAAAGGAGAATTAATAGAATCATTCTTAAACTCTTCCAAAAATTAGAAATGGGAAGACTTTCAAACTTTTTCTGAGGCCAGCATCACCCTGATACCAAAGTCAGATAAAGATATCACAAGAAAACTACAGGTCAATATTTCTGATAACAGGGATGTAAAAAATCCTCAATAAAATATTAGCAAACCAAATTACACAGCACATTAAAAGGATCATACAACATGACCAAATGGGATTTATCCCTGGGATGCAAGGATGGTTCAACATATGCAAATCCATCAATGTGATATACCACATTAACAGTATGAAGGATACAAATCACATGGTCATCTCAACAGAGTTTTGCAGAAAAAGCATTTTGTAGTATTCAACACCCTTTTATGATAAAAACTCTCAACAAATTAGATATAAAGGAACTTACCCCAATGCAATAAAGTCCATATATTTAAAAACCCACAGCTGACATCATACTCAGTGGTGAAAAACTAAGAACTTTTCCTCTGAGACCTGGAACAAGGCAGGGATGCCCACTCTCACCACTTCTATTCCCAAAAGAAAAAGAAATAAATGGCATCCAGATAAAAGAAAAAGAAGTAAAATTATTTGTTTGCAGAGGACATGATCTTATATGCAGAAAACCCTGAAGACTCCACCAAAAAACTGTTAGAACTAATAAATGAATTCAGCAAAATTGTAGGACACAAAAATCAATGTACAAAAATCAGCTGCATTTCTATACAATAACCACAAATTCTCTAAAAAGGAAATTAAGAAAATCATTCCATTTATAACATCATCAACAAGAATAGAATACTTAGGAATAAATTAAACTAAAGAGGTGAAAGATTTGTAAACTGAAAACTGTAAAACATTGGTGAGAAAAGTAAAGCAGACATGAATGAATGTAAAGCCATCATGTGTTGAAGAATTGGAAGTATCTATAACATTAAAACATCCACACTACTCAAAGTAATCTATAGAGTCAATGCAATCCCCACAAAAAATCTCAATGGCAGTTTTTATAAAAATAGAAAAAATAATTTAAATATTCATATGGAACCACAAAACACTGCAAATAGCCAAAGTAATTTTGATCAAGAACAAAACTGAAGGCATCACACTTTCTGATTTTAAATTATATTACATTGAAACATAAATTGTTGCCCATAAATATATACAATTACAATGTATTGATTAAAAAATAAGTTAAAAAATGAGAAAAGAATACATAATAATCATCAAGAACAGTGGCCTGATAGAGAAATGAAAGAAAGATCTTTAAATAAAAAAGGTTAAAAATATGAAAAATTATATCTCAAGCCTCCAATAATCAAAACAATATTCTACTGGCATAAAAATAGACATATAAACCAATGAAGCAGAATAGAGAGCCCATAAATAAATCCATGCATATATGGTCAACTGATGATATTCAACGAGGGTACCAAGGATAAACGATGGGGATAGAATCTGCAATAAATGGTATCTGTGTAGCAAATTGGGTTAAATACTTAAACCTCAGATCTGAAACTGCAAAATTCCTGGAAGAAATCATAGAAAAAAACTTCTTGATGTCAGTCTTGGCAATGATCCCTTGGATGTGACACCAAAAACACAGGCAACAAAAGCAAAAGATAGACCAGTGGGATGACATCAAACAAAAAAAAGACTCTGAACAGCAATGAAAATTATCAAAAAATGAAAAGGCAACCTACAGAATGGAAGAAAATAGTTGCACACCATATATCTGACACAGAGTTAATATCCGAAATATATAAGGAACTCCTACAGGGAGTGCAACTTGTAGTAGCAGGCTAACCCTTGCAGTAGTAGGTTAACCAAGATCACACAACTAACTAAAGGCAGAGCTGGGACTTCAACAGAGTCTATTGACACCAAAATCTTTGCGCCCTTAAAACCTTCTCAAAACTTTTGGGAAGGGCTAACTTTTGAGGTAGGCATAGGAAGAGGAACTAGTGAAAAGTGGCCAAGGCAGAGTTTCAAGGAGGTAGGAAACCTCGGAATTACTGATAATGAAGGAAGAGGACATCCCAAGTGGTGGTACAGAAGGGGCTGTTCAGGGCTGTCTCAAGGAGAGAACAAAAGAGTGAGTGTCGCCTGTAATCCCAGCACTTTGGCAGGCTGAGGTGGGCGGATCACCTGAGATCAGGAGTTCAAGACCAGTCTGGCCAACATGAAAAAACCCCGTCTCTACTAAAAATACAAAAATTAGCCAGGAGTGGGTGATGGGCACCTGTAATCCCAGCTACTTGGGAGGCTGAGGCACTAGAATTGCTTGAACCCGGGAGATGGAGGTTGCAGTGAGCCAAGATTGCACCATTATGTTCCAGCCTGGGTTACAAGGGCTAAATTCTGTCTCAAAGAAAAGAAAAAAAAAAAAAAAGAAAACGAAAAAGAAAAACAGTAAGAGTGACAGAGAGCAAGAGGGGTGAGGAGGGAACCCTGGGTCCACCAGTACTAGTTCACTTGAAGTCATTTTAAGGGTGCATTGGGAGGGCTGGAAGCTGCCTCAGGAGTTGAGAAAGCAAGGATAGGGAGTTTATGTTTCTCTCTCTCTCTCTCTCTCTCTCTCTCTCTCTCTCTCTCTGTCTCTCTCTCTTTTTAATTATACTTTAAGTTGTGGGATACATGTGCAGAATGTGCAGGTGTGTTACATAGGTATTATGTGTGCCATGGTGGTTTGCTGCACCCATCAACCCGTCATTTACATTAGGTATTTCTCCTAATGCTATCCCTCCACTAGCGCCCCACCCCACAACAGACCCAGGTGTGTGATGTTCCCCTCCCTGTGTCCATGTGTTCTCATTGTTCAACTCCCACTTATGAGTGGGAACATGTGGTGTTCGGTTTTCTGTTCCTGTGTTAGTTTGCTGAGAATGTTAGTTTCCAGCTTCATTCATGTCCCTGCAAAGGACATGAACTCATCCTTTTTTATGGCTGCATAGTATTCCATGGTGTATATGTGCCACATTTTCTTTATCCAGTCTATCATTGATGGACATTTGGGTTGGTTCCAAGTCTTTGCTATTGTGAATAGTGCTGCAATAAACATGTATGTGCTTGTGTCTTCATAGTAGCATGATTTATAATCCTTTGGGTATATACCCAGTAATGTTTCTGTGCTAAAGTCAAGCACCAGCAAGGAGGGACTGGGAGATGGAAGTGAATGACAAAGCTTCCACATTCTTCCCAGGCCAGGAAATATTTATTTCCCATTTTGTTAACATCCCTTTGCTTCAATTTCTGTATCTGTAAAGTGGGGACAATAATAACAGCTGCCTCAAAGTGCTGTGGAGAGTGGAGAGTTCCTGGCACTCTGCATGGTAATATAAGCGCTTATCATCATCATGTCTTCCCCCTCCTCCTCCTCCTCCCTGCCTTCTCTTCCTCCTCTCTTCTTCCTCCTTTCCTCCTCCCCTTCCTCCTCTTCCTCCTCCTGTCTTCTACCCCTTCCTTTTCCTCCTCCTGATTTCCTCCTCCCCTTCCTCCTCCTCTTCCTTCTGTTCTCCTCCCCTTCCTTCTCCTGCTCTCCTTTCTTCTCCTTCTCCCCTTCCTTCTCCTCCTTCTCCCCCCCACTCCCCTTCCTTCTCCTTCCCCCTTCCCCCTCCCCTTCTTTCTCCTCCCTTTCCTCCTTCCTTCCCCATGACATTCTTCTATCTGCATGATCTACCTAGACCCCTCCCCACCCCAGGCCACCTGTATCTGGGAGCAGGGCACAGGCAAAGGAGCACCGCAGCACTGCTGCTCCTCCCAGCCTGGGTAGGTGGTCCAGAAGTGCTGCAGAGAGGAGAAGGACAATTTAGTTCCTCTGCTCTGCCTCTAACTCAGCTTTTTGATTGTTTCCTTCACAGTTTCTAATGACCATGTTATTTTTCTCACAAAAAAACTATACTTGGTCCTCACAGCATATGGTGCACTGACAAAACTCTGTGTAGCAAAGTGAGGGGGAAGGCTCAGCTTCATTTCTGTTCATGAAAAAGGTGTTTTAAGTGTGGATAACAAAACCCTTATCCTTTGTCTGGCTGTCAGTTCCTGAGTCTGTCCCTCTGTGTGGGACAGGGTACAGAGTTCAGGGCTGGACATCAGATGACTCTGGTTCCAGTAAGCAGCTGTGTGATCCCAGCAAATGGCTGTGTGTCTCTGAGCCCAGGTGATTTCCTGTGAGGGCACTTAACTTCAGTTCTTATGGCTGACCCCCACTTCTTGGCCCTCCAGAGTCCACTCCAGAGGTCATGGTGCCACACTCCCATCTGTCTGTCAGCAGCTGCTCAGCAGGTCAATGTTGTCAGCCATGAGGGGAACACACTGAGAAAAAGTAGGGCAGGGTTTTTAGGGGATCCCAGAAGGCCCAGCTGCATTCTGAGAGGCCTCCTTCTCATCAGGGAAATCCATTATTTGTACTTGATTCCTTTTGTTTCAAAGTTAAGGTATGGGGGAATGAGCCATCTTATTTCAAGTCTTTATATCTCGGCATGAATAAATATCAGATGTGTTCCTGAGAGGAGGGCTTTAGGAGGCAGACCACCAGGGCCTGGAGGGGAAGGTGGGCAGAGTGGAGGGGCAGCAGGCCACTAAAGAGGGAGAGATGAGAGGGAGCAAAGGACTCTCCCATATACCACACAGTTTTTTCAGTCTGGGGGCCAGGGGTCACATATGTTGGCCGTGCTGTGACTGCAACTATCTTTCATTACCAATCGGAGTTGTGGAGCCTAGAGGTTCAGAATGGACTTCAGAGCTGAATGGAAATGAGTTTGAGGTCTCAGAACAACCTACCAGATGAGAGACCTTGTATAGCTTATTAAAGTATTGCTGGGCACCTCAGTTTCCACATCCTCTGTCTTCTTCCTTAGTAACAAAAGCAACAAACATTGGATGGCATTCATCATGTACTGAGAGTGTCCTGCACTCACTCAGTCCTCACAACGTTCTATGGTTTGGTCCTGTTATTGTCCTCAGTTTACAGACTAGGAAGGTGAAACTCAGAGAGATTATAGAGCTAATCAATGCCAGACCTGGCATGCCAACCCAGGCAGACTGGCTCTAGTCTGTGCTCTTCAATCTTATGCTTGTTGCCTCTCTAAAATCCTGGCTCCAATCTCATGTCACCCTACACTACCATCCATTTCCTTTCAATGTTGCAGCCACTCACGAACCCCACAGTCATCCCCTTTGTTCCTTGAAGGCTTTACCTCCCAGCTTGCTGTTACTCTCTCCAATAATATTCCTGCCATAATTCCTACTAGACGATCCTCTCTTACCTTAGCCTACCTGATCCTTAATCTCCCTGCATCTGATTCATCTCACTCTCCTGCCTACAGTCCTCCTAAGTCATACCTCTGGCTGTCATTATCATCAGTCTTTCAGTTCTAGTCATCTCACTCTGTGACCACCATATCACATGTCAGTTCATTCTCTCTGTTCCCCAAATTTGATAATGCTTCCTTGCCCAGTACCTACTATGAAAAGAAAAACCTTAGCCAAATTAAATTTAAAGGCGTTTAATTGAGCAAGAATGATTCATGAATCAGACAGCCTCGGGAGCCAAAGTAGGCTCAGAGACTCCAGCGCAGCCATGTGGTGGAAGAAGATTTATGGAAAGAAAAAGGAAAGTGATGTACAGAAAATGGAAGTGAGGTACAGCAACAGCCGGATTGGTTACAGATGGCATTTGCCTTATTTGAACACAGTTTGAACAGTTGGCCACCACTGATTGACCAAAACTCAGTGATTGGCACAAGAATAGGCTATAGTCTGTTTACAATTCTATTTAGGTTATAGTTCGCGATGTATGGAGAAACCTTTAGGCTGGACTTAAAATATGCAAGGAGGCAGCTTTAGGCTAAACTTGATTTAACACTACAACAGGCTGAGCCTACCACTTTCTTACTGTCCTTCACCTCCCCCACCATGTCCTCATTCCCTTCCTCACCCACCTTAAATTTTCATGACCCATCATTCTATTTCCATCCTTACAGACATCCTCATCTTGTTAGCTACTCTCTCTCAAAAGCCCAATCCTGAGGAAATCCAACTGTCTCCTTGCTTCACAACTACACAGTGGACAGGATAGGAGAAATACATGCAACCACACTGACTAGTTTCAGCTTGAATTCATGACCAGTAACTTCCAGGAAGCAGTCTTTCTACATCTTCAGGGTTCACTCATTCCGACCATTTCATATTTCACTATTTTCTACTCTCTATTCTCAAATTTCCCCATCTCCTCTCTCAGTTGATGACCTGGGCTTGCTATTTCGCTGAGAAGGTAGAAGCCAGCAGAAGAGAAACTTGCACACATTTCCATCACCAAATTCAATCACCTACGCATCAGTGCCGAGAAAGTACTGCCTTCCCTCATCTTACCTGGGATGAGCAATCTCTTTTCCTTTGTGGTCCAAAAACTCAATGTGTACATTGGATTTCATCCTTTTTCAAGAACATGGTTCTGGAGATTGTCTTTCTCTTTCCTGCATTATCAATTTTTTCCCTCCCTGCTGGGCTAGTCCCATCATTATGTCAACATGTAATTTCTTACATCCTTAATAAAACACAAAACTCGCTTGCCCACCTCTAGCCATTGCCTCATGTTTTTGCTCTCCTTTCCAGCAAAACATCTGAAATGTTGTCTATACAAGTTGGCCCTCTGTATCCATGGGTTCCACATCCATGGATTCAACCAACTATGGATCAAAAATATTCAGAAAAAAATTCACAAAGTTCCAAAAAGCAAAACTTGAATTTCCCCTGTGCTGAGTACTGTGCTGAATCCATATGAGTGATGTGATATGTAGGCCTCATATTAGGCATTATAAGTATTCTAGAGATGATTTTTTGGAGGATGTGCATAGTTACATGCAAATACTATGTCACTTTATACCAGGTACTTGAGCATTTGTGGATTTTGGTATCTGTAGGGGGCCCTAGAACAATATCTCATGGACACCAAAAAGTGACGGCACTTGCTATCTAATCACTTTCCTCCATTCTCTCTTGAATCCAGGATAATAAGGCTTTTACCCTCCAACAATCCAAAGGTCTTGCTCTTGTCAAGGTGACTGATGACTTCCATGTTACTGACACCAACAATCCACCCTCAGTCCTCATTTTATTTGCCACAACACCTGCAGTTTATTCAGTTTCTCCTTCTTTTCTCTTTGACATACTTTCTTCACTTGATGTCTTGGACACTACACCCTTCTGGCTTCTGTCCCACTTCATTGACTGTACTGCCTTAGAATCCTGCTATCTGCCCCATCTCGCCAACTTCCAAATGTTGGCATGAGCCACAGGCTCAGTCCTTGGACCTTCTATCTTTTCTCTCTTCCCTTACTCCCTTGATCATCTTATCTAAGTTCCTGGCTTTCAATATGCTGATGACTCACCAGTTTCTATTTCTACACTGGTTTTCATCCCAAACTCCAGAGTCGGATCCAACAGTCAACTTAATGGCTCTACTCACCATCATTGAAACTCAACTTCTGATCTTCACCTCCAAACTCCCCCATCTCAGCTTCTGGATCCCAGTTGCATCCTTCCAGGTGCCCAGGCCAAAACTTTTGAGTCAGTTCTTTCTTTCTTTCACACTTCATGTCCAATTGATCAGCAGATCCTGTTGGCTCTCCATAGCAGTATATCCAGGACTCAACCATTTCCTGGACTTTGTGCTTCCCTCTTACTACCCTCCCTATTTTGCATGGCAGTCAGATGGTCCTTTCAAAACGCACTTCAGATTCTATTAGTTCTCTGCTCAAAATCTTCAAATAGATTTCCATCTTAGAGTAAAAGCCAAAGTCTTACATTCAAGGCCCTATGTGATTTGCATTTTTACTTCCTGTTATGCCTCTGACCTTATCTCTTTTCACATATCCACTTGTTCATTTCTCTCTAGCCACAGAGTTCCTTGCTCTTCCCCAAACATGAAGAGAACATTCTTGCCTCAGGACCTTTGCCCTCACTATTTCCTATGTCTGAAATGCTCTTCACCCAGATATCCGTATGGCTTGCCCCAACCTTCCTCTCAGCGAGAACTTTCCTTACCACCCTAGCTATGATTGCTAACTTGCTTAATTTTTTCCACTGGGCCTATTGTTATTTGATATTCTGTATATTTTTCTTATTGTCTCTCTCCCCAAATAGCATGTAAGCTTCATGAGGGGAGAAGTTTAAATATAGTTTTCCTCACTGCTTATTTCTAGCACCTGGGACAATGCCTGGGACATAGTAGTTGTTCAACAATCATGTGTCAAATGAATACAGAATCTCCAAAATGGAGGTTCTTTCCTCATTGACTTGCTGGTAGATTCAGTAATATAATATGACTGTCACATATTAATGCTTAATAAGTAGTAGAAATTATTTTTTCTGTTATTTGTTTTTTAATTGAAAAATAAAAATGATATTTATTGTGTACCACATATTTTGAAATATGTATATATTGTGGAATAGTGAAATAAAGCTAATGAATATATACATTACCTCACATACTTATTTGTTGTGAGAACAATTAAACTCTCAGCAATTTTCAAGTATACAATACATTGTTTAGCTAGTCAACATTGTGCAATAAATGTCTTGAACTTATTCATCCTGTCTAACTGAAATTTTGTATCCTTTGAAAAACATCTCCCCAATTCCCCCCACCAGCCCTAGTAACCACCATTCTACTGTTTGCTTCTATGAGTTCAACTTTTTTTAGATTTCACGTATAAGGGAGATCATTTGGATTTTCTTTCTATGTCTTTCTTATTTCACTTGACATAATGTCTTACAGGTTCATCTATGTTGTCACAAATGACAGGATGTCCTTATTTTTAAGGCTGGCTGGCTTGTATTTTGTGTGTGTGTGTGTGTGTGTGTGTGTGTGTGTGTGTAAAATAACATTTTCTTTATCTATTCATCTGTTGATAGACATTTAGACTGATCCCTTATCTTGACTATTGTGAATAGTGCTGCAGTGAATGTAAGAGTGCAGTTATCTCTTTAGCATACTAATTTTGTTTCCTTTGGATATATACCTGGCAGTGGGATTGCTGGATTAGATGACATTTCCATTTTTAATTTTTTGAGGCCCACCTCCATGCTATTTTCTACCATGGCTATACCAATTTACATTTTCACCAACAGTATACAAGGGTTCCCTTTTCTCTACATGCTCACCAACACTTACTATCTTTGTCTTTTTGATAATGACTATTCCAACAGGTGTGAAGTAATATGTCATTGTAGTTTTAATTTGCAATTCCCTGATGATTAGTGACGTTGAGCACTTTTTTCATATACCTGTTGGCTATTTGTATATCTTCTTTTGATAAATTTCTACTTGGTTCTTTTGCCTATTTTTTAATTGAGCCATGTGTTTTCTTGCTATTGAGTTGTAGGAGCTCTTTATATATTTTAGGTGTTGATCACTTATTAAAGGTATGGTTTGAGTAGCAATTATTATTGATCCCCATTTCAGAAAGAGGAGGAAAGGCAATGATGATGGTGAACATATTCTATACTGACTGTAACTTTACATTTTTGAAGAGCTTGATTAAACGTTAGTTATGTCATCAGGACTATAAGTTACACTTTGAAAGAAATTTAGAAGACCTTAGAGTAGGTTATGTGGAATGGCAAGAACTAAACCATTTAATAAAAGTTAAGAAAACTTTTGTAAGAAACAAAATCGAGATGCATGGAGGAAAATAAGTTTCTCAAACTTGCGTCGTAAGGAAGTGGTGGTAGGGATTTGAAACAAAGTTTATCTGAGGCCAAATTGTGTTCCCCAGTTTCATGCCCCTGTCCACTGGAGCATGATGGTCCTCATGAAGGAAAGGGGTCAGAGGCAGAGCTAGAAAAGCATCCCTTCTCCAGGCTATCTGAGTGGCCCTGGGGAACCTACACATAGCCGTGGCCACCCAGTTAACCTGGAGAAGGGATGCTTCCCTAGCACTGCCTCTGACCCTTTTCCTTCATGAGGACCAGCCTTGAGACAACTGTGGTCAGTTACCTGTAAGACATTGAGAATAATCAAGAGCTCTGTTTGCCTTCAAATTTTCCTTCTATCCAGAAGGATCTCCCAGAAGACTCATGAAAGCATCCACAAAAGAAACAGTAAAATGGATGCCCATCATAACTGACTCATGAAGACAGGTGCTGTAGTTTGGTGTGTTTGAATCCTCCAAATCTCATGTTGAAATTTGACCCCAACTCAGTGCTGGAGAGGTACCTAATGGGAGGTATTTTGGTCACGGGAGTGTATCCCTCATGAATGACTTGGTACTTTCCTGTTGGTAACGAGTGGAGGGCAGCTGACTTAGGTACCCTGGAGGAGAGGAAGTATACAGAAAATGAACAAAGAAAACCAAAACCAAGAGTAGAAGCAAGTTCTCAGGCCAGGCAGCCATAAAAGTTCCCATTCTAGCACACAATCATGATCATTCCGATTAGAATTCCAAAAGAGACCAAAAGGCTTTTCTTAATATTATTTGTATTCGCTATTGAAGCCTTGAGGCCAGAAGCCATGACTTATTCATCTAGCATGATGCTCAGAGTACAGTGGGTGCCCAGGAAACCTGTAAAGAATGAATAAATTATTCAGAGCTGTGTCCTTATCAGGAAGTTGGAGAAAGTGGGTGCTTTTGGTGCTCATTTTCAAAGGGTGTGTTGGGATGCAGAGGTATTGTCTCTGTGAAGCTGGTTTTGGGGAGGGGTGGTTACGGATCTGAAAGTATTTTGAAAAGCCTATTTAGCCAGAGCCTGTTTGTGTGCTGGGGTATGAAACTCTATGAATGTATTATCAGCAGGGCCTTAGATAGGTTTGTGTGATTTGCTTTGGCCAGAAACAGGCTCCTTCTTCACACATTCCCTGGGGGCAGAGAGACCAACAGGGCCACCTGCTACTCTAATGATCTACCCACACACCCACAATTAATGCAGGAGATGTTATGATATTTAAAGGAATAGTGTCAGTTTTCTCTAAAGGCGTAATGTCCAAAATGGTAGCCTCTAACCAAATGTGGCTATGAGCACTGGAAATGTGGCTACTGCAAATTCAGTTGTGCTGTGGGTATAAAATAACCACCAGATATTGAGGACGTATACAAACAAAATAATGTAAAATACCTCATTAGTAATTTTTTTATTGATTACATGTTAACATGATAATTTTGGGAAATGTTAGGTTAAATAAAAATTTTGAGTAATAATTATTATTCTTTTTAATGTGGCTACCATAAAATTTAAAATTACATATATGGCTCACATTTTATTTGAACTGAACAATGCTACCCAAAAGATACCCTGTCTGGATGTCCATTTCTTGAATGCTTGCATTTCACTTAGATCTTGAAGAAATTATAAGATCTGAAAAGACAGGAGAATGGAATTCTACATGGGAAAAATGCACACACTTGGAATCACAAAGTGTGTTCACCAAAAGAGGGTAGACCAGCTGGCCTCAAACCCACCCCTAGGTCTCCCTGCATTTGATCTTATTCTTGGAAGACTCATGTGTCAGTTTCACTATTATTTCAACAAGCTGGTAAAGAAAGTACAATAATGGCTGCTAACATTTACTGCGAACTTGCTATGTGGTAAGGGCTGTGTTAATTGCTATATATACATTATTGCATGAATGAAGTAGGGACCTGACTATCTCCATTCTACAAATGAGCAGAGCAGATGGATGGCACACAGAAGGATAAATGGGAGTCACAGGAGGTGGAGGATGAGGAACATGGAGCAGTCATGGGTGTTGCCACAGTTCCTGGCTTGGCAATGGGTGAACACTGGGCCCACAACCTGGTTGGGGGTGGCAGGAAGTACTGGTTTACCTGATGTCCTTGCAGCAGATGCCTGGCAGAATGCTTATGTGGTGCATGTGCTCATTAAATATTGTTAATTCTTCATCTGAGCCTTCTCTCTTTACCCTTCCTTTAATTCTGCCCCCTTCCTTGTTCCCATCACTCCTTCCCAGGAAAACTTCTCCATATTATTGCTGTGCAGTGGACAAAGGATGGTCATTAGCCTCAGGTGCAGAGCCACATCCCACCACTTGCTGGCTGGGTAACTAATACACACCTCACAGGGTTGTAATGAAATTTAAGGACATGTTGATGTAATGAAACTCCAAGCATACAGAAGGTGCTTAACAAATAATAGCTTGCATCATTATTTATTCTCTTCTTGTGCTGCACCTCTGTGGCTCTCTAGTTTCCACATCTCAGTTGCAGGGGACGCTGATGGTATGGGGGCCTAGAAATTCGATGGCAGTGATTTCCACGCTGAGTTCCACCCTGACTCCCACCACAGGCCAATTCACTCTTTACTCTGTCTGTAAGCTCCTTGGGATCTGAAAAGAGCCAGTCTCTTCTAGTCTAGAAAAAATTCTTAAGCAATTTCTATAAATATTTTGAGGACCTTTTTGCCTTTTAAATTGCCATTTGTAATCAACAGCCCCCAGCAGCTGCCCTTTGGAAACTGGTGATCTACTTTGTGTGTCCATGTAGCACACAAAAAGCAGAAGCCACGGCAACATCATAATTTTGAAATGTGACTTTCTGTTGGATCCCCATTGTCATGGCCCTCTGACCAGTCATTTGCCATAGGCACAGGGAATTCAACTGGGGCCATTTTCTTCAATGCGAGGTGAAATGCAGCATGCTGCATCAGAGCCCAGCCCAGTGCTGGCAAACCTGGGTTTCAGGTCCAGCTCAGGCACTCAATGCAGGTAGCTTCAGGCAACCTGGGTCTCAATTTCCTCACCTTTCCCTCTGGGTCTCAATATCCTCACCTGTCTAACCAGGGAATGGGATGTTATGGTCCCAGCTCTCAAAATCTTTAATGAGAACTCCAGAAGATGGGGACTCTATCCTTCTTTTTGGTAGCTGGGTATTTGGTATCTAGCACAATATCTAGCGTATAGTAAGTCCTCAATAAACTCTTGTTGAATAAACGACTGCCCCTGAGCTGTTTCAGTTGTGACCACCTGCACGGTAGGTGTTGCTGATCCTAAAACATCTCTTGGGAGAGATGAATAATAATAGCAGATGTACAGAGTTGCATTGGACAAGGTCAGACATTCTTGGCATTTTCCCATGTTTCTCATCTCTATGCCATGTACAGACTCTGCCTGAATCTACACATAGCACTAAGTCATCAAAAGAGGGATAACAGTAAAATGATTTCATTCAGTCAGAAACTCCTGGGTATATTGAAAGCAATGAATAGAATGTACATATTTAGTATCTTTTTTTTTGGGGTTGTCAATTCTTTTTTTTTTTTTAATACTTCAAGTTTTAGGGTACATGTGCACAATGTGCAGGTTTGTTACATATGTATACATGTGCCATGTTGGTGTGCTGCACCCATTAACTCGTCATTTAGCATTAGGTATATCTCCTAATGCTATCCCTCCCCCCTCCCCCCACCCCACAACAGTCCCTGGTGTGTGATGTTCCCCTTCCTGTGTCCATGTGTTCTCATTGTTCAATTCCCACCTACGAGTGAGAACATGCAGTGTTTGATTGGTTGTCCTTGCAATAGTTTGCTGAGAATGATGGTTTCCAGCTTCATCCATGTCCCTACAAAGGACATGAACTCATCATTTTTTATGGCTGCATAGTATTCCATGGTGTATATGTGCCACATTTTCTTAATCCAGTCTATCATTGTTGGACATTTGGGTTGGTTCCAAGTCTTTGCTATTGTGAATAGTGCCACAATAAACATACGTGTGCATGTGTCTTTATAGCAGCATGATTTATAATCCTTTGGGTATATACCCAGTAATGGGATGTCTGGGTCAAATGGTATTTCTAGTTCTAGATCCCTGAGGAATTGCCACACCGACTTCCACAATGGTTGAACTAGTTTACAGTCCCACCAACAGTGTAAAAGTGTTCCTATATCTTTTACAACAATGTAAAAGTGTTCCTATATCTTTTTTGCTTAGTAAAAAAAGAAAACTACTTTATTTGAGCTCAAGTGAAGGATCCCAGCAAACTGTTATTTAATTGCATCAGTTTGTAGGTATGCAGCATCCACTGTAAAGGCTGAATGGTCACGGGCTGTGATTATTTGGTTGGCAGGCGTGAGAGCGATATTTCCTTCTCAGCAGCTCAAAGACCTCTCTCATGTGTCTGCTGCCCAGAGGTGGACAAGATCAGGCAAGGAGACTTCACAGACTTTATGGGTGAAGTCCATTAACTTGAATCCCTTAACCAAGCCAATGCCTGTAGACCGTTCCTGTAGGCAGTGGGCTGTAGACCATTCAGTACGCAGTGAGCTCAGAGTCTTCTGCCTTTAAGAAGTGATGATGTGCACTGGAGCACTGGTCCAGGGAGATTCTCAGTGTACTCAGAACCTTATAAGTAATCAATAGTAATCAATAACCCTAGGATGGAAGGTATTTCGTATCTAGAGTGCAAAAAGGAGCATATTGTACCTGAACTTATGAGTCCTCTCATATATGGTCAAGATGAAGAAAGGATAGCAAGTTGGGTGCTTATATCAGACCTTTTAAACAAACAGGCAGACATAACTAAACCATTGGGAGCAGATGGAACAAAACAATGCCGTGGCTGGAGAAAGAATGACAGAACGGAACTCTGAAGCTCAAAGGCTTCTCTCCAGCTCTCCGTTGCACTCCCCTTCTTGCTCTGTCACTCTTTCTCTCCCTCTCTCTCTCTATGTACACACACACACACACACACACACACACACCCCCTACACATTCTTGTTGCACAAACCAGAGCAGTGAGATACATAGAGCATCACAAAGAAATCATAAAAATTGAAGGGACATCATCCTAATAGGATGATTTTCATCCTAAACCCTGTCTGATTTTACTTTTAATTTATGATCATTGTCACATTTAATTCTTTCTATTTTCTAAAATGCTTCCCCCGGAGATCCCAAGAGGGATTACTTTCCTCTTTCCTTCTTTCTCCCCCTTTCTGTGGGGTGAGCAGACCCAGCTCCCAGAGCGTGCTCTGGGCGGAGCTAGGACAGAGGCAGTGCCCCAGCTGCAGGAGGTCGGGATGTCAGTGGCTGCAAATGCCCAGTGCTTCTGGCGGATAGTGTCATTTTGCCTTAGGCAGCTCAAAGGCTGGAGTAGTGAGACTGTCAGAGAGACCACCCTCTGGGGACACAGCAGCCACTGCAGAAGACTTTATTCCACATCGCTTTTGTTCTGAGTAAAACCAAGTTCCTGCATTGGACATTAGATAGACACTTTAAATGCAGCAGGGTGTGGGGGCGGTGGCGGTGAGGAGCTAGCACTGTGTGATTTTATGTTTAGCTACAATTCTGTAACTAGATTTGCAAAAAATGTCTGAATCTGCTAGAGAGAGGCAGGGTGGGTTTCAGGGGCTAACACTGGCTGGGAGTCTGGGGACCAGACTTCTAGCTCAGCTGGCTCTTGCACTAGCAACCTATGTGGCCCTGAGCCAGGTCTGTCACCTCAGCTTCCTCATTGTTAAGTGAGAAAGATGACCCAGATCATGCCATCACCCCCGAGAGACGCTACGTGAGAACTGGGCTCAAGGATCAATTTAGGCGACAGCACTGCCCACTCTAGTAATAGCCATCACTTAAATAGTACTTGGTTTTGATCTCAAAGCATAATAACTATTTAATCCTTGCAGGCAACTATGAAGCACATGCTGTTGTTATTCTTATTTTACAGATGAGGTACAGAGAGGCTAGGCGATGTGCCTAAGGTCACACAGCCAGTAAGGGACAAAGCTGGTTTCCAGGCCATTCAATCTCACCTCAGATTCTGAGTTAACCCCCATGTCACCCTGTGCACACCGTGAGAGTCAGTCAGGGCTCTGAGAAGTTTTGCAGCAAAGAGACCCGTTTAACCTTCGGTTAAGCCGGCAATTCTCAAACTGATGTGACCAAAGACTTTCAGGAAGCAGCAGGGTGTGATGGCTGAAAGCACAGAGTCGAGTCAGACATGGTTGGGTTTATATCTTCGCCTTCTACTTAGAACTGTTGTGGCCCTGGGCAGGGGCTAAACCTTTCTAGACATGAATTTCCTGAGCTATAAAATAGGGATAGTGGTGACAACATGGTTGCTGGGAGGAATAAAAGAACCGATGCATGAAAAACTCTTTGCATAGTTCTTAGTATATTGGCATAAGAGTATGAACATCAACTTTTACACTATATATATATATATATATATATATACACACACTGTATACACACATACATGGTATGTATATATAGAAATACAGTAAAGATATGTATGTATATGTCATATGTAGATATGTTATGTATATATATCTATATATAGATATAGATACAGACAAACACATACTCACACATCCTAGTTTACAGAACTAATATTCCTAAAACACATTTTGGGAAGTGCTAGGCTAATACTCTCTAAAATTCTGACCCCCTCCCCACCCATTTTGATTTCTATGTTTTAATTCTAAAATTTCTAAGATCTTATGAAGGCATATGTGGGCTTCCTGTGTGGAAAGAACTCACTTCCACAGAATGCCACAGCTGAGAAGATCCTTAAAGATCGCGGTGTCAAACTTACTTTTTTTATAGAAATGAGGGCCTACAGAGGTCTGATGACTTGTCTGAAGCTACTATCCATGGTGCCATCATTGGAAAACAACATAAACATAGCAACTCATAGAGCTGTAGGATAACGCCTCATCACCACTCTTGCCTTGGGATAAGTGGGACTTAAATCTCAATGAGCTTTTAGAGCTGATATTCACAGGCAGGTCACCCATAGCTTCAGGGATAGGATGCTTTAAGCCTTATTGAAAAGCCACTCACCAGGTTGTCATAGGGTATCTAAGGAACCCCCAAGACCCTCTGTTCCAATTAGGCTCCTCATGGTGTCTCTTTGATTGCCATCAGGAATGTGAACATTCTCTAAAACCCAAGTTACATTGAAAGAAGAGGTTGCAAACTCCTTGGCATTCCTGGCCAACCCTGTAGTGCTGAGGGGTATTGGGCCCTGTTGGAGACACTGCAAGTGGTCATCATGACATATTAGGTATTAGCACAGGCCCTCCCTGAAGTCATTCAAGTCCCCAAACCCAACTGTGCTGGTCATCAATGAAGGCCTCTGCCTGAATTAAGCTTTCCAGACTTCTAATTTGACTGGGATCAGAAGCCTGGGTAGGGTCTTGCTCTTAGAATTGCTGCTGGAGTTTCTTTCTTTCCTCCCTACCTCAGTCTCCTTGTCCATGTCCAACTTTGGTCTCCAACATGGCATCTCTCTGCAGCTTCACACCTGGCCATGCTGAGTCCCGCCTCTGGCTTTTGTCTGCTGTGGCTAGCCTTCCACCAAAGGTTTGCACCCCACTTTCATCCTGTTTTCACCTAGGCGGGACAATAAACTGACTTTAGGCCAATGTGATGTGGGAGAGGTGATGTGAGCCATATGCAGGCCTGGACTACATAAACCTCCCATGAGATTCCTGCCCACATTTTCCCCCATTTGCTGGCTGGATGTTGAGGCTCCAGCTGCCCTTAATAGGCATTCACTGAAGATAGTGGAATTCTGGGTAGCCTGGGACCCTGAATGACTACATGGAGAAGAGTCCTGCCCCTTAGCCCCACTGCCACAAGGCTTTTATGTGAGCTAGAAATAACCTTCTATTGTGTCAAGGCACTGATATTTCAGAGTGTTTGTTAATGTAGCCAGCATTCCTCTAATACATATTCATATTTCTTCTACCAGTCATATTCCTTACTCCTGAATCCAGCTCCAAGTCTGACCTCTTTTGTCTGAGGTCCTCCTAGCCTCACTGATCTCAGTGTGCTCTGTCGCCCACATTTCTTTTGCTCACATCTTCACACTCAGGCAGTTCCCACTTTGCTACGCACGGGCTTGTGGTGCTAATTGAAGAGGACAGAGACCTCGTTCTATACTCACTCTGCATCTCCCAAAATGCCTAGCGTCAAGCCCAGCAAACAGTAGGCACTCAATCAATACTTGTTGATCGATCTGTGAGAGGCTGGAATGATCCATATCAAACTCCAAGCATCATCTGGGAGCTCACTGATTAAACAGATGAATCTTGCAACCTTTCTTTAATGCCACCAAGGCAGCCTTTGCTCCTCAGCCTGGAGTCTCAGACTTGGGAGCTCTCCTTGCTGGCCAGTTCCTGGATGGCTTCCCAGGATCCAAGGCACTCCAGGCCGCTCTCTGATGGCCAGGGCATCCATCAAACGACCTGCTGACTGCAGGTTATTCTTTGTTCTCTCTACTCCTTCTGCTTAAAAACAACAACAACAACAAAAACCCAGGCAAGCCCCTCTCTCTCTAGGGCCCCTATTCCCCTCTCTGCCTATGTAGGGAAGAGTGGAACAGAAGCATCTTCCAATTACTATAATTGTATTTAAAAATATATATTTATGTTATAAAGCCTCATAGAAGCCTCATGAGAAGGGGCCCTGGCAGCCCAAGCACAGGACTAGGGGGCTTAAACGTCAGTTAGCAGCGTACTTTGAATGGCCTTTTCCGTTTAGGCTGCCCTTCTCTGAATGCTGCAGCAGCTGACAGGTTAGTGAAGAATTCAGGCATACCAGGTAGCTGGCATCTTGGTTATCAAAAGTTTCTTTGAGTCACTATACTCCATTTTATTCATTTATTTTAGTTATTTTATTACTTCTTGTAGTATCAGTAATTTTTGTTTGATGAAAAACAATTCGAGAACATGGAAAAGAAAAATGAACATTATATGAATGAACATTACTTGAATGTTCTTGAGATCACCCCACTGCACTCCAGCCTGGGAGACAGAGTGAGACCCTGTTTCAAAAAAAAATTCTGCCTGCTTGTGTGATTATTCTCTTGGGATAAATTCATAGAAGTAGAATTACTAGTTGAAGGAAATGTACATTTTAAAGTTGTATGATACCTATGGCCAGAGAGGTCACATCAATTTACCCACCAGTATTCTAGCTGGTTTGAAGTGTATTCAGTCAGACTGGTTTGTGTATGTAGATACAAATGGATGAGAGGTGGGATGGGGAGAAAGAAATAAAATAGTTAATATATTTTTAAAGCTGTTTGCCTTAATTCAATCTGCTCTGGTTGAAATTCTGCTGCTCTTTAAAACAGACCAGTGGGTTTAGGTCCAGTTTTTATCTGATATGAGGTTGCAAAACATCTTATGTTGTACACTTGCATGAGTGTAAAGGAAGTGGATTTGTTTTCAGCATAATTAAAATGGGCAAAAACAGCATGTCCTGGATAGCTGCATGTTTGTGGTGTGCAGTGGTGTGTGTGTGTGTGTGTGTGTGTGTGTGTGTGTATGTACTTATTCACCCTGTGGTGAATTTGAGCCAAGGCCTGGTTGTTTCAATAGGAGAAAAGAAGAAATCTGCTTTTGAGATGCTCAAGGGAGAGAAAAAGCAAGGTGAAGTGTGGGCCGTTTCTCTCACCAGGAAGAATGTTGGAGCCAGGAAGAGCCACATTAGGGAAACTGGCTTTGGGGTGTGTGCAGATGTATTAAATTCTTCTACTTAATATGTCAAAAATCTTTTTTCATGGTAAAAAATAGAAACCATTAATCTCTCCCCCACCCCCAGCCCCCGCCGTGCTCCATTTTCTTGTCTGCCTTCCGACTCCCATGCTGCCTGTCTTGCTGGTGGATGGTGAGTGGGTCAGTCAGCCTCTGCGGTGGGCATGGATGTCTCGCTGCAGGGAGCACTTCCGCCCTGTGGATCAGACCCTTCCTACAGCCTAAGTTCCTGTGTCCTGATTTGCTTGGACCCTGAGGAAGGAAAGGAGCTGGTTTATTCATGAATCCCTGAGTAGGATTGCCTCTGGAAGCAGGACACTAGCTGTCTGGTGGAGAGGATGCAGCTTCTGGTCAAACTCTTCTCTGGCCCGTCCCATCAGTCTTCCAGATTATGGGTTTGAGACAGTGTCATGCAGGGAAAAGAGAACCAGAGTTGAGTCAGGAGTTCTGACTCTGCCAATGACAGGTTAGTGACTTTGCCCAAGTCATTTAACCTCTCTGAACCTTAGAGTTCTATTATGTCAAAAGGATCGTTTGTGAAGATGGATTAACTGATCCTTCCAGACCCACTGACTCTTGATGTATCTTGCATGAATTCTCAGGTAGAAGTTGCTCTCCCATCACTCCTTCTCAGTACCCTCCCAGCACATTGTTTATATGGCTTTCACTGCCCTAAGTGATGACAGTTTTCATGGTTTATGCTCTCTGCTGGACCATTGTTCTAGTTAAGGTACTGCTAGTGGCCATGACAATTAAAACCCCCAAGTTTTAGAGGTTTACAATAGAAATACATTTATCAACCACTTGATTGATGGGCATCTTCATTTAGGAATCCAGAGACCCAAGTTCCTTCTATCTTGTGGCTCTGTCATTCCTTAGACCCTTGGAGTTGTATAAATCCAGCCAGAAAATTGGATGAATGTGTGGAGGAGCACAGCTCTTTCTTAACCATCTTGGCTATGAGTGGCTCATGTTACTTCTGCTCACATTTCACTGGTGAGGACAGTCACACAGTTCCACCTGATGCAAAGGAGGCCACAAGCAGCTGCACCCCAGAGACAACTCTACAGGACAAAAGGAGAAGAACTGTGAACCTTTGATGGATAGCTAACAGTCATCTAAGACCCCTGTGAGGGCAAGATATTGTTCTCCCTATGTCTCAGCACCCCACATGGCTCCTGACACAGATGTTCAGTATAATAGACTTGCATCATCTGTGTATTTCATTTCTGTAACTTTAGCTGCATAGAGAAATAGAGAAAGAAAACAATCTAAATAGTGCCTGCAACTCTGCTGCCAATCCCAGGCAATGGGTATATGTCAAGAAGAACAGGCTGCAAACTATAGGCTGTGGGCCAAACCCTGCCCACCGTCTGCTTTTGGAAATAAAGTTTTATTGGAACATGGCCATGCCCATTCATTTACTTATTGCCCATGGCTGCTTTTGTGCTACAGTGGCAGACTTGAAGACTTGTGACAGAGACCACAAAGCCTAAAATATTTGCTCTCTGGTTCTCTTCAGAAAAAGTGTGTGGACCCCGGCTCTGGTGAGAGAGGGTGAGACAGGAGACTCAATTCATGGTTTTCTTTTGTCTGTCTCTGTCCCCTTCGCTGCTTAGAGTGAGCATATTGTGGTGCTGGGTGTGATCATCAGCCCAGCATTTAAAGCCACATGTTTGTACAGCGTGGTGTCTAAACATGAGCCAACTCTGTGAATGCATAGACCATGTATGTTGCACAATTACTTAAGGAATTCATAAGGGCAATGTTGACCTTATGTACTTTCTTCAGAACCTATTGCTTCTCATAAAATATGACTCTATAGTAAAGGCACATTGAATGAGTGCTTAAGTGGATATGCCAACCCTTTGCAAAGTTAAAGGTATACTACAAACCACAGAATTACTGTTACTTTTGTTTCTAACTTATATTTCAAGAAACGGATGCCCTCCATCTCAGCGGTCCTCAATTTTTTTGGCATCAGGAAGACAAATTTTCCACTGACCGGGTGGTAGGTGGAGGGAGAGACGGTTTTGGGATTATTCAAGCACATTACATTTATTGTGCACTTTATTTCTATTATTATTACATTGTAATATATAGTGAAATAATTACACAATTCACTATCATGTAGAATCAGTGGGAGCCCTGAACTTGTTTTCCTGCAACTAGGCAGTCCAATCTGGGGCTGATGGGAGACAGTGACAGCTGAAGTGTGTTGTTTATGTCTAGCCTATTCCATCATCTCATTTTGGTTGCTGTCACTGCAGAAAACCCTGCCTCACAAAGATAAGATGTTGGGAATGGAAGCAGGCTTTTCAGTGCTTCTGTGGCAATCTCAGGATATTCTAACTTTGAGTTTAATCCAGATCGTATGGAGATTTGAAGTTGTCTCAAACATACTTTTAAGGCCACCAGATGCAGCCGTACAATTGAAGTACATCAACTCACTTGCCACTATAAAGTCTGCCACCAGATGCAGCGTAATTGTCACTTGCCACTCACTGATAGGGTTTTAATATGAATCTGCAAGCAGTTGATTTATTATGGTCTCTGTGCAGTCAAACCTCCCTACTGTTGTTAATCTGTGTGTGCAGCCACTTCCCAGCACTAGCATCACAACCTCAGCTCCACCTCAGATCATGAGGCATTAGATTCTCATAAGGAGCAGGCAATCTGGAACCCTCACATGTGCAGGGTTTGTGCTCCTGTGAGAATCTAATGCTGCTGCTGATCTGACAGGAGGTGGAGCTCAGAAGGTAATGCAAGCAGTGAGGAGCAGCTGTAAATGCAGATGAAGCTTTGCTCAACCACCATTCACCTCCTGCTGTGGAGCCTGCCTCCTAACAGGCCAAGGACTGGTACCAATCCATGGCCCGGGAGCTGGGGACCCCTGCTCTATCTGTAACCAAGGAGGATAACCTCTCAACCTCAAATGCTCTGTAGAAGCTCACGTGCTGCAAGTTTTGTGCCTGGTTGCCTTTCTCTCCTTTGGATAGCTCATTGTCACAAACAGAAAATAATAACTTTTTTTTTTAAGGTGGAGGGGTGCATTACATACTTTCCGAATAGCAAATAGTAAGAAAGAATTTGACATCTAAATATGTGGTTTGAAGTCAGAGGACTTCAGTTATTCACCTGCCTTACACTGAGAAGACAAGCCATTTGGCTAAAGGCTGTGTCTACACAGGTCTCAAGGGTCTAGTAGGAACTGAAAGCTTCATTTGGATTTGGTGGGTCTGCCCTGTTGTGACCCCAAAGTATACCAACTCTCACTGTGGTTTTAATAAGCCTGCTTGAACACACACCCCAGTGAGGCTCAAATGGGGGGCTATGTACTTATTTATATTCTAAGGACATTCCTTTTGATCAAAATATTTTTGAAAACTTTTTAGATTTGTATTTAGAATCTGTGGCACATTCTTTTAAATATTCTCAATTTATTTGGATTTGGGAGTGGGCTTTTGTTTGTATTTTTCAACTTTTTTTAAAAAAAGTTTTAATTAAAATATACAACCCTCATTCATTGCTGATGGAAACGGAAAGTAGTATAGCCATTGTGAAAGATGGTTTGGCAATTTTTTAAAAAACTAAACATACTCTTATTATATGATGCAGCAATTGTATTCCTCAGTACTTACTCAAGTGAGTTGAAAACTTATGTTCACACAAAAACCTTCACGTGCATGTTTACAGAAACTTTATTCATAATTGCCAAAACATGAAAGCAACCAAGACGTCCTACAGTCTGTGAATGGATAAATAAACTGTGGTACATATGGACAATGGAATATTATTCAGCACTAAAAAGAAATGAGCTATCAAGCCATGATAAGACATAGAGAAAACTTAAATGCATATGACTAAGTGAAAGAAGCCAATCTGAAAAGGCTACATATTTTATGATTCCAACTATATTACATTTTGGAAAAGGAAAAACTATGGAGGCAGTAAAAGATTTAGTAGTTGTTGGGGGCTAGGGGGAAGAAAGGGGTGAATCAATGGAGCACAGAGGATTTTTAGAGCCATGAAATGACTCTGTATGATGCTACAATGGAGGAGGGATGTCTGTATACATATAGAATGTATAGCACCAAGTGTGAATCCTAATGTACACTATGGACTTTGGGTGATAATGATGTGTCAATGCAGACTCATGAATTGTAAAAAATTCATCACGCTGGTGGGGATGTTGATAATGGGAAAGGCTGTGCGTGTGTGGCACAGGGTGTACTGCATATGCAGGGGCATGTGTACAGAGTTCTGCCTGTGTACTGCGTGTGTAATCCTGCGTGTGTAGTACTGCATGTACAGAATTCTCACTCTGCCCCCTGCGTGTGTAGTACTGTGTGTGTAATACTGCGTGTGTAGTACTGCGTGTACAGAGTTCTCACTCTGCCCCCTGCGTGTGTAGTACTGCGTGTACAGAGTTCTCACTCTGCCCCCTGCGTGTGTAGGGGCAGGGTGTACTGCGTGTGTAGGGGCAGGGGGCAGAGTGAGAACTCTGTACTTTCCACTCAATTTTTCTGAAAATGTAGTCTACTTAAAAAGTATATACCATACATACAGAAAGTGAACAAATCATTAGTGTACAGATTTATATATTTTCACAAATTGAACACTTCGATTTGTTCGCTTTCTGTAGGTATGTGAAACCAACATCCAGATCAAGAAACAGAATACCACCATATCCCTAAAAGTCTCCAAATACCCATTTTCTGTCATCGACGACTCTGTATAAGAATAATGATTATGCTGACTTTTAACAGAATTTTTGGTTTTTCCTGTTTTTGAGTGTTATACACATGGAAGCAAGCAGCATGTCTACTTTGGAGTCTGGCTTCTTTTGCACAACAATACGGTGGTGAGATTCATCCCTATTGTTGCTTAAAGTTGAGCATGTTCATTCCCTTTGCTGGATGGTGTCTCACTGTGCAGCAGAAAGCTTTTAACCTGACTGTGAAGACACTTCCCATGGGGCCTTCTGGATGTGGTTTAAGCAACTGAGACTGTCTAGGTCCTTGAAGTGAAGTAAAACCTTCATTGAGAAATAGAAGTTTTTATATCTTTATTTATCAAGTGAGTCCAGTTTACTCCAAGGCACATCACATGTCCCCAGGCTCACTGATGACGCTCAGAACTTACCTCTGTCCCCACAACAAGCTATGGCTTTGCTTCTACTGGGATGGGCCATCATGCTCAGATCTGACGTTGCCAAAAGCTGGTGAGAGAATTCAGCCAAAGCCAGCTCTTCAGCAGAGGAAACAACAGTCCTGTGAAGTGAGGATGATAATAGAGATCTGTTGCTACCTCTCGCAATTTATTTTACCTCTCTATGCCTCAGTGTTTCAATATGAAAGTGGGGACATCTACATTCCTGGTCTTGTAAGGAAGCTATCTTAGTCTGCTTGTGCTGCTCTAACAGAATCCCCAAGGCTGGCTAGTTTATAAAAAACAGAAGCTCATTTCTCACAGTTCTTGAGGCTGGGAAGCCCAAGATCAAGGCACCAGCATCTGGTGAGGACCTTCTTCCTGTATCCTCACATGACAGGAAGGCAAGAGAAACTGAAGGCTGACTGAAGCCTCTTTTATAAAGGCCTTAAGGTTATTTACCAGGGAGTTCTCATGACCTAATCATCGTTTATAGGCCCTACCTCTTAATACTATCACATTGGCAACTCCTGAATTTTGGAGGGCACACATTTAAATTATGGCAGAAGGCCGAGCACAGTGGCTCACACCTGCAATCCTAATAGTTTGGGAGGCCAAGGCAGGTGGATCACCTGAGGTCAGGAGTTCGAGACCAGCCTGGCCAATATTGGGAAATCCTGGCTCTACTAAAAATACAAAAATTAGCTGGGTGTGGTGGTGCATGCCTGTAATCTCAGCTACTCAGGAGGCTGAGGTGGGAGAGTCGCTTGAACCTGAGGCAGAGGTTGTGGTGAGCTGAGGTTGCAGCACTGTACTCCAGCCTAGGTGAGAGAGTGAGATTAACCTCTCAAAACTGAAATGAAGTAAAATAAAATAAAATAAATTATAGCAGAAGCTATGAAAAAATGAATTAGAGTGATGAGAGACTTCTGAGAGAATCCTAAAAGCAAAAAATATGTGAGTGCTATTTTTACTATTAGAAGTTCTGTGAAGATTAATTTTAAAAAGGTTGCAAATACTCTTGAAGATCTCTGAGCATGGCGTATGAATTGCTGAATGTGCTGGAACCTCCCCATATCATGCCCTTCTATGGTACCCTGATCACATGCACCATCCAATCACATAGATAACTCTGTGATTATTGTTGTTGTTGTTGTTTTTTTTTTTTTTTTTTTTAAGAAACAATAATTTTGAAACAGGGTAACACAAAAGGTAAGGGAGCAATTAGTAGCATGTATGTCATGAAGCACCCTGTAGATCACTTATATTAAATTCCAAGTCCTTTTATTAAAAAGCACAAATCTTTTCATTTTTGTGAAGAGCTTCCTAAAGACTAGGATGGTTAAATAAAAGGTAATCTGGCGTAGAAGGGAAGCATGAAAGAATTTCCAAAGTATGTTGCTCACCCCTCAATGTGGACACAAACTACCCTAGGCATGAGCATTGGGTTGACATTGGTTGGCTTCTGTAGCAGATGCCCATAGCCCCTTGAGTCTCCAAAAGGCCAATGGCTTCCTCCTGCAAGGAAACATGATTCTGCTTGAGGGCTTTCCCTGCCACTGGAGTGAATTGCTCAAGAGCCCCCCTCAACCCAAGCCAAATGAAAGTTGGTGGTTAAGCTTCCTCATTCCCTGAGTAGGATAAATCTGAGGTGTGTCCTACTCGCTGTCCCAGAGGCCCTCAAAGGCATTGGGCCTCAATTTCCCACAGTGGCAACCTGGGCATTCATAACTTTATTGGCTTCCTTTGCTTACTTTGCTCAATTTCCCACTAGCCAGTATACTATGCTTCCTGAGAACACTTCCCAAATAAACTGCATGTTCCAAGACTCTTGTCTGAGGGATTGCTTCTAAGGAAACCCAAACTAAAACACCTTTTTTTTTTGAGTGATATATTTTGGTGCCCAATCTAACCATTGAATATGGAGTCGTGTTCATAAGGAATAAGAAATGAAAAAGAAAAAGTTGGAAAATTTTCCAGTGTCAGACTTTCCCATCCTTGAAGCTTGCATGGGAAGAAATCAGAAAAGAAATGCCTGGGGAAAAATTTGACAGAATCAGAAATCTCCAAGTTTGGGTGTATCTATGGAACACAGTTGTGTTGACAATAGAGTTTGGTGAATTAAAAAATGATTCCTGTGATGAGAAAATTAGACTTTCCCAATAATAAAAATAATCATTCAACATGAATTTTAAAAATCATCACAGTTAATCCTGATGCAAACCCAGGACTAAGACCTACTACTCTATTCATTTAGGTTTATGACATTAAAATGCCATTATGATAGCACTATTTATTTTCTGTTTCTGTGAGCCAGACATTGTGCTACGTCCTTTGCATATGCTATCTCATCTAATTGTGACAGCAACTTTTGAGGTAGGAATTGCTTTTTTTGTTACCTGTATTTTGCAGATGGTGGGTCTGTGTTGAGTAGTTAAGAAACTTGCCTGAGACTGCACAGTTTCCTGCTTTGTAACTGAAATTCAGGCTGAAATTTAGCTTCCTGCTTTTCTCAGGCTCAACGTGTTTGTATACTTTCTCTCTTTCTTAGTGAAATTTACCAAAGATTCGTCTCGTCAAAGGACAAGCATTGTTTTTGTTGATTAATTTATAATTTCTTTTAAAATTATTTTTACTTCCTTTCGTCTACTTTCCTTGGATAATTTTGTTGTTGTTGTTTTTGCACTTCCTGATTTGAAAGTTAAGTTCATTTAACTTCAATCTTTTGTGCTAATAAACTTGTTTACTGCTATTCATTGGCTTCTAAGTACCACTTTGGCTGCATCCCATAAGTTTTGTCATGTAGTGTTCTTGAGTTGTAAACAGTTTGTAATTTTCTTGTATTTCTTATCAAGCTTGGGAGTTATTTGAAAATCTGTTTTCAGATGTTTTTTGTGGTTATCTATTTGTTGTGGATTTCTAACTGGATTACATTGTAGTCAGTAAATACTCAACATAATAACAACTTTTTCTTTTTGGTCTATTAACAGAGCAAGGGAAGTTCCAGAATTGCCAATGGGTAGAAGGGAATGCTGCACCTGTATTGGCTCCATAGCTTTTACCTAAAATTGAAGAAATATCATTTGTTCATGTTAAAGAATGGGAGGGATGGCTGAGGGGGATTATGAGAAAACCAGAATCCTTCTTCCTACCCTCAAGCCTGTCACTGGTACAGACCATTAAAAATAATTTTTGGCCAGGCACGGTGGCTCACGCCTGTAATCCCAACACTTTGGGAGGCCAAGGCTGGTGGATCACGAGGTCAAGAGATCAAAACCATCCTGGCCAACATGGTGAAACCCCATCTCTACTAAAAATACAAAAATTAGCTGGATGTGGTGGCCCATGCCTGTAGTCCCAGCTACTTGGGAGGCTGAGGCAGGAGAATTACTTGAACCTGGGAGGCGGAGGTTGCAGTGAGCTGAGAGTGCACCACTGCACTCCAGCCTGGTGACAGAGCGAGACTCCATTTCAATAATAATAATAATAATAATAATATTTTTATATTCCCTCCCCACCTTTGTATTTCCTAGCTTGGTGACTTGGTCAAAATAAATCTTTAACATATGTTGAATTGAACAGTTACACCCATCATAAAATAATTAGCACTATGTACTAATATAAGATGCATCAGCAGAGAGAGCAAAAAGAATTAGAGACAAGATTGGGGTGTCCAGGAGTCACCAACTGCCCTGAGGGAGGAAGTGATCGTTGAACAGGGCCCTGCAGGAATAAGATGAGGCAAAGTGGAGTGGAGCAGGGTGCTTTCCATGCAGAGAGAAGGATCAGCAACCTGGTGGTGGTGTCAGTGCAAATCATGTTCATCAGCATGAAGGGAGAAATGTAACAAGTAGAGTTTGACTGCAGCAAAGAATTCATGCTTTAGAGTAATGGGAAATCAGGGTGACTGAGCAGGATAGGACCAGCATATTCAGGCATTTTAAGTTTAGAGCAAGAACTTTAGTTTCATATGGGAAACAGGAGTCACCATTGATGAGGCTCGACAGATGTGTTAAGGGGGTTAATCTAGCAGAGATGGGCCACATGAATTAGAAAGGAGAGAATAGAGTGATAATGAAGATGATGGTATAAGTATAGGGGATGTTAAGAAGGAAGAATTGGCAGGACTTGGGGACTAATTAAATGTGAGGGTTGAGAATAGGAAGGAGAAAAAGATGACTCCTTGGTATCCAGTCTGGTGGGCTGGAAGATGGTAATGACACTCAAGACCCAGGATAGTAGGTCTTAAAGAAAGACCATGAGTTTGGTTTTAGATATGTCGAGATGGAGAACCTCTGAGGGGAAAGGTTTGAAAATCATCAGACTGGAGAGAGAGAGGTGGCAGAAAGGTTGCAGAGAAAGCTGCAAAAGCCAGGGAGATAATTTTAAGGAAGTCTGTGTGCCTGTGTGTGCACCTGTGTGAATGCATGGGAGGGCAAGGGTTGGTGGGGGAGTTGTCAATTGTGTCAAATGCTATTCAGAAATGAGAGCAGGGTGGTTAGACAAAGCACTTGAGATTTAACCTTAAAGAATACAGTTTTGGTTAATGTGATGGTGACAGACAGTCAGGTTGATCAGGTTGCAAAGATTTAGGGAGAATAGGCAGCAAAGCAGGGGAGGCGATGGGCCTAAAGGGCATAAGTCACATTACTTTGTGTAACTAGCTTGCCCTTTAATTTCCTTGAAAGCTTTAGACAAAGATCTTAGAAGTGAAAGTGGCCGTGGAGAGTGAGGTGCTGGGAGAGGCCGGGAGTTTAGCCTGCAGAGCACCTGCCACAGAAACCGAGGAGGGGTTTCAAGATGTTCAAATGGAACTCCCTGGGATCATGGCAGAGAACAGAGGGCTGTAGGCCATTGAGAAGTTGGGATAAGAGGAAAAATGTTAAGCCACTGAAATCTCCTAGGCTGCCAAAAACTGGGTCTTGGCAGTAGTGAAGACCACGAAGGAACCAAGTTGGGTTAAACGTGAGGGGAGTAGACTTTGAGTGCTGAATGGTTGATAAAAGCTGGTGGACTCAGCAGCATCTCATCTTTGGAGAAGATGGAGTAGGAGGGTGAGGCAGCCCTGCCCCTGTGGAAGCCAGGGATGTAGTAGTTTGGGGGTTTCTGTGGTGATCAGAAGTAACCACCGATGCCTCAACAGTCTCCATTTGTGGGAATTTCTTTCTTGAAAGGCCTTGTTAGCTCACTGAGATTGGGGTAAGAAAAAGCTCCTCATTTTGATGGGCCTGACAGTTTAAACTTTTTTTTTAGGTCAAACTCAGCACGGATGTGAAACTTCATTAGCTGTACCTTAGCTCTGAGAGGAAACCTCACAAGACTCAATATTTATAGCTCAGGAAACTCAGGGCTCTTCCAGAGGGAGTACATTGGATAATGTCATGTCTCTGGAGGGCTCTGAGGTTTTTAAGAAAGTGGGTCTTCACTCCTTTCTGCTGAGCCACTGGGATACACCAGGCTTGTCTGTTACACATGCATGCTGGTGCTTGTTGCAGACAAAAATATGCTGGTCTGAGGGTGGGAGGTCTTTTTTTGTTGTTGTTGGAGTCTTACTCTGTCACCCAGGCTGGAGTGCAGTGGCACGATCTCGGTTCACTGTAACTTCCGCCTCCTGGGTTCAAGTGATTCTCCTGCCTCAATGTCCTGAGTAGTGGGATTATAGGTACACGCCACCATGCCTGGCTAAATTTTGTATTTTTAGTAGAGACGGGGTTTCACCATTTTGATCAGGCTGGTCTCGAACTTCTGACCTCATGATCCGCCCACCTTGGCCTCTCAAAGTGCTGGGATTACAGATGTGAGCTACCGCGCCCAGCCAGGTCTTGGTTTTACATTTAGCTCCGTGCACTTAGCCAAGTTGTTGATCCTCTCTGCACCTCGGTTTTCCTCATTTGTAATATAATGGGTGTGGCTGTGGTATGGACAAGTAACCTATCAGAGCTTTATGAGTTAATGTTTGCTGCGAGTCAAGAATGAAGCTGTTGTCACCAAGAGAGGGGAATGAAGCAGCCTGTCTGTTTTGCGGGAGGACCCTGGTGCTGCCTTGGGGCGTGTGGGGTCCAGGCCCAATTCTGCCATTGTTAGTGGCAAGTCACACTTCCCCCAGACCTGTCTGTCGGACTTAAAAATAGGTGGTGCAAACTACTGCTTAAAAATACACAGGAAGTACTATGGGGTCTTTTTATATGAGAAAAAGCACAGGACTTCGGAGCCTGGTGGAATTAGCCCTCTGAAATTTCGTGGGACAAGGACCATATGAGTCCTGGGAGTGCTTGCACCGGGGGATTGGGTCCACCATTCCCTGTGGAAGGAGGCCCTGTGCTTCTCCAGAGAGGCGTTTCAAGTGTCATTGTGTGACTGGCCCACCAACCACAATAGCCGGGCTAGATGGTGATGCTAAAGCAGTAACTTTGGATTTTACTTTTTCAACCAAAGAATTTTTCTACTAGAAAGACCAAGTACTGAAGTGCTTCATAGATTCCAGTGAACAGTTTGCAAAATAGGTAGATGCAGCCTTCAGCAAAAAATCAAAGTGCAGTCCAGAAAACAAAGGGAGAAATTGTCTTTTATAGAGAAAGTTCCTACTTGGGTTCCCACTCTGATTTGCTTATGCAAATGAAGGATGTAGACTTGCTTAGTTCTGACTGGTTAATGCTGAGTTGTGATTGGTTGTTGTAGGTCACTGAACTACAACCTACTGGTTAGTTCAGGTGGTGTTAGCAGGAACAGGCAGCTATAAAAGTATCAAAGTTATGCAAATGTGGGTTTTCTGGGAACTCATGGTATAGAATAGAGCTTGCTCTATTTTGAATTTAAGTGCAGTTAACCACTCAGAATTCATCTTTTTATTATTATTATTATTAATTTTTTAGAGATAGGGTCTCACTCTGTCACCCAGGTGGGAGTACAGTAGTGCGTAGTTCACTGCAGCTTTGAAATCCTGGGCTCAAGCAATCCTACTGCCTCACCCTCCTGAGCAGCTGGGACTACAAACATGCACCACCATGCCAAGCTAATTTTTAAATTTTTCATAGAGATGGGGTCTCACTATGTTGCCCAGGCTGGTCTCAAACTCCTGGTCTCAAGTGATCGATCCTCCAGCCTTGGTCTCCCAAAGCACTGGGATTACAGGCATGAACCATTGTGCCCGGCCAGGATCCATTTTGAAGGACTGGATCTTTCAGGGTTGACATGTGCATATGTGGGGGTGGGGTGGGGGAGTGTACATATTTAAAGAAGATGCTCTTTATAATCATATCTATAGAAGCTTGCATTTATATGATGGGATCATTCTAAATATGGGAGAGAAAACTTACTAGATCCTGGTCCCATTCATTTACCACTCTTGTTCTTTCCTCCCCTTTGTAGACAAACTTCCTTTTTTGGGGGGGACAGAGACTGGCTCTGTTGCTCAGGCTGGAGTGCAGTGGTGTGAGCATGGCTCACTGCAACCTCCAACTGCCAGGTTCAAGCCATCCTCCGACCTCAGCCTCCTGAATAGCTGAGACTACAGGCGTGCGTCATCACACCTGGCTAATTTTTTACTTTTTGTTGATATAGGGTTTTGCCTTGTTGCCCACGCTGGTCTCGAACTCCTGAACTTAAGCGATCCTCCCAGCTCAGCCTCCAAAAGTGCTGGGATTACAGGCATGAACCACCATGCCCAGCTGGTAAACACACTTCTTAAAAGACTTGCTCTGCTGCCTTTGGCAGCACACATACTAAAATTGGAACGATACAGAGAAGATTAGCATGGCCCCTGTGCAAGGATGACACGCAAATTCATGAAGTGTTCCATATTTTTCCCTAGAAGTAAACCTAGGCAATACCATTCAGGACATAGACGTGGGCAAAGACTACGATGAAATAACCAAAAGTAATGGTAACAAAAGCCAGAATTGACAAATGGAATTTAATTAAACTAAAGAGCTTCTGCATGGCAAAAGAAACTATCATCAGAGTGAACAGACAACCTACAGAATGGGAGACATTTTTTTGCAATTTACCCATCTGACAAAGGTCTAATATCCAGAATTTACAGGGAACTTAAACAAACTTACAAGAAAAAAACAACCCCATCAGAAAGTAGGCAAAGGATATGAACAGACACTTCCCAAAGACATTCATGCAGCCAACAAGCATATTAAAAAAAGCTCAACATCCCTGTTCATTAGAGAAATGCAAATCGAAACCACAATTAAATACGATCTCATGCTAGTCAGAATGGTGATTACTAAAAAGCCAAGAAATGGCACCGAGGCTGTGGAGAAATAGGAATGCTTTTACACTGTTGGTGGGAATGTAAATTAGTTCAACCATTGTGGAAGACAGTATGGCGATTCCTCAAGGATCTAGAATCAGAAGTACCATTTGATCCAGCAATCGCATTACTGGGTATATACCTGAAAGGATACAAATCTTTCTACTATAGAGACACATGCACACGTATGTTTACTGCAGCACTATTTACAATTGCAAAGTCATGGAACCAACCCAAATGCCCATCAATGATAGACTGGATAAAGAAAATGTGGTACATATACACCACCATGGAATACTATGCAGCCATAAAAAGGAATGAGATCATTCCTTTGCAGGAACATGGATGAAGCTGGAAGCCGTCATCCTCAGCAAACTAACACAGGTACAGAAAACCAAACACTGCGTGTTCTCACTCATAAGTGGGAGTTGAACAATCATACATGGACACAGGGAGGGGAACAACACACCAGGGCCTGTTGGGGGGTGGGGGACAAGGGGAGGGATCTTACAGGATGGGTCAATAGGTGCAGCAAACCACCATGGCACACATATACCTATGTAACAAACCTGCACGTTCTGCACACGTATCCCGGAACTTGAAGTTAAAAAAAAAAAAAAAGGCTTGCACATATTTGCTGTTTCTAATTCTTTACCCTGCCTTCATATCTTACCTCTCCTGGCTTCTATCCCCATCACTCCACAGAAACACTTCTCGCTGAAGTCTCCATGTAGCCACTGAATAGCAATGCTCAAAAACTACCCCAGGCTCTCGTTCCTGTTTCACCTTATACTCTCTCCCTGGGTAATTTCACTTTTACCCTGGTTTTGTTAACCCTCTAACTTCAGATGACACCCAGACTTGAACCCCAGCATGCCCACCTCTTGGGGTCAGAATGGCTTTCCATTTCTAGTGCTAGTCCCCCATGGAAGCCATGAAACATACATGATTCTGTGTGTGTGTGTGTGTGTGTGTGTGTGTGTGTGTGTGTGTGTGTGTTTGAGAGAGAGAGAGAGCGAGAAAGAGAGGATCTCACATCTCACTCTGTGGCCCAGGCTGGAGTGCAATGGTGCCATCATGGCTTAGTGCAGCCTCAACCTTCTGAGCTCAAGTGATCCTCCCACCTCAGCTTCCTGAATAGCTGGGACTACACCTGGCTAATTAAAAAAAAAAAATTTTTTTATAGAGACTGGGTTCCACTATGCTGCCCAGGCTGGTCTTGATCTCCTGCCTCACCCTTTCAAAGTTTTGGGATTCCAGGCATGCGCCATTGTACCTGGCCCACAAACGAGTTTCCTTTTAAAAAAAATTAAATGATCTCTCTTTTCTAGTCAAGCTAGCAAAATTGAGATGGTACTTTTAATCAAGATAATCCAATCTGTTATGTTAGGAAAAAGCTTGGCCCCATTCTGAAATAGACTATGATCTAGTTGGAAAGGCAAAATATATGGTATATGAAAGAAACCATACCATATATTTGTATACTATATGGCATGTGGTATACAACCTGTGTGAGAATATACAGAAGAGGAGAGGCCATGAGCAATATATGACATTCAGTTACTGAGCAATATATGACATTCAGTTACTTAACTGGATCTGATGAAATGAGGTGCTAGAGTCCTTCCCGTTACACAAAGATATCTCTTAAAAAAAGGACCCAGCATTCTGTAGTATTCTATCAGAAATTAACACCATCACCAGCTCTCATCAAAATAACACATGAACAGCACATCTGAAAGCTATTTAGCAGAACCACTCAATATTATACGTGAGATTTGAAGATGGCCACTTTGAAATTGCCCCTTTTAATCACAGACTGGAAGTAGCAGATGTAGAAAAAATTATTCTTGCCTCAAATTAATTAGGATTCTCTCTGGTTGAAAGCTTTTTCAGTGAACAAAAAGGAAAAATAATTAATGCTGCATAAAAGATGGTGATGAAAGAGGGCAAGGTATGAACACAATGACTATTTAAACCACTCGAAGCTTGCAAAGACTTGGAGGATTTCTTTGGGGATGCTGGTCATGGTGACCCACTCAGGAAGAGAATTCCTTTTACTCCTAGGCTAGTGGCTGCGGGGACCTGTTAGAAGGAGAAGAAGCACTATAGTAGTCACAGATTTTAATTTGTTCAATGACTGGTTCTGTAAAAGAAGACTGGCCCAGGGCAAACCTGAACCAATGGAGGCTTCCTTCCCAGTCTACTATGTCTGGTGTTCAAATACCTTTCTGTTAACGCTGGGGTCCTTGTCTCACTGTGGAATTTTATTCAGACCTAGCTGAACCCCTAAAACTTCCTGCCAACCTTCTTTCCTTCATCACATGCATCTGTTGAATGTCCCATCTCCTCAAGGCCTTCCTCATTCCTGATTGTCTGTGTTACGTGTTTTCTCTAGGCAAACTGGTTTTTATTTGAACGGGGACCTTCTGCAGGTAACAATGCAACACAAGGGAGATGCCTACAGGAAGAAGTTTTAGACACCTGTCAAGCATGGCCCCGGTAATCATAGATGTCCAGTGTTGGGAGAGGAGTGTTGGCCTTTGTCTCTTCATCTATAAAGGACAGATCATGATGTCTACTTCTCAATGTCGAAAAGATAAGAGAGAATAGATGTCAGCCCAGTGCCTGAAACAAAGTAGGATCTTCCTAGATATAAATTGTTGTGGTTGTATAGATCACAGACTCTGCCTATGGGAATATCATTCTTTTAACAAAAAGGCTTTAGATTTGGTTGAATAAGCAGTAGTGATGGGAAGATAACTAGTTCTGCACCAGACAGTCATACACAGGCCTGCTCAGTGGTTGCACATCTACGCTAGCACCACCCGAAGACAGTCCCAGGAACATATCTGCATGTTCCAATGGAAGGAGTAATTGCTGATTCAGGAGTTAGCGTGGCTGGTTCTAGGTGATTCCACCTCAAATTGTCTGTCTGATCTAGGGTAAATTATGTTTCCTATGAGAATTAAATAAGCAACTGTATATGTGAAAGCATATTATATAAGCAACTACATATGTGAGAATTAAATAAGCAACTATGTATGTGAAAGCCTTTGAAGAGTATAAAGTGCTATATGAGCGTTGGATATCACCACCAGTTGGCCTCACAGTGTCTTGAGGGAGGCCAAACATGTTCCAATGTGCTCAAGTTCACAAAGGGTCTGGAAAGTACAAGGGAAGTGAGATCACATGGGTTGTCTGGGAAGATGTCGAGACCTTGTCTTTATGAGGTTTTGCAGAGACTATTTTTCAGACCTGAGTTATGTAAATAGAGTCCCTCTTCCTACAGACGCTCCCATTTTCATACAGAAGTTTCATGAAGCTGCCTCTCTTGGATCAGGGAGGAGAAGCACTTCATTTTCCTTTCCCATCCTTAGAAACGACATGCTTCCCCCAATACTAACCCCTTCTTACAGTTTAATGCTTTTTCAACAGTGATCGGAGGTGATAGGGAGGTTTTTAAAATGATGCCTTTCAGTCAGCTCTGGAAAAAGGATCCCAACTGCCAGAGGTTTTCTCAGCTAAGAATGTTGAGGAAGAAGGAACCCAACTGCTAGTTTTCTGAGCTGAGAATGTTGACTATTTTAACACGTTTTGTCTTCAGTGTTGGATCTTCACTGGAATTCTGAGGCAACAGGAGAAACTCTGCCCCATCTTCAGTCACATTGCTCTGCCACCAGGTTTTGGGACAGCATGTTTAGAAGTGGGGAGACCGATGACAGTGTTCACATTTGTTTCACCAGAGGAGCTCAGGGATGTATTATAACTATGTGGGCATCACACAGTGGCCTGGCTCAACATCAGCCAATGCCCAAGGGGAGGGCAGATTGATGGACAGATATCACCGGAGTACTTTTTTGCTTAGCTTTTGTTTTATCCTTTAACTAGTATTTAGTGGGTGCCTGTTATATGCACAGCATAGAGCTGGGCTCTGGGGTGGGAATCAGGGGCTAACGGGACATGGCGACCTTCACGAGATGGCAGTCCACTGGAGAAAGCAGTCATGCAAATAACCAGCATACCAGACAGGATGGAAGACGTGCAAAACCTGCATAAGAACCCCAGTGCTGTGGAAGTGCAGAGGGAGGAGCAATTAATCCAGATGGGCAATCAGGTATGGCTCCAGGAAGAGGAGACATTTGAGCTGGCCTTGAAGGATGAATTAGGTGGGAAAGATAGAGCAGGTGGGAAGTATCTACTGCATATGTGGACACGAAAACCTGGTCCAGACTAACAGTGTAACTTGGAGCAGATGGGGTGGGGGCGAGGCCCCTGTGGCTGCAGCTGGTGATTGTTGGCCTGGAGAAGGAAATGGGGCTGGAGAGACAAACAGAAATCAGGGCTTGGGAGGGGTGTCTTGAGAAGTAGGCTCCCACCTAGGAGGACCTTATCTATTTGCTCATGGCTGTTTTCAAGAACTGGCCAGAGCCTGGCACAGAGTGGGTGTCCAATAAATGTTTATTAAATGTGGAAATGACTACTGAGGTGAGGGGTTATGAAGTTTTATTCATGCTTTGGAAAAGCAACTCTGTTGGTACAAAGAGGTGAAAGAATAGCAGTGAGGTCTCCGGGGTGGTGAACATTTGGTGCTAATTGCCCAGAACACTCCTTCTCACCTGGCCACAGGACTCCTTCTTGAGCAGAACCTGTTCCTTTTTGTCCAAACAGCCATGCCTCTGGCCCAGTGATTAGTGCAGAGCTGGGAGTTTACCTCCAGCTAAGCCAATGAGAAACTTCCCCAGGACTTTTCTGCCAGAGCTATGTCAATCCCTATTTCCAATGGGATTGTTCAGCTATGGGGTTGTGAATTTGGAGCTACCAGCAATCATCTTGCATAGCATGAGGTCAGACAGCAATATGCAGAGCTGAGAGATGGAGAAATTGAGCCCTGATAATATCATTTGCCATTCCTGATCCAGTTGTGCCTGAAACCTCCACATGTCTCCATTATGCAGCTTGGTAATTTCCTCTCTTTAGCTTGAGTCACTTGCAGATGGAGTTTTGTCCCATGTAACCATGGTAGTACAATCAATCAATCAGGAGGCTATTTCAAAAGTCCCCATGACTGCTACAGCTTGACAGCAAGATAAAAAAGACTTTGAAATCTACTGCAGAGGCACCTTATTGGATATTTAACCAAGGAGCTCCATCTTAACCAAAAGTCTTAGTAAACTTAAAGGTATTTTTGTTGACAGTATATTTTCATTTTGCCTAATAAATGAAGTGCCAGGGACCTAGTGTACATGTGGTGTGATGAGATGGGAAGGGCTAACTTTTGCAGGTGGTCATTTTTATTCCTGCAATTCCTTTACTTACCCCTCACCATTTCCATCCCTATCTTTTTTTAGATTTATTCTTCTAAGAGCTCAGCTTCTGATATGAGCCACCTGTTTCCCCATTGTTCACCCCAAGAAGGAGGTGGAAACTTTAGGTTGGAGGAGGGAAGAAGAAATTGATGAGAAAGAAGACAGGGAGTTAGGCTCAGGGCAGGGCACCTGACTCTTCCTTCTTCTTGAAACTCCTTTTAAAATTTGGAAATCTGAGAGTGGAGAGGACTCGTGTGACTAACTTCCAAGACAACATCTGGGGACCCTGCAAGGGTCATAGACAAGTTCCCCAAACCATCAGGGTGGGAGAAGGTATGTGGAGAGGAGGACATCGGCTTAAACTCTGGGTTCTCTGTGGGAGAATGAGAGCTGGCCAGCCTGCAAAGGATCTTCCTGTGGCCAGAACCAGGGAGGATGAGCCACCCATGATAGCTGCAAAGGCTGAGAGAGAGGCAGAGAGAGAGAGAGAGAAAGAGAGAGAGAGAGAGAGAGAGAGAGAGAGAGAGAGAGAGAGAGAGAGAGAGGCCCTCCACACTCGCTTCTACTGGGACCACAGCAACATTGCACAAGGCCTGCTCCCTCCTTTCCTGGAGTGTAGGATCAACTCCAGGAAGGCACAAGAGAGGGTGGGAAATCCTCAATGGGACTGAGTTTTAAACCTGAAATGGTTTAGATATCACCAAATTCGACAGTATTTTCCCTGAATTAATAAGACTATGTTTCTGGCCATCTGGTAGAAATAAGGTACTGAGAGAGAAATCAAATCCTGTTAGAGGGGAAAAAAGTGATACTTTCTCATACTTGAATTTGTGACTTAGAAAATTTGTACCCGCTACATATACTTTTGGGTACTAATCTTTAGTGTCAAAGTAAAATCTTTAGTTAAAGGAAAAGGGGAAAGGGGTTGGGCCAGCAACACAGTTCACCAGCAAGCTTTCCCCTTCGGTGTGTGTGGCCTTCAGCCAGGCCTCACATGTGTGACCATCTTTACTGTCAGGCTTCTGTCTAGTGGGAGGCCATCCTTCCCTGGCAAGAGGGGGCCAGTCTGCTCGCCAGTGCCTACAGTGTTAGTTCTAAGAGTCAGTCATTTCTGAGGGACCCTGAAGCCTTTGCCTGAAGAGACACCACCCCCATCTCTGATTTTAAAATACAGATTTGCCAGGATTGATTAACTTGTGCAAATAAAACCACTTAGGCAGTTAGGCATTCTTTCAGTTAGAAATGCTCAAATTTAGGCATGCATCAAAATCGCCTGATGAGAAGGAGAGCATGATGGGTGACGGTTGAGAAAATCAGATTCCCAGGCCTGACCCCTGAATATTGATTCTGACATAAGTGATCATTTGTACACACTTTGAGAAACTGTGCTGAGGGTATTGTATGCCATTCAGATTTCCTTAAAAAGCTCCCAGAATGGACAAGTAACTCTTTCAAATTCTCTCTTGCAGATTAGTCCTAGGGGCAAACCAAAGTTTTTAAAGGGGAAAAAATCATGTAAAAGGTAGTTTCTCTAGAAAGTTGACAGCCACTAGAAGAATAAATGTGCCTGGAATAGACATGACATCTTAATCATTGGTACTGAAGAGCTGTAATGCCAGACTATAGAAAGCTTAAATCAAACTGTAGCTCTTTTTCTTTTATTAAAGAAAGAAAGCCCAGGAGTACAATGCCAGAACAAGAACTAATTCTGGAAGCTTGCTGGTATGATATTGTCAGTCACACCAGTGATGTGGATAAAAGCTTTTAGCACATGAATAATTTCAGTGAAAGGGCTTTATCGCTTTTTATTTGCTGGGCATTTACAGGAGAATAAACATGCTGGTATATATTATATATGGAGTGAAAGTCAGCAGCAAATGAAAGCAAAGACCCCCAGACCCAGTTACCAGAACAGACTAGGGTTGCTTAGCAACCGGGCAACTGGAGAATTCTCTCTCCCTTTCTTTCTTTTGTTTTTAGATTGCAGTAACCTTTGATCAATTTTGGCTCTACAACAAAAGCCTTGGATATTTTGAGAGAAATGTACCTGCTTATTTGTAGTAACAAGGACATAGACCGTGACACCAATTTCTGTCTCGTATTTCATGTTAAACAGCAGAACAGCCTCAAATTCCTTTTAAAAATCTTATTGTTGGTGGGCTGGATCTCTGATGAATCAGAAGTTTTATGATAATTGCTTTAAATTACTCTAAAAGATGTTTACTGTCTGTCAGTTGCCCTTGGTTCTTCTGCTCATTGACCAACTTTAGAAGCCTAGGTCTTGGTTCCAAATCCACTTCCTGAGAAGCAGCATCTGAATCCCAAGTCTTAAATCCTCCAGTTAAAGGAGACTTTAAACAGGCATTCCTTTCAAAAGCATCATGGAATTAGGGAATACTAAACTGGAAAGGGTTGTTTAAATAATCTCTTCTGGTTCCTTCCCTCTTTACAGATTCTTTCAATTCAGTTCTTACAAGGCAACTTGCCAATGTCCACATGCTCTGCTACCAACCAAGAAAACTCATAGATCCTTCTCCTTGGGGAGCTTTAAAGGTGTGAAGAGCAAGGAAGGGTAGAGATAATGATCCAATTCGATTCGTAGCCCAACATAGAAGGAAAATATCTGACAGTTTGCATGTAGTATGCCACTGGAGATTCCATGGGATAGAGCAGTTACTGGCTTCCAAGGATCGAGCTGCTAACAGTTAGGGTTCTAGAGGTCGAGCTTATTTCAATGAAATTAACTTTCCTCAATCAATCAGTCAAGGACTCCTGATAGGTTAATAGTGCTATTTCCTTAGTTTGAAAGAGATAAATGCATGGGATTGTGATGTGAAGGAGGTAGAAGGGAGAAGTCAGGAAAGGTGGGAAGTGTGCCTTTCTGAACTCTGTTTTTCTTCTTCTGCAGGATCTTCTATCAGACTCAGACAAGTGGGGTTAATGTGAGCAGTTCAATTCCTTTCCTCTTTAAAAAGGAAGGTGAAGAGGAATCTGTAGCCCCAGATGCCTCTTGGTCTTGGATCAGCTTTGGAGTACACATTGCCTGGGTGAGCAAGGCTAGTTTCATGGCCTCTCCATGGCTCAGTTTAAATGAGGAACATAATTCCCAGAAGAATTTGGAAATATAGGTGTAAAAAGAATGGGTTATAAGTGTAAAAAGAATGGCCTTGGTGTTACTCTCCCAACATTGTCTAAAAAATCTGGGTATGGCAACATCCTTTCACATCTAAGGACATCAGGCACAGGGTAAAGGAAATCATTTTTCCAAATCAGCTTGTTGAATATTGTGGGATCTGGAAGGACTGGAGGAGGGAGGTCTGTCTGGCCCACACCTTAGTTTTCTTCTCTGAAGCCCCACATCTAGGGGCATCTTCAGTGCACTTTACATTGCAAGCACACAGCAGCTCTTTGCACTTTGCTGAAAAGAGGATGAGCAATGCTCTCCTGCCCTGCTGATCCTCGAAGTTCAAGCCTGTTCTTGTTAGGCTGGCGTCTAGCACCTGTCACTTTCCTGTCTGTCCTCAATTACTCCCACCTGAGCAACTGCCTGGGTGGGGAAGCACTTTGAACTTAAACTGTCTTTGTGTTTGCGCCTTCAGTTGAGCTTTAATTGCAGTTCTCCACCTGCTTCTGCACTCCAGGAAACCCCTGGGAACCCTCTCATGGCTCATTTAGAACTTGGAGAATCCTAGGGAGCCTGGTCAAAAACTCAGGGGCCTGGGAAAGAAGAATCCGCTGTTCATTTCTTTGTGGGTTGCCACCAACTCCCTAGCAAGCTGATTCCTGCATCCATGAATAGTTTAACACAAGTGAAATTGCATTTTAATTATTATCACTTTCCTTTTCAGAAGGATTTAGGATTATGAGGCTACTGTTGCTAAAACACTTTCTCTCTTCTCTTGCGGCAAAAGGAGTTGAGAGAAATAAATAGGTCAGTGGAACAGTGGAGCTGTTGAAAGACTCACAGACACACAGGGTAGTCACACAGGGCCATGGTTATGAGTGATTGGGGTAAACATTTTACAGCTGGGACTGTTCCATTCTAAGGCCTAAAAATTTATAGTGAACCTAACCTAGTTACTGACAAGAACTACTCCTAATACACTCTTCATGCCCTGGTTGATGCTGGAGCTGTTCAATTTAGTGTGAAAACAATTTAATTTAGAAAATAGTATCAAACAAATTGGTAATTCTGTGGTGTAGGGGCAAATCAGAGGCTTGGCTGACTCAATTCTTTGGTTCCTTTTCCCCCAAGTTGAGTTAGAATCATGTAGGGGTCACTTGTAAGCCTTTGTATCTTTATCCTCAGTTATTAATTAAATATTTAGGGAGGAAGAGGTCAGAGAATTGGCATAATGAGGAAAATGGACTACAGAGAAGATGACAATAGAGAGATACATTGTCTGGGGTTCAGATACCTAGGAATCTCTGTTGAAAAGTCTTTGAATGGATTATATCACTCAAGATAAACATTTCCTGTAATTTTAGCTCCATCATATGTTGGAAATAACATTTGCTTAAGGAACCCCCATGGAATTAACCATTTGGGTAGAGTATGTCCATCTTTAATATATTTATTGTCTTTTGGTTTTGACCATTTGTGTGGACTTACAATTTTGGAAATTGACATTTAACTAAAATGTCAATTCCAAAAGCTTAGGTTCATCGTCACAATTCAAGTGGAGAAAAGTAACAGGGGATGACAACACAAGTGAGTTGCCATCTCTGAGTTTTCCTGTAGAGTCTTCCACAAAGTACCTGAATTGGTAGGTAGCATGTGGAGACCCAACAAAAGGAGCCCAGGACTGGGCAGTCCCTCTGGGTAGCACTCCCCTCTGATTTCAGGTCCATAGACAAGAAGGACGTGGTTAGCACTGAGCATCACCAAGGCAACCTCGGTGGATTCCACAGAGCCTGAAACATCGGGAGTTGGTGCATAACACACCGTAGGAGGAAGAGGCATTTCAGGAGGACATCGGGCAGCCTGGGGACACCTCAAGGTGGATTTGTGAAAAGTGCATTTCCAGTCCCCAGTGAATATGAGCCAGAACGTTGTCATTTAATTTCTCTATCGATTCTTAAGAAGTTTAGGAAAGCAAGACTGTTTCTGAGATGTGTTTTTCACATTTGTACCCTTCGACCTAAAGGGAAAAACATGAGAAGGAATTAAGGCTTTTTCCATTCCCCGAATTTTCTGACTTCAGATACAACCAGTAGAGAGAGAGGACAAGTTTTCTCAGCCCTCAGAGGACATGTACAGAGAATGTATGGACTCTCCCCAGACCAGGGGTAGTCCAGGAACCTGTGTCTGCCACAAAATGTGATGCCATCTGGGCCCCTGGGACTCTGTGAAGACTTGGAGCAGGCATCATTACAGAGCCGCACTCTGCCCTCCAGCTTCCAGCAACTCCGTCTTCTCAACTTCCTTCATTTCTCCCAGGAGGGGTTGGCCTCATGTTTGTGTAACTGGACATTCCAGCCTTATCAGAGAACTAGACAAATGTTTGTCTTTTAGGGACTTAATATGTACAGTGTACTTAATTGTCTTAGTCTGTTTGGGCTTCTGTAACAAAGTACCATAGCCTGGGTGATTTATAAATAACATTTATTTCTCACGGTTCTGGAGGCTGAAAGTCTGAGATCAGGGAGCCAGCATGGTCAGTTCTGGTGAGGGTCCTCTTCCAGGTTGAGGATTGCCATCTTCTTTTTGTGTCCTCACATGGTGGAAAAGAGGGTGAGAGCTCTCTGGGGTCACTTTCACAAGGCCACAGATCTGTTCATGAGGGATCCACCCTTGTGATCTAATTATCTCCCAAAGATCCTACCTTCTAATACCACCATAAAGGGAGTTAGGATTTCAACATATGAATTTAGGGAGGACACAAACATTCAGCACATTGCAGTTACGGTACAAGAGTGACCAACCAAAACACATAAGTCTCTCAATTAATCAAATTTATATTTATTCATTAAGAATCTAATTTCATCCTAGGCTCTGGTGTCAGCCTGCCAAGACTCAATCCTCCATCAGCTACTGTCTGTAGATGAGTTACTTAGGATTTCTGTGCCTCAGTTTCTCTATCTGTAAAGTAGAGTAATAACATCATCTACCTCATAGAGTTTTCATAAGAATCAAATGATATGATATACATATAGGGCTTAGAATAGATCCTGGAACATAAATGTGTTCAGTAAATGTGTTAATATTTATATTGTCATATTATATATTGCTTCTACATATTATTGATGGACACAGTTAGTGTGTTTCAGTATTCATTGGGGAAGGAGTAGAGAACGACTTTACTTCCTTTAACCTGGTAATTCCACCAATCCTTTTCACAGCTCTAGTTACTCTCCTTGGTGATAAAATAGTTACATTATCTCTTTCAGGGCATGGTGATATAGTAAAAAGCCCCGTGGTGATGAGGCCTCTTCTTTTAAGGCTAGAAGTGAAGAAAACAGAACCCAATCTTAATCATTTGAGAGTCTATTAAAGAAATCTTTGAGACTTCCTTTCAGGCCAGCTTGGTATCAGTGATATTCAAATAATTCTGGGAACTGGAGTGGGAGTCTGGGCATTCTATGTTAACACCTAGCTGTATTCCAAATCTTCTAGTGCCTGACTAGGAGTGTTTCTGCTGGAAGTCACCTTAGATGTGGGGGGCATTTTATCCTCAGATGGATAACTCAAGGGCCGGGGGGCCCATGTAGAGGGACCATAGAGAACCAGCTAATTAATGGGGTAGACACATTAATTGAATTTCTGGGGCAACTGAAGTTTCATCATTCAGTTCACTTTAACACCTAATGTTTTCAAAATTTTCCCAAGCCTCTAGGTTTTCTTTGGGCTTTAAAAAGTCCAGCCTTGGAGCCAAAGTTACATCTTTTTTAATGGAAAATGAGTTGAACTTAAGAAGCCCTGTTCTGAGGCCAGGGCTCACTCTCCATTCCTTTGGGCAAAGATGCAGCGACTTCTCTGAGCCCCAGACTTGTCATCTGCCAGATTGGGGTAATCATAGCACCTGCCTCATATTTGCGGGTAATCATGCAGCTTAGAGGTAATATGCTTAGTGGAGTGCCTGGAGCATGGTCAGTACCATGCAAATGTTTGCTATTTGAATTATTAAACACTTTTATTCAAGAGGGAACTATCCAGTTAAAGAAAAATTCTGATTAGGTGGGTTCTGGTTAATTGAGAGTCCTCAGTAAATACGCAAGTTTTAAAAAAAATGCATTTATTTCTAACCCCGAGAGAAAGAGAAGGTATGACACAGTCAGGTTTAGAAGTACCGGGCATTTAAAAGGTTTCTTCTGGGGGATATTCTTCTTCCCAGAAGAGGGTTGTATCTATACAGACACTTCCGAGGTACCAATTGATCATGAAGGCGAGGGCTTATCTTGTCTGCAGCTGTTATTTGATGCTCCCAGGTTTGGGTGTCAGGCAACCTTGCACCATGACTTGAGAATTTTCTCTCCCCCTTTGCTGAGTTCTGTAAAGAAGAGCTCTTTTGTCCTAAGAGCAGGTCCCTACAGATGGTTTAACTTGTAGCTCCTCCCAAGTTGGACCAAGCAGTGTATCCCAGCAGAAGATTGTAACCTCAAGCACCTGCCTTAAAGTTAGTCACTAGGGGCTAGCCCATAGCAGCTCAGGGAGCATGAATTCCTGGGTCCTGGGGGCCTCTATTCTATACAGTGCCCAGAGTCAATATGGCTGCCTTCCAGGTTCGTTAACTGCTATTAGGGGGACACAGAGAGGTGAGCAATCAATGCCTGCTTATTTATGATACCCTTGTTCTTGTCATTCTTATTACTATTTCGATGTGTAATTTGTTCTGGTCTGCTCATAATTATACAGAATGTCATCCTTCATATATTTAATAGTTAAGAAAGAAAATTTTAATTAAAATTGGAACTCTTTAAAAGGGAAGTAACATAGAGCAAATTCTCAAGGGAAATAAGGTTGATCAAGACATTCATAGATTTTCAACTCCAGGTTGGATCACAATGAATTGAGTAATGGGGAGATTTAGAGAGTCTCGCTCTTCCTGTCAGTGTCCTCAGCTTTATGGCAAAGAAGGTCAAAGTATATTGGTGTCCTGATGGGAAGCACAGTTTTGTGATTGAATAGGCCATTGAATGCTGTATCTTCTGGTGTTGTGAAGCAAGGACGTTTTAAAACATGTTGTAGCATGTGAACAACTGATTATTCTTTGATGAACACACATATTATTTATTGGTTAGTACTATACAGCATTTCCATCGCTCCACTGCTTCATTTCTCATCAAAGGGGTAAAAAAGTCCATGTAGGAAACAGAATCTTGACTAATTAGCAAGGCATGGATTTCCGCCCCCATAAACTCATTTATCAGATATGCCTCTATTTTAATCAGTTACCTTAAAAAGCAAATACTCTTTATCAGACATGTCTTTATTTTAACCAATTACTTTATTGCATTTTTATTACAAGTGCAAAGGTTAAGCAAAGTCAATGCCTGCCGTCTACAGGGTCCTTAGTCACAGCAAACACTGCTGATCAAGGAAGTTTGGAACCAAGGCTTCTTATTGTTCAAACTGTCATTAGTGCCTAAGTAATTATTATAAATGTCTTTTATATGTCAACCATTACGTTGAAAGTCTTCTCAAGTTCAAGCACATGAGGAGGAAATCACCTCCTCTTGGATTCCTCTGATAATCTTGTAAAAGATTATTTTCTCAACCCTAAACGAATGTGTTTAAAATGGTCTTTTGTGAGCTAAAGCTTATGGTACTACCTTGTCATAAAAAGAAGTTGTTAGAAGCAAAAGTATTACTTGCACACATGTTGAAATTATTTGAATTTAATTCTTTAAATTTATGTGGCTATTTGACTATTTGTCTTAGACCAGCCTTTTGCTCATTCCAGTAACCACACATACCACATAGTTCACTGATGCAAATCCTCTGCGATGAACAGGAGATGGGGACAGAAAAAATAAATGGCGATATTTTAAGGGTTTAGAGCACTCTGAATGTTCATTCAGACAATGCTTGCCCCAAATTCTAATCTCCCTCTGATTTTGTTCCATTTTGTAATGAAGACTTTGGGAAGTGGTGAGAGGTCCTGGGCAGTGGGGGAAACAGGTACAGCCCTGTGGACCACTGAATGGACTGTCTTGAGTTGACAGCATTACTTTTGGTCAGCATGACAGAGTTCTGCTGGCTTTCACCACCAGCAGCTCTGTGATCTTGGGTAAGTCACCACACCTTTTGCAGCCTTAATTTGCTTATCTGTATTTCAAAGAGTCCTGCTGGATGAGTATTTCTCCAAGTCCTGCCAATCACCATCACCTAGAGCTTGTTAAAAAATGTGGCCTCTGGCCTAAAAGCAATGGCAACAAAAGCCAAAATAGACAAACGGGATCTAACTAAACTAAAGAGCTTCTGCACAGCAAAAGAAACTACCATCAGAGTGAATAGGCAACCTACAGAATGGGAGAAAATTTTTGCAATCTACCCATCTGACAAAGGGCTAATATCCGAATCTACAAAGAACTTAAATAAATTTACAAGAAAAAAACAAACAACGCCATCAAAAAGTGGGCAAAGGATATGAACAGACACTTCTCAAAAGAAGACATCTATTTAGCCAACAGACACATGAAAAAATGCTCATCATCACTGGTCATCAGAGAAATGCAAATCAAAACCACAATGAGATACCATCTCACACCAGTTAGAATGGCAATCATTAAAAAGTCAGGAAACAACAGGTGCTGGAGAGGTTGTGGAGAAATAGGAATGCTTTTACACTGTTTGTTGGAGTGTAAATTACTTCAACCATTGTGGAAGACAGTATGGTGATTCCTCAGGGATCTAGAACTAGAATTACCATTTGACCCAGCAATCCCATTACTGGGTATATACCCAAAGGATTATAAATCATGCTACTATAAAGACACATGCACACGTATGTTCATTGCGGCACTATTCACGAAAGCAAAGACTTGGAACCAACCCAAATGTCCATCAATGATAGACCGGATTAAGAAAATGTGGCACATACACACCATGGAATATATGCAGCCATAAAAAAGGATGAGTTAATATCCTTTGCAGGGACATGGATGAAGCTGGAAACCATCATTCTCAGCAAACTATCATAAGGACAGAAAACCAAACACTGCATGTTCTCACTCAAAAGTGGGAATTGAACAATGAGATCACTTGGACACAGGGCGGGGAACATCACACACTGGGGCCTGTCAGGTGATGGGGGGCTGGGGGAGGGATAACATTAGGAGAAATACCTGATGTAAATGATGAGTTGATGGGTGCAGCAAACCAACATGCCACATGTATACCTATGTGTCAAATCTGCACGTTGTGCACATGTACCCTAGAACTTAAAGTATAAAAAAAAAAGTCGCCTCTGCCCCCCACTCCAGACTGGAGTATTTGTCTTTTAAGGTAACTGATCATTGGCATGGGTCCTGAGAATCTGCTTGTTTAACTCACCTGCTGCTGCTACTCATGCACCGACAATCTGAAGACCACCAGCTGGACTGTGCTCTTGAAAGGCTCCTTGTGCTCTTGAAACCCATGCTGCTGGTGGGAACAGAGTATGGGTGGCTGATACAGGTGTACATGTTGGTGGGTGGGTCTGGGCTCAGCTGACAGCAGTAGCTTGATGTGATGCTATTTCGGGAGAAAAGGGGCACAGTCTTCTGGCCTCTGATCAAGGAGTAAAGGGGCTCAATGTCTGGCTTCATCTATGTTCACTTCCCTGAGACACTCCACTTCTTCGGGGTGAGTCTGTGTAAGAAGACTACATGTCCAGGAGGAATGCAGAAACCTCCGGGTGTCTGTTCAGCTGCTTTTAAACCAAATATTCTAACAATCGACTTTATCCACATTATCTTTAGATGTTTGGGCATTCTGTGGACACGGCCCTTTTCTCCAGAGTTCTGAGAAATTTGAACAAAGGTTATCCTTCCTTCCCTCCTTTTGTTCCTCCCTCCCTCCCTGCCATCTTTCCTTCTGCCTTGTTGCTGTCTCCATACGGACATTTCTGAGCTCATTGATTGTCTGGAATGGCAGCTGGCTTTGCCTGTCACCAGGCTGCTCAATGGAATTAGAAAACGAGAAGAGACCTTGCAGTCTCATGAATGTAATGCTTAATTTACTGCAAAAAGAGGACAAGTCCAGTAGGTAAATAACATTCCTCTACACCAAGAGATGTGATTCATTAATTAAAGATTAGCCAACATGAAACTGAGAATGAGGAATGAGCCAGGTCATGCCACGATTTGGGGTCTGAATCATTTCAACAGGAGCCCTCCATGCTGCCCCATACAGTGCAGCCATGCTCCCTGCTGTTTGCCCATTGCTCCCTGCTGGGGCTTCTGGCCAGCATCAGCCCTGCTGTGTTTGTAAGCATTTGCCTCTTTCACTATTTTGTGAATTCAGTTCTTTGGCTCAGAAGTGGGCACAGGGTCTTACTCTTCCTTGTCTCTCCAATGCCTAGCAATACACACAGCACATAGTAGCCTTGTGCGTTGGTCTGCTAGGGCTGCCATAACGAAGTACCACAGACCAGGTGGCTAAACAACAGCAACTTGTTTTCTCACAATTCTGAAAGCTAAAAGATGTGTGTCCAAATCTCTTCTTACAAGGACTCTAGTAAGATTGAGTTAGGGCCCATCCTAATGACCTTATTTTCATTTAATTACTTCCTTAAAGACTGTATCTCCAAATGCAGTCACATTCTATGGTACTATGGGTTAGAACTTGAATGTCTGAATTTTGGGGGACACAATTCTAACACCCTTCAATAGATGTTTGTCAAGGATGAAATGAACATACTAGTGCAATAACAATCTGTGTCGATACCATATTTATCAACAGACCCTCTCTTTCTTTATCTCTTCACAACACATATAAATAGGCATGGAAAATACATATTTTATTGGACAATACACAAACAGGAGGATATATTTTTAAATAAAATTGCGGCTATTAATGATCAAACTTGGGATTTAGACCAGAGTCATTGTAAAGGCTGGTGGCTGCATAGACTGTACTTGGGTTTCTTATCTATGTTCTTAAGCTCCTTGGGAGGTTCATAGCAGCCCTTTCTGCAGGGGGAGGATTCAGGGAGAGACAAGTTTCCACTCTGTACCACTTTTCTATGTAATATTTCAACTTCTCCTAAGGTGTGCTCAGTCAACTGTGTTTCTGTTGAGAGCCTGCACTACAGTGGAGTTGGGAATTTGAAATCCTGACACAGTTCTCAAGCCCCAGGTGATCTTCCATGAAGCTGGAGCACCTGGAACTGCCCATGGTTTATCTAAACTACCAATCCACGAAGTTTCTGAGAATCCTTCTCACTCTTACCTTTGTCACTGTCACCATCACCTTTGTCAGACTCTGGTTTTGAGAGTGGGTTGCATTTTCCAACACTTGTTTATGTCTATAATTTGCTTGGGGTCTCCTACCAACTCCAAGAGGTAAGAAAAGAGAGGGTCAATCTTCCTTTTTATAGATGGAGAGATGAAAAAAGAGATTAAGTGACATGCAAAATTTCCCTGACTTATTTTCTTTCCCCATCTTGCCAATTCCAGAGCACTTTGTCCAGATGATCCTCTCCTGGGTCTTACATCTTCTTACCTTGTATTATCTGCTCCCCTGCAGAGCTCCTTGAAAGCAGGGCCCATATGTCTAACCTTTACGTAGTTGTATGTGCTTGCACAGAAGAGGTGCTCAATTATTGCTTGTTGGATGAACCAATGTGCAGTCATGGCCTGCATAACAGCGTCTTGGTCAAAGATGAACTGCATATACATATGACGGTGGTCCCATAAGATTATAATACTGTATTTTTACTGTACCTTTTCTATGTTTTGATACCCAAATACCAATGTGTTGCAATTGTCTGCAATATTTAGTTCAGTAACATTCTGTACAAGTTTGTAGCCTAGGAGCAATAGGTTACATGATATAACTTGGATGTTTTGTAGGCTGTGCCACCTAGGTGTATATAAGTGCACTCTATGATGTTTGCACAACAACAAAATCACCTAATGTTGCATTTCTTGGAATGTCTTCCCATTGTTTTTTTTATTTTTTTATTTTTTTATTTTTTATTATACTTTAAGTTTTAGGGTACATGTGCACATTGTGCAGGTTAGTTACATATGTATACATGTGCCATGCTGGTGCGCTGCACCCACTAACTCATCATCTAGCATTAGGTATATCTCCCATTGCTATCCCTCCCCCCTCCCCCCACCCCACAATAGTCCCCAGAGTGTGATGTTCCCCTTCCTGTGTCCATGTGATCTCATTGTTCAATTCCCACCTATGAGTGAGAATATGCGGTGTTTGGTTTTTTGTTCTTGCGATAGTTTACTGAGAATGATGATTTCCAATTTCATCCATGTCCCTACAAAGGACATGAACTCATCATTTTTTATGGCTGCATAGTATTCCATGGTGTATATGTGCCACATTTGCTTAATCCAGTCTATCATTGTTGGACATCTGGGTTGGTTCCACGTCTTTGCTATTGTGAATAATGCCACAATAAACATACGTGTGCATGTGTCTTTATAGCAGCATGATTTATAGTCCTTTGGGTATATACCCAGTAATGGAATGGCTGGGTCAAATGGTATTTCCAGTTCTAGATCCCTGAGGAATCGCCACACTGACTTCCACAATGGTTGAACTAGTTTACAGTCCCACCAACAGTGTAAAAGTGTTCCTATTTCTCCACATCCTCTCCAGCACCTGTTGTTTCCTGACTTTTTAATGATTGCCATTCTAACTGGTGTGAGATGGTATCTCATTGTGGTTTTGATTTGCATTTCTCTGATGGCCAGTGATGATGAGCATTTTTTCATGTGTTTTTTGGCTGCATAAATGTCTTCTTTTGAGAAGTGTCTGTTCATGTCCTTTGCCCACTTTTTGATGGGGTTGTTTGTTTTTTTCTTGTAAATTTGTTTGAGTTCATTGTAGATTCTGGATATTAGCCCTTTGTCAGATGAGTAGGTTGCGAAAATGTTCTCCCATTTTGTAGGTTGCCTGTTCACTCTGATGGTAGTTTCTTTTGCTGTGCAGAAGCTCTTTAGTTTAATTAGATCCCATTTGTCAATTTTGTCTTTTGATGCCATTGCTTTTGGTGTTTTAGACATGAAGTCCTTGCCCATGCCTATGTCCTGAATGGTAATGCCTAGGTTTTCTTCTAGGGTTTTTATGGTTTTAGGTCTAATGTTTAAGTCTTTAATCCATCTTGAATTGATTTTTGTATAAGGTGTAAGGAAGGGATCCAGTTTCAGCTTTCTACATATGGCTAGCCAGTTTTCCCAGCACCATTTATTAAATAGGGAATCCTTTCCCCATTGCTTGTTTTTCTCAGGTTTGTCAAAGATCAGATAGTTGTAGATATGCGGCGTTATTTCCGAGGGCTCTGTTCTGTTCCATTGATCTATATCTGTGTTTTGGTACCAGTACCATGCTGTTTTGGTTACTGTAGCCTTGTACTATAGTTTGAAGTCAGGTAGTGTGATGCCTCCAGCTTTGTTCTTTTGGCTTAGGATTGACTTGGCAATCCGGGCTCTTTTTTGGTTCCATATGAACTTTAAAGTAGTTTTTTCCAATTCTGTGAAGAAAGGCATTGGTAGCTTGATGGTGATGGCACTGAATCTGTAAATTACCTTGGGCAGTATGGCCATTTTCACGATATTGATTCTTCCTACCCATGAGCATGGAATGTTCTTCCATTTGTTTGTATCCTCTTTTATTTCCTTGAGCAGTGGTTTGTAGTTCTCCTTGAAGAGGTCCTTCACATCCCTTGTAAGTTGGATTCCTAGGTATTTTATTCTCTTTGGAGCAATTGTGAATGGGAGTTCACTCATGATTTGGCTCTCTGTTTGTCTGTTATTGGTGTATAAGAATGCTTGTGATTTTTGTACATTGATTTTGTATCCTGAGACTTTGCTGAAGTTGCTTATCAGCTTAAGGAGATTTTGGGCTGAGACAATGGGGTTTTCTAGATATACAATCATGTCATCTGCAAACAGGGACAATTTGACTTCCTCTTTTCCTATTTGAATACCCTTTATTTCCTTCTCCTGCCTAATTGCCCTGGCCAGAACTTCCAACAGTATGTTGAATAGGAGTGGTGAGAGAGGGCATCCCTGTCTTGTATCAGTTTTCAAAGGGAATGCTTCCAGTTTTTGCCCATTCAGTATGATATTGGCTGTGGGTTTGTCATAGGTAGCTCTTATTATTTTGAAATACATCCCATCAATACCTAATTTATTGAGAGTTTTTAGCATGAAGGGTTGTTGAATTTTGTCAAAGGCCTTTTCTGCATCTATTGAGATAATCATGTGGTTTTTGTCTTTGGCTCTGTTTAAATGCTGGATTACATTTATTGATTTGCGTATATTGAACCAGCCTTGCATCCCAGGGATGAAGCCCACTTGATCATGGTGGATAAGCTTTTTGATGTGCTGCTGGATTCGGTTTGCCAGTATTTTATTGAGGATTTTTGCATCAATGTTCATCAAGGATATTGGTCTAAAATTCTCTTTTTTTGCTGTGTCTCTGCCTGGCTTTGGTATCAGAATGATGCTGGCCTCATAAAATGAGTTAGGAAGGATTCCCTCTTTTTCTATTGATTGGAATAGTTTCAGAAGGAATGGTACCAGTTCCTCCTTGTACCTCTGGTAGAATTCAGCTGTGAATCCATCTGGTCCTGGACTCTTTTTCATTGGTAAGCTATTGATTATTGCCACAATTTCAGATCCTGTTATTGGTCTATTCAGAGATTCAACTTCTTCCTGGTTTAGTCTTGGGAGAGTGTATGTGTCGAGGAATTTATCCATTTCTTCTAGATTTTCTAGTTTATTTGCGTAGAGGCGTTTGTAGTATTCTCTGATGGTAGTTTGTATTTCTGTGGGTTTGGTGGTGATATCCCCTTTATCATTTTTTATTGCATCTATTTGATTCTTCTCTCTTTTTTTCTTTATTAGTCTTGCTAGTGGTCTATCAATTTTGTTGATCCTTTCAAAAAACCAGCTCCTGGATTCATTAATTTTTTGAAGGGTTTTTTGTGTCTCTGTTTCCTTCAGTTCTGATCTGATTTTAGTTATTTCTTGCCTTCTGCTAGCTTTTGAATGTGTTTGCTCTTGCTTTTCTAGTTCTTTTAATTGTGATGTTAGGGTGTCAATTTTGGATCTTTCCTGCTTTCTCTTGTGGGCATTTAGTGCTATAAATTTCCCTCTACACACGGCTTTGAATGCATCCCAGAGATTCTGGTATGTTGTGTCTTTGTTCTCGTTGGTTTCAAAGAACATCTTTATTTCTGCCTTCATTTCGTTATGTACCCAGTAGTCATTCAGGAGCAGGTTGTTCAGTTTCCATGTAGTTGAGCGGCTTTGAGTGAGTTTCTTAATCCTGAGTTCTAGTTTGATTGCAGTGTGGTCTGAGAGACAGTTTGTTATAATTTCTGTTCTTTTACATTTGCTGAGGAGAGCTTTACTTCCAACTATGTGGTCAATTTTGGAATAGGTGTGGTGTGGTGCTGAAAAAAATGTATATTCTGTTGATTTGGGGTGGAGAGTTCTGTAGATGTCTATTAGGTCCGCTTGGTGCAGAGCTGAGTTCAATTCCTGGGTATCCTTGTTGACTTTCTGTCTCGTTGATCTGTCTGATGTTGACAGTGGGGTGTTAAAGTCTCCCATTATTAATGTGTGGGAGTCTAAGTCTCTTTGTAGGTCACTCAGGTCTTGCTTTATGAATCTGGGTGCTCCTGTATTGGGTGCATATATATTTAGGACAGTTAGCTCTTCTTGTTGAATAGATCCCTTTACCATTATGTAATGGCCTTCTTTGTCTCTTTTGATCTTTGTTGGTTTAAAGTCTGTTTTATCAGAGACTAGGATTGCAACCCCTGCCTTTTTTTGTTTTCCATTTGCTTGGTAGATCTTCCTCCATCCTTTTATTTTGAGCCTATGTGTGTCTCTGCACGTGAGATGGGTTTCCTGAATACAGCACACTGATGGGTCTTGACTCTTTATCCAATTTGCCAGTCTGTGTCTTTTAATTGGAGAATTTAGTCCATTTACATTGAAAGAGAATATTGTTATGTGTGAATTTGATCCTGTCATGATGATGTTAGCTGGTTATTTTGCTCATTAGTTGATGCAGTTTCTTCCTAGTCTCGATGGTCTTCACATTTTGGCATGATTTTGCAGCGGCTGGTACCGGTTGTTCCTTTCCATGTTTAGTGCTTCCTTCAGGAGCTCTTTTAGGGCAGGCCTGGTGGTGACAAAATCTCTCAGCATTTGCTTGTCTGTAAAGGATTTTATTTCTCCTTCACTTATGAAGCTTAGTTTGGCTGGATATGAAATTCTGGGTTGAAAATTCTTTTCTTTAAGAATGTTGAATATTGGCCCCCACTCTCTTCTGACTTGTAGGGTTTCTGCCGAAAGATCTGCTGTTAGTCTGATGGGCTTCCCTTTGAGGGTAACCCGACCTTTCTCTCTGGCTGCCCTTAACATTTTTTCCTTCATTTCAACTTTGGTGAATCTGACAATTATGTGTCTTGGAGTTGCTCTTCTCGAGGAGTATCTTTGTGGCGTTCTCTGTATTTCCTGAATCTGAATGTTGGCCTGCCTTGCTAGATTGGGGAAGTTCTCCTGGATAATATCCTGCAGACTGTTTTCCAGCTTGGTTCCATTCTCCCCATCACTTTCAGGTACACCAGTCAGACGTAGATTTGGTCTTTTCACATAGTCCCATATTTCTTGGAGGCTTTGCTTGTTTCTTTTTATTCTTTTTTCTCTAAACTTCCCTTCTCACTTCATTTCATTCATTTCCTCTTCCATCGCTGATACCCTTTCTTCCAGTTGATCGCATCAGCTCCTGAGGCTTCTGCGTTCTTCACGTAGTTCTCGAGCCTTGGTTTTCAGCTCCATCAGCTCCTTTAAGCACTTCTCTGTATTGGTTATTCTAGTTATACATTCTTCTAAATTTTTTTCAAAGTTTTTAACTTCTTTGCCTTTGGTTTGGATGTCCTCCCGTAGCTCAGAATAATTTGATTGTCTGAAGCCTTCTTTTCTCAGCTCGTCAAAGTCATTCTCCATCTAGCTTTGTTCCATTGCTGGTGAGGAACTGCGTTCATTTGGAGCAGGAGAGGCGCTCTGTTTTTAGAGTTTCCAGTTTTTCTGTTCTGTTTTTTCCCCATCTTTGTGGTTTTATCTACTTTTGGTCTTTGATGATGGTGATGTACAGATGGGTTTTTGGTGTGGATGTCCTTTCTGTTTGTTAGTTTTCCTTCTAACAGACAGGACCCTCAGCTACAGGTCTGTTGGAGTACCCTGCCGTGTGAGGTGTCAGTGTGCTCCTGCTGGGGGGTGCCTCCCAGTTAGGCTGCTCGGGGGTCAGGGGTCAGGGACCCACTTGAGGAGGCAGTCTGCCTGTTCTCAGATCTCCAGCTGCGTACTGGGAGAACCACTGCTCTCTTCAAAGCTGTCAGACAGGGATATTTAAGTCTGCAGAGGTTACTGCTGTCTTTTTGTTTGTCTGTGCCCTGCCCCCAGAGGTGGAGCCTACAGAGGCAGGCAGGCCTCCTTGAGCTGTGGTGGGCTCCACCCAGTTCGAGCTTCCCAGCTGCTTTGTTTACCTAAGCAAGCCTGGACCATGGTGGGCGCCCCTTCCCCAGCTTCGCTGCCACCTTGCAGTTTGATCTCAGACTGCTGTGCTAGCAATCAGCCAGACTCCGTGGGCGTAGGACCCTCCGAGCCAGGTGCGGGATATAATCTCGTGGTGCGCCGTTTTTTAAGCCCGTCGGAAAAGTGCAGTATTCGGGTGGGAGTGACCCGATTTTCCAGGTGCCGTCAGTCACCCCTTTCTTTAACTAGCAAAGGCAACTCCCTGACCCCTTGCACTTCCCGAGTGAGGCAATGCCTCACCCTGCTTTGGCTCGTGCACAGTGTGTGCACCCACTGACCTGCGCCTACTGTCTGGCACTCCCTAGTTAGATGAACCCGGTACCTCAGATGGAAATGCAGAAATCACCCGTCTTCTGCGTGGCTCACGCTGGGAGCTGTAGACCAGAGCTGTTCCTATTCCGCCATCTTGGCTCCTCCTTCCCATTGTTAAATGATGGGTGACTGTATAGCACATATAGTAGCATTTATTGAGCAGATACTTTGTGCCGACTACTGTGCTTTGCACCTCAGCATACTTCATCTCCTTTAATTCCGCATCTTCTGCAGAGAGTATACTTCTATCTTCATTTGACAGATGAGAAAGCTGAGGCTTATCAAGGTTAAGTGATTTATCCAAAGTCATAGAGCTGGTAAGTGATGAACCCAGAATTTGAATCTGGTAGGTCTGTCTGGTCCAGTTCCTGACTGCTTTATTGCCATCCTGTATGAAATGGTAGTTGTACAAACAATCAAGAATAGATCAAACTAGAAGCCAACTTTCCTGGCTCTGGGGTCAGTGCCCAGAGTCCAGTGAAGCTGATGAGCATCCTTGAAGAGAATCCATGGTGCAACATTTTCCACTTTCAGACAGCTCGGATTTGCTACCTCCTACTCTGTGTTTGGCTCATTCTAGTTATTTTTTGATGCAAATTTGCCTCCATTAGGACACACATATACACACTCACACTGTTCAGTTCTGGAAGCTCATTGCCAAGGATGAAAATGAACCTTGACATCTTCAAGTTTCAATCCTTTTGTAGATATTTGTCTCACTCCCTTTTGATCACCTCCAACTCCAAGCAGCCAGCATGAGAATTTGGGACTTTTAAATTGTGTCCTTTTCCAAGGGCACAGGAAAATTCCTCAAGTCACTTTAAAAGGCTCAATCTGCAAAGCAGACAGTGAAAAAAATGAACTATCATTTTCCCCCTGGAATTCACAAAAAAAGGTCTTTTATTTCAGTAGGAAATTTATTGCCGACAGTATAATTATGGCAGAATGGATTATTAGTAATAAAATTCTCAAAGTATATTTCAGAAATTATAGTCGTAAGAAATAGTGACTACATTCCCATTTTCCCCTTCCTCCAATAGCAAGCACTGCTGAGCCCTGGGAGGGGTGTTTCACCCTTCCTTAGCTGGCCCAGCCAAATCCTGCCCGTGGGTGTGTTTCCATATCTCACACCTCTGAGAGCCAGGTGTGCGCTTCTGCAGGCCAAATTTGTCCGTAAATTATGTTTTGTTTTCTGTCAGCTGCCTGACAGCTAAAATCATATTTGCTGTCAGAGGTGACAGGGGCCACAATAGTGATGTATTAAACTGCTGCAGAGTATCAGGGGAGCAGGCTGAGCAGGCTTCTCTCGCTCCTCTGCTGTCACCTTCCTCCTCTGGCATCTGGCCTGAGCTAGTGTGCCCAGGGTGCCCATGGACCAGAACAGGGCTGGATGGTCAAGGCATGTTTTGTGTCAGGGCACCACAAATGAGATGCAACCTCATCCAAGTCATTGAAAGCATGGCCAGATTCCATATGAATCTCTTAATAGGCTTAAGATATTGGCTGGATCCTACCCCTTAATTGCACCGTGTGACGAAGTGCAAAAATCCATCATTGTAATTACTTTCACTGGATTCCAGAGCATTTTGACTATATTCAAATGGATATGTAAACCCACAGATAAGCTTAATTTTCTCCAAATGATGGATTATTTCTTGTCATTTTCCCTATCTCCATCCCCCAACCCCTAGCGATGTCTATTTTTTCATTTTCAGAGACCAAAGTAAAGTGTCTCTTGACAAGTGATACCCACAGCTATTTTACTTCCCTGCTCACTAAACAGGAACATGGTATCCTTTGATCTTTCCAGCCCATTATAAGCTGGTCTCTGTGTAGTCTTTCCTCTGTGTCTGTCTAAATTTCTCTTCTCTCATTTTCCTGGATTCCTACCATATTCACGCATCCTGTAGGACTGCATCTGGCTCCTGAAGCATAGTTGTTGGAAACCTAGTGTGTTAGTCCATTTTGTGCTGCCATAAGGGAATACCTGAGGCTGGGTAATTTATAAATAGATTTATTTCGTTCACAGTTCTGCAGGTTGTACAAGCATGGCACCAGCATCTTCTCAGCTTCTGGTGAGGCCTCAGGAAGCTGTTACTCATGGTGGGAAGGCAAACGGGGAGCAGGTGGGTCATATGACAAAGAGAGGTAGCAAGAGAAAAGAAGGGAAGGAGGTGCCAGACTGTTTAACCATCAGATCTCGTAGTAACGAACAGAGCAAGAACTCACTCATTACTGCAAGGATGGTGTGAAGCCATTCATGAGGGATCTACCACCATGACCTAAACACCTCCCACTAGGCCCCACCGCCAACATTGGGGATCAATATTTTACATGAGATTTGGAGGGACAAATATCCAAACTATATCACCCAGCCCTCTATCAGTAACAGCTACCTCTTCCTGAGCCCTTATTATGGGCCAGCCATCTTGGTATGCACTTGATCCCCATCTTCAGATCACCCAGGGTGGAAGCAGGAGAATCAGAGTTTGAACTGAAGCCTGCCCCACCTCCAAAACTCATGCCTGCACCTCCCTGCCTTTGTTTTGAACAATGGGTATGTTAAGACATTCAGCCATGCATCCCACAGGGCTCTGCACTCAGAAAGGACTCATGTTTGGGAGTTGATGATCTGCGGTTGCCAAGTCTTGAAATTCTTAATTGTTTTGTCTTGGAATTTGTCCAGTGGAATAATGGAGCACATGCTGGGGACTTGGAGCCTCAGTCCAGCACAAGACCACTTCCCATGGCCTCTCTGCCTCTCCTGGACTGGTTCTTACTGCACATTCCCCAGTCCCCTAGCATCTCAGGCCCTGCCCAGCCTCCTGCTCCCTTTCCCTCTCCCCTCCTCTCAACCACTGCCAGCCATCATCTGGGTGTTTCCTCTGGCAGGGCCTAAGTGTGGGTGCAGAGAGGGCAGAAAGCAGGTGTGTGCCCTGCAGCATCTGGGGTAGCAGCCATCCTCATCGTGGCTGGAAGGGCCACCTGCATTTGGCAGATGGCTCAGCTGGGACCTCTCATTCAACTCCAGTTCAGATACTGAGCATGTCCAAGGGCAGAAATTGCAGTCCTTTGGAGACTGCCTATTTCCAGTGGGTGAAGAGCCAGACCTATGGGAAGGGGAAACTGAATTCCCCACCCCTGGCCAGGGCCCCACATTTTCATCCTGCCATGGGCCCAGCTAATGATGAACCTGGCTCTGCTTAGGTCCAAAGGTTTGTGAGGACAAGTCATAGGAATTAGAACATGGTGATTCAGGGTATGCAGTGAGGATTCTCTTAGGGGAAGGGACTCCAATGCTTCAACCTCACTTAGCTGAATACTTTTTAGAAGACAGTAGAAGTCATATTTTCTATTTGAAGAAAAAAAGATATAAATCAGTAGAAAAAAGAACTTTCTCTATAGACATCACAAACCAGAGAAGTGAAACAATGGTAGTGAACAGATGGGAAAGGGAGAGGTATTAGGCATCAATTTCAAGACACTGAGTTTTGTCCTTTTGATTTGTTAGTTTCTGTAAAACAAGCCCAAGGAGGTCACTATATGTCAGCCTCTGGCCCAGCACAGAATGATCCTGAAATATTTACAGAGGTGGTGCCCTGGTGCCCCATTCAAGGTCAAGTTCACATGTAGCATCCTGCCTGATGTCCTGTAGCTCCAAGTGTTGTGGATGTACAGAGCATCGGGGCTAGAAGGAAAGGGACATGTCCAAACTTTGATTTTGCCCAGAAGAAAACTGAGGCCCAGAGAGCTGTCCCTTACCTACCCACTCAGTGAGGACTGACACCAAAGGTCTCATGGCTCTTTACCTGAATGAATGGTGTAAGAGCTCACAGAGTATTTAATAAGTCCTAGGTGTAGAACTGAGCACTTCATACACATTAGCTCATTTGAGCCTCACAAAAACTCTACAAGGAAGGTATTTCTGGTGAGTCTCATCAAAGGTACATTTGACTTGTACACATCCAACTATGTGTTACCTTCCTGGAGGTTGCCATACAAGATAACCACAACCTGTGTGGTTTAAACATCAGAAACTTATTGTCTCACAGTTCTGAGGCTTGACAAAGTCAAGGTGTCAGCAGGATTGATTTTTCTGAGGGCTGTGAGAGAGAATGTGTTATATCTTATCTCCTAGCTTTTGGTAGCCTCAGGTGTTCCTTAGCTTGTATATGGCCTCTTCTTGTGTCTTCATCTCACCCTCCCACTGTACATGTCTCTGTGTTTAAATTTTCTCTCTCTCTCTCTTTATTTATTTTTTTGAGAAAGAGTCTCGCATTGTTGCCAAATTTTCTCTCTTTTTTTGAGAGAAGTCCTTACCCTGTTACCGGGCTGGAGTGCAGTGGCATAATGAAAGCTCACTGTAGCCTCAAACTCCTGGGCTCAAGTGATCTCCCTGCCTCAGCCTCCCAAGTAGCTGGGACTACAGGTGTGTACCACCATGCCCATCTAATTTTTCTGGTATTTTTTGTAGAGAAATGAATTTGCCATGTTTCCCAGGCTGGTCTTGAATTCATGAGCTCAAGCAATATGCCTGCTTTGGCCTTCCAAAGTGCTGAGATGACAGGCGTGAGCCACCGCACCCAGCCAGTTTCAGAGGTTTTCAAGGGTAGCTCCCACCAACAGGGATTCTTTCCTTAGGCACTGACTTTAGGATCCAACCCTGATAAAATTGCAAATGTCACTGCCTTGTCCCCATCATGAAAAATCGCAACCCTGGAAACTCAGAGTGATTCAGGTCCTTCCTCAAGGTCACATAGTTACTGTATAGCAGGGATGGACTTCAGCCATTGAGGCCAGGCCTAGCTGACTCGACAATCTGTGCCCTATTGTCCACAGTTTGCCACTGTGTCAAGGAGAGATTGGGTTCCCTCCCAACCCAAGCTCTAGGACTAAGCTCCTGGAGTCTGCAAGAAGGCTGGGGTGGGATCTGTTTACCCCTTAAAAGGGAGAGTATTTGTTCTTTATTCTAACTCACTTTGTTCTCAGAAAGAACTTGCCATATACAGGCCCAGCCTGGGGCTGGCTTCCATATTTTTTCTTCTCTTTTGGGGTTTAAAGTTACCTGAAAAGACAGGGAGAACCATCCTATTCCAAAGACAGAGAGATCTCCATTGAAAAGCGCTCTAGGGAGCAATATCTTTTTTTTCCCACGGATCAGTTCTAGGAATTAGTTTCCGTGAAATCCAGCACTTCTAATCTTGGACTAATGTCTAAGCAGGTGCCCGGGAGAGACAACCATGCAACCAAGAATTTAACTTAGTCGAGGCAGAGGAATAAGAGGCAGGGGAGAAGGGCCAATAGCTGGACCAAACTTAGAACAGACATCAGAAAAATTAAGCCAAGAGGTGGAAGGTTGGAAACTTTGGGATCTATCAGATGGAAGGATATGGATGCTGATTTTAAGATCAAGCTCATTTTTTGGATCTTCACATAGATTTTACTAAGGAATAAATCAAATCAAGTGTTAATCCATTCTCTGGTTTTCTTTTCTTTATTTCAATCTTTCAGGTTCACAAAAGGTGAGAGTTAGTAGGTATAAGCATCCAGGCAGTACGTTCAAATTTACATGTATGTAAAACGACCCCACATACCCAAAGACATCGTTTTCTGAGCCTCTCACATACACAGACGCTGCCAGAGTCCACAGAGCTCATCCTTCATTTGCGATTCCTTTTCGACATATGTGCTTGGAATTCAAGGGAAACAGGATCCACGGGGGATTGATTTATTACCATTTGAAGACTGAAGAGAAGAGGCCTAGGAGCGTCTGATTGAGGAAGCTGCGTGGGAATCATGTAGGCTGGGCCCAGAGAAACACTAGCCACAGAGACCTGTCCCTCCCTAAAGGACAGCCCCAGGGCCACTCCACTTCTACAGGTTCTGAAATGGAGGAGCTGAGGGCTGCCCCATAGTCACATTCACTTTCGTCCCACTGGAGGACAGGGCACCAGCAAGCAGCATCACAGGGGCAGCAGAGCAAAGCATTGACCTTAATGTCAGAGAGAACCAAGTTCAAATCCAGACTCCACCACTTCTTAGATGTTTGACCTCTGGCAAGTAATTTATCCTTGCTTGGACTCAGTTTCCCTAATCTACGAACTGGGGAAAATAATAATACTCCCCTCTTAAGGTGGTTATGAACATGAGATGAAATCATGCATGTGAAGTTTTTGGCATGTAGTAAGGGCTCAATGAAGGATGCCTATTGAAGCAAATATAATTATGATGGTCTCTGTAAAACAAAAGTCGGGGCTGGTGCTTGTACTTGGGTTTTGCACTGAAAATGGTCCTAGACAATAAGCTGATGGGAGTCCCCAGGGTAGATCAGGATGGACCCAGGAGACTGAGGTGCCTTCAGTACCAACCTGGTGGTCATGGATCCCTTTCACCCTCTTGGTTGGGAAGTGCTGGCCACTTGGCGCAGCATTTAGACTCTGAAAATGCATGAAAGATGCAGAAGATAGAGCCCGCGCTGGACTTGGTGCTCATGAGAGTCATAGCCAAGGTCTCCTCTTGGAAGCCATGCTGAAGTAATTGGGGCAACTTCTCTCTCAGGCTGAGTAAAAGTGCAGATCACTTCCCCATTGGAGTCATGGCTTCGGTGACAACAATGGCAGCCTGTCTTCATGGAGGGAGAGGTGGGCTGCAGACACATCGCCCCTGGCACTGTCTCCAGGGGGATGGGAACTGGGTCCCTTGGAGATTCCTGGAACAGAATGCTGAGTGATACTTTGCTGTGGCATCAGAAACAGCAACTAGGACCCACAGGTGAAGACAAGGGCTGTAAAAGGACTTTCAAATAAGCAAGTGTCTGGGGGCCCCGCTGGCTCACCAAGAGATGGCTCAACAACTCTGCTGCCCATATCCCCATCCCAGAGCTATCTCCTCAAACTCCCTTCCCTCAGTCTACATGAGGAAACTACTGAGCAGGGAGAGGCAGAGGAGAGAGAGGAACTAGCAGGGATTTGGAGTTTATTGATCCAGTGGACTGCTGTGATTCCCTCCTCCACGTGAGAGATAGAGAGGGATGGGGCTTTCAGAGAATCCCTCATGGAGATCGGCAATGCCTACAGGAAGGGGAGGCCAACATCTCATTTTCTCATTGCTCATGCTGAAGCCATAGACTCACTGATCTTCCTGAGTATAGCTGAGGAGGGGAGAAAAGGCTTGGAGAGAGACAGCAGGTGGGCAGAGAGAGAAGGCAGCAGCGCGGTGCCCTGAACCCCCATGGTTTGGTGAGGAAAGGGGCATGAGTTGCATATGAGCTGAGCAGACTTGATGGGAGATAGCCGGGCTTGAGTTCTTTACCAGCTCAAAACAGGAGCTGGCAGTGTGGGTGCCCAGATCAGAGACCCACTTTGCCCAACCCAGAACTCCCTCCATGATTTCCACATGTGCCCAACAAGAGGCCTATCACACAGGGGGTGTAATTAGAGAGTCAGTGTCAGTAAAGAGAAGACCCTGAGGTGGAAGGATTGCTTGAGGCCAGGAGTTCAAGACCAGCCTTGGTATCATAGGGAAACCCTGTCTGCATAAGATTAATTTAAAAAATTAGCTGAGTGTGGTGGTGTGTGCCTGTAATCCTAGCTATTCAGGAGGCTGAGGTGGGAGGATCACTTGAGTCCAGGAGTTGGAGGCTGCAGTGAGCTGTGATTGTGCCACTGCACTCCAACCTGGGTGACAGAGTGAGACCCTGTCTCTAAAAAGAAAACAAAGGAGAAACAGAGAGAGAAAAAGAGAAAGAGAGAGAAGACCATGAACCATGACAACTCCAGGTAAGTGAGACACATTTTTCTCTGCCCTAACAGCTAAAGTAGGGGGAGGAAAAATAAATAATTGTGTAATCCCCTCCCATCCAAGTCCAAAATACCCAGGGGAGGAGAGAGTATGAGTGTTAAATTGGATAGAACATTGACCTGGATTAGTATGGAGTAGATAAGTCTTTTCCAGTGAAAGAAATCAGGGGGCTACCCTGGGTTAGCTGTAAGGGAGTGACGGAGGCCGGTGGGCAGGGCTGGGCAGAGGGAGGGCTTGGGCTATGGCGCAGTTCCACTGATGAACTTGCAGGGTGAATGATGTCCTCCAAAATTCATATGTTAAAGTCCTAGCCCCCAGTACCTCAGAATGTGACCTTATTTGGAAATAGAGATGTTGCAGCTGTCATTATTAGGATCAGGTCATACCAGGGTAGGGTGGGCCCCTAATCTGACATGAGTGGCATCCTTATAAAAGAACACCGTGTGAAGATTGGAGTTATGCTGCTATAAGTTGATGAGCTACCAAAAGCCAGAAGCCAGGGAGGCTGGGAACACATCCTTCCCTAGCACCTTCAAAGGGAGGGAGGCCCTCTTGACACCTTAATTGCAGACTTCTGTCCCCCAGAACTGTGAGACAATACCTTTATGTTGTTCTAAGTCACCCAGATAGTGGCACTTTCTTATGGCAGCCCAGGAAACCAATATGACCAGTCCCATGAGGAGCTCTGAGGGGGCTGGACTGACCCTTTGGGGTGTCTCAGTTGAGTCCAGGGGTCTGTGAAATTCCTCACTGGCCAGTCGTTGGATGTGGACTGCTCCTTACATTCGAGGGGCATAAGCTGGGAGGCAGCTCCCTCTGATCGAGGCTTCTTTCTGGGGAGCTGCTCAACTGTGAGCCATCAGCAGCCAACACTCCCTGCCAAGATTGAGCCTAGGCTGCAAGAAGTGAGGCATCACCCCAGATGCAAAACTTCAGATGGTGCCACATCTAGCAATCAAGATTAATAATAGTTTGATGCAAAGTTATATAAAAATTAATGCAACCATCCATGATGAATAAACATCTTTCAAAATTTTAAGTAAAACAGGAGCAGTAGTACTAATGTTTCCCTTTGCTGTGGGCTGTAATATGGCTTGGCATGGCATCCCCTGAAGCTGGGGATAGGAGTGCCTTGAGCTTGAAGGGGACAGCTGAGTGGCACACCACAATGTTCACTACACCCAGGAAGAAAGCAAGCCTGGTTTAGGACCTAGGCAGTATGATCCCACAGCCTGAATGCTTAACCACTGCCCTCTACTACCTGGAAGCATCTAGAGGAGGTATTTTAAGGGAAAGAAATGATGGAAAGAACAGAGGCACACACTCAGGAAAAGCGGGAAAGCTCGTAAAGAGTGTTGCGGCACAAAATCAGATTTACTTGTTGCTCTGTGAAATGTCAATGCCTACTTGCTTGGGAGGCAAGCAGCTGGGAGCTGGGTCACAGCGTTCTGGCATCTGTTCTACGGGCATGTAGACCCTTCTAGACTCAGCTCAGGAGAGGTGAGTGTCTGCCTTGGCCACTGAGGAGGTTACGGTGCTGCCATTGGCACAGTGAAATGAAGGTCATGATGTCAAGGACAAGAGTGTTGGGCTGTTCCTCTCTTGCCATCAATCCAGGCTTTTGAGTGATGTAGGGCTCCCGCCTGGACATGTTCCCAGCTGCTTAAATGACAAATCCGGTAGGTTTTATGTCCTCAGTGCTGGGTTTTTGAACTTGAGTCCGATAGGCTCCAGACTGGGATGGATGGATGGACGATCTCTTCACATTGACCCCTACCCTTCATCCCAAAGGCGGCCTCCCCAAGGCCACCTGAGTAATTCACTCCTCTCCTTCCAGGCCTTGATTTCTGCTCCTCCCCCATCCACTGACAGAACCTAAAACAAGAGACAACCCTCCCTTGCTGAACTGTTATAAATTCCCAGCTTAGCAGATTTCAGGCTGATTGCCTGGGCTCAGTTGTCTCTGTAAATGAGGCTTCTCACTCATGATGGATGGCCCCGCTCTCTCTGAGCACACATTTTACCTGACTGGAAGCACCATGGCTAACTATTTAACAATATTGTTTCTCAGCCAACTTCTTTGGATGGCATTGTCCCTGGGTTGATAATTTCTAATCAATAAAAATTGTCAGCAGGAACTAGGAACCCGCCTCACGGTGAATGACAGAGGATATGTCTTGGTTTTGAGCTCTGAGGGCCCCTTGCCTTCTGAATAAACATAACACCAAAGGTTATTCTGTGTTCTTCTCCGTCAAGCTTAAATTTAGCAAAATTAGGATATGAATTTTCCTTTATTCTCTGTGATCACAAATGTAATGTCAGAATTTTTTCCCAGAGAGCTTTTCACCCCACCTCTACTCCATGTCAAGGTTGTCAAAACCATAATTTATTCATATTTTTGACCTCCGGGGAGGACAATATCCAAAGGGTCAGGGAGTATTATTGGATGTCAGGATGGAAATTCACCGTGCTGGCTCCCTTTACAATGTTACATTTAATCAAGCCACACAAATGTGGCCGCTGTAATTACCCCTGAAGGGTTACCCCTCCTTATTAGGAATTACACAATTTTTATGCATTTCCCAACATCCTTAGTGTGGGAAACAGTTGGAGCCTGCTTGGTTTTCTTTGTAAGGAAGCAGAGGTCTGTGATTTCTGCCCCTCTTCTTGGGTCACGACGGTGACCTCCCACGAGCTGCTTTGAGGCCAGGACAGGGGTGAGGGGTCATGGAGCATCCTGCAGTGGGCTGGGCCATCTCCTTTGTGTGGCCCTTTGCCAGGCCACTCTGAGATCTGGCTTATCCTTGAAGGGCTCACGATGCAGCGCTTTTACCCAGAATGTCAAAGCCCAGACAACTCCTGAAGCTTAATGATTTTCTGAGAACTGTGCAGAGAGACCTGGGTTTAGGGGGAGGAACAATTAATCAATGCTAAATAATAACAATAGTTATTCTCTGATTCATGAATGGAATAAATCCTTCATCCCTGGCCCATAACAGATACAGTCCAGGCATGCACGGCAAAGCCTGTGAGCTCGTTAGAATTCTTGCCAAGCCGCATCTTGCACGTCTTCTAAAGCGTCCTGTTTTCCCGGTCATTTTAAACCACTTTAAAAAAGCTTTCATAAATGCCACAGTATTTTGATTGGTTTGTCCCCATCCTCCTTGAGGCAGCCTGTAGATAAGGTACTGGATCAATTCAGGCAGTGGGTAAGAATTAGGCTAAGGGCTTTGGAGCCAGGCAGACCTGTGTGTATACACTGGGTCCCATCACTTTCCTTCTATATAACTTTAATTGCATCACTTAACCTCACTGAGCCTCAATTTCCTGCTTTGCAAAATGAGGCCAGTCATTGTGCCTACCCCTGAGACTGCTGAGATGATGTAATATACTGAATATGAATTGAGGTGGGGAACATTTTATTTTCTTCGAAGTTGTTACAAGAGAGAGCCTCTGATGTGAAAAGAACACCTTGATTAGCTCACTTGGGGTTCAGCCCCCAGGGCCTGGGAATCAACTGTATCCATGCTTCAGAGGCAGACAGAGGCTGCACACAAAGTCTTATATGTCTTACATATGTATCAGTATAGGTCATTTGTATTGTGAGTTTATTTTTAAATTCAAATGCACCTGCTAAAGTTTCTGGCAGCTGAGGAGGGAGAAGCCACTCTCCCTGTTGCTTCCCATCTAGAGAGCACAGCAACAGTCTCTCCTGCACTGCCCTGTGCTTGCAATGCCCTCCCCTTATCCCGGCAGGTCTGAACCCCGCCGACCCTTCCAGGTCCATCTCAGATGCTGTTTCTCCATAAAGATTTATGTAATCCTACAGTGAGAGGGTGCCTCTCAGTTCGGCACACACACTGTAGCTGAAGCTGTCCTCTACTGTGGCACTTGCCACTTTTGAAGAGCACCCTGGCTGCACAGTGGGCCTGTGACATTCACAAGGAGTGTGCCCATGCCCAGGATCTTTGCCAGGGACTATGGCCATGCTGACCCCTCGATTTTGGACTTCTGGACTTAAGAACTGTGAGAAAATAAATTCCTGTTGTTTTAAGCCAGCCAGTTTGTGGTACTTTGTTACAGCAGCCACAGGAAACTAGGACAGCTGGTTCATGCTGAGATTGTGTGGTGACAGCCATACTTCCAGGGACTCTACCTGCTGGCCAGGGAGGATTCTTTGGGCGGCACTATGGCTGTGAGGGTGTAGAGGAAGTGCAGGCCAAGATGGAATCACTGCAATAACCAATTATCCCTAAGGAAGCAGTTTTCGGCCGGGCTTAGTGGCTCACGCCTGTAATCCCAGCACTTTGGGAGGCCGAGGCGGGCGGATCATGAGGTCAGGAAATCGAGACCATCCTGGCTAACATGGTGAAACCCCGTCTCTACTAAAAGTACAAAAAATTAGCCAGGCGTGGTGGCGGCCGCCTGTAGTCCCAGCTACTCAGGAGGCTGAGGCAAGAGAATGGTGTGAACCCAGGAGGCAGAGCTTGCAGTGAGCAGAGATCGCGCCACTGCACTCCAGCCTGGGCAACAGTGCAAGACTCCGTCTCAAAAAAAAAAAAAAAAGGCAGTTTTCACTGTGCTTCCTTGCATCCTGCGGCCATGCTGGGCGCAGGCTCAGAGCTGGGATATGAAACTTCTGCCCCCAGCTCTGCCACTCACCTTGGTCAAGTCATCTTCTCTCTGCTGTAAAATAGGGACACACTTCCTTGGAATTTTTCCTTCACTTGTAAAGCTTGGCATAATCTCTCCAACTAGATGGACGTCTTTGAAGTGAAGAAATGTTATCTCCTCCCTCCTCTCCCATGTGCTCAGCATATATTAGGTATTAATTGCACAAAGCCAAATGCGGATATAGCCATGTCTGTTTCACTTACTCCTCTAGACCCACTGTCTGGCAGGTACTTGGAGCTCAATAAAGGTTCACTGAACAAACGAATGATACATTAATAAACAAAGGCCAGGTACTGAGCTACTGAGCAAAAGGAATGAACCCCAGGTCTGCCCCGTACAGGCTGCTTGGTGCTCACTTTGGGGTAGGATGCATATCGTGCCATAGGAGTGTTTTCAATCCTGGTTGCGATTATCTTTTGCATCTCAGATTGAGGAGAGGGGGAGCAGTTCTGAGTGACCAGGCTTAGCTCTGCTATTGACACCACAGCCCTGAGGCCTCCATTTTTCCATCTGCTGATAGGAGAATGGGTGTGGGTGGAGTGGGGGACAGACGAGTCCAGGCTGGGTTCAGAGGGTGGTGGCATGGCAAAGTTGCCCCAGAGACAGGATGGAATTTGGTGGGATTTGGCTTCTCTGGATTGCTGCAGCCTGGAGAATGTCTGAGTATTCCCAACGAACTTTGAGTTGAAAATGACCAACCAAATGAAATTAAGTCAGCACCTAGACTAAGTTCAGGAAAGCATCAACAGAGATAAATAAATAACAAGGCAGTCTCCTCTCTACAAGACCTCCCTCTTTCCAACCTCCCTTCCTTCTTCTTTTTTTTAGAGCCAAACACACCAAACATCTTCATGTTTCCATCCTGCGGCCCTGTGCTCACTTGCAAATACAATTCGATGAAATTTGAACAGATTTGCCTCATTAAGTTTTTCTGTTCATCCTTGTCAAGATTTCCACTTGACCACCGTGGTTTCCTTCGTCAGCCTTCTCAGGGGAGAGGGGCAGTGGCTGAGAAAGGAAAGGTTTAACAAGGGGTTGCTCACCCTGTATTGCCGTCAGCCCAGGCTGGAGTGCAGTGGCACGATCTCGGCTCACTGCAAGCTCCACCTCCCAGGTTCACACCATTCTCCTGCCTCAGCCTCCCGAGTAGCTGGGACTACAGGTGCCTGCCACCACGCCCGGCTAATTTTTTTGCGTTTTAAGTAGTGACGGGGTTTCACTGTGTTAGCCAGGATGGTCTCGATCTCCTGACCTCATGATCCACCTGCCTCAGCCTCCCAAAGTGTTTGGATTACAGGCGTGAGCCACCACACCCGGCGAGCACATTCAATTTAATGAGGACATCAGATTGCAAGTCCTGCTGACCCTCTCGCCCTCCCCCACCTCCCTGATTCTGAGCCCAGCCTCTTCAGGGAAGTAGGAGTGGGAGGCTGTCCTTCTTGGATTGAACCTGGATGGAAAACCAACTCCTGTGAGCTCAGTTTCCTCTGAACAGAACTGTTGGCTCTGTCTTTTTCCAGAGGAAAAATTTACAACTCCAATTTCTACAATTTACATTCCAGCCTTCTTTTCCCAAAGCTTCCAGCACTGCTCGTGTCAGAAGGGACTACTTATTTCCCAAACCCTTTTTGCATTATTAGTTTCATTTATTATTTTTATGTTTTCTATTGGGTCCATGTACACATCATTTCTCTGAGATCCCCGGAGCAATTGACGATGAGTTGAGGGCCATCATCTCTTAGGAATTGGAGGCTAAGATGCAGTCAGTTTCTCCAGGGAAAAGGATTCTAGCCTGTGCATTTAAAATTAGCCCCAATTAACCCCTCATCCACTGGCCCAAAAATGTCCATGCAGATGTTGCTAAACCTTCTACACCCCATTCTTGTCTGTTTGAGAGAGTGTAGGGCTTAAGTGGACAAAATGTGAAGTTTAACTTTTCAGAGAGCTTAAATGCCCTTCTTTCATGCTCGTTTATCTTTTGGAGATACTTACAGATACACCTGTGATCTGTCAAAATTCGAGTATAAAAATTCCGTAATTGTTTCAAAGTAGAAAGGCAATCTGATTTTACTTTGACTTTGAAAATCATGGCATTTTCATGAAGTAAATGAAACATCAGCAGAACAGCTGTGTATCCTATAAGACCCCCCCCAGGACTTTGCAAAGGAGCTTGTGCTTGGTGACAAGAATCATCACTAGAAGCCCCATGTCACTTTCAGAACCAGCAAAACCCATTGACTAAGAAACTTTTCTAGAACAGTGTTTAGCAGACACGTTTTGAATTATCATGAATGCAAAAAATTCTCATATAAATGAGCATAAGCTAGGTGCAATGGCTCACACCTGTAACTCTAGCACTTTGGGAGGCCAAGGCAGGAGAATCACATGAGGCCAGGTGTCCGAGGCCAGCCTGGATACCATAGCGAGAACCCCATCTGTACAAAAACTTAAAAAAATATATTAGCCAGGCATGGAGGCATGCACCTATAGGACCAGCTACTCGGGGAGGCTGACATTGAAGGATTGCTCAAGCCCAGGTGGTTGAGGCTGCAGTGAGCTATGATTGTGCCACTGCACTTCAGTCTGGGTAACAAAGTGAGACCCTGTCTCAAAATAAATAAATACATACATTCTTACTTGGCTTTTAGGGAATAGTAGTGTCCCTTAAAAGGGTTTCTGTTTGTCTGTGTGCAAGAGAATTGCTGAGAGCACATGTTCTGGTGATTCAGTCTGGAAAATGTCTTCTTTGGGCCTTGGAGAGTCCCAGAAGAATCACAATGATTCTGTCAATAGCTGTTAGATGTGGGGCTGGGCACAGTGGCTCATGCCTGTAATTCCAGCACTTTGGGTGGCCAAAGCGGGCAGATCACTTGAGGCCAGGAGTTCGAGACCAGCCTGACCAACATGGTGAAACCCTGTCTCTACTAAAAATACAAAAACTAACCGGTTGTGGTGGCATGCACCTGTAATCTCAGCTACTTGGGAGGCTGAGGCATGAGAATAGCTAGAACCCAGGAGGTGGAGGTTGCAGTGAGCTGAGATCACACCACTGCACTCCAGCCTGGGCTGGAGTAAGACTATCTCAAAAAAAAAATAGTTGTTAGATAGTAAGCTCTTCTCTGAGAAGTCCTCTGTCTCTCACCTATACATCCTTTGCGGTAATGTCTTATCCTCGGAATTGTGTACAGGAGGAGATGCCTAATGTTTGTTCCATTTAATCATTCCATCTGTCTTTGCTTGTTTAAAGGATAACAGGGTCCAGCCAGGAGTGGCACAGAAGCATGATGGGCTTGAGAGGATCAGCCCCTCCTGAGTTGGGGACAGTTTTGCAAGAGCCCTTATTTATTTAGGGCCGAGCCATTCACGTGTTCACTCATTCACGGAAGCAGCTGCAAGTACACATGGCTTGAAAGGCTGCAGATTCCGAGGTGCCCTGAGAGATTATGAAAGTCTCAGTATAAACAAATGCAGTTACACAAAGATCAAGCTGAAGGGAGAAGTTCGTATTTTCATATTTACACCCTCAGGGCACTTCCTTGCCCACCCTCTCATTTTTTTTTTGTTTTGTTTTTTTGAGATGGAGTCTGGCTCTGTCACCCAGGCTGGAGTGCAGTGGTGCAATCTCAGATCACTGCAACCTCTGCCTCCCAAGTTCAAACGATTCTCCTGCTTCAGCCTCCCAAGTAACTGGGACTACATGTGTGTACCACCATGCCTGGCTAATTTTTTTGTACTTTTAGTGAGATGGGGTGTCACCATGTTGGCCAGGCTGGTCTCGAACTGCTGACCTCAAGTGATCCACACGACCTTGGCCTCCCAAAGTGCTGGGATTACCATCCCTGCACCATCCCTGGCCCCACTTTCTCATTTTTATATCCTTATCCAGTTAAAAAACAAAACAAAACAAACAAACAAAAAACAAAGACATTATCTGCTTCACACTAGATTCTTTCATAGAGAACTCTTTGAAATACTGTGAACATACTTTGAAGACTACTTTGAAAAATACTGTGTATTGCTGATTAACCTCCTTTGGAATGGACTCCTGTTCATGTTGAGGCATAGGGACTTGGTTTGACGTCTGTTACTCTACCCTCAAATGAATAGTATGTCTCCAGAACGGTACTTACATTCTGTAATACTATTACCACTTGGTCTGTTGTGGGGCCCCTCAGTCATTTTTTCAATTAAAAAAGGCCTGATGCTCTATTAACCTTTTGTCTGCTGTACCATCCTTCATACTGCCATTGCCCTGAGATGATGAGCTATGTATTAAAAAACATATATTACTGTAAGCCACATCCAAGTTCTCTGTCATTAGAAAGATGAAGTATCATTTTTTCATTAAAAATATGAGACAGTTTCTCACACTCACAACTTCTGGGCCTGTCTGCAATCTCTTTGTTATAGGGGTTGAGAGGTAACTTCCACCACTCACCATCCCACAGCCAGGAAACTCCACCTGAGCCCCTCCCATGGAAGATGGGCCAGAAAAGGGTTTTGTTCTCAGAGGGTAAAGCTGTAGCCTATTGACATTTTTTTCTCACAGCTGCTTTTAGGTGAAACAGTGGCCTCAGTTTGCCAGATATCTAAGCGAGTAAATAAAATTGCACACTCCACACTATTTGCAGCTGCACAGAAAATCAAGTGACTCTCTGAGTCCTCTTCCTCCTTTCTCATGTGGGAAACAGAGAGCTTCTCAAGGAAGCAGAAAGCCTAGGCCATGTGTCTGTACTCTGGATCTCTCTTGCTTTCAAGTTTTATAAGAAGCTGCCTAGAGTGGCCACACAAGCTGGTCATGTTACCCAGGTTCATGATGACTTAGGAGATAAGCAGGGCCAGGTGTCTGGAACCCAGCCATCACTGTTATCTTTGTGGCGCTAGGTGACAGCTATTTAGGGTCAGTGTCCTGGCTTTAGGTTTCCAGAACACTCAGGAATTGCCTTTCTTTTTCCATTCCAAATTGAATAAGGGGAAAAGATACCAAGAAAGTGGGTTCTTTGGAAATGCATCTTGGTAATGTTGACTTGATTGTGGGGACGGGTTTGGCCATGACTATTGTTAAAATCTTTGTGAGGCTATACCTGTTGGATTTCCATGTAACCCTCTGCTTGTCCTTCCAGCCAACCATATAGGTCGGGCTCAATCTACTGGAGGAAGGTAAAAGGTTTCAGCCCTGCCTCTCTGAGTTACCACTGCCCTGCCCACCCCAGGATCCCACAGCCCTTCTAATCCCTCTGGCCACCTCAGTCAAAACTGACTCACGAGAAGGAGGCTTGCATCACACTCAATACAACAAACATTTCTAGAACGTGCTGATTGGCACCAGGACTACTTTGTGATTTCTGATCTCACCTGTGAATACTGTGAAGCTCTAATTGAATACATTTCCTGGGCCATTTGTTAGCTCCTCCAAACCCTGCTCTCCCTCCTCATAGGAGGGACACAATGGTCCTGCCTGTCACCTCCATGCGGCCGCCATGTGGGATGCAGTTCTGTGCAGTGGCTAACATAGGTGCCAGCCTCCTCCAGTTCAAATTCTGGCTCTACAAAGTGCTAGCTCTATGCACTTGGAAAAATTACTTGACCTCTCTGAGCTTATTTTATTACTGCTTCTATTGAGATATAACAGAATTTACCTCATGGCGTTACTATGACGATTAAATAAGATTATCATGAAAGTGCTTAGTCTGTGTCGGCACATAGTTAAGTACTAAACAAATGTAAACTGCTATATTTTCAATAGTCACTATCATATACCTTTCTCTTTAGCCCTTGGGACAACTTTTGAAGTAGGCGTTTTGTCCATGTTTCATTGATGGGAAATGAAGGCTCAGTGAGTACACTGCAGAGCTGGACTCACACCCAGGTCTGTGGCTTTCTAAAAGCATCTTCTTTCCATGTGCTCCCTGAAGATGAGATGTGTTAAAAATGGATGCCCTGTCCCCAAAGCATGTACTCCCAATCTTACTGTATTCTTGCTCCCACATCTTCCATCTCTCCCTCTCAATTGACTCAGTCTATTTGATGAAATTTTCCCCCAATTAACAACAACAACAACAAAACAACAACAGTCTCTAATCTTTCACCCAGTCCTGTGCTGGAGCTAACTCCTACCATCTCAGGAGCACTGATTGTTTCAATTTCAGGAATTTTGCAAGATAGTTGAAATCATGTTGGTAGCTTGAAATTGGCCATGGTAGGAGGATTTACAGTACAGACACCAGCCAATGCTTCCAATCAGGGCTTTAATTTTCATTTCTGGAGAGTTGGCTGTTAAAACTAACCTGCATACCTCTGCTTCCACCTCCACATTCCTGACTATCCACCTATCTCTTCTTTCCTTTGAAACCGTAGTTCTCGAGAGTGGTTTATACTTCTCTACCCCCCTTTGCACAAATTGTTTCTACTTATCTCCAAAAGCAATGAAGTTTTGCCTCCACACTTACCACCAAAGCCAGCAATGACCTCAGTCCATTTGAGCTCCCCATCATTTGGAGCTGTTGACCTTCTCTCTTTCTTGATAGTCATGTCTCCTTTGGCTGATGTGACACTCTTCTTGGTTTCCCTGCCTCTCTGACCAGCCTTTGTCATTTCCGCTGGGTCTTGTGGTTCTATCCTTGTGACTTTTCCTTTCTTCCTAGACTCACCAATCTTATCTACTCCAAATAGATATGTCATTTTGGACATTGATCTATGTCAAATATGACCCAACTCCTCTTGACGTCTGTAGTGATGCTTTATGTGCAATGCACCACATCTCCTCAGTACATTGGATTTTAGTGGAACTATGCTGAGCAGCTCCATGCAACCAGAAAACTGTTCTGGGTGTCTCTTCACCTTCCTGTCTCAGGGCTTTTCTTAAAGCTGTAGAAGGCCAAGCTTGAGTGCAGGAAGTATGGAGGAGTTAGTACTGTCTGCAGGCAAACCTCAGCCAATGGGGGATGCAAGTAAGTGGATAAATACTCCAGCTTTCATACTTTAGAGAGAGAGCTCTGAAGTGCTGTCTACTTAGTTTCTCAGTCTCCAGTAAGCCTGAGCACTGAGATAAGCAATGCAGTAACTCACTCTTCACTGGCTTTTCTTCATTCCTGGTCTCATTGTCCCCTCTTCTTCACTCTGCTTCCTGGCATCACTTCCCAACTAAACTAGCTGCACTCATGTCTGTGTCTCAGATTCTCCTTTAGGGGAACCCAACCTAGAATACTCCAATGCTGAAATTTCAGTGCCAGACTCACTTCTGATCTTCATACCTGTAGCACCTATATCATTTCAAGACCAACCTGATGTTAAACCCATTATGCTGACTTCTGTCCCTCTGCCTCTGTATGCTGGATCAACCTACAGTAGCAGAATCCACCCAGGTTCCCAAGCTAGAAATCCCAGTGCAGTTTTCTCTCTTTTACTTCAGCCACCTCGCCAAGTTATTCAAGTCTTCTAACACGGAAATGGCTTTTGAATCTGTCCCCTGGGCTCAGTAGAAATGGGTAGAAAATTGTCAACTCACCAAAAGCCCTTTCTTCTCCAGCAAAGAAATTTTGCAAGCATTTCCCTTGCACACACACACAGAGAAAAAGAGAGAGAGAGAGAGAGAGAGAGAGAGAAACAGAAGTTTTGCAGGCTCAAAGTGCTCTCAAAATATCAGAAAAATGCTCTTTCTCTGCAAGTATGCAAGTATGTATACTGTGGTTTAGAGGAGATGTCTTCTTTCCTCTTTATAAGAGGCTGCCATTTCAAACACTAAAATCACAGAAATTACGGCTTAGTTTTATAAGCTTTTTTTTTAAATGCCAACCAATTGAAGACATAGTAGTTGTAATATGACAAAGTCTATAGCCCATTGGACAAACTTTGCTGTCTTAAACTTCTGGGGTCTGGATCCCTCTTACCAGCCCTGAGGTCCTGGCAGGAACTTAGATAGAAAAACAAATACATGCACACATCTGATGCTCCAAACCCTAACAGCCAGGGCACTGCTCTATTTTCAGGGCTGCTAGACAAAAAGTGTCTCTTCTTCAAATGTCACCATGTGTGGCACCCTTTCCCCCAAGAGACTGCAATTTTCTAGACCAAAAGCTGGCCCTGGAATCCTCCTGAGATGATGATATTCCCTCTCCCAGGAATTTGGGATTGGGAGTCAGAGAGGCTGACTCACTCAGTTGCCAACATTGGCTCTTATGTAAAACTGTTAGCAAATACAGATTCTCTTGGCTATTGAGGCACCATATTGAGGCAACAGGAGAATCCAGAGAGGCACAGAGTCTAGTTGTTTGACATTATAAACAATGTTTTAATGAATATCCTAACACATACGCATTTTTCTATATCTCTGATTCCTTTCTTATGATGAATTTCTGCAGATGGAGTTCCTGGGCCAAAGAATATTTACATTTTAAGGATTTTTATATTTTTATATGCCCAATGGCCCCTGAAAATTTTTGTTGTATCAATTTTTGCTACCATTTACAGTCTGTGTGTGAGTTCTGGTATTTTTTTTTTTCTTTTTTCGAGACGGAGTTTCACTTTTGTCACCCAGGTGGGAGTGCAATGGCGTGATCTCAGTTCGCTGCAGCCTCCGCCTCTTGAGTTCAAGCAATTCTCCTGCCTCCACCTCCTGAGTAGCTGGGACTACAGGTGCCTGCCACTATGCCCGGCTAATATTTGTATTTTTAGTAGAGATGGGGTTTCACCATGTTGGCCAGGCTGGTCTCGATCTCCTGATCTCATGATCTGCCCGCCTTGGCCTCCCAAAGTGCTGGGATTACAAGCATGAGCCACCGCGCCTGGCCCGAGTCCTTGTATTCTTATTTTCCCTAGATATTTTTCTTTAAAGAAAAAAATGGGGACTATTTGAATAACCTAAGCATATGCTTCATAGGAAAGGAAATAAAAATGGCTGTTTGATATATGGAAAGATGCCCAGATTCACTTGTAATTGAAGAAATGTAAATTGAAACTATCCTAAGGTACCACTTTTCACTCATTGGTTCGGTAAATTCCATAAGCCTGATAACACACTCTATTGGCAAGGCTGTGGAGAAGCAAGCACACTTGTACATTTTGGTTGGATATGTAAATTGATGAAACCCTTGTAGAAGGCAATTTGGCAGTAGCTTTCAGAATTAAAAATGCATACAGCCTTGGTCCCAGTAATTTCACTTCCCGGAATTCGTTTTACAGATACCCTGGCATAATTGAGAAATGATGTATATTCAAGGTTATTCATTGCAGCATTGTTTATAAGAGGAAAAACATTGGAAACCATCTAAGTAAATTATCATACATCTATACAATGAAAAATTATTTAGTGATAAATAAGGAGAAAGCTCTTAAAACACCCATATGAAAAGTTCTGTAATATATATTGGTAGAAGGAAAAAGCAAGTTATGAAACTTTATGTATACTATGCTATAGTTTATTTTAAAGAGATTAAAATAAAAATAATAATGCATCTGGTATTTGCTTGTATATATGAAAAGAACCTCTGGAAGTATACATGGATCATTACTAACAACAGTGATATGGTTTGGCTGTGTCCCTACCCAAATCTCTCCTTGAATTGTAGTTGCCATATAATCCCCACATGTTGTGGGAGGGACCTGGTGGGAGATAATTCAGTCATGAGGGTGGCTACCCCCATGCTGCTGTTCTCATGACAGTGAGTGAATTGTCACAAGATCTGATGGTTTTATAAAGGGCTTTCCCCTCTTTGCTTGGCACTGCTTCTTCCTGCTGCCATATGAAGAAGGATGTGTTTGCTGCTTCTTGCACCATGTTTGTAAGTTTCCTGAGGCCTTCCCAGCCATGCTGTTCTTACAGCAGCATGAGAATGGACTAAAACAAGCGGTTACCTGTTTAAGGTGTGGTGAGTCCTATGCACGTGGGGGACAGGATGGGAGAAAATTGTTCACTGAATTCTTTGCTGGTTTTTTTTTTTTTTATTATTTTGGAACTAAAAAAATGTATTTAATATCCAAAATATAAAATATTAAAAAACACTCATTTTCCAATTTAAAATTTTAATTTGACTTAAAAATATTTAGTAAGTTTGAGCATGCTTTATGCATATATTGGTCATTTTTTTTTTTTTTAATAGACAAGGTCTCACTCTGTTGCCCAGGCTGGGGTACAGTGATACAATCATAGCTCACTGCAGCCTTGGACTCCTGGGCCCAAGCAATCCTCCCGCCTCAGCTTTCTGAGTAGCTGGGACTACAGGCACACACCACTATGACTGGCTATTTTTTTTTTTTTTTTTTTTTAGAGATAGGGTCTCATTATGTTGACCAGGCTGATCTCGAACTCCTGGCTTCAAGGGATCTTCCTGCCCCATCTCCCAAAGCACTGGGATTATAGGCCTGAGCCTCCACCCTGGCGCCATTTGCATTTCTTGTGTGGTAGTAACCTCATTCACATCATTTGCAAATTTTTATTTAAAATTGAAGCTTCTTTTCTTATTTAACGTAAGTGCATCTATATATTAAGAATACTAACATCTATCTTCTATGTATGTTTCAAATGGTTTCCCCCGTTTGTTGTTGTTGTTTTTTTTTTTTTTTTTTTTTTTTTTTTTTGAGACGGAGTCTCGCTCTGTCGCCCAGGCCGGACTGCGGACTGCAGTGGCGCAATCTCGGCTCACTGCAAGCTCCGCTTCCCGGGTTCACGCCATTCTCCTGCCTCAGCCTCCCGAGTAGCTGGGACTACAGGCGCCCGCCACCGCGCCCGGCTAATTTTTTGTATTTTTAGTAGAGACGGGGTTTCACCTTGTTAGCCAGGATGGTCTCGATCTCCTGACCTCATGATCCACCCGCCTCGGCCTCCCAAAGTGCTGGGATTACAGGCGTGAGCCACCGCGCCCGGCCCCCCGTTTGTTGTTTACCATTTAAATGTTAATGATATTTGATTTGATATGTTGGAACTTTAAATTTATATGGAGTTGAATTTATCTGTTCTTTTATTTGTAAACATTCCTTTGCAAATATGATTTTTAAATGATTAGCTTTTCTAATATTTACCTGTATTTTCTTTGAGTTTTTTAAAGAATTATTCTCATGTAAAGTCTTAATTATTTTGGAATTTATTGTTATATACTGTATAAAGCTAGAATATAGCTTTTCTTTTTAGCAAATAGCTAGCCAGTTGCCCTTAAACTATTTACTACGTCATCCTGTGCTCACTAACTTGAAACGCCACCTTTATCGTAAATTAATTTTGCTCTTGGGCCTGTTTCTGAGCTTTCCATTTTGCTCCTCTATTGATCTCATCTGCCTAGACCTGCAGCAGACCAACCTGGTACTTGTTAAGGAACCACCGTGGGCCAGGTGTCATGGCTCACACCTGTAATCCCAGCACTTTGGGATGTAGAGGCAAGTGGATTTCTTGAGCTCAGGAGTTCCAGACCAGCCTGGACAATGTGGCAAAACCCCACCTCTACGAAAAAGTAGAAAAATTAGCCAGGTGTGGCAGCACACATCTATTGTCCCAGCTACTTGGGAGGCTGAGGCGGAAGGATCAGGAGGATCACCTGAGCTTGGGGAGGTCAAGGCTGCGGTGAGCCGTGATCACATCACTGCATTCCAGCCTGGGTGACAGAGTGAGACTCCATCTCAAAGCCGTTGTCAAGACCTTGGGCTGGAGCCAAGTCTCTTCCTTGAATCCCTATGACATGCCTCATCCTAGGTTCTGTTGTGGGTGGCTTTGCTTGCCCTCTGCTCCCATTGTATCTGAAGGGCATGTTATCTCCACCCATCTGTGAGTTCTCCAGTAAAGGCCATGTCTTCTGCTTTTGAAGCCACTCCACGTGCCTACCATCCAGAAGAACACATGGTTTTAACAATCAGCTGTTGAAAATGCTGGATTAAATGGATTCTCGATGGAGAATGAAATGCTGAATTAAGCATTGAAAATGCTGGATTAAGTGGATTCTCCACTGAGAATCCACTTAATTCCAGTTTGGCCACTTAATAGCATTTCTGTGTTGTCTTCAAAAGTCATATATTCACTTTGACCCTCAGGATCTTTGCTGTTGAGATGAGGATAATAGTACTTACCTCATAAAGTTAGTGTGAGAATTAAAATAAGTGATACTTTTAAACACTCTTGGCGCAAGTCTGACATATAGGAGGGCCTCAATATAGCTTCATTTATTCATTCTTTCAAGGTTATTTTCATCAAATATATATGAATGTTTTGATTGATTAATTCTTTCCTCCATTATCACAAGCTTGGCTCTGCTGAATTAACTTCTCCCATAATGGCTTCTTAGACAAGAGTTGAGGCAAGCCTGCAGGCTTCCAGATGGCTTAAAGCCAGATAAGATCCCAGACTACCTCCAATTGGGGTTTGGACTATTTTAGGTTGTGTATAGTGGGAAGGACAAGGTAAAGATAAAGGACACTTGGCTTAGTGGGGAAGCATAAGCCTTTGATATGTGTTTGTGTACATATAAGTCTGTGCATTCATGTATGTGTGTATACGTGTGTGTGTGTGTGTGTGTGTGTGTGTGTGTGTAAATGCATTCAGTTTGTTTGTTTCCAGAAATGGCCAGGTAGTGCATATTCCAGAGACCCAGAGAAAGAAAGATAAGGTCTTAGGTGTACCCGGAAGGCAGTCTCTTCCACGTTCTCTTTCCCCTCTCCACTCTCTTCCCTCCCACCTTTCTTTTCCTCATGCCCACACCTTCTGCTCTCCCCAGAAGACTTGGAGTTGCTATCATATTTCTGTGGCAGCTCCCAGAGCTTCCAAGCTGAGGTGTCAATCAAATTTCCCTTCTCTTTGAAAGAGCGTGGTGGAATCTGTCAGGGGAATAGAAGAAGGTGGGGAGGTGGGAAGAGGCAGCGGGTGTCAAATGTGAATGTGCATGAAAACGTGTGAGGATCGACAGCAGGCCCCCGCAGGCTATGGAGGAGCCTCCGCTGACTGCCCCAAACACAGCGGTCTTCTCCCTCATCCAGTCTCCTGCAGAGATTGCACACTCTTTGATTCAGCTCTGTGGCTGTGCATCTGCATGTTTTCTTACCATGTAAAGAGCTCAAGTTTCAAGAGTTGATTATCTGCCCCCCCCACCCCAGGTCCTAGCACAGTGCCTGGAATATAGTAGACACTCAGCAAATAACTTGCTGTATGAATGAGTACTTGCATGAATCCTGTGTGTGTTCTGTTGGTTGATAGTGAGTTTTCTACAATGCCACACGGTCAGGCCACTCAACCCTTATGGTGTGGCACGGATAAGCATATGCTGCACCCCCTAAATAAATTGACTGGCTTGTCCCTGGGTATTAATGGGGTGGCTTAGATGTCCTTCTCTTCTTTGGGATAAAGAAGTATCTATCATTGAAGTATCTATCCTGGCTCCTGGAATCTATGTAGAAGTTGCAGGTCTGTCAGTCTCGAGTGTCTTTATCCCCCCAAATGAAGAATCTGCCTTGTTTACAGTAGTTTTAAAATGCAGGATTTTAGAATAAATCGAGAAGAGTCAAGCCATTCTTCAACCAGCTGTGTGATTCTGAGCAACAATGTCACTACTATTTTCAGAAGCTTTAAAGTGAGGAATAGAACCCATCTCAAAGGGATGGCACATGGGAAGGGCTAAGAAAAGTGCTGAGTATATGGTAGACACTCAATAAATGTTAGCAATTTTTAAGCTACATCCAGTTGTAAGTGAACAGCTATGTTGGAGTAGATGAAAAGGAGGAGGGTGGGGAGTGAGACTAGTTGTGGGAATTCACCTTTCTGATTCTGTAACACACATTGTCTTAGTAATAAGGATGACTGAGAGTCCTTTTGGGCATTGGGGGAGGTGGAGTAAATTGAAGAACAGTGTTCTTTTTTAGGCCTATAATTACAGCACATGAGTGCTCTCCATCAGGTCAATGAGTGAGAATGTTTTGTGCTCTTTATGTTTTGGGGATCTTCACAAAGTTCTGGAGATCGAATGATTTTCATATTGATCACTCAGTACACATTGATTGAACACCTACTGTCTGCCAGGGGATACGAAGATGAATTAGACAAGTTCCTGCCCCCTGAAGAGTTCCCAACCTACTTGCAGAAACAAGGTAAAAACTCAGAAAAATTTCAGTTTTGATCCAAGAGTTGAACAACAGCTCAAAATATTCTAACATGGGGGCAGCTGATGTTTGCCTAGGGAGTGGTAATAAGTGATACATTTCAGGGGAATAAGAGATCCGGTTGGACGGGCTGGTGAAGGAAGACACCTTAAGCAAAGAGGTTTGAGAGGGCATCTGAACCCAAGAAAGAGAGGCTCTTGGGAGAGCAGTGAGGCACAGGAAGCTGTGTCCTGGGGACAGTGAGTGAGCCTGTCTGAATGGAATGGAGGGTTCATGCAGTAGGAGAGCAGCCTGGTTGGACAGGCCAGGGCTCTGCTGTGTAGGCCTTGGGTGTTAAACCAGAGAGCTTAGAATAGATCAGAAACTGTGGGCAGCTTTTGAGCAGGGAAGTAACACAGTGAAAGTGACATTCCCAGAACTGCCATTTAAGTTCTTTCTGAGCGTGCACATCTTCAGTGTGGATATGAGACTCACACCTGGAAGAAGCTAGCTGTCCCTAACAGGGGGCTCTTCTTGTACCCGCAAGACTACTAGAGACTGGATACTGCCCACTCAACCCCCAGTTCTGCTTTCTCAGGGTCTATTTTCTAAAATCTGTGACTAAGAGATCATGGCTTCTTTTGGTCCTTCTAACAGCTCCCTGTAAAGCAAGGAGCAAGAATACCTTGTCTAGTTTACACATCGAGTTAGCAGTGGATCTGGGACACACCTGGGCTCACCAGACCAAGTTCCTGACCCCATGTCCAGGGCACTGACCCCTGTGTCATAGCTGCCCCCTGGAAGGCCTGGTCCTGAATGTGAAAGCAAAAGGCTGATATGGCCAAAGTCTTTACCTTTAAGGGAATTTGACATAATCAGAACAGAAGTCATTTTACCAAGATTTGTCTTTAAAATAGCTGACAGGCTTTAGAAAATGACTCAAATAAGAAATTATACTTCAAGGTACCTAAGGAAAGGTTGTCTTCAACTTCTCCCCAACCTCAAAATGCTGATGTTTGGCCATCAACATCAGTTTGGGACTGGCGGATGATGAGTGGCAGCCAAGCAGACTGTTGGCCATGCGGGCAGCTGATGGGCAGACCCCTGTCCAGTGGGGCCTGATGGCAGAGAGGTGGATTCATTGCCGGGAGCAAATGGTTGCCATGGACACAGCTAGCTTAGCCCTGGAGCCCCCTTGGATAAGGCCCAGGAAAAAGCTCATTTCTACCCCTTTGTGGCCCTTTTTGAGCCAGGTCTGGAGACCATCCAAGAAGCTAAATAAGCAGGAAAGCTGGGAGACAGCAACCCAATATGGTAATTAGCCCACATTGTACAGGCAAGATGGATTTTCAACTTCAAGGAAATTGGCAAGAAGAGCAGAGGGAACCCTTACATTTTTCTTTCTCATTCTGGGTCTCTTTCCAGTCAGCTGAAAAATCTATTTTGCAAAATATATGGGTCCAGAAAGAACCCAAACCCAAGGAGAGTTTTTTCCATTTGATGTATCATCCCCTTTATTTAAAATGATGAAAGAGAGAAAATGTTTTTCAAAGTGACATCATTTATCTTATGATAATCAATGAAGCCCTCATAAAACTAATATATTAAAGAAAACATTTAAGCTTAAACCAAGCAAACACACAAGAGGGGTCTTAGAAATAACCCCAAGGCTCCAGGGGGAGACACAATGGCCTACTTGTTTTCCCTTTTCTGGATCAGTTGTGTTTGGTCGTTTTGATTTTCAGGACCCTCTTTGCTGCCTGCTAGGGTGGCTGAGGACTAGAAAACCACAGGGGCTGTGGCTATTACTTATCCTACTTGTACTGCCATAAATATAATGAGACACACTTGGCACCCTGCTACCTGATACTGACCTTGATTGTTGCCGAGTGAGTGAGGGTCGCAAAGCCTCTGCCCACTTCTTTTCCTGGGACGCCAGCCAAGCAGGTTTGATTTTCCTGGAAATCCCTGGGCCGTAGAATATGGAGCCTCCGGTAAAAGTGGGTTCCTCCTCTCCCTTCATTGCTATTCAAAGCACATGTTATTTATTCATGTTCTCCCCATTTTGCCTCACAGAGGGGAGGTGTTTGGAACAAAACTCTCCCTCCCCTCTCCCACCTGTCCCCCACCAGCATGTGGGGGAGGCAGCCCAGGAGTCTGTCAGGAGAATAACTTCTGAGTACTTTTCCATTTTCAATAGTTTATGACCCAATTTAGCATGCAAATGCCCCAAATGCAATGAAAACGCTGCACCACATTGGCTTTGCCTTCCCATTCAGGCATAGGATGACTTCCCAGTTAGTCATAGGATGGAGAGAGCAATCTAACTTCCCTGATGGCTGAGGGAGGAATGTTGCCTTGTATTCTTTCTGGAATAAGAAGGCTTTAAGGCAGGTGCAGTATGAAGTGAAGGCAGAGGGAGTTGGTATCTTTCTGATTGTGACCTGAGGGGACTGCAGAGGCTTCCTTCCACCAAATATCTTACTTCCCCAAATATCTCAGTGCCTGTTTCATCATTGGTGTTTTATGCATATGCTTCCATCCATCTGTTTGTCCATCTGTCCGTCCATCCATCTGTCCATCCATCCATCCATTCTTTCTTTCTTTTCTTTTTGAGATAGGGCCTGACTCTGTCACCCAGGCTGGAGTGCAGTGGTGCAATCATGGCTCACTGAAGCCTCCATGTCCCAGGCTCAAGTGATCCTCCTACTTCTGCCTCCTGAGTAGTTGGGGCTAGAGGCACATGCCACCATGCCCAGCTAATTTTTGGGTCTTTTTGTAGACTTTTTTTTTTTTTTTTTTTTTTGCAATGTGGGGTTTCACCATGTTGCCCAGGCTTGTCTCAAACTCCTGGGCCCAAGAGATCCTCCCATCTCAGCCCTGCAAAGTGCAGCGAATTCTTTCTTTCTTTAAAAATGTATGTATCATTGGTCTGTGTTCGTTATCAACTCCTAGACATCTTGGAAGATGCAAACACTCTTGAAGGTGACACATTGAGTCAGTAGAATCTGAGGGGGAGTGACAGGACAGGATGCTTTACCTTTGGGACTTTGGACAATAAGACTTCCTCCTTGGTCCCTTCTCTGAACCCTAGGAAGTGTCTGAGGTTCCTAGGGCACAGTGAAAACTTCTGCTAGCTTCAGTTTTAATTATATTCTAACCACATTTCAGGCACCATGCTTAACAGTTTACATGCATTCACTCATTTATCCTCTAGACTATGCATTGCATGAAAGTAGGAATCTGACAGTTTATTATTATTATTATTATTATTATTATTATTATACTTTAAGTTCTAGGGTACATGTGCACAACGTGCAGGTTTGATACATAAGTATACATGTGCCATGTTGGTTTGCTGCACCCCTCAACCCATCATTTACATTAGGTATTTCTCCTAATGCTATCCCTCTCCAGCTCCCCCACTCCCCAACAGGCCCCAGTGTGTGATGTTCCCCGCCCTGTGTCCAAGTGATCTCATTGTTCAATTCCCACCTATTAGTGAGAGCATGCAGTGTTTGGTTTTCTGTCCTTGTGATAGTTTGCTGAGAATGATGGTTTCCAGCTTCATCCATGTCCCTGCAAAATACATGAATTCATCCTTTTTGTGGCTGCATAGTATTCCACTGGTGTATATGTGCCACATTTGCTTAATCCAGTCTATCATTGATGGACATTTGGGTCGATTCCAAGTCTCTGCTATTGTGAATAGTGCCACAATAAACATACGTGTGCATGTGTCTTTATAGTAGCATGATTTATAATCCTTTGGGTATATACTCAGTAATGGGATTGCTGGGTCAAATGGTAATTCTAGTTCTAGATCCTTGAGGAATCGCCACACTGTCTTCCACAATGGTTGAACTAATTTACACTCCCATCAACAGTGTGAAAGTGTTCCTATTTCTCCACATCCTCTCCAGCATCTGTTGTTTGCTGACTTTTTAATGATCGCCATTCTAACTGGTGTGAGATGGTATCTCATTGTGGTTTTGATTTGCATTTCTCTGATGATCAGTGATGACGAGCATTTTTTCATGTGTCTGTTGGCTACATACATGTCTTCTTTTGAGAAGTGTCTGTTCATATCCTTTGCCCACTTTTTGATGGAGTTGTTTGTTTTTTTCTTGTAAATTGTTTCAGTCCTTTGTAGATTCTGGATATTAGCCCTTTGTCAGACGGGTAGATTGCAAAAATTTTCTCCTATTCTGTAGGTTGCCTGTTCACTCTGATGGTAGTTTCTTTTGCTGTGCAGAAGCTCTTTAGTTTAATTAGATTCTATGTCTCTATTTTGGCTTTTGTTGCCATTGCTTTTGGTGTTTTAGTCATGAAGTCCTTGCCCATGCCTAGGTCCTGAATGGTACTGCCTATGTTTTCTTCTAGGGTTTTTATGGTTTTAGGTCTAACATTTAAGTCTTTAATTCATCTTGCATTAATTTTTGTATGGGTGTAAGGAAGGGATCCCGTTTCAGCTTTCTACACATGGCTAGCCAGTTTTCCCAGCACCATTTATTAAACAGGGAATCATTTCCCCATTTCTTGTTTTTGTCAGGTTTGTCAAAGATCGGATGGTTGTAGATGTGTGGTATTATTTCTGAGGGCTCTGTTCTGTGTCATTGGTCTATATCTCTGTTTTGGTACCAGTATCATGCTGTTTTGGTTACTGTAGCCTTGTAATATAGTTTGAAGTCAGGTAACGTGATGCCTCCAGCTTTGTTCTTTTTGTTTAGGATTGTCTTGGCAATGCAGGCTCTTTTTTGGTTCCATATGAACTTTAGATTTTTCCAATTCTGTGAAGAAAGACATTGGTAGCTTGATGGGGATGGCATTGAATCTATAAATTACTTTGAGCAGTATGGGCATTTTCACGATATTGATTCTTTCTATCCATGAGCATGGAATGTTCTTCCATTTGTTTGTGTCCTCTTTTATTTCGTTCAGCAGTGGTTTGTAGTTCTCCTTGAAGAGGTCCTTCACATCCCTTGTAAGTTGGATTCCTAGGTATTTTATTCTCTTTGTAGCAATTGCGAATGGGAGTTCACTCATGATTTGGCTCTCTGTTTGTCTGTTAATGGTGTATAGGAATGCTTGTGATTTTTGCACATTGATTTTGTATCCTGAGACTTTGCTGAAGTTGCTTATCAGCTTAAGGAGATTTTGGGCTGAGACGATGGGGTTTTCTAAATATACAATCATGTCATCTGCAAACAGGGACAATCTGACTTCCTCATTTCCTGATTGAATACTCTTTATTTCTTTCTCTTGCCTGATTGCCCTGGCCAGAACTTCCAATACTATGTTGAATAAGAGTGGTGAGAGAGGGCATCCTTGTCTCGTGCCGGTTTTCAAAGGGAATGCTTCCAGTTTTTGCCCATTCGGTATGATATTGGCTGTGGGTTTTTCATAAATAGCTCTTATTATTTAGAGATACGTTCCATCAATACCTAGTTTATTGAGAGTTTTTAGCATGAAGGGCTGTTGAATTTTGTTGAAGGCCTTTTCTGCATCTATTGAAATAAACATGTGGTTTTTGTCATTGGTTCTGTTTATGTGAGGGATTACATTTATTGATTTGCTTATGTTGAACCAGCCTTGCATCCCAGGGATGAAGCCGACTTGATCATGGTGGATAAGCTTTTTGATGTGCTGCTGGATTTAGTTTGCCAGTATTTTATCGAGGATTTTTGCATCAATGTTCTTCAGGTATATTGGTCTAAAATCCTCTTTTTTTGTTGTGTCTCTGCCAGGCTTTGGTATCAGGATGATGCTGGCCTCATAAAATGAGTTAGGGATGATTCCCTCTTTTTCTATTGTTTGGAAAAGTTTCAGAAGGAATGGTAGCAGCTCCTCTTTGTACCTCTGGTAGAATTTGGCTGTGAATCCATCTGGTCCTGGACTTCTTTTGGTTGGTAGGCTATTAATTATTGCTTTAATTTCAGAGCCTGTTATTGGTCTATTCAGAGATTCACCCTCTCCCTGGTTTAGTCTTGGGAGGGTGTATGTGTCCAGGAATTTATCCATTTCTTCTAGATTTTCTAGTTTATTTGTGTAGAGGTGTTTATAGTATTCTGTGATGGTAGTTTGTATTTCTGTGGGATCAGTGGTGATATCCCCTTTAACATTTTTTATTGCATCTATTTGATTCTTCTCTCTTTTCTTCTTTATTAGTCTTATTAGAGGTCTATCAATTTTGTTGATCTTTTCAAAAAACCACCTCCTGGATTCCTTGATTTTTTTGAAGGTTTCTTTGTGTCTCTGTCTCCTTCAGTTCTGCTCTGGTCTTAGTTATTTCTTGCCTTCTGCTAGCTTTTCAATTTGTTTGCTCTTGTTTCTCTAGTTCTTTTAATTGTGATGTTAGGGTGTCAATTTTAGATCTTTCCTGCTTTCTCTTGTGGGCATTTAGTGCTATAAATTTCCCTCTACACACTGCTTTAAATGTGTCCCAGAGATTCTGGTATGTTGTGTCTTTGTTCTCATTGATTTCAAGGAACATCTTTATTTTTGCCTTCATTTTGTTATTTACCCAGTAGTCATTCAGGAGCAAGTTGTTCAGTTTCCATGTAGTTGTGCAGTTTTGAGTGAGTTTCTTAATCCTGAGTTCTAATTTGATTGCACTGTGGTCTGAGAGATAGTTTGTTATAATTTCTGTTATTTTACATTTGCTGAGAAGTGATTTACTTCCAATTACGTGGTCAGTTTGAGAATAAGTGAGATGTGGTGCTGCGAAGAATGTATATTCTGTTAATTTGGGGTGGAGAGTTTTGTAGATGTCTATTAGGTCTGCTTGTTGCAGAGCTGAGTTCAGGTCCTGGATATCTTTGTTAGCCTTCTGTTTTGTTGATCTTTCTAATATTGACAGTGGGGTGTTAGAGTCTCGCATTATTATTGTGTGGGAGTCTAAGTCTCTTTGTAGGTCTCTAAGGACTAGCTTTATGAATCTGGGTGTTCCTGTATTGGGTACATATATATTTAGGACAGTTAGCTCTTCTTGTTAAATTGATCCCTTTACCATTATGTAATGGCCTTCTTTGTCTCTTTTGATCTTTGTTGGTTTAAAGTCTGTTTTATCAGAGACTAAGATTGCAACCGAATCTGTGACAGTTTTCCCAGTACTCGAAACACTATAGCCCCTAGAACATGATAGGAGCTCAAAAATATCTGTTACATGAAAGAATGATTTTCTGAAGAATCTTATGTTGTTAATCATCATTATCTTCATTTTAAAGAGAAGTCAGCTGTACTTTAGAAACATTAAGTAGTATCTCCAAGGTCTCCCAGTGCTTTTGTTGTAAAGCTGAGATTGAAACTCAGATCCACGTGACCCCACAGTAGTGCCCATAACTGCTATCTAGAGTGACTGAATAGTAGAAGATTCATGGGAAATAACAAGATAGGGATGGGGTGGGTAAGACTAGGGAGGCAGCCATTTTTCCATCTTAGCAAGTCCATGCCAAGAGAATCAGAACAGGTCTGATCCATATCGTTCCTCTTGCACTAGATCCAAGATCACAAAGATAGCCATGGACTAAACTAGCCGTGTCCATGGCAACCATTTGCTCCCACCAATGAATCTGCCTCTCTGCCATCAGGCCCCACTGGACAGGGGTCTGCCCATCAGCTGCCCGCATGGCCAACAGTCTGCTTGGCTGCAACTTATCTTCCACCAGTCCCAAACTGATGTTCATGGCCAAACATCAGTCTTTTGAGATTGGGGAGAAGTTGAAGACAACCTTTTCTTAGGTACCTTGAAGTATCATTTCTTATTTGAGTCATTTTCTAAAGTCTGTCAGCTATTTTAAAGACAAATCTTGGGGAAAATGACTTCTGTTCTGATTATGTCAAATTCCCTTAAAGGTAAAGACTTTGGCCGTATCAGCCTTTTGCTTCCACATTCAGGACTAAGCCCTCCAGGAGGCAGCTGTGAAATGGGGCTCAGTGCCCTGGACATGGGGTCAGGAACCTGGTCTGGTGAGCCCAGGTGTGTCCCAGAACACAAGAATCTTATGGATCAGATGTAGATTTAATCTGATGATAGAGCCAAAATTGAAGTTCCAGCCCCAAAATGCTTGTCATGTAGTGATCCACAGACTGATGTGCCTCGACCATCTAACACCAATGACAATGATTCAGCCACAAATGGAAACCAATGGAACTGCCTGGGAAATGTTGTCTTCTTCTGTCTTCTTTAAGAGAAGAAACATGCTACATGTTTGTGGAACAAACATGGTTTCTTAGCCATAAAACAGCATGCTGCCCTCTGTACTGAAAATACACATTTGAGGCCGGGCGCGGTGGCTCACGCCTGTAATCCCAGCACTTTGGGAGGCCGAGGCGGGTGGATCACGAGGTCAGGAGATCGAGACCATCCTGGCTAACACGATGAAACCCCGTCTCTACTAAAAATACAAAAAATTAGCCGGGCGTGGTGGTGGGCGCCAGTAGTCCCAGCTACTTGGGAGGCTGAGGCAGGAGAATGGCATGAACCCAGGAGGCATAGCTTGCAGTGAGCCGAGATCATGCCACTGCACTCTAGCCTGGGCAACAGAGCGAGACTCCATCTCAAAACAAAACAAAACAAAACAAAAAAAAAAGCAAAAAAAAAGAGGAAAATATACATTTGAGAGAGTGGGAACAAGTACGGTAGGAAGAACTTCCCCAAAAGGCCCCACAGCAAAACCCTTCACAACAGATTTTTTCTGTTGTATTCATTTATCCTCTAGTTTGTCAGCAGGGACTGGCTCTTACATAAGTACTTCCTGACACCTCCTATTATGGTGTTGCACTCACATTGGGGGATTAATACACATGTATTAATGTAGTAACTAATTTAATTTTAAAAATACCCCGTGGGTCCAAAAACAAGAAGAAAAACAAACCCAAATGTTTCAATAAAATAAAAGCTCTTTGAAGACAAGATCAGTGCCTTATTCATCTTTGTCTCCTTAGGCCCTGTACAAGGACCAGTGCATAGCAGGTGCTCAGATAATGTGTGCTGAATAAATGAATGAAAGAATTCTACGATTTAATGTTGATTCTGAACACTGCTGTTCTTACAGTGATGATTGTGGGGGTGGTGGTAAGAGTACAGTGTGCAGTGCAGGAGAGGGCGCTAGAAAAGGATTCATCTCTTAGGGATGGATTTCATCCAGATCATCACTTTTCATGCTCTGCTGCCCCTAAGTGATACTGGAGGATATCTTTCAGTTCCACTCTCTTCTTGGTTCCTGATAGAAAGTCGGGGAAACCTGCACAACTGGAAAGGGCTCAGCTTCTCCTCAGTCCAGCTGATTCTTACTCAGTAGAACTATCTCCCAATATTGTCAGATCCTCCAACTCTTAAAGAAGTTTAGAATCTGTGTTTTTACATGAAATATACCAGTTTTTATATTTTGCCCATTGTAGGATGGACTATAAATTGTCCCTAAAAATATTTCCTTTCCCTTCCAGAGTGAAATAATTTTTAGTTGAGCTACAAGGCCACTGAGAATAAAGACTGTATTTCCCAGTCTCCCTTGCAGCCAATGGTTGCCATGTGACTAAATTATGGCCAAAAGAATGAGAGAGAAAGTAATGTGTGCACATTCCTGAGTCTTGCCCTTAAAAGGAAGGGTGTAGCCTTGCCTTCCTTCCCCCAGTCCTACTAGCAGTTGTACAGACATGCTGGGGACCATTTTGGAATATATGGACAGAATGAACACACCAGGAATGGCAGACTACCAAGACAGCAGAGGCCTGGGTCCCTGATGCTGTACACGAAGGGCTATACTTGCCTCGATTTAATGTGAGATAGAAATACATTTTTATCTTATTGAAACATTCCTATTTGGGGTTTGTTACTCATGGGTGATTCTGTAACTCATTAACATAGTAACTCATTCCATTGTTGAAAAGGCCTTGTGGGTCAAAGAAAGCATGTTTGTTCCTGAAGACAAATGCCATCTGGTGATGTATTAGGCTCTATGCTATCATCCTTCCCCTGGGAGAATTCTGTGAGTTGCTGTTTTGAGAGAAGGCCCAGTATCCACAACTGATTGGAGCTTACATTTTGCTGGAAAAGCCTGGAAGAGGAGTAAGGGAGTTAGTCTGTCTTTGACTCCGCCTCCTGCCCTGCAGAGTCGTCTGGCTCCTGTGGGCCAGTAGCCAAAGAAATTCAAGTGGGGGCACGTATTTGGGCTCCTCTGGATCAATCCTTGGAATCTGGGGGCATGATTTCTTCTAGTATCTTCCTCCTCCTTCTTTCTTCCTCTTTTTTCTCTTCCTCCTCTCTTTTCTTCTTCTCTTCTACTCCCTTCTTTCTCTTTCTCTTCCTTCCTTCTTCTTGTTTTTTCTTTTTTCTTTTTTCTTTTTAAAGAAACAAGATTTCAGGCAAAGGCCTGTGTTCTGAGCAGCTGGCTGTAGGATGGTGGAGAAGGTTGGGGGTGGGACACCATGGAAGTAGACTTTTATTTTTTAGTTATTTTTTCCCCAAGCTGAAGCCTGTGGTTGTTTTCTCTGTAAGAGGATAATGAAGAATTTGCTGGTCTAGAATACAAGAATATTGAAATTGTTTCTCATCTGTAAGAAGGGTATGAGAATGACAAGAATGGACAGGAATGGCACCAGCTTTCAGAGGGTGACTATATGGGAGACCCAAGGGCAGACCACATGGAGATGAGGTATCATGGTACAGGTGCGGTTGAGGGACACAAAGGGCATGGTAGGACAACATGACGACCGAGATGTCAGAGCACACATGTTGAGCCTCTTGGAGGTTCCTGAGTGTGTGGTCTGTGCTCAGGCAGCATCTATAGAAGGCTGTGCTCACAGGCAAAGGCAACATCTCCCTCTTTACCAGCTTTAGTTGGCAGTCAAGGCATCATGAATTCATGCCTTTGGTCACTCCTAATTTATTGAGTACCCTCCAGGTTCCAGGGACCATGTTAGGCACTGAGGACAGGACAATAAGGTACCAGGATCATGCCACCATGAGGTGACAAAAATAAAGGAAAGGCCAAGAGAATCCCAGTGATGCCTGCACCACATCATTGTTCTTGAGCCGAGACCAGCAGCCCCAAACCTTCCAACATGTGTTGAGCCCACTGGAGTAGGTGCAGCCCCTGCTTCCAAGGGTCTAATACAGACAAACGGAATATAAGTGGATAAGCATCCCAAGAGTACAGCAAATACCTAGGGGGCCTGGGGACACAGAGCAGGGGCACTGTGCCAGACATTTCCACAACCACTCTCTACCCTTTTTCAGCTGCTCTGGGCCTGGGAGGCTGACCTAAAGGTCTAGGGTGGGCTTCTTTGTCCTCTAGCTCCCGTTGGGTTGGGCCAATGCAAGTCTCTGCCAGGAGATCAGAGGGTGGGAGGAAAGAGTGAGGTCAGGGCAATCACCCTCTTACCACTGCTTCCTCCTTGCATGGGCCACTCTTTGGGGCAGCCAAGTTCTCCTAGTAAGGGCCACAGCTTTTGTGGGACAGCCCTCTTCTGCAGCTGTAGCTGCAGCTTTCTCCAAGACTTAACAACCTGCTTCCTCCTTTAGCTCTCAGGGATGGAACATCTCTCTGCTGTGCCAACCCTGGGGGTTTGGCATCCTTTTCTGGTTTCCCTTTGCCCTATTCATACTTTGTAAGAACTCCTCTCCTGGTTCCCCCATTGAGCATGCCATCGGTTTCCCTGGGGATCTGACCAGGTTGTCCCTGATACATACTTCTGCCCCATGATGATGCGGGGCTTATCTCTAAAATAATATAAATGCATGCAAAACAGATGCTTTTACATCACTGTGTCATATTTTATCCTCACAAAAACCCTGCAATTGAAGCAGGAAGGAAACTGAGGCCCCTGGGATGAGCATCTGCTGAAGGTCCCACAGCTAGTTGGTCCCGGAGCTGGCATCTTTGACCTCCGTAAGGACAGGCCCTACCCTAAGGAAGGGGTGGCTGTCCTCTGTCTGGAGCCCTCTCTGATGCAGGGACTTGGTCAGCACAGCCTCCCTGAGCTTCCATTGTACCTGTTGCTCCCCTCCCCCACCCCTCACTATGCTGCAAAATGGAAAATGCTGTACCCAGCCAGCAACAGCCCTTTGTTCCACACTAACGAAACATGTTCTATGGGGAGCTAGCGTTCCACTTTGATTTTTGGGACTTACAAATAACGCTCTACAGCACATTGTTTGCTAGAATTACCCAGAGCTCAGCTTTTCTGCATTCATTCTGCCGTATGGAAAGAAGCTGCAGCAACAATCGATGGGTTTTCCATGGTCTCTGACTGTCCACTAGCTCGTATTTTACTGGTTTTATTTTGCTTATGCAGTCCCAGCTGTGATTATCAATACATGCATTCAAGCCGCTCCTGGCTCAAATTGTAGCAACAATAAGCTTGGGGGCAGGGGTGGCGATCTCCCACTCTCTGGCAAGGTTATAGTCTCTGGATTGAGAGAGAATAGGTGAGGGAGCAAAAGGGAGGGTGGTAGGGAGAAACTGAGCTCCAGGAGGAGGGAGGAGAGAAAGGAGAAAAAGCAAGGCAAGCCTCAATACCAGCATGCAGAGAGCCACTCTATTTCAATGCTCCAAGCGAACTTGAGTCCCAGCCCACCGATCTCTGAGCTCAGACTCCACATTCACAGACAAAACATCTCTCTCCAGCTGTTCCCTGTCACCCTTAAATCCTTTAAATACAGTCAGATGAAGCCAGCAGGGTTGCAGGATAAATTAACATGTTCAAGCAATTACCGAGGCTTTTTGATAATTCAAGTACAAGGGGCTTAAGTATTGGGTCTGGAGGAAAGAGAAAGAACTTCTGAATCCCTCACATTGTTTTTTAAAGTCTTAAAGTAAAAAGGAAATGTTTTCTGGGTGGGATGGGGATAGAGGTGAGCATTGTGCCACCAACTGATTTGTAATGGCCAAGCTGGTCTGAAATGTTCATTCAAATCTTCAATCAAATGCATGTTTGTTTAGCCAGCACCTTCACATCTAAATTGTGTGCATGTTCTAATTTATCCCTCTTATAACACACCTAAGTAAATGTTTAGATTTGTGATTCTCTTGGATATTCAAATTTGACCAATAGATTGTCTATGACACTAAGTAGCCATAAAAATACTTGGGGTGTGTGTATGTGCATATTGCCAGGAGAAGTTGTAATTAGAGCCAGACAAAGCCACAGGAGACATGCAAAATTCAATCAGTTATTATATTAATATCCATAAAAGTTGCATAGTCCTAACAGAGAAGAAGAATAAAAAATAAATTAGAATGGAATGGAGTGGTAAATAGATTATTGAACCCAATTAAGTATGTGGCTACCTGAGGAGAAGTAATAGACACTGTATGACTTAAAAAATTATCTAACATCATAACCCAGGAACAGGGGCGTGGGTGGTGGTGTGAGGACCATTTCACTCTTTGAATTTTGAAAATCATGACGTTGTGACAGTAAAAGTGGCTTTAGCCTAAATGCTGGCTAAATTGCCGATAAGAATCTGGTCAAATTATGATTAACATTCCTGGTCATTTAAGAAACCTCATCTAAAGGAAAAAACAAAAAAAATTTAGAAAAGTAATCCCCAAATTTGTTTAGAATAACATTGTTTGCTTACAGTGCAAATATGTTTTAACCCCAGAAAATTTTTAAATTAAAAATACAGATGTTTAAATGATTCAAACTGATAACATTGATATTTTTGCACAAAGAAATTGTGTGCATTTTTGTATCTATTTTTTTTTTTTTTTTGAGACGGGAGTCTCGCTCTTTTGCCCAGGCTGGAGTGCAATGGCGGGATCTCGGCTCACTGTAAGCTCCGCCTCCTGGCTTCACGCCGTTCCCCTGCCTCAGCCTCCCGAGTAGCTGGGACTACAGGCGCCCGCCACCACGCCCGGCTAATTTTTTGTATTTTTAGTAGAGATGGGGTTTCACCGTGTTAGCCGCATTTTTGTATCTTGAGTTTGTAATGTTTAAGAAAATTTACCTTCTTAGTAACAGTTTAGTCTCATGACATTAGTTTAAAGTGTGAACTGAGTGATTCCTTAAGTGTGTGATTTTAAGTGGAAATCTTACAAAATTAACTTACAGGGTTAGAATACAGGAGACTTTAGGGTTCATCATATTCATAAGTTTAACATATTACATTGATAAGAACTTAAGTTTTAGGAGGATTTTGTCAGTCAAACAAGCACTTTAAAAGGAAATTGAACATATTACATTTATAACTGTAGTTTAAAATGTTTAAATGAGTTTAATTAACCAAGTTTGTACATGGAATCATCCATGAACCAAAGTCTCCTTTAAAGTGGTTGTTACAATTTTGTAGACTTACACAAAGAATAATGAAATGTATAAGCTGAATGTAAAAGCTTAAATTGGTTTAAATTTGGCTCTTTAAGGAGAAACAACAGAATACAGTGGTTGAGAGCTTGGTTGCTGCGGCCAAACTACCAGGGTTTAAAACCTAGCATTTCTGTTTAATTGTTGTATGATCCTGGACCGGGAAATTGACCTGGCTGTGCCTCAGCATCCTCACCTGTAAAATGGGAATGCTGACATTAACAACATGCTAAATAAGTTAATAGGTGTAACCTCTTAGAATAGTTCCTGCCATATAATAAGCACTCATTAAATGTTGGCATTCGTTACTAAGATATTGAAAATCTTATTTCTAAAACTAAGCCTGAAATAGTCTTTTCTGCATACCAAAGCCTACTCATAAGAACATCAAAGACCTCACAGTGACATGCATGTCTATATAAGGTGCTTCTGACACAGCTCCAAGAAGTCCCTTGACAAGTGAAAAATTCAGTCGGTTTTTCTCTCTTTAGTTCTAAGTAGGTGGCGTCACTTCTCTGGGCTGGTTGAATGTCGCCAGTGCCTGTGCAGGTGGCACCACCTCCAGAAGTGGCTCCAGTCTTCCAAATTGGTTTCAGCGGCTCTCTACTCTAGACCAGTGAGCCTCTGGCATCACCTGTCTGAGGACATCTGCCAGCAGCAAAACCTTTTCGTAGCACTTCCTTAGTGAGTGGTCATGTTTGGTATCTACTAATTCAGAAGCTATGTAATGTGAATTTGAGAGCATTTTTCTTTCGTGTTTTAAACATCTTTCAATTTTATTATAAATATTTTTAAATATAATTAATCATTCCACAGGATAGGGAGTTTTGCCTTCAGTAATGGCAGTACTCTGCCATAATTCAGACTAAACCTTTCACTCAGAACTAGAGAAGCTGGACATGACTTAAAATATATCAGTTTGAACAGGGCCTTGAAGAGTCAGGATGTCAAGAACCAGCAGAAGAAGGAAGCCTAGACAGATGGGCCTGGCACTGAGGGGCTAGACTGACCATAAGAGTATATGACAGAGCCAAAGAAGGTAGGTGGAGCGTGCAAGGCTGGAGGATGAAATCTGGGGTTCAGGGCATAGCAAAGAAATGGAAATTACTAAACACACTTTATGCTTATAGTGGAGACCCAGTGGGCTAACCCCTTAAAGTAAGGGTGAACCAAATATATACCATCCCTTGTAGGAGTGAACACTTAAAGAAGAAAAATGAGATGGAAAACTTTTATTGCTAGACATCAAGACTTACAAAGCTACAGGAATGAAGACAGTGTGTAACTGGCGAAAGGATAGACGAATAGACCAAAGCAACTGAAGAGGAAGTTCAGAAACAAAATCACACTTACACAGACACTGCATTTTTACAAAGACGGCACTGCAGGCCAGAGAAAAAAAGACAGGTTTTTAAAATAAACAGTGCAGGCTATCCATAAGGGGAAAAACTTGAATCTTGACATTAAGCAAAAGAAGTGAATTTCACCGGGCGAGGTGGCGGGCGCCTGCATTCCCAGCTACGCGGGAGGCTGAGGCAGGAGAATGCCGTGAACCCGGGAGGCGGAGCTTGCAGTGAGCCGAGATGGCGCCACTGCAATCCAGCCTGGGCAACAGTGAGACTCCGTCTCAAAAAAAAAAAAAAACCAAAAAAAAAAAAAAAAAGAAGTGAATTTCAGACAGATGATTGGCCTAAACGTGAAACAAAAAAACTTCCAGAATATAACACAGAAAAATAGCTTCATGATTTCAGGGTAGGTATGATTATTTAAACAGGATGCAAAGAGCACTAGCTATAAAATAAAAGTTTAATAAATTGGACTACATTAAAATTTAGAACTTCTGCTCATCAAAAGACAGCTTTAAAAAATTTATTTATTTATCCATACATTACGTTGACAGAAAGAAGCCAGACACAAAAAAATTCATATTGTATACTTCCATTATGTAAGGTTCAAACGGGCAATACTAATCTATGATGGTTATTTTTGGGCAAGAGGTTTGATAGGGGCTCCCGAGATGTCAGTAAAGTTCTATTTTTTATCCTGGATTACTGTTATATAGTGAGTTCACTTTTTTTATTTTTTATTTTTTTTAAGACACAGGGTCTCACTCTGTAGCCCAGGTTGGAGTGCAGTGGCACAATCATAGCTCACTGCAGCCTTGACCTCCCAGGCTCAAGTGAGCCTACCATCTCAGCCTCCAGAGTAGCTAGGACTACAGGCGCATGTCCAGTTAATTTTTGTATTTTCAGTAGAGACGGGGTTTCACCATGTTGCCCAGGCTGGTCTTGAACTTGTAGTCTTAAGCAATCCACCTCAGCCTCCCAAAGTGTTGGGATTGCAGGTGTGAGCCACTGCACCTGGCTGAGTTAACTTTTTGATAATTCATTTTTGGTCTTCATTCACTTAAGATTTTTGCACCTTTTTGCACTGATATTTTTCAGTACAATAATATATTTTTTTTTAGTTAGAGAGACCAGTACAATGAACTCTATCTAGATTCATTCAGATTCAACAATTACCAGTGTTCGCTTCATCTGTTTTTTTTTTTTTTTCTGGTATATCCATGTATCAGATTACTTCACCCCTACACACACCAGCAGGAATCTTTAGGAATACAGACAATTTCTTACATAACTACAATGTCATTTTTGAATCTAACAATTTTCACAATAATTACTTGGTATAATTTCATATTTGTGACTATATATTTTAAATGACTTTGTGTGATTTTTAAAGAAAATCACAATAGTTCCCATGTATATTTGAAAACTAGTTGTACTCACAAGAGAAAAACTAGAAGTGGCCAATAAACCTATGCAAAATTCTTCTTCATTAGTTATCAAAGAAATGTCAATTAAAGTAGCAATTGAATATCATTTGCCACCTATGGATTATAAGATAGGGAAAAAAATGTAAAAAAATGATCATATTGAGTGAAAGCTGCCCTGCTGGTGAGATTTATAAATAGGTGAATTTCCGGAGGACATTTTGACGATTTGCATCAGAAGTCTTGGAGAGGAGCATACCCGGAAATTCCACTTCTCAGATTTTAACCTAAGGAGAAAACCAAGCAAACAAGTCTGGAAAGATGCATGGAAGTAAGTAACAAACCACTGTTAACCAGAGTGAGTGCTGGAAGCAATATCAAACATAAAAATATCCCCAACAGTAAGTAGATTGTGTTTTTGAAGGAAAACATCATATATATGATGTTTATATATATATAAAGAATGTAATACCATGAAACAAGCTAAAATGATAAATTGAATATACTTTTATTATCATGGAGATGTTTACAATGTAATGTTTAATTTTAAAAGATTATAACACAGCTTGTGCAATATTTCATTTCTGTAACATGCATCTGTGTATGTAATGTATGTGTGTCAAGTCTTAAGATACACTTCAAAATACTATAGTTTTCTCTGGATGGTCAGACTAAAGGTGATTCTAATTCTTTTTGCTTATGTGTACTTTCTATTTTTCTATGATTACTTTCATAATAAAAATATTTTAATGGAACCATTTACAGATACATGTGGGCAAGATCATAATAATAGCTACCATCTTTTTAGTACTTACCATGTGCCAGGCCCATTACAAATATCATCTAATTGAATCTCATTACAAACTTGAGGCAAATACTGTTATAATTCCCATTTTGCAGATGGAAGAACAGGATACATCTGTAGTAGCTTGTCTTGCTCTGAAGCCTTTGCTGTGCTTCCCCACCTTTCTGATGCCTGGCTTTGCTGCATAACTTGCTTTGGTCAATAAATTATGAGCAGCAGTGATGTAATCTACTTCAGAGCAGAAACTTTGAGTCATTATGTGATTATGTGATTCTGTCATTTAGTTTTTCATTCTGCTACAAGATCAACATGTCCCAGATAGGGGCTATTTCCTCAGCCTGGTATATACTAAGTTTTTTTTTTTTTTTTTTTTTTTGTGACGGAGTCTCGCTCTGTTGCCGATACTAACTTTTTGATAATTCATTTTTGATCATTCATTCACTTAAGACTTTTGCACCTTTTTGCACTGATATTTTTCAGTACAATAAATTTTTTTTAATTAAAGTTAAACTTGGGGACTGTGAGTGGGAAATTAAGCTTTCATTTGTTTATTTATGCTACTGAGATTTGGGGGTTATTTGTTACTGCAGCACAATTTAGCCTAGGCTGACTGACACCAACCAGGTTAAGTAAATTGCCTTAAATCACTGAGCTATTAAGTGGATGAACTGGAAATGAAACCGAGTCAGCCTTACACCAGAATCTGTCCAATTAACAAGCTACATAAGAATTTATTCTGTCTTTTCATTGTGCATTTTGCCCTTATGATTTTGACAATCCTTGCAATTACCCTGTGGCTCCTATGCCCAATATCTTAGGTCTGTCTTCTGCGTCTTTTTGCATGTATGTAAGCAATCCGATCCTGAGCTCCAGTCTTGAGCTTCAGATTTTGGCAAGCACATTAGTCAGCGTTTTCCAGAGAAACAGAACCAATAGGCTATATATAACGAGATCTATAAGAAGAGTTTTATTATAGGAATTGGCTTACGTGATTATGGAGGCTGAGAAATCCCACAGTCCACTGTCTGTAAGCTGATAAGGAAAGCAGGTGATGTAATTCAGTCTAAGTGTGAAGGCCTGAGAATGGGGGAGCCTGATGGCATAACTCCCAGTATTTGTCTGAGAGCTCAAGGACCAGGATCACCCATGTTTGAGGGCAGGAGAAGACAGATGTCTCTCCTCAAGCCAAGACAGCAGATTCACTCTTCCCCCACTGTTTTGTTCTATTCAGGCTCTCAGCAGATTGGATGATGTTCACCCACATTGGTGAGAGTGATCTTCTTTACTCAGTTAACCAATTCAAATGTTAATCTCTTCTGGGAACACCCTCACAAACAAACCCCAAAATAACGTTTTACCAGCTATCTGAGCATCCCTTAGCCCAGATAAGTGGACACATAAAATTAACCGTCATAGCAAGGAACTAATTCCAAATAGTGGCAATCTCCCTATAGCAGTCTCCCTTATAGCAGTCTCCCTATAAACCCAGGAGACCGAGCACATAATTATTTCCTTATTGCTCTATCAGTTTTGAGATTCCACGTATTTTCTCGGACTATAAGGCCTATGTACACTTTTGAGGCTATTTAGAGAACTGGCAACAAGTTCTTTCCATGAAGTGTGCAAGAAGAAATTGGTGAACAGAAGTTGTAACTAAAGATTTGGGGCAGGAAGAAAAAGAAACATTTAGCCTTGGAAGTACACATCAAATTATTCAGGATGCAAATACAGCTTAATGGTAGTATCCAAGGCAACTCTGGAGCAAGACTTCATAATTGCTGAATTCAACCAGGGTTCAATGAGGAGTTAAACACCAACCTATCCAAGTAAAAAAAAAAAATGGGGTAGCCAACCAGATAATCTCCCTCAACTCCACACTCACCCATGCATCATTCAGTTTCATCTTAGTCTCAGGGAGTCCCTGCCTCCTCCCATCTCTGCCCTGTAACACGCACACACATGCACTATCATTTTTTTTGCATATTACAGTCAATCAATAAATCTACTGTATTTAGAATTACAGGGTTGTAAAGCTAGAAGAGATCTTGGGTATCATCTTAGTCAAACTCTCCCATTTTACAAATGATGGAACTGAGGCGCAAAAATCATTAGTGACCTGCTCAGAGTCAAATTTGAACTACTCAGTTGTAGACCTCAGAGGAGAACTTAAGGTACCATACTCCAGTGTTCTTTTCAGTCTACTGTATTGCATTGTTAATTCAAGAACACAATGAACACCCAGCGTGAGCACATGATGAGAGCCTGTGTCTACAAAAAATACAAAAATTAGCCAGATATAGTGGTTCACACCTGTAGTCCCAGCTACTTGAGAGGCTGAGGTGGGAAGATCACTTGAGCACGGGAAGTCGAGGCTGCTGTGAGCCATGATCACACCACTGTACTCTAGTCTGGGCAACAAAGCAAGACCCTGTCTCAAAAAAAAGGAAGAAAAAAGAATACAATGAACAGGTTTTCTTTTGAAGTGACGGAAATGTTTTGGATCTAAATGTGTTAGTTGCGCAACAATATAAATGTACTAAATGCCACCAAATTGTATACTTTAAAATGGTTCAATTTACGTTCCGTGAATGTTCATGCTGATAGAAAAAATCATTACAAAAAGAATATGATGAGAATTAATTATGTCAGAACCCATTATTAATTGTACACAAATAAGTCCACCTGAACAGCATTAACCCCTAAGGCCAACGTTACTAATTCAGTCCCCCAAAATCATGGTGGTCTGCTGCACGACACTGGGTAAATAAGGCTCAATGTGTTGGCTTTCATCTCTTCATTTTAAGCCCAGCACTGTTGTTTCCACGGTACTGTAATGTCAGGGAATTATATTTAAGCCATTCTTAACTCCTCCAGCCCACATTGATCTTTCCCTTCTCTGAAACTCCAGCACTTATAACCTAAACTAGATGATTTAGAACTTAATTACGTTCTATCTTGTGCAGTTCTTTAATTGTTTGATGTAGGATAATCTTGTCTTACGATAAGACTGTAAGAACTTTGAAGTTAGAGACTCTTGTGTTAAATTTATTTATTAATGCATTCATTCATGAATACATCTAAAACCACTTTTCACCACCTATTGTGTGCCAGGTGCTTAGAGAACAAGACACATCACCCAACAACAAGGAGCTTGGTGTCTGTGAAATCTCCTCTGTGCCTGGCATGATGAAGGAGCATGGTACTTCAGCATCCAGCCTTAAAACTGAAAGACTTTGTCTCACTACAGATTCTCTTTTCTTGGGTTCCCTATTTCAGGTCTCAGTGAGAACATCAACTTTCCTTCTCAATCGCTTTTCCATGGCCCTTCTTTTCTTCATTCCCTCTGATGCTCCCTGGTGGGAGCTTTGCAGGAGCTTTCAGACAGATCTCCCTGCTTGTCCACCCACTGCTAACTCCACCTCCCTATTGCAACAAGAAAGATCTTTCTCAAACTGTGCTGTGAGTCTATCACTCCCTTATTATAAAACTTCCCACTGGTTTCTCTGTGTGCTTAAGAGAGATGAAGCCCAACCCTCTGTCAGGCTTGCAACACCCTTTGTTTTTGCACCCTTCTGATTTATCCAGCCTCATCTTTCCCTGTTTCCCCCATCATCCATCATCCAAGCTCCAGCCATCCTAAACTTTCTGCAGTTCCTCATCCTATGCCCAGCCTCTGATCCTTTGCACATGTTCTTCCTTCTTCCTGCAGCGCCTTCCTTTCTCCCCTATCTCCTCTGCCTGCTAACTAACTCCAGCTCATTTTATTGGTTTTAGCTTGGACATCACTTCTTGCTCACTGGCCTCTCTCAGGAGCTCGGAAGTCCTTCTGCATTTTCAGCTTCCCATGCCAACACCTTTATCATACTGCATTAGAATGTTCTGTTTCCTTGTCCATATCTCCTTTCATCTTCTATACCAATTGTTCCATGAGGGCAAGGACTAGGTCAGCTCGTTTATGGCTGTCATCCCACAGTCTAGCATATAATAGATGCCCAGTGAACATCTGTTGAAGTAACTGAATTTGATTATATTGAAGATATGATTGCACTAAAGAAAAAAGATACTAATTGTGTCAGAAGCATTTTGAACCAGTGTGACTCCATCTTGTATAGGGGCTGGGTGAAATAAGGCTGAGACCTACTGGACTGCATTCCCAGGAGATTAGGCATTCTAAGTCACAGGATAAGATAGGAGGTTGGCAGTGAGGGTGACCAGAGGTCACTTTCATCACCATCTTGGTTTTGGTGGGCTTTGGCCAGCATCTTTACCACATCCTGTTTTATTAGCAGGGTCTTTGTGACCTGTATTTTGTGCCAGCTCAGACTGCAGTGAAACTGCTGATTTTCCCTTACACGGTTGCCTGGTGGGTTGCAAGTGAGAAATCCAAGATCAGGCTCCAGGAGGGTGTGGTGGAAACCACAGAAAAAGCCTGGAGCCTTTGCACAGGCCAGGGAAGAGTGAGGAGGGGAAGGCACTGAGATTGGGGTGGAGTACCCAAGGAAAAGTCAAAGGTCAAAGTCCTCTCTTTCACTCTGTGATATCTAGTCCTGATCACTCACAGAAGTCTATTGAACTCAGTGACACTTTGTGCAGTGTCTGCCCTGCCCTCAGGTAATCATGGGAAAACCCCCAAATTCCCTCTCAGGTTTGGTATTTTATGGAATGCTAAATACCAAGGCTGAAGATTTTCGCATAGGATTGTAGGCAGGATAAAATTCTGAACTCAGGGTTCAGGACTCCCCTCATAGTACAGACCCTGGGGCAAAAGAATGTCACAGGACTCGCTCTTGGCACAAAGAAGGTTGATTTTCTTCATCATGAGAAGCTACACTTTGCCCAGTGCGGAGGAAAGGCTTGCAGACACTCCCTCGGCGCCTGCTGGTCCTGGCTAGGAGGAAGATGAGTCATTGTGCATTTTTCCCTGAGCTGGAGGCGGAGCTGACTGAGCAGTCCCAGCTCCCGCACAGCTTTCAGAAGGGGGACCTGCACACATCCTGCCAGCTTAGCCCCTTAATCACCTAAGGGATGTCTTAAGGTCTAGCTTGTTAATGCCCGCTCTTTCCTATTCCAAATTATTGCCTACCTCTGTTTTCTTGGTTTTGGTCCTGCAAAGTCAGGGGTTTGTCACCAAGGGACTGTCAGCAGGGAGTGTGGCCTCAGTGAGTTGCAGATTCACTTAGGGATGTCCCCAGCCCTCAGAAGTGAGATAAAGAGCAGCCCTAAGCGCTTCTCCTGCCGCTTCTCCACCTCCCCGACTAGTAAATTGCTCAGAGGAGAGATCAATGGGTCCGAGAGAAATTTCATTTCTCTTCCTCCCTCCGTGGGGTGTCTTTGCTGCCGCATCCTCCCGGCTGTAAATGCAATTCAGGAACTGGCTACAGTGAGCGGTGGGTGTGAGAGAAGGAACTCTCAGCATGAGCCAGAAGGGGTTTTCTTTTACCTTTGTCAGCATTGCACCTAATGATACCACGATGTGCCATTTTACATCACGGCATGTCAGAAATCAATGGGCCACCTGGGCGGTTGGCAGGTGGGGAGACAGAAACAGAGACCGCATCTTGGCAAGCTGGGGGAAAATGAAAGCTTGACTCGGCTGTGCCAGGGGCCAGGCCTTTTTGCTTTAAATCTCTCTTATCGTAGCCCCACAACACAGGAAGAAATGCTTATCTGCTTAATGCTTGCTTTCCCCCACCAAGTGGTAAACTGCAAGAGGATAGAGACTGTAAATAAATGAATGAATGAAAGAGATAGCAATGGGGAGAGATGTAGGACATGAGGGTCCAGTTCATTTCATGTCGTGTAAACAGAAATAATTATTTTAATTTTCAATATACTTACATGGCAACTAAACTTCTTACCATAAAAAATAAAGTGATATCTGTACAAAACATAAACCATTAAGTCCATGAATAATTCAGTCTGTCTTGGGATGATTTGTCTGTGCATTGGAAATTTGGATTAACTGCCTTCATGCCCAAACTGACTGCAATGGCTTTGTATTTTGATCTCATATACATGTTGCTTCTGGGTTAAGTAGATACATCTTGGATAGGACTGTTCATTCTCAGAAATAAACTCCTGATCTCAATCATTTAGAGAAAAACGCTTGGAGACGGTTCAGTCCTGCTCAAGAGTAGCCCTGCCACATCAAACTTCCAGGAATGCCAAGTGGGTCGGTATAAAGATTTGATCCTGTTGCGAATTGGAGCTGGTCCTGTACAAACAGTATGGCTAACTACTGCACAAGCCCACCAGACCACCACTGGTCTCCAAATCTCAGCTTTTCTCGGGCTCCTGCACACTCACCACACCATCTGCTCTTTCCTTCTGAGTTGAGTCACCTGCTGACCCGATGCATGGAGATTGGACCAAGTTCCCATGAATTATTTTCACCACGTGGTGAAAATATTTTCAGGAATGGGCACAACACTTTTTTGTGATTGTTCAGCTTCTTTGCACAGGGCATTTTGACAGATTTGTGGTTCTTTTTTTATCTGCTATATTTCTGCTCAAGAAAGAAACATTAAAACTGTCACATGGCCACTGAGTAGCAAAGAGCCCTCGTAGACTCCTTTTCTTCCTATCCAATCTTGCACCCTCACCCTCCTGCCAACCCCTTCCTGCCTCACCTCTCCTGGGGATGAACAATGGCATGGCCCTTGCAGAGGTGGTCAGGCACCCTTAGGGGGTTACCCAAATGAATCCCAAAGGTTCTACTTGCCCCATGTGCCAGCCATGGAGCCTGGACTCTTATTTTGAGATTCATTCCTCCATCACTGGTAGAGTTCAGGGTCTCTAGCATGGTTCTGTTATATCTTCCAGGGAACAGCTCAGCCACTTGCCTTCCAAAGTGACAGCCCATGGAGGAATGGGCATGAACTTTAGGGAGAATGGGTAATAAGAAAGAGGCTTGCCAGGAAGACCAGGGCTGTGGGCAGTGGTGGGGGGGCAGCTGGAAAAGAAAGAAGGCAACAGGTACTACAAGGAAGAATGGAAGAGTAGCCACAAGAGTGCCTTCCTCCTTCAGAGAGGACCACAGCATGCCTGGGGACAGGTCGCCTGAGCCCCAGGCGGTGGCCCAGCAGTTGACACTCCCTGGATCAGCTGGAAGAGTTCAAGTTCAAGGTTGTTATACAAACAAGCAGCTCCTGCTGCCTAGACTATCCCGCCTCCCATCAGTACTGCTCCTGAGCTCACCCCAGGATGACACAGACACACCTTTTAGATGCCACGTGTCACACCACTTCCTGTTTGGCTCAAGTTCCCTCCTTTATCCTCTTTGCCCTGAGATTTATTATTGTGCAGCGATCGCGTTGAATTGCATTCAAAATCAATTAGCACAGGTACTCAAAGATGAATGCTTAGGCTCTGAAGAAAGGTGATGAAAACATACCATTTAAATAGAAATCAATTTTCCTTTCATGTATTTCTTCCTTGCTGCTGCCCAAAATTAATAGTTTTTGGACATTTTTGTGTAAAGGGAAGACGTCTTTCACATAAACCATTTCCGCACTACCTCCTCTTGCCTCCCTTGGCTTCCACTGTAAGGCATATTCCCAGCTGGTAATATTACTGCATTAACTGTCTCCACGGTGATATTTAATGCAATGGTCATTTGAATAAGCTCAGCAGCACAAGGTGCTGGGTCAGCCTGGGAAAAAGGCCTTTGGACTTCTTGCATTGTGTCAACAGCAGGTAGATGGTTTGGGAGGCAGTCACTCCATTCCCACAACATCCAACATCAGGGCGGCTGACAACAATGTCCCCATGACATGCTCAGCCCTCTCTCTGCCTTCATCTTCATCAGAAATTCTGAGTGGAAAAATTAGATTCTCCATGAAGAGAGGCTGACAAAAAAGAGAAGTGAAGAAACTGTCACTCAGGGGAATCAGAACCTTTTTCAAATGTGGATATCAGAGCTGCTACAAATGGAGAAAGAGAGATAGAGAAGGAACTCTAGCAGTAAGGGTGAAGAAATGGTTAAGTTTGTGATAAATTAGCCCAGGAAGCCCTTCTCCAATTCCTCTTTGCTTCTTTCCTACTACTTCTCTCCTCCCCAGGAGCTAAGGCACTTACTGCATTCCAAGCATTCTGCCAAGTAGTTTGTGTATTTGGCCTCTCTTAAACTTCTCACCAACCAGGTGAGGAAGGGGCTGTGATAACACCTATTTTATAAATGAGGAAACTGAGGCACAGCGAGACAAAGTGACTTCGTTCAAGGTTATAATGGTTAATTTTATGTAACAATTTGACTAGGCCATGGGGTGCCTGGTTATTTGGTCAAGCATTAGTCTGGGTGTTTCTGGATAAGACTAACATTTGAATCTGTGGAGTGAGTAAATCAGATTGCGCTCCTGAATGGGGGTAATCCTCACCCAATCCTTTGAAAGCCTGAGTAGAATGAAATGCTAAGCAAGAGAGAATTTTTTCTCTACCTGACTGTCTTTGAGCACAGACCGAAGCACACTCTTCTGATTTCAGAGTCTGGCTGGGACTTGTAGCATCAGGTCGTCTCCTGGTTCTCGGATCTTGGAACTGCTCAGCCTCCATACTTGAGTCAATTCCTTGTAATAAAAATATATACTGGTTCTGTTTCTCTGGAGAATCCCAACTACCAGGAAAGTCATACAATTTGGACCCAGAAAATCTGATTCTGGATGGGTTCTCTAAAATGCCTGTTCTCTGCCTTTTGTTAAAGGCACAGACTTTGGAATTGTTATAGAATCCTACGGGGATTTGTTGAGGGGGTGGGGGGACATTTCCATGTTATCTCTAAGAAGCCCTAGGTCTTGGAACATGCTTAGAAAACCTCTCAGCATTCTGAGCTTCAGGGGAAGTTTTGTCCATACAAACTGTCAGGACAGGGATAAGACTACTGTGGGACGGGGGGAAGGGCCACAGCCAGTGGACACTTAAAATTGGCCTCTGGTGCCCACATGTAAGGCTGACATGGCCTCCATCCCTTTGGGGAGTACAGAGGAAATACTAGAATTTTCAGGCAGAAACCTGACATCCCTCTAGGGGAGCATCTGGATCCCTGGGACTGTCACCTTCTAGGGGAGCATCTGGATCCCTGGGAGTGTCACCTTCTAGGGGAGCATCTGGGCCCCTGGGAGTGTCACCAGCACTGCCTTCCTGGTGGTCACCCTCACAGACCAGAGACACAGCTCATAATCACCCTCAGCTCTTTGCCTTCAGTTGTAGACAAATCACAGCCTGGCTGAGGAAGAAAGAGCTGCCCGATCAGGGCACTTCAGTTTCTGGAGTCTGGTGAGGTATCCGACCAATATTCACCCAGTTAAATTTCCCTGGGGCTGAGGAGGTTGGATGTACCCTGTTATCTTCCCTTACTGTTTTAGAATCCAGTGTGGGAAGGAATCCATTACCAGGGAGGTCTGAATGTTCACTCTTCACTGAGCTTCAATTTATATTTTTTCTTTTGAAAAAGGAAAGGGCTTTCTTCAGTTGTTGTAGGCATGTTTCTATGCTAGAGCTTTAAATTGCGCTTCCTTAGTTCTGTTTTCAGGAACACGCAGTTCTCCCCTGCCAGCCTTTTCCAAAGCACACTGAATGGAGCATTTTAGAAATTTCACTGCAGAATGTAATTATTGTTCAGACCCATTCCAGATACGTCTGGCACTCATTTTCTCTCCTCATTCTCCTTCATTAAAACATATAATCAGATGAAGGGGTTGCCATGAATGGGAAGAAGAACTTCCTGGTACTCAAAGGCAGCGTCTCTTCATTAAAGAATGTGTCAGTCGCCCACTAGGAGAGCTCAGGGAGGCATTAGCTGTGGCTCTAGGACTGTGAAATCTGACTGCAGAGGACCTTAAAGCTTGACTCATGTATGGGTGGTAAAGATGGCATCAAGTCATCAGGCTCATCCTGCTCTTGACTGCTGGTGAAACTGGCTAGTGTATTTGGACCTGAAAGAATCTGAGACACCTGAACTCATCCTGGATCCAAGCAGCATAATACAGAGCTCCCACCGAAATGCTCTAAGGGCCCTTCTGTGTAGGCATAACCTAAAATCAAACATCAAAACAAAACCTGTACAGCCAGAATTTAAAAGACTGACAATACCAAGAGTTGACAACAATATAGATCAAATGGAATACTCACATGTTAATGGTGGGAATGAAAAATGGCACAGCCATTTTGGAAAGCAGTTTGGAATTTCTTACAAAGTTATTTATATACTTACCATGAAACCACACAAACTAATTCTTAGGTATTTGCCCAAAATAAATAAGAATAAATATTCACACATTAACTTGTACATGAACATTCAGAGTAGATTTATTCTTTTTTTTTTTTTTTTTTTTTTTTTAGACAGAGCCTTGCTCTGTTGCCAGGCTGGAGTGCAGTGGCGTGATCTCGGCTCACTGAAACCTCCAATTCCCTGGTTCAAGCGATTCTCCTGAGTCAGCCTCCTGAGTTGCTGAGATTACAGGCATGCACCACCACACCCAGCTAATTTTTGTATTTTTAGTAAAGATGGGGTTTCACCATGTTGGCCAGGATGGTCTTGATCTCCTGACCTGGTGATCTGCCTGCCTCGCCTCCCAAAGTGCTGGGATTACAGGCGTGAGCCACCATGCCCGGCTGATTTATTCTTAATAGTCCAAAACTGAGAGCAACCCAAATGTCCATGAACAGATGAATATGTCAACAAACTATGGTATATCCATTCAGTGGGATACTCTTCGGCATTATATAGGAATGAACTAACTGATACATACTGATGGATAGATTTCAAAACATGTTGAATAAAAAAAGCCAGACATCAAAGAGTGCAGATTACATATGCTTAACTCTAGAAAACAGTAATCTAATCTATAATGACAGAAAGTAGATCTGTGATTAGCTAGGGCTGGAGTGGAGGAAAGTGACAATTGACTGGGAAAGGACTTAGAGGGACTTTGGGGGGTAATGGAAATGTCCTCTATCTTGACTATAGTGGTGATGGCATGGGTATATAAATTTGTCACAACTCATCAAAATTTACACTTAAATGCATTTTACTGTATATAAATTATACCTTAATAAAGTTTATTTTAAAAGTGGGGTCTATGTCTCATGGTTCTGGGACCTGAATTAGAGAATTTATTCAGCAAATTGATGGAAAGAGAAACTTAAAGTTCTCTTAGCTTCTGTTTCTTATTTAACAGAGACAAAGGACCAGAGGGGTTGAGACTTGCCCATCCTTATATGGTTTCCTAACTTACAGTACTATCTTCTTTGCGGTAGACCTCTGGATGCTCACTCTGGAAGTAGAAATTAGATGTCCTAAAATGCCAGCATGTTGCAGAAGGGAAGAACTTGACACCACGAAGCTTAGCATTGGGTCCTGAGTTGGGGCCTCTCTGCCTATCTGAGGGAGTCATCTCTAGGCCTTCTCTCCTCCCCCTTATCTCTCTTTCCACTGCCCAAATCTTCCATATCCTCAAGGCCCAGCTCTTAGGTATAGCCTCCTAGGATTACCCCCAAAACTGCCCTGCCTTCTGAAATCCCTCAGTATTAAGTAGCTGCAGAAAAATATCTTGAGTTGCTATTTAATTCTTTCATTACTATTTTCATATTCCCCACATCTGGACACATAGTAGGTCCAATGAATACTTCCTGAGTAAATGAAGTATTTGTTGAGGACAACATCTACACCCAGTGGTATTGGATGCTGAGGAAGACACAGGGGAAGACTGATATCCAGTCCCTGGAACTCAGGAACCAAATGTCTAGAAGCAGAGTTTCAAAGGGAAAGACAGTGTTAAAGCATCAGGAATGGTTCTCAACCTTGGCTGCACAATCACATGGGAAGTTCTAAACTGCAGACACCTGAGTTTTCTTGCAATTCTGATATAATCAGTCCAGAGTAGGGGGCTACACAGTCAGAGATTTTACATTTCTCTAGATGATTTGAACATGTAGCTGAGGTGCAGAACCAATGAAATAGAAGTTGTAATCTGCCTTCTAAACTCTACTCATTAGCAAAAATGAGACTGTGTCAGAGCCTTCTTTGAACACGAGGTGTGGTATCAGAAGGCAAATCATCTTTGCCTCTCCAAATTCCTGAAGAAAATTTGTGACATCCTCCCCCAACACACTTGCCCTACCAGCTGCTCTATTAGCATTTCCGAGAGAATTTCCAGAACTTTAATGTTCATTAAAGTCTTTGGCAGGGATCAGCAGACAAGATTAGAATTAGACAAAAACTCTTTCTTTTGTTTGGCAAAGGGAAAAACAGCTGATATTCACAGCCTTGGGAAGCTCCTCCTTTAAGGGAAGTGTGGCACAGGGTGCTTGTTTCATCGTTAATTGTGCCATTCAGCTCTGGGCCCTTGAAGAGAGTGTACCAGGTGACTCAAATGCTGTTACTTCTACAGAATAGAGCATTAATCATTTAGCAGTTGTGGAAAGGTCTTGAAATCCAGCTGAAGTTGAATTAATCACCCTAATATTTATAGAAGGAATCAAAGATTGGTAGAATTGTTTCTTGGGACTTCGGGCTTCTGAACCTAGATGTCTTTTTTGGGAAACTGAGTGCTCTATTATTCTTCATTCCAGTTGGCTCAACAACCTAAGACTGTGTTTCTCAAAGTGCAGTCCCCAAATCACCTGCGTTATAGTCACCTGGGAGACTTATTGAAAACACACATTTTTGAGCCTCACCCCAAATCCTCTGGATCAGAGATACTCTGGGGGTGGGGACCTGGAATCTGAGTTTTAAATAAGCTCCCAAGGTGATTCTTCTGCCTCCTTAAGTGTGATGAAATCTGATACAATGGAATAAGCACCATGTGTTGAGTCAGGAGGCCTGACCATGAGTTCCAGACTTTAACATTAACTAGCAGCGTAAAAATGGGCAAGTCAGTCTATCTGAACCACCATAAAAAGACTGTTGTGAGAGTTAAAAGAAATACATGTGAAGATACTGTATACAGTGGGTCCTGCATAAAGTCTAGATGAATCTAAAGGTGGCCCTCTGCTTGATTCATTTATTCTTAAACTTTTATTATGCAAAATTTCAAATATATACAAATGTAGACAGAATAGTATGCACCCATGACCGAGTTTCAGTAATGATCAACGCATGGCCAGTCATGTCTCACTAGTGCTCCCTCCCTGCGTACTCCCCAAGTTTTTAAGTAAACCTCAGACTTATTATTATTTTACCTCTGAATATTACAGTGTATGGCTTTACAAGGTAAGAATTATTTTAAAACTAAACATTATCACACCTAAAATATTGACAATATTTTCTGAAGATCATAAAACATCCATTCGGTATTCAAATTTCTCTAATTGTCTCATACACACACAACACACACACACTACAGTTTGTATTGGTTGAAGTATCTCTTATATCTTTTTAAAATACATGTTCTTTCTCCACTTCTTTTTTTTTCTTGTAATTTTGCTTGTTGTTATGGAGAAAACTGTCTTCTGTAGCAATGGTTCTCAAAGCGTGGTCTCCATCACTTGGAAGCTTATTAGAAATGCAAAATTGCAGGTCCCACCCCAGAACTCATGAAACAGAATTGCCTAGCTCCCAAAAGCTCTCCAGATGATTTTCTTTTTTACTCTTTTTTTTTTTTTTTGAGATGGGGTCTCACTATGTTGCCCAGGCAGGAATTGAACTCCTGGACTCAAACAATACTCCTGCTTCAACTTCCCGAGTTGCTGAGATTACAGGTGTGGGCCCCTGCACCTGCCTTTCCAGGTGATTTTCATGTAGTTAAAGTTTAAGATGCATTTGTGACTGATTCCTCTTGGCGTCCCTTAAAATGGTCTAGTCTTCCCTATGTTAATGTAAATTAGTAGTTAAATCTAAAGGTTTGATCAGATTCATGGCTATTTTTTTTTCTTGCAAGACTACTTTCTAGGTGAAGTTGCTCACCTTCTGCTTTAGATCACATTTGTATTTATATCTTACCTGTCAATGCAGTGGTCACCCTTTGCTTTAGATCACGTTCGTATTTATATCTTACCTATCAATGCAGTGCTTTGAAAATAGATCAGTCAGTATTTGCAGATCAAAGAGCAAACTTCTGCCAAACATCATTCCCTATTTTTCTAACTATTTTTAGTATAATTTCTAAATACCTCCTAAATTGATCCTCTTTGAAATGAAATCTTCATCTGAAGCAAACATGATTCAATCACTTTGGGAAACTGAAACATTAGTCCCATTAACTTCTTACCACCTTCTAAGGGATTCACACCCACCTGCTCAGGATACATCCACAGATGCATTGGTTATCTTCATGGGGTGGTTTATGATGCACTTGGAAAAGACCTAAAACCCAATGGCTGACCATTGTGCTGAAAACTCTACCAGTTGAGATTCTTTCCTTTGGGTTTAAGGGATCAGCTCTCCAGTTAATTATATTTAAAGTGTAAAATGCTTCTGTGGGTAACAGATTTACCCATTTTCAGTCACTAGTATCTCATGCCTATAGTATGGATTCCCCAGTGCTGCTGTATAAATTGGCACAAACTTGGTGGCTTAGAGCAATAGGAGTTTGTTCTCTCACAGTTCTGAAGGCTACGAGTCCACAGTCAAGGTGTCAGCATGGCCACACTTCCTTAGAAGCTCTAGGAAATAATTCCTTTCTTGCCTCTTCTCGCTTTTGGTGATTGTAGGCATTCCCTGGCTTGTGACAGCATCACCCTGTTCTCTGCCTACCTCTGTCTTCACATGGCCCACTTCTCTTCGGATCTCTCTATGTGTCCTCTGCCTGTCTAATAAGGACACTCGTCATTGAATATAGGGCTCACCCTCAATCTAGGATGATTCCATCTTGAGATCCTTAACTATCTCTGCAAAGACATTGTTTCCAAATAAGGTCACATTCTGAGGTTCCAGGTAAATGTGAAATTTAGGGGAACATCATTCAACCCATGACACCGGCAATATATTTTTTGGCCAGGTTGCTGAGGAAAAGGGTGAGGGAGGTTGAGGAGAGCTCTGGGACACAGTTCACCGTCCAGCTGCCTTCGTGATTGGGAGTTTGCTCAGCACGAGGGTCCCAGTAGACCAAAGGAAGGGGGCAGCACCCAAGAGGAAAGAGATCCACAAAGGAAGGCCAGGAGCCCCTGAGATGACCCATGCTGACCTCACCATCTGGCCGAGGGCCTGCTCTATGCCCATAACAAGGTGTATCATTTTTCCTAATTTATTAATTCTGAGTCAAGATATGGTTTTTCACAAATTCCATCTCATGTTTTATAGAAATGTTCTAATGCATTCTGTCCAACTAATGCACAACCAAAGGCCTGGGAAGTCCTGGGGTATCGCTTGAATCTTGTTTTTAATTTAATAATAGCCTATGGTACTCATTTTTCAACATCTTAAAATCATGTCCAATGAAACTGACTCCTTTTTTTTTTCCTCCCTCGTAATCAACAGCGGGGGATAATGGAAAGCAAAATGCTTATTGTTTGAGAATGCACATCTCTTTGTTCTCTTCAGCCCAAGCAGCTGTAGCTCCATAAGCATCAGGAAGCTAACTTCCTAGACAGGGGAAGAATCAAATACTGATGACTTCACTCTCAGCTTCCTTAATCTTATTTTTCTTTTTTTCTGATACCATCCTCAGCTTATTTCATTTGTTGCATTTGTTGAACACCTATTGTGGGCAGGTTGGCATGTGCAGAGATGCAAAGATGAGCACAGCATAGTCCTAGTCTGTAAGAATCTCACAATCCAGCATGAGAGATGAATCAGAGCCATCTCCTTACAAATTCAAATATTTAAGGTTTGGAAAGAAACCTTCAGAACCCCACCTTCCTGGGTGTATTTGGTCCATGGCATCCCTCTCTGATCCCCAGAGTTCCCTCTGTTCTGGAACAGCGGGGAAGTAGAAGGAGGTAGGGGTGCTTTTTTGCCTCCTCATCTCCCTGAGATAAGAATTTGGACATTGGTAATAACAGCTAATATTTACCAAAGTTTACTATGTGGCAGGTATTTTCTAAGCATGTTATGTGCATTACTCATCTTCATCTCCATTTTCCAAGAGAGGAAACTGAGGCACAAAGAGATAAATAACTTACCCAAGCTCCAAGACTGCTCAGGTAAAAAGTGAATCCAGGCAGTCAGACCCAGAAACCCTTTAGGAATTAGGAATTTGGCCATTTGCTCTGGAGCTGGTTAGTTCTGCTCAGCCCCCTAAAATCCCTTAAGAGAGGAGAACTCATCCTTTAGGGATAAAACAAACTTGCCCCTGGTCTAGAGGGAGCCCTTCCAAAATGGAGGAGGAGGCTCTGAAGGTTTTAGTTCAGGCCTTCTAGGGAGGACAGCATGAGCCAAGTTTTGGCCACCTGTAGACGTGCAGGGGACTCCTGTTCCCATGCACCATCTTATTCAGCCCTTATTATCACATCCCAATGGTGCAACCAGTTGGTCAAGAAGAAGAAAGAAAGATGAGGATAAGTCCTGGGGTACATGCCCAATGGGGAGTGGACACATAGGTACCAGCACAGGAGAGGAAGAGAGATAGAAGCAAGGGAGGGGAGAGGTTCAGAAAGGAGGGAGGGATCAAAGGTCCAGTACTACAAAGAGGGCAAGAAAGATAAGATTGATAAATGGGCACTGGCGTTAGGGTGTCAGGGTATTTGGAGTTAAGGAGAGGGCTGGCTGGTTAAGGCAGAGTGGATAAGAGTGCACCCCTGGGACCTGGGAGTTGGGGGAGTTTAATGAATGGTGGCAGAGAAAATCCTAAGGATTAGCTTCTCTGGAAGGCTGAGAGGTTGGGAGCTTGGTGGAAGGGCTGGTCAAGCTAAGGCAGGGCCTAAATAGATAGGGCCTTAATAGACACACCATGCAGCTAAATGGTGGAGCAGAGGCCTGAAGGCGAAGAGGGGGTAGGTGGGTAGGGACTGAGTATTCCAGGGATCCCTTGGGAACAGGAAATGCCTGGAAGATCCAACGATAGGGCAACAGGACAATATGGCAAGGCACATCCATATGGTGGCATGTTTTGCAGCCATGAAAAATGACACCTCTGAAAGATATTTAACAACATGAAAAGTGTCCCCATAAACAGTATAGGGAAAAGAAGCATAGAAAACTATATGGTATGATTCCAATTTCCTTGAAAATGTGTGCATATTTGCACTGGCAGGAAATACACCAAAATACATGTGCTTTTAAAAATTATTTTCAGTATGTTCCAAGTTTTCTAAAACAAACATGTGTTACTTTTGCTATGATTAAAATGAGTACAGATGGCTGATAGCTTTGGCTAAACTGTAAGTATTTTTGGGCTTTTTATTCTGTTATCTGACTTGGAGAACTGGGAGGAAATGGCTTCTCCCACAGTTAGGTCCATCAAGCAACAGAAGGAACATCATGGGTTGATCATGTGCTATGTCCTCACATCTAGGCTAGGCTTGGGAAGAGATGGGGAAAATGCAAAGTGGCTTTAAAGTCCCTGAGACAGGAAGAAGCACATAAGAAAAAACAGAATGACGATGATATGGCCTTTGCCTCTTCGGAAAGAAGTGTTTGTCTATGAAGCTGGGGTGATTGGAGAAGTGGGACTTCATCTAGACCACGGGGAGTAAAAAGGTTTTGAAGGGCAGTCTCTTGCTTTGGGTTAGAGCCATTGCACACAGGCTTGAGATGGGGAGAGCCAGAGGTGTGCTGGGTTCCAGAAGTGAAAAGAAGACTCTGTCCAGCTAGTACTAGACAAGCCACTGGAGTCCCAGTACCTGCTGGAATCATCACTACTGAATGTCTGTGCTTTGTGGTTCATACAGGCCACAGCTTCAAGGGGCATGAGAAACAGGGCCCTGGAAACGTGGGCTGCCACAGTGGCTTCTGCCCTCCCCTCCACTTCTGTGATTCATTAACCCTGGAGGAAGGATAGTGCCAGAGAGATGATGAGAGGAGATGAAAGGGAGCAGAGCTTAAATGCTGTCAAAGCTGGGGAGAAAGGGGGACATCTGCTGTCAGACAGCATGTTGCCTCCAACTAGTTTGCTCTCTACAATCCACTCTGACTTTCAGTCTCTGATTTAGGCATTTCCTGCTACAGAAGCAACTTTCCTTCCTTGTCCTTCTCCCAACCTCCTCCCTGCCCCTGCCCCTACCTGATGTGGTACTGGGGCTACCACAGAGACCACTCTGGGCTGCTGTGGGCAAGAGGGTGCACTGGAAGAATGGACATGCCCTGGACTCTATTAGCATCTCTGCTCAGAGTTGATGAAGAAGGCAGGTCCTGAAAGCACCTCTTTGGATTGAAAAGGCAAGGACACGTCTCTCCGTTTGAAATCCACTGGGTATCTACTCTGAGCCAGGTGCTGCTAGGTGCTCTGGGAAAGATGCGGTCGGTGAGCAGAGACCAAACTGCCTGCCTCTGTGGAACTTGTAGCCCTGAGCACAGAGATAAGCACATAAATAATCAACTCAACAGTATGGCAGAGATTGCTAAGCACTTTGGAGAAAACTAAAGCAGGGAAAGATGTGGTGTGGGGAGGAGATTGGCTCCTTTGCTCCTAAACTTTCCTCACTGGCCAGCCCTAGTGTCTTCAGCCCTAGTGCACACCAGGAGACATGAGATTTGTGACCGTCAGCAGCTGCTCACTGCTTATACCTCTTCCAGCCAGAGGACTATCCCAGAACAGCCCTGGTCTTGATAGAAGAGGGGCTGTACACACGTGGTGCTGTGCTGCTCATTAAGACATGCAGGTATTTGGTGATGACTTTGGAAAAGCCAATGCCAACAAGTAAACAGGGTCCTCCAGGATCAAGTCAATGGTCTTTCTTCTGTCCTTGGGAGGTCAGCACCGTGACTTTATCCTCTCTGCCCATCCAGCTTTGCTCCACCTAAGTAGCTATGAGGGTGGTCATGGGACAAGTCTTCATTTTGCATCTGTCTTCTTCACTTCTCAAAACTCATCCCCAGAACTAACTTGCATGACTGGAAGGCACATGGTGCAATTTAAGGAAAGCTGAGTGAAGACCTGTCTAACCAAAAAGTCCTCCCAGTCAGTGCCAAGGCAGAACCCATGCTAGGTCCTACACACAAGGAATTGGTGACCCAGGCAATGGAAGTGCCAAGAACACCAAATTGAGACAAGGAGACTACTCAGAGATTGGTCAGAGCAGGAAGCCACTGCCACCCTAGGGCTAGAGAGGCCATGGGAGAAGGGTGTGAAGCAGGCCAACTAAAGGTGCTGGAACCATGGGCTTTGGCTGCTTAGTGAGACTGAGTCCAGGATTGAAAGGCTGCCCAGAAGGTGCACCATCACCTCTGGGACACAGAGATGGGAGGCCTGCCCTCACCTCTCCGTGCCCTCTCCCGGTTCTGGCCATGCCTCTCTGGTAGTTAGTTTTATGTGTAAGCTTGGCTAGACTGCAGAACCCAGTTATCTGATAAAATGCTAATCTATGTGTTTCTGTGAAGATATTTTATACACAGGGCTAACATCTACAATCAATTGACTTTAGGGAAAGTAGATTACCCTCGGTGGTATGGGTGGGCCTCGTTCAAACAGTTGAAGGCCTTAAGAGCAAAAACAGGTTTCTCAGAGAAGAAATTCTGCCTTACGACTGCACCATCACCTGCCTGAATGTGTAGCCTTGCCAGGCTGCCTGACAAATTTTAGACTTGTCAGCCCCAACAATCATATGAACCAGTTCCTTGATTTAAAGCTATCTATCTATCTATCTATCTATCTATCTATCTATCTATCTATCTCTATGTATCATCTATTATCTATCAATCATCTATTATCATCTATCAATCAACTATTTATCTATTATTTATCAAAGTATCACCATCTATCAACTATTATCATTATTATCTATCAATCATTTATCATCTACGTGCCTATCATCATTATCTATCATTTATCCATCAATCATCTGTTATCATGATCATCTATCAATCACCTACCTGTCTATTCATCTATCTTTATCATCTATCTATCTATTATCTATCTATCTATCTATCTATCTATCTATCTATCTATCTATCTATCTATCTGTCTATCTATCTATCTCTTATTGGTTCTGTTTCTCCAGAGAACACTGCTTAATATAGTCTCCCATTTACCAAAACTACATGGACACTGCCTGGCAAAGAAGCCTGAGAAGTGTACCTCTCTGCGATTCCATGCAGAATAGAGGAAGACTGGGAAATAAATCTGATAAGCATCGTAAGTCATTTACCTGGAATGACATTCCATTCTGTCCCATATTTCACTGAATGCTCCTCTTCTACAATTCCCAGGGGTTTGCATAGCAAGAGTAGCTAGTACATCTCACTAAGTCCCAGGCCCTGTGCTAAGTACTTTTCATGTATTATCTAATTTCATCCCCTTGACTGTCCAATGGGGTAGCTGCTATTATTATCTCTATTGTGCAGAGGAAGACACTGAGAGTGTAAGTAACTACCCAAGGCCACACAGTTAGCTTCAGTGGTAGAGCTGGGACTAAGCTCCAAAGCCTTCTGGCTTCTCTCTTTCAGACATGAAAAGAGTGTAGTTAACAGATTATCCATCTGGCAATCTGACAGTCCTGTGTTTGAATTCAGAGTCTACTTACCTTTGCAACATTGAATAAATTCATGAACTTTGCTCACATTGCATTTATTCATCTCTAAAATGGTGCTGTCTCACAGAGTTGAGAGGGCTGAAGGAGGCCACGTCTGTCAAAGTGCTCTTTAACCCACAAACTGCAACACAAATCCAAGCATTCTCTTCCTCGCTCACCTTTCTGCCCTTTTTTCTCCCGCTCAGAAGTGTCACTGTACATGTTCCTGCTTTCAAGTGGCCACATACGGCTCCATTTTGTTTTTTCTCACCAGGTCTATACCAACTGATTTTGCCCAGCCTGACACCCAGACACAATGGTGAGGGTGTCTTGGACATGTCACCATCAGCCAGTCCAAGGGCTGGAAGGAAACAATGCATGATTTATTGTGTCTGGCGCCCATGCAGTAAAAAAGGTAGGCTGGGGGCTTCCTGAAGCAGGAATATGGCATTTTCCAGAAGCACTGAATTTACTTCCAGCAGGTTCTCATTGGCTCCTTTCATTAAAAAGAAAAGGGGCGAGGGGATTGTCTTTACCTCCTCCTAGCCCTGGAAACCTGTGTTCACAGTTAGCTGCTTTCTTGGACACAGTGCATGGATCATGCAATAAAACCTGGCCTTTTGGTTTCTTTTCTCTAAGTATTGATCACTGTTCTGAATTTTCCATTCCAGCTTTTTCCTGCTATGATTTATTTTTTAAAAAGGAAGTAGGTCATTCTTCTTCAAGCTTCTCTTCGTTTCCTTGGCTGTTTTTCATTTTTACCTACCTACTAAGAAGGGAAAAATCATTGTAGGATCCTAGAATATTAGAGAAATAATCTGGGTTTGCATTTCTCAAACTGGAAGATATATTCCTAGAGGTGGGGATGGGGAAGGGTCTGTGGCCTTGTGCCACAGGATAGTTTTTAAAATATAAATTAAACATGGAACATCTTTTTGAAACATTAACTCACCTCCAAATTTGGCAGAGATTTTTTTTATATTAAAACAAATCTTTATTATGGAGTCGATTACAAAATTTACATGAATTTTTAGGTGAAAGACCGAGATTTTTATTTCAAAGACTTCATGTAGAGGGAGGGCAGGGCGAGGCTGGGCTGTAACCAGGAGTTGACCTTTCCAGGTCTCCAAATGCTTTAACCAGTTTATAACCCCAGGCTGAAGACTGAAGGTTTCTTCTTGGAGAAAGTCCCAGAGAATAGACAATCTTTAATAACATTTGGGGAACCCACCCTCAAGTAAAAGAGCAGGGTTCCCACCTCATCTGTTGTTTCTGCCCTACTAGTAAAGACTAATGAATAGGACAGAATTGCCAGAGTCTTGGACATGTGGGGTTGGCCCTCAGTTCTATGTCTGCCTCCTCGAAGTCTGTCTTGCCGTACTCTAAAACCTGGAAAGCTAAAAGGGACATTTCCCAGATTTCCTTGCAGCCAGGGTATGAGAAGTGAATTTGGTTTCATCAATAAGAGGCATCTGGCAATTTTGAAAGGTGGAAGGGAGGTAGAGGCCATCTTCCTAACGCTTAGGGCTTTCTGCCGGCAAGCAAGATGATGAAAGCTTCAGACAACAGTCTTCCCAGTACCAGTCTCCAGCTTTGTGAGAGGTGGTGGTGAGCTGTGGCAGCGTCCTGATCCTTGGATCACATCTTTGACAAAATGTTCTTGAACTCAATTCTTCCTGTTACAACCTCCTGTCTCCCTGCCCCTCTGGATATGGCAAAGGTAGGAGTCCCTTGACAAGTAGGTCTCTGAAGTTGTTAGGAGCTCAGCATAAAATCCTGGAGCCCAGTCCTCTAGGTGATTTTAAAAACACTCAATTCCCTTTATTAAATCTCTTTCTCCTTCAATAGCTAGACTGATTTCTGTAAACTCTGTATTATGTGGATTGTGCAAAGCCTGCTGCTTTTTACTGATATCTATTTTCTTCAATTAAAAAATTCCTGAGTTTTAGATGGAAATATGGCCACCTAACATGAGACCATTTCTCACTCTCCCTGGAAGCTAATTGTTGCCATGTGACAACCAGCCATGTGTCTGGCCAAAAGGGTGTGATCAGAAGTGATGTGTGCCCCTTCCAGGCCATGCCCTGAAAGCCATGGGCGTGTATTCCTCTCTCCTTTCCTTTGTTCCCTGTGGGTGGGATGCAGTTGTGATAGTGGCAGCTGAGGTAGCCAACTTGGACCCAGAGACAAAAGCTATCTGTTGAGAAAGGCAGTCAAATGATCATGACAACCTATGTCTGCACAAGTATAAGACAGGAAAATAAAATTATATATTGAAGTTAGGTTGCAGGGAACTCTGTTATAGTAGCTTGGGCTGAAATTTAACATAGAGAACCTGTCATTTTGGGAAAGTATCCAATAGGAAAGACAATCTAGCAGGGAAAAAGGAACTCAGGATAACAAAAAATATATAGAACAGAAGAAAACTAATAAAAAAAACCCCTATAGTAGTTAATGCTCTCAGGGAAAGAAGAAAAGATATTATATCTATGAAAAAAGAATAGTATAGTTTCTCTTTAAAAACAATACTCAGAAAATATCAAAGAACTCTTAAAATTATACAACCAAAAGTTTTTGAAAAGCCAGGGAAAAGTTAAAAAGCAAGATAAGGAAATTTTCCAGAATGAATAAACTCAAAAAAAAAAAAAAAAAAGGAAAACAGGAGTATAATGATCATAAATTTAGGAAATAATATCCTACTAAGAGAAATCACTATGAATTAAAACCAAAAATGGAAGAGATGAAATAATTAAATAAATAAAAGTAAACTGTTTCCTATAGAAGAATACAAGTTTCCAAATTAAAAGGGAAAACTAAGTGCTTAATACAATGAAACATGCCAGTTTCAGAATACCTGGGATAAGAAGACCTTAAAAATTGCCATAAGGAGAAATATGGCTTTCATATAAAATGTTTGAAATCAGAATGGCATCAGACTTCTCAACAGCACACAAAAATGCATAGCATTAAGACAGCCCCATTAAAACTCCAAGGAAAAGTAATTTTCAGTTTAGAACTTTCAGTGTAGCCAAATTATCCAAAACCATGCCCATTATAGGAACAAAATCTTCTCATTTATCATTCAGAAAGAAGCTATTGAAACGTGTTCCTTCCCAATGAGGGAATAACCAAGAAAAACAGGACATGAGATACAGGAGACAAGAAATATGGGGGAGAGGCTGTTATGGGTTGAGTTTCATCCCCTCAAAATTTATATGCAGAAGTCCTAACCCCCAGTGCCTCATAATGTGACCTTATTTTTAAACATGGTCATTGTAGATGTAATTAATTAATATGAGATCATGCTGGAGTAGGGTGGGACCCTAATCCAATATGGCTCAAATTTTTATAAGAAAAATGCCATGTGAAGAGACAGACAGACAGACACACACACACACACACACACACACACGGAGAACGACATGTGAATGTTGAAATGATGCTGTCACAACAAAAGAACCACCAGAAGCTAGGAATGAAGTCAGCACAGATCCTCTCCTAGTGCCTTCAGAGCGAGCAGGGCCCTGCTGACATCTTAATCTCTGTCTTCCAGCCTCAGAACTGTGAGGCAATAAATTTCTGTTGTTCGTGTGTGGCACTTTTTAATGGCAGACCTAGCAAACTAATACAGAGGGGAAAGGACATTAACAAATACTGGAAATGGTGGCTGCAAAATGACAGGTGGGCAACATGCCTAGTAAACAACCCATTCATCTAGGAGCAGGAAGACAGAGGTCTTCAGGAAGAAAACCAAGTAAGTATATATGTATTTTTTTCTGTTTTCCAAGTGAGAGGTAATGCAGGGAGAAAATTTACAGCTCTATTAGAGAGTTTGGGAAGAACTAGTGATAGGTACACAGAACAATAAGCCAACCAGAATCCAAATTAAAGCAATGAAAGGAGACAATTATTAACTCCAAGATAAACACACAAAAATGAAATGTAATTGTAGCACACTATGTGGCTCAGCAGTGAACAGTAGCTACCCAGTCTTAGCAATGTATCCTTAAATATTGATTTAACCCAAAATTGTTATGTAACTCTACTGGGAGGATGGGAAAGTGGGAGGGATAATAAAAATTCATAAACAATATTAAAACATTGATAAAGGGAAGAAATACAATATAAGCATATTATTTGAAGGTAAATAACTAAATAAGCTGCTAAAAGAGTTTTAAAAATACCTGCCTTGGGAGCAGGACTTGAGAACAGTCAAGACAGGGGAATACTGTTTTTAAGTCTTTTAGCATTCTTTAATTTCAAAGTGTGTGTGTATGTTATTTTGAAACAAAAAAAAAAGCTTTTTAAAATAAAATCTTTCATTTTCTTTTTTCTTACTGAGAGGGAAGATAGAGAATAATCATCGGCACTTCCCTTATCATTCCTTTGTCCTTGACAACAGTTGTCATACCTGATAGCCTTCTCTTTAGTTTAACTGCTTTTGCTATTTCTCTAATGCCTCAAAATATTTCCCCATCCATTAAATCACTTTAGTCATTTTTTTCCTATACTGATTCCAGTTTTTCCTCATCTTTCCTAAGAAACAGGACTAAAAACCACATAAGGTCTCCTCTGTGGGGGCACTGAAGAGTGTTGGCTTCCTGGCTAGATGGCATTTGCCTTCTGCCATTCATTGAAGCCATGTGGCTTCTCTCCCCATCTGGAGGTCCAGCCTGACCTACAATCTGGACAAAGACCAATCTTGTGCCTGAGTAGTTCAGTGTCATTCTTGAATCTTGTTTCATGTGTCTTCATTGAACTAGTCTGTTTTCTGTGACTTATTCAATTTAGTCTACTTTGTTATGATCCATGGATACGTTGCATTATAAAGTCTATCATCTACACTACAGATAAAGGTGGGTAATCTAAAGAACATCTCTTCCTTTTGGTTCTCTTTGTCTCTCTCTCTCTCCCTCTCTCTCCCTTTCTCTTTCTCTCTCTGTTTATTCTGAGAAAATGGCAAATGTTGGGAGGCAGATCCTGCCTTCACCTCTGCACACACACAATCTTAGTATGGTATAAACTCAAAACTGGATTCTGGCATTTGTATGGATGGAGGAGCAAATTGCTAAGTATTTGCTGGTTGTCTGTTTGCAATGGAGGGGATGGATTGGGGTTAAGCTTCCTTGCTCCAGTCTCCTAACATTGCTGCTCACATGCCTAAGCATTCATTCATTTCAGAGACATTTATTAAGTGCTAGTGGTGAACAAACCCTAAGTAGGCACAAAACACAGGTTTGTTAAATAGAATTGTGTGACAATAAACATTGACTCACTGAGGCAGTGGAGCAACAAGGAGGAGCACATGGCAAGAGCTGAATCCATGGCCATCTTGTAAGCTCTGGGGTTGTTGACCCCTGGCCTGAACCACAGCAAGCCAGCTTGTCACTGAGCCTGTCACGTGGGGCAGAAGCAAATGCCTTGCTGAGGCCTCAGGTCGATTACATCTATTGCTTCCACCTTATCTACATGGCTTGTCACTCTGTCATAGAAAGAAATTAAATTGGTCCAACTTGATTTACTCTTTACACGGCTGTGTTCATAAGCTCCCTGGGCCTTGCCCCCTTCTGGTTGACTGCACATTGATTGCTTGATGATTTGTTCTAGCATCTTCCCCAGAAGCCAGGTTAAGCTTATCAGGCTATAAGGAATGTGGTCATCTTTTTCTGCTTCCTAAAAGAAGGGCATCATGTTTGCTCTTTGTGGAGCTCCCGAGGCAACACCACTTCTCTGTGAAGGCTCAGAATAATTGCTGGTTTCTCCCCAATGGTCCCTGCCAATAATTCTCCAGGTCCATTCAAATTGAGTGTTGTGAGTCCCTGCGGGTTTCATTTCAGGCAGCTTTTTGCAGAGGATGTCTGGTCTATTTCAAGTATACTGGCCCTGGCCAGGACACATGGGCTGAGACTCCATGCCTGCAAAACAAGCCCAACTGCTAAAGACGAGGGAAAGCCTCAAAAAAGAAGCATTCTACTGTACTCATCTATCACTGGCTGGCTGGAAGGGGATCAGAAATCTTGAGAATTATTGGGAATTGGTTCTGTATGAGACAAAATGTCTGCTTGTGGTTGCTTTCTGAGTGTAACCCACAGACCTTACATCAACATGTAGCATCTTTTAGTAAAGACAGATGTAAAACTACACATTAAAACCTGTGCTATTTTGAATCCTTCTGCTACCTGCTTGCCCTCTTTGTCCATTGGGACATGTAATGCAAATGAAGAATGCTTCTGGTAAAATTTCATAAAAGCCTGTCTAACCTTTCTGCTCTTGTGTCCACAGGATGAGGCCACCTCTTTGTTCCTCTGTGATTTGTTTTTCTCCCCTCTCTCGCTCTCCTTTCTCTGCCCCACCTGTTCTCACCTCTTCCTTTTATAGATCCGTGAATACATCTCCATCTTCGTTCCATTCCCATCTTTTCTAAGTTCCAGAATTTTTCCTGAGGCTCCTGAGCTGCATATTTAAAGGGCACCTGTTTTTCTCCCATATTTCTTTACTCATTTGATTTTTCCCCTCCATTAGGTAGTGAGAAACTTCTTAATGAATTCCTTCAGCTTATAGAAATCTGCTTTTTAAAGGTTGTCTCTGGGTTTCTTCTTTCTTCTTCACTATCAACCTCTGGTTAAGATTATAGTTTTCCTCCAAGCTCTAAATCTCTAATTCTCTTCCTTTAAGAAAATGAATCAAGATAAACTAAATTTTCCTAATATACCTTTAGAATTCAGCAATTTTTGTCCTGATCATGCTGTAGATATTTTAATATAGAAAATATCTCTGTGCACACACACACATACACACCATTCCAAAATCCCAAACTTGTATTTCTTTGGGGATCTCATTTCCCACACCAGATCTAGATTTGTAGATTAATTGTATGCTTTACACTTTTAAAGGAAATGGTTGAACAATTTTCTCTCAAAGGAAGCAAGAAACTCCAACCACAGCCTAAAATTTCCTTCCAGCATTATCCCTTTCCAATATTGTCCCTTCCCACCCCAATTCCCCATACACACAATTTTTCCCCATTTCCCCTTCCTTCATTTATTCTTGATGATCTTGGGCAGATAAAACCACTTGTGAGATCTGAGTCATGTTAAAAAGACTTGCTTGTCTCTTCCTACTCCCTATCCCATCCTGTCCCACTGCCTGGACCTTAATTAGTGCCATCCTCTTGTGAAAAGTCTGATCCTCAGAAGATGGTGTGCTACATTTAACTCACTAAGCTACCATCATGTCCCAACCTAGCAATCTGACATCATTTATCAGGACTTTGTAGAATTTTGACATGGACAAATCTTCATGACCCAAGGAGAAAATTGCCATGTGCCATGCCATCTGGGGAGGTAAGGTCAGAGTGAGGAGTGGCTTCCAAAGGCCAGTTAGTGGCCCTTGACGCTCCAAAAAAGGGGGCAGAAGAGTAAGAAATTGAAGTTAGGGGCATGGACAAACTTCATGAGTAACATTTGGCTGGAGGAGAACTGACTTTCTCCATAAAAAATATAAAAGAGAGGTGGGGAAGGTCCATTTGGTGATTTGATACAGTCCATGCTGACACAAGGTAGATGGTACATATTTTCCTGAAATGACTTTAAGTTCACTTTTAAATTATTCAAGGGATAGGATGCCAATGGGAGGTGCCTTCTGGAAGGGCTATTCATCTTCCAAGTCAAGGGGCAGGCATCCAGTCAGCTGAAATTCTCCCATGCTTGATTCCAATCAATTGTTACTGCCAATAAGCACTCCTCCCTAAAGCAGCAGCACTGGAATTCAGCAAGAAAAGTGACAAAGACCCTCAGAAACATGAGAACTCTAGAAGGCAGCATAGAGAGGGAGGCAAAGTACCTGGTGAGGATGAACTCAGAGCCAAGAGGGACCCCACTTTGCAGGGAAAAGCTAAGTGGGAGATCCCCAGTGGTCCCCAATGCTATCACAGATGCCTACAATCCTAGCTACAGCAAAGCTCAATGGTCCTTGCAGCCCCTTAGCACAGTATGAGGAGCTGCCTGGAGTCCATGCATCTGCACTGCTCCGGAGAGTGAAATTATGTCAGGTCTTCCACATTCCCTGGGATCTAGGCTATGGCATGGCACCATTTTGAGAGGGGAACCATTACCACAGAGCACCCTGCCCTGAACCCCAGTAACCCCTGCATCTCCCTGTCCCTGTGGTGAACCCACTATCATCTTACCATGCTGAGGAAAGCTCCAGTGCTATGACCCCAGCTGCCTCCACAAACACCCAGTAGTGCAGCCATGACCCCAGCACACAAGCCCAAAGAACACCCTACACTCCAGGTAGTGGGTGGTCCAGTGCAGCAGGGGCCTGTCCCCAGGATCAGAAAAGCTGATGCATGTGCTCCCCAGGGGCTGAGAGCAACCCACCACCACCAGCAACCTTGCCTCCTCCACCAGCAGAGCCACTGAAGGCTGCATGGACTCCCCGGGGACAGACGACCAGCCCTCCCAATGCTAATTGCTGTCAGCAACCCCCAACCCCCTGCAGAGAAACTGCACATTGCCCATGCCCCCAGGGACTGAGGACTGGCTTGCCTGGTGCCTGCCAGTAACCTCACCCCATCTCCACAGCAAAGCCACTGTGGTTTGTGCATGCTCCGCCAGGGCCTGAGAGCCAGCCCCAGCAAAGCTGCACCACTGCCTCCGAAAAAAAAACCTACAGCCTAGGCCACTGAAGCACTTGCAGACACCACTGGCAGTGATTACAGCTGAAAAAAATTACACAGAGACTACACTACTGCACCCACCCAGAACCAAAGCCAAATCACCCTACTCAACCAATGCTACAGGATACATCTACCAGAAAATAAAATCTATTCCTACAAAAGCTACTCCAATAATGTTGGAAGAGGTGACTGTTCCACCAGATATGCAGATATCAATGGAAGCACACAAGAAACACAAAAATGTAAAGAAACATGACAACTCTAATGGAACACAATACATTTCCAGTAACAGACCTTAAAGAAAAGGAAACCATGAGATGCCTGAAAACAAATTAAAAATAATTATCTTAAGGAAACTCCGTGATATACAAGAGAATACAGATAGACAATGCAATGAAATCAGGAAAACAACTCATGACCTAAATGAGAAATAGAGAGAGATGTAATAAAAAGGAAACAGACAGAAATACTGGAACTAAAGAATTGAATGGATAAAATAAAAAATACAATTAAGAGTTTCAACAATAGATGAGATGAAGCAGAAGAAAGACTCTATGAACTTGAAGCCACATCTTTTGAAATAAGCCAGTCAGACAAAGAAGAAGAAGAAAAAAAAAGAACAAAGAAAGCCTGTAGGACTTATGGGACATCACTAAGTGAACAAGTGTTTACATAATGGAAGTTTCAGAAGGAAAGAGATAGAGAAAGACATAGAAAATCTATTTAATAAAATAATAGCTGAAAATTTCCCAAGTCTTGGGAGAGATATGGACATCTGATTCAAGAAGCTCAAAGTTCCCAAATAGAGTCAGCCCAAAATGATCCTTTCTGAGGAACACTATAGTAAAACTGACAAAAGTCAAAGACAAAGACTGACAAAAGTCAAAGAGAATTCTACCAACAGCAAGAGAAAAAGCATGAGGTCACACATAAGGGAATCAGACTAATAGCATTTTTTCAGCAGAGACCTAATAGGCCAGGAAAGAATTGAATGTTGTATTCAAAGTGCTAAAACAAAGAAAAAAAAAATGCCAGCCAAGAATACTATACACAGCAAAGCTATCTCATAAATGGAGGAATAAAGTCTTTCTCAGACAAGCAAGACTGGAGGGAATTCATCAATACTAGATGAGCCTTACAAAAAATGCTGACAGGAGTCACACATATGAAAGCAAAGATGATGAGTACCATCATGAAAACACACAGAAGTATAAAACTCACTGGTAGAGCAGATATACAAATGGAAAAGGAAAAAGGAATCAAACCTTATCACTATAGGAAACCACCAACTTGGCCAGGCACAGTGGCTCATGCCTTTACTTCCTAGAACTTTGGGAGGCCAAGATAGGAGGACTGCTTGAGTCCAGGAGTTCAAGATCAGCCTGGGCAACATAGTAAGACCCCGGCTCAACAAAAAATACAGAAATTAGCTAGGTATGATAGCACATGCCTATAGTTCCAGCTTCTCAGGAGGCTGAGGTGGGAGGATCACTTGAGCACAGGAGTTTGAGGTTGCAGTGAGCTATGATCATGCCATTGCACTCGAGTCTGGGTGACAGAGAGAGGCCCTGTCTCAAAAAAAAAAAAAAAAAAAAAAAAAAGTAGAAGAAAAGAAAACCACCAATGGGAGAGATAAATAATAAAAGGAATAAAAGAACAAACAATATATAAAACAACAAGAAAACAATTATTAAAATGACAAAAGTAAGTCCTCATCAATTAATAGCTTGAATGTAAATGTTTACATTTCACAGTTAAAAGATAAAGACTGACTGAATGAATTAAAAACCCCAACTATATACTGCTTAGAAGAAATTCACTTTACCTATGACTGAAAGTGAAGGAATGAAAAAAGATATTCCATGCAACAAAAGCCAAGAATGAGCAGAAGTAGCTATGCTTGTATCAGATAAAATACACTTTAAGTCAAAAACTGTAAAAAGAGACAAAGAAGGTCATTATATAACAATAAAGAGATATATTCTGTAGGAGAACATAACAATTGTAAATGTATATGTACCCCACACTGGTTCACTCAGATATATAAAGTAAACATTATTAGATCTAAAAAGAGAGAGATATTCCAGTACAATAATAGTTGAGAACTTCAACACTTCTCTTTCAACAATAGACAGATCACCTAGACAGAAACCAAAGAAACTGTAGTCTTAAACTGCACTATAGACTAAATTGACCTAACAGGCATTTACAGAGCATTTCATCTAACAGCTACAGAATATACATTCTTCTCATTAGCAAATGGAATATCTTCCAGAATAGACATATGTTAGGCCATAAAACAAGTCTTAGCAAATTTTTTAAAATTGAAATTATATCACATAGCTTTTTAGACAACAATGGAATAAAACTAGAAATCAGTAACAAGAGGAACTTTGGTAACTGTGCAAATACATGTAAATTTATAGTAGAGATGGGGTTTTGCCATGTTGGCCAGGGTGGTCTCGAACTCTTGACCTCGGGTGAAAAGCCCACCTCAGCCTCCCCAAGTGCTGGGATTACAGGCATGAGTCACCGCGCCTAGCCCTAAAATATCTTGAAACAAATGAAAAGAGAAACACAACCACAACCTATAGGTCAAAGCAGCACTAAGAGGGAAGTTTATGGCAATAAACACCTCCATTAAATCTTTCTAAGATTTCAATAAACAACCTAACAATGCACCTCAAGGAACTAGAAAAGCAAAAACAAACCAAACCCAAAATTAGTAGAAGGAAAGAAATAATAAAGATAAAATCAGAAATAAACACAACAGGGACTAAAAAATATATAAAAGTTTAACAAAAAATAGTTTTTTGAAAAGATAAAATAATTGACAAACTATTAGCTAGACTAAGAAAAAAGAAGTTCCAAATAAATAAAATTAGAAATGAAAAAAGTAATGATCCTAGTGATACTACAGAAATGCAAAGAATCATTAGAAACTATTATATGCCAAAAAATTAAAAAACCTTGTGAAAATGGATAAATTCCTGGATACATACAACCTACAAAAATTGAACAAAGAAGAAATAGAGAACCTGAACAGACCAATAATGAGCAACAAGATTGAATCAGTAATGGAAACTCTCCCAGCAACAACAAAAAGCCCAAGACTGGATGGTTTCATTACAGAATTCTACGAAACTTTTAAAAAAGAACAAACATCAGCTCTTCTCAAAATATTCCAGGGAAAAAAAATTGAAGGGGAAGGAATTCTTCCAAACTCATTCTTTGAGGCCAGCATTACCCTGATACCAAAACCAGAGAAGAACACAACAACAACAAAAGAAAACTACAGGCCAATATCCCTGATAAAGACAGGTGCAAAAATCCTCAGCAAAATACTAGCAAACAAAATCCAATAGTACATCAAAAAGATTATACAATATGATGAAGCAGGATTTAACCCAGGAATTCAAGGATGGTTCAACATATGCAAATCAATAAACCTTATACATCACATCAACACACTGAAGGACAAAAACCATGTGACTATGTCAATAGATGCATGAAAAACATTTGATGAAATTCAACATCCCTTTATTATAAAAACTCTCAACAAGTTAGGTATAGAAGAAATATACCTCAACACAATAAAAGCCATATATGACAAACTCATGGCTGACATCTTAATGGCAATAACTTGAAAGCTTTTTCTCTAAGAACTGGAACAAGATAAGGATGCACACTTTTATCATATTGTTCAACATAGTACTGGAAGTCCTAGCTAGAGCAATTGGGTAAGAAAAAGAAATAAAAGGCATCCAAGTTGGAAAGGAGAAAGTCAAATTGTCCCTGTTTGCAGAAGACATGATCTTATATAGAGAAAAGCCTAAAGACTCCACCAAGAACTGTTAGAACTGATAAACAAATTTAGTAAAGTTTCAGGATACAAAATCAATATACACAAAATCATTAACATTTCTGTACACCAATAATGAGCTAGCCGAAAAAGATATCAAGAAAGCAATTCATTTACAATAGCTACAAAAAAATACCTAGGAAGAAATTTAATCAAGCAGTTAAAAGATCTCTACAATGAAAACCACCAAATACTGATGAAAGAAATTAAAGAGGTCACAAAAAAATGTGAAGACACCTTGTGTTCATGATTAGAAGAATAAATATTGTTAAAATGACCATACTACCCGAAGTGATCTACAGATTCAAAGCAATCCCTATCAAAATACTAATGACATTCTTCACAGGAGTAGAAAACAATATTAAAATCTGTATGGAATTATAAAATACCCTGAATAGAAAAAGCAGTCTTGAGCAAAAAGAACAAAGCTGAAAACATCACACTACCTGACTTCAAAATATACTGTAAAGCTTGAAGTAACTAAAACAGCATGGTACTGGCATAAAAACAGATTCATAGACCAGTGGAATGGAATAGAGAACCCAGAAATAAATCCACATATCTACAGCCAACTGATTTTCAACAAAGGCACCAAGAACATGTTACACACTGGGGGAAATATAGTCTCTTCAATAAAAGTTGGTGGGAAAACTGAATATCCCTATGCAGAAAAATAAACTTAGACCCCTGTCTCTCACCATATAGAAAAATCAACTCAAAATGGATTAAAGACTTAAATATAAGACCCCAAACTATAAAAGTACTCGGGGGAAAAAAAACAGAAGAAATGCTTTGGACGTTGGTCTGAGTAAAGATTTTATGGAGAAGACCTCAAAAGCACTGGCAATAAGAGCAAAAATAGACAAATATGGTTATATCCAACTAAAAAGCTTCTGCACAGCAAAATAAACAATCAACAAAGTGCAAAGACAACCTACAGAATGGGAGAAAATATTTGCAAACTTTCCAACAAGGAATCAATAACCAGAATATATAAGAAACTCAAACAAGTCAACAGAAAAAAAACAAATAACACAATTAAAAATGGATAAATGAAGTGAAAAGACATTTCTCAAAAGAAGACATGCAAATGGCCAATAGGTATATGAAAAAATGTTCATCACTGGTCATCATGGAAATGCAAGTCAAAACCACAATAAGATATCATCTCATCCCAGTTAGAAGGGCTACTATCAAAAAGACAAAAAGTAATAAATGCTGGTGAGGATGTAAAGAAAGAGGAACTCTTATACACTGTTGGTGAGAATATAAATTAGTACAGCCACTATAGAAAACGAAGTTTCCTCAAAAAACTAAAAATAGAACTACCATATGATTTAGCAATGCCACTACTGGGTATATATTCCAAAGGAAAGGAAATCAATATATCAAAGAGTTGTCTGCGCCCCCATATTTACTGCAGCACTATTTCTAGTAGATGAATGAAGAAAATGTGTTACATATACACAATGGAATATTATTTGTTCATAAAAAAGAATGAAATCCTGTCATTCACAACACCATGGATGAGCCTGAAGGACAGACATTATGTTAAATAAAATCAGCGAGGCACAGAAAAATAAATACTGCATGTTCTCACTCATGTGTGGAAGCTAAAAAAGTTTATCTCGTAGAAGTAGAGACTAGAATAGTGATTATTAGAGTCTGGGAAAGGTAGCCTGGGAGAGGGGAATAGGGAGAGGTTGGTTAAAGGAAACAAAATTACACCTACATAAAAGGAATAAGTTCTAGTATTCCTTAGCACTGTAGGTGGCTATCATTAACAATATTTAATTGTATATTCCCAAATAGCTAGAAGGGAGGATTTTTACCCAACACAAAGAAATGATAAATATTTGAGGTGATGGATACGCTAATTACCCTGATTTGATCATTATGCATTGTATGCATATATTGATATATCACTCTGCAGCCCATAAATATGTACAATTACTATACGTTAATTAAAAATAATAATTTTTTAAAACCCTTCCATCCCAGAACAATTAAATCAGAATCTCCGGGGACCCAGGCAACAAAACTGCCCGGGTGACTGCCATGTGCAACCAAGGTTGAGAACTACTGAGTTTGCCACTCTATATTTTCAGGCAACCCAAATTAGGAGGGGCCAAGAAGCCTGTTGAGTCTCTTTCTTCCCTGCACTCTAGTGCATTGGTTCTGTTGCCTCATTCCAAAGGTTGTCAATCTTTCTGTGTTTGTGTCACTCTTTTAAACTGAGATTTTTGGCAACATACCTGAAGTGATTTGAAAACTCAACACTGACAGCTAGCAATTAGTACAGTGCAATCGGCACCAGGTTATTTACATGTAATGTATAAATGCCTCTATAAGCTGCTGCTGTAACACGCTATTGAGAGATTTTCCATTTCCTATTGGGTTGGAACACTTTGGTTCTATCCAAGCTCTTATACAATCTCAAGACAAACTTCTTACTTGCTTCAGTGAACACTCCCTCTTACTTTTGTATCAACCTGATGTTATGCCATGCTTCTTACCTATTTCTCTCAAAAAGTTATACCTAGTGCTACCCCATGGTGTTTGAGCCACTCAGGTTTGATCTGAAAGACACCAATGTAGCATTACTTAGTGGCCAATGTCATACATATTGATTGAAATCTAGCAGTCCTCCATAAAGGTTTGAAAAGTGAGCCACCGCAGAGCAGTTAAGATCCCCTGCCCAAATCACTGCAGCCAGAAATTTCTCCTATCTCTGGCCCAGCACCCGATTCAGGCTGGGTAGGCACTTACCTCCCCAGCTTTCCTGTCTCCTTCAGGCTTGGGTTCCCTCCCCCGAGGAGTTGGCCCCGTCCCAGAGGAAGCATATAGTAAGTTTTCTCTCTGGGTGGGAAACTGCATCTCACCAGAGATATCCTGCCACCTCCCACCTACACACCTGCCCACTAGCTTGATTTCTGACTCTCCACCTTCACTCACCCTCTGCTTGCCTGGTTTCTCTTCCTGCTCACCTACTCCTACCCTGACCACCAGCCTTCAGTCTCCCAGACTCCCTCCTATCTCTGGGCCCGGATCAAGCCTGCTTTCCTTGGTTCCTACTTGGCCTTCCTAGCTTGGCTATCTGTCCTGCTACCACCATTTTCAGCCCCATGGTGAGAAAGCCATCTTCAGCTCATGGTCAGCCTCAGAACCCTGCTTCTTTCTGCCTTCTGTTCAGCTGGTCATGTTGGTCCCTCTGACCCAGAATCCATGCTCTACCTTCACCTCTCATGGTCTTTTTGGCTCCCTTCTCCTGGGTCTTCCCCTCTTTATTATCAGCATTGTACTTCCCAGTTCCATTTGACCCAGAATGTGATAGGGTTTCTAATCCCAGTGGTGGTCTTGGGAGAGATTCTTCTATTCTCTCTGCCTTCTACCCCATTGCTCTGGGACTGACAGTGCCCCAACCCTGACCTTGTAGACTGACAGAGCCAAGAGCTAGAATCTCACAGGGTACACTGTGCTCAAGAGCCTGGGACAGAGATATGGGCACTTTCTGCAGTGTGCCATGAAGTTAAATGCCCATATTTGCAGTAGACACAACAATTCACTTGAGAACGTGAGCTGAGCATTCCTACGAAGCTCCATTATTTTGATAGCTTTGTGTTCTCTACAGGGACAGTCTCAGCAAAGCCAGCCATCTCAGTATCTCTCTCCCTTTCTTCCTATTTTTCTCTCATTTACCTGATGCCCTTGAGATTCTGTGACATTCTCAGAGTCAGCACCTGTATGCTGAGCCTGTCCCTGCCTTCTGCTGTGAAGCCAGGAGGCAGGATGGAGCTGTGGTCAAAAACACTCTGCAGCCAGACTGCTCAGATTTCATTCCTGACTTTGTCACTTACTAGTTGTATGACCTTGGGAAAAAGACTTAATTTCTCTGTGCCTCAGTTTCCACATCTATATAAGAGGGCTACATTTTTTTTTCCCTATTCATAGGGTTGCTGAGAGAGTAATGTGTGTTAATGTACATAAAAGCTCTTAGAACAGTTTTTTATGCTAAGAGCATAAAAGTTCTTAGAACAGTTCCTGTACCTATTAACACTCACTATAGGTTGGCAATTACCAGTCTTCCTTTATCATCTCTCACCTGCAGGAGTCTTCTGCATCTTCTTCATGCTTCCACTTTTGCCACTCAAGACAAATCACAAGATGGCTTCTCCTGCTTTGATTACTGGCATTCCATTGCACTTGACACAAGCTCTTCACCAAGGCCTACTGCATATGGGCCAGGATCCTTCTCTCTCTGCTTTGCTCTCACTGCACTGATCTCCTTTCTGTTCCTCCACACATCAAACTCCTCCTACCTCAGGGCACTTGCACATGCAGATTCCTCTGCCCTGAACCCTTTTCCTCCTTCTTCGCATTGTGGCTCCTTCAGTTCTCACGATAAAGATCATCTTCCTGGAAAGGGCTTCCCTAACCATTCTCAAATGGAAGGGCAAGAAGAGTCAGGTAGAGAGATTAAGCCTTGGGCCTGGAGCCAACCACTCATGAAAGCATCTGCCAAGAACAGTGGAGTCCTGGGGCCATTTTCCACAGCTGCCCTGTTGTGGGGCTTCAGTGGGGGGTGCACTAGGGAGTGTCAAAAATCAGGAGGCCTGGGCACAGGCCTTGGTCACTCCCCCTCTCTAGGCCACATTCCCTCTCCTATAAAAATAAACACAAGGAACTCCTATATCTCAAAGGCTTCTTCCAGCTCTAATATTCTATGATTTGTGCCTTTATCTAACCATACCCTCCAGCTTAGCCACAGAACAAAGCATAGAGACATTCTTATGATAGAATACAGCATTGGGGTGTGGGGAGCTGAAAGAGCTTTATGTGGCCAACAAAGAGCCTACTGACCCCTCTCCACTAAGAGGCAGTTTCAAGAAGCCTAACCCTGGAACCGCAGTCTAGCACTCACCTAATTCTTCTAGTCTCTTTCTGCGGTGGGTTTCCCAGGGAAACCTAGTGTCATTTCTGCAGACGGATCACATATTATCTTATTCTTCCAACACAAAAAGAAGTAAAAGGAGACGTAGGCAGAGAGGACCACTGAAAATAAGATGGAATCAAAAGGGCTTTTCTCTTTTAACAATTTGATATTTTCTAAGGCTGCCACCCTGGTAAGTATGCTGTTCTTTTCCTTGAAGATATTAATCAAAGGACAAAAACATGGACTTCTCAGAAGAAATATATAAATTACCAATCCAGACATAACGTGAATAATCTCACCAATGTGTTGAAGGCAAACCAAATCCATAGTAAGATAATATTGCAAAGATACATAGTGTTGCTAAAGACTTGGGAGAGATTAGACAAATTGGGATCACCTAAAGAGTTTTAAAAACGGCATACCTTTTGAGCCAATAATTTCATTTCTAAACATTTCTGCTATAGAAGAGCTCCCACAGGTACATGAAGTTATATGCATGTAAGTGGTCACAGCAGACTTGAGGGAGGAAAAAAATTGTAAACATTCTAAATGTCCAAGTGATAGCATTTTTTTTTTTTGAGACAGAGTCTCACTGTGTCTGTCAAGATGGAGTGCAGTGGCACAATGTCAGCTCACTGCAACCTCCTTCTCCCAGGCTCAACCAATTCTCCCGCCTCAGCCTCCCAAGTAGCTGGGATTACAGATGTGTGCCACCACACCTGGCTAATTTTTGTATTTTTAGTAGAGACGGAGTTTCACCATGTTGGCCAGGTTGGTCTCTAATTCCTGATCTCAGGTAATTCACCTGTCTCAGCCTCCCAAAGTGCTGGGATTACAGGTGTGAGCCACCACACCTGGCCAATAGCACATCTTTATACAAAAATATCAGACAGTAGTTAGGAAGTTTGGGCATATATTTCTAAGCTGTCCCTGAAAGATGCTTATGATATTTTTTTTAAAGAAAAGAAAGCAGCTGGGCACGGTGGCTCACGCCTGTAATCCCAGCACTTTGGGAGGCCAAGGTGGGTGGATCACGAGGTCAGGAGATCGAGACCATGCTGGCTAACACGATGAAACCCCATCTCTACTGAAAATACAAAAAATTAGCCGGGCGTGGTGGCGGGAGCCTATAGTCCCAGCTACTCGGGAGGGTGAGGCAGGAGAATGGCATGAACCTGGAAGGCGGAGCTTGCAGTGAGCAGAGATCGCGCCACTGCACTCCAGCCTGGGTGACAGAGCGAGACTCCGTCTAAAAAAAAAAAAAAGAAAAGAAAGCAAACTATGGAAAAGTGTTACAGCATTTTTTGTAAAAGAAATAAAGAGGAAAGTTGTATACATATTGTATATATATTGTGTATATATATATATAAATACATTCAAGCAAGTTGTATATATTTACACAGACATAGAAGGATTCAGAGGTCTCAAAATCAACAAAGGCATCCTAGACAGCTGCTAAACTCCTGGCCCCAGTGGGTTGGGTAGCATCTCTGAGGAATCACCACTCCCAGGGGACAGGCTTTCTGGTCTCTAAAGGGACCTTAGTGGCCATCTATTCGAACCTCTCATGTTAGAGACCTACAGGCTGAGCCCCAGGGACAGGCCAGAAGGCACAGAGCTTGCTGAGATTTGCTGCACTTTAGCACATTAAATGCCTGGCACAATTTTTCATGATTGTGACATTAATTTGACAAAATTAAATGCAGAGCTGGAGCAAGGGTGGCTGAGTCATTTGTGGAATAAGTTCATATGATGAAATACATGATGAAATAAGCCGTTAAAAGTGATATAGTAGAACAAGGTTTATTGACACCAATACATGAAATATTTCTGAGTTAACAGTGCAGGCAATCATAGTATATATAGTTTGAAATCTTTTAAAAAATACATATGTGTATAGAAAAAAGGCACAAGAAGGTGTGTAATTAGTTAAGATCTTCATGGTAAAGTTGCCTATGAAGTGTAGTATTTCAGAGTTTTCCTGATTTTCTACCCAAAACAAATGTCCAGTAGGCAGTCTACAAGATGGCCCCAGTGATCCCCTCCTCCTGGTATGCATGCCTTTGTAACCCTCCCTCCCCTTGAGTGGGGGCTGATTTAGTGACTTGCTTCTAGAGAATAGAATGCAGTAGAGTTGATGGGATGTCACTTTTGATATTAGTATATAAAAAGGCTGTGCACTCTCTCTTGCCTTCTCACTTGCTTTGAGGGAAGCCCACTGCCATGTTGCAAGCTGCCCTGTGAAGAGGCCTCCATGACAAAGAACTGTAGGGTCCCCTGGACAACAGCCAGCAAGGCAATGAGACCCTTAGTCCAATAGCCCACGAGGAACTGAATCTTGCCAAGAACCACATGGATGAGGTTGCAAGTAGGTCCTTCCCAAGGTGAGCCTTCAGATGAGACCACAGCCCCTGCTGACTTCTTAATTGCAGTCTTGTGAGACATCTTGAGCCAGAGGCATCTACCTAAGCCATGCTCAGATTCCAGTCCCATAGAAACTGGGAGATAATCATTCTTTGTTGTTTTAAACTGCTTAGTTTTGGATTCATGTATTACACAGAAATAGAAACTAATTCACTTATATAATAATATTTTAGAAATCACTTTCTAAAAAAAATTCTAGAGGCAAGTTTGCCAACAAACTCAGCACTAACTTTTTAGCTGCAAATCTCCTTTCCCCTGTCCAGTCCTTTCTTCCTGACATTGCCAAAACTAGTCATATCTGAACACCTGGGTTCTGATGCTTGACTAACTACAGAATCTCCTACTTCTGTAGGCCTCAATCTCCCCCTCCCACCCCCCGTACTTTTTTCAAACACAGCTGCAGCAACCCAACAGCCACACTTTACATAAAGTATCTCCCCAAAGTTCCAAATCTGAAGAAATTCGTGCTTGTGGCCGGCCTCTGGGTAAAATTAGCCCCCGCTTAAAAATGAGGTGCCAAGATGAGCTTCTAAACCTCTCCAGACTTAAAGTTTTCTGTACTTTAACACCTCGGCCAGCCGGGCATCGTGAGAACCTGGAATGATTCTTTATGAGCCCAAGCCCATTAAATGTGCTAGGAAAGTGCTTCTTTAGTCGTTAATGGAGTTGAGCATGCTGAGGGGAAAGAGATCAGATGAATACCTCAAGTTTCCATTCTGTAATCCCAGGAAAGCAATCTTATCAGGAGCTCAGTTAAATACGGTAAAAAGCACAGACCTCTCTTAGTCCTCCAGAGATCCAGAACTGGTCTATTTTGTCTCCAGTGTGGCTCATCGCATAAGCCCAAGACAATCCCACTTCAAGGATAAAATAGTATATTTTGAGGGTGATTAAGCACTAAATGTTCACTAGGTCAGAGATCTAAGTGGCCTGGGCACTCACAGGATTAGGGTACTTGCAGAAAACTGATCCCATGCCAGTCCCACTTTTTGCTCACACTCCCGAGAGTTTGATGCTGGACTTTAAAAAATGCTTCGGAAGTCAGCTGGTTTGTTTCTTGCTCTTCTTGTGATAACAGACCTTCATCTCTTGTCAAGGTCCTTACCTTCCTGTGAGATTGCAGTAACAGAAGAGTAATAATTGTAATAACCACTAGCCACTACATATGCATTATCTAATTTAAATGTTAAACTATGGGGTAGATGTTATTAAATCCATGTAAGAAATAAAGAGATTGAATCATAACAATATTAAATCATTTCCAAGGACATAAGTAGCAAATAACAGACCTGGGTTCAAGCACAGACCCTTGTGACTCTAAGCCTGTGTTCCTTGCAGTGTACCCTGGACGACATTGTTACATGTGCTTTCCCAAATCCACGGACTTCTGGCTGATCCGGGGTTGCAATATGCACTGCACCACCATCCTCTCTCTTGGAAATTCCCTTCGGCTGGGAAAGAAATGGATGATCAAGGTCAGTGGTTTCCAACCAGGCTGAACATCAGAATCCACAGGAATGATGCTAAGCCCCATTTCACCTCTGAGACTTTCAGGTTCAAGCGTCTGGAATGGGGCCACAGATCTGAATTTTTAAAGAAGGGTTCTGGTTGACTCTGACAGTTACATTAAATGAGTATATTTTGGAACCACCAGGCTGAGTGGCCTTAAAATTTTCTTCAAGAACTAAGGCTCCAGGGCAGGAGGGTACTAGGGAAACTGCCTGGCCACCTGACCCTTCTCTGATCTCCTCACTCTCTCAGGTGACCCCTTCCTGGACCTAGCATCCCTCAACTTTTCTGACTTCCCTGGACCAGGCTGGGAACTCACATTCTCTTCTAGAGAATAGAATGCAATAGAGTTGATGGGATGTCACTTTTGATATTAGTATGTAAAAAGGCTGTGCACTCTCTCTTGCCTTCTCACTTGCTTTGAGGGAAGCCCACTGCCATGTTGCAAGTTGCCCTGTGAAGAGGCCTCCATGACAAGGAACTGTAGGGTCCCCTGGACAACAGCCAGCAAGGCAATGAGACCCTTAGTCTCATCAATAGTCTACGAGGAACTGAATCTTGCAAGAACCACATGGATGAGGTTGCAAGTAAGACACCCTGGCCCAACATTGTGCCCCAGCCCACTGACCTGCCTCTGCCTAACCTTTCATTTTGGTACATTTTCTTTGGGTTCTGGCTCCTGCTCCCTGTCATCTAATCCTTCCAGGCCTTTTTGTTGTTGTTGTTGTTGTTAATAGCTAATGCATATATACAGTACAAATCTCCAAGGTTATAAGAGTATATTGAGAATAGCTTCTTCCCAATCTATTACTCAGCCACCCAGATCTCATCCCCAGAAGTCTCCTCAGGTATGTTTTATAAAAAGAAATACAAGGCAGGGTGCAGGGGCTCACCCCTTTAATCCAAGCACTTTGGGAGACTGAAGCAGAAACATAATTTGAGCCCAGGAGTTTGAGACCAGCTTGGTCAACAAAATGAAACCCCATCCCTACCAAAAACAACAACAACAACAAACAGACAAACTAATTGTGCACGATGGCACACACCTGTAGCCTGTAGCTATTCGGGGGGCTGAGCTGGGAGGATCATTTGAGCCCAGGAAGTCAAGGCTGCAGTGAGTTGTGATCATGCCACTGCACTCCAGTCTGGGCCACAGAGTGAGACCTTGTCTCAAACAAACAAAAAAAACATGGTAGCTCACTATATATACCATTCTTTCTTTGCTTATTTTGAGGACACGTTCTTAAAGATTGTTCCAGATCAGTGCCAAGGAAGTTCTGCAGCTTAATTTTCTATTGCATGAGTATGCAATAATTTTTTAGCCATCTTCTATTGAAGAACCTTTAAGCTGTTTCTAACAATGCCACAGTGAATATTCTTGCATGTATGACATTTCTCACATGCATGAGAATATCTGTAGAAAAACATCTGTGAAATTATAGGTCAAAGGGTATGTTGTATTTAACTCCAATTTCTCGTCCTTTCCAAGCCAGGCTTCTAACTCCTGGTACCCTGGGTAACAGAGCTCAGGCCTCTACTCATTTATGTCCCCAAGTCTTTAACCTGGGTCCCTGACTTCCTGCAACTGGAGGCTGCAGTGGCATTTCAGTGTATCCAGCCAGTCTAGTCACCTTCACCTGCTCGATGTGCACTCTGCCAGGCCCTCATCTCAGACTTGTTACTCAGGCTTCCACATCACAGTTCGTTGTAAAGTTTTTTTTTTTCTCTCTCTCTGAAGGGCTTATTCTCCAGACCCTGGGATATCCTTCCCTGTCTAGATTTAAAGCTCTTGGGCACCTTTCTATGCTAACTGACCTCAATAGACATCTCTGTCCATCCAGGTTCTCCCTTTTCTAATTCAACCAACCCAACTCTTCACCTCTCTTAGCTGATCTGCCATATTGAAACTCAAGACCTACCACGACTCATATGATCTAAACCTTCTCCCAGTAAAACCATAGTGTAGGTGACATTTGTCTTAGGGCCTTTCTGTCTACTTTCTCTGGGTCACTCCATGCCCTTAAAAATGCTCTCTGGGTCCCAGAGTTTCCTCTGGACACTTTGCCTGGATTCCCCTTCTGTCTTTAGCAGTGTTTTGTGTCCAGTTTTTTTACATTCCCTTCATTCTTGTTTCAGAACATATCTGTCTTATCTTCTATCTCCCAAGGGTCCAATTAGATAAACTCATCCTCGCTGGCAGATAATGGCACCAATGTGATCATCCTCCTAGAGGTATTTTCATCTTGGTATGGAGCCTCCAGAGCTATCTTTGCTTGAAAGAATGAAACTTCAGGAATGAAAGTTTGCACATAAAGGTGGGTCAGGGGTGAGATATTTTAGGAAAAGAGGAGTGGGTCTTACAGATAGCATGGCATGGTACAAAGAACACACAAAAGAAAACAGGTGTTCCAGGTCACCACTTCTCACTGGGAGATGCCAACAGTCCCTCACTTTGCAGAACCTGTTTCCTCACAATGCATTTTTCATAGTGATATTGAGTTCAACTAAGATAATTGATGAGAAAGTGCTTTGCAACTAGGAAAGACTTGTTCAGGTACAAGGTATTGTTACTCTTTCACCAGCATCCCACAAAGCCCAGAGCACTGAAAATGCCTAGAATTCCATGCCCTTGCAAGGCAGCCACTTGGCAAGAAAGAAGACAAAATCATTCTATCTTTTCTCTGCCTCATTCTCTAGAAAGTACTGATAGCAACAGATAATCCAATGAAGCTCTTGTTAAAATCCTTACATCATCAGAGTCAGCTCTAATTTTTTCATCCTGCCTCAAATGTTTACTTTGATTTCTTAGATTTATACAGAAATAACTTATTTTTATGTTACAGGTAGATATTCTATTTGAATTTGTTTTTGAGCGCTAGACATTTAAGTGTCCTTTCTGCATCCTATCGGTTCTCTCTAAGTTTTGGAAAATGTCCCTTATATCTGGCAGTCAAACCGTGTCTTTCTGCTTATTCAATTTGCTGTGGGATCCTGACTGTTGTGAGGAGTCTTTTGGAACAGCCTAGATGAGAGCTGACAGCTTCTCTTCTCCACACTTAGGATTCCCAGAGCACCCTGGCCACAGCTTCTGTCCTAAACTGTACAAACCTGGTGTCTTGGATGCAGATGCTTTGTTTCTCTGCATTATTCTCTTGCATTTGTTCAGATTTGTACAGGTCCATTACAATTGGTCCAGGTCACTGCCTCCTGGATGATTTCCTCAAGGGAGGCAGGGATTATAAGAATAAGTATTTTGTCCCAAGCCAGAATAATATTAAATGAAAAAAAGAACAAATGCTTCTTTCTATGACAGCTTTAGAGATATCTTTGGCTTCTCATTCTCCCCAGGCCAACTCAAAAGAAAATCAAATCCCAAATCTCCAAAAACTCATTTCTATCCCTACTTGTTCTCCACAGCAAGCCCATGAGAAAGACATTTCGGGAAAACTAGAATCCTGTTAAGTTATGGGATTTTTTTCAAGCCACATGGTTGATAAGTAGTCTGACCAGGATCCTGGAGCAACACAAGGAAGACAAGGACCCTTGAAGACAAGGCAGCCTTGAAACCAAATGAAGCCCTGGGCCAGTGAGCATGGCAAGAGGAAGACTGTTAATTGCGAGAAAGCTGGGTCTTGAAGATGATTCCATATCAACATACAGGGAGTTCCACCACTGAATGGTCTATCGGTTGGGAATGCCATCATTTATTTTCACCAGTGGGGAAGAATTGGTATTAATATCAAAACCACAGTACTGTCATACCCAGCTATAATTTGCAATGTTTATATGCCTGTACGAATGAATAATTAACAGTTAAATGAATCAATATATATCTATCTATGTGTAGGAATATCTAATCTATAATATATGCTCGCGTAAGTGGTAATTAATCTCTTTTTTGAGACAGGGTCTTTCTCTGTCATACAGGCTGGAGTGCAATGACATGATTATGGACCTTCAGGGATTGAGCAGCTCGACATCCCAAGGATCAAGCAATCCTCCGGCCTCAGCCTACCAAGTAGCTGGGACTACAGCCATTTGACACCCCACCCAGTTAATTTTTGTTTTTTGTTTTTTTGTAAAGACAAGGTTTAGCCATGTTGCCCAGGCTGGTCTGGAACCCCTGGGTTCAAGCAATCCTCCCACCTCAGCTTCCCAAAGTGCTGGGATTATAGGCATAAGCCACTGCACCCAGCATAAATAATCTCTTATTTGTTCATCCATGGTGTTGTCTTTAGTTTTTAAAAATGGATCCTTTTGTTATTCTTTTATAGCCCCAGATTAAGAATTTGTCCAAGTTTTGTATATTTTTTCAGTTATTTCAATATCAAAGCCCAGCACATCTTTAAAATCACTTCTATGTATAGATATTAACCTTTTTGACATTTGTGTTTTGGTATTCCATATTTACTCAGTTCTCCTTTCACACCCTCCCTTTAGAAGAGGAGTATGACCATGGCAGGATGGAGGGGTAGTGGCAGTAGGGGCCATAGTATGTTTTCTATATTTATCCAGCATATTTAAAACATGGTATTCTAGCTTCAAGGGAGAACATTGAACTCCCATTTGGACATGTTAAGTTGAAGATGTCTGTTAGACACCCAAGAGAATATGTCAAGCAGATATCATCTGCCCTTGTTTTTCCTTTTCCAAACTGGCTCTCCTTAGTTCCATCTCCAGATGACATGGTCCTCAAACCCTTTGTGATCTTGGTTCTCTACTCCAGTTCTTCAATGTTTTTCTTGAATGTGGCACCCAGAATTAAATAGAGCACCCCAGATAATGGCTGCCCAGCAGGATAGACATGTGTTTGTTATATAATTCTTAGAGACTATAGCTGACGTCACTGGTGCCCAGCCCATATCTTCTTGAGCCCTAGCATTTTCGTGCATGGTGGCCTGATTTCTAACTGTCAGCACCTAAATATCTTTGCCTGAGGACTTTCTCTGTCGGCCAGAGCCTGCTTTGTGCACAGTCAGAAGTGCCAAGGAGTCAACACTCCCCAAAGGAGTCTTCAGCCAGTAACGAAATGAAAGGTGGAGTATAAAAACCCCAGCTCCCTCACCACTCAGCTGGGGTAGCCCTGAGATTCATGCTCTCCACCCTCTTCAGAGTTTCCCGGCAGCATCATGTTCCTGTTACCCTTCTCACTACTGACTTGATGCTCATCCTTTCTTGGCTCCTTCCCTGTGTCACTTCCCCCATCCCATATGGGAGAAGGCTTCCTGGGTTCACCTTCCAAAGTAATTACTGGTACTGGAATTCTCATCTCAAGTTTTGCCTTAGGGTCACCCAAACTAAGACAGTGCCTAATGCTGCATCAGCTTTCTTACCAGTCACATGATGCTGTTGTATCCTTAATGTCAGATAAACTCCCAGCTTCTTTTTATGTCAACTGCTACCAAGCCACACATTCTCAGTGCTGTGCCTTTGTTATTGATTTTTTAACCTAAACTCAGAGTTTATGTTTATTCCTGTTATACTCTTAAGTTTTTTTCCATATTCCAACCTAACAGAATAACTTTGAATATTGATTTGTTCTTTCGTTGTGTTAACTATCCCTTCCAGACATGAGTCATATGTAGAAATCTGATAAGCATGTTTCCTGTGCCTTCATTCACTTAAAACAAACAAACAAACAAACTTTGAACAAGGTAGGGTTAGGAAAAGAATTCTAAACTCAATTCCTCCCATTGTTCAATAATCAAGATTCTTTCAGTAAGAATGCTTATTGGTAGTGATTCAAACTATCTGCACCAGTTCAACCCAGAATTTACAAATTTGCCCATAGGAATATCAGGCAAGCTCAGCTCAGTTGCTTTGCTAGAATAGAGAAGATCCACAATTATGTCATGCCTCTGATACATGAGCCTATAACCTTATCAGAAAGGAAATATGGTTCATTTGGCTTGTTATTAGCAATTTTATTTTAACCACTAAGAACCTCTGAATTCATTTCTAAAACCCTCCAATCTTCCTTTTATTTTCTTTTATTTATATATATATATTTTTATTTTATTTTACTTTATTTTTGAGACAGAGTCTCACTCTGTCACCAGGCTGGAGTGCAGTGGCATGATCTCGGCTCACTGCAACCTCTGCATCCCGGGTTCAAGCAATTCCTCTGCCTCAGCCTCCCAAGTAGCTGGGAATACAGGTGCACACCACCATGCCCAGCTAATTTTTGTATTTTTAGTAGAGATGGTGTTTCACCATGTTGGCCAGGATGGTCTCGATCTCTTGACCTTGTGATCTGCCCACCTCGGCCTCCCAAAGTGCTGGGATTACAGGCGTGAGCCATCACGCCTGGCCTCCAATCTTCCTTTTAATAATTTGATCTGGAATTTTATCAGGGAGCTATGCATGCATGTCAGGGGAGATCAAGTTTATGGTTTCCAGAATCTACACTTTCTTTTTGAGAATGGGAACTTTTGCCAGTACATTGTTTTCCTATCCTCATTTCCATAATTTCTCAACAACAGTAAGTAGTTTTAAGGTCACATTTGCAAGTTTTTTGAGGAGCCTGGGATGTAACTTTTCTGGAGACTTCAACCTACTTTAAATGGTCACATGCCCCCTGTGTCCCTCACTGCCTCCCTTCTGCTGAGCTCTCCCCAGTCCTGGGAAGGCTGATTCTTTAGCTAGAGAACCCAGACCAGCCCTGTGGCCTCATATTTCCACATCAGCCTTCTTGAATCTGTGTTCCTCCCCCCTCACTTATCTTTTTACATCAAACACATGGCTCAAAGCTTTTGATATTTGACTTGACTCTTCAGGACCCCAAGCTCCTCTGACTCAGCCCTCCACCCCCCACCCCTAACCCACGGCCCACTCTGCTTGAGGGCTCCCCAAAACCTCAAACTCCACCGTAAGCTCCCTGAGCAGCCACAAGGATTTTGGGGTTTGGTTTGGTTTTGCCTCTTACTCCCTTTTCATTTTCCCTGGCATCATTCACATTCACCAATCAGATTCATTTTTATCATCTCCTATTCCTCATGAGAAATACATTTTTTTATAACCTTTTACCTTGAATTCAAATCCATTTTTCCTCTGAAGCACCTGAGGTGAGGTGGGTATCTCCTCTTGTCCTAATCTTATCCACATGCCATGATATGGTTTGTCTGTGTCCCTACCCAAATCTCATCTTGAATCATAGCTCCTGTAATCCCCATGTGTTGTGGGAAGAACCTGGTGGGAGGTAATTGAATCAGAGGGGTGGGTTTTTCCCATGCTGTTCTTGTGATAATGAATAAGTTTCATGAGATCTGATGGTTTTATAAAGGCGAGTTCCCCTGCAAAATGCTCTCTTTCCTGCCACCATGTAAGATGTGACTTTGCTTCTCCTTTGCTTCCACCATGATTGTGAGTCCTCCCCAGCCATGTGGAACTGTGAGTCAATTAAACCTCTTTCCTTTATAAATTACCCAGTCTCAGATATGTCTTTATTAGCAGCATCAAAACAGACTAATACACACCACCAGTTTTCCTCCTGCATGTTCCTCAGTTCTGCTAGAACTGTAAAAAGATGGATTCCATAGACTGGAGTCACCCTGAGGGCAGGGATGGACCCCTATTCATGTTTGTGTCCAGCACAGTGCCTTGTTCACTGATGAAGTTGGATGCATTTTTTTCTTTCTTTCATGATTAGGGTTACTTGCCATGAATGTAGTCTAGCAAGGATGTGGTGAGTGACAGAGCTGGGGATACTACTATGGGCTGGGGAGCAAGAATTTCTTTTCCTGGTTCAGGTTCCCTCTCTTCCGAGAAGCCCAACCTTCTTCCTCAGGAAGCCTTGGGAATTAAGCTGGCAGAGATGTCTGCTGTCAGATTGTTTTCTGCTAAGTAACTCGTGGGGAGGAGGAGGAAGCCAGCCTGCAACCTACAGAGTATCCACATCCCAGGGAGCCTCTGACCCACACTGCTGAATGGGGCGCTAATAGACACCTGCCAACCCCAGAGTCAGGGGCAGCTGGATGGAGGAGGGAGGTGAGGTGGGGGGAGGAATGGGGGAGGGGGAGAAGAGGGAGGGAAGAAGGGAAAGGCGTGGGGAGGGAAGGAGGAGCTGGCCAATATTCCTGACTCTGCTCCCAAATCTCTTTGCAAAGCCATTACCAAAATTGATTTTAATAAATGAAAGATTTACCTGGGTCGAACATTGTTTTTAACTGGCAGCGATTAATTAATTAACTATCACCAGCCTGGCGATCACAATGGGATGATATTTTGATGCTAACACATTATTGAAAAGGACAAGCCATTTTTTTTTTTTCAAGTAATCAATTAATCAGTCCCAAATGAAGATTCAGACCACTGCCTATGCTCACAGGCACTTAATAGCTTCCTGCGCTGAGAATCCAAATACCTGCTTTAAGACTCTGTGCCCTGTTAAGCAGTTTGAGTCAAGTCAGTCAATGTTAATTCAGTATTTAAAAAAAATCACAATAGTTAACTTTAAGGAATCCCTGAAACATCTTCCTCATAATTAATAAATGAAAAATGTTCCTGCAGCTAATCAATAAAGTTGTTAGAATTGATCTGATGGGGAACTCTTTTTGTGGGTACAATTTTTCCCCTATTCAGAACAAAAGACTCCCCAGAGTGCTATCAACATGATAGACACTTAGGAGTCTAACCCAAAAGGAAAAAAAAATAGAAAGATGATTAATTAAAATCTCGGGTAGTGACATCTACTTTTATTCTGTGGGTAGAGAGCAGGGTCAAGTGTGAAGGTGGCGAATGTGAAGCTTTGGGAGAAGTTAAGGAAGCCAAGGTGCCCGGGGCTTTCCTCACTCCTTGTCCTGGAAAGACTAGAGAATCAGTCTCCTTGGAAGCTAAAAACAGTACTAACCCATGGAGGCCTGTGTCATTCAAGTCTGTCAAGCAGCATGGTAGCCTCGTTGTTGCAGCTGGGGTGCATAAAATGCAGGGAAATATGCTGGCGTGGAGCAATATCTCACAGACGATTTTGATGAACTGGTCTTCAGCATGGTCCAGAGCAAAAAAATCTGAGTGCTCTACTGGATCCCAAACCTGATGCTTCCTTCTAATTATTTGCACAAATTCTTGGGCTCATGCGCATCTACTGACCCAGAGTCAGTGAGACTGGGGTCTCGAAATCTGTGTTTTTAAAATATGCCCTAGTGATTTGACTCTGGCTCATATCAATGTGGGGTTACCACTGATTTTATCCATTTTCCCATCTCCAGGTATAAATGTAGGTAGTGGGTGACACTCATGATGTGTATTTATCTTTTGTTGGACATATCTATTGAGCCATTACTGTGTGCCAGGCATTGTACTGAGCACTTAATGTATAGTGGTCATTTAATCCTCACAGCAATCCTGTGAGATAGGCAACATGATTATTATCATCTTATAGATGAGTAATCGGAGACTTAGAAAGATAACTTGCTAAACGTCACACACCTAACAAGAAGCCCCCTAGGCTTTGAACCCAGGTTTGTCTGGTTCCTAGGTATGTGCTCCTACCACCCTGCGTCTGTCTCCAGTAAGTGACAGGCAGCTGAGAGGACACAGGGCAGAGTTGTAGGCTGGAAGCCCTGAGCATGCAGAATTTGAACAGCAGAACTTTAAGGCAAATGGCCTCTCAACTCCAAAGCTATGGAGTTTAGCTAATATGACTAAGCGGATTAATGTAATATTTTGTTCTTCTTTCTAGGAGGCTAGAATACCATTCTCTTTCAAATTACAAAATGATAAAGGTATGAAAGAAGGTAGAGCAGAAGGACAGTTGTAATTTTCCTAAAGTGTTTCGAGCCAATGAACTTGTTCTTCTATTAGAGTAACCATAATTTAATTAACCTGTGACAATACAGTATTCTTGGACAATTGGAACACTTGTTAAAAATGCAGGTTTCTGTACCTACCCAAGATCTACTGAAATAGGAGATTTGCATTTTTAACAACTTTCCAGGTCATTCTGATATCTGGCTAAGTGTGAGAAACATTGATGTAGTATTTCACCCACTTGTCCCATCTCCCGTTCCCAAGAAGATGTCGGTTGATGGTATAATAGGGAGTATATTGGACAGAAAGTACTGTAGTCATTTATTGCTATGGAACAAATTACCCCAAAAGTTGGTGGCTTAAAACCATTAAATGACTAAAAGTAAACATTTATTTAACTCACCAATCTGCAATTTGAACAGAGGTTAGCAGGGAAGGCCCACCTCTGCTCCATGAAGCACCAACTGGGGCTGGAATGAAGTGGGACTGGGGTGAAGTGGAGCTGAAAGATTCACTTCCAAAATGGCTTGCTCACATGGCTGATAAATTGGGACTTGCTATTGCCTGGGAGCTCAGCTGGGGGCTGAAAACTAAGGACATTAATTCCTCTCCACATTAGCTTCTCCATGGGCTGCTTGGGCTTCCTCACAGCATGGTTGCTGGGTTCCACTAATAAGAGTTCTAAGAGACAGAAAGTGGCAGCTCCCAGTTTCTTAAAGTCCTGGGTTGGGAACCTACTATGCTGTCAATTCTGTCATATACCATTGGTCAATCAATCACAGAGCCCAGATTCAAGGAGAAGGGACACAGATGTCTTCTCAATAAGAGAGTTCACATTGCTATAAAGACATACCTGAGATTGGATAATTTATAAAGAAAAGAGGTTTAATTGGGTCACGGTTCTGCAGGCTGTATGGGAAGCATGATACTGGCATCGGCTCGGCCTCTGGGGAGGCCTCAGGAAACTTACAATCAAGGCAGAAGGCGAGCGGGAACAAGCACTGTCATGTGGTAGGAGGAGGGGCAAGAGAGAGAGAGTGGAGGCGCCACACACTTTTAAACAAAAAGATCTCAAGAGAGCTCACTTACTATCATGAGAACAGCACCAAGTAATCCTTTTTAAAATAAGCACTTTTCATTGCACATTAAAATGTTATAAAATACTTAGAAAAATATTTCTACATAGTAGTTCTTTGGAACTCATCTATTATGTAAAAAAAGATGAACTTGTAAGTGATACAGTTATACATCCAAGTGAGAATTGAAGAGGATCAGTAAAAACCTTCTTGTTTTGGTTAGCATTCTTTTTCTGAGATGTCTGTCTGACTTCTCCCTGGGTTGTGATTCCTCCGGTACACTCAGAAATTCCTCAATAAACAAGGTCAGCACTTCTCCGTAGCTTATTCTTCCTGTCTCCTCTGATCACCCCTCTCTGAAGGAGGGCCCTGCAAACATCCATTGGAAAAAAATGAAAATGACTCTGAGCCTATATCATGGTTAGGCATAGAATCTGTCATGTGGATTCTGCAATCACATCCAAGTTAATCCACCTGCTCTTGGTAGTTTAGGAGGTGCTTCATTTTCATATCTCATCTTACAGGTGTACATTAGGTCTTGATAAGAGTTTCTCATCTTGTGTTCCAGGTTTTGGTGTGAGGGAGTAACCTCCCTGATCTCCCTGGTTCCTCTAGCATCACAAGGCAGAAGCAGCAGCATCTCTTCCATCTGCTGTAGTGAGGAAATAAAAGGTACTGAGCAAATCCCTCCATCTCTTGTCTATACCCTTCCCTAACTTGAAGATATTTTATGCTCTCTTAGACAGATCTTGGAGAAGAAGCTAATGGAACAGGAAAGCAGCTACTCTTTCAGATTCTGAGCAAGCTACTCCATGATTGAGTCCTTGTGCAAGGCAGCCCAAGGGAGGGGATGGCAGCACAACGGAGCCTGCATCCCAGCGGGGGAGTTAGCCTCCCCCGCCCCCTTCAGAATTCAGGGGGATATCTGAAATAGACCTAAAACTGCAGCCGAGCTAAATAAGCTCCACAAGGACATGGATTCGGCCATGTGTGAAGGGATCTCGATACAATATAACCACTGACAAGCTAAAACAACTCTTACAGCAGAGTTTTCCTATACCTAAACACTGTGGTGATGTGTGGACATTGAATCAGAGATCCTTAGATAGCCATGTGGCCCAATATCCTCATCTTCTTTGCAAAAAACCTAGAACCAGCAAGGTAAAGGTCTTCTTTCAAGAAGACACAACTAATTGCGAAAAGGGACCCAAGACAGGTATCCTGACTGTGGTGTTTTTAAAATATGATCCCCAATTCTTCAATACTTGCTATAGTTTGGATCTGTGTCCCTTTCCCAATCTCATGTCGAATTATAATCCCGAATATTGGAGGTGGGGCCTGGAGGGAGTGATTGGATCATGGGGGAAATTTCTCATTAATGGTTTAGCACCATCCCTTTGGTGCTGTTTACATGTTAGGAAGAAATCTTCCCTGCGTCTTCCAGCTTTTGGCGGCTCCTAGCAATTCATCACCTGCCTCTGTCTTCACACCTCTGTGTCCTCTTCTCTCTTTATAAGAACACTAGTCATTGGATTGAGAGTCATCACATGCTCACCACAGTATTGTTTATGGCAGCTGGCGATAGGGGCACACTCGAGGTTCCCATCACTGCTGGCAATTAATAAGGAAAGTGTGGTTTTAAAGTGGCCTTTTATCCCACATCCTGCTTTCTCTGCAGACCCAAGAGGCCTCTCCACCATTAGACATGCCACTAGACCAAGACTTCAAAATGCCTCAGTACTTGATATCTTGAAGCATAAGTTCCATCGTCAGCTTAGCTCAGCCCATCCCTCGAGGCTTACACCCTTCTATTGTTTCCAGGCTCCTTTTTAGGGAAGAGGCGGTGTTCAATCTATCTTTGTTTTCCTTCAGGTCTCAGCTCAGTGCTCTACACTCAAACATCATTAAATGCATGCTAAATCTATTAAGTCTATAATACTATTACCTGGAATGTATTTGTTAACTCTATATAAGATATATTGAGATCACTTGAGATCAAAATAAATGTTTGTTTCTTAAGAAAATAATCTATTTTTAGAAAGTAAATATAATTTAACTTAGTTGCCCTGCATAAATAGGAAATCTGATTATTCTTTGATTTTACTTTTCCTTTTTAAAATTTAATTCACAGAGAGATGACCAATTATGAATGACCCCACAGCTTAATAACATATCTGTTAATGTTCTTTGTTAAAAAAGCCAGTGAATTAAATTAAGTATTAACGGGGTTTGAATTGATTTGAGGAACTGAAACAAATAGATATTTTACCCTGTTGTGATCTAGTTCTAGATACTTTTCTTGCAGGTTAACTTCAGGTTTGGAAATAAAGTGGAACCTGTTTCTGCATCTTCAAAATCTATTTCTCTTGGGCCACATAACGGTATTGGACACTTGGTTATATGCAATTAATAATGAACACAACAGCCAAATGTTGACTATGATTGGTGCATATAATTCATTCATTCATTCATCTATTTGCCCATTCAACAAGCATTCACACTTTCCTACTATGTCAGACATTGCACTATGTCCTAGGGATTTAGAGACAAAATGGAAATAGTCTCTGTTATCAAGGAGCTGCCAGAATGGTAAAGAGAGGAGGGTATGTAAACAAATACAATATTACTGGAGTAGTGGTAGGGTGTGTGCAGAAAACAATGGGGACACAATGTGGCAGATCTACCTGAGAAAAGTCAGGAAAGTCTTTGTGGTGAAGGTGACTCTTACATTAATGTAGAAAGGCATGAAGACCATCTAGACAAAGGAATTCAATGGGAGAGTGGACATTAAGATTTGGAGAGCAGAAGAGAAATTGATCCTGGTAATACCAGCCTGGGAGTCATTAGCTTTTAGGTAGTTGTGTTAAGCTGGGTGAGTGGTTAAGATCTCCCAGCTGGCACCACAGGTAGCATAAGAGGACCAGGGTAGAAGAGAGCTGGTGTGAATTCTACCCAATGAAGTTGACCAGGGAAGGGCCTGTTGGAACTGTGGGCCAGTCCTGGAGGCTGAGACCCTCACAGGAAGCTACCCTTAATAGTTTAAGAAAACAGACAGATCTGAGTCCTAATATAAGCTGTGTGGCCTTGACAGATTGCTTAAACTTTGTCTCAGTTTCTATACCCACAGAATGAAAGTATTAATAGTACACACTGCAGGGTTATTAGAAGAATTAAATGAGATAATGTTTATAAAGGAGGGTCTGGTATACAGAAAGCAATCATTGCATAGTACCTATTGTTATCATTTTATTATTAAAATGAATGTGAAAATTGGGGAACGAATTTTAACCCTTTAACTACCAGATTGTAACATCCAGAAATATTTATTGAGCACCGGTGATGTTCCAGGCATGGTTTTTGGTGCTAGCAGGAGAGAAAACAATACCTGTGGCCTAAAGAGCTCAACCTGACCTGAAGAACTCAAGGGAATCTTGAACTTGAGTGGGGCAGAAAATGCAGTTTCATTTTCACTACACTTGCAAAAATGTAGCATTTTTCTTCAATTATGAATTTAGGCAACAAACCACAATAGTATTAGCAGTGCCTGTGGCTTTGTTATTAATAAAAATCAGTCTTGTCATATCACATTATAGTTCTTTTATAGGTTTAGAAATATTTATTGGAAATAGCATTACCTTAAAAGTAGAAATTGGGAGGCCAGTTTTAGATTCTCTTATTTTATGTATTAACAAATAAGCATATGTAATCCTTGTATCATAAATTTGAGATTTCTTTTACATTTTGATAACCATATTTCAATATAGTTGGTTTCTTTTGTGATACTATGTGTTTTGTCTTATGTATTTATAAAACCTTACTGTGAAAAGGGATGATCTGCAGACCCCCAGACTATCAATGGGGTCATGGAGCACAAAAATGTTAAGAATATCTGATATCTATTCAATTCTGGGAGAGACAAATAAAAAGCAAATCCCATGAATAGATAACGGAATGTCAAGTAGTGAGTGATGAGCTCCATGAAGACCAAAAGGCAGGGACCAGACCAGATTGTGGAGGGTTGATTTAAAGAGTGAAATCAGAGAAGGCTTCTCTGAGGAGGTGACTTTCATACACAGACCTGCAGGAAGCCAGGGAGGGAGTCGTGTGTATCTATGTGGTTGGGGAGAGGGCTCTGAGCTCAGGGGAGAGAAGGGGTGAAGGCTCTGAGGGTGCTTGGTGCATGTCTGGGTTGGAGAGGGTGAGGCTGGAGGATGAGAGCTATGGGGCCGGTAGACTTTGAGGCCTGGGGAGACTTTGGGTCTCTGTCTTATGCATTCACGGGTCCCCAGAACCTGGCCAAGTGGGAGCACAAAATAGACACCTAGCAAATGTGGCATTCAAGGAAACAAATTCCCCTCCCAGGCAGTTTTCTTGGGTTAATTGCCAAGGAAAAAGTTAAGTGGCAGTAGCTAGGTGAGGGACCTAATACAGAAGTCAGCAGAAAGAGCTGACCTGCCCTGAACATGGCCCTAGGACTGTGGCCAAGGAGAGATGCAGGGATGGGCTGCTCCCAGGGGTGTTGGGTAGAACTCAGGATGCAGGCTTCTTTCCTGTCTTGCGATCTAATAAAATAACTAACACTGCTTTCTCTTTTCTCCCACCATGCAATAACTCTGCACCCTCCACTCCCATCACAATCTCACCTGCTGGAGACAGTTAGTCAGAAGTCACAGGGCATGAGGGAGGCAGCAAGTGAGCAGTCGTAACCCCAACTGAGAGATTTTGAGCCCTTATCTCATGCCAGGCAGTTTTCTGAGAGCTTGACTCATTTAATTCTTATCAAAAAACTTTCTGAGGTAGGGGATGTTATTATCCTCACTTCACAAATGGGAAAACTGAGGCCCAGAAAGGTTAAATGGCAGCCATAGCACGTAGAACCTTAGTCAACAGCTGAGCTGGGAGTGGGCTCCAAGCGTCCTGACCCCAGAGGCTCCACAGCAGTCCTTGTAACCCCCACACCAAACTGGTTATGGGTAGTGACTCTGCCAGACACCAAAGGGAACACACAACCAATGCCAGAGGGACCTGGGCTAGACTGCCAGCAACTGCTTAGGAAGGGCTCCAGCCAGACAACCTTCAATTCCCTCCTATCCATGCCCCCCTCCTCCACTTGCCGCTAGCATGACATGAGAAACCAGAATTATAGGTAGACAGAATAAGATTCCAAACGGCAAGAAATATAGCTGCCTGGGGAGCAGCTGGCTTAACCGATCCTTGCTGATTGATTTGTTGACATCAAGAGGATTGTTAGGAAGGTTTTGGAATGCAGACTCTAGCAGATCTGATCAAAACCCACATCTCCTTTCGCCATGGGTATGAGGTGCAGCATTAACCTGGGCACCATTCAACTCTCAGTCTTGAAGGACCATGGGAATAAGGATTCCTGGCCACCAGTCAGAGTCCTGCAGCCAGATCTCCTATCACTCCAGTCCTTCAAAGGAGAGCAGTTGGATTCAAAAGAGGTAGAAGGAATTGTCCAGGATGACACAAATCAGGTCACAGAAGAGTGCCTCCAAATCCTAATAGTAGTATTGGCTTGGAGACCTCTAATCCTCTGAGATGGATCATCCAGTCCACCTCAACCCAGTAGGGTTTTCTTGTGCACAGTGGTAAACATTGCCCGCTCTCCCAAGCTCTGAAATGGGAGTGTGCGGAGTAGGCTCAGAGAAGGAGAGAAGGAGAAGAACAGAGATCTCCAGTAACTTTCTAGAGATGTTCTGGGGGTGTGAGCCAGCATCTAAGATATGCAGGTAGATACTTCCAAAGCAATAGAGATCTCCAGACATTCAGGAAAAGGATCCCTCCAGCAAGGAAGCCTGGAGGACCTCCCTGGGGCTTGGATGGGACTGCCCGCCACTCCGGTGATAGGCTTTTCTAGAGAAAATGGCACAGTGACAGAGGTGAGGGACCCAGGGGCCTTTAAGGCAGTAGAAGCCTTTCCTCGCATGTGCCTAAGGCTGTGAAAGAGCAATTCCTTGGCCCAGATAGTCTTTGTAGTGCCAGGTCAGTGGGGCAAGAGTGAAGGCCTCACACAGCCTGGGGAGCTCAGCCTGAAGATGGGACCCTCCCCATCCCAGGTTTTCCTTGCAGATCTCCTTCAAAAATCTGAATTCCTGCCTCCATAGCCACCAGTTTCACTGTTGAAGTGTGCACTCACTGTAAGGACAAAGAGGAGGAGGTTAGGCTGGGGCCACAAGTATAAGGAACAGGTGACTTTGCCCACCCATGAGGCTTGAGGGTCACATGGGGCCCTGCTTGGACCAAAGCAGCTGCATCTCCATTGTGTTTTTATTTTTAACTTTTTATTATGGAAATTCTCAAAGACACAAAAATGGAATTGTGATACAAATCCCCCTGCAGCGTTACCCAGCTTCAACAATTATCCACGTTTGATCAGTCTGGCCACATCCTTCCTCCTCTCAACCCCACTGAAGTATTTTAAAGCAAATTGCAGACATTGTGTTATTTCATCTATAAACACTTAAAAGTGTCTCTCTTATCAAGAAAGACTTGTTGAAACACAACCACAATACCACTGTCACACCTAACAACCCTTCTGTGATCAAATTTTCCCAGTTATCTGAAAAATGTGGTTTTATGATTGGTTTGTTCAAAACAAGATCCAAATAAAGTCTACATATTGAATTTAGTTGATATGTCTCTTTCACCCTTAAAAAGCAACTTTTATCCTGAGGAGTGCCCGGCTCCAGCACCTGACAGCAGCCAGGACCGAGCCCTCCACCCATTCCTAGCCTGTGGCTGCCCCAGCCCTGTTCACCACCCAGGGAGCTCTCCAAACACATGCTGGCTGGAAGCCGAGTGCGAAGCCTGCTTCCATCAAGGAAGCTGGAAGGCTGGCATCTGTGGAGGCCTTGCCCTTTTTTGTGTACATTGCACCTAACACCACACAGTAGATGCTCAATAAATCCCCACCGGATGATGCTGTGCAATCAGGTCCTCTCCTAAGAGTGGGTTTTCAGGGAAAGGAGAGCTGCCCTTAATAATTGGAGTGCAAAGATTTCAGACAATTAGCAATGTACACTACTAATAAACTCTTCTATCACACTTGCTGGTGCCAGACCCTGTTCTTCAGTGTTTCACATCTCATTTAATCTTCATCATAACTCCACGAGGTGGGTACGTACTCGCCATTTTACAGGCGAGGACACTGAGGCATAAAGAGGGAAGGTGACTTGCCCAGCTGGGAGGTGGCAGGGATAGAAAGAAAACCCAGGCAGCCTGGCCTTGAATCTCCACACCATCCACCCAGAACCGCAGCATACAAGCTGGGTGGGTTTAGCTGTGTGCCAAGGATCTGACTCCGAACACACAATAGGGTTTCAGCAAAGGGGCAAAGAACTGACCTCAGAAATGTTTGACTTTGACATCTGCACGGGGAGAATCAGACTCCTCCCAGTCCCCCGCAATGCACACACCCTCTGGTCCAGCTTGGGGCCTCATAGAGCCCACAGGGCTAGCGTTGGGCTGGGCTCACTGCAGAAGGGGCAGAAAAGCCAAGGAAGAAGCTGAGGCTGAGCCAAGAAGCCCCAGCTTCCCCTTGCCTGGGGCAGTGCCCCTGGCCAGGTCTTTCTACTGAAAATGCACAGACTCCAGAAGCCAAGTCCCATTGTTATTAATGCTTTAGTGAGAATCAGCTTTGTCCGATTTTTGGACGACTGTGAAAACAAGGATCTAAAAACAGAGATCAGTAAAGTACTGAAAATAACATGTCTGGGGGGCAGACCCAAGGTCACACTTGTCCTTTCTCAGCTGCCAGTCCTGTGCCCCCCAGAGCAGCCACAGCAGGAGGTAAGAGGTCACGAGAGTGCCCCCATGGCCTTCCTGAGTCAAGGCCAGGCTTTCGAAGGAACCTCCCTCCTGTCAGCAATGGGCCCAGCGGACTGGAAGGAACTGGCTTAATAAATGTTTGACTTTGCTATTTGGAGGAGGGCAGGAGCCTCGGCCAGGCCCCGGAGCGGCTCTGAAGTGCTGTGAGGCCCACTGACACTTCCTTTCCCTTTCCAAGGTGTTCTCATGACAGCTAGCTACCTGGCGTCTGCCGGGCTGGAGCAACTGCCTGTACAAGGTGGTGACCTTCTAAATCCACATCCGTTAATGAACCTGGCCGGCCCTGGGAGCCACAGAGGCTGCACCCTCTGCGGTGGCTTCTGCCAAATTCCTCTTGTTGTTTTTGATTCTCTTCTTCTTCCTCCTCCCCCTTCCCATTATGCCTGACATTTCTAAGGCCAAGTTTTGTTACAAGCAATTAGCCTATGTCAGAGATCTGGAGAGAAGGGCTGTGTTCCAAGAACCAGCTGAAGTAGGAAGTGCCAGAGTAGGGAGGGCTGCCTGGAAGCCCACTACTCAAAGGGCCCCTGCGTGGTGGCCCTGCACAGACCACCGCTCCCTGCACCAACAATGGGGACAGGCCTCTAGAGAGGTGAGCCATGGGTGCAGGAGCCCCCAAATGAGAATCCACCATTCTCTACTCTGGAGCCCTCCTCCTGCTTTTCATCTAGAAATTTATCCTCCCAACCTGAGCTTCCCAGACCCTGGATGGGCCCAAAAGCCGGAGTCCATGGCCTATTTCCAATCCTTGAAAAGGGAAAAAGAAATATATTTATCCACAATAAGCTGTATAGGCTAACCCCCAAAAGTATTTTTAACTTTGCCTGGAATTATTTTCTCACTCAGTATGGTCGTCTGTTTGGTATGCTGACAAATAAAAACAATGAAATAGAGTATTTCGGAATCAATGCATTCTCTGGGGTAGACATTTCTCAGGTGGAGGGTGGTATTTTGTGGGAGCCACGAGGGAGGAGGGAGAGGTGCTAAGTCCCCTGACCATCCAGCACCTCCTTCCTCAACGCAGCCTCTGGCGCTTCCTGATCCCCCAGCACCCGACTAGCCTCCATCCTCTGGCCTCTTAAGAGGACATGCAGCCATTACAACCCACGCACTGGTTGATCTCATCCCTTCAGTGTCAGGATACAATGAACTAACTTAAGGAATCAACATGAGCTCCTAAGAGAGGGCCCAAGGCCTCACCTAGCCCTTCCAGGTCACAATAGGGGATTTCAGAAGTTGAATCTTAAAACTGTTGCCTTCTTTGCTGCGGGCGCCATAGGTGAGCATTTCAGGAGGATGACGAAACTGAGGCCCAGGAGGCTACGTTGGCAGCCAAAGGTCCCAGGCAGGTTATGTAGATGGCCGTGACCAGAGCCAAGGTCTCCAGCCTCCCAGCACAGGGCTCTTCCCATGTTGAGGATGCCACTGACTCCCTGCCATTCACGTTCAGCCTATGTTCCATCTACAGTCCAGGACAGGAATGTAAAAAGAGGATCTGTGCAACAGCACCACAATCCAGAAACCTGGAAATCATCTGTTTCCATCCTGAAGGAAATCGTGTTCTCACAAACCCATTCACAGCCCAGCTACTAGCTCTCCAGAGAGCAGGAGGCTGCCTGCCTTGAGAGATCAAGGACCAGGGAGGAACGAAGGAGAAGAGTGGGCAAGGGAGAGAAAAATCTTAGTGGGAGCTGAGGGCGAAGAGAGCTAAGCTGCAACCTACTGTGCGTATTAAATCACTGGAACTCTTCGTGCGAGGGATTTCTTTCTTCCTAGTTGGGTGGGGTTTCAGAGATGCTCTACAGAGTCTGTCCTGGCTTGCCTTGGGGAGGACTGTGAATGTGGCCTGAGAGTAGAGAGCGTTGGATAACTGACTTCCATGCCCATACTCTGTAGGTTGCCAACCCCTTCCCATCTCAGCCCATGGCACTCCTGATACCTCCCAGAGATCTTCCCGCCTCTCTTCTCATACCACTTCTAATAATATTGCTTCCCTTTTCTTGGTCTCCTCTTAGGCCAGATTAGTTGTGTTCATGCACAGCCACAGCTGGTGGTTACCAGACCATGCAATGGTGCTCCAGCTCAAATGCTCTGCTGTGGAAAGTGGGGAAAATTCCTCTTCCATGCTGTCCAAAATAGAAGGCATGTGATTGTTCCCCATTTTTGGCACCTGTTTAATATTTTTGAGGTAGGATGATTTTTACGACTAGGATTTAAAAAAACAATTTAGAGGAAGCAGCAAGAAATATGCAACTGAAACATCACTGAGCAGGCAACTCTTCAATGGGCACTCACCAGTCAGCAACACAAACTCCTTCCACACGGGCTCCAGCTGGATCGCACACCACTGCCCCTTGGTCTAGTGAGACCCTCATTGAATGACATTCATTTTCTCAGTCATAGAGCCTACCCCTTATACCTATAGCTGCCCACAACCAATGATGGAGCTAAAGCTGCAATCTGAATAGAATCCCATTCTCCCTCTTCTGATTCTGTGATTTTGAGTCACACCGAGGGATGGGGAACAGAAAGAATGTGCTTAACCATCAGGCTTCCTAGAAACTGCCCAAATCTGCTGTCACCACTCATTGTTGGCGCATTCACTGGAGGGGCAAAGAAGAGGAGAGACGAGTGCAGTGATTTAGACCTGCTGGCTGTTCGTAATTATCTGTGGATTGGCAGTAGGGGTGGGAAGAGTACCCAAGAAATGATAACTGAAATTCCAAAGATTGAGTAGATGGAAAAAGAAACCTGGTAAATTTATCTTCTTCCTCCTCTCTTCCTGCCCAACAAAACAAAACAAAAATGGGTAATTAGTCAACATCACCTATTGTGTTTAGTAAGAATCTGGAAAACAGCCAGTTCCAGGAAGTGGAGAGGGAATGGATGCAGAGGGAAGCGGTTCTGGGTTTCCGGGCAGTGCCCGCTACACAATGGTTCTCAAGGTGTGGTTGCCTGGGGCAGCAGCACCAGCATCACTGGGAACCTTGTTAGAAATGCAGAGTCTCAGGCCTCACCCCAGACCCACTGCATCAGAAACTCTAAGGGTGGGCCCAGTAATGTGTATTTCAATCAGTACCACCCTCTGGTTAACCTTGATGCTCACTCAAGTTTGAGAAGTCCTCAACCTCAGGTGCACCCTGGTTTCCTGCATGGGGAACCATTCAAATCAGAGTGTGAAGATTCTCCAACCACTTGCTCCCTGCCGCCAGCCACTCCTGCCATTCCCAACCCTCTCTCCTGCGCCTTCCTTTGGCCTTGCCTTTTGGGGGCACCATCCCAGCTTAGCCTATCCTTTCTTTCCAGGTGCTACTCACATCTCTCCTCTTCAAAGACCCCAAAGACACTTCAGTCCTAGGAAACACTCCCTGCTATGAAGCCACATGTACTCACCTCTGTAACTCTCATTCTACACTGGCCTGCCTATCTTAGATACTTATTTTCCCAAGCCTAGAAGTGCCTGGGGTGCAGGGTCCTTGCCCTCCAAGTTGCCAGGAGGTGGGCCCAGAAATCATTTCCTGCAAAGGAGATCCCAGAGCACGTGTGTGAATCAAAAAGGAAGCCTGGGAGGGGAGCTGGCCTCCCAGTCTCCGCAGATTGTCCTGCTGGCACATGGCCCACAGGCAGGCCCTCCCCTGCAGGCCCGCATGTTATTCCCCACGTGGATTAGAGGCTGAACACAAACAGAATACAAAAGACAAAAGACAAGGAGCAGCGTTGCTGTCAGAGTCTATAAAAGTCTTGGAAGTGACAGCCGAGCTCTTGCCTGCTGCTGCTGCCCTGAAATCCAGAAAGAATCAATTTCAGACCCAGGGCCAAATGGTGCCCCAGGGGGCGTGCCTGTGACAGGTGCTGACTCCGCCCAGACCCCAGGACCCACCCAGCCCAGAGATCTGAGTGGGGGAGGAGGAAGGGGGAATGGAAGAGTCACCCTGCAGCTTAAAAAGGAAACACGCACATCTCTCTGTCTCTTTTTCAGTCTCTCTGCCCCTGTTTCTCTCTCTCTGTATCTGCTTCTCTGCCTCTTTCTGTCTCTGTTTGTCTATATCTTTGTCTCTGTCTCTCTCCCTCCCTTTTTCTCTGTTTCTTCTTTGTCTCTGTATTTCTGTTTCTCTGTCTCTTTCCCTCTGTCTGTCTCTCTCTGTCGTGCTCTTTCTATCTCACTGGTGTCTACTGCTGTATTCCTTCCCTGAAACTCTCTTTACTCATTATTAGGATTACAACTAAAATCATTTTCTTTCTTGCTTCATGAAACTAAACTGTGACTCTGGGGATAGTGACTGTATCGCCTACCCCTTTGGACTCCAAGTCTTCCCAAAACATAGACATTTTCAATAAATACTTGTAGTTCATTGATAAGAATGTATAGAATTCCAGAAATTACATTTATTTATCCTTCTGGATTGCAAGAAGGGAATTATTTAGCAGGGACCAGTGGGCAGGCATGCACGCACGCACGTAATGAGCTCTCTCAAGTCACGGTAGTTTGATTTATTTACATATTCATTTTCAGAATACAGCAGTGTCCATCGCATAGGTTAGCATTTTCCATTTGCCAAACTCATGGTGGGAACGGGAAGCATTCAGGCTATGGTTGGCAGATTTGGCAAACTAAAGCATGGGGCCCCAGTAAATTTGAATTTCAAATAAACAACAAATAACTTTTTAATACAAGTATGTTTCAAATATTGCACGGTCCATGCCCTAGGAGAGTATCTGTTGTTTCTCTGAAATTCACATTTGCTGAGCAACCTGTATTTTATCTGGCAACCTGTCTCAGGACAATTCAAGTAGAAAAGGAGAATAGAGAACTGGTAAAGGAAAAAAAAAACTTTAAAAGTTGTATTACACTTTATTACGTTATTTTTAAAAAGAAGAAGGAGAACAAACCCCAAACCAAAAATCACTTCCGCAACACATTTCTTAAAAGCAGAAATTAGGTTCCTTTTATGTTAGTGCAAAGATAGGTGCCAAGCTGGGGTCTCAGATGGAGTGATTTTAAATCTCAGAAAGAGCTTAGCTGTTTTTGTAAAAAGGAAAGTTGGCAAGTGATTAGTGCCGATGTGGCCCAGCTGCTCTTTTGTACTTCGAAAGAAACAATTAAAATGGCTGGGACATTAAACTTTAAAGAGCTGGGTTGTTCATATTCAGAAGCTAATTTTAAAAAGAGCCTGGTACCTGGGAAAGGAAGGGACATTTTCAGAAAGGACATGGTCTTCTACCTTCTGGACTCTAAATTTTGAAGAATCATTTAAAATAGCTCATAGGTAAACATTACAGATAAAATACCTCCAGGGATAAGAAAGCTCTTTCTTGCTTAGACATGTAGACACTAGATGCAAAATTAATTTTTGTTCACTTTTTAGATGATAAATACTGCCATCTGAGAAATTAAATGTTGGAAAAGACAAATCCAGAACTGGTTTCTTTCTACAAATTGCTGAGCTCCTGTGATGTGCTAGGTCCTGGGGTTAAGGAAAAGAAATGAACAAAGCAAATCCCTGCCCTGGAGGAAGCTCACATTTAAGTGGGGATGACAGATCTGTAAGCAAAGACAGTTCACTGTGGTGAGGTGGTGTGGCTAAAAGCATGGTTAAAAGGGTTAAAAGTGAGGGCTCTGTGCTCAATACAGGCTCAGCCCCAGCCCCACCACTTAGGCAGTGTCTGAGCTTTGGTTTCTACATTTATAAATGGGAATAAAAATGGGAATAAAGATACGATTTCTTCAATTAGATCATGAGGACTTACTACGGTAAGCGAAGTTAAGCGTTTAGTACACTGCCAGCTGTAGAGCAATAGAGCAAGTGCTTCGTCAGACCTAGCTACTATAGTAAGTGTGGTCATCCCTTATGAGATCTATGGGAGCACAGAGGAAGGAGTCTGTCACTCCTGCTTAGACGATGTGTGGCTCCTCAGGAGCTGAGTCTTAAAGGAGGGTAGGAGTGGTTGAGGGCATTCCCTTCACAGTGAGCAGAGGGAACACAGGGTGTCCAGGATAGTCATGGGCATGGTTGTCATATGAGAAATGACAGTGTACGGGGCAGCAGAGGTGACCAGGGGCCCCATTATCACGGGCCTCATAAACCATGCCAGGTGTCTGACCTTCTAGAAATATCAGAAAACTGACGGAGCTTAAAGAGGAAAAGGATGTAAATCTGCATTTCTTTTTTGTTGTTGCAGTTGAAAGATAAGCCATTTATTGACCATCCACTTTTCAAATAAAACACAAATGTGAGCATAACATAAACACACCCAAGACTCACTAGCCCCTGCAAGACAGGAAGCATTCTTGGACAGAGAGTCTGCAAATGAGTTTCCTTATACCTAATGTCTGAACTTCTCACTCATTCTAGGGTTTCATGCTTTGTTATCTCTTACAAAGGAAAGGAAACTGGCTAGAAGATTCATGTACAAGAAGGTCACAACTTCAAAGCTATCTGACACTAATGTTGTGTACAATCTAGTTTGCAACTCTGAGAGACAATATCAAATAAGTACTGTCAAATATTCCTCCCAGTTAACCTTTACTGTCATTGTTCTTTGAAATTGTCTTTGGGATTGGTTATGTTCTCTCGCTGTAGCTTTCGTTTATCTCAGAGCACAAACCCTAAAATCCATGTGCAGTCTCCATGTTCAAGTATAGATGTCTGTTTCAGGACAATCCTGGGTCGCGGTAGTGTTTCCCTCTCTGTAGTGTGTGTTTGGTGTCATGCCCTTGGAAAGGCTGGCCAAATGGCAGCGCAATGCAGGAGGGTGCCACGGTCAACTTTCTCTCTGGCGAACTTGCTTCCCTTTCAATCTGGTCACTGCTCATGGTCGAGGTGGAAATCTTGAGCTCAGTGATGAACTTGGCTTATCTTCAATCTGAAACTGCACTCTTATGTAACCGAATCCATTTCTTCACCAAAAATTAAATAGCGCTTTCAAAAGCTGTCAGGCATATTCTTAGGAAGTGTCCTGAGACGGAGCTGGAGGGTCCTGGCCTTCTGGCTCTGGAGGGAGTGCTGGCACAGCTGCTTCTTTCTGGGCCACCAGGAATTCATGAATTATTTGTTCTATTTGTGGCCTGAAGATGTGGTTTAGTTTTGGATCCACCACCTGAGAACTAATCCTGTCCACTCCAGCTTCTGACCTCCCTGACTGAACCACACTCTGCCTCAGACCATCGTGCAGTTGGTTGTCGTTTGCTGGAGGATTCCATTCCTGCTTGTCCAGATGTGTCGACACAAAATTATCCGCTTTCTGGCTCAGGTTTTGGTAAGCTGGCTTGGTGTCCACGTCAGCCTTGCAGTCCCGGCGGAAGCTGTCAAAAAGGCCCCTGCTCTTGAGCTGCCCCACGATGATAGCGATGAGCTGAGGGTCGCCAGGGGGCAACGAGGCCGGGTTGATGGGGCCGCCGCCCCCGCTGGCCCGGGTCGAGGCCGGGCCCGCACCGCCGCTGCCGCCGCCGCCACCGTCCGCCATGGCTGCGCACCGGGCCCACAAGGAAACCGATTATAGCTTCTTCTCCAGGACAGAAAGCCTAGAATGTGTAGAGGTGGCTAAGGGGGCGGTGAAGGAGGAGGGCCCCAAGGAGGCAGCGGCGGAGGTGACGGTGGTGGTGATGGCGGCGGGGCCGGTGGTTGGGGCGGCGGTGGGGGAGGCCAGCTCCAGACCGCGGAGGTTGTGGAAGACGCGGCAGCAACCGCCTGCTGGATTCCAAGCGCGCTCCAGATGGCGTCACCGTTGACCTTTGCATTGTGAGGCGGGAACCGTAATCTGCATTTCTTAAAAGATCTCTAAGAGGGAGGTGGGAAACAAATGCCAGTGGGCAAGGGCGAAACAGGGAGACAATTTCAGCAACCATTTCAGTGCCCTAAGAAGGAGATGGCGAGGAGTGAATGATCTTCGTGGCCTGGCAGGTGAAGAAGGTAACAGGGATACAAGAGATATTTAGGAGATAGACTCATCCCAGGGATTGGAGAACAACGGGGTGAGGGACGAGGGAAAGGAGAGGGTCAAGGATGACCCCCAGGCTTCTCACTTGGGCAGGTGCATGGAGGTGCCATTTACTAAATGGAGAACAGGTATAGAGGTGAGGATGGGAGACAGAGACATGATCGTGCATTCCATTTTTATTTACTAGTTTAAGATGGGTATGGGTTATTCAGATGCAGACATCTGCCTATGAAGTCCAAAGATACAAGGACTAGGGGCTGGGGAGAGACATCTAACTCACTGAAGGTAGAGACTATAGGTGGCAATTACAATGGAGAACTTAGAAGAGATAGAGGAACACCTGGAGAGCCCATGAGGGGGACTGAGAACAACACTAAAAAGATGGAGGGAAAACTACAAAAGCCTTGGATCATAGACCGCAAAAGGTACATTTCATGAAGGCCATGGGTGAAATGCCACACTATGTTCCACAAGGTGTCCATTGGCTTTGGTAGCCATTGATGAGCCTAGGGCAGATGTGTCAGTCAGAAGGAGGTCATTTCAACAAGAGAACTGTATTGCAACCAAGAGCCACAAAAGGCAACCACATCCAGCGCCATCCAATAGAGAAGTGCAGGTGCACAGAAAGAACCTTCTATCAATATTTCAAAAGAAAAGCAGATCCCTGATTTCACCCCAACACTCACTTCCCTGAATTAAAATGCCCCTGAGATGTAGACACCACATTGTTCTATAAGCCGTAACATAGCTTAAAGGTAGTATATTTCACAAAGAAAGTTTACACAACAGACTCTGTCAATAACCTCACCCCATAGCTTCTGACATACAAGTACAGATGCCTCAGATGGACGTATTCTGAATCTCATCCCACAGGAGACAGTGAACCTACCAAGACTTCACCACAGCAACCCCCTACCTATGCTCCTCACCATCCCCATGATCAGCTCGACAATTCAGTTCTGTATTTTTTTAAATTAATCAATATTTATTGAGGGACTAGTCGATGTGGCCCTGTGCTAAGCTTTATGGAGCTCTCCACGTGCCTGGCCCAGTCTAACACTCAATAAATGTTTGCTGTGGCTGTTGTTTAAGACAGGCAACATGGCCAGCCTTTGAAAAGCTTACAATCTAGTTGGAGAGGGGAGATGTTGACAGAGAAAACCATTGAGGACATACACAAGCTCCATGGGAACTTAGATGCAACATGCACACCTAGCATGGTGCCTGGAACAAAAGAGAGGCACCATTAATATTTGCAGAATAAAGATTGCATAGATGAAAGGAGGGTGTCCCTGTCATGTGTTGGAGAACACTGAAGCCTGGGAGAACGTGGCAGATGGAAGAAGACTTTGCAGAAGTGCTGGAGCCTGAACTGAGTCTTCATTTATCCCCTCACTGTGCATGAGCCCTTCAGATTGCACAGGAGTTCTCTTAGAATGCAATCACCTATGTGGATCCAAGATGAGATCTATGGGGTTCTCCAATCACAGCCTCACCCACAGAGGGACACTTACCTAAGCTTTTGAAAGTGATGATAATAACAATCATATTGCAGTGTTCCATTCTGTACTGAAAAATGTTCACTGTCAAACACCTTTTCTCCACATCCTCCCCAAGTCTTAAATAGTGTGCTGGCATGGTTTTTCTGAATAGCTGACTTGTGTATTATTTGTAATCATAAACATTAAGTTACCATAATTATCCCATCACCTTGGATCAGGGTTTAGGGCACAGGACAGTTCTCACCTCTCACCGAGGCTTCAAACCACTGCTCCCGGTTGCCTGGCAAACTATAAGGCCACTAGAGTAACTTCCCTGACCTCTAGCTGACCTGCAGGGATCAATGAACAATTAATTACTATCATCCCACTCCGGGAGAGATAGCACACTGCCATTTCTCAATTACAACTGGAAGTGCCCCTTGGCTGACAGCTGCCTGTCGGACAAGGCAAGCCCCATGCTGATTCAAACCAGTGCCTCCCACCGCAACTACACACACAGATACACACAGGCACATGCCATCTAACTCAGACCACATCCATTCCCCCACCACACCCACCCACAATCACACAGATCACACCATCTTCCCACCCACTAATCCCACACCCGCAATCACACTAGTGTCAGACTCTGAAATGTAGATACCAGAGTGTTCTATGATCCTTAGCATAACTCAGAGATTGTATATTTCACCAAGAAAATATTACAGACTCTGTCAATAATCTCATATCATAGCTTCTAACATGCAAGGATGCCTAGGAGGGATGACATTCTGAATATTACCTGGTAGGAAACAGTCAATAGTCTTTATCAGTATCAATTTTCCTCATGTATTACATAGGCACCTAGACCAGTATTGTTCAAGGGTAGGGATGACCCTTGCCTTTATGACTCAGGAAGACTTTGTCTTTGCTATACTTCTTGTGACATCTCTACAGGTAAAACTTTTGGTGTTTTCTACCTTCATCTCTTCCTACATCTTTAGTGTCCCCTCCACCCCCATCCTAACGCTCTGTGTTCTGTTTCCTTCCCAGTCACCTTGACCACATCACTTATACCTTTCTTAGCTCCTCCCCAAATACCAAAGCACTTTCTGCATATTCACTCCTTTCCAGCCCACTTCTCTCCACTTCTGATAAAGGAAAAAACTGGACTAATCAACTCAAATTGAAATGTTTCTGGCTGCTGACAGCTTCAGCTACCACTCCTGGAGTTAATCCTAAAATTCAGAAGAGTAAATATACTGGAACCTCAGAGGTTCCAGTTCTGCTTGAAGGTGGGAGTGGGCTACTTTTGCTCATAGAGGCTCGGAGAATCCTCATATCTCACTATGTGTGTATGTTTCCTGCTTTATTTCTACAATCAATGATCTAAACACTGGTTATTCCATTGGAAAGATCCACAAATGCATTAGGCAAGTCTTTTGATTGCACACAACAGAAACCCAGCTTAAAAAAGGAGGGGGGATATATGGGCTCACTTAAAGACACAAAGGTCTCTCTGGCTCAGGCATAGTGGGATCCAGGTACTTGAACACAATAATCAGAACTTGATCTCTGGTTTCCTCCTGACTGGCTCTCCTCCCAGGCTGGATGTCTTAACAGGGCTCTCCGAGCAGCTGCAGGTGTGCATCACCCATAGTCAGCAACTGCCACTGACAGGAGAGCTGCTAGTTCTGAGAAAGAGAAATTCCAACAGAAGTCTCAAGATCATATCTCTTGGTCTACCTTGGATCAGTCCTCATCCTCGAACCAATCTTATTGGCCAGAGGCATGGAAGACTAAACTAGAGAAAATTCCTCTCCTTTCCCAGCTCCTGACCTCTACTACCCAGGGCAGACTCAGCCTGTGGCCAGTCCTGGCCCCTGCTGATAACTGTACAAGAACAAAAGCCTTTTGCTAGCCAAAAGCTTGACTTAGGGAGCCTGTGACAATTTAGAGGAACTGTAAAGCCATGGTTTCTGGGCCCTCATCAGCAAGCAAAACTACCTTAAATTAATCAGGTATAGACTGTACTATCTTGATCAAACTACCAGGCACCTAGGAGATGATCACAAACATCACAGTTATTAAAGGAACATGCTTATGACTCCACTGCTTACATTTCCACCTTGTGCCATGCCCAGAAGGGACCAGTATCAGGATACACATTTCCAGTCTCTCCCCCAACTTCCCCCATCATGTGCTGCTCCAGCCAGAGGAAGAGTGACTTATCTGCTTGGGGAGATCAGGGAGAACCAGGCAAATCCACCAGGCCACATTTGCCAAGAGCAGAATCCTTGAGTGGGACATGGACATGTCTTGCTGGTTCTCTTAGACCTGCCTGGCTTCTTCTGGAGCTCACTGCCCTCCTCCTTTTCCCACCCCCAACCACAAGGGAAGTCTGCTTCTCTTTAGCAGGCATGTGGTTGGATGTGTATGTTCAGACCGGAGAGCCACACGGAAGATCTTGCTGCCCAGTTTTCCAGAGAGCCCTATGCTTTGGGTACTATAATTGACTCTTTGATCCCATTGAGCTCCTTAATTGGCTAAAACCAAGAGGGGAGAAAGCATAAGTAATTAGCACCTCCACCCCTTCTAGCACAACATCAGCAGCAGACAACAATGATGGTGATGATGATGAAGGTGGTGGTGATGATTACAGGAAGGTCTCTCCCAGAAGCAGTAGGGAGTCAGGCCAGCAGTGACCATGCTCTCCCACTTTCCCTCCCTAACAGAACCATCAGCCCTGAATGTCCCCCTACTGGGGGCTGAACCTTGTCCTCTGCAGAGAACACAAAAATAATTGCAAAGTGCTGTCTGCATCCTGCAGAAGCACACCAGCCACTTGAGCTTGGACATTAAATCATACCAGAAGACTGTATATCTGCCCTGGGAAGGAAGGAAGCAATTGAAACCCAGTATTTAAAGGCAGTCTCAGATTTATCCTCCCTCTTGACAGCCTACAAAACATTGGAGAATAGTCCCTGCCTTTCTCTGAATGATAAAACAGAAACCACTGTCCAGAAATTGGTCCTGAGAAAGTTCATCGCTCATTCTCATGTGACTTTCCTGAGAAACAAAAACTGCAGGCCAAAACTCTGAGTTTTAACAGCCTTCTACTTCCACTTATTTGCCAAGCAAGTGCTGTGTTGCCTTCTCAGCATCCTACAATGTTTCACTTTTTGTGCATTTCCTTTCTTGTTTTTTCACCAACAAGGCAGCAGCACTGATTTTTGTGCACTCTCATGGAGATACATCTCACCCACTGGCTTTGTTCAACCCATGCCCCACCCTTAACCAGCACACTTCCATGCCCCCGGAAGGGATTTTGAAGGCCAAATATTTTGGCTTGTTTCCATTCAGAAAGCTTCCCTATTGTTTGGACATTAGTAAACTAAAATCCAAAGTCCTCAGCCAATTACTTCACCTCCTAATCTAACTTTGGGAGTTTGCTGGCTCCGTGTCAAGCCGATTACTGACGAAAGGCAATCAGTCATCGTGCCTTGTCTGTGGGCAGGTGAGCCCAACCGCCCCGCAGGGCCAGGAGCAAGTCAACATAGGATTGCATCATCTGCAGCTCTCAGTCTGAAGAACTGTGGGTAACACAGTGTGCTGATAACCCCACTCCCTGTCTTGCAGGAGGAGCTCACATTGTTGACAATTAACCCAATCCAAGAGACCTGCATAAATCAATCACTACAGGAAAAAAAAAATTGTTCTTGATCTACAGTGACAAATGTGTAGACAAGGTCAGTGGCCTGGGTTTACAACCTTGCTGTCTGAAGTGAGAATCTGGGGAGGAAGCTGCCAGTAGAAGACAGGGGCATTTCCAAGAATTTCCAGAGACCCATGCTGAGCAACCTGCTTTGCACTGGACATTCCCACCCTCAGGCCTATTTCCTTCCCTTGACATTTGATGCTCTCTGCACTGGTCCATTTTGTGTTGCTATAAAGGAATACCTGAGACTGGGTAATTTATAAGGAAAAGAGGTTTATTTGACTCATGGTTCTGCAGGCTATTCCAGAAGCATGGCACCGTCATCTGCTGGGCTCTCAGGAAGCTTTTCCGGAAGGGGGAAGGCAGGGGGAGCGGGCATGGCTCTTGGTGAGAGAGGGAGCAGGAGAGACAGCAGGAGGTGCCAGGCTCTTTTAAACTAAAATCATACAGTGAGAACTCATACCACAGAGAGGGCACCAAGCCATTCATGAGGGATCCACCCCCATGGCGCATTTGCCCCCCACCAAGCTGCACTCTAACATTGGGGATCACAATTCGACAGGAGATTTGGAGGAGACAATCATCCAAACCATATCACCCTCCTTTGGGTTTCTGACTCAGTGTTGTCCCCAGTCCCACAGACTTGCAATTCCCAAAGGGCCTCCCCAACTGCAGGGCCATTGGCCAGGCCCTCTGCCCAGATGTCCCTTCCTCCTTCTTCACTGACACTACCCCTTCCCCTCCCTACTGGAAACCTCCTGTTTGTCATTCAGGTCTCAGCCTAGACATTCTTCAGTCCAGGCAACCTTCCTTGACCCCTCATTCTGCTCAAGGGCCCTTCAGGTGTTCTCCCATGGGGTCTATACCCATTTCCTGGGGCTGCTGTAGCAAAGTACCACAGACTGGGGGCTTAAAGCAGTGGCCCCCAAACTCTGTGGCAACAGTCCCTGTTTCGTGGAAGACAGTTTTTCCACGGGCTGGTGCAGGGCAGGTGGAGGTGGTTTCAGGATGATTCAAGCACATTGCATTTGTTGTGCATTTTATTTCTATTATTATTACATTGTAATATATAATGAAATAATTATACAACTTAACATAATGTAGAATCAGTGGGAGCCCTGAACTTGTTTTCCTGCAACTAGACAGTCCTATCTGGGGGTGATGGGAGACAGTGACAGATCATCAGGCACTAGATTCTCACAAGGACCATGCAACCTAGATCCCTCACATGCTCAGTTCACAATACGGTTCATGCTCTTGTGAGAATCTATTGTCACCGCTGATCTGACAGGAGGGGGAGCTCAGGCAGTCATGCTCACTCCCCTGCCACTCACCTCCTGCTGTGCGGCCTGGTTCCTAACAGGCCACAGACCAGTACCAGGGGGACCCCTGGTTTAAATAACAGAAATATATTGTCACACAGTTCTGGAGGCTGGAAGTCCAAGATCAAGATGTTGGCAGGGTTGGTTCTTTCTGAGGGCTGTGAGGGGAGGATCTGTCCCAGGTTTCTCTCCTCAGCTTGTAGGGGGATATCTTCTCCTTGTGTCTCTTCATGTCATTTCCCTTCTTTGCCTGTGTCCAGATTTCCTCTGTTTATAAAGTCACCAGTCATATTGGATTAGGGTCCACCCTAATGACCTCCGTTTATCTTGATTACCTTTGTAAAGACTATCTCCTAACAAGGCCATAGTCTGAGGTGCTGAGGTTAAGACTTCAACAGATGAATTTGAAGAGGAAAAAATTTAGCCCATAACAGGACCCTTACTACTTCTCACCTACCATAGGATATTAACTGGCCTCATTCCTCCTCCATCACCCTCACTGAGGGCAGGAATGGTGTCTGACCCTCCCTCTAGTCCAGTGCCTGGCATGGGGTATGTTCTCATTTCTGTTCATGATTTCACATGCCTGCCCCTCTCCTCTTTTTCTTCATTGTGTAATGCCCCTTGCTACTGACAGCATGGACCCTAGTGGCCACAGGAATTGAACTGCCTGGCATGGGAGTGGGTGGGGTGGGGAGGGCTGCTCAGAGCCCGCCTGCTGTTGGTGACACAGTGGTAATGACCTGAACACAGCTTCCCCATCTGCTTCAACCTCCGGGGAGCCACCACCATGAGGACGCGGGTCCCTCCTTGGCAGGGCATGCATCAAACTAATTCTCCGGTTCCATTTCTTAATCTAACGGGTGGTTCCAGGAATCCAGCCATGTGCTTTAATGGGCCCCTGTCATTAGAGGCTTGGCAAATGCTCACACTCCCAAGCTCCCTGAAGCCCAGGAGGGCTGGCCAAGGGCTGAGAGGCACCAAGGCCATTTTCAAAAGCAAAAGGGCAGCAGGATCATAGTCTGACATTTTTTTAAACCTGCATTTATTTAGTAAATAATGTATGTTAATGCAACATATGCTGTATTATGCAATAATGACAGAAACAACCTGATCCTCCTATCCCAGACTTCACTCGCATCCTGCAGCTGCTCGGCAGGAATCCTGCACCCGCCTCCAGCCAAGGACTCCTTGACAAGTTCACGAAAGGGCAATGAACGTTGGAGGTCAGCTCCTGGCTGCCTCGTCCGCTGCTGGGCTGCCCAACCTCCTCCTTGTCCCTCCCTTCTCACACCAAGCCATCCACACCTGCCAACTTCCACAGACCCTCCTCAGACCTGCAAGACCTCCCTGACCGTGTTGGCCCGCAGTGACCTCCATACTTGTCAAATCACCTCATCCCTTGTCATTTGGGTCTTAGTTGACATACAAGGGGCGTTGCAACTTTACTGCTTCCTCTGTCTGTCTCCTAAGCAGATCACAGAGTTGCCCTTCCTTCCTCAGGGCACCAGAGCAGTGCTTGGGCCAAGCCAGGATTATTCCAACTTCGGTTGACTGAAAACTTAATGTCACACCAGATCAGTGTTTGCTGGGGGTGTGCATGTGGGGCAGAAGGAGGTGACTGCAAAGGTGCATGAGAGAATTTTTTGGGGTGATGGAAATATTCTAATTCTTGACTGAGGTCGTGGTTACTTGGGAGTATACATTTCCCTAAACTCACCAAACTGTACAATTAAAATCTGTGTTTTAATGTATGTAAATTATTCCTCAATGAAGTTAATTAAAGAAAAAAAATCCGTGTTATTGTAACAACACATAGAACCAGGTTTCCCTCACAGTTTGGCAACTATGAAGTTCTAACCCCACCCTTGGTAGACAGCTATTCTGACACTCAATGACTGTGACAGAGCGGACCCGTGATACTTGTTAGAATCTGGGTTTGTCAGAGAGAGCACACAGCATCCATCCAAGAGAATGCTATGGGGCCTGTATTATCAGGAAAATTTTGTCTTAGCAGGAGATTGTTAAAATTCACTTAAGACATGTTTTATTTGAAAAAAACGACCCAGGCCCCAGCACCAGGAGCCTGGGTTCATGTCTGACAGTCCATGGGCTGTTGGCGGCATGCTTCCTTGATGTAGTTTTCTGTTCCTTTAACTATCAAATGAGGCTTCAGGCTGGCTAATCTGTGACATTTCTTTTAACTCTGCAATTCGATAATAAGGCTGCACCATTCCTGTGCACTGATAAAGTCACTAAATCACTGGAAAATTAGTGCCGGTGACATCCAACATGCTCCTGACACACACCTACCCTTTCATGGGCCCATTCCTAATTCCTGGTTCTTTGCTGAATTCTTCTTCCATCTCTTAGTTTTTCCTGAGTTCTTGTTGGTCAAGACTCTTTCTCACCTGCTTCTCTATTATTCTGGCAACTCAAAGTTAGTAAGTTTTTTGTGGTGATGGCAGAACCCCCAGCTTTTCTAGTCTGCCTCCTCTCTTACATGAGAACTCATGGTTGAGTGCTCTCTAGTACTCTGCCATGGGAAAGCATCTGTATAGGATGAGGACTTTATCAGTTTCAGCTCACATACTCCTCACGGTTCTGTGAGGTAAGTTTTATTATTTTATTTTCATTTTGCAGAAAAAGAAACTTAGCCATAAACGAGTTAGAGGGACTTGCCCAAGCTTACTCAGGCTATGCATGCGACAGCAGGATTGGGAAGTGAAGGCCTCAGACCCCAGGGTCTGTGTGCTTGACCATGATGCTGTTCTTCTTCCCTGAGACCCAAGGTACTTCAGGAAGACTGCTACCACCATGTTCGCTTTTCTTTATTAAGGAGAAATGCAACGAATATGACATTCAAGAAGAAACCCCTTCTTCTAAAAAAAAATGGGTGATAGGATAATCCCCAACTAATTTTTGGATGCTTTTGCCTAAAGTCTTATGATTGCTGGGAATGAAGAGTTAGTATTGGAACTGCAATTATTAGGGGGGTGGGGGAAGCAGGTGGTTTCCAACACACATGTCCCCTCCACCCCACTGGAATTCCCACAAAAATGTCACAGAGCCATAGAAACCTCCTTGGGCAGGCTCCCAAACTTAAAGACAGATTGCCCCTAACATGGAACAACCCCAGAAAGATCTTTATCAAATTATGCCCTTATGGTCATGGTGTTTTGTATGTTCCTTGAAGGAGAATTCAATGTAAAATGAGTTTAAGAAATGCTGGGAGTTCAAACACATCTCCTCACTAGTGTACTTCAAAGCTTTTATCACAAGTGAATTGCAAATCTCCCAACATAGTTTACCATGTGTATTTTCACCACGGAAGGTTGTTGTTGGTAGTGTTGGTGTATGTGTGTGTGGTAAGGGTAAGGTAAGAGTAGGTATTTGTTTTTGCCAAATGCCTTTTATTAATACCATCTTGAGGAAAACACAAAAAGACATTGAGAAAAATACTGCTACCATGGGTAGAAGACAAGGTGAAGACTCAGGTAAGTTAATATGGTGGCCAGCCTCCAAGATGGCTCCCAGTGATTCTCGCCTCTTAGTATTCCCATTTTTGTGTAGTCCCTTCCCACATAAGGCTGACCTGTACTGCTAAGTAAGATATTTCAGAAAGGATGGTGTATGACTTCTGAGGCTAGGTCATAAAAGACATTTCAGCTTCTTCCTTGCTCTCCCTTGGACCACTAACTCTGGAGGATGCTGACTGCTATGCTGTGAGGAACCCAAGCAGCCCAGTGGGGAGATCCAAGTGTTGTAAAGAACCGAGGCACCTCACCAATAGCCAGCATGGGCTTGCTGGTCACAAGAGTGTGCCATCTTGGAAGCAGATCCTCCAGCCCCAGTCCAGTCTTCAGATGACTGCAGTCCCAACTGTCATTCGAGTTCATGGGAGATAATAAGCCAGAACTACCCAGCCACAAGCCACTCTTGCGTTCCTGACCCACAGAAACTGTGTGAGATAATAAATATTAGTTGTTGTTTTAAGTCACTAAGTTTTAGGGTCATTTGTTATGCAGCAATAGATGCCTAATACAGTTAAGCAGAACTTCCATGATGTTTCCATGAAATGAACCTTTTGGACATAGTTTACACTCTTTAGAAATGAAGAGCAGTGATCTTCTGGCTACTATATTTCTATGACTGTATAGCTTCTATAACTATAGAAAAATAACAACAGAAACATTTTATTTGGGATGTTTTTGTCAATGAACAGGAAGACCAGTGGTGCTTGGTACTAATGTGTGGCTCCCATAATTTCATTTTCATCTACTGTATGTAGGTACATGCTTCCTTTACCTACTGTAAAACGTTGGCCTGCATTACATTAGTTTTGCTGTATAATAAGAACAGCATGATGTTACTCATTACTGCTATCTGCCTGTCTTGGGCTGTAAACCCCTAGCTGCAAGGATTGGTAGGGCACCTCGAACAAAAATTCTCATTTTTCTTAACAGTTGTGCTTGCGGAAAATGTAACAGTGTGCTCAGAGCGCCATTAACCTATCTGTCAGCTTTTAGCCTGTTCCTGAGAGTCTATGAACTTACTCTTAAAATCCTACAAAGAAGGAACTCTCATAATCTTAGCAAGGGATCACATTCTATTAATATTTTAATGTCTGCTTTGCTACAATAAAGTTTTGCTATATTATGAGAGAAATTTTGAGCTACTGCCCAGAAGAGGATAAAACAAGATATTTAAAGATTCAGCACTAAACAATGTTAATAACACCAATATGATGCTTTGTCTGAATTTTCTTGAAAAAAATGTTTTTAAAAGATACTCATGAATGGATAAATATAGTCACAAACTCTCAAGTTGAATAAGGGAGGCTACATTTCCCTCAGCCTTGGAACAAGGATAATAAAATATTGCTTTTATGGAGCCCCTTTCTTGGAAAAAGAGCTCATAAAACTTTATCATACATGTATTTGCTGTCTTAATGTAATCATTTAATCTCCCTCATGCTTTTCTCGAAGGCATCTTTACTACCGTGTGGCAGGGACTCCAGACTAATTGTGTTTACAGACAATGGTCAAGCCATCTTCTGAAAAGCCTGATTTTCTGGGGGAATGCAACAGTAAAAAACTCCACGATTTTTTTCCTTTATCTGAAAAAAAAATTATTGGGGTTTACTAGGATTGTAACCAGTGTCCCTATGAAGCAATGAGCTTGTTGTGCTGATTAACCTTATCTGCTGCCTCCTCATTCATTCTCTGGGTCACACAGGTTGCCATGGGAGAGTAAACACAGCCCTAGACCTTACCTTTTCACCTCGTCCTAATCTTCCTTTAGGGGCTCCTAGCAACTGTCCTGACCCCGAGAACGCAGTAAAAAGTGGAGGGTTGTGAGCTCAGACAAAGCAATTAGGCCTTTTGACCAATATCAACCAAGAGAAGGGAAGGGTGTAAGCTCAGACAAAGCAATTAAATCTTTCAACCAATATCAACCAAGAGAAGGGAAGGATGTGAGCTCAGACAAAGCAATTAGGTTTTTTGACCAGTATCAACAAGGATAAGGGAAGCTGGGAGGCTTCCTTCTGGGATCTTTATCAAGTAAGTTAAGCTGTCTCTCAGGGGATGACGCAACCTCTAGGTCAAGTGTGTCCATGCCTCATGCATTCTTTCATTTTGCTCAGAGAAGCAAGATGCCAAGCTCTCCCATCTCCTAGTGGAGGGTTGGGATTTGCTCAAGAGGAAGGGGCAGTGTAGGCAAGCCAGCTACGGGTGAGGGTTGGGTAGTGCCCCAGAAACTGCCTCGGCACTCCAACCCAGAGCCCAGTTTTGTCCTGCTCCTGGCTGCCTTTCTTACCAGAGATGCCCCTCTATCTATATTGAGATTTTACCTTTTTAACAGTTAATGAAAGGAGAGAAAAGATACAATTACCAGCAGTTTAGGGGCCAAGAGAGCATTTCCAAAGCTAATGCTCAGCTGTCTCTAGTCATTATTCTCCAATTCTGTCTCCTAATAGAGCTGGTTGTAGTTTTTAATCTGAATAAAATTTCACATCCACGTCTTTCCCCACCCCCTGCTCTTGATGGAAGCCTAGAGGGCCCAATAGATGATTGTTTGAATGAATGAAGGATGGATGAAGGAATGAATAATTTTTCTAATGGAATAGATCATTCTATCCTCAGAACAATCTGGTGAGATACACAAGTCATGTATTCCTCCACTTTTAACAGATGTGCAAACTGAGGTACAGAGGGATTTAACAACATCCTAAGGTCACATGGAGAATGAGTGACACTGAATTAGAACTTACAATGCTCTAAGTAGATAGTCCACAAACTATATCTTGCTTATGCCCATTTTTAGTTGAGCCGTTTAGATGCTAAGTAACTAGCCCTGCTCTCTCAACTTGGGGTGGCCCCATTTCCCTCCCAACTCTGATCCATTGGCACCTCCCAGTGCTCCCAGGCTTTCATGGTCCAACAGAACCCCTGTTTCTTCCCTGGTGCCATCCTGAGACCCACGCATGGAAGTAAACTCTTCCTCCCTGGTGCCACCCTAAGGCTGCTCATGATTTTCTATCCTGGCTCCTCTTTGCTGTATCCATGGCCCCAGCCCAGGGACATTCACAGCCTTGCCTGGATGGCCAATCCCACTACACCTGGGAAAAGTCTAGTTGGAGGAGATATTTTCATCAATTATCTTGTGGCACAAACAAGACCACTAGGAAGGGTTCCTCTGGCGAGGCACAGTGGCTCATGCCTGTAATCCCAACACTTCGGGAGGCTGAGGCGGGCAGATCACGAGGTCAGGAGATCGAGACCATCCTGGCTAACACCGTCTCTACTAAAAATACAAAAAATTTGCTGGGCGTGGTGGCACGTGCCTGTAATCCCAATTGCTTGGGAGGCTGAGGCAGGAGAATTGCTTGAACCTGGGAGGCGGAGGTTGCAGTGAGCTGAGATTACACCAATGCACTCTAACCTGGGCAACAAAGCAAGACTCCATCTCAAAAAAAAGAGAAAAAAAAAGAAGTGCTGCTCCTCTTCCTACTGATAAGTGGAGGAAATCACAAATCAGGAAGTGTGGGAGAATGGTTGGCGCATAAGCCACTGTGGGTCTTATTATTTTGGACACTTCTTGTGTTGTTGCTCCTTGAGCTCACTCCTTCCTTCCCCCTATTCTCTGGGGCACAGGGTAACTGTAAGCAATGGGGTTGGGTTTCTTTTCATTCATTTAAATGAAAAGACTTTCTCTCAAATTCCTTTCTTTTTCTGACATCCCATTGTTCAAAACATATTAATGTCTCTTCTGGAATTCCTTTCATTGCTTAATGAGTATTCTTTTGGATAATTTTTAATGGTGGCAACAATTTTCCATCCCTGAGGGTGGGTTTGGCTGTGGCTTTTTTGCCAGATAACAACAATGTAACTGTATGAAACATTTTACAGCTTTAGAGACTAGGATATCCTTGGTGTTGATAGATTCAGAATTAAGACTTAAGACTAAAGAAAATGGTGACTTTTATTTGGGTAGAAAATTTGACATAAAACAAAGGAAAGAGACAAGTTTTGGGGGTGGTTCAAGAATGGCCCAAAAGCATAGCCAAGAGTTGAGTTCTGGGCCAACCCCTTTGAGTAGTGGTGGCTCCACTGGGTAGCCAGAGTGACAGCTTTAGCAAAGGGCACAGATTTGGATGTCTTCATTCCAATGTGCGAGTTGTTAACAACCACAGCCAGTGCACCAGGAGCCTTCAACAAACATTCAAAAGTGCCTACTAAGTGTCAGGTGTGGTCATAAAGAAAGATGCAGGGTTTTAATGTCTGGATTTGCAACCTAATGGGGGCAAATGCAATACTCATATAACAAGTGCAGGCACAGGTGTCCATAGGGCCACATGGCACAAAGGAAGGCACTGTCACATCTCTTGGGGCTAATGGGGCAGAAGGGACTGTTGACCAGGCATGGAGTGTCAGTAAAGACTTCACGGGATTAGCAACAGTCCTCACAATTACCCCCCAGAGTAAGTATTCATATGCCCATTGTGCAGATGAGACAGCTGAAGGGGAGAGAGATTAAAATGCTGGCATGGGAACCAAGGATACTTCCTCTTTGCTTTGCTCACTGCTGCATATCCACCTAGCACTGCTTGAGTACTAAATTTCAGGGCTGGAATCTGGGTCTGTCTGAAATGCAACACAACACTCTCTATTTCAGAATGCTGCCTTCCTTTTGTTGAAAAAAAAAATCAGAATTCATTTATTGTTGTTGTTTTAAGTTTATAGGCATACTTCAATGAAAGTGAAGTACCTAGAACAGTCCCTGGCACACTATCAGTGTTGCTTAAATATTTACTGAATGAGGCAATGTGGCTGGTGCCTGGTAGGTGCCAAGAAAATGAGAGACAGATGGGAAGAGGAGAAGAGGGCAGACACAGTGCCAGGAGCATGCCAGGCACATTGGGCACAAATGGCATAGGAGGACCAGGTATTGGTTTTACTATTTGAGGGATAAGTAGAGTGAAGCTCAAAGATATGAGGTTCCTTGCCCTAAAATCACTCAGCAAGTGGCAGAAATGTGCCACACGGCTTCTGAACACAGTCACTGATTGAAGTAGACAACAGGCAGCAGCCAAGGAGTACATTCATGGGGCACAGGACACCACTGAGTTAGGATTTCTCTTCTTTCCTCATTCCTAGGCCCTAGTAGAACTCTGCTCTTCTAACTTTAACCAAATACTGATGCCTATTAAAATGTATCCCCCCTTACAAAATAACTAATGTTTAAACTTCTTTAAGTCTTCACCTTAGAAGGAATGAGCTTTCAATCCTTGTCTAAAGCCACATCTTAACAGTCGGTGGAGCAGAGCGAGAGTGTCTTGTCTATCTCCTTTTTACCTCATTGGTGAAGGAGGGATTCCTGCCCTAGGGCTCTGGGGATGGCCAAACACATACCATCGACACTGGACTGATGAGGTTCATAGCAGTTTATTTGTCACGTAGACTCACAGCCCAGAGGAGGAAGACAGCTCATTACATGCAGGATCACATGGGGTTGCACTCTAGAGAAGAGTGAGCTGGCAGGGACTGCGGGAGGCAAGCTTCATAGTAACAAGAGCCAGAGATGCCCCCAGCTCCTGCAGGAGCATGTGATTGGCTTGTTTGAATAATGTTGCAGGCTGGGAGGGGCATGAAACACATTGGGTTGAGGACCAGGTGGAGTGCGGTTGGTCCAGCCATTGAAGGAACTATGATGGTGGGAGCCTTTCTTTGCTAAATGGGGGCATATCTGGGAAGAGCAGGGGAATTCAGTTAGGCCTCTGGGGCTGCGTGAGGCTCAAAGACATCAAGGTATCACATGAAAGAAATTTCAGGCCTTACAATATAAAGTGAGACCTAGGGGCAGGTGCTACACAGTGAGAGAGGGAAGAAGGCAGTTTCACAATGTTACCCAAGATGGGCCCCTCCTCCCAGTGTAGCTGATAGCAACCCACACACAAGTCCATCAGCTGCGGCTCATCCATGCTGTGGAAGCCTTAACAGCATTAGAGAAGTTTGCTGTAAAAATGACTATAGTGACATGGAAGAATATCTCCAATATAGTGTAGAGTGAAACAGGCAGGGAACTGATGAGTGTATAGAGTAAGATCCCAATCAAATATTAAAATGACCAGTAAGCCCAATAAGTTGCAGCCAGCAATTTTCCCTGAATAGTGCAATTATGAGTGATTGGTTTTCTTCTGTAGTGATTTTATCTGGTTTCCATTAGCATTACTTTTTAAAATCATGTAGAAAATGTAAAGTGAATTTACACATCAAATTTATAATACTAGCCTTATAATTGCTCATATATTTACCCTTACTGGAGACCTGTATTTCTATATATGGCTTCAAATTACTGTCTAGCTTCTTCTTTTTATTATTTTAGAGATAGGGTGTCAGTCACTCAGATTGGAGTGCAGGGATGCTATAATAACTCACTGCAGCCTTCAATTCCTGGGCTCAAATGATCCTCCTGCCTCAGCCTCCTGAGTAGCCTGGACTATACATGCACAACACCATATCCAGCTAATTTTTATTTTATTTGTTGTAAAGACAGAGTCTCTCTATGTTGCCCAGGCTGGTGTTGGACTCTTGGCCTCAAGCCATCCTTTCCCTTCCACATTCCAAAGCCTGAGATAGGTTTGAGCCACCACACCTGGCCATCTAGCTTCTTTTCATTTCAATCTGAGGGACAGACTTCTCCCTTTATCATTTCTTGCAGGATAGATCTAGTGGTAAGAAACTCTCAGTATTATTTTTTGAATGTATTAAGAAAATAATATTTGGGAGGAAACAAACACAGAAATCAGAGACTTGACTGCCCCAGCTGTCTGGAGGCGACTTCAGAAGTAAAATAAGCCATCTCTACAGGCCACTTCATCACAAAGCTCTAACAAGGTTCTTGGAAACCACAACAATCTCACTGAAGACCCATATGGTACATGAGACATAGTTCCCCACAACCAGAGAGAACTCCACAAGAGCTCTGCCACTTAGTCCCTGTGAGACTTGGGGAAGTGAACTCACCTTCACCTTTTATAACAGGATCCTGTGTTTCCATATGGGAAAATGGGGAGGGGCTGATTTTAGGTGAGGGACTACCAACCCAGGTGCCTTAAGCCTTCACCAGAAGTGAGCTAGGCCATTGGGTAGACTGTTCAGGAATAAGAGCTGCCAGAGCTGTGAAAGACTGTTCACCTATTCCTACTCAAGAATAGGAACAGAGCTGCTGGCACTTCCAATTTTTAAAGAAAATCCCTCAAACTTTATTCTTATTTGAAGGCTCCTGATGTAAAATATTGATGATGAATTCAGCTTAACACAAATAAACCAAGAAACAATCCAAAACACTACAAAGGTCAAAAAAGACACATCCATCATGGGGATATATCTGGTCACCAGTTCACGACATCTGCATTATGTGATCTCTGAAGTCTCTTCAAGCTCTGGAACTTTGCGATTCAGTGATGTCTTGTTTCTCCTCTTGAGATGTGACATGTACAATAGGGAAGGTCAAACCGAGGTGCTTTCTATCTTTGAGGCAACACTGGTGAAGGCTGGAACCAGCAACAGGTGACATTCTCAAGCCGATGAATTTTTCTCCAACTCCATAGCGAGCCCTCAGCTGACTCCCTATCCTGTGTTTAACACGGCTGTGCTACTTCAGGCTCCCATCTCGCTGAGGGTGCCCATGTCAGCCAATGACCTTTGTTACACCCCAGTGCCTTCAGGTATATAAATAAGGAGCTTTTCTATCCAAACTGGACAGATAAGATGTACTATACTTGCATGTCACAAAGCAGACATGTGCAGTAGGGTCTCAGCTATAGAGGAAGGTGAGGTTCTGGAAATATTTTGTGAAAAAAAAGACTGTGTAAGTATGAGAAGGGTCATCAGATAATATCAGCTTTTACAGATCGGGGCTTCTCAGAGGGATGCTATAAAACACTCTTCACAGAGGCTCAAAAGGAGTATTGATTTTTTTAGGAGCAGAAGGGGTCAAAATTACATGTCTTGCACAACAGCAGCCACTGCTCTGCCACTCTGGACCTTTCTAACAAAGAACAAAGTCAGGAACAGGCAGAAAAATAGAGCTGAGAAGGGAGACAAAGAGGAAGGCATTGTCTGGTCCTGGCAAACCTTCCCCCGGACGCTGTATTAAGGCAAGGTGAAGCTCTTCAGCAATACCGGAACCTGATTTTATGTGGTGGCTGCTGCAGTTGACAGCCATCTCTGGGGACCTGCTGTGTGTCTGCAGGAAGGCGGTGGGAAAGGTCACCACAGGGCGGGCTGTGGCCCAATGGCACTGGCAGCCAAAGATTTCCCAGGTTGATGCACTTGATCCTCCAAGTAGATAAAATGCCCAGAAGGCACCAGACATTTTCATAGTCCAGCAGGATGGTGCTGAAATCAGCATTGCAGAATCCTGATGGCATGCCCCTCAGAACAAGAACATGGATACTTGCCGGTGTCTTTTGCTCTGGAAGGGTGGACAGGTGGAAGGGAGAAAGAGGTTGCTCTTGTGTGATTGCAAAAGAGGACGCAGCACCTATGTCCACTATGTGGCCTGAGAGAGGTCCCTTGCCCAAAGGGGTACAGGAAGACTTCCTTAGGAAGGAAGTTGGATTTATGTTTTGTTTATTTGTTTGTTTGTTTGTTCGTTTTCTGAGATAGGGTTTCACTCTATCACCCAGGCTGGAGTTCACTGGCATGATCACAGCTCACTGCAGACTTGACTTCCAGGATTCAAGCAATTCACCCACCTCAGCTGCCAGAGTAGCTGGGACCACAGGTGTGGTGACCACCATGCCAAGCTAATTTTTGTATCTTTTGCAGAGGCAAAGTCTTGCTATGTTGCCCAGGCTGGTGTCAAATTCCTGAGCTCAAGCAATCCAACCACCTTGGTCTCCCAAAGTGCTGGTATTACAGGAGTGAGCCACTGTGCCCAGCCCAGAATTTATAAATCAGAAGGTCACTTTCCTGGGGGCTGCAGCCAGGAAGCTATTAGAATGAATTAAACCAGCGAAGCTCTGGGAGTTAGCAACAGAGCAGAGAAGCAATCAATGGCATCTTAATTCTTGCTACCTCCTGGAAGTGTGGAGATCCTATTCTTTACTTTTTCTTCCCTCCCAGGTTCTGTCCAGTTGATAAGTAGACCGTATTTGCCTAAAAATGATCAAAATATTTCCTACTAAACCCAAAGTGTGAGGGTCTGAGAAGGTTCATCTGTAGAGCCTTCAGGGAACCCTACCTGCCACCCAAATGTGAATGAACCTGGGTGGAGATGCTGGGAATTTGAAGAGAAAGCACAATGTAATGGACAGCAGGCAGGATTAGGGGACAGCAAGAAAGATGGGCCCATGTTGTCTGTTTCCATGGAAGGATCCTGCCTCTGGAAATTGTGGCCTCGCAGATCCAGACTCCAGCTGATTGCACCACACACCCTGAAGGAGGTGGAGAGCAGACCAAGAGTTCACCCCAGCACTACTCCACCATATGGAAACCTGAAGGTGAGGAAGACAAAGGTTCCTCCACCCTTCACATACACACCAGAGCAGGGCTGGGCCATCAGATAGGTCAGAAGCAACGTGAAAAGGGCTAAGCTCTAAAGTTAGACACCAGCTTAAAACAGAGTGGGATCAACCAGTGAGAGGCTGTGGGTCATACCCGCTGCCAACTAGTGAGTGAAGTCAACCTGCAGGGTGACACAGCCATGCAGGGGGAGCCATGAAAGTTAGGGTCTAAGGAGCTGGAAAAGAACCAAGGAGAGAAAGGCAACAACAGACAGACAGAAGGGATGGCTATGATTGCACAAAGAACTTCCCTTCCTTCACAAGCCCACAGCTGGGTCTCTTGCCACTGCCTCAGCAGTTCTTTTCCCAAAGCCTCAGTCTCTAAGCCTGGCATCTGGATATGGGGCAAATGCAGACAGAGAAAGTTTCTGGTTAGCAGGAGAGAGCCCAGAACTAGCATCACTGGAAGCCCAACCCAAGGTGGTCAGTGACCAGGGAGTCTGTAAGCATAGAATGACTGAGACAACAAGGGCAGAGGTCGGGAGGGTGCATTGTGATCATGGGGAAGAACGGAGCTGGATCAGGTGAGAAAGCCCTGGAAGTGAGAATAGTAGTTAAGCTCCATGTTGTGGCTGTATGGTGAAAAGTCTGACCTAGATGCCAATTTCCCATACACTGAGCTTCCAAAAATGTCCAAGCATATGTCTTCGGGGCTTGATTTGGACAAGATCTGACCAATATAGTAACCATTTTCTGAGCAGCCTGCATGGGCTGGGTCCCAGGAGAGCCGTCTCAGATGGCCTGAAGGCAGAAGGAGCCTTCAATTTAAGGAGCCACCTGAGCTTCTTTCCCATCCGAGGATGGTGCTAGTGTGAGATTCTCCCTAGACTGAACATTAAGGAAAATGGGAATGTCCATGTTGACAAATCAGTTCAAGGATGGAAAAAGATTCTGTTAGAAGGTGAGACTTTAAGAAGCTTCTATACAACAGTAAGTTCTATTCATCTACGTTTCTCAACTTTGTAAAATTTCATCAGTCAAATCCTTTTGCTAAGACCCCATCTATTTCTCTGTTTATGGACTCCCTCAACCTTCCTTAATCATCCCTTTATGCTGAACTCGAGCTAAAATATTTATAACATGATATTATTAGCAAAGTTCATTCATTAAGGTAATGTTTACACTTCCATTACCAGCCAGTAGTGGTCTTTCATTCATGAAGTTCTCCTTTTGCCACTAGTCCTTAATGCAGATCACTGAACAATTAAGGGCTTCCTGTGCGTGGAGTTGTTCCAGGTTGCTCAGGTCTTCCGTTGGTGCCTACACTCAGGTCAGTGTTTTCTGAACAACTTTACTCTTGGGAAGGCTCAGGACATACTTCAGGTAATAAATGGTTTCTGTCACAATGACACCACAGACGGAATCCTGAGAAAAGATTTCACTAATGGCCCTGCTGGTTTATGGGGATTAGCCTAATCTCTCCCACCAGCAGTTCTCTTTCCTCTCTCTACCTGGGGTTCCTCTAGTCGACCCACGACCACTGTGAGCAAACAGTGGCCACAGGAAGGAAGGAAGCTTATAGGGACTCAGTCATGTTTGAAAACTGAACACAATAAGGCATGTTTATTCTGCAAAAAGTCCCTGTGTAAAAGGTAAGAGATGAGGCTTTGCCCTTTTTTGGAACTTCAAAACCTCACTGGGCTTATCCACTTAACAATGGAATGAAGTTCTACAAGAGAAGATAACTTCCCAGTGTCATGGAGCTGGCGCAAGAGCCCAGATTGGACTCTTCAACTCTCCAGGCCTATTTTCACTGCACCACATGTTCTTACAAAATGGGAGCTGGCCTTGGAGCTAGCCATTTGGAGCGGTTACCAACCTCCAGAAATTAATAGAACCCAAGACCAAGACCTCACATAGTTCGGCAAGGAGAAGCCTGAAAGTATGAGGGGAAAGCTACAGTGGACCTCAGGACAGTAAATGCTCTAAAAAGATGCTAGGTTCATGAATATTTCTTCCCCAGCCTTGAATGACCCAATGATTCATTTCACAAATGAAGAAACTATGGTTCAGAGAAGTTAAAAGACATGGCCAGGGTCATTCAGCCAGTTACCTGACTGAAATAAAGACCGTGCGACCCCATCCTCAGTCCAGTGCTCTCTGGCACACTGTCCTCCCACATCCAACTCATTCATTTAATAGCACATATTTCTGTTGCTTGCCAACTTGAGAAAAGATGAATGTAAATTGTTTTTTAAAGAAAAGAGGGCAGGGAGAATCGCATAGTTCCACTTCTAGGAGCTTATCCTGCGGATATATTCATATATATATACATATATATATGTATATATGTATATATATATATCTGTGAAACAATGTGTATACAAGACTATGCACTGCATTTTTTGTGGTAATTATTTGAGACAACTTAAATGTCCATCAGTAGGGGATTATTGATATAAGTTATGGTGTATCTATGTGGTGTGTCTATGCAGTGATTAAAAAGAATGAAGCAGCTATAATCAAGTGTATGTACTGCTATGAAAGACCTACAAGCTACAATGTTAAGCAAGATACACAACAGTGTGTGTGCTATGCTGCCAATTTTGCAGTGTGTGTGTGTATGTGTGTGTGTGTTTGCCTGTATCAAATAATTCTAGAAGAATGTCTAAGACACTGGAAACACTGGTTGCCTTTTGGGTGCCAATGCTTGGCACTTAGTAAATGCTCAATGAATACTTGTTATTGGAAGGAAAACATCCACCTTAACCAATATTGGCTTTCAACAAGGCATAAAATAGAAGTCTATGTATCCAATTATTCTCATTCCCTAACATTGACACCGGGGCCCACGTCCAGATTCCTGGGCTTTATGGAGTGAATGTCCTTCTGTAGCAAACATCTTTGCAGCCTGACACATCCAACTGCATTACAGCAAAGCCCAGGAAGCACAGCCTCTGGGGCTGGAGCACTTAACTCATAATGCCAAGAGGAGAGACTCACCAGCCACATTTGTTTCTCACAGGAATTCTTAAAATCTTTCCTAGACACCATCTAACGGGAAGTGAAAAGTGGCCAAGACAAAGACTCCAGTAAAAAAGACAGACTCTTTTCTCAAAATCACAGGAAAGAGCCAAAAGCTGAAACACCTTTTTAAATTTAAAAATGTATCTATTTATCAAAGAACTATAGGCCCCCATGGTGGAAAGATCACTCCCTTCCAGGGCCACACCTGGACAGCCCAGCCTATGGGATTATCCGTCCCCACCACAGCTTGCCCGTGGATTCTTCTTCTTATGGATTCCTTGTCTCTATTCTCCAAAATGATAACTAGTAAGAACTGAATAAACAAAACATGCTAGAGGTTAGATTCGTGGTATTAACCTGATGGTTTCTATTTTCCAAGAGTTGAATGTTTATTAAGAGCAAACTAACAATAAAGACATTACACCAAAACTAATAGTGGCCAGTGCTTATATGGCACTTACCAGGTTCTAGGCACAATTCTAAGCACTTTACCAAAGCTAATCTATTTAATCTTCCCAACAATCTAAGGATGTCAGTATTATGATTGTCCCCACTTTACAGATGAGGAAACTGAGGCTAATTAACTTTCCCCAGGCCCACGTTTATTAAGTGGTGGAACCAGAATTTGAACCACGAGAGTGTGGCTCTGGAATCAGTGCTTTTAACCACAATGCTAGAGATCCGAGGGAAGATTTAAGGGGCTGAGACAAGCCAACAAAGGCGTGGTTTATATACCTGGCGGCATGGTAATCAGTGCTGACAATGGAGCCCCATCATCCTCCAAACACATAGAAACACTGGATAAAAGATAACCAAAAAATGATTTAAATTTATAGCCAAGCTGAAAAGAAAGAAATAAAACTCTCCAGGTGCCAGAGGCATAAAGAGACTACAAAATGGGGTAAAAAAGTAATATTGGCCCTGGACTTTGGCCCCAGTGGCCGGCACACAAACAGCACATGTGGCCTGCAGCCCAGGTTTGCTTGACATAGGGAGCAAACCCAAGACCCTGCCTCTTCCCAAACCTTTGAAAAACCTGCAGCCTCCATGAAAAGAAGGCTGGAAAATTTCTCTTGATGGCTGGGGGGAGTGGCAAAGAGACATACCATCTGCCGGAGGAAAAACCGTCTGCCATGTGATATTGACATCCCAAGACTGCAGCTCGCATAGAGGTGAAGTCCAAATGTAAACCGCAGGCTAAAGTAGCTATACAAACCATTCACAAACAAATGAGCCCCTGGTGCTTCCAGCAGAAGCAAATGTAAAACCTCTCTGTAAATTTCCACCACCCAGGGGAAGGGGACACCCACAGGAAAAAAGACCTCCGATGAGAAGTCAAAAGTGTAAGATGATAGGAAGATAGGACCCACTCCGAGGAAGGCAATGGACTGCACTCCTGGCTGATTTTTCTTCAGCACACTCATACTTGTTTGTTTTTTATTTGTCTTCCTTACTAGTATTTAAGCTCGAGTATTGGGATTCGGTTTTTCATTGCTCTATCCTCAAAGCCTAGAACAATGGCAGGTGCATACTAGGCATCCAATAAATATTGATTGGACTTTGATAAAAACAATAATACATATTGTTTATGGCTATGTCATAGATAACATATGAAGCCTGGGTAGGAAAGGAGTCCAGTAGTATCAGGAGAGAGGCTCCCTCGGAGAGGAGAGAGAAGGCACAGGATGGGGTTGGGGATGCTGGAGCTCTCCGACTCTGTAACAGCTTTTATTTCTTTAAAAAATTACTGGAAGACTTTTGGCAACATAATAACGTTTGTTATATCTGGGTGGTGGTTCTATAGGAGCCCTACAGTATTCTTTGTCTGCTTTTCTGTGTGTTTGAAATATTTCAAAATTTAAAAGAATAATGCATACAGGTATTTGAGGAATGAAGGAGCTTCTAATCCAATCATGGGGCCTGGGGGCTGCCCTGATCCCCCTATTGCATTTGGACCATGGCCCTGATTAAATCCAACAGCCCAAGGTACAGGGGGTGCCCGGTTTGCATTCAGACTTCTTGATTGCAGAGATGGGCAGTGGAGGAGGAGAGAAGGCTCTGCGACGTGGCTTCCCTGGGACAATCCCCCAGGGGTGAACGACAGGCTCTTTGCTGGGTTGCGCTTCCGGGTGCAGCTAGGAAGAAGGGAGGTTGCTTCCACTCCTACTTTGGGATTTATGAAAACGATCACTCATAGACTTCTCTGCAAAACTGTAGGAACCCGACTAAAGGCGCCAGCTACCAATGCATCTTGCAGCCAGTTCGGGATTTCTGTGGGTCTTTCACCCAGCTGGCTGGCAGGATCCTCTCACCGAGTGGAGCCCGGCCCCGATCCCGCCTCGGGAGGCCAGGGAAAGCGCACCCCCTACCGGGCTCCTTCCTGGGCCGGGGTCGCCGCGGGACCGGGGGCTGCCACCGGCGCCCGGCCGCTGACCGGGCTCAGGCCACGCTCAGCAACGCACATGCACTCCCAGAAGCGCTGGAAGTGGGGGGCTGGGGGCTGCTTCTGCCCTACCTCCCCTGAGTTTGCGGGCGGCGGTTAGGGCGTGGAAGGAGGTCCAGGAACTTCACGTTTTCTGGCTACACAAAGACCACTCCGCTTTCCCGAGCAGCTCAAGCCAGCAGAAAGCAGGAAGCCGCCGTCCCCTCTCTCTGGCCATTCCCACTGCCCCTCCCCAAAGTGGGCTGCAAGGAAAATGGAGCCCATCAGCTCTAGGGATCTCTCTGGGCCTTGATTGATTCTGTTTTTGCGCTTTACAAATGATCGCTGGCCTGCTGGTTAAGCAAGCCAAGTAAACCTTTGCTAAGTACTTAGGCAACTTAAGCACCTGGCCTGAGAGGTACAGGCCTAGTTTAAGGAGCTCTGTCCAGTAGAAATCTAAAAAGCAAGCCACATATGCAATTTTAATTTTTCTAGTAGCCACATTAATAAACGTACAAAGAAATAAGTAGAATTAATTTTTCAATTAATAGACTTTACTTTATAAAAATCAGTTTTAGGTTTACAGAAAATTTGAACAGGAAGTTCAGAGTTCCCATATAGCACCCCTGCCATACATACTCAGGCCTGCGCACTCGCGTGCACACACACGCACACACACTTCACACTTCCCCCTACTAGCATCTTGCCTTAGTGTGGTACATTTATTACAATTGATGAACCGATGTTCATACATTATTGTTAACTAAAGCCCATAGTTTACATTAGGGCTCACTGTGTTGTATACTTCTATGGACTTTAACAAATGTATAAATGACATGTGTTACCAATGTAGAATCATACAGAATAGTATCACTGCTTTAAAAATCCCTATGATCCACCTGTTCCTCCATCCTTGCCTCCCCTCCCCAACCCTCTGGTAACAACTGATCTTTTCACTGTCTCCATAGTTTTGCCTTTCCCAGAGTGTTAAATAAGCAGAATCTTACAATGTATAGTTTTTCAGTATGGTTTCTTTCACTTAGCAATACGCATTTAAAGTTCCTCCATATCTTTTCACAGCTTGAGAGCTCATTTCTTTTTTGCACTGAATAATATCCCATTTTATGAATGCATTCCTGTTTTTTTTAATTCATTCATCTACCAAAGGACATCTTGGCTGTGAAATTAATTTTTAATAATATATTTTATTCAATATAGCCAAAATATCATTTCAACATTCACTCAATATTTTTAAATGATCGCACTACTTTACATTCTTTTTTTTATACTAAGTCTTTAAAATCCACAGTGTGTATTTTATATTTATAGCGCATCTCAACTTGACTTGCCACCTTTCAAGGGCTCAATAGCCCCAGGTGGCTACCATATTGGACACCATAGATCTAAAGAAAAAGAAAATATAGCTCCAACTTTGGCGAGTGTATAATTTTATCAGAAGAGATAGAATATCTACTATTCTCTCACACACACACACCCCATGACTTGAGAATTGCATGCATCCCTTTCACACAAATACAAATATATGGCTAGGTGCAGTGGTTCACGCCTGTAACCCCCACAATTTGGGAGGCCAAGGCTGGTGGATCATTTGGGGTCAGGAGTCCAAGACCAGCATGGCCAACACAGTAAAACCCCATCTCTACTAAAAATACAAAAATCAGCCACGTGTGGTGGTGCATGCCTGTAATCCCAGCTTCTCAGGAGGCTGAGGCAGGAGAATTTCTTCAGCCTGGGAGGTGGACGTCGCAGTGAGCCGAGATCACACCACTGCACTCCAGCCTGGGTGACAGAGTGAGACTCTGTCTCAAACAAACTAACAAAAAGAAATATGTTCAAAATTTGGAGAATTTTTTTGCTTGGATTTTGTTTTACCTTTTTCCATGGAAAAGATTTTTCTATGATAGGTTTTTATAATAGGCCTCAGGACCACCCCTATGCCCACACTACCTCCCAAAATTTGAACCAAAATGTGACATCTAAGGTAGCTGCTTAAATCACATATAATAACTTTTTCTACCTATTGGAAGCTTCCACACTTCTCTTAAAGATTTTCCACATTAAAATTTGTTTTATTCAATAGGTGCTAACTGAATGTCCAGGGAAGCAGTTTTCCAAGTGTGGTCTGGAGAGTCCTGGGAGTCTCCGAGATGCTTCTGGAGGCCCAGGGGTTCAGAACTATATTCATAATAATACTAGACTTTGCCTTTTTGTCTCATTCCCTCTTGAGAGCACAGTAGAGTTTTCAGAGCCTACATGATGGGTGTTGATGTGAGACGAAATCTAGAAACAGATATGGGAATCAAATTTAACTCTTTGCTATTAAGCCAGACTTCAAAGAGATTTACAAAAACATAAATCAATGCCATGCTTCTCACTAAATTTAAATCAAATCACTCTCCTTGTTACACATCTTTGTGTCAGAAAATATAGTTATTTTTCATAAAGCGTGATTTATTTTAATATTTAATATGTTTTCATTTGTTTGTTTGTTTTTGTTGTGGTTGTGGTTGAGACTCGCTCTATCGCCGACGCTGGAGTGCAGTGGCACGATCTCGGCTCATTGCAACCTCCACCTCCCAGGTTCGAGCGATTCTCCTGCCTCAGCCTCCCAAGTAGCTGGGACTACAGGTGTACATCTCCATGCCCAGCAAATTTTTTTGTATTTTTAGTAGAGATGGGGTTTTACCATGTTGGTCAGGTTGATCTCAAACTCCTGACCTCAGGTGATCCACCCACCTGAGCCTACCAAAGTGCTGGGATTACAGATGTGAGCCACTGCACTCGGCCTTCATTATTGTTTTAAATACATTAATACATATTTTAGATTGTTCTTAGTTTTAATTTCTAATGCAGTAAATATGTTAGATACAATCCACATAAACTAAACCTCTTCGGAGTCCTCAGTAAGAACGTAAAAGGGTTCTGAGGCCAAAAAGGATGTGCGGGGCTCCCTGCTAAGCTCTGTGGACACCAAGATAAATGAGCTTGAACCTCAATGAGACAAGTCACCTGAGAGGCCTGAGAGGTCCCCTCTTGATGTCCCTCTCCCTCTCTGCATGGCTTGCTTCGATTTCGTATGAGGAGCCACTCACATTAGGTAATATGAATGATGGTGTCCTGCTTCAGAACCCACTAACTGGGAGATCACACAACTTACTGTACAAACCAGAATACTTGATTTGAGTTAAAAGGACCATGCTATTCATGATTATGCTGGGATGATAGTCATCCTGTCACACCTCCTACAGAAAAGTTGATTTGTGCTCTTGAAAGTAACTGGAGTCGCCGGGCGCAGTGGTTCACGCCTGTAATCCCAGAACTTTGGGAAGCTGAAGTGGGTGGATCACCTGAGCTCAGGAGTTCGAGACTAGCCTGGCCAACATCGTGAAATCCCGTCTCTACTAAAAATACAAAAATTAGCTGGGCGTGGTGGTGCACACCTACAATTCCAGCTACTCGGGAGGCTGAGGCAGGAGAATCACTTGAACCTGGGGGGTGAAGGTTGCAGTGAGCCGAGATCGTGCCATTGCACTCCAGCCTGGGAGACAAGAGTGAAACTCAGTCTCAAAAAAAAAAAGAAAGTTGGTAACTGGAGATGCAGGTTGGAAAAGCCTCCATGGGTAGGAAGAAGACATGTGGCCACTATGTGTATGTGGGGGAGAATCCTGAGTATCTATAAAGCAAGAGTGGGGACCTAAGGAGTGGGCAGCTGCAGTGGGACCCAGGGAGAAAAGTTCCAACCAAAGGGTGTGAGTGGAGACAGAGAAGGAGGACGTCTCAGCCAGGCCCACCTGAGTCTTAGAATAGCTGGGCTCTTTCCCGCTGATTGTCCTTTACTGAAATTGAAATATGAACAAACAAAAATGTTTCTGGGTTACACAGTGGGATGATAATGGATACAGTGGCGCTCATTCTAGAAGACTGTTTGTAAGTACTAGATGAACAGAAAAGGACTCTGGTCATCACCTTCTGAGAGGAAGAAGCGAAGTCTACCCCACTGAGTTTTTATTCCATGTCCTTGCAAGTTTCTAAGTTAACTTCTAAAATCCCCTGATGAGTAAAGTTTTACAAACGTCATATATTTTTGTTGTCTTAAAGTGAACAGGAGCAAGTGAGTGTTGAAAGGAGAAACAAGAAGCACCATATGCAGGTTAGTCCTGGAAAGTTGACAGCTTTTGACAAATTACAGAGATGATGGCACATCCCGAAGTGAGCAGCATCTGCACTGGCATCAGCATTATCTGAATGAGGCATTAAAATGAGCTCAAAGCCCAGCTGTTTACAGCTTACTGAATGTATTTAGCCTGTCCCCAGAGGTGTGGTGCCTCAGGGAGCCCAAGAACAGTTACAAGTCCTGCCTTAAGTCCTGGCCAGCTCTAAGACCTGGGATCTAAGCCCAGCTCAGTCCCTGGTTAGCTGTGGGCCTCATCTTTTGATTTCTATTTTTTGCATCAAACAATTGGAGGTAATAAAGTCTTCCTCAGATGCTGTGATGGTTCCAGGTGAGCTGTCAAAGTGCTTGGCAGTCATCAATAATGTAAGGTAGCACGGAGTATATTACATGTAGAAGCAAACCTACAGCAAAGATTTCCTAAAAAGCCAGTAAAAGGCATTGCTTTAATAAAATAATGAGTTGGTCTCAATTTAGAGAATGACCACTATTCTTTTAATGGCTGCATGCCATGCAATAAACAAACAAACAAACAAAAAAAGGACGACAGGGAGCAAGGGGATGCAGGAGGAAAAAAGAGTGAAGATAAAATTAGAAAGACAAGATTGGTTCCCTTAACTCGGAATTCAATCCTGTCATCTCCTTGACAACTGGCCCTGCTGAGGGACAGGGGGGCAGAGGTCAGGTCCCAGGGGTTCACCTGCATCAGCAGAAATCCAGGCCTGAGGCCTGGCTGGTTGGCAAACTGGAAAACCTGAAGTGGGAAGCTCATGGCCAGCCTGCCTGGGGCCGGCCATCTCCCTTAAGTCTGACTGTCAGGAGAAGGGGTGGCCAGTGCACGGGGCTGCTGCCCTATGGGGGCTGTGGGATGGGAAGGAGCACCCACAGGTGAGCCAGAGGGGTGACATTCTCAGCAGTGCAGCACCAGCTGTGGCCAAGATTATGGGAAGTACTGTCCTGGACTTGGAGTCTAGAGAAACTTCCAGAGCTCTGTCTTTTGAGAGACAATAGCATCTGTGCCCCGACCCCCGCCCCAGCCCCTACTTTTCTCCGACAGTCAGAGAACAATGCTATGTGGTCCCTGCAGCTTTTGTGACCAACCCATGCTGAATCTGCTCAAATGACAAGCTCAGATCAGGTCACTGGACACAGCCAGGTGGCACTGTCAGAGTCCAGCCCAGGTACCTTTTGCTTCCTTAAGCAACATCCACATTCAGACTACAGATGAATACAAAGCCAAAGGCTTGGATCAAATTTGACTTCAGTACTGCTATGGTCTGAATGTTGGTGTTCTCCCAAATCCATCTGTTGAAACTTAATCCCCAATGTGGTAGCAGGAAGAGGTGGAGCCTTTTGGGAAGTGATTAAGTAAAGAGGGCTTTGCCCTTATGAATGGGATTAGGCCCTTATAAAAGAAGCCCTTATTATTTTTTTTAAGAGGAGCTAGTTTGCTCCTTCTGCCGTGTGAGGACGCAGCAACAAGGTGTCATCTATGGAGCAGAAATTGAGCCCTCACCAGATACCAAATCTGCAGGTGCCTTGATGTTGGACTTCCCAGCCTCCAAATCTGTGAGAAATGTTTGTTGTGTATAAATCATCCCAGTTTAAGGTATTTTGTTATCACAGCCCAAAAGAACTAAGACAAGTAAAGATGATTCTAAGACAAAATGCACAAATGCGGAAACTGCTTTCGAAAGGCCCATCCGATTGACCTCCCACCCCCAGCCCCTACTCTTTGCCTGTGTGTGAGCCTTCTTCACCCGGCTCTGAGCTCTATGCACGGCTGTGCTACCACCAGCCCCTTCCTTCTGCATGGAGGACAATTGAGAAGGCCCCAACACCTGTAAACACATGCATCTCGCTGCAGAGGATCTGGCATAGGCCGGGGTATCTATTGTACAATGGATCCCAGATGTCATCTCAAGGAAGAATTGCTTAGGGACACCGTCGAAAGCCCAGATTCTCATGTTGCAGTCCAGACACATGGGTCAGAATTTTCAGTAGGGGATCTGAGCAGTTGGGGTGTTTTTAAGTTCTCCCAGTGATTCCAATGCAGCTGGTCTTGGGAGGAGCATTGGAAACCCCCACTCTAAACCAAAGAGTAGTTATCCCTCATTTTTCAGCAGCACCAAATTTTTAATTTTTCTAAATAAATCATTTGGAGTATGCTTATTCTATAGCATAGACTTCAAAATTTGCACAAGCTTAAAAAAAAACTCTCAAATTTCACATTTGCTATGTTTTGTGGCCTCACTCACACACTCACCCAGGATATAAACATTCACTCCCCACTGCCATTAGGATGCTTTGTGGGAAAATATGAAATAGCAGGTCTGATGTGTTGTTGCCTCTCCCACGAATACTTGCCCTTTAATAGCACATCAGGGAGAAGAGCCCATAAACCTCTCAGAAATGAAATTAGACATAAGTAAATGAAAATAATGGCAGAACTGTAGACCCTGTAGATCAGGCAATGTTTGGAAAAGCAGGAATTCTGGGCCCCTTAATTCATGTCAGGCAGACAAATAATAATAAAATAGCAGCTAGCATTTATTGAGCATCTATTAGGTCCACACAGCATCTCTGGAGGATAGCATCTCCATTTCTACCTTATCAGTGATGAAACTGACCCTCAGAGCAATTAGAGGACTAGTCACACCCACAACAGGTAAGATTTGCATTTAGGTTGCTAGAGCCCCAGTTATTCCCTTCCATAATGGGGCTCCCTCATTAGGAAGCAAAACTTGCTGTAGGCAGAAGACTCATCCTGAAAAAGCAATGACAAGACAAAGTAGCCTCTGTCCCCAGAGGTGAGAAATGGCCAGGAACTCCAGGGTAAATCAGGAAGGTCAGGCGTCTGCACCCCACAGAAAACTAATCTCTTGCAAGGGTGGAGTCTGGATGGCATCCTTAAGTAAATTCTCTTGCTTTTGTGGCTTCTTATTAACCTGCTTACTGTCATCCACACAGCCACCCCTATTTGTTAAGGTCCATAGAGGGCCCGTAATTGGGTTTCCAGCTGGTCATAACATTATACCTGGATCATATTTGGGTTAATTGTCTGAAGCTGGGTTAATGTTCTCCCTCTGGGACAGACTCTGCACCCTTCAAAGGCTGAACCCCTCTTTCTGACAGACTTGGCCTGTGTGAGTTATGAGGAGGAGTAGGGCTTTTGTCAGGCAGCAGGTTCCCAGCAGCAATGGGAACAAAGGGCCATAGCTGGAAGAGGAACACAGCACTTGCACCTCTCTAATAAAACCACCCAGACAACTAGCATGTTGGAAAAATAAAAGACAGAAAAAATGAAGAGAATGATGTCTTAGGACCCGGCTCCGCAGAGTGGAAGTCCCAAGAGCCAAGCTTGCCTGACTGCACCGGGTTTGATGTAGTGTCTCAGCCCGGGGCCTCTGCCAGGAGCCAGTTACAAACCTTCCAAATCTCTCTCTCTCTAGTCTCATTGCTATGCAGACCAATTTTTCATTCATCTGGAATCCACTGCAGCATTTTAATGTGGAAAGCCTGCTATTCCATTTCTCTCCCCTGAAGAAAAATGGCTTAATTTCTCCAGCTGATAGATTTTTTTTCCTGATCCTTCAGACAGTAGAAAAAGACCCTGGAAAATCAGCTGCTGGACTATCCACAGACATTTTATGATGGCCATAAACAGGGCTGTGGCTGGATGACACAGCAGGCAGCATCCTGATTAGTGGTCTCAACACTGTTATTACCACCTCCTGTGAAAATGATGGACAGGTAGGTAGGTAGGTAGGTAGAAAGATAGATAAATAGATTGACTGATTGATAGACAAATGAATAATGGACAAATGAGTGGGTGGATGGATGGCTGGTTGGATGGATAAAACATGATAGGAGTTGTGGTTTCCCTACTATATTTGGGAAGAATAATCCACCCCCTATATTTTTCCCTACAGACATGTGAGACTTTCTAATACCAAATCAATCCAGATTCTCCTACCTACCCACTCACCACCAAATTGAGACAGATTTCATCAGCAGGGGAAAAATCTATTTAGAGAGGAAATTAGAGGAAAAATTGGGGTTAATCATTTTAGCTGTGTTTTCTGTTGTTCAACTCACATGGCTCGGATGGATGCTATCAGCCCATCCCATCTGTGGCTCTTCCTCTGAGGCTGAAGATGACCTGGTGTGGCCCGGGGCCAAAGAGAGCCAAGGACGAAGGGACACCAGGCCCTCCTCTGGGTGAAATAATTGGAATTTCATTAGAGGAGTGTGGTAGATGAATGTGGCATAGACCCTGGTGCCAAACCTCTAGGGTTGAAACCCCAGATCTGCTATGTGCTAACTTTGTGACTTCAACAAGTTACCTAACCTCTCCATGCCTCAGTTTCCCCATTTATAAAATGGGGAGAGTAATAGCACATACCTTGTACAATTGTTGTGACGATTAATGAGCTCATGTGCCTTAAATGTTTAGAAGAGAGGCTGACGTACAGTAAGCACAATGGGGAGTAAGTCAAATCTCTCCTCTAGACCCTCCAAATAAGCAAGTTTGTTACACAGAAGAAGAGACTTTAATCCCAACAAGAAGATAATCAAATTTAACTAACTCAGCCATAGGTGCAAGGCCAAAGGTTGCACTTAAGTGCAACCTTCTTCCCTTACACTGTTTATTGATCTTCCTCAACAACAAAAGCAACATCCATTCAAATCAATAGCCCAAGCTAGGGTGGACTCTGAATGAACAGGAAGTGAATTGTCAGGCTGGGGCCCTAAGCCAAGCCCTCATCCTAAGGCTTGTACCTCCAGGACATAATTCACTACCTTCTGCGGTGGTGGCCTTTGAAAAACCACCCGGGCAGCTAGATGTCCCTCAGAAGCCAGGAAGAGTTGGAAGACTTCATCCTGCTCTACATAATTTAAATGGCTACATTCTTCTAGGCATTACTTAGAAGTTGCCCCAGCGCCTACATTAATGTTAGCTGCCCCTTTGTTAAATATGCTTATTGATGTGTGGCTTGTTTTTGTGTCTGGGACTTTGAGGAGCTGAAGGTTATAAAAGCAAAAGACTGGTGAGTGTTAACATTGAATTTGACCACACACACACAAAAAAAATATAATTATCTCAGTGCCCCCATCTGCACATGTCACAGTGAACATCTGCACATGTCACAGTGATTCTGTTCCAAAAGAAAGCACTAGTTACAGATAGACCTTGATTCCCTACCCACCATTGCTCCTTCTACACTGCCAGCCAGCCAGAGCTTTCCCTGCTGGCCTGCATTCATGAATACCAGTTTTCATGAAGCCATGGCATTTTGTCTTTGGAGAGCAGGATGTAAAACTAGAGTGTGTCAACATGATGGAGAACTATGCTGCCATAAAAAATGATAAGCATGTGGATTGTGTCAATATATGGAAATAAGTATGTGAAATAGTGCTAAATGGAAACAAGTACAACACCCAATAGTTTGCACACATGGATTACAACTCCATCAATAATTATGTCTGCACACTCATCAGCAAGGGCTGGAAGCAAATTTAGAGTGGTGTACGTAGAGGATTATTTACTGGATTCTTTTTTTCTCCCATAGAATCTTATATATTTCTTATTTTTTATGAGAAGAATGGAAGTTTGGACTGAGACCAACAAGAAAAGCATTTAGCTGCTGACACAATTGCTTAGACAGGAAGGGACACTTGCAGTGGTTGGAAATATGCATCAAGGGAAGCTGCAAGCCTAAAAACTCATACAGTTTTATGAGCTCTGCAGACCCTCCCACTCCCAGACTGGCGGCAGCCACAGGCTGAGTGGAGACTCTAGCACCATTCTCCCAGACGGGCAGAGCACCAACTTCAGGGATGCAGAATACAGAGGAGGCTTCAATGGATATATGGCTTGTTTGCTACTATGTTCACATTTTGCTTTAGAAGGGGGTAACCACATTGTCCTGGCTTGTCCAGGCACAGCCCTAGTTGTCCTAGTATAATTATTAATATCATCCCCTTTTAGTTCAAAAGTGTTCCTGTTAGGATAATAAAATATATGGTCACCCTAATTAAAGGGGCCATTCAGGCCCCAGCTTGGTGCCTAGGAAGGTAAGTGTATTAGCCTGTTCTCCCTGCTGCTAATAAGGACATACCTGAGACTGGGTACTTTATAAAGGAAAGAGGTTTAATTGACTCACAGTTCTGCAGAGCTGGGGAGGCCTCAGGAAACTTACAATCATGGCAGAAGGGGAAGCAAACACATCCTTCTTCACATGGTGGCAGGAAGGAGAAGTGCTGATCAAAAGGGGGGAAAGCCTCTTAACCACCAGATCTCGTGAGAACTTACTCACCATCATGAGAGCAGTAGCATGGGGATAACTGCCCTCATGATTCAATTATGTCCCACCCCACTGGGTCCTTCCCACAGCACATGAAAATTATGGGAACTACAACTCAAGATAAGATTTGAGTGGGGACACAGCCAAACTATATTAGTAAGTGATACCTGTCCCTAAAGGCACCAAAAGACAGGCACATAGATACTCTCACTCTGATCTTACAACAGCCAGGGGATCAGGATGGCATTTCTGTCCCCAATTCACAAAAACATTTAGCTGTGGGCATGTATTGGGATTGCTGCCAGCGCTGTGTTGGAACCAGCTACTACCAGCCCATGGCAGCCGACTGGCACATACCTTCCCAGCTTTACATTCAGTGATATCATCTTGGTAGCTTGAAACTGAAATTGATGGGAGTATCTACACCATGGAAATCAGGAAGTTCTACAAGTTTGGGCTTTTATTTTTTCCAAGGGGGGGTAGGAGTTTGTTGTAAGATATTGGGCAGCACATCACAGATTGCTGGAGTCACTGAAGCTAGAATGTACCTTCTTATAGGACTAGATGATCAGACAGGTTTATACTGAGCTCCCAGTCAAAGCCCCAAAGGGTAACCCAAAAACTATGGAATGTGGTAATCCCTTGCAGACAGGAGAAATGGACAAGCATCTGTGGTTATTTTCCTCACCCATTGGAAATAAAATGAGAACCCAAACACCAATCAATTCAGTTGTCTTACGATATGACAGCTTGACTCACAGCCCAGCTTATCTGATACCTGACAATGTTGTTTGCATCCTATTAAAGCAGATAACCAGTGTGCTGTTGATGCAGCACTGAGTCTTCCTACAATGACAGCTTTTGAATCATGGCTCTTTCTTCATCATATGAGTCATCAAAAAACTCCATACCAATTGACACCGTAACATGTGTGTCACTACAAAGTGGCTTATTCTTTGGCACCAACGACATTTTGTTAATTTGTCCCTCCCCCACCCACACCTCATCCTGCAGCTCCTAAGTAGAGACCTTGGTGAAAGCTACATTTCATGGTCACGGACAATTCATTACTTCCTGTCACTTGCTATTTATTATTGGCTCTCTTTTGTAAACGTGGCAAGCAAAGGATGAACTTCTACAAAGTTGTAACAAGTACTTTAAGTGACTTTCTGGCACCTGCACTTCCATACTTGGTGAGTGTATTTGCTAAATCTAAAAGGTTTAATGAGAGAATCGAAGGTGAAGGAAATTTGGGTCTGGTCAGGAAACGTAAGGTACCAAAGAAAAAAGAGTGAAAGGGACCATCCCCAGAAGAGATTCTTCTCTAACTGGGCATGCTCAGCTGTGCAGGCTTTGAGGATGAAAGGAGCACTGTGTCTGCATTGATGAAGCATCTCCTGTTTGTAAAGTACTCTCCTACATGGCACAGGATAATAGATTAAAAACAGGGCATGTGCTTGCTGCCTTTATAAGCTAGTTGGAAGAGATGGGATGGAGGCAGAGGAAATAATGGGGTGCTGGTGAATGGGAGAGACAAGACAAACCAAAATGGCAATCCTTGACTTATATGTGATAGAGAAAGTCTAAATTAATGTAGTGCTTGTGGCTGAATTGAAAATTTTCTGGAAGGGGGCTTTTGAATGGGTTCCAGTAGCAGCTATAAAGTTTACATCTTCGTGAACTGAAAGCGAACCAAGAATTTTGAAACTCTAGAAATGAGAAACGACCTCAGCAAATTTTCATAGAATTTAACTCTGATTATTCTAGCATATTCTCTTTAGAGAGTACAACCTTTACATTTTTTTGATGACAATTCTACAATCCCCAAAGTGTCCTCAGAGTTTAAGTGTGTCTAGGACTAATGTGGAATAATTAGAAAAGGTGACAGTGTAGCCTCCAAAGTGGCAGCTGGGCGCCCAGTGTGTTTTAGTTAGTGGTTGACTTGCCATCCTTCCCATTAGCCTGTGTTCTCCAGGAGGAGGCAGCATGCCAGGCTCTGTGACCACTCCCCACAAAGAGCTGAGTTGTGTGAGTGCCAAGAGCAAGGCTCGGGCTTTGTGGAAGGCTTGGTGAGTGGTCATATGTGACACCACGACCCCTGGCATCTGCAATTTCCTAATTAATTTTACCACATGCAAGTCCTTGTACCTACCTCAGGTAAACTCAGCTATCTCATCAGTTGCAGCAGATGCTCCTTCTAGATTTCTCCAAGCTCTAAAATTTTAAAGTTTTATGATGATTTAAAAATCAGATTATGTAAGGCAAAAAAAATGTTTAAACCAGAAACACTTCTATTGATAATTTTGTAACAAAAGTTACACCGAACACAATCCCATGATGGTGAGGTGATACAGCCTTCAAAAGACAGAAGGGAGAGTAGTGGCTCAAGTCATGGACAATGACATTGATTTCCATGCTGCACTCTGAATTTCTGCATGCCCAAGGCAGCCAAATTTAAATTATGCAAACATTTGAGGAAGAACCTGTATATTTTGTATTAGATTGATTTATATAAGCCAGCCAACAAGGAATCTGAGATTATATTCTCCAGGCATATGTTCTTCTCCTTTGGCACAGTTGGCCTCTCATTTATCGGGTTCTGGGATAATCCTTTCTGCATATCTCTGTGCTGTAAATGGTGTCCTCAGAGCCTTCACAGAAGCTCCTTAAATGTCTGCTCATGTTTCAGACAAGTGGTTAGATCATACATCAATGCATGATCTTCTCATAACAGATTACCTGCCTCTGAACTCCAACCTTCACAAAATGCGGTATTTGATTCTAACCTATCACTCATAGGCAGCGTGACAACTCTTAAAAGAAGGAGACGAACTCTATATAGTTCATTCCTTACTGACATTTTTAAATGAACATCTGTTATGTAAACTCAGGTGAAGTTTTCAAAAATTCAGCTTTACTTTTTCATTAATTCTGATAACTGATTGACTGGTTTCCTTGACTCCTGGTTCATTAATCTTCAGCTATGATGATATTTCTCTTTAGACATATTTTCTGAATAGGTTGTGCATGGGGGGATTAGTTAAGAATGTCCTTTCTTCCTCTGTAACTGGATAAGCCCTAGATTTTTTAAATTGGCAGTTAAGTGATGTTCAATCCCAAAATAACCACAAAGGTTGAGCTGATTTCTGCATTATGACAAGGCAGTAAGGAGTAGACATTAAAATCGCAACGTGTCTTAGCTTTAATTCATTTGATGAACAGTCAGTCAGGTATAGCCATGGGTTAGGAGTCTGAGTCTCTTTGGGATGCTGGTGATTTGTTTTTTTTTTTCTTTCTGAACACCCATCTCAATTAATTGTCTCAGCAAAATGAGAAAGTCAAATTTCGATGGGCCTCATTTTAATTTCTACCCTAGTCAAAACATTCTACTTATTGATTTCTGCTCTAATTCCCCTAAGGGGTTATAAGAAATTTTCTGTCTTGGAAAAAATGCTCCACAGTGTCACAGAGCTAGTGGGAACTTCAGAGATCATATAGTTCAATGTCCTCATTTCACAGATGAGAAGACTAGGGCCTAGAACGATCGAGTGATCTGACCAAGGTGACTCAGAAAGTTAGCAGCAAAGCCAGGCCAAGGCCCTTCCAGTGCTCTGTTTATCATACCATGTTCTCTGCCCCGGTATAGACTGCCTTGCTGCTACTATCTCCTATTTATTCTAGTCTCTTGTACTCATCCTCCCATTTCCTGTGATTCAGCTATTTCCTGACCACCTATTTTATATTCTGGCCACCCATTTTACCATGAAACATTTCACCTGATGTCTTACTCATTGCCTTCCTGAATTGTGGTATAAATTTAGTGCTCTCATTTTGGCTTACATCCATGGTGTCTGCTTTACCCTGACAGTTAAATCCTGGATGCATCACCTAACAAAGACTCCAGATATTAGCAGATACTACATTTACTTCTTCCCTCATTTGAGATTCCTCATTGTCCTCTAATTTTCAGCCACTGCCAAGTCCAGACCCTTCACTTTGTGCTATTTTTGGCTCTCGTTTCAGCCACTTTGCAGAATTGCTGTCCATGGTACTGATATTAGCAAAAGCAGTGACTGTCCAGCCTGAGTGGGAAAAGCAGAAGTCTATAATGATTATAAATTATAAATCTTATAAATCTTATAAATTATATATACTTAACCAGACATTTCAAAGCCAGTTCTCTTTTTTAATGTCTCACCAGGAAAGGGACTGTCAAGTGGGTGATAGCTTGTGATGTGCTGATATATGTTTAACCAATAGCTCTCCAAGAAAAAAAAAACACATAATTTGTAGTGTTTTCCAATTTCCATGATATAAGCAGCACTCCTACAATGGCTGACTTCAAGCCACTCACGAGACGTCACTAAACACAAAGCTGAGAGAAGATATGTGCAATCAGCTCTCATGGGCTAGTGCAAGCTGGCTCCACCATGCCATTAGCCATAGCCCAACATTGCAGCTCAAGTTTCTTAAACTAGGATTTTCCCAAGGCGTGACATCCCCAAGGTGGCTGAGAGTAAAAAATGGCTAAAAGTGTTTCTGAAGTAAAGCCCTTTAGTGAGATCTCAATGTGAAGCCAAGAGAACAATACATGTCTTAAGCCCAACAAGACAGACACGGGGCCCTGAAATGGAAATAGGATACATGTTATGGGCCATATACTTTTTTAAGAGCGAGAGCAAATTAGGATAAACATGATCTTGGTACTATAAAAAGCATTGGAGTTGTCTGTAGATGGGTAGCCTGTGGACACATCACTTTGATTTGCAGGCACATGGCCAAGGGAAACACCCCTAGTGTGTCCTGTGATCATGATTTTCTCAGCTCCAAATCTGAAGTGGGATATCAAAGTTCCAGGATGTCTTTTGAGGTTAATTTTGCAATCACAGATAAAATTCTATATTTTTGAATACTATTTTTATTTCTACTTACTTTTTATTAAAAATCTATTTTGATATTGTGGAAATGATAATAGCCAAGACTGCCTTTTGATTATAAATAGGAGAGACCAACTGAATCTAGACAAATGAACAATTTATTGGGAGGAAACTGGGGCACCTCACAGAAAAACCAAGACCCTAAAAGGGAAAGGATTCATCTGAGATTCAGAAACAGCTGGTACCAGGAATATGACAATATCAAGACTACTCTCTGTTTCTTGTGTCTGCTTTACTTGGATGTCAACTGTGTTATTCCTTCTCTCTACACACCCTCTTTCTCCACATAGCAGAGAACAATGGTGTTTTTCAAGCTCTGAGCCTCACAGATCCATAGTGAAATAACTGAACGCTTTTAGTCCCTGATATGTACTGAATTGTGTTCCCCCAAAATTCATACGTTAAAACCCTAACTCCCAGTGTGACTGTATTTGGAGCTAGAGCTTTTAGGAGGTAATTAAGGTTGAATGAGGTCTTAAGAGTAGACTCCTAATCCAGTAAGAATATGGCCTCCTAAAGAAAGGAAGAGAGAGAAAGAGATCTTTCTCTGTATTTCCATAAGCACTCACCAAGGAAAGGCCATGTGAGGACATACTGAGAAGGCTGCCATCTGCAAGCCAGGAAGAGAGCCCTCAGCAGAAATTGAATCAGCTCACACAGCTTCTAAAACTGTGAGATAGAAATCTCTGGTATTTAAGCCACCCAATTTATGATATTTTGTTATGGCAGTCCAAGCAGACTAACAGTCTCAAATCCAAAATTATCAAAGAAAAGATCGTTGTTCCAGGTGAAGTAACATCCTTCTTCTTGGATCAATTAACTGTGTTTCAGGGTGGTAGAATCACATGTGAACCATGTGTGTAGTGGGGAGTTCCTACACAAGGGGTATTGTTAGGCAGGAAACCCAATAGATGCCTATCTCACTATCTATTTCTACATGTCATAGGATTGGTTTAGAGAACTATGACACTCCTAATATGATTTTTAACAAATTATACTAAATAAAGAATAGAGTCTTTCATAATACCAAATACTTTAGAAAGTCACTGACTTTTTAAAAAGTATTGCTACTGGGTACTGGATGAGTTATTTCTTTCTTTTTTTTTTTTTTTTTGGACAGAGTCTCACTCTGTCATCCAGGCTGGAGTGCAGTGGTGCGATCTCACCTCACTGCAACCTCTGCCTCCCAGGTTCAAGAGATTCTCCTGCCTCAGCCTCCTGAGTAGCTAGGATTACAGGCCCAGCTAATTTTTTGTATTTTTAGTAGAGATGGGGTTTCAACATGTTAGCCAGGATGGTCTCGTTCTCCTGACCTCGTGATCTGCCCACCTTGGCCTCCCAAAGTGCTGGGATTACAGGCGTGAGCCACTGCACCCAGCTGATCAGTCATTTCTTAATCTGTTTTTATATCAAAGTCATGTGAAGGGCTTTAAAAATATGTGAACTCGATTCCCAGGCAAGATGGCCCAATAGGAACAGCTCCAGTCTGCAGCTCCCAGTGAGACCAACGCAGAAGATGGATGATTTCCACATTTCCAACTGAGGTACCCAGTTCATCTCACTGGGACTGGTTAGACAGTGGGTGCAGCCCACAGAGGGCAAGCAAAAGCAGGGTGGGGAGTTGCCTCACCAGGAAGCACAAAGGGTCGGGGAACTCCCTCCCCTAGACAAGGGAAGCCGTGAGGGACTTGCCATGAAGGATGGTGCTATCTAGTCCAGATAGTCCAGATACTATGGTTTTCCCTCAGTCTTCACAACCCACAGACCAGGAGATTCCCTCAGGTGCCTACACCACAAGGGCCCTGGGTTTCAAGCACAAAACTGGATAGCTGTTTGGGTAGACTGAGCTAGCTGCAGAAGTTTTTTTGTTGTTGTTTTTGTGTTTTTTTTTTCCCCCTGGTGGCACCTGGAACACCAGTGAGACAGAACTGTTCACTCCTCTGGAAAGGGGGCTGAAGCTAGGGAGACAAGAAGTCTTGCTCAGTGGATCCCACCCCCATGGAGCCCAGCAAACTAAGATCCACTGGCTTGAAATTCTTGCTGCACAGCACAGCAGTGTGAAGTCAACCTGGGATGCTCAAGCTTGGTGGAAGGAGGGGTGTCCACCATTACTGAGGCTTGAGTAGGAGGTTTTCCCCTCACAGTGTAAATAAAGCTACCAGAAAGTTTGGACTGGCTGGAGCCCACTACAGTGCCACAAAGCTTCTGTAGCCAGACTGCCTCTCTAGATTCCTGCTGTCTGTGCAGGGCATCTCTGAAAGAAAAGCAGCAGCCTCAGTCAGGGGCTTATAGCTAAAACTCCCATCTCCCTGAGACAAAGCCCCCGGGGAAAGGGGCTGTGCCTAGGGCAAGGGGCAGCTATGGGCGCAGCTTCAGCGGACTTAAATGTTCTGGCCTGCTGGCTCTGAAGAGAACAGCAGATCTCCCAGCACAGCACTCGAGCTCTGCTAAGGGACAGACTGCCTCCTCAAGTGGGTCCCTGACCCCTGTGCCTCCTGACAGGGAGACATCTCCCAGCAGGGGTCAACAGACACCTCATATAGGAGAGCTCTGGCTGGCATCTGGTAGATGCCCCTCTGGAACGAAGCTTCCAGAAGAAGGAGCAGGCAGCAATCTTTGCTGTTCTGCAGCCTCTGCTGGAGATAACTGGGAAAACAGGGTCTGGAGTGGATCCCCAGCAAACTCCAGCAGACCTGCAGTAGAGGGGCCTGACTGTTAGAAGGAAAACTAACAAACAGAAAGCAATAGCATCAATATCAATAAAAAGGATGACCACGCAAAACTCCACCCAAAGGTCACCAACAGAAAAGACCAAAGGTAGATAAATCCATGAAGATGAGGAAAAACCAGCGCAAAAAGGCTGAAAATTCCAAAAATCAGAGCGCCTCTTCTCTTTCAAAGGATCACACCTCCTTGCCAGCAAGGGAACAAAACAGGATGGAGAATGAATTTGACAAATTGACAGAAGTAGACTTCAGAAGATGGGTAATAACAAACTCCTCTGAGCTAAAGAAGCATGTTCTAATCCAATGCAAGGAAGCTAAGAACTTTGATAAAAGGTTACAGGAATTGTTAACTAGAATAACCAGTTTAGAGAAGAACATAAATGACCTGATGGAGCTGAAAAACACAACACGAGAACTTCATGAAGCATACACAGTATCGTAGCCAAATGGATCAGGCAGAAGAAAGGATATCAGAGATTGAAGATCAACTTAATGAAATAAATCATGAAAACAAGATTAGAGAAAAAAGAATGAAAAGGAATGAAAAAAGCCTACAAGAAATATGGGACTATGTGAAAAGACCAAACCTACGTTTGATTGGTGTACCTGAAAGTGATGGGGAGAATGCAACCATGTTGGAAAACACACTTCAGGATATTATCCAGGAGAACTTCCCCAACCTAGCAAGACGGGCCAACATTCAAATTCAGGAAATACAGAGAACACCACAAAGATACTCCTCAAGAAGAGCAACCCCAAGACACATAATTGTCAGATTCACCAAGGTTGAAAGGAAGGAAAAAACGTTAAGGGCATCCAGAGAGAAAGGTTGGGTTACCCACAAAGAGAAGCCCATCAGACTAACAGCAGGTCTCTCTGCAGAAACCCTACAAGCCAGAAGAGAGTGTGCGCCAATATTCAACATTCTTAAAGAAAAGAATTTTCAACCCAGAATTTCATATCCAGCCAAACTAAGCTTCATAAGTGAAGGAGAAATAAAATCCTTTACAGGCAAGCAAATGCTGAGGGATTTTGTCACCACCAGGCCTGCCTTAAAAGAGCTCCTGAAGGAAGCACTAAATATGGAAAGGCAAAACTGGTACCAGCCACTGCAAAAACAAACCAAAATGTAAAGACCATTGACACTATGAAGAAACAGCATAAACTCACAGGCAAAATAACCAGCAAGCATCATAATGACCAGATCAAATTCACACATAACAATATTAACCTTAAATGTAACCAGCTAAATACCCCAATTAAAAGTCACAGACTGGCAAATTGGATAAAGAATCAAGACCCATCAGTGTGCTGTATTCAGGAGACCCATCTCATGTGCAGAGACACACACAGGCTCAAAATAAAGGGATGGAGGAAGATTTACCAAGCAAATGGAAAGCCAAAAAAAAAAAAAAAAAAAAAAAAGCAGGGGTTGCAATCCTAGTCTCTGATAAAACAGACTTTAATCCAACAAAGATCAAAAAAGACAAAGAAGGGCATTACTTACTGGTAAAGGGATCAATGCAACAAGAAGAGCTAACTATCCTAAATGTATATGCACCCAATACAGGAGCACCCAGATTCATAAAGCCAGTTCTTAAACACCTACAAAGACACTTAGACTCCCACACAATAATAGTGGGGCATTTTAACACCCCACTGTCAATATTAGATCAACAAGACAGAAAATTAACAAGGATATTCAGGACTAGAACTCAGCTCTGGACCAAGCGGACCTAATAGACATCTACAAAACTCTCCACCCCAAATCAACAGAATATACATTCTTCTCAGCACCACATCACACTTATTTTAAAATTGACCACATAATTGGAAGTAAAACACTCCTCAGCAAATGCAAAAGAACAGAAATTATAACAAACACTCTCTTAGACCACAGTGCAATCAAATTAGAACTCAGGATTAAGAAACTCACTCAAAACCGCACAACTACATGAAAACTGAACAATGTGCTCCTAAATGACTACTAGGTAAATAACAAAATTAAGGCAGAAATAAATAAGTTCTTTGAAGCCAATGAGAACACAGACACAACGTACCAGAATCTCTGGGACACAGCTAAAGCAGTGTTTAGAGGGAAATTTATAGCACTAAATGCCCGCAGGAGAAAGTGGGAAAGATCTAAAATCAATACCCTAATATCACAATTAAAAGAACTAGAGAGGAAAGAGCAAACAAATTCAAAAGCTAGCAAAAGACAATAAATAACTAAGATAAGTGCAGAACTGAAGGAGATAGAGACACAAAAAACCCTTCAAAAAATCAATGAATCCAGGAGGTGGTTTTTTGAAAAGATCAACAAAATAAATAGACCTCTAGCAAGACTAATAAAGAAGAAAAGAGAGAAGAATCAAAGAGACACAATAAAAAAATGATAAAGCGGAGATCACCAGTGATATCACAGAAATACAAACTACCATCAGAGAATACTATAAACACCTCTATGCAAATAAACTAGAAAATCTAGAAGAAATGGATAAATTCCTGGAGACATACACCCTCCCATGACTAAACCAGGAAGTAGTTAACTCCCTGAGTAGACCAATAACAAGTCCTGAAATAGAGGCAGTAGTTAATAGCCTACCAACCAAAAAAAGCCCAGGACCAGACGGATTCACAACTGAATTCTACCAGAGGTACAAAGAGGAGCTGGTACCATTCCTTCTGAAATTTTCCAAACAATAGAAAAAGAGGGACTCCTCCCTAACTCATTTTATGAGGCCAGCATCATCCTGATACCAAAACCTGGCAGAGACACACACACAAAAAGAAAATTTCAGGCCAATATCCCTGATGAACATTAATGCGAAAATCCTCAATAAAATACTGGCAAACTGAATGCAGTAGCATATTAAAAAGCTTATCCACCATGATCAACTTGGCTTCATCCCTGGGATGCAAGGCTAGTTCAACATATGCAAATCAATAAACGTAATCCATCACATAAAGAGGACGAATGACAAAAACCACATGATTATCTCAATAGATGCAGAAAAGGCCTTCGATAAAATTCAACTCCCCTTCATGCTAAAAACACTCAATAAACTAAGTATTGATGGAACATATCTCAAAATAATAAGAGCTATCTGTGACAAACCCACAGCCAATATCATACTGAATGGGCAAAAGCTGGAAGCATTCCCTTTGAAAACTGGCATAAAACAAGGATGCCCTCTCTCACCACTCTTATTCAACATAGTGTTGGAAGTTCTGGCCCGGGCAATCAGGCAAGAGAAAGAAATAAACAGTATTCAAATACGAAGAGAGAAAGTCGAATTATCTCTGTTTGCAGATGACATGATTGTATATTTAGAAAACACCATCATCTCAGGCCAAAAACTCCTTAAGCTGATAAGCAACTTCAGCAAAGTCTCAGGATACAAAATCAATGTGCAAAAATCACAAGCATTCCTATACACCAATAATAGACAAACAGAGAGCCAAATTATGAGCAAACTCCTATTCACAATTGCTACAAAGAGAATAAAATACCTAAGAATACAACTTACAAGGGATGTGAAGGACCTCTTCAAGGAGAGCTACAAACCACTGCTCAACGAAATAAGAGAGGACACAAACAAATGGAAAAACATTCCATGCTCATGAATAGGAAGAATCAATATCGTGAAAATGGCCATACTGCCTAACGTAATTTATAGATTCAATGCTATTCCCATCAAGCTACCATTAACTTTCTTCACAGAATTAGAAAAAACTACTTTAAATTTCCTATGGAACCAAAAAACAGCCCATATAGCCAAGACAATCCTTAAACAAAAAGAATAAAGCTGGAGGCATCATGCTACCTGACTTCAAACTATACTACAAGGCTACAGTAACCAAAACAGCATGGTACCAGTACCAAAACAGATATATAGACCAATGGAACAGAACAGAGCCCTCATAAATAACACCACACATCTAGAACCATCTGATCTTTGACAAACCTGACAAAAACAAGCAATGGGGAAAGGATTCCCTATTTAATAAATGGTGTTGGGAAAACTGGCTAGCCATATGCTGAAACTGGACTCCTTACTCACACCTTATTCAAAAGCAATTGCAACAAAAGCCAAAATTGACAAATGGGATCTAATTAAACTAAAGAGCTTCTGCACAGCAAAATAAACTATCATCAGAGTGAAGAAGCAACACACAGAATGGGAGAAAAATTTTGCAAGCTATCCATCTGACAAAGGGTTAATATCCAGCATCTACAAGGGAGTTAAACAAATTTACAAGAAAAAAAACAAACAACCCTATCAAAAAGTGGGCAAACAATATGAACAGACATTTTCAAAAGAAGACATTTATGTGGCCAACAAACATATGAAAAAAAAGCTGATTACCACTGATCATTAGAGAAATGCAAATCAAAACCACAATGAGATATTTTTAAAACCTGAAATGTGGAAGAGGGGGTGAAGGGAAGTTTAGATGACACAAAGTAATTACTCTTTTACTTGACAGGTAGAATGCATTACTGGCATATATTTCCTTATTCAAAACCCTCAGGACCAAATGTGTTTCGGAATTCAGGATTTTTTGAATGTTAGAAAGACAACACAGTTGTGTATGCTGTATGTCACAGAATATACCCAAAGAGTCTGGGACAACACTCTATAATCAAACTTCAATATTTCTGCAGCAAAATGTGGGAATATTTACACCATGTAGGATAAATAAAATATTATACATAGCCCCATATCAGTTCCACTCAGATAGCTACCAAATAGCTTCAAGTCAGTCACTGGCACCAAATGAGTTATGAAAAAACTTTCAGAACTTTTTGGATTTCCAAATTTCAGACAAAGGATTTGGAATTTAGTTTTAACTCTAAAACTATATTTCAGAAAGACTGCAAGGAAAGTCTAATCAACATAGCCAAAAGCAGTTCTTTAGAGAAGCTGGACAAACATCACCTCCTATGCTCATGTCTCTTTCCAGCCCAACCTCTGCTCTGACACTGGATCTGCTCAGGTCCCCCCTGTTTAAACACACACCCCATTACCCCAAGAAAATGTCCCCTCTCCTTGGTACCCCCCTTGCGCTCTGCCTTGTCCCCCTCCAGCTTCCTGTCTCACTTCTCTCCCTCACTTTTCCCTCCTGTCTTAAGCAATATAACTGTTTAATTTTTTTTGTTTGTTTGTTTCCATAGGTTTTTGGGAAACGGGCTGTCCTTGGTTACAGAAGTAAGTTCTTTAGTGGTGATTTGTGAGATTTTGGTGCACCCATCACCTGAGCAGTATACACTGAACCCAATTTGTAGTCTTTTATCCCTCACCTCCTTCCCACCCTTTCCCCTAGAGTCCCCAAAGTTCATTGTATCCTTTTTATGCCTTTGCATCCTCATAGCTTAGCTCCCACTTGTAAGTAAGAATATGCAATGTTTGGTTTTCCATTCCTGAGTTACTTCACTTAGGATAATAGCCTCCAATCCCGTTCGAGTGGCTGCTAATGCCATTAATTCATTCCTTTTTATGGCTAATTAATATTCCATCATACATATATACCACAGTTTCTTTCTTTTCTTTTCTTTTTTTTTTTGGAGACAGAGTCTCACTCTGTCACCAGGCTGGAGTGCAGTGGTGCGATCTCGGCTCACTGCAACCTCCACCTCCCCGGTTCAAGCAATTCTCCTGCCTCAGCCTCCCAAGTAGCTGGGACTACAGGTGCACGCCATCATGCCCAGCTAATTTTTGTATTTTTAGTAGAGACGGGGTTTCACCATGTTGGCCAGGATGGTCTCGATCTCTTAACCTCGTGATCCGCCTGCCTCGGCCTCCCAAAGTGCTGGCATTACAAGCATGAGCCACCGCGCCTGGCCTATACCACAGTTTCTTTACCCACTCATTGATTGATGGGCATTTGGGCTGCTTCTACATTTTTGCAAATGCAATATAACTTTATACCTCCTCTTTCCTCTTACTGGGATGCCCTCCTCCCTTCTTGTTACCTAGGAAACTCCCATTTTCCTCTCAAAACCTCCTTGGGTGTCACCTCCTCAGTGAAGATGTTACTGAACCTTCAAACCCCACTCGACCAGAGAGAATGCCTCCCTCTGCTGCATCCTTCCTCTCCCTTGGCATCACTAGATGGTTGCCCTGAATATAGTATATTAGATTTCTTTCCTTATTTGATTATCCTCCTTTTGAGGGAAAAAAGGGATTTTTATCTCTATACTTTAGTGCCAAGCACAGAGCCTAGGATATGGAGTAGAGGCCCCATAAATGTCTCTAAGTTTTGTTCAAACTCTACTTTGAGGTTGAAATTATAGGAGATAAAGGTATACAATGGATCTCCAACAACAGAATCAAGTGAGACTTCAAATACATCTTCACATAAGCCTACCTCACAATCAAGGAAGCATGATCGCAAATACTTATTGAGCACTTGTTTCATGCCATACTATCTTATCCCCAAGATAGCTCCATGAGGGGCATACCATTCTTACGTCTGTTTTCCAGACCAGGAAGCTGAAACTTTAAAAGAAATGTGCATCATGTCACACAGCTAGAAAGTGGCTAGGCTGGAATCCAAATGACTGCACTAGGCCACTTCCCAAAGAAGTCATTTTGGTGACCATCACGGTCATCAAAACATGACTTTCCCACAGACTTTGCACCCAGTGGGTCTCAGTCATGGGCGGTAGAAAGAGTTGCCCTGCATTGTAAGATATAGATAGAGGGCTTATGGGAAGATATAGAACTCATGGGAAGGTCCTTGACAAAATATTTTCTAACTGGTGTCAAAAATGTTGCTATTAATAATTTAATCCCTTCAAAGAAATAGCACATCAAGTCCCTAAGACTTCATGGTATGAAGAAATTTACCAGACATATTCCCATTCTAACAGTAAGGTTGTCACAAGGGTTTATGGGAGAGAGAGAGAGGGTAGAAAATGTAAAGATAGGGAAGTTGGCACTGAAAGCACGGAAGGTAGGGAGGTGGGGGGAGACAGATTCAGAAAATAAAGGTGAAGAATGAAGACCAGCTTCTCTGATTTTACAATTTGGCTTCTGGACCACGCGGATCTGGTCAGTTCCTACAGGAAATTGTTCTGGCCAGTGGGCATATCAGGTAAAAAGCTAGAAGCTCCTCAAAGTGTATTTTAAGTGTTTTGTTGTTGTTGTTGATGTTGTTCTTCTTCTTCTTCTTCTTGAGATAGGGCCTCGCTACGTTGCCCAGGCTGATCTTGAACTCCTGGGCTCAAGCTATCCTCCTGCCTTGGCCTCTCGAAGTGCTAAGATTACAGGCATAAGGCATTGCACCCAGCCTATTTAATAAAACATAATAAAAATGTAATGTTTTTATTACGTTCCAGCCTGTCTATATTGTGGGCTTTCTCCATCAGGAGCTGGGGTCTTCCTGTAAAACAACTCAGGTCCCAAACCTACCCAGGAAGACTCAGCCAAAATGTTGCAGTGTGTGTCCATCCAGGACTCACGCTATCTTGCAAAATCATTTTCCTTTGACTCTACCAGCCTGTGTGTCTGGTATTGTTCCTTCTCTTATCACTGCTCCCAAGCTGTCTTCCCCTGCATGAATCACTCTCTCTTGTTTCCCACTGCCTGACTTCTTAGCCTCAATATTTCTGCCTTCTCCCTTTGCTCTCTGCAGGAAACCGAAGTCTCAGATTTCACTTCTAACTGAAGCCTGACTTCTTTTCAGCGCGTATCAGAGCATCCAAGAACCCTTCAGACTCTAGTTTCCTCTGGCAGATGTGCTTGTCAGCAGCCACCCTGAAGGGCATCCCAGCCTGGGCAGTGCTCAGAAACTACTCAGACAAGGCAAACTGAGTGTGGGGGGTAGGGAGCACGAGACCCCACATCACAGGCTGTATTGCACCAAGCAGCAGGTTTGCCTGGGTGTAGTGCAAAGTTTCGTATTCATCTGAAAGCTTCGCTTTTGTCTAAGTGGCAACTACCTCACAGCATTGCTGCTTTGATTTAACATTACTATTCCTTCTCCTTCTCCTTCTCCTTCTCCTTCTTCTTCTCCTTCGCCTTCTCCTTCGCCTTCTCCTTCTCCTTCTTCTTCATGGAGTCTTGCTTTGTTGCCAGACTAGAGTGCAGTGGAGAGATCTCAGCTCACTGCAACCTCCACCTCCCGGATTCAAGTGATTCTCCTGCCTCAGCCTCCCAAGTAGCTGGGATTACAGATGCCCACCACTATGCCTGGCTAATTTTTGTATTTTTAGTAGAGATGGGGTTTCACCATGTTGGCCAGGCTGGTCTCAAAGTACTGAGCTCAGGCGATCTACCCATCTGGGCCTCTCAAAGTGCTGGGATTACAGGTGTAAGCTCATTGGTTTTCCCCAGGAAATGTGCAAGTCAGAAAATATCAAAATGTGTTCTTGTTAAGCCAGATTTCTGGAGGCTCTGGGGCCCTTCTGAAGCACAGATGTCCCCACCGAAAGGGGCCTAGAGTTCCAGTCCCCTCACTTCACAAAAAGGCTGGCTGCCAGGGCCACTCACCTAATTAGTGGTAGCATTTGGTTTAGAGCCCCAGGCTCTGAATCCCAGGCCAGTATCTTTTGACACACTTCCAATTTTCTTCTGAAAATTAGGAGTATAAAAAGCCCATAGTGAACACCTTCCAGAGTTGGAAGTCATTGAACAGAGGTCCGTAAAGAAAAGAACTTGAGCCCTTTGAGCAGGGCCTTCTCCTCTGGATCCCAGGACCCCTGGTGGGACTCATGAGAACCCCTCAAGGAGGCTGCATGTGGTTCAGCCTTACTAACCAGAAGTCTATGCCAGGGAGGATGGAAGATGAGGTGAAGAGGGAGGTACTGGCCAGAGCTCAAAATCTTGATCTGAGAGCTGGGGCAAGCTAGAGAATTGTTCCAAAGAGCAGGGTATAAGGCTCCATTGACACGGCGGGCCGCACAGGAGTGGGGAGGGTGGCTGGAGCCCAAGCAGAAGGAGATGCGTAAAGGTGAGGGATGCACTGGGTCACGGCACTGGACAGAGCGGGGGACCCACGGCCGGAACACAGAGGGTATGAGATCTGTAGGCTCTGGGGTGAGGCTGGGATCTCTTCCTCCAACCACAGCTGGTGCTGTTGGAAGACCACATTCTTGCTGGAGCAGAGAGGAGCAAAGAGCAGGGCTCCCTAGGGTTCGAGGATTCTGAGAAGAGCCTGAGGCTTTGCAAAGGCCAGAGCAATCAATAAGAGCATAAGACCAGTATGGAGAAGAAAGGGACAGGGTGGGAGAAAATGCAGGCGCCACGCTACTGGAGCTCCAGAGCTCTGAAAACAGATGGCTGGTTTAAGGCACTGGAGAGCTGGACAGAGCCCCAGCCTCTCCTGTGCTCAACATCTGCATTCTCTCTCTCTCTCCTTATTTCCTCCCTCTCTCTCCCCTACCACCCTTCCCTCTTTTACTGATTTTACCCTGGAACAGCTGTGTTTCATTTTGCCATCTGCAATTTCCTCATTGTCAACATTTAGCTTCATCTCCTCGCCATGCAAGTGGTTGTACTCTCAGACACATGAGGGACACAAGAAGCCCTTCTTTCCTGGGGACAATCTTTGTGGCACCGTTCTGCAAAAGGCTGCTTCGGATTCTATCTGGTAGCAACTAGCAGCCTGTGCTCGGGTATGTATGTGCACATGTGTGTGTGTATACATATGTGTGGGCATGTTTGTGTATATGCATGTGTGGGGGTGTGTGTTTGTGTGTGTTCCTGTATGTGCGTGTTTGTGTGCATGTGCTTGTGTGTGCCTGTATGTTTGTTTGTAAATGCATGTGTGTTTGTGTGTGCATGTATGTTCCTATGTGTGTGTGCATGTGTGGTTGTACGCATGTGTATATGTAATTGTGTGTGTGTTTGTGTATAGGCATGTAGGTGTTTGTGTGTGTTCCTGTATGTGTGTGTGTTTGGGTTGGTTTGGATATTATTGTTGGTTTGTCTCAGGGAGGTTTGGTTTTCTTTTTCTTCTCCCCAGCTCTGCTGTAGAGAGGAATGTCCCCTTCCTGGGACATCTGCACTCTTCACTCCACTCCCTTGCCCATGCAGACATGGCAGGAGTGTCCTGGATGAGAAAAGCCCCAGGCTGGGAAGGTAAGAGCACTTGTTCTTTTGCTGTCTGGGAATCTGCACTGACATCTGTGCAGTCAATCAGTCTGTTCTCCTTGAACTGCCTTTACAAAATACAAACACAGGATCCATGAATGTCATGAGAACTTTTTAGCACCTTTTACTCAATCGTTAGCTTCAGTCCCTTAACGAGCTCCTGAAGAGATGGGCCTTACAGCATGGAGAGGCCTTCCAAAGACAGAAATGCAACGAGGGGCCCAGTGGGGGTCTGAGAGCAAAGGACAAGGTGGGCTAGGAAGTCCCTAGGAACACCTGGTTAGAACCAGGTTAAGCTGGAGAGAAAAGAGCAAAGGAAAAGTTTGCACACATTGTCACCTTCCCTAGAGCCACCAGTCCAGCCCCGGTGTCTGTCCTAAGACATAGACATTTCTGCCTCTGTATTCACTCTTCTTCAGATGTATTGGATTGAGTTCATCTTTCTACTAAGAACGTAGTACGGCTTTAGAAAATGAAAACAGCTTTTAGTATAGGAAGCATGATAAATTCACCCCAATCTTTTCATCCCCAAAGCTATATGAATGATATCTGGAAGCAGCCATAAGAGGACAGATGAGTAGTGGAGGGTCAGAGGAGAGGATTCACGGACAAGTACTCTTCTGCCATTGGGTACTGCAGTTGCCTCCCCAGCATCCAGTCCTAGAATCATTGCAGTAAAGCAGCGCTGATGTTCAGAGATGTTCAGATTAACCCCACCTGACACCCTCCCTTGGCCACAGTGATTGGTTTTGCTAATTCAGGTTCACCTGTCCAGGGCCTAACATTATCCTGGCCATGGTGATTGACTCAGGGTGGTCCAATCAGCCCAAACCCCAGGGCTCTTGTTCTAGGGTTGTGAACAACCAGTTACTGAAATTGAACAAAGACACATACAGCCTCAGTTGCTGCTGGCTACTATGAGAGAAGTCAGCATTTACATTGATCCCCAGAGAAAAAGAACCGAAGAACCTGGGTCACTGATTGATAACAGGGACATGGGTCTAACTGAGTGGCTGGATCAAGCATTCTGAAGTCCGCCCACCTCTGAAATTTTCAGCTATGGGAGACTCTGCATTCACTTGTTAATGTCAGTTTGAAAGAGAGTTTCTGTTATTTGCAACTGAAAACATCCTCTTACATTTGCTTCTGAACACTGGTGTTTCCCTGATGTCTTTGGCTCAGATATCAGAGTGTCTTCATTGGGATAGGCAACTTGTCTCAGATGTGTGTTCTTGGCCTCACTACCTGTTTGCCAAACTCCTTTCACCTGGATCTAGGGCTCAGGTTTTAAACTTGGCAATGTCAGCCACAGGCCCTACTCCTTCGTTCATTCATTCATTCATTCACTCACTCAGAGAACTTTTATGAAATTCATTATGTGCCAAGCATTATGGTGGGCACTAGGAATAGAGAGAAAAGCAAGTCAAGAATTTTACCCCTAAATAGCATCTTAAGCTCATTTGTAACCTCGTCAGGTACAGTGTGTTTTATCCATGATTTCCTCCACGGAAATGTTTCTTTGTGGTTACCTTAGGGCAATTGCTATGGAACTTTTGCCTGAGGTTCTTGAAAACTCCCTGAGAGACAAGAGTTTGAGCTGGAATGGACACCACAGTTCCTGGCTCAGGAAGCTCATGTTGAGCTGGGAAGGCAATAGTGATACACAAGCATCAATTACAGCACCAGGAAAGCTGGATAATTCAATCCAATTAGGAACTAACTTATTGGGTGAGGCCCTGCTCCAGAAAGAGAGTCAAGAAGCTTCCAGTCCTCAGGTGGATTTCTAAGCAAATCTCCATCTTTCTAAAAGACTGCATTCAGCAATCTCTGAAGCTCAAATACGATTATAAAACTCCCACTTTGGAGTCATGGCTATTGGAAGTAGATTTCAAAGACTGGAGGTTTAGGCAAAACCCCAGCAGCCTAATACACATGAGTTTGCAGTTTTACAATGTGGTCAATATTCCATTTTTCTAGCTCCCTTGCCTTGTCCCACAGCTGTCTGTGGTTCTATTTCAGCATCCACCACAGCCTGTCTGGTGGAATTGTTACTTGTGTACCTTTCTCCCACCTGGCTGACCTGTGCAATCCTTGACAGCAAGGAGGGACAGAAGTTCTGCTCTGTAGAAACAACTCTAGAAAACACTGACATAGTGCTTACCTTGCATATATTTATCCTATCCTCATGACAGTCCATGGTATTATTATAGTATACCCATTTCAAAGTTGAGAAAACTGAGTCACCAAAAGTTTAAATAACTTGGCTGTGGCATTTGCATAGGGGCAGAGCTAGGATTTCAAACAGGCAACTGGATTTTGAAGTTCTTGCTCTTAACCATGGTGCTATCATATTTATCTTTAGGCACTCAATACAAGTGTGTGGGATTAAATGAAAGTTAACAGAGGAGATCCCTATAGCAAATACTCATAGCAGAAGTTCACGATCCTCCCTTCTGCTGACTGTTCACTAGGTTCTAAATGCCAGAAAGAGAGGCAGTTCAGGAATAGGAAATTGGAGGTGAGGTTCCAGGAAAAGGAGAGAGAAGTCTCTTTAATTGAACTCTTTCCTGAGGTCTTTTTGATGCCTGTTGCGGAAAGTCATGACACTGGAAGCCCACCAGGTCTAATATTTTTATATTGTCTGCAAAACTCTGACCTTGTGCAGGGCCATCAATTTTCTATAATGCAGTGCAATGTTTTAAAATCATAGTCACAGGATCTTTGACATTCCCTCCAGGAGAAGTGGAGTCTCTGTGCACTCTCTTTGAATCTGTAGTTGGAAGAGGAGCCTAATGACTTCTTTGACCTAAGGATTGGGGTGGAAATGACACTATGTGACTTCTGAGGCTCAACCATAAAGCCATACAGCTTCCACCTTCGTGGCTAGGAACACGTGTTCTTGGAACCCTCCACCTCCATGCAAGAAGTTTCACTGTGCTGAGACCACCATGCTGGAGAGGCCACATGTCAACGCTATGATCAACAACCCCAGCTAAGCCCATCTTTCAGCTGGCCAGAGGCCACCCTGTAAATGGATATGCCAGCCCTGGCTCTTTCAGCCCCGGCTCTTTCAGCCCCAGCTCCAGCCATTTGAATCAAGCCAGAAGAGCCATCCATACAGCTTCCTGTCCCACGGAGCCGGTGAGCATCATAAATGCTGTTGTTTTATGCTCTTAAGGTTGGGGGTGGCTGGTTATGCCATCAATAACCAGAATATTTGGGAGCAGCCTTACACATTTGGTAGGATTGGATGAGAAAACACGGAAACAAATTTAATTTGGGGCCTGACTGTATTGCAATTTTTTCAAAGATTGTCTTGACCCAGTTTGAGACCCGGTTAGAGGCAGGTCCATTCTTCTTCCTGAAACTGATTACGTCCACACCCCCAACCACCTCCCTGATGGGGCTCTCACACTCAGGGTCACTCTTCCTCTGTTCTGATCACCCCAGGGCCAGGTACCAGAAAACAAGGGACAGCCTCAACTCCCTACAGTCCACTGAAATTATTCAAACTAGTCAATCCTAAACTGGCTGCCCCCCCGTTTCCTTCCGGTAGAAACTACTTGCCCTCCACTTCCCGAGCAACCTTCGGTGCTAGGCTGTGTTCTCCCCAGGAAGCTGTGAGTAACAACACTGAAAACTCTTCCTGGTTCCCCCTTTCCATCTGCACTGGCCTCACCACACTCCACCCAAGGGAATGTGGTTTAAACAGTGACATCGAGTGTGTCATTCATCTGGGTCACCTTCTTCACCTTTGCCCCTTCCTTTCATGTCCTAATTTTTTATCATTAAGAAGCAGCACATTTCTGAAAAGGCAAACATAATCAACCTGGCTGCAAGACAGACTAGGAGAAGAGTGAAGGTGTGTTGGTTTGCGGACTTTGGGAAGCACAGTGATGGGGCAGGGGCAGGCAGGGAGACCACAAGCAGATGATCTGTGGGTCCCTAATGGACCAGTGGCCCTGTCCTGCATGCTGTGGTGAGGGATAAACCATCCATAAAACTGTTTCCTTGGCCAGGTGCAGTGGCTCACACCTGTAATCCCAGCACTTTGGGAGGCTGAGGTGGGTGGATCACTTGAGGTCAGGAGTTTGAGACCAGCCTGGCCAACATGGTGAAACCCCATCTCTACTAAAAATACAAAAATTAGCCAGGCATGGTGGTGCATGCCTGTAATCCCAGCTACTCGGGGGCCTGAGGAAGAAGAATCGCTTCAACTTGGGAGGCGGAGATTACAGTGAGCCAAGATCACGCCACTGCACTCCAACCTGGGCAACAGAGACAGACTCCATCTCAAAATGAACAAACAAACAAAAACTTTTCCTTGACATCGTGAGTGTTATCCAATGCTCTAGTCGTTTACCGTATGGACTAGCATCTTGCCTCTGTGCATACTCACAAAATTACATAACACATGCACCCGGTTCAGTAAACATCCTGTGATTAAAACCTGGAAGTCTGATATTGCAGAGCCACCTGCAGACATGCTTCTCAAACTCCAGTGCACTCTGAGTTCCCCAGGGATCTCACTGAAGTGCAGATTCAGAGTCAGCAGCTCTGGGGCGGATCTGATGAGATTCTGCACAGCACCCAAGCTCCCAGGTGATGCCAGGGCTGCTGGTCCAAGACCACACTTTGAAGAGTGAGGACTTGCCAACCTTCAAGACCCAGTGCATCAGAACCCAGGATCCTGGGAAGTCTTTTGGGTCTATTCCCCGTGAGCAGGGTGGTTCCAGCTCTGAGGAAAACTTTCCATCACCCCAGAGAGTCCTGTGGCCACTTGAACGTGAACGGGTCTGACCAGCTCCTTTTCTCCCTGTCCTCCACCCCAACAAAATAAGATGATGGAGACCTTGAGTGCTAGGCCCTGCTTCTTTTTTCTTTTCTTTTCTTTTTTTTTTGTTTTTTGTTTTTTGTTGTGTTTTGTTTTTTGTTTTTTGAGACAGAGTTTCACTCTGTCGCCCAGGCTGGAATGCAGTGGTGCAATCTCGACTCATTGCAACCTCTGCCTCCCGGATTCAAGAGATTCTCCTGCCTCACCCTCCTGAGTAGCTGGGACTAGAGGCACCTGCCACCATGCCTGGCTAATTTTTGTATTTTTCGTAGAGACGGGGTTTCACCAGGATGGTCTTTAGTAGAGTGGGGCTGGCCAGGCTGGTCTTGAACTCCTGACCCCAGGTGATCCCCCTGCTTCAGCCTCCCAAAGTGCTGGGATTACAGGTGTGAGCCACCACGTCCAGCCTAGGCCCTGTTTCTATGCGACCCTGCCACAGGGATATAGGGCCCCAACTTCTTCCCTTGTGCCCATCTAATGCTTCCTTTCCAGCCTGTCTCCTCAGCTTTCTCCCCCCGCGCCCCCAGCCCTGTGGTCTCCCTGACTGATTGGTTCACACACCCAGCCCCACCCTCACCACTAACACACCCAGTCCGGGAAGTGTGAATATTTCTAGACTGATGTCATTATCTCCCGAGAAGTTCATTCCCTGGAGGCTTCTACCTTCACCAGGGAAACGTTTAGTGAGGAGGCAGCTGAGGAAAGAAGGCATCTTTGCTTTTTAAAATCCAAGTAAAGAAAATGTTAGAAATGTATAAAGAATGCAAGTGAAGGACGAAGTGGCAAGGACTCCAAATCCCCCACAAAATGTCTGCATTTCTTTATTCCCTGAGACTCCTGGAAGTCATTTTCCATTTTTTACAGAGTTTAGAGCTAGTTATTATTATGCAAATCTGAGGTGTGCCAATTCGCCTCCACCCCACTGCCTGTGATGCTTGGTAGATTTGGAACACGGGATACAGAAAAGAATGTGTCTGGACTCTAAGAGAAGGATTGTCAGGTAGCTGTTAGTGTTTAAGGCAGGGGTCCCCAGCTATCCTCGTAGAATTATGATCACCCAATGGGTTCTTTTTGCCTGCTGTACAGATAAGCCCAATTCACTGAGACAGTATTAGTACAGTAGAGAAAGAGTTTAATTATTGCAAGGCAACTGACAGGAAGGATAGGAGTTATTACCCTAATCTATCTCCCCCAAAATTTGAAGTCTAGGGTTTTTTAAAGGACAATTTAGTAGGCAAGGAGCTAGGGAATGGGGAATGCTGATTGGTTGGGTTAGGAATGAAATCATCGGGAGTCAAATTGGCTTCTTGCTGTCTTCAGTTCCTGGATAGAATCACAAAACTAATTAAGCCAGTTTATCAGACTGTGTGATACCAGCAGGTCCATCAGAATGCAGGGTCTTAAAAATACCTTGAACACCAGTCTTAGGTTTTACAATAGTAATGTTATCGATAGGAGCCATTGGGGAGGTTAGAAATCTTGCAGCTTCTGTCTGCATGACTCCTGAGCCGTAATTTTAACCTAGTGACTAATTTGTTAATTTTACAAAGGTAATCTCAGTCCCCAAGCAAGGAGGGGGTAGTGTGGGAAAGGGTTATTATCATCTCTGCTTTAAGGTTAAACTATAAACTAAATTCCTCTTAATGTTAGCTTGGCTTATGCCCAGGAATGAACAAGGACAGCTGAGAGGATAGAAGCAAGATGGAGTCAGCTATGTCAGATTTCTCTTACTGTCCTCATTTTTCTATGTTAGATTTTCTTATTATGATAACTTTTGCCAAGATAGTTTCAGAATTGAGGGGCTAATGCCAACAAATATGAAATTCTCCTGGTTCACCGAGAAGGCTGTGGCTAAGAGGGCTTGGAAAAATGATTTAAAGAAGCATCTTCAGATAAACCCTGTTGAATTTACTCCATCCCACGTCCAATGAGCACTTTCTACAAGCTTTCTGATTCTCTCCCCTAGGAGATGGTCAATGCCTCAGGTGGCTGGATTTGATCTTGCGTTTCTGAAATTGTCCTCACAGGTTTAATAAGAATTACATGCCAGGTTCTGAAATATAGTTATAATTAAGCATTAATCAGGCCACATTTTGTGGCCCACTTCCTTGTAACCAAAAGTCACATCGCACTAAGGACTGACCATTTGCATCCGTATTGTTTCTATAGGTAGGATGAATTGCTTAAGATGTTCTTCAGAACCTGAATTCCCTGGAAAGGCTGATGCCAACCAGTTTGAAGACCCCAACAGAGGGACTGAATCAGCTTGAGAATGTAGTTTCTTTGTCACCCTGACCCATGATTTCACCCTGCATTCTTTGACCAATTCACAATTCTCACACCTTAGCCCATTTCAAAACCCTTAAAGTACCTAGCCCCAAACTCCTCAGGGAGGCAAATTTGAGGTTTCCTCTCATTAACCTACTATTAAAACACTTTTGTTGTTGTTGTTCAGAGTCTCGCTCTGTCACCCAGGCTAGAGTGCAGTGGCATGATCTTTGCCCAGTGCAACCTTTGCCTCCTGGGTTCAAGTGATTCTCCTGCCTTAGTCTCCCAAGTAGCTGGGACTACAGGTGCACACCACTACACCTGGCTAATTTTTTTCGTATTTTTAGTAGAGAAAGGGCTTTGCCATGTTCCCCAGGTTGGTCTCGAACTCCTGACCTCAATAATCTGCCTTCCTCGCCTCCCGAAGTGCCAGATTACAGGTGTGAGCCACCGCGCCCATCCTAAAACACTTTCTCTGCTGCAACCCTCGGTGTCAGTGTATTGACTTGCTATGCAACAGGCAATGTCCTATTATGGCCACATTTCCTATACTCCCTGCTGCAGTGGTTCTCAAACGTGGTCATAAGGCAGAGCTCCTGGTGTCAAAGTTTAATTGTAAGTAAAAACTTTTAAAAATTAATTCAGATACCCTAATCATCTAATCTCAAATTGCCACCCTACCATAATCACATTGCCCTATTTCAATTCTCCACAAAGAGCTTCACTGGCAGATATTTTTCGTGTTCATGTATGTGTGCATTTATTGTCTGCTTCACAGGCACACAGATTCTCTTTTTTATGTAACTCAGTTTTCTCTTCTTTGTCTTCGCTGCAACACAATCTCCACCCCTCCTCGCCAGCCCCCCAAGGCAGAGCTGTTGGAACCACATATTGCTTTGCCACTAATTACTCTAATTACTTTGCACTTCATTTGCATATGAATTTCCTGTAGGATCATTATCGTAAGGTTACAGCATCATTTCCTGGGCAATCCAGGTGGCCTTTGGCCAACGGGCCTTAACTCTACTTGGTCAAACTCTAATAGCGTTCTTAGTTCTCCCTAATCCTCCAACTGGAAGGGCACAAAACATTCTAGAGTTCATCGTTTCCCATCTATGCCTGTGTCAGCCTGCATCAAGCCACATGTTCTTTCCTAAAGCCACTGCCTCAACTCACTTTAGTTTTACTAATTCGCCATGATATTTTCCTTCTTCCAGTGCAATGGATTCCACTTCCAAGCAATACTGCCCACTCAACAACATGCAGCACTGGGGAAAGCGGGATAGTGACTTGAACTCTGAAGTTGGAAACAGACAAAAGAAAAGAAAGAGGAAGAGAGTAAAATAGATTGACTATGAATTATTTCCCGGTTCCCCTAAGGCTCTTTCAGTTGTGACAGGAAGTGACTCAAACTGGCTTAAGCATGTGGAGAGGAGGTCATTATAAGTGTGCCTCATGGAACCCAACCAAGAGCGAAAAGGACCCTAATCCTCCCCCTGAGGGCTAGGACGCAGTACACAAACACCATCCTCATGCCTCATTTACTCCTCTCTCTGTTTCTCTCTTCCCAGGTTTCTCTGCTTCCCTACACAGATCGAGCAGCTAAGCAGCTCCACAACCTTTAGCATTGCACATGTGCACAGCACAGAGGCTAAACAGAGACTCCTGAGCCCCAGTTCTAAATATCTGGGGAAAGTAACTTTACAGTCCTGTTTTCCACCAGCCGTGGCAAGGCAAGCAGTCCCCGGGAGGTGGAGTGAGGCTGGCCAGATCTCAAAAGCCCTGATGCACTTGTCCTGAATCAAAGGCACAGATAGGTGCTCTCAGCTTCCCCTCTCCTCACATCTCTATTACCACCACTTCCTTCCCTGTCTTTCATTTTCTGTTTATTTCGTTCAGTCTCTTGTTTCCATCCTCCTAAATAACAGGGCGGAAGGTTATTTAGAAAACAGTTGACCTCATGCAGTGCAGCCTCACTGCTTGGCGACTTTCTGTATTGAAGCATACACATTTGGTGCTTACGGTTTCATCTGTAAAAATGCCAGTAGGACCTAGGCTGGCTGTGACAGGAAGCCACACCTCCCCCTTCCTCTACTTCTTTGCTCTTGTATGTCCTGCACCAGCCTGTGTCACACCTATTAATACCCTTTAATGAAAGTACTCACTGAAAAGTTCTTCTGATGTAGTTAAGACAGGTTAATGATTGTCCTGCCACCATGTGAGGGCATTCTATGATGAACATGGAGTGGATGAAAACGTAAAGCAATCAATGTTTTCTATTTTCTAGTTCATTCATTCATCCCATATCTCAATCTTGCAGTTGAACAGTCAACTCACCAAAGTTCTGGGTCTTTTTCATTTTCTTGCTCTCTTGTTCATGGTGTATAATGAAGGAATGAGAGACTGGGAGAGAAAATTAGCATAATGAACCACTGGCACATAAAACAGGAGAGAAGAGCAAAAAGAGGACTTGCAGAGAGAACACATGAGGGACTAGAATGCGAGATGCAGTCTGAGAAAATCATAAATCCAGGGATGGAATGCATGAAGCAAGGAGAATGTGAATGTTAGATTCGCCTAGCAAAAACAGTGAATTTAAGAACGACTTTGTGAAGGTCCTGTGTCGGTTATGCATTGCCACTATATGCTGGTAATGGACAATCACAAAGTCTCAACGGCATTCAACAATAAGTGTATGCTCACATCCAAACATCTGGAATCAGTGAAGGGCTGACTATATGCTTCTGCTGAACTGCTAACTGCTCACAGGTCAAGGTTGGCTGATCTTGGCTAGGTTCATCCAGGCACTGCAGTTCAGCTGGCTTGCTCATGCCTCTGCTGACATCCCATTGACCACAGCAAGTGACATGGCTGAGGTCAGTGTTAAAGGATAGGGCAGGTCACACTGCCTGAAGTGCAGTGGGAGGAAGCTCAGATTCACATAGTGAAGAGTATGGCTATAGAGAAGGGTGAAAAATTGGGGCCATTGTTGCAACCAAGCAGGAGTATCACACTTAGAAAAAGTTCAAAAGCAACTGCTTCATCAGTAGTTACCACTGTTCTGAGTCTCTAACCTCTTGACTCTAGGCTGGGCTTGAGAATGTGGTAATTTTATACAGCCCTAAGGGGCACAGACATACTCTGTGGCTGGAGGATCTGGACTGTAGCAAGCAACATGCCAGCAGTAAGAAGACAGCAGGAGTAGCAACATCTGCACAGAGACTGGGGATTTACCTTCACTTTACAGCTTCACGTTTGTGTCTCAGTGCCCTAAAGACCTTCACTTCTATCTTGAGAGGTTCTTCCCTGGGGATAGGGTAGCTATATTTGATCAATCACATGGCCCTAAGAAAATTAATGACTAACATTGAAATACATATTTTTTCCTACTTTTCCCTCCAAACAATGTTAAACATATTTATAAAACATGGAATTTAAAAGCCTCTCTGGGTCCTCTCACATAACCTTTGCCAGATCTTATCAACAAGACTGATCCAAATGCTTCTTTTTAGTTTTCCATGAACCCTTTATTGAGGCCAGAATCCTTTCTGCTCAGCCTAAAAGTGGAGGAGTTCAGGTTGGCAGTAAAATGCCTGCAGGTTTCTTTTCTTCACTTGTTGTGACCCCTTTTCTCCTCAGTCACATACTTAGGTTTTTGAACTACAGTAATTCAAAAAATGACCTATATACCTACAATAGAATATTATTCATCAACAAAAAGAAATAAAGTACTAATACATGCTACAGCATGGCTGATCCTTTAAAACATCAGCTACATGAAAAAAAATCAGTCTCAAAGGACCACTTATTTATGATTCTGCTTATATGATATGCCCAGATAGATAAACCTATTGAGACAAAAGATAGGCAAGTGTTTTCCTTTGGCTGGGAGAGATAGAGAGATTGGGGAGTGATGGCTAAAAGGTGGGGGGTTGCTTTCTAGGGTAGTGAAAATGTTCCAAAGTTGATTGTGGTGATGGATACACAACTGTGAATACACTAGAATCATTGAATTATATGCTTTAAATGGATGAAGTGCATGGTATGTGAATTATATCTCACTACACTAGTTTTTTTAAAAATATAGCTTGTTTTTTAACATTCCAGATCCACTAAGGCATCTGTGCCACTTCCATGCAGGTTCCTGGTAACTTTTCTGCCATATAGCTAACGAAAAAAGGGAGAAAAGAGCCACATAGAACATGTATACAAAAAGAGAGCAAAATCCCCCATGAATATTTTCCTGTTTCGGAAGAAGTGATGCTCTATTTTAAGTTTCGACACCTTTGCCGCGTGCCACACAGTGCCCCTCCGCACAAACGTCCTGCAGTCTGTTGTGCTCCATGGTGCTCCCTTCCGTCTGCATTTTGGTGTGTTTTAAATAGTTCAAAACCACCAGAAGGCTCACAAGGAAACAGATTCTACCGCGGCTTTTGTATCACTAACAACTTAGAAAAGGCATTTGTGAAGATGCATTTGCCTTGATTACATTGCACGTGTATTTTTTTCATCTGCTCTATTTTCACTTCCTTCATTAAAAGCCTGTCTTGAAAGAAACTTGACATCTCCATAGCCTTTGGTGACTCTCAGGCATTTCCCTTCCATGCCCCACCCCACTCCCCACTCCCCCGCCCCACCGGCTTTTTTTTTTCCTACTCAAAAACGCATTGACATTTTATTGGTTTATAATATCTATAATTTCCTGATTATGTTAATGTACCACAATCCATAGATTAAATAAATTTTATGCATGAGTTACATCAGACCTAGAAAGTATTTTAAAGTGTTTTCCAGAATAAGAACTTTGAGAAATGCTGTCAAGAGTGAGAAGAAAGGCAAGGATGGAAGAGCTTGAAAGTGTGAAGGCAATGGCAAAGTTCTGAACTCATCACTCTGGAGAGCGAAGGAGGGAAAGTTGGCAGAGAACCACTGTAGGGTTGCTGGGCAGTTTTGAGGCTTTATTTGAGATTGGAGTTTGTACGTTTCCAGTGGCATCCATCTGTCTGTCCTATTGTGAGACTTCCTCCAACAGTCCTCAGCTCCTTGAATGAAGGCAGATAATTGGGTTCATCCAAGATTGGCATGTGTTGAAAAGATAGAAGAACCAGAGGGTCTGATCTGCTGAAAAGAGCGCTACTGAAATGATGTGCCAAGTCAGTCTTTTTTTTTTTTTAACAAAGAGAAAAAGACGCGAGTTCCCAAACCAACTCTGCCTCTTAGGAGGCATTCACTGCCTTCCTAAGCCCTGTGCCCCTGAAGAGGGTCTTTGATGGAGCCTCAGAATTGGTGCTTTCTGGCCTGGGCCCCAGAGCAAGTGGGCCTAAGTCTGCAACCCTGGCCACCTGCCCCCTTTCCTCTGCAGGTGCAGCAGCAGCACCCTACAACTGGGCTCAGGCCAAAGGTGAGTGACCGTAGGATGTGGGCCATTCTGCTGATCAACCTCCATCCAACCTCAGCAATCCATAAAAACAGCCCTGTCACCGAGAGGCTGCCCTCTGGAGCCATCAGGGCGCCTGTGGGAGGCAAAGAACAAGAGCTGCCTTCAGAGCAGACTGTTGCAGAGGAGCCCAGACAGACTAGGGGAAGATTCCTGGGGCTCCTCAGCAAGGCTGGCATGAAAACAGACAGGGACTCACAGGTTCCTCAAAACAGGAAAAGTGTCGGCAGTGACCCAGTGCACCCCTTCTTTCAGAAAAAGGCCTCTCACGGTGGGAGTCAGTGCTATTCATCAGATGACTTCCGGATCTCCCCTGGGGCACATGGCAAGATTGCCCTTCCTGCTCCACATAGCCATGTGACATGTTCAAGCCAGTGAAAAGTGAGTGGGAATATAAATGTCACTTCCTGGGTAGACTTAAGAAAGCACCCACTCATGATACATTCTCTTTCTCTCTGCAACAGGGAATGTCAAAGATACTCACTCTTGTATCTGCCTGCAGTGCAGAATGAAGAGAACTACAACAAAACTCCTCAGCCATGGGGGATCTGTAGCATGAGGCAGAAAGAAACTTTCATGACCATAGCATAATCTAGAAATAATCTTTTGTTAGTTACTGCAGCATGATCACCTAACTCATCCTGACTGACACATCATCTGATGAACAAATACCCCAGACTCGTGCAGTGAGAAAATGAAGGGAAAAGGAAGGTGTCTTAGTCCATTCAGGCTGCTGTAACACAGTTTCTTGGACTGGATAATTTATAAACAACAGAAACTTGTTGCTCACAGTTCTGGAGGCTGGGAAGTCCAAGATCAAGGTGACAACAGATTTGGTGTCTGGCGAGGACCCATGCTCTGCCTCATAGATGGCACCTTCCAGCTGTGTGCTCACATGGCAGAAGGGAAAACAAACTTCCTCAGGCCTATATTTTAAAGGCACTAATCCCATTCATGAGGACTCCGCCCAAAGCTCCACCCCTTAACACTATCTCATTGGAGATTAGGTATGAAGATATGAATTTTGAAGGGACACAAACATTCAGACCACAGCAGAAGGAAGCTAACATTTATTGATCACTTCTTTTGTGTCCCTTCTGCTTCTCAGGGCTGTTTATCTCTGCCCCCATCAATCATGGGTTGATTTCAGAGTTTAATCCTCAAAGGGCTGAACTTGTCCCCTTGTTCCCTTGTTTGTGAAGGTGCGGAGCAGCTCATGCTGCTGTCTAGAGGGAAAGTCCACAGTAACTTTTAGGAAACTTCCAACTCAGCATCAGTTGTGTCCAAGTGTTGGGGTTGGGGGGTGCTTGGTGAAGGATGGGGGCATGCAGGGAGAAAAACGCCAAGTCCCTTCATTTAATTAGTGATCTTGGGCCTGCAGGAAAAGAGAGAACACCCAGACGGGAGCAGAACAGTAAACTGCTCTCATGTACCAGGAGCATGAGAATGGCGCGGGGCTGGACAGGAGAAAAAAGAGTGGGAAGGCAGCCGAGCAGGCAGGTCCTGGCAAGGTCACGACAGCTAATGAAGCAGCAACAGGAAAGGGACAATCCCCTCTAGAGGGTGGAGATCAGAGTGCTGGGGTTCAAACAAGGAAAAGCCTCACACCTCTGGGACATCCAACCATTCATTTATTCACTCAACAAATACTTATTATTCACCTACTATGTGCCAGGTAATTTTCTAGGTGCTTGGAAAAAATAGCAAACAGAACAGACGATAATTCCAGCCCTCATGGAGCTTCTGTCCTAGAGGAGAAAAACAGATATGAAACCCACAAATAAGTAAAATATACAGTCCGTCCAATTGTGACCACAGCTATAGAGAAAATAAAGCAGGCAGTGTGTAGGGAATACAGGGTTGGGGCAACATTCAACAGAATTGCCAGAAAAGGCTCCTCTGAGAAGGTGAGTGACTCATGGGTATTGCAGGGATGGCATGTTTGCAGGCTCTGAGAGACAGTGTCCTTAGTACATACAGATGGCTAGGACCGGGGGGACCCAGGGCTGGATGTCCCTCCCACTTGATAGCACAGCCATTGAGTCAAGTGCACATGTATGGTTGGGATATGGTCTTCCTTTGTACAAGAGGAGATTTCTAATGCTTGTATGTGGAAGTCAGGATAGCGGCTCTGTTTCGCCCATTGATGGTTGGCTAAAGCCCTGGACAGCCCAGGAGGCCTGAATCCCCTCCCCGACACCCACTGCTGCCTCCTCCTAAGGCCTCACCTGGGCACACAGAGCCGGGGGGCCCCTGGCAGGCCGTCTGCAGGTCTTTTTCCCATGCCTGCATCTGTTTTCCTGACTCTGAGAAGGGGGAGGGAAGGCAGGCTCAGGGAAGGCTCCGTGTTTAGGAGCCAGCAGTTCACGGAAATGGCCTTGCCAGGTCCTGGAGGATGGATGGGCTGGTTACACCAATTGTCCGTTAGTAACTCCGGGTCCATTTGCCAGGTTCACATTCTCAATTCATAAAGGTTTAAAACTATGGATTTTCATTTTGCTTGTTGCACCTGTAACCTCCCAAGCATCCTCCAGGGCGTAGGGTGTCAGGCTGGCAGCCAGGCCTGCGAAGTAATGTAGCACCTCTGCAGGCGAGATGGGTGCTTGGGGAGAAGGGACATTACACAGATCAACCACTGCAAATCAATCAGGCCTGCCTTGCCTTTCAGGGACATTGGCTGTGGCTGCTGTGGTCTGCCCTGTCATGTGTCAGGGTGTGTGTGTACAGGGAGGGAGGGGTGGAAAATTCTGGAAAGTACTGGAGCTTCTAGCCCTGGTGAGGACAGAGGAACCAGGCCAAAACCCTCACTCTCAAATAACCAAGTCCACCAAAGGGCCACCACTTCCAGTCTCCCCTGCCCAGCCCACAACTCACAGGCTAAACTCATCACATCAGCACAACACTGCTCTCCCCAGATGCTTGCTAAGAGTGGCCAACAGTGCAGAGGACAGGAGCCAGGAACAACTTCTACAGGGTGGTGTTCCCCGGCCACCCTAGCAGACCTGACCACAAACCTGTGCACACACCCACGCCTTCCTCTTTGGGACCCCAGAGGGAGCCACCAGGGTGTTACCACAGTACCCTGGGGACTTCCTTTTATGGAGCCCTCGAGAGGGGCGGAGGAAGCCACATCTCAAGATTTGGTCACGATCACCTGCACATGACTATCATGGGGCCTGTTAAGGTCGCTGTGAAGGGACAGCAGAGAGGCAGAGGCCTTGGGACACCTCTGCCACGGCTCCTATGTCCTCTTCCGCATGCCTGCCTACAGGGTGTGTGTGCGCAGACGCACCCATCGCTAAATATTTCAGCAGATGAATGATTTTGGAGCGGGTGAGCAAGAGGCTGGAATAATGATTTATAGAATTTTAGAAAACTTGATTCCTTAAGTGTACTTCACAGCAGGGCCATCACACACACAAAGGCAGAGCTCTGCGATTGATCCTTTCAGGAAAGAAGAAAGGGGTGCCTGAGAGCCCTTTCAGCTTCATTGCTAGGGCACTTAGCAGTCATCAGCAACCCCGCCCCCACCCCTCCCGCACTGGTGCAAGTCCCTCACCCCGGGCCCCACCCTTGACCAAGGACCTGCCAATGGGGTGCACTGTTCCCTTGGCAGGGGCCTCTGGCTTCCTGCGCCTACCCTGCCCAATCCCCACGGCTAAGTTTTGCCCCCTCTGGGGGCTTTCCAATGGTCATCCTGACTCTACCAGAGCTGGCCTTGGCCTGAGCACAGTTCTGGGGAGTCCTGCCCAGAATGGCCACTCCCAGAGACTGGCTCCTCAGCACCCAGGAGGGTTCTCCACATGGCCCCTTCCCAAGCCCATGGGAGCCCTGCAGAGGACAGGCAAGGCCGCCACCGGCAAACTGGGCCCTCTGCCCCACAGACTCAGGCTGCAGCTCCACAATCACTCCCTCCCCTGGCCCAGCCCTGCAGCAGCTCACTCTCCAGGGTGGAGAACATGCCTTCTCGGAGGTCTCTCTTGTTCCCCCGAGAGAGACCACTGTGCAGCCAGGAGCCCCTGACTCCAGAGAGTGCTCATGAGAAGTCTCTGTCTTCTCATCTGTAAAATGGGATCACACATCATGACGGGCAAGAGACTTGAGGGCAGCAGGTGAACATCTGTGTGTGTGTGGTCCTCGTTCATGTTTATGACCATCATCCTTGTCAAAGAGGAATTTTAAAAGACATCAAGGTACCCATCTCTCACCTTCCCACAGGTATGCCATGTGGGAAATTGTCACCCCACTCTCACGGATCACCATGATGTCAGAAGGCTTTTGGGGTGTTTCTGGTTCAGAAAGTGGGAGCAATCCTGATGGGATCAGCCAGACTCAGATTCTCCCAGGGCAGCGAGGGAGGACGTGATCCCTCAGTTGCCGTCTCTCTGCCAGGGAGTTCCAATTGGCCAGGAGGCCATGTACACCATGGTGGTCCCAGCATGGAAGCGGCCCCCTATCCCTGACTCTCCTTGTCCTCAGAGGCCCGGTCCTTCCAGAGGTTGGCCGTCTGTGTGAAAGGCAGACTGTCACTGTAACAGTGAAGAAGGGATTCTGTGGGGACAGACACTGGCACAGGCCTCCTTTGGGCCAGACCTCTGTCCGCTTGGGTATCAGCTGGTCTGGCCCCAGCTTGGGCAGTGCAGAAGAGGGTCCCAGCAAGCCAGACGAGAAGCAAGGCGGAATGGCCACTGCCCAGGACAATCATTGAAAGCTTTCATGTTCGGGGACCAATTAATTATCTGAACCTCCCGATTTGAAAAGGAGGATGTTTAATCTCCCGCTTTCCCCAGGGTCTCAGCCCTTTGACCCCGCTTCTTGACCCCTGCCCTTCCACCTTGCTGCCTTCCCCAGAGGCCCGATTCTGTGCAGTCGCTTTGTTTAGTAAACAAGGCTCCCCAGTGGGGGAGGTTAAATGCAGGACGCTGGCATGGCACCTTCGGAGGAAGCCACACGCTCTTCGCAGGCAGCAAAGGACTGAGCCTGGGAGGGCCGATGCCAAGTGGTGTTCACTGGATTCTGGATTCTGTGTCTCCAAGTGAGGTTCTCGGTTCTCCTCTGGGAGAGTGAGCATTTCCTTAAGTCACAGCGCCCTTAAGCAGGGTCATTCTTGGTTCTTTTTCTGAGCATTGTTATGCAAAGAGCTGGCCAGAGGCATCCTGGCAGTGGGCACAGCTGCAGCAGATGCAATAACAGCCTCCCAAGGGAGCGAGCACAGGTTCTGGGGCTGTTGATTTCTCCATGCTCTTAAGCCATCCACTGGCGAGGTACAAGATGCCAGGGAGACCTAGGTTCAAATCCCAGTTTTGCTTCTAATTAGATTTTGGCCTTGGGCAAACAACTTAATTTTTCTTTGCCTGAGTTTCCTCATCCACAAAATGAAAAGAATGAGAGGATCTCTCTTATGGGACTGTTGGGAAAATTAGATGATAAAAGTGTTCTAGTCTAGTGTCGGGTCACTATGAGGTCTATATAAGAGTTGGCTAACTTTATTTTTTTTTCTGGTGAGAATTTTTTTTTTCCTAGAGGGTGACTCTCCCCCAACTTCCTCCCTTTCCCCAATGCCCACATGCTTCCATGGCACTAGGAACCCTACACTCTAGGTGCCACATCTGGGCATGTAGTCTAGGTCTGTGGAGTTTCTAGTTATCCTGAGCCAGTGGTTCTCAACCAGGGATGGTTTTGCCCCAGAGGACATCTGGCAACATCTGGGGGCATTTTTGGTTGTTGAAACTGGGGAAGGGGGTGCCACTGGCATCTAGTGGGTACAATCCCAGGACACTGTTAATTACCCTACAATGCACAGGACAGCCCTCCCACCCCCAGCTCAAAATGTCAACAATGCCCTGACCATGAGGCCAAAGTGAAAATAGGGCCAAGACAGAGACAGACACCCGTCACCTCCTCTCGCTTCTCACTGACCTGTGAACAAGTGGATGTTGCCAGCCCCCCACCCCAACAACAGATGAGATCCCCAGGAGGGGAGGGATGCATTGCGGTGATATTTTCATTCTCCCACATTCCCTCAAGAGTTCCCAGGAACAAAAGCAACCTCTCGACACAAATTATGTATCCTAAGAAACCAACTACAATATGCGTTCATGTAAATCAATGAACAAAAACCAATTGCTGCGGCACCAATTGTGAAACAAAGCCTCAGAACTAATGTTTGTAATTTGAAGTGTTCAAGAAAGTGATAAAAATCTACCCAGAGTGCTGGGTCCTCCTCTGTCTCTCGGTGACACTTCCCAGCCTTTCAGCTGTCACTCAGCCACAGTGGCTCCCAGGAGGGGTACTCTGCAACGCTGGTCTCCAGGGTCCCTCTGAGTTTAACCCCTTGCGAGGTGTTCATCCTCTCACTGGAGACAGAGACCAAGAAGTCTCCTTTCTGCATAGGCCCTGGTAACTTTGGTTACTGTCAGGGACAAACCAAACAACCTAATTAAAGGGGGCAGGGGCAGAGGTGGAGAAGAGAAGGGTGTACAGGAGGTTGCCCTTGAAATTTCTAGCACCTCCATAATTCTTCCTGCAAGATGGAGTCTGAATGACACCACCTAGCTGGCTAGGGGACCAGCTAGCCTCTGCCTGGTGCTCGCTCTGTAGATATTTCTTCGTATATAGCTAAATGCCATTATTCCCGAAGACGATGCCACAAAAAAACAGCATGCCCAACATCAAACCAAGTCTTGATGTTATGCTTCTCCTAATACTCTAATTGGGGGAAATGCTAATTACATAAGTGTACAATGCACCGTATTGTTTGTGTCTTTCTGACTGATAGCCATGATATCTGAAAGCTGATCAGCCTTAACCATGAACAAATTTCCTCACCAGAGAAGAAAGGAATTTGATCATTACCTGGAAATTATTTGCAACACATAAGGCAGGCAATTGGAATCTTAATTTATTTTTTTAATTTCTAAAATGGAAAAACATAATTATTTTGAAAACTATTTGTCTTTCTAGTGGGGTGGGAGGAGAATTTCCCCAAACCACAAGACTCCAGTAATTTCGCATTCTGTTTTAGTCTGTTACACCACAGACTTAATTACAGTTCCTCTCCCCGTATGCCTATGAAGTTTGACAGGATGCTGCCAACCTTCGATGAAAAGGGTTAGTTACTAGAAATGTATCTGTCTGATGCCCAACCTTGGCTTTATAAAGGGGGACTAGCACACACTTTGTCTACATTAACATAGAAATAGCAACTGCTTTTAGTAATAAATAAATGGTAGACTGTCCTTGGGAATCGTAGAAACGAAAATAACTTAAGTTGATGAGATTTTTTGCTCAACCACTGGAGCTGGTATTCATGCGCAAATCCAGGCACCAACTATGTGTCACTGGGCAAGTCTTGTCACTTCTCTGAGCTTCAGTGTCCTTACACATAAACCACAGATAATAATAGTACTCACATCGTGTTCTGAAAGTTAAAATAGATGATGCATATAAAGCCCTCGGCAAAGCATCTGGAATTTAGTTATTGCAAGATAAAAGTTAATTGTTGTGTAATCATTATAATAATGCAGTTCTAATCCGAGTCACTTTCATCCCCCTGCTATGGACGAAAAGTACCTTCCAAGGACATTTTTGCTGAGCTTCCCAGCACTTGTGAGGGGCTGCCCTGCCCATCTGATAGAAGATAAATTCTGAAGATGGGCAGGCCTCATTTCTGCTGGGTCCCCTGGCAAAAATGAGAGCAGAGCCCATGTGATCTTTTCGGAAAGGCAGAGCTGTTCAACTGGTCAATAATCACAGACCGGAATTCAGGACACTCCAATGGAACATGACATGAGTCAGCTCAATTCCCTCATCCTCAGCTTCCTCATCCAGGAGGTAAGAGGACAGGGCGAAGGCATTCCCATGCCCCTGTGCAACTCCAGAGTTTTGTGATTTCAGGATTCATAGTCAGAGGGCCCAACAGAAATTGGTGACTGCCCCACACACTTTTATTAACTGGAGGCAGAAGAGTATCATTTGCTTCTTCGATTCCTCCATAGTGCCCAGCATAGTGCTTCCCTGTGCTCAATAGATATCTGCTGACTGATCCACTGGTCAGATCCCAGGTCTCATGACTCCCAGATCCCTGCTCATTTAATTTCAAAAAGATCAATCAATCAATCAATCAATATATTTTCTACAGTGCTGCAGTGCCATTGTGCAGATCAGAAGAAGGTCGGCACCAGCCAAATAGCATTCCCATATTCCCATATCAATCCAACAGGCAGATAAAGACCACACACACACACATATGCACACACATACATGCACACACATATTAATACACAGGCATGCACACACGCACATACATGCACACATAAGCACATGCACACACATGACCATAATACAAGTGCACACACACGCATATGAACACTCATGCACACATACACATATGCACACATATGGACACACAGAAATGCACACACACATATGTACAGACACTTAGGAGGATATAGTGGCTCGGTCACGATGCAGAACCCTCATTTCTAGGAGTCCACCTCATAAGCACAAATCCTTTGGTGGACTCACAGGATAATTTCCCTAAGGGGCTTTGTCAGGCCTCTGAGCCCAAGCCAAGCCATTGCATCCCCTGTGACTTGCATGTACATGCCCAGATGGCCTGAAGTAACTGAAGAATCACAAAAGAAGTGAAAATGCCCTGCCCCGCCTTAACTGATGACATTCCACCACAAAAGAAGTGTAAATGGCTGGTCCTTCCCTTAAGTGATGACATTACCTTGTGAAAGTCCTTTTCCTGGCTCATCCTGGCTCAAAAAGCACCCCCACTGAGCACCTTGCGACCCCCACTCCTGCCCACCAGAGAACAAACCCCCTTTGACTGTAATTTTCCTTTACCTGCCCAAATCTTATAAAACAGCCCCACCCCTATCTCCCTTCGCTGACTGTCTTTTTGGACTCAGCCCGCCTGCACCCAGGTGAAATAAACAGCCATGTTGCTCACACAAAGCCTGTTTGGTGGTCTCTTCACACGGACGCTCATGAAATTTGGTGATGTGACTCGGATAGGGGGACCTCCCTTGGGAGATCAGTACCCTGTCCTCCTGCTCTTTGCTCCGTGAGAAAGATCCACCTACAACCTCAGGTCCTTAGACCAACCAGCCCAAGAAACATCTCACCAATTTCAAATCCAGTAAGTGGCCTCTTTTTACTCTCTTTTCCAACCTCCCTCACTATCCCTCAACCTCTTTCTCCTTTCAATCTTGGCGCCACACTTCAATATCTCTCCCTTCTCTTAATTTCAATTCCTTTCATTTTCTGGTAGAGACAAAGGAGACACGTTTTATCCGTGGACCCAAAACTCTGGCGCTGGTCACGGACTAGGGAAGGCAGCCTTCCCTTGGTGTTTAATCATTGCAGGGAAGCCTCTCTGATTATTCTTCCAGGTTTCAGAGGTGTCAGACCATGCAGGGACGCCTGCCTTGGTCCTTCACCCTTAGCGGCAAGTCCCGCTTTTCTGGGGAAGGGACAAGTACCCCAACCACTTCTCTCTGTGTCTCTACCCCTTCTCTGCCTTTCTGGGGGGCAAGAAACCCCCAACCCCTTCTCCTTCACTCTTAGTGGCAAGTCCCGCTTTTTTAGAGGAGGGCAAGTACCCCAACCTCGTATCTCTGTGCCCCAATCCCTTATTTCCACACCCCAACCTCTTATATCTCTGCCCCCCAATCCCTTATTTCCACGCACTGACCTCTTATCTCTGCACCCCAATCCCTTATTTCCGTGCCCCGACCTCTTATATCTCTGCACCCCGATCCCTTATTTCCACACCCCAACCTCTTATTTCTCTGTGCCCTGATCCCTTATTTCTGCACCCCAACCTTGTATCTCTGTGCCCTGACCCCTTTCCTGCTTTTCTGGAGGGTAAGAACCCCCAAACCGCTTCCCTCCGTGTCTCTACTCTCCCTTTTCTTTAAACTTGCCTCCTTCACTATGGGCAAAATTCCACCCTCCGTTCCTCCTTCTTTTCCTTTGGCCTGTGTTCTTAAGAACTTAAAACCTCTTCAACTCTCACCTGACCTAAAATCTAAGTGTCTTATTTTCTTCTGCAATGCCGCTTGACCCCAATACAAACTCGACAGTAGTTCCAAATAGCCGGAAAACAGCACTTTCAATTTTTCCATCCTGCAAGATCTAAATAATTCTTGTCGTAAAATGGGCAAATGGTCTGAGGTGCCTGATGTCCAGGCATTCTTTTACACATTGGTCCCTCCCTAGTCTCTGTGCCCAGTGCAACTTGTCCCAAATCTTCCTTTTTACCCTCCCACCTGTCCCCTCAGTCCCAACCCCAAGCGTCGCTGAGTCTTTCTAATATTCCTTTTCTACAGACCCATCTGACCTCTCCCCTCCTCCCCAGGCTGCTCCTCGCCAGGCCGAGCTAGGTCCCAATTCTTCCTCAGCCTCTGCTCCTCCACCCTATAATCCTTTTATCACCTCCCCTCCTCACACCCGGTCCGGCTTACAGTTTCATTCCGTGACTAGCCCTCCCCCACCTGCCCAGCAATTTACTCTTAAAAAGGTGGCTGGAGAGCTAAAGGCATAGTCAAGGTTAATGCTCCTTTTTCTTTATCCCAAATCAGATAGCATTTAGGCTCTTTTTCATCAAATATAAAAATCCAGCCCAATTCATGACTCGTTCAGCAGCAACCCTGAGACACTTTACAGCCCTAGACCCTAAAAGGTCAAAAGGCCGTCTTATTCTCAAAATACATTTTATTACCCAATCTGCTCCTGACATTAAATAAAACTCCAAAAATTAAATTCCAGCCCTCAAACCCCACAACAGGATTTAATTAACCTCGCCTTCAAGGTGTACAATAATAGAGAAAAGTTGCAATTCCTTGCCTCCACTGTGAGACGAATCCCAGCCACATCTCCAGCACACAAGAACTTCCAAATGCCTGAACTGCAGCAGCCAGGCGTTCCTCCAGAACCTCCTCCCCCAGGAGCTTGCTACAAGTGCCAGAAATCTGGCCACCAGGCCAAGGAATGCCTGCAGCCCAGGATTCCTCCTAAGCCGTGTCCCATCTGTGCAGGACCCCACTGGAAATCGGACTGTCCAACTCACCTGACAGCCACTCCCACAGCCGCTGGAACTCTGGCCCAAGGCTCTCTGACTCCTTCCCAGATCTTCTTGGCTTAGCGGCTGAAGACTGACGCTGCCCGATCGCCTCGGAAGCCCCCTAGACCATCACGGACGCCGAGCTTCGGGTAACTCTCACAGTGGAAGGTAAGTCCGTCCTCTTCTTAATCAATATGGAGGCTACCCACTCCACATTACCTTCTTTTCAAGGGCCTGTTTCCCTTGCCTCCATAACTGTTGTGGGTATTGACAGCCAGGTTGCTAAACCTCTTAAAACTCCCCAACTCTCGTGCCAACTTAGACAATACTCTTTTAAGCACTCCTTTTAGTTATCCCCACCTGCCCAGTTCCCTTATTAGGCCGAGACACTTTAACTAAATTATCTGCTTCCCTGACTATTCCTGGATTATAGCTACATCTCATTGCTGCCTTCCTTCCCAATCCAAAGCCTCCTTTGTGTCCTCCTCTTGTATTCCCCCACCTTAACCCACAAGTATAAGATACCTCTACTCCCTCCTTGGTGACCAATCATGCACCCCTTACCATCTCATTAAAACCTAATCACCCTTACCCTGCTCAACGCCAATATCCCATCCCACAGCATGCTTTGAAAGGATTAAAGCCTGTTATCACTCGCCTGCTACAGCATGGTCTTTTATAGCCTATAAACTCTCCTTATCATTCCCCCATTTTACCTGTCCTAAAACCAGACAAGCCTTACAAGTTAGTTCAGGATCTATGCTTTATCAACCAAATTGTTTTGCCTATCCACCCCATGGTGCCAAACCCATATACTCTCCTATACTCAATACCTCCCTCCACAACCCATTATTCTGTTCTGGATCTCAAACATGCTTTCTTTACTATTCCTTTGCACCCATCATCCCAGCCTCTCCTCGCTTTCACTTGGACTGACCCTGACACCCATCAGGCTCAGCAAATTACCTGGGCTGTACTGCCGCAAAGCTTCACAGGCAGCCCCCATTACTTCAGTCAAGCCTAAATTTCTTCCTTAACTGTTACCTATCTCAGCATAATTCTCATAAAAACACACGTGCTCTCCCTGCTGATCGAGTCCAATTAATCTCCCAAACCTCAATCCCTTACAAAACCACTCCTTTCCTTCCTAGGCATGGTTAGTGCAGTCAGAATTCTTACACAAGAGCCAGGACCGCACCCTGTAGCCTTTCTGTCCACACAACTTGACCTTACTGTTTTAGCCTAGCCATCATGTCTCCGTGTAGCAGCTGCTGCTGCCCTAATACTTTCAGAGGCCCTCAAAATCACAAACTATCTTCAACTTACTCTTTACATTTCTCATAACTTCCAGAATCGATGTTCTTCCTCATACCTGACGCATATACTTTCTGCTCCCTGGCTCCTTCAGCTGTACTCACTCTTTGTTAAGTCCCACAATTACCATTGTTCCTGGCCCGGACTTCAATCCGGCCTCCCACATTATTCCTGTTACCACAGCTGACCCCCATGACTGTATCTCTCTGATCCACCTGACGTTCACTCCATTTCCCCACATTTCCTTCTTCCCTGTTTCTCACCCTGATCACGCTTGATTTATTGATGGCAGTTCCACCAGGCCTAATCGCCACACACCAGCAAAAGCAGGCTATGCTATAGTACAAGCCTCTAGCCCGTCTCTTAGAACCTCTCATTTCCTTTCCATCATGGAAATCTATCCTCAAGGAGATCACTTCTCAGTGTTCCATCTGCTATTCTACTAGCCCCTCAGGGATTGTTCAGGTCCCCTCCATTTCCTACACATCAAGCTCGAAGATTTGTCCCTGCCCAGGACTGGCAAATTGACTTTACTTACATGCCCCGAGTCAGATAACTAAAATACCTCTTAGTCTAGGGTAGACATTTCCACTGGATAGGTAGAGTCCTTTCCTACAGGGTCTGAGAAGGCCACCGTGGTCATTTATTTCCTTCTGTCAGACAGAATTCCTTGGTTGGCCTTCTCACCTCTATACAGTCTGATAACAGACCAACCTTTTCTAGTCAAATCACCCAAGCAGTTTCTCAGGCTCTTGATATTCAGTGGGACCTTCATATCCCTTACCATCCTCAATCTTCAAGAAAAGTAGAACGGACTAATGGTCTTTTAAAGACACACCTCACCAAGCTCAGCCTCCAACTTAAAAAGGATTGGACAGTGCTTTTACCTCTTGCCCTTCTCAGAATTAGAGCCTGTCCTCGAGATGCTACAGGGTACAGTCCATTTGAACTTCTATATGGACGCACTTTCTTGCTTGGCCCCAACCTCATCTCAGACACCAGCCCTCTAGGTGACTATCTTCCAGTCCTCCAACAGGCTAGACAGGAAATTCGCCAGGCTGCTAATCTTCACTTGCCTACTCCAGATCCCCAGCCATATGAAGACACCCTAGCTGGATGATCAGTTCTTATTAAGAATCTGACCCCTCAAACTCTACAACCTGGATGGACCGGACCCTACGTAGTCATCTATAGTACCCCAACTGCCGTCCGCCTGCAGGATCCTCCCCACTGGGTTCACCATTCCAGAATAAAGCTGTGTCCATCGGACAGCCAACCTAATCCCTCCTCTTCCTCCTGGAAGTCACAAGTACTCTCCCCTACTTCCCTTAAACTCACTCGTATTTCTGAAGAACAGTAATAACCCTTATAAGCCTAACCATCCCTTCATTCTATTAGGTCTGTTCGTCCTTACCCTACTTTTTGCAACAGGGCTTTATGAAGTCACCCCACCACTTAGGCTGAGCCCCAAAAACCTTGTCATCCCTACTATTTTCTGTCTAGTCTTACTCCTATTCTCTGTTCTCAACTACTTATAAATGCCCTACTCTTGTTTACACTGCTGGTTTACACTGTTTCTTCAAGCCATCACAGCTGATATCTCTTGGTGCTATCCCCAAACTGCCACTCTTAATTCCCTCTCAGAGTGGGTAGATGATCTTTGCTGGCAGGGCACCCTCCAATACTTCCACCCTGATGAAGTTCTATTCTTTACTTTTATACTCACTCTTATTCTCATTCCCATTCTCATGCCACCCTTTACCTCTCCCCAGCTATCTCCACCACACTATCAACCTTACCCATTCTCTCCTAGCAGCTTCTAATCCCTCCTTAGTGACCAACTGCTGGCTTTGCATTTCCCTTTCTTCCAGTGCCTACATAGCTGTCCCCGCCTTACAGACAGACTGGGCAACATCTCCTGTCTCCTTACACCTCCGAACTTCCTTTAACAGCCCTCACCTTTACCCTCCTAAAGAACTCATTTACTTTCTAGACAGGTCCAGCAAGACTTCCCCAGACATTTCACATCAGCAAGCTGCCGCCCTCCTCCGCACTTATTTAAAAAACCTTTCTCTTTATACTCTACTCCCCCCATATTTGGACCTCTCACAACACAAACTACTATTCCTGTGGCCGCTCCTTTATGTATCTCTCGGCAAAGACCCACTGGAATTCCCCTAGGTAATATTTTACCTTCTCGATGTTCCTTTACTCTTCATCTCCGAAGCCCAACTACACACATCACTGAAACAATTGGAGCCTTCCAGCTCCATATTACAGACAAGCCCTCTATCAATACTGACAAACTTAAAAACATTAGCAGTAATTATTGCTTAGGAACACACTTACGCTGTATTTCACTCCATCCTTGGCTACCTTCCACTTGCTCATCAGACTCTCCTCCCAAGTCCTCTTCTTGTTTACTTATACCCAGTCCCGAAAATAACAGTGAAAGGTTGCTCGTGGATAGTCAACGTTTTCTCATACACCATGAAAATCGAACCTCCTCCTCTATGCAGTTACCCCATCAGTCCCCATTACAACCTCTGACGGCTGCCGCCCTAGCTGGATCCCTAGGAGTCTGGGTACAAGACACCCCTTTCAGCACTCCTCACCTTTTTACTTTACATCTCCAGTTTTGCCTTGCACAAGGTCTCTTCTTCCTCTGTGGATCCTCTACCTACATGTGTCTACCTGCTAATTGGACAGGCACATGCACACTAGTTTTCCTTACCCCCAAAATTCAATTTGCAAATGGGACCGAAGAGCTCCCTGTTCCCCTCATGACACCGACATGACAAAAAAGAGTTATTCCACTAATTCCCTTGATGGTTGGTTTAGGACTTTCTGCCTCCACTATTGCTCTCGGTACTGGAATAGCAGGCATTTCAACCTCTGTCACGACCTTCCGTAGCCTGTCTAATGACTTCTCTGCTAGCATCACAGACATATCACAAACTTTATCAGTCCTCCAGGCCCAAGTTGACTCTTTAGCTGCAGTTGTCCTCCAAAACTGCCGAGGCCTTGACTTACTCACTGTTGAAAAAGGAGGATTCTGTATATTCTTAAATGAAGAGTGTTGTTTTTACCTAAATCAATCTGGCCTGGTGTATGACAACATAAAAAAACTCAAGGATAGAGCCCAAAAACTTGCCAACCAAGCAAGTAATTACACTGAATCCCCTTGGGCACTCTCTAATTGGATGTCCTGGGTCCTCCCAATTCTTAGTTCTTTAATACCCATTTTTCTCCTTCTTTTATTCGGACCTCGTATCTTCCATTTAGTTTCTCAATTCATCCAAAACCGTATCCAGGCCATCACCAATCATTCTATATGACAAATGTTTCTTCTAACAACCCCACAATATCACCCCTTACCACAAGATCTCCCTTCAGCTTAATCTCTCCCACTCTAGGTTCCCATGCCGCCCCAATCCCGCTCGAAGCAGCCCTGAGAAACATCGCCCATTCTCTCTCTCCACACCACCCCCCAAAAATTTTCGCTGCCCCAACACTTCAACACTATTTTGTTTCATTTTTCTTATTAATATAAGAAGGCAGGAATGTCAGGCCTCTGAGCCCAAGCCAAGCCATCGCATCCCCTGTGACTTGCACGCATATGCCCAGATGGCCTGAAGTAACTGAAGAATCACAAAAGAAGTGAAAATGCCCTGCCCCGCCTTAACTGATGACATTCCACCACAAAAGAAGTGTAAATGGCCGGTCCTTCCCTTAAGTGATGACATTACCTTGTGAAAGTCCTTTTCCTGGCTCATCCTGGCTCAAAAAGCACCCCCACTGAGCCCTTGCGACCCCCCACTCCTGCCCACCAGAGAACAAACCCCCTTTGACTGTAATTTTCCTTTACCTGCCCAAATCTTATAAAACAGCCCCACCCCTATCTCCCTTCGCTGACTGTCTTTTTGGACTCAGCCCGCCTGCACCCAGGTGAAATAAACAGCCATGTTGCTCACACAAAGCCTGTTTGGTGGTCTCTTCACACGGACGCGCATGAAAGGCTTTCCCTAATGTCAAAGATTTGGAGGAAAATCACCCAAGATGGCTCCAAGAACCACACACATCCAAGCAAGCCAACTGGAAGTGCAGACACCCCTGCAGACACGACCGTGTCCTCATCTGTGTTCCAGTCATTGGGACTACGAGAGCTCTCAGGAAGATGAACAAGAAACAACATCTAAATAAGTAATAGTGGTAGGGCAATTGGAGCCTCCTCATTCTCCAGCTTCCTCCCCCAGAGCTCATCGCCTGACCCCCAACTTTCCCCATTTTCCAAGTCAGTGCACTTGGTGGGGGCCCATCAGGCCAGTGCTCCCTGATCACATCCCGTCGTTGCTTGGCCAGGGAACTGTTGTCAATTTAGAGAAGGTGGAATTCATTTCTTTACATTCACATCCGATCTTATCAAAGGGGCTGCCATGAGGGGCAGAGCTGCTGGTTTTGTTCTTTCAGCTTCCTCTCTCCCCCTTCCCCCACTCTGTGGGTCTCTCTCCCTCTCCCCCTTAGCCTCCAAGCCTGAGTCAGAGATCTCCTCTCTGAAGTTAATGGCTGTAAGAAGATTTCATTTTATTATATCTTCAACAGTCCTGTTATTTTAAATTTGCCTTTGACAAACTCAGAGCCCTGGAATCACCATTTAGGAAACAAAGCTTAACCGGGAGCTTTTAAGAAGGGTATTTTCCCTTCCATTTTAGCAGGCTAGTAAAAATCAATAATGCTGTGTTCCCATCTGTAGACCACCTGACATCTCATGAATGGTCAATGGAGCCTGCTCTGACTGCAGAAGCCACTGAGAGATGCACTGGCCAGCCTGGCATGCAAGCTGGACACTCGCCTTGCCTTTCTGCCAATTTCAGGGCTTCACTCACCCCAGAAGGTGCTCCTGGGTGCCTTCCTTGGGAGGAAGGCTGGGTTTTTCCTGACAGAGTTTACAGTGGCCAAATTGAGGATGGGAAAATTGTGGGATGGGGAAGAGAGATGTTATCTGAGCTCAGAGATGATCAAACCCTTTGTCCCCCAAAGGATTCGTTAAATAGGACAAGCCTAGGATGGGGATTTGGAGGGTATTATTCCAGTGCAATTAGCCATGAGCTCCAGGAGGCAAGAAGCTGTCAATTGGTCCTCACTGATGCCAAAAGGTTTGGGACCCCAAACCCTGCCCGGATGCTTGTCAACCCCTTGATAGGCTGAAGCAGGGGCAACAGCAAAACTCAGCCCTGGTGCAGGACACAACGCCCTCTGCCTCCATGTGTGCCCCAAGGCATGCGCTTCTCCCACTGCCCAGAGGCATCTAAATGTGTCCTTGCAGGACAGCCAGTGTGGCCTTTCCCACAGCACATGTACAGAAACAAATGTGACTTCCAAACAATGGAGCCAAAATTTAGAAGCCACTGTGACTGCAGGACCCATGAGAAACAGGACTCCGTGGAAAACAGCCAAGACAAGGCAGGGAACCATGAAACAGCCAACCCCCCTCGCACCACCCTGAGGCCTTTTCAAAGACACAGACTGAAACATATTGTCACTCCTAAGCCAAGTTTAACTTCTAAAGAAATCTTTTCAAGATGTTCAAAGCGCCAAATGCAGTTTAGCTCTAAGCACTACCATCTGCCACTGCAGGCAAGCCCATCCCGTAATCCCTGGCTCGGGCAGAGGCCCGCGGAGCAGGGTTGCCTGCTGTGCCCACTGGAGAATGCACATTGGGTAGCGAGTGACAAAGGGCCCGCTGGGGCTCTGCCGGCTCCTGGGCAGCGGCACATGGGGTGCAGCAGGGTGTGGAAGCAGTTGAGGAGACAGCACATCTGTGCAGACATAGCACACCTGGGCTGAAGCCAGGTCTCAAAGTGACACCCAGAGCCCCTGTAGTCATTGTGAGTAGGGAGGGAAAACTCAAGGTCCACTAGCGAAGCTTGGAATTCCTTTGCCTCTAGAATCTCAGGTGCAAATAAATGGACACATATTTGATTTCCAAATGGAAACTCATCTTGCATTGGTTTTTGTTTCTCTCTTTTTTTTTCTGTTTATTTTTTTCTGTTCTGGAAAATGCCATCATGAGTTGGCATGAAATTAAACAGCTGCCCATTTTAATGGGAGAACTAATACTCTTTGTGAGCTATGCCTCATCCACCATCTCAACTCCAACTTTGTATATCCTGAGTGCAGGAAATTCAAGACAGGCCAGAAGGTCTGTTACACTGCGGCCAGGAGCACAGCACTGGCACATCACAGAGACTCAGAGCCAGAGAAGGAAGAGATGCAGGGGCCAGGGCCCCTCTCAGTGGAGGGTGAAGGGGCTCAGGGGTGAACTCAGGGTTAAGGGAGATCGGGGAGGCCCAAAGGATCAGAGTGGAGTGGAAGGAGGCGAAGTTAGCCAGGAAACAAGATGACCACGAGGACCTCAGATGTGCCCTCATCCTCTGAAATCCCCTGGAGCCCTCAGACCCAGAAACAGGAGATTGGCTTGGTTTGGGGTTGGGGTTTCGTTTTTATTTTCTCTGGTGCCTGACCGGAGTCTGGGTGATAGCCTTTAAAACACCTTGAAATCTGTAGCCACCACTTCAGCCAAACGCCCAGCCCGCCATGAAAGCATCTAGAAGCACAGCGAAATGGCGCACAAGGAGGCTCCAAATTCTTCCTCCCTTCACCTTTCCCTTTCCTGCAGGCCCCCTTGCACCCACTCCATCCCTGACCCTGCTCAGGGTTAGTAAACCTGGGGCTCTAGGTGGTGGCCCCAGCAGGCCCAGCTCCCTGGGGGCCATGTGTCCATCTGTGAACTGTGCAAAGGGCCTGTGGGGAACATACTGCTCCCATGGGCTGGGGAGAAATTTCTGGGAGTGTGTTTCTTGTCCCAACAATTGGTAGAGGAGATACCAGTGGCATTTAGAGGATGAAGACTGGAACCGCTGAAGATCCAGACCCCTGAGTTCCAATCACAGTTCTAGCACTGATTGGCTGTGTAAACTTCTCTGGCCTCAGTTTCCTCATCTGTAAAATGGCAATAATAACCATGCCTACCTCCCAAGATTGTTGTGCACATGCTGTGAATCAACCTTTACAAAGCCCCTAGAACAAGGCCTAAAACTTACAAATATCAGTGATCATTTTCCTGAAATCTAAGGGACAGAATAAATAATCGTCCCGTGCTCTATGTGACTTTCAGATGTTCCACTAAACATTGGAATAGATTGAAAAACATCTTTATAGTGATCTGAGCTTGAAATGTAACTCTTTTTCATATATAAACATAAAAAATTTAAAAGGTTTTAACATACAACGGGTCTTCCAGGATTGCAATCACTATATTGGATCGGACACAGCATATTCATCTCCTCAGATTCTCTTCGCTGCACCTTGCCACCTGGGCTTTCAGCTTTCTGCTCCACCTGAGTCTCAACAAGGCATCCTCATTCCACCACCTAAGCCCCACCAGCCATGTGCCCTTGTGCCGTGAATCTCAGAATGCTTCTGTTGCTTCTAGCATCACATAACAGGCCACGCTCAAGGAGGTGTGATCTGGCTTCCTGCTCAGTTGCCAAGGGACCAGATAACATAACCCAGAAGTACAGGAGAGTCAATTCCCCATGGAATGAACTTTGGCCATTGGGTATCAGGATTCCCACTTTCTTCCTTCTCCCTGGGGACTGTTCTAAAGTTTGATTTCTCTGTACAAGCTGGCTGGGGACTTCCCGTGTGGCCGAGCGTACACACCCTCCTCACAGCATGTCTTGAAGCAGCGGCTGTCCAGCAGCGCATAAGTTTGTGTGGCTTTCCACCTTCACTGCCACGCTTCCTTGTCTTTCATGCTTGCTGCCCTGGGATTGTACCTCCTAGAGAAAGCATCACCACTTTACCCCAGCCTCATGCTGCATTCCAGGAAACGGGCTCACATTTCTCTACAGAGGGGAGCTTGCACTGTGTCTTTACCGAGAGTTGTTTGCCATTTCAGAAAAATCACAAAATCAGTCAGGTGCAGCGGCTCACACCTGTAATCCCAGCACTTTGAGAGGCTGAGGTGGGTGGATCACTTGAGGTCAGGAGTTCGAGACCAGCCTGGCCAAAATGATGAAACCCCATCTCTACCAAAAATACAAAAATCAGCTGGTCATGGTGGTGCCTGTCTGTAATCCCAGCTACTTGGAAGGCTGAGGCAGGAGAAACGCTTGAACCCGGGAGGCAGAGGTTGCAGAGAGCCGAGATCACACCACTGCACTCCAGCCTGGGCAACAGAGTGAGACTCCCTCTCAAAGAAAAAAAAAAAAGAAAAATCACGTAATCAACAGCAACAACACTTAAGGTATTGAAGTCACAAATACAATACAACCTACCTCCATCAGTCTGTGTGTATAGCTGTGGCATTCATTTGAGTACAGTTGTGCCTGTGTATTTACTTATTGAACTACTTTATTATAAATGACTTTCGTTTTATTTCTCCCTATATTACAGGTAGGGCATTACATCGATTTTTTATTATGGATAAAGGCAGGTTATATTATCTATAAATGCTATATCAGGATAGTAAAGAGGTCATTACAAAATATTTGTCATGTAAAGAGGAGACTGAGTTGACAATGCTGAGAAGCCATGGTGGAGGAGAAAGAGCCCCAGACTGGCCCTAGGCCATTGGCCTGCTGTGTCGTAGTGGATAAGACATTGGTCTCCATGGGCATTGGTTTCTCCTCCACAAAATGAAGAGGTGGAATGACATGCTCCCTTGAGTCCCCTGCAGTTCTACCACCCAGAGGTTTAGTTTCCAGAGCTGTTATCTGCTGCTATTTTTCTATGCTTCCACTAAGCTGTTTCCTCTGTTGTCAGAACCCATCCGAGACTGGCAGGCAGTGAGTGGACACCCACCTAAGTTAGATTTCACTCCAAAATTATAGGTACACCATAGGGCCCTGCTGGCTGCCATCCTGGGCCACCTGGGTCACCTGCCCTGAGTGTAGATGTCTGCCTGCACTGTGTAAGTCAGCCCACCTGTCACATCACAGTGTCGGGCCCCTCCTGGGTCTCCGCGTGCTTCCTGACCTTGCCACACTCACTGTGTCCTGCTTCCAGGGCTGGCAGCTGCCTGGGAACTTTGCCCCAGCTCTGTCTCTGTCCCTCCAGGCAATACCTCCTGATCCTCTCCCAGGCCCAACTGTCAGGGAAGGCAAGGGCCGAAGCCCAAGTCCCATGGCAGGAACTGGAAGTCGTTACCTGGAAGGCAGATGCTTTGAGAGCCAGGCCACTGCCCTTGAGCTTTCCTAGGGTGCTGGAGGGGAGGTTCTTTTTCCTTCCTGAGAAACTCTAAGTCTGGGTCAGTAAATTACAGCTTGTGAGACAGTTGCGTAGTAGTTGGACATGTAATGTCCCAGTTCTAATGACATGAACATTAGCATTTACTAAGCTTCTGAACTCTTCCAGTGTGAATCTTCACAACGGAATCTTCACAACATCTCTGCAAGGTGGATAATTATTAGCTCGATTTCATAGTGGGAAAATCAAGGCTCAGATGAACCTTCCTCAAGTCCTGGTAAACAAGGAGCGGAGGCAGGGCTTAAACCCGGCTGCTGTGGCTCCAAATCCTCACCTTTTGCTCCCACTCTGGTGCCTCTCACCCTGCTAGCTAAAGACAGTTCCACCAGATGACCCAGGAGAGCAGGCGCTGGGACAAGGAAGCAGCTGTGACCTGGCCCAAAGGCAGTGCTTTTCTTTGCATAGCATTTTTTAAATTTAAAAAGCACAGTGCATACCAGTTGATGCCCCAGCCCTCCCTCCCAGGTAGATTTTGAAATCCTCTAGATGTGGAAAAATCTAAACATATTGTGCTATTTACAGAGTAAACAAGGGGAGTTGAGGATTTCATAAGCATGTTCTCCACTTTTTTTTCCCTTTTCCTCTTCCATCTTGGGAGTAGAAGAAAACAGATTCGGTTTACCTGAGACTCAACTTCAATCCCTTGGACAGAAGAGTGCTATGCTAGGTGCCAGGTTAGTGGGGGTTGGAAGTACAGATTTGGGGTTTGGGGCAGAAAAGAGTCAGCTGTGGGTTAAAGTGGAGTGGACCAGCTCCCCCGGGGCATGATTCTGGCACCTTCGTCTCTGGCAGGGTGGAGGGGGGTCCTGGGTACTTAGCAGCTCTGAGCTTTCAAGTCCTCTCATATAAAATGAGGACAGCTGGCCCCGCCTCAGGGGATGCTAGAGAATTCAGTGAGACCATGGGTGTCAAGGGCTTCACTTGTGGAAGGATGCTACATCCCTCCTCACCCTCAGAAGGCTCCAAAAAGATGTGCACAGGAAGGCAAGGGAGTGGTCGCCAGGACTTCAGAGGACACGGTGACTGGGACCTGGATGGGCGGTAAAGGAGACGGGGTGGCAGGAGACCACACACAGAACAGACTGGGAAAATGGGGTGGCAGACGGTGGTGCAGGGCCATGGAGATTTGTGGGCAGCCTTCAATGGAGTGTGTGCTTGGGGCACGCCTGGGGCATTTCTGATTCTTCTTCCTCTTCCAGCCCAAAAATATCGTCAGAGTGTCAGGGTGGGTCTTCCCCCTGTGGTTTCCACCACCTTGTGCCAACTCAAATGATGGGAATGATGTCATTTAACAGACCTAGTGTGACCAAGACTGCGATCTGTCCCTCAGTATCTGTTCTCTTCTTATCAGAAACACAACTACAGATTTCTACCTGGTGCATGGCCATCGCTCATGAAGACTACAACTTCCAGCTTCCTTTGAAGAAAAAGAGGACTTGATGGCATTGTCGCTAAGTAAGAAATAATGTGTGTGACTTCAGGGTTGCCCCCTTAAAGGGAGGGGACATTTTCCATCCTGCTGTTCAGAGTATGGATGTGATGAGAGACATCTTGGATGATGCAGAGGAGGTGAACACCCCAGGACAATGAAACCACAGGAGAGAAAGAGCCTGCGCTGGCCCATCTAGCACAGCCACTGGACACAGGGACCACCTGCCTCTGCACTCTTATGGAAGGAGGAAATCTAACTTTCCCAGTTTAAGGCACTGTTACTTTGGGCTCCTGTTACATAACTGTGGCAGAATGAAGGTTCAACATGGAAACTGGCAATGTTGAAGAAACATAAAGTTCATTGCTTGAATATCTGAAGTTGTGGACTCAATCTCATACCTGCTCCACTTATGAGTTATAGGTGAGTAGTGTGCTCACTAAACTTCAGCTGCACACTCAACAGCATTAGCCAAGAGGGAAATGCAAATCAAAAACACAATAAGATGCCAGTTCCCACCCAGTTGAATGGTTATAACTTTTTTAAAAAGAAAAAAAATAAGTGTAAATGAGAATGTGGGTAAAGCAGAATACTCATGCACCACTGGTGGGAATGTGAAATGGTGCAGCCCCTTTGGAAAACAGTTTGGTCTGGCAGTTTCTCAAAAAGTTAAACATAGGGTTCCCATATGACCCTGCAACTTTGCTCCTAGGTATACACCCAAGAGAGTTGAAAACATGGTCCCACAGAGAAACTTGGACACAAGTGTTCACAGCAGCACTATTCCTATTAGATAGCAGTAGAAATAACCTAAATGTCCATCAACCGATAAAGAGATAAAATGTTGTCTATCCATACTATGGAATATTATTCAGTCATAAAAAGGAAGGGAGTTCTGATACATGCTACAGCATACATGAACCTTGCAGACATGATGCTAACTGGGCTCCATTTATATGAAGTGTCTGGACTAGGCAACTCTGTAGAGATGGACAGTAGATTAGTGGTTTCCAAGGGGCTGAGGACAGGGGTATCAGTGGCAGGGGGAATTGGGAGTGTCTGCTAACAAGTACAGCTTTTTTTGGGGGCTGACGAATATATTCTGGAACTAGATAATGGTGATGGTTGTACAACATTGTAAATATAGTGAAAACCACTGAATTGTGCACTTTAAAATGGTGGGAATTTTTGTTTTTTGTTTTTGTTTTTGAGACTGGGTCTCACTCTGTCATCTAGGCTGGAGTGCAGTGGTACAATCATGGCACACTGCAGCCTCAACCTCATGGGCTCAGGTGATCCTCCTGCCTCAGCCTCTCAAGCAGCTGAGACTACAGGTGAGTGCCAGCATGCCTGGCTAATTTTTGTTATTATTATTATTATTATTATTTTGTAGAGAGGGGGTTTTGCCATGTTTCCCAGGCTGGTCTCGAACTCCTGGGCTCAAGTGATCCGCCCAGCTCAGCCTCCCAAAGTGCTAGGATTACAAGCATGAGCCACTGCACCCAGCCAAAAGCCCAAAATGGTAGGTTATGTGTTATGTGAAATTTGTCTCATAGCAAAATTGTCACACAAAGGAAAAGCACCATGTTCCCCATCGCCCTCTCCTTCTGCACACAGCATTACCACATCTAGCTTGATACCCCAGCAAACATCTCTATTGATGGCATTTCAGTTCTTCCAGGTCTCAGGAATGGGATCAGCAGGTCTCAGGGTTGTACTCTCCTGGATCTCTCACCAGCCACCTCAAACCAGCTGCCATAGCCTGTCCACTTCCACTCCAATCTTCTCTTCCTTCATCACCTCCCTTGCACACCCTGATAACCTCGAAAGAGAACTCTTCCCAAGGCTCTGTTCCAAACACATCGCCACTCTGCTTAGAACCTTCAATGACTCCTCATGGCCTAGGAGGTTTCTCTCCCATCTGGATCCAGCTGACGTTCCCAGCACCTTCTCCTGACTCCTGTCTTTTCTTGAACCAGTTCTGCCCAACAAGGAGGAAAGGGCTGACAGAGTGAAAGTCCCAGGGCATGTGGGAATGTGACTCTTTTCACTTTAAATTCTATGACTGGAAAGTTTTGGGCAGAGTTGGACATGTGCACTTAGCTTCCAGAAGACAGAATCCTTTTAAAAGAGTCAGAGAAAACACTGGCTTCCTGCCATGACATGAGATACAGACAGGAGAGTTGGGAAGCTTTTTAAAGATGGCACTATGACTACAATCACAGAAACTCTCCATGAGGAAGTAAAAGAAAGCACCTGCAACACTCCAGCTATGCAGACCACTCTGTAATGGGCTCAGATCTGGACAGGTGTGTGGAAAGGTGGGTCAACAGGTCAGGCGTCACAGACTTGGAACATTCATGGTGGAAAAGAAAAAGCCCCAAAGAAGAGACTTCAGGATAAATGAGAAAATACTCAAGACAGCAAAAGTCTCTTTTAGAAATGTTGGAGAAAGAACACTTAATGTCAGGAGTTACTGTTGATTGATGGCCTTACTGTGTAGCAGGTGAGAAACCCATTGTTCAGTTCCCTAAAGTCACCCTATTCTCCCAATCATCCTATGGAGGGGGAACCATGATGGTTATCCCCATCTTATAAATAAAGCAACAGAGGCTTAGAAGGACGAACTCTTTTTCTCAAGGTTACCCAGATCATTTTGCAGAAGTCCCTAGATTTGAATCATGCTCTTGCTTTGAGGTTAAAGACACAGGGGAAGTCGAACTCCTTATCTCCTATATCCTGAATAGGGAAAACCAAACATTGTCAAGAGGAGAGGAAGCCTGAGAGTTGGCATGAATCAGAGTGCTGGGCAGTCTGGAGTCTTCCCCACTGAGTTGATGATGGAACAGTAGAGTGGGGCCTGAGCCCCGTTAGGGCATGAGCTGCTGAATGATTCATGTGAACACCATGCACATGGGAGTGAGGTTTTGAGCAGTGTGCCACAGGAGCCTACCCTCAGGCCCCACCATAAAATGTAGGGCCAGTCCTACATTTTATCAATGACTTGCGTGAACACAGAAAATGTGGATACAACCAAAAGGTAACAATCCAATTAAAAAATGGACAAAAAACTTGAATAAACATTTCTCAAAAGAAGATATACAAATGATCAAAAAGCATATGAAAAAATGCTCAACATCGCTAATTGTAAGAGAAATGCAAATCAAAACTATAATGAGATACCACCTTATATTGATTAGGAAGACTGCTATAAAAATAGTAAACAAACAAACAAACAAAGTAAGTCTTGGGGAGGATGCAGAGAAATTAAAATTTTTGTGCACTGTTAGTGGGAATGTAAAATGGTGCAGCTGTTACGGGAAACGGTATGACAGTTCCTCAAAAAATAAAATGTAGAAACAGCATATGTTCTAGCAATTCTATTTCTGGATAACATACCCAAACGAATTAAAAACAGGGTCTCAAAGAGAGATCCGTACACCCATGTTCATAGCAGCATGATTCACCCTGGCAAAAGGAGAAAGTAGCCCCAGTGTCCATTGTGAATGAGTAGATAAACAAAATGTGGCACATACACAGAATTAAATATTATTCAGCCTTTTAAAGGAAGGAAATCCTGACACATGGTACAACATGGATGAACCCTGAGGACTTTATGCTAAGTGGAATAAACCAGTCTCACTAAAGAGCAAATACCATAGGATTCCACTTATGTGAGGTACATAGAGTAGTCACATTCATAGAAATAGAAAGTAGAATGGCAGTTGCCAGGGGTCAGGGGAAAAAGTTTAAGGAGAAAGCCCCTTTGGGGGAACAAGATGGTGCCTGGAAAATAGAGGTTATAAAACCTGTATTCCAACCCTCAGTGGGCTCAAATCTTTCTGCATGGAGCCAGGTTTTCCCCATCTGATTCTTCATGAAGTTCCCACCCACCCCCTCATCTCCTGCACAGACAGAGAGCAGCCTGGATTTACTGTGACAGGGTGCAGAGGGGGTTCTTTGCAGCTGCCTTTTGGGGTGGGGCCACAGCTGGTTGTTCTTGAACCCTAAGTAAGTCTTGGGATAAAACTGTTGCAAATGAAGCTATTAAGAACCCTGGTTAGTTCAATAAGGGCTTTTGAATAACAAAACAAAAAAAAGTAGGATTCTTAAATCAGCATCATCAGCTCTGTGTATTCCTGGAGCTTGAGGGGTTCCTGCCAAAGAAGCCGAACTAAGGAGGCTTGGGAGAGGCTCCAGGGCCTTTCTGGGGTGCTTCAGAATGTGGCAGAGGTTGCTTCTCAGCAGGTTTAAAGAGTGATGATTTTACTTACAATCGGGGCTTTGTGGGAAGTTTAGATATTGCTTACAAGTTTCCAGAATGTGGTTTATTTAAAACCAGAATTTGCAGAGGACCCACTAGTCCAAGTTTCTGTGCTAATAAAGCCTGATTTGCAAAGATGGTCAGGGCAGTCACGGCAGAGTCTGCGGGGCCACCAAGACCCAACAGGCTCGGACTCAGCGTCCTCTCCTTGCTGTCTCCAAAGCAGAGCACTTACTCCTGAACAACTCTGCCCGTCAGCTGTTTGTCAAAACCAAGGCAACAATTAAAACAATCCAGAAAGCAAATTCTGGGCACCAGGAAAGCCCCATAGCAAATAGGGTTGGCCCTGGCACCAATCTGTGGGTGTGGGACATCAGAGTGCCTACCAGGTGGAGTTGGGGGATTCGAGCAGTTTCCACACTGAGAGAAGTGGGGATGGCTGGGCCTGAACCAGCTGGGGAGGGCTGCCCATCCTGCTGGGTGTCCTGTCCCAGACCCTTTCAGATGCTGCCAGGACATGGAGGGTGACAGAGCAGCTGAGTCAGATTGCAAGGGGTTCAAATGCAGAATCCTGGGCCTCCCAGGCCCACCGAATGGGACCCTGGAGCAGTATGGCTGGAGTGTGCATGGCTAGGAAGCCGGGTTTCTGACACACCTCCAGTGGATCTGGGCGCACTCCAGTTTGAGACCATCCTCTGGGTGACAGCCCTGCTGCAGGGGTCAAAGGGTGATGGATGAATCAATTTTATTGACTTTTAAAGCTGAAGGAGTCATGGGGCCCAGCCCAGCTCACCAGGCACAGAGGCAGCACATTGAATATTCACCTCCTCCTTCAGCGTCCATTTCCCTCCATCCATCCTGGTTGTGTCTCAGGACTGGCAGTGAACCGGAGAGACAGAATCCCTGTTCTCAGGGACCCACCATTCCAGATGATGACGGTGCCTTCAATTAAATAGCACTGTCACATCACAATCACCCATGATTCTATCGCCTGTTGTTGAGTATATTGTTCTACCAACTTACAGATGAGGGAATAGGACCCAAGAAGCCCAAGGGCTTGGCCATGGTCTGGAAGCTTATAAGGGAAGGACAAATCCTTGAAGGCAGTGCCTTCTGCCCCCGACCCCCCAACCCCCAACCCATGCCAACCCACAGAGAATTACTGGGCCTCATCTCTACAAATCAGGGGTTCTCAATGTGGGCACTTCTCCAGGGGACGCTTGGCAATGTCTGGAAACATTTTTGGTTGTTACAACTGGGGGTGCTACTGGCATCTAGTGGGTAGAGGTTGGGGATGCAGCTAAGCCTCCCACAAAATGCACAGCAAAGAGTGATCCACCCCAAATGCCAAACAGTTCTTGTGGCTGAGAATAGAGGCAGGGCGGGGATTTATGTTATTTAACACAGTAGATTGGCTGTTTCATAGAAGTAGTGTGAGATAAATACGTTCTTCACTTTACAGAAGAGAAAATTAAGGGTAAAAAGTAATGAATGCTAAAGGTCCCATAACTAGAACCAGGTAGAACTGGGACCTAAACCAGCATCTGTCCTGCTCTAAGTAATCATAGCTTTGCCCCTGAACCTCCTGGTCACCTTGGGGCCAGCAGACTAGGCTCAGTGCGAACAGGAGGAGGCCTGGGTCTGAAACAGCTTGAGAAGCACCTTACCCCAAATCCCCACAGATCTGAGGGCTCCTTACTTGCTGCTGTCCCCAGGGCCCTGCCCAGTGCCTCATTTCCCACTAAGGAAATCCCCTTGAAATTCTTTTCTTGGTTGTTTTTTGTTTGGTTGGTTTTGGTTTTTTGCAGGTGCTGAGGTTCAGGAGTCTGCACTCAGCTTGTCATTAAATCAGGCTTAAACTGGAAGTCTGGCCAGACTGGGGCGGGTCTCCAGTTATCTTGTGTGACAGCCACAATGGCTCGCCTGGCTTCTGTCCAATCTGGGTAGGTCTCCAGTTATCTTGTGTGACAGCCACAGTGGCTCGCCCTGCTGCCACCACCCTGGCCCCTGCTCTGGGGGTGCTTGGAGCCTCCCACCCACCCCACAAAACTGGATCCATTAAAGGGCTTTCCAGGCCACACCCAGCTAAGTTCACAACACCCCCTTCCCTGGCAGGCTGGGGCCAGGAGGGGCCCTCCCTTTCCTTGGAGGGATGAGCTGGGACAGAAGGCAGGGGAAGGAGATCAGAGATTCCCTCCATTCAATTCAGAAATAATGGATTCCTACAGAAAAGTCACTTCCAGGGACAATTTGGTGGTACCTGCTGATTGGCATCTCTTTGGAGGATTTATTTATGGGCACACAGTTCTTGAAACCTACTGGAAGGTGGGCCCAGCACCAAGGACCCACTGGGGCAGGGCGTTTCTGGAAGTAGTGCAGCTGGTTCCCACGGGAATGCAGATGCAGAGGAGGCCAACCCAGCTTCTCCCAGTGTAGCAGCCATAAAGTCAGGGGATAGAGAGGAGGGAGGGAGAGAGAGGAAATGCTTTGCAGGGCGTTGCACACTTGCTGGGCTTCTCCCCAAGGCCTGGGGCTCCTCTCCTCACCCTCTTCTGGCCCCTTCCTTTTCTCACCCTCCTCACCCCCACCTAGGCTCTAAGTGAGGAAAGAGGTGCCACTCACTCCCAGGACTCACCCCATCCGCTCCCCAGAGTGAGCCTTCTCAAAGCCTCAGAAGGAGGAACATTCCAGAAGGGAATTGTTCCTGTGCTTGAGATGGAAAGAGTACGTTAAAGTGGTCCAGTGGGCAGGAGAGATGGTCAGAGGCATGGCCCATCTGCCAGTCAGGGCTGGGGTTTGCAGACATCAGCCTGGCCAAGCTGGGACCTTTGTACCCCAGCCCAGATGCCAGTGAGGTCAGCGAGGCCACGTCTGAAATGTAAAATGCAATCATGGCAATAACTTCCCTGTTTCCACGTCTCACCTTTATGACACATTGTTTGGCTGGGGTTTAAGGAAGCAGAACCACTAGGAGTGATGTAGAATGAGCAGCCCACTGCAGGGATTTGACTGCTGTGGGAGCTGGGCACACAGTCTTGTTTCTTCTGAGTGGGGTCATGTGCCTGAAGTCCCAGGGCCAGCGTTGCAACTGAAAGACAGGAGTGACAGGGGAGAGCAGGGACAATGGGAACCCCCAGTGGACAAGGTGGAACCTGCCTTGGCCTCTCTGTCTCCAGGCTCCAACCTGGCTACCCAGGAGGCCTGCCTGCAGGAGGAGGCACGCTTCTGCCCTGGAACTATGCTGGCTCACACCTGGCCACAGTTTGGAGCAGCTGAAGGAAGGAGTCTTCTGGGAGATGGGAGACTGGGGAAGGTAGGGGTGTGCTTGGGGAACTGAGAGGAGGTGGGGAACATATATTAATAATATACCCATACTAGCCGGGCAGTGGCTCAAGCCTGTAATCCCAGCATTTTGGGAGGCTGAGGCAGGCGGATCGCTTAAGCCCAGGAATTCGAGACCAGCCCAGGCAGCATGAAGAGACACCCCCCACCCCGTCTCTACAAAACAATACAAAAAATTACCCAGGTGTGGTGGTGCGACCCTATAGTCCCAGCTACTTGGGAGGCTGAGGCAGGAAGATCACCCGAGCCCAGGAGGTGGAGGTTGCAGTGAGCCGAGATCATACCACAGCACCTCAGCCTGGGCAACAGAGGAAGACCCTGTCTCAAAATAATAATAATAATAATATTCATCATCATGATCATATACCCATACAAATCTAACTCAAGGGAGGTAGGGAGAGGCAGGGGAGGTAGGGGAGATGGGGGACTTGCAAATAGGTTGGGGAGGAGAAATGATATGGGTGGAGTTGGGGGTCAGGGGCTTCTTGAAGTGCTTTAGCCAGGCATGAGCTACAGGAGTGCCTGCAGGGACCATCCAGGATCCGAATGGCTGAGTTTCCCATCCGCTTCACCCATCTTGCACAAATTTCACCTGCACGAAGCCGGAAAGGGAATTATAGAAACTGCTATTCAGCTTAGAAGTTGACAAATTGCAAAATCACCAGATTTTAAAATTCCATATATGGTTGTGGTTTGGTTTTATAGTTCAGGCTCTTGTGTATTTTTAAACAGGTGTGTGTGTGTGTGTGTGTGTGTGTGTGTGTGTGTGTGTGTGGACTCCCCTTGGATTGAACATACCTCTGCTTTTCTCAGCGGAATTCCTTTGAGGAACCCTTGAAATTCTGACAGAAAAATGAGCGCCACAGTAAGAAATCTGCTGGAAAAGAATGCGGGACGTGTGTGTTTAGTGTGTGTGTGTATTCAGGCCGTGTGTGTCTTGGTGTGTGCGCCCTGTCTCCAAACTCATTTCATGCTGGGGGTGGGAAGACAAATGGAAAGGAAAGAGTCAAAGACAACAACAGAAAACGAAGCTGCATATTGCGGCTGTGAGGCCAGTGTCCTTTCCCCAAGAACCAGATGCAGATTTCAATCAATTCAATCAATGGGCAATGTTTGCCGGCCATAAAAATAGCCCAGAGGTTGCTGGTCAGCGGCTCTAAGATGGATGACCAGTGGCCCTGGAGGTCCCAAAGGTCAAAGATGACTATCACCTTAAAATGTAATCTGTGCCGGCCCCCAGCCCTGCGGCTGGCGGGTGGGGCGGCATCTGCAGCCATGCCCCAGGCCAGGCCACTCTCAGCCACAGCCTGGCAGAGGGCCTTCCTGGAGCCACAGCCTGGCAGAGGGCCTTCCTGGATCCTGGGCCGTGGGGTCTGCCTGTCCATCCTCCAGAGCCCTGGCCTGAGGCTGCTGTCCTGCCCGGCAGGGATGCTGCATTTTCTCCATCCGTCACTGCTCGCCATGATGTCCCATAGGAGGCTGCAAAAGAGCAGGGCTGCCGTTTGGCTTTCACCAGGCAAACCCTCGCCTCCTGCCGCTCTGTGTGGCTGCGGCAGTTTCTTAGGTATCATCGTCTTTCATTTGTCGTGGTGAGAAGGGATAATGGCAGCCATCCCTCTGTCCCTGGTAAGCGATGATTGAGAGGCCTTGCCGTCCTCGGCTTCCTCCCCTCCTTGACTACAGCTCCCTCATTTCATTTGGCTTTTTCCTCCCTCCTCAGTCGGGAATCACCTGCTGCTTCTTCATCCAGACATTCTTTCCCGGGCCTTCCTGCATCAGCATAGGCAGGGAGCCATGTGAAGTGAATCTCAGAGCCTTGCAGCTCATCTTGAAACCTCTTTCTCCTCTCCCTGTTCACTGTCTGAGGAATGCCACCTTTCTTCTCCCCATCTTTGGTTCAGTGGTCTCGTTACTTTTCCCATCTGCTGTGTTGCATTCGGACAGTGCTTAAGGATGAGGAAGGCCTGATAAGCACTTTGTTGAGTTGCATTGTCTCCTGAAAAGGGCTGCTTCCCTTTCTGTCCACTGTTGCTGACTGGTTGCTGGGGTTGTGCACTCGAGAGCAGGGTCTGCCTACTGGTTATCAACGTCCTTCCACAAATCATCGCTGTTCGGCTATTTAATGGTTGACGTGTCACCAGAAGATGCAGTATTTCCCAAAAGTTAGGAAGCAAATAAATTATTACAGTTTAAAAATGAATCTATTTATTGATCTCCTTCTTTTACACTATTAATGCTAATTGTTTTTCATGGTGCATGCATTTGGGATTCATCGAAATGAATTCTTAATGAATTTCCAAACACGAAAATTATAGCAGGGTAACAGATAGCAACAAATCATTCTACCATTTCTCAAAGGCCTTCTGCTCTGAAGGGACCTTGCAATATGAGGAGGAATCGCATGTGTTTGTCTATAAGATTTGAGATAGTGCTGCCAATTGTGTAGATGTGTGGGTGGACACTACAGCTAGCTACATTGTTTGAGCACCTACTGTGTGCCAGGTTCCAGGCTAGATTGTTTACATTGTTTCATTGAATATGCCCAAAAGCCCAAGGTCAGTTTTGTCATTTCCACTTTATTTATTCAGAAACTGAGACCCAAAGAGGTTCACACATCTATCAAGTGGAGAACCCAAATACAAGCCCAATTTAATCTGGCTCTAAAGCCCACGCTCTTTCCCCTGGGCCAATCTCTGTGCTGGACAGGTATCACACTGGCTGCAGCAGGTTCATGACAGGGGATGTGGTCACTGATTCTGCCCATCTGTCCCATCAGAGTAAACCTTGGGTCTTGCTGTTGAATGAGTCCAAGTCACAGCACATAACTCACACCTCACATTGGTCTGTTCCTTCTTAACCATCACATCAGACAAAAGGCAGCATTGTGCCCTCTTACCTCTCTTGAAGAAGAGGAGACCACTATCTGTCTCCCCTTATTCCTCTGTAGTAATTTTTGAGCTAGACAAGTGGCCAAGCCAAAGACTATACTTCCCAGGGTTTCTTGCAGCTGAGTGTAGCCATGTGACTATCAAGATGTGAGCAGACTTAATGTGTGCCATGAGTTTGGATGTGTGCCTTGAGTTTTGATGTTTTGATGTGTGTCTTGAGTTTTGCCTTTAAAGGAAGGAAAGAGCGTTTTCACATCTTCTTGCTGTCTGGAATTTAGATCTGATGGTAGGTGTTGAAGGTGGCTTCTAGAAGCTGGAAAAAGGCAAGGAAAGATAATCCTCCCGAGAGCCTCAGCCAGCCCTGCCGACATTGAGACCTAACCCAGTGACGATGATTTTGGACTTCCCACCTCCAGAACTGTAAAATAATAAATTTGTGTTGTTCTAAGGCATTAAGTTGGAGAAACTTATTATGGCTGCAATAGGAAATATAATGGGGGAATCCAGATAAAAGGAGAATCCAGTCCATGAAGGAAAGGGCATGCCAGGGTGAAGCAATAACGCTGTTCTGCATGCTCCCAAATCCCATCAGTGATCTTCTCCCCAACCTTCAAGGTCCAGCAGCAGCCTCCTCTCAGAAGCCTTCCTGGACCACACCAAGCAACTGGCTTCCATGCTGATCTCATCAGAGAAACTACATACTGGTATAGAAAGATAGGGCCTCTTGGGGAGGAAGTGAATGTAGCCCCAGCCCTGCTAATCCAGAGCCTAGCACAAGCTGCCCTTCCTTGTGGAACACCTGGCACCATAGTTACCATCTGTGCAGACCATGGTGCCTTGGAGTTTCAGCCATTCAGAAGAACAAAGTAGGCCCAAAGGAGGAAAGAAGGAGGTACACAGGCAGTATTCCTTCTAGCGAGGCTAGTGTGTGTTGGCCTGAAGGCCCAACAGGCAAGATCTATCTCTCCAAAGGGGAAGGGACCATCCTAGAATTGCCAATATGGCACCTGTCTGCTCCCTTCCCACCTCCCCTCACCAGGTTGTGAAAACTTGACCTCACAATCCTTCCCCTGTTAAGAGAACTTGACCTCACAATCGTTCTCACATAGAGTTCCAGAAGGCCACCACCAAGTGGTTGGAACTTGCCATCCCTGCCCCAGACCTTAAAAGTAAGAAAAGCAATAATTAAAACGGCTTCACCATTTGCATAACAACCACCACTATGATTATTACTGGCAGGAATCATCAATGGCTGCCAAAATTACTGCAAAAATGTATGATGGGGAACAGTGTCTCTGCATAATCTCAAAGCATTTCCTCATAAGACACATATTAATTATAAAGGAAAAAAATCATAGTTTACATATTTTATAGTTGAGAAAACTGACAGATACTACCTTAATCATGTGATAAAAGTGGACATTGCCAGGAATGACCATCATGTTCCTCTTGATACACTGCACTGAGAAGGACACAATGTCACTGCTGTGGTCTCCTGGCAAAAAAAAAAGCACAATCTGAATCTAATCATGAAGAAACATCAGGCAATCCTGAATTGGGACTGTCTGCAAAATAACTAACCTGTACTCTTCAAAAGTGTCAAGGTCATGAAAGACAAAGGAAGACTGAGGACCTGTCAGAGATGAGAAGAGTCTCAATTGGTATCAGAATCAAAGAAACTGTGGGGTCTTGGATTGGATCCTGGACCAGAAAACGAACATTTGCTGACACATTTGGTAACATTTAAGGTCTGTAGCTTAGTTTAACAGTATTGGTCAATGTTAATTCACCAGTTTTGATTCTTGAACTATGATTATGTCACATGTTACCGTTTGGGATGCTGAGTAAGGGCACATGGGAACTCTTTCTTCAACTTGTTTGTAAGTCTGAAATTATTTCAAAGTAAAGAGTTTATTTAAAAACTTTCTCTATTATCTGAACACTTTCATATTACTGATTTGATTTTATCCTAATTACAACGTCTCAAGAGGGTGGCATTATCTATATTTACTGAGAAAATGGGAGATTAAGTAAGGAAAGTGATTTGTCCAGGTCACCAGCAGGGAAGTAGCATGCAGACCTGAGACTTGAATCTGAATTTCCTATTTCCAAATCCTAGTTGCCTTTCCAACTAGAATGAACTGGCTATGCTACATGTCTTCATAAAAGAAGAAGATGACTTTTTGAGAGACTTGGGTCTAACCAGGACATAGTCAACAGTCCCGCTCTGGGGGCATTCTGATTCCATCTGCCTTCCCTCCACCCATGACCCCACAGGTGCATGCACAGCATCATCCATATCAGAGATAGGCTGACCCCCTTGCCAGTCCTTGCATTCACCAGCAATTCCACCCTTCTCGAGGCTAAAACAGGGCCTCTTTTCACCACAAATAGGGTTTTCAATGCACTGGGGAGTAGAAAGGATGCTTGCAGGGTTCTTAGCCAGGAGTTCAGTTCAGCAGGAACTTTGAATCTATTTAATTCTGGTTACAAATGAGTTGACTTCAGCTCCCAATCTATAAAAGAATTGTTGAGAAACAGAGTGTTGAACTTGGAGGGAGCTCATTTGGGTTCTGAGCTCTGATTGTCAGGGATTTTCATCCCAGTTTTCCCAGGATTGGCTAGGTTTATGTCTGTTGTCCTGGGGTAATTATTAATTGTTCCATCTTTCGCCCTCAAAAGTGTCCCAGTTAGGACAAGAAACTATCTGGTCACCACATACAGTAATTATCTGGTTGAACCTCTGATTTTCAAGGAAAGAACAGAAGGCCCAGCGAGGTGGAGTAACCTGCCCAAGGCCACACAGTCCTTCAGTAACAGTGTCTCCATTGGCTGCAGTACTATTGCCAGGGATGACCGGTTTTAACTATTTTGGTTGGGACTTTGGTGTCAGTACCTTCTACCCCAGTTCTCAGTTTCATCCTTGGTTGCTTTCTTTGGGGCTGGGTCTCGCTCCCTGCAATGGAAGCAGTTGCCCTCCCTTCGTCATCTCCCTCTGGGGAAGCTGTAGTAGTCTCCTAATTGGTCTCCTCATGCCTTCTCTTACTCCTCTCCAATCTCGCACATCAGCCAATGGTTTCTTCGAAACACAAATCTCATAGTGTTCTCTTCCTGTTAATGCCCCATCCCACACCAACCCTGTGTGACCTGACTCCTCTTGCAAACCACTCCCTACCCCCGCATCTTCCTTTCCCCCTTTTGCTTATAACTACTGCTCTTTATCTGTCTCACCCACGGGAATGTAAGCTCCACAAGGGCAGGAACCAGGTCTCTTCTGATTCAAAGTTACATCCCTGGTGCCTCTTAAATGCTCAGCACCATGGATGATCAATGAAGATGAGATGTCCTTTGCAGGGACACGGATGACTTGTAGTCCTGACATTCTGATTCTATGGAGTTGATCAGAAAACCACTTAAGGCACCCGGGCCCCAGTGGTACAGCGTTTTCCCTGGATCCGATTCCTTTTTCCTATGATGCAAAGAAACATAGAACTAGAAGAATAACCTTACAGAATATGATCTATGTAAAATGAAACATCCCGAATCTCACATCTCCATACACTAGCCTCATCTGGAAGCTGCTGTGGTTCTTGTCATGCCCTTTTCATCTCAACCTACCATGTTTCTGGAACATGAACATGAACATGGACAGAAATCATCCTATCAATCCCCCTCAAACAAAAACCAAACACATGATAAAGCCATACTGGTCTTCTGACATCAGCCTTTCCAACCCCTCCGTCATACAGATGGGAAAACAGATGCCCCAGAGAGATTGGCTTTAGGATCTGGGCTTGGGCCAATCTTTTGATGGGGAGCAGCATACCTTAGTGCACCCCTGTGCAAGAGGCCTGGGCTTCCACCTTGGGACACAGTGAATGGTGGTGCCCAGAGCCAGTCCCAGCCTGGTGCCTAATGAAACTATCAACAGCACCTGTGAGGTTCCACATGGACTCCTGTGAAGTGTTTCTTAAACTGTAGGTGCACACGAATCATCCAGGAAGCTTGCCAAAATGCAGTTGTGACCCAGGAGGTCTGGGTGTGACCTAAGGTTTTACATTTCTAAATAGCTCCCAGGGGATATGGATGCGGCTGGTGCCCAGACCACACTTTGCTTTTTAGTTTTTGTTTTTGTTTTTGTTTTAATTATACCTTAAGTTCTGGGATACATGTACAGAACGTGCAGGTTTGTTACATAGGTATAGGAATACCTGTGCCATGGTGGTTTGCTGCACCCATCAGCCCGTCATCTACATTAAGTATTTCTCCTAATGCTATCCCTCCCCTTGCCCTCCACCCCCGACAGGCCCTGGGGTGTGATGTTCCCCTCCCTGTGTCCATGTGTTCTCATTGTTCAACTCCCACTTATGAGTGAGAACATGTGGTGTTTGTTTTTCTGTTCCTGTGTTAGTTTGCTGAGAATGATGGTTTCCAACTTCATCCCTGTTCCTGCAAAGGACATGAACTCATCCTTTTTTATGTCTGCATAGTATTCCATGGTGTATATGTGCCACATTTTCTTTATCCAGTCTATCATTGCTGGACATTTGGGTTGGTTCCAAGTCTTTGCTATTGTGAACCATGCTGCAATAAACATACATGTGCATGTGTCTTTATGGTAGAATGATTTATAATCCTTTGGGTATATACCCAGTAATGGGATTGCTGGGTCAAATGGTATTTCTGGTTCTAGATCTTTGAGGAATCACCACACTGCCTTCCACAATGGTTGAACTAGTTTACAGTCCCACCAACAGTGTAAAAGTGTTCCTATTTCTCCACATCCTCTCCAGCATCTGTTGTTTCGTGACTTTTTAATGATCGCCATTCTAACTGGCATGAGATGGTATCTCATTGTGGTTTTGATTTTCATTTCTCTAAGTGATCATGAACTTTTTTTCATGTGTTTGTTGGCCACAGAAATGTCTTTTTTTGAGAAGTGCCAGACCACACTTTGAATGGTATGGCTGTAGCTCAGGAGTCAGTCACCAGTGTGGACTGAAAGTTTGTGTCCCCTCAAAATACATACATTAAAACCTAATCACCAAAGCAACAGTATTGGGAGATGGGAACATTGGGAGTTGATTAGGCCATGAGGGCAGAGCCCTAGTAAATGAGATTAGTGCCCTCATAAAAGAGGCCCCAGAGAGCTCCCTCACCCCTTCCACCATGTGAGGCCACAGCAGGAAGATGCATTCTGTGACCAGGAACTGGGCCCTCACCAGACACTGAACCTGCCCATGCCTTGATCTTGGACTCCCCAGCTTCCACAACTGTAAGGAATAAAGTTCTGTTGTTTATAAGCCACCCAGCTTATGGCAGTTTGCTATAGCAGCCAAAATGGACTAAGACAGCCACCTTGTCTGCTGAAGGGCCAGATAGTAAATATTTTAGGCTTTGTGGGCTAAGAGGCAAAATTGAGAATATTGCACAGAGAGAAAACAAATTTCCACACATTTTTTCTTGATGAAATTCAAAATATAATAATTGAATACATTTTTTTTTGGTAATTTTAGGAGTTCAGTAAGGGGAAAATCACCCTAAGCAGGTTTTCAACATGAGGAATGTAGACTCTACCCTTTTCTACCCAGACTCTTCTTTGTTATCTAATACCATATTTTACAAACAGCAAGAAATATAAGCCCCAGGAAGTGAAACAACAAGAATTGTTTCCAGTGCATTTCTGAGCCGGCAATGAAGCTTAGCCTTTGTCTTCAAGAAATAGATCCAATGTGACAGACACTGCAGCTTTGTATTTTTTGACTAAGTTATTAACCAATACATTTGAAGTAATTCAGCCTTCTACTCACCCTGTGGCTTGTCATGTGGGATGGTGTTCTGAGGGTTAACGTAAATACAGTTCGTAGAGGTGCGTCTCACTCCTGGAGCTGGTGTTCCTGACTGAGGGACTGCAAGTCTGAATAGTGTAAATGGAATCTGACTTCCCCACGGCAGCAATGCTATAATGTGGGATTATGTGAATGGGAATTTTCTGTGGAAGGATCCTACCTGCGAAGGGAACAGTAGCAGTGAAGGAATCAAGGTGTGAACATGGATGATGTTTTCCAAGAATGTGAGTATTCTGGACTGGCAAATGCCATTGGTCCCCCATCTCTCGCACTGGGGAACCCTGGGCTTCTGCCTCCTTCCTGACATTTCACTCACCAACTCCTCTAACTCCTGCCTCTTACATGTCCCTTGGCCCTTCCTTTTGGTGTCCATCACACCTGCAATAGTTTGAGTTCTCAGAATCTCTAGATGTGCAGCCATCCCTGGCCTCCCTGTCACAACGATCTCCATTTTCTAAACTATGATGCATCCTGCCACCAGGTTTAGCCAAGATATGGGATCATTGTTGCCCTGAAAATCATTGAGAACTCTCCAGACCTCTCAGGAAACAGCCTAGCTCCGTGTCACTGGCTACAAAGATCTTCATGCTGGCTTCAGCTCATGAGTTTGAATCACTTCATGCCATGTCACTGTACACTGTACAGTCTGTTTTCAAGGGTTGGCTGCAAGGGGCTCAGCCAGTGGGGAAGATGATTATATCATATGACAGGAGAAAGAGGTGGGTGTCTGCAGGGCTGGCTCCTCTAGAAGCCCAGTGATGTCACTGAGGATTTACCCCAGTAAGTTGGCTTGAGCCAAGGTGGGTTCCAACATAGGCCCAAAATGGCTTGTGGGTTCCCAGGTATCACAGATTCACACAGCTATGTCCACAGATAGAAACTTCTACGTGAATGTCTCTTTTCACTGGGGAGGAAAACCTTTCCCAAGAGCACCCCCCTCCCACCTCATGGGCCAGAATGGCACTGAAGGCCTTACTTATACCACTAGGCACTGCATGAGCTTGCTGGCTTGAATTAATCAAGCTTCCATTTCCAAGGCTGATAAACTCCAGCCTGAGCACATGGTCATTGGTGCAAAGAACAGAGCCAAGCCCAGGCTTAGAAGCATGGAATAAAGGGGAACATGGCTCTGGGTAAGGGACTGGCTACATCTGCTGCTCCCTGAAAACATCACCTGCCTTCACAGTTCCATGCCTTCAGTCACGTCTCCCCTTTGTCTGAATGTTCTTCCACCCTGGGAAACTCCTATTCATCTTTCAAGATTCAGCCATAATGCCACCACCGCTGCAGTGTGACTGTGTTGGGAAACTCCAAGTGGCAGAGAGCTGCAGGAAGCCTCTAGGCTCCAGCCAACAGCCTGCAAGGGCCTCCAGTGACAGCCAGCGAGAAAGTGAGGCCCCCAGTCCTACAAGCAGAAGAAATTGAATTCTGCCAACAATGACATGAACTTTGAAGCAAATTCTCTCCCTCACAAGCCTCAGATGGGACCATAGACCCAGCCAGCACCTTGATTGCAGCCTGTGAGAGATCTTGAGGCCAAGGCTCCTGGCTAAGCCTAGGCTGGATGCCTGGTTCCGAGAAGCTGTAATGCCATAAATATGTGTGTGTGTGCATGCGCGTGTGTGCATGCGCATGTGTGCATGCAAGTGTGTGTGTGCGTGTGTGTGTGTACGTGTGTGTGTGTGTGTTTTGAGACAGAGTCTCACTCTGTCGCCTAGGCTGGAGTGCAGTGGTGCCATCTTCGTTCACTGCAACCTCCGCCTCCCAGGTTCAAGTGATTCTCCTGCCTCAGCCTCCCAAGTAGGTAGGATTATGGGTGTGTACCACCACACTCAGCTAATTTTTGTATTTTTAGTAGAGATGGGGTCTCACCATATTGGCCAGGCTAGTCTTGAACTCCTGACCTCAAGTGATCTGCCTGCCTCAGCCTCTCAAGGTGCTGGGATTACAAGCATGAGCCACTGCACCCGGGCAAATGTGTTTTAAGAAGTTTGTGCTAATATTGTTACTGTATAGATAATTAACAAACCCCGTTTCCCCCAACCCACTCCAACCCATTCTCCACATTGCAGCTGAGTGGTGTTTTCTAGCTAAATTAAATCACACCTTTCAACTCACAATTTTTGGATGGTTTTTGAGTCCCCTAAGAGTGCCCTTGACCATTGTCTACAGGATTCAATACTGTCCAGATGCCTCACTTGTGGCCACACCTGGCTCATTACCTGCTGTCACTCTCCCTTCTGCCTCAGGGACCTCACACGTGCTATTTTCTTCTCTAGAAGCTCTTCCCGCTTCCAACTGCTCCACCAACATCCAGCTCCTTATCTTCCTTCAGAGACCCCGGGTTGACCTTGCCCACTCCTTCCCTGGGCTATTGGGTCTCAGCTGCCCTTGTTTCCGTCACTGCTCATGTTACAATTTGTGGCTGGCTTAGTCCCCACCCCAGCCCACTAGACTGTGAGCCCATAAGGGCAGGTGTCACAACTGTTGCCTTCCCCACTACAATCCCAGCACCTAGTTCTCTGCCTGATGCATGGTAGATGTTCACTAGATATTTACCAGATGAATGAATGGGCTTAATTCTCATCGGAATCTACCAGAATGTATATGTTCCAGTGAATGTTTATCTTAATGTCTCCTGACTCTACAGTCAGAGGAGACATTCCCAAGGCTGATGCTCATTTCTTTTCTCTGTCCCCTCCTCCTTTGTGCTCCCATTGTATGCTTCAGGCTTGAATCACATGTCCTGGGGAGGAAGGCTGTGGACTAGAGCTGGAAGAGGAAAAAAAAGGAATGAAATCAGGGATGGATGGAGCTCAGGTGGCTGGGATCCAGGGAGGGACGGCTGAAGAAGGAAGCACTGAAGGAAGCAGACAGAGGCCTGGGATGCCAGGGAGGTGACCCAGAACCCAGTGCCTGTGTGCATAGTGCGTGTATCTGGCTATGCACAACCATTGAGGATTGCTCCAAGTTAAACCATCAGAAGGAGGGGCTGCGGGCGTGTGTACACTATGGATAATGGGCCTCACAACATCCAGCGCATTAGCTAGATAGCCTTTGAGATGCATAAAGGATGTGAGTGCCTGCACTGTATTAATTTCACCGTTGCTAGAAATGCCTGGAAAATAATAGGCATTCAATAAGTCACTGTGGAATAAATAAATGAAGATTGAATTTTGAGGTCCTTGGTTTTTTATTGAGGTCAATATGAGAATAAAGCATGTCTCTTTCGCTACTATAAAGCTGGCCTTGATGATAGCGTCCATTGATGGAGAGGAAAGAGCACTTTGGATTTTAATCCCAACTCTACCACTTTACTAGCTGTGTGACCTTAGGCCAGTTACTTAACCTGTCAGTGTATCAGTTTTCTAACCTATACAATGTGGGCTAATTCAGAATTATTGAGAGACTTAAGTGAAATTACATATGTCAAATGCCTCACATGGGCTCCAAGCACATCTGGATCCTCAATCCCTTCACTTGTTAGAAAAGAGACCTGAGATGTGTGTCACAGCCTGGAGCCTGCTGCAGGGCCAAAGCTGAGGCTAATGGATGTGAGTATGGTGGCATATTATGGTTTGCTCTAGTAGGTTCTGATATATTCCAATATTTCCCAGAACGAGATCATCAGGGATGGGGAGCCAAGACTATGTAAACCCGATATGTGACAATAGAGACTGGAACAGCCCCTGTCCTGTCAGGGGATGCTCTTTGCTGATTCTGGCCAAGTGGAGAGAGTATGTCTTGTAATACTTCTCTGTTCAAGTCACCTGGGAGGCAAACCATTTTTTTAATCTTAAGTTTCGGAAGTCTGTTTTATATGTATCAGTGACTCTCAAGTTATTAAAGATTGCCTCTCTGGAGAAGAATATCTAGAGGAAGAGGAGGTGTCTGCAAAAGCAAACGGGAGAAGTCAGAAAGTTGTGGCCCCATGAAGGCAAGGAGAGCGGGCAGTGCCAGGGACTGGCCAGCAGCACTAAATGCTACTGCGTAATCAATGAAAACCAGGGCCAATTGCTGTCAATCAACTTCCACTTTCCCAAAGAAAGTA